>NC_000018.10:6260000-7510000 GCF_000001405.40 Homo sapiens
GTATATGGCTAGCCAGCTATCCCAGCACCATTTATTGAATAGGGAGTCCTTTCCCCATTGCTTTTTTTCTGTCAGCTTTGTCAAAGATAAGATGGCTGTACATGTGCAGCTTTATTTCTGGGCTCTTTATTCTGTTCCATTGTTCTATGTATGTGTTTTTGTACCAGTACCATGCTGTTTGGTTTCTGTAGCCTTGCAGTATAGTCTGAAGTCAGGTAATACGATGCTTTGTTATTTTTGCTTAGGATTGCTTTCACTATTTGGGCTCTTTTTTAGTTCCTTGTGAATTTTAGAGTAAGTTTTTTTGGTTCTGTGAAAAATGACATTGGTAGTTTGATAGGAATAATGTTTAATCTATAGATTGCTTTGGGGAGTATGGCCACCTTAATGATATTGATTCTTCCCACCCATGAGCATGGAATGTTTTTCCAGTTGTTTATATGTCATCTTTGATTTCTTTTAGCCGTGTTTTGTAGTTCTCCTTGAAAAGATCTTTCACCTTCTTGGTTAAATGTATTCCTAGATATTTTTCTCTGTGTGTGCCTATTGTAATTGGGATTGTGTTCTTGATTTTCTCTCAGCTTGAACATTATTGGTGTATAGAAATGCTACTGACTTTTGTACACTGATTTTGTATCCTGAAACTTTACTGAATTCATTTATCAGTCCCAGGAGCCTTTTGGCAGAATCTTTAGGGTTTTCTAAGCATAGAATTAAGTTTTATTTTCAACATTTCGGTGTCAAAAGCTGAAGCGTTCCATCTCAGCTGGCTGACCTGAACAACATTATACTAATATTTACACAATGAAAATGAACATTAATAGTCAAAAACACAATGTCAATATAAAATTGAGTTTAGTCTGATGCTCCTTCTTGGAAAGCTGACATGAACCATCTGCCTTTTTGATTATATTAAAACCTATTTTTAACTATAGACAATGCTTATTTCATCTGAAAATACAAATTCAAGTTAGAGTAACACTGTGATCTTGAACACAAGCATCTTCTTTAGTTATTAGGGCAAATCAGACGGAATAATTGGTGAGCTTAATTCTCTCTGCATTCAGGGTCGAATGAGGTCTCATCTCACACATGGAATTCCTCATAAATTCATTACTTGTGGGCAATTAACATTCTACCTCAGATTGTTGCTGTGTTATTATGGGCATATCATATCCCAACTAGCCCACAAGATCCTAAGACACCATGTCATACGTTCTTTAGTGTTTTGGCCAGTCTTACATGGCACTTTGCACACACAGAGTCTTAAACACGTGGGCAGCTTGAGTGTTAGATTATGACTGGAGAGAAAGGCAGTCCAACATGTCAAACATGTCTGTTTTCTCACACACTAACACTTTGCTGTTACTTTCAGAGATGACAAATATTAGAGTTCAAAAGCTTGAGAAAGTCCTTAGCCAAAGAATCATCAAAGGGTGCATCACCTGCTCACCACCCGCCTCCTTCAAAGAGTCTCTCCAACTCTCTCCACCCTGCCAAGGGGGCCCACTCCTGTCTGTATGTCCCACAACGTTGTGCCCCTCCCACTTACTGCCTTCCAGCACCTCTTTTGTCATCCCTCTATAAAGTCAAGGGGGAAAGCTACATGACCCAGAGCCTATGATCACACCATTCCCAACACCATCATGAGGATTTATTTCAGGAACAGAAATCCCACGTGTGTTCTTTTGGTCTTTTTTTAGTTAACACCAGGTCATAAGGGAAAATCTGAAGGAGAAATTCTCAATCCTGCAGGTGTTCTTGCTCTGGCTGATGGGGCTTAAAGGATCTCAGAGAAGAAGCTCTAGAATAATGTTAATACCCTGACGGGCTGAGATGTGGGGCAACACAGGAGCTGGACAGGGAATCTAGCACTTGGCTGCCATCAGCCAAAACTTTCCTTGCTCTGAAAATTAGTCCACACTTCACCCTTAACACCCAAACATCTGATTTAATTCTGGCGGCAGAGTGGGGGGGTGGGGTGTAAGAGAGGACCCTTGCCCTGGGACCCTGATCTGAGGACACGGCACAGGTGTGACTCCTAAGCCACAGCAGCCATCGGGGCGCAAACCTCACCTATGTTCTTTGGCTCAACCTCAAATCCTGGACCTTGACCCCGCTACCTCTGCCCTTGGGTGTCACAGTGCCTGATAGTTCTCAGGCAGCTCCTGTTTTGGCCCACTCTGTTCTCCCCTCCCAACCTGCAGTGGCTCTGTGGCAAGGGCAGGAAGGCGCAGCGGGGAAAGGGCAAGGTGACTGTGAGCTACACTGAACTGCCCTGGTCCCAGCCAACCACCTTCAAAGATCTTTACACTCAGAAGCGAGAAGAGTTTCCCTAGAAGTCACTCAACAGCGACTGATCATCTGAGCACACTCAACACAGCAGGCACTGCCGGGATACATGTAGGAAAATCCCTTACCTTACTGAGCTTGCACCTTTTGATGGAAGAAACCCCCTAAGTCTTATCAGGTGAAAGCAATGTGGGGAAACATGGACCTGACTCCTAGACAGAAACTGTACAGTTCTTAAACCTTCTATGGTAGTCAGCCTCAAACCTGCACAAAGAATGCAGGAGGTTCTCAAGCTACACATTTCCAGGCCCAGCCCCTGAGGGTCTGATTTAGTAGGTCTCAGGAAGACCCACGCTGTGCTCTCCAAAGCTCACAAAAGTAGATGGTGCAAAGGCTGGGTTAAGAATGCTGCTCTAGATGGTCTCATTTTCCATGGTATGACCTTCATACTGTTTGTTAGTGAAGCATACCACCTAGACAACAAAAGGACATGCATCATTTCTTGAACACGAGGGGTCTGCATTTGGTTTCCCTTTCTTTTCTTCTTCGCTATACCTCTTCTTCCCTGTCCCACTGCCATATCCAGGATTACAAATGCTGGCCCTTTCACATGCTAACATGAGTTACTAGATGTAACTCAACAGATGTCATGAAAAGTAAACCAAATAAAAAGTTGTAGTTTCCTGCTGTAAAGAAATGGGCTGGGCACGGCGGCTTACGCCTGTAATCCCCGGCACTTTGGGAGGCCGAGGCAGGCGGATCATGAGGTCAGGAGATGGAGACCACCCTGGCCAACACAGCAAAACCCTGTCTCTACTAATACAAAAATTAGCTGGGCATGGTGGCACGCATCTGTAATCCCAGCTTCTCAGATGCTGAGGCAGGAGAATCGCTTGAACCAGGGAGTTGGAGGTTGCCACGAGCCAAGATCATGCCACTACACTCCAGCCTGGCGATAGAGCCAGACTCCGTCTCACAAAAAAAAAAAAAAAGAAAAAAAAAAGTAAAGTAACGAGGTAAATCTGATGCACATAAATTTCCCCAAAACATCTAAAACTCAGACCAAGAAGAACAAAAAGACTATCAGAAGATTTGGTGTCTTGGGTAAAGATGATCCCCTGTAAGGCCCAGATGGTCAAGGAAGTCTACACCAGCTGCTCTGTTCACCTTTCTAGTCATGTATGCCAGGATTCAGGGGTTTCAATGTCTTCTCTAACATCTTGCTTGACTCACCACTCTTAGAAACACATCCAAACAGATCCCTCTAACTGCAGGTAATACTGGCTAATAGAAGTAAAACCTAACACTTTCTTGAGCATTTATAGTATGCACATTGCATCCTATATCCTTTACGGGTACAACTGATTTAGTCCTCCAACCACCCAAGGAGAAAGGTAGGGAACCTTTCCTACCTCATGGATGAGGAAACTGAACTGAATGACTTGCCCAAGGTCACAGAGCTGGCAGGTGGCGGCGCCGGGCTCCAGCCCACTCTGAAACACTAAAGCTCTGATTAGGTTTGTGGGGTCATTTTCCAGCAGAGCCTACAAATAATTCAAATAAGTTGATGGGCTATCTAGGAAAGTCATTTCATTTAAACTAAACCTCTTAAGTGTTGCTTCCTTGCAAAAATATAAGTCCTTCAGTGGCTGACCTTGGAAAACAGCTCAACAGGTGCTGCGACAGCCTTCTGTTCTTTCAAGTACCACTCCCAAGACCATGCTCCCTGTGCAGCCGCTGAAGGGACTGGAAGAGAAAACACAATGACTTTTCTCAAAATGATTAGTGACAGGAAAATAATAAAACTTACTTGACAATAAACTCAAGAAGCAGGCTAATTAGTTAAATTGGTAGTTGAAAGACCCAGCAACTAAGAAGAGTCTTCTCTCTCAATTCATATGAACATTTAGTAAAATCACCTAACCACTCCATATTCAGCTCTTCCTGTTTCGGACCAGGCTAATGAATATGTCTCACCCTCTAGAAAATGCCTAGTGAACTCTCAAGTTAGGTACCATCTTGCTCCTCTCTAAGAGGGTGAACAGGCACAGGCTTTCTGGAAAGTGATTTAGCTAATTTTACAGTTAATAGTCTAAAGTTTTTTATAATCTCCTTCCACTTTCATACTTCTTTTTGCTGTGAATGTCAATTGGCACAACCTGTGGAAAGCTAATGTGGCAGTATTTGTCAAAGCTTAAAAATCGTTCCTGGCCTGGCGTGGTGACTCACGCCTGTAATCCCAGCACTTCGGGAGGCCAAGGCAGGTGGATCACCTGAGGTCAAGAGTTTGAGACCCGCCTGGCCAATATGGTGAAACCCCGTCTCTACTAAAAATACAAAAATTAGCTGGGCATCGTGGCGGGTGCCTGTAATCCCAGCTACTTGGAAAGCTGAAGCAGGAGAATTGCTTGAACCCAGGAGGTGGAGGTTGCAGTGAGCCGAGATCGCACTACTGCACTCCAGCCTGGGCCACAAGAGCGAAATCTCATCTTGGGGAAAAAAAAATCGTTCCTAAAAGTCGAACCAGCAATTCTCCTAGGAATTTGTCTTAATGCAATCGCAGTAGACACGCCCAAGGGGCAAAACACAAGAGTTTTTTTCCTAGAATCCCACATCAAATTAAACACTGGAAACAAAGTAAAGGTCCACAAAGGAGGAGGTAATTAAACGCGTTACATGGACATGCCCTTTCAAAACCAGCCAGTAAATTGCTTTGTAGACAACTGTCTAAAGGCAGAGAAGGACTATGTAATGATATACTACTAAGTAGGAAAAAGAAGCAGTTAAGGAAACAAATTGATCATTTTTGGTAAATGTGTAATAGATTAAATGATCATTTTTGGTAAATGTGTAATAGATTAAATAAGACTAAACTTACATAAATCAAAAACATTCAAATGAAATCATCTTAAGTGCCAGAATTATAAATAATTCCTTCCCAATTTTCTTTGTGCTTTCTTTTTCTGCTTTCCAAATTTTCTAGATGAATAGCTAATCTTTGTAATTCAACAAAATTATCATTTTTGAATAACAAAAGCTGGCAAAAAGGATTAATAGTTATCTCAGGTTTACATTCTACTCCCCAGTACTTCTTCTCTAGGATTACATACTAAGAGAGTAGTTAAGCACTGATAAAAGTTGATGGTAAAAATGTACATCACAAAATAACAGCAAAATGCAAAGTAGTATTAATATGGGAAGGAGGTTAAAGAAACTATTGTATATACATACATATATGATTCTGAGGTTATCGAAAACTATATTTTTATGCTTTATGTATTTAATATATTTTGAGAATTATCTGGGTTAAGTAAAAAAACTAAGTAAAGACACAAAACGGTGTCTATTTAGATCATATCTGCTGTTTTGTGTCCTTACTTATGCTAAGTGAAATAAGTTAGGCACAGTGAAATAAGTTAGGCACAGAAAAATAAATACTGCATGATCTTATAGACATGCAATAAAAAAAAGTCAAACTCATTGAAGCAGTGCTTAGAAAGGTGGTTACCAGAGGCTGGATGACAAAGGAATCGGGAATGGGGAGATGTTGCCCAAAGGATACAACGTTCCAGTTAGACAGCAGGCATAAGCTTTAGAGATATGTTCCACAGCATGCTGACTATAGTGAATAATGTTATATACCTCAAAACTGCTAAAAAGAATAGATTTTAAATATTCTCATGACAAAAAACATAAGTATGTGAGGTGACGGATATGTTAATTCACTTGATATAATCATTCCACAAGCATATTTCAAAAATTACATTTTACCCCATAAATATATACAATTATTTCTCATTTAAAAATAAAAAAACATACATACATATATATTATACAAGTTATTCCATATATTAAGACATTCATTTATTCACATATTTATACAGCAACTTCTATGTGCTAAGCAACAGGCATATGTATGTCCACACAACCAAACACATTCACGTAGAAAAGCAATTGGAAAGAAACAGCAGAATACTAACAGTGGCTACATGTGGATGGCAAGATTGACATAAATATTCTTTCTTTATTTAACACAATCTATATTTTAAAAATTATCTGCAAGTATTACTACTTAGCTATACACACACACATCCTTGGAGAATACTCATCAGAAAACGCTGAGTCCTAATTTTAGCATCTATCTTTGCTGTGAATGTTCCAGAAGAAGATGCAGATGGTAAAAGGTCAGTGCTGCATCAGCACCAGAGATGACAGGAGGTAAGATGCACCTCTCACTAGAACATTTGAAACCTCTCGAGACAATACAACAATGTGACTGAATAACAAACACAAAATCCATCAATTGGGCAGGAATAATTCACGTAAACTTTTTGTCGTTAAAAAATTTCTGGCCAGGTGCAGTGGCTTACACCTGTAATCCCAGCACTTGGGAAGCTGAGGCAGGTGAATCACCGGAGATCAGGAGTTCGAGACCAGCCTGGTCAACATGGTGAAACCCCATCTCTCCTAAAAATACAAAATTAGCCAGGTATAATGGTGCATGCCTATAATCCCAGCTACTTGGGAGGCTGAGGCAGGAGAATTGCTTGAACCTGGGAGGCAGAGGTTGCAGTGAGTGAAGATCGTGCCATTGCACTCCAGCCTGGGCGACAGAGTGAAACTCCGTCTCAGAAAAAAATAAAATAATAATAATAATAATAGTAATAATAATAATTTCTGAGCCCCTGTTAATGTGACAAGTGTGCAGGAAAATGTTACGTGGAAATTTTATCCATTTCCACTAAAGTGAGTAAAATCTGCTGTCTAGTAGATGAAAAATAAATCATATATACTTTATTTCTTTTGCTACCCATATATGTTATTGACAACAAAGGGAAGTAATTTAAACATAGCTAATAAAGAAAAACATCATATCAATTTATAGCTAAAAATTAGACTCAAAAAAGCATGGACATTAATATTCACTATCTGTCACAACACTAACTCGTTATTGCTAGATACACTTACTAATGTATGAGAAATTTTTAAAGCATTTTAATCATCAAATAAGACACCAGAATTGTCATCGATGGATTTTCTTGTATTGTTTGGAAATACTGAGACGTCATGGTGTGATTTCCATCAAGGAGCTCACAGTCCATTGGCCCATTAGAACGCCTAAAGGTTTGCACTGTTTCTGCCACGAGATGTTTTATTTTGCCAGAGAGAGAAAGCAATCTGACAAACCCTGAAGATGCTCCAGGAAGACTATTCAACATCCCAATTTCCACACAAGCATTTTGCTGCATTACAGTTATGTGCTTTACAAAAAACATTACAGCAGTGTTGGCTCTAAAGCAAATACAGATATCTCATTTTCTACAACAGCTGTGTTCTTTAAAAGATTGCATGTAATTTCTCCATTTAGTCATATTTCCAATTGTCATGCATTATCACTTCACCGAAAGTAAACTATCTAAGGCCTCCTTTTATGATCACATATGTACCAAAGAACCTTTTAAAATTGATCAAAAATAAGAATACATAATATCAAGCAATAAAAGCTTTCATTGAATTGCATATTTTGGTGAAGCAAGAGGATTACTCAGTAACATCATGCCTGCAAGTGAGATGAGGGAATACCAAGTTTGCTTGCACCTCAGAGCCTGTAGACGGGTCCTCCCTGGTCACTGAATTATAAAGGCATTCTCTCACCTCTGTTTCTCACCATGTTGTTTTATTTTTCACAGAAAGCACTTTAGCTGAAATTAACCATATTCTACTTGGAAGTAGAATATAAGCTTCTAAAAAGGAGGGGAAACTGTCGTGGTATTTTCATCATTGTTTCTCTGGAGCTACAATCATGCCTTGCCATAAATATTTGTTTAATGGCCCGGGAGTGGTGGCTCACACCTGTAATCCCAGCATTTTGGGAGGCCAAGGCGGTTGAATCACCTGAGGTCAGGAGTTCGAGACCAGCCTGGCCAACACGGTGAAACCCCGCTTCTACTAAAAATACCAAAAATTAGCCGGGCATAGTGACAGGAGACTGTAATCCCAGCTACTCAGGAGGCTGAGACAGGAGAATTGCTTGAACCCGGGAGGCAGAGATTGCAATGAGCCGAGATGGCGCCATTGCACTCCAGCCTGGGCAATAAGAACAAAACTCTGTCTCAAAAAAAAAATTGTTTAATGAATTAAAGGAAAGGAAGACAGGCAGAATAGCACTCTGGGCCTTAAACATGAATTCAAATGTGTCTATTTTGACCAATTCATTTCTCAGTTTCCTGGACAGAAGGAACCAGCTATGAGACAACACTGCTTCAGTCACTAAATTTATTTTTTCTGCTGTTTTCTCAGACATACTACAGATATGGCACTCATTTTATGGAATATTAGATATTCCATAAACCAACTTCATAAACCCTAAATTCCATTTCTTCTCACTATATTCATTGGCTATAGCAAAATGTTCCAATTATTAACCTTCTGCCAAACATTATATAATAAACAAAATATATTTGATTAAATATTACCTGTCACTTAATATATACATATGTATACCAGGTACTGATTGGGATATGTGTATGTGTATACGTGTGTGTGTGTGTGAGCACATATGTGTGAATGTATACATATTCACTTGTTATTTACAATATTGAATATTAGATTAATAGCCCTATTTTATTGTTCTGAAAAGCTGAAGCTCATGGAGATCACACAGTTCACACATTTGGAAAACTCTGTATGTAAACAAAATCCCTAGCTCGGGCACCCCCACTAGACACCGCTGACTCACTCTAGCACACACAGTCAAAATGGAACAGAAATTCCAATTTAATTAGTAACTTTTAAGTTTAAAAGCACCATAAAATTAAGTTTGCAGGAAAATGAATAAGGTCGCTCATGGATGGTGGCTTTGTAAATTTGATTAAAACTTTTGAAAGTTGCCAGGCGCGGTGGCTCACGCCTGTAATCCCAGCACTTGGGAGGCTGAGGCGGGCGGATCACGAGGTCAGGAGATCGAGACCATCCTAACATGGTGAAACCCCATCTCTACTAAAAATACAAAAAATTAGCCAGGAATGGTGGTGGGTGCCTGTAGTTCCAGCTACTCGGGAGGCTGAGGCAGGAGAATGGCGTGAACCCGGGAAGGAGAGTGTACAGTGAGCCAAGATCGCACCACTACACTCCAGCTTGGGTGACGGAGCGAGACTCTGCCTCAAAAAACAAACAAAAAAAACAAACAAAAAACTTTTGAAAGTCATGTCGACAATATATATTTATAGCCAAAAATTAAGATGTTACAATTCACTGATCTATTCATCCCAACTTTAATATTTTATTCTAACAATGCAAAAGGAATAAATTCAGCCTTTACAACAGTACAAAGTTGGAAAAATATCTAAATATCCAACAATAGAAGTCAAATTATCGTTATGATCACACATTACTTTTTAAATATGAATTAAGCGCAGTTTATATGAACATTGTCTTTAGAACTGCACATGTTTATATACAAATACAAATCATAAGAAAAAAACGAAGACCATGTGTTAAGGCAATGAGATTCGTGAAGCAAGACAAAGGCTGACAGATTTGGCCACAAGAACATCCAGTTCTAGGAAACTGCACAGTACTTATCAGTAATTTTATGAACCCAAAATGCAAATGGCAGGGGTAAAGAATGAATCAACTGTCATTCTTAAGGATACAACCAGGTATATCTTAAGAGTGGCCCTTTCCCAATTCCATTAGCCATAAACACAACCCTTCATGGTGATATTTCCATTTCATTTCAAAAGTTATGCTGCACGTGACTTCATCAGGAAATGCCTTAGAATATGTGAGAAACAACTGTCAGTGGCAACCAACCACACTGTTATAAATAGCGCCTTCTTTTGTGGTACCAACTGGAAATGATACGATCTTCCCAATCTGAACAACTGATCACTGCTGAACAATACCCCGCTTAGGCCACAGCTGCAGACTCACATTTTAGTCCCTCTGCCAGGTCACTGTGACGGGACCCTTTCCATGCTCTCCCTACATTTTTCACGTGCGCAGTCAGGCTGCTTTTCATTTCAGTACTACCGAATTTAAATTCATGTAGTGCTCGTCTCCCCAGGCAAAGCAGGTACTGAGAGAATCCAACTTCTCCCTCACACCGCATTTACTCGAGTTGGGGAGGCAGGCGTGTAGACAGATAAACATCACCCATAACCTGACATATGGTGGGACTCAGTGTTTCGACGAATAAACAGGCAGACACAAGTGCTAATATGCACAGTTAAGAAACCCAAACAATGTGTCTGGAATCAAAATGAAGGAGGATTTACTCTGAACACAGAAAGCTCCCCGGAGGACAATTCTCTTTGAGACGAAGAGAAATTTGGCAAGCAATCCAGGGAGAAGCAGCATGGGCAAAGCCAGGAGAGTGGAAAGAAAGAGCTGCTTCTGCAAATGCCAGAGTCTGGGAAGGGTTCAGCACAAAGTTTGCAGGGATCCACTCAGCAGTAGGCTGCACTGCAGGGGCTGGAGGGGCAAACGTGAGACCATGCAGCTTCCTCAAAGTTGGCCTAGCAGGTTTGGTCTTTAATCTTATGGTTTAGAGAACCACTTGGAGACTTTCGAGTGGTAGGTGATATCAGCAGAACTTCCTCTATGAATCAGCACTAGGTAAGGATGAAAAGGATGGAGAGACAGGCAGTGGAGACTGAGAATGGCAACACAATAGTCCAAACAAGTGACAGTGTGGGTGTGACCTAAACAAAGGGGGGCATGCAGTGCCCTCTGTGGTTACAGAGCCCGCGGGGCATGAGGGGAACGGTGAAATGAATGTCGAAGGGTACAAAGTCTCTGTTAGACCGCAGCAGTGGTTTGGGGTTGGTTTTGTTTTTCGTTTGTTTTTGTTTTTGTTTGGTTTTCAGTTCTATTGCACACCATGGTGAATGTGGTTAATAGAGTATTGTACATTTCAAAACTGCTAAGAAAGTAAATTTCAAATGTCCTCTCTGCAAAAACATGTTAAGTATTTGAGGTGATGGCGCGTTAACTAGTTTTATTTAATTATTCCACATTGTATTTATAAATTATAGTATCACTTTGTACACACTAAAGTAACACAATTTATAAGTTGTCAATTTACAATAAAAAAGAAAGGTAGAAAGGAAATTGAGAGAAAATGCAGAAATTCGATCAACAGGCACAGGGTGGGGCGGCAAAGGGAGAAGGCAAAATAGTCCCGAAGCTGCCGGGCACCAGGCAGGGCCGAAAAGGTGGAGGGACCAGCGCAGAACGCGGAGGAAAGTGTGAGTCATTTTCCGAGACGTTAAACTTTTGGTATCCGGAATAATCTACGATAAGTGTACGTAATAATCTGTAAAAAACACACATTCTTAGCAAAGGCAATGCAAAGCTCTTCAAACAGAGGCAGCCATGGGGATGACACCGAGGAAGAAGAGCCGAGGTCAGGGGAGGCGCTTCCTCGCACCTGAGTGAGGTCGGGGAGGCGCACGAGGGAGGCAGCGTTGGAAGGAGGCGACAGAGACCTGGGGGCTCCTGGGAGAGGGTTTTCACGGGGCAGGGAGATCAGCAGCGTTAAAGGCTCTGCTCGCCCAAGTAAGATGCAGATGGGAGACACTGCTGGATCTGACAGCCAGGGTGTCACCGGGACCGCAGAGGCAGAGATTTCAGCAGAGCGATGAGATCAAAAGTCAGACTGCAGAGGTCAAAGCGTGAAAGGAACACCTGGAGAAGTTTGCAAATGAACTGGGAGGCAGATGACATAAGCTCTTGACGGGGAAAAAGAGAAAGGAAGTCTTCGTTGACTGTTGCTGTTAAGCGTATCAGGAGACGGGACGTCTCAGTTCTTCCGTTGAGGGAAATGCACCCAGAGAGAGAGGAAAAAAGAAGCCTCTCAGAAAAGAGGGATAATCGACGGGAGAGAGAAGCAGAACAGACAGGTAGCATTGGGAACACAGGTAGGGGGAGGACCCTGAGATAAAAAGGCGGGTGGTGAATGAGGTTAAAAGCAGAGGAGTTTTAGGCTGCTAGGGAAGAAGATGGGAGGGCACCCTACCAAATACCCTCACCTCCTTCATGAGGTAGGATGGCGTCTGCTAAGAGTAAAGGTCACAGCGACGCCTTCAGGAGCACGGGGAAAGGGGGAGTTGTGCAGATTCAACTAGGACTGAATATAAGGAACACAGAACAGTTCTGACAGCCCCACTGCATTAAACTGGTGGTTCTACAGAGCGGCGCCTTCAGGAGCACGGGGAAAGGGGGAGTTGTGCAGATTCAACTAGGACTGAATATAAGGAACACAGAAGAGTTCTGACAGCCCCACTGCATTAAACTGGTGGTTCTACAGAGCGGCGCCTTCAGGAGCACGGGGAAAGGGGGAGTTGTGCAAATTCAACTAGGACTGAATATAAGGAATACAGAACAGTTCTGACAGCCCCACTGCATTAAACTGGTGGTTCTACAGAGCGGTGCCTTCAGGAGCACGGGGAAAGGGAGAGTTGTGCAAATTCAACTAGGACTGAATATAAGGAATACAGAACAGTTCTGACAGCCCCACTGCATTAAACTGGTGGTTCTACAGAGTGGTGCCTTCAGGAGCATGGGGAAAGGGGGAGTTGTGCAGATTCAACTAGGACTGAATATAAGGAATACAGAAGAGTTCTGACAGCCCCACTGCATTAAACTGGTGGTTCTACAGAGCGGTGCCTTCAGGAGCACGGGGAAAGGGAGAGTTGTGCAAATTCAACTAGGACTGAATATAAGGAATACAGAACAGTTCTGACAGCCCCACTGCATTAAACTGGTGGTTCTACAGAGCGGTGCCTTCAGGAGCACGGGGAAAGGGAGAGTTGTGCAAATTCAACTAGGACTGAATATAAGGAATACAGAACAGTTCTGACAGCCCCACTGCATTAAACTGGTGGTTCTACAGAGCGGTGCCTTCAGGAGCACGGGGAAAGGGAGAGTTGTGCAAATTCAACTAGGACTGAATATAAGGAATACAGAACAGTTCTGACAGCCCCACTGCATTAAACTGGTGGTTCTACAGAGCGGTGCCTTCAGGAGCACGGGGAAAGGGAGAGTTGTGCAAATTCAACTAGGACTGAATATAAGGAATACAGAACAGTTCTGACAGCCCCACTGCATTAAACTGGTGGTTCTACAGAGCGGTGCCTTCAGGAGCACGGGGAAAGGGAGAGTTGTGCAAATTCAACTAGGACTGAATATAAGGAATACAGAACAGTTCTGACAGCCCCACTGCATTAAACTGGTGGTTCTACAGAGGAGGCGACCAGCACCAGGGGACTTTCTCCAACAGCTCATGACAGTCGGAAGTGGGAGCAGGCGGTTACATTTGCGGACAGCTGGGGGCTGAAGAGGAGATGGCCAAGTGGCTGAGAGGCTCTAAGCCATGAGAATGTGAGATAAAATGCCTGAAGAGTCCCAACTGGCCTGGGAGGCAAAGGAAGTCAGAAGACAACCAACAAAGAACAAGAAAGAATGGAAAAGCTAAAATACAAAACAGGATTTTTTATAAGATTCCACAGAATTGAAGGAGAGGGAAGAGCTGGGAGGTGTGAGGGTATGATCAAGAAGGGAACTTCGGAGTGAAGATCTGGTGACTCAACAGTTTATTCATCCAGTGCAAAGTGTGGTCATCCCTGCAAACTTGTTAGAAACGCAAATGTGGGGACCACACCTCAGATTTAATGAATCAGAAACTGTGATTGGGACCAGCAATCCACTAAAACAATCCTTCCAGGTGATTACAATGCATGTTAAAGTTTGAGAATCATTGTTCTACTATAATGTGAAGAAACCTGAAAAGGAAAGGAACAAATAATTCTGAAGGAGCTCATCAAAGGTTTCCCAAACCATGTTACATGCCTTAAAGATTAAGGTTCTCAAAGTGTGATACCCAAACCAGCAGCATCAGTGTCACCCAGAAAATTGCTAGAAGTAAAAATTTGGGAGCATCAGTGAAAATGTGGGCCTCTGCTGAATCAAAAACTCTGGGAGTAGGGCCCAGCAATCTGTTTCCACAAGCCCTCCAGGTGATTCTGATGCAGCTAACTTTAAGAACTATTGCTCCCTATGAGGGCCAGTTTCCAGTTGCAGGTGGCCCTACAGACAGGATAGCCTCAGAATTCCGACTACAGTCCCTGTTCTTGAATTTCCATGAGTCTCCATCCTCCCCAAACATGCATTTTTGCACTACAGCCCATTACTTGAGCAAGCTTGAGTGATTTCTGTTCCTTGCAAAAGAAAGCATCTGATTAAACACCATGCTTAGAATTTCAGTCTTCAGTCTATATGTACTGTGAAGCCAGTGGATGCTTTAAGCAAAGAAATGTCACAGTAAGTTTTGGACTTGTTTCTCCTCTTCCCTGCCTATTGTTTTTGTGGATGTTTTGATTTTTTTAAAAAAGATACTACTGATGGCAATTTTAGGGATCACGGTATAGAATAAGAAAGGAAGACTGATCATAGAAATATCAGGAAGGAGATCATGGCGCACGCAGGCATGATATGACGAGGTCTCGATTTGAGATAGCTCTCCCTTTCCCCATGCTGTGAGGATTGACAGGAGCAGAAAGAATGCAGAGAGCCATCTGAATGAGACGTGAAAAAACTGGACAATCAATGACATGAGAAAGAGGACTCTGACATTTCTAGCTTAGGAGAGTGAATTTATGATTATGCCTGCCACTATGCAAGACAAAACTAGAGGAGGGGGCTTAGTACATTTTCAGAGACGCTGAATCTTTGAAATCCAAAGGCATCTAAAGGAGACTTAGGAGGAACCCTCTAGAGACATTGCAGGAGAAAGTTCAAGGCTAGAACCATGGATCTAGTGCCCATCAGTGTGCAGGGTACTAAAGCAGAGGAAATCCCAGGGAGTGTGTGTAGCATGGGGTTGGTAGGGCCAAGAGGAGGAGCCTAGTGACCTGCAGCATTTAAGATGTGGGTGGAGGAAAAACAACCATAAAGGATAGTGAGAAGGGGCAGCCAGAGAAACGGGAGGAATGCAGGTGGAAATGCTTTCAAGTAGAGAACTTCACTGTCAAATTTGATTTAAAAAGTAAAACAGCATGAGGACTGAACAAAGACAACTGAATTCAGTTAGCTAGAAAGACATCAGTGGCCTTTACCTGAGGCTGACTACAGTGCTTGACTGAAGATGCAGGAAAAAGTAGGGATGTGAGGCTGGAGAAAGAGGTGACATCAGGGGCAAGTGGGAGGGTTTGCCTCGGGATCGTTTCCACTGAAAAAACAGGGAATGTGTGCTGATGCAGGCAGGCCTGCAGGTAAGCAGGAGAAGGCTGGAGGACAGTTTGTGATGAGGACGAGGCTCACAGGTGTGCATGTGGAAACATGCACTAAAATGGTACCTTCACATGTGGCAAACTCAATCACGACATTGCATTAATGGGAAATTATCAAGGTTTTTTAGCCATACTCAATCATGAGATTGCATCAATAGGGAAATCATCAATGTTTTATTCATGTATGACAAGACAAAGGGAAAAAAATCCAAGCGAGGTGCTCATTGGTTCAGCCAACACTTATTAAGTACTGTGAAAGGAAAAGAAAACTCAGGACCCCACAATCACTAAGCCAAAGGGAAAGGTCAAGCTGGGAACTGCTTAGGGCAAACCTGCTTCCCACTCTGTTCCTAAATAAGATAGCTACAAAGATAAAAAGCCACATACCTCCCTCACAATTTGTCCACAAGGAAATTCCTCGTGGACAAAGGACAGACAGAACTCAAAGTCATCCCTCTGCTCACTGAGATAAATGTGTATCTGATTGCTTCCTTTGGAAAGGCTAATTAGAAACTCAGAGAAATGCAACCATTTGTCTCTTACCTACCTATGACCTAGGAGCTCCCTCCCTGCTTCGAGGTGTCCCGCCTTTCCAGATCAAGCCAAGGTACATCTTACATATATTGACTGATGTCTTATGTCTCCCTAAAATGTATAAAATGAAGCTGTGCCTGGACCACCTCAGGCCCATGTCATCAGGACCTCCTGAGGGCGCAGCCTTAACCTTGGCAAAATAATTTTTAAATTGATTGAGACCTGTCTCCAGTACCTTTTGGCTTACAGTACCTTCTATGAGACAGACCCTGTGTTAGGTGACAATGACTCAAATAAGGATAAGATATGGTTCTTGCCCCTAAAGAGCTTGCAGCTTAGTGGAGGAACTAGATAACTATCATACAAGGAAAATCCAATTGCAAACATATGAGCTAAGGGCTAAGAATACAGTGGACAGAGTAATCAGCATTGTCATGAGGACAGTATTCATCCAGTCCTCATTTTTCATTCCAAAAATATTAATTGAATGCTTACTATGTGCTCAGAGCTTATAGTCCAGCACAAAACAAAGCATTAAAAAAAAAAAAAAAACCCTACCTGTATCCATCATAAATTCTAGTGGGTGAAGACAGACAATAAACAAGACAAATAAGTAAAATACATGGCATGTCAGACAACAGTAAGTGTTAAGAAGAAAAATAAAGACAAAGAAAAGAAATAGGAAATGCTAGCAGTTAGCGGCTCTATAAATTTCCGATGTGGTGACTTATGAGAAATAAGGAAGACAAGAAAAGAACGGAATTGCATCTTTAAAGCACTGAAAGCCATAAAACTGTCAAGTAAGAATTATACATCCAATGAAAACATCCTTCAAAAATGAGAGTAAAATAACAAAATTTTCAGATTAAATAAAAAATGATTTTTACATGTCTATAATTTCATTTCTAGAGTACAAGTTTCCACTCTTGACTGAGTTCTTCCTTACCCTAGAGTGTTTATTATGTCTCTTAAAAATATTCTCATAAGGAAGGGGAACATCACACTCTGGGGACTGTTGTGGGGTGGGGGGACGGGGGAGGGATAGTATTGGGAGATATACCTAATGCTAGATGACGAGTTAGTGGGTGCAGCGCACCAGCATGGCACATGTATACATATGTAACTAACCTGCACAATGTGCACATGTACCCTAAAACTTAAAGTATAATAAAAAAATATTCTTATAAAACATTTTCTAAGTCTTTAATCTATTTGAAATTTATTTTTACACGGAAAAAGGCCACTTGGGCAAGCATAACCAATTAAATAAAAAATCTATGCTGTGTCCTCCTGAGCTGATTTACCATCTTTCTCGTATATTACATGCTCACATATCTCCTTCTGGTTTCTCTATCCTGTTCCACAGATTCCTGTTTCTATTACTATACCACCAGAACGTTGGGGATTTAGGCATAAAAATATTTTATTCAATTGAAATTAAAACCAGTTGAGATTCTGTTTTACAAGTGAAATAAATATTAATGTGGGAGAGCTGTCATGTTTGTGGTATAGCTTTCCATTTATTCAAATAGTAATTTCTATCCTTCAGTAGGATTTTTCAGTTTTCTTCATATAAGGCCCTTCCCATGTCTTATTCAACTTACTCTAAATATTTTATATTGTATTGCTATTATGAATGGAATATTTTTCCTTTTTTAATTTCTAAGTGCTGATGGTTGAAATACAGAAAAGGTAATAATAAGTTTTTGTATTTATCTTATATCCCACCACTTCAACATTCTTGTATTAATTCCAATAGTTTATCATTAGATTCTCCTGGGTTTTCTAGGTATAAAATCTTATCATGTGTAAATATGTGTCTTATCATCTGTAAATATGCAGCTAAGTGGAGGAACCATACCTATGTGTTTATATATACATGTATACATATATACAAATACATATCTATGTATATATAAACACATATATATGTATTTTTTAATCTCTTCTTTCCAAAGTTTGTAGTGCTCATTTAATTTTCTTGCTTATTTCATTTGCTAAAAATTCCAAGACAATAATGAATATTAATGATGATAGTGGTATCCCCGGCTGTTTCCTGAATTGAATTGAAGGGTTTTAATGTTTTGCTATATATTTGCTGTTACATTATGGTAAATAATTTTTATTATATTCAATCCTATTTTACATAAGTTGCTTTGCAAAGAATGGAAGTTAAATTTTATCGAAAGCCATTTTAGTATCTAGAGATCATTACATGGCGAGTCATGTAGTTTAATTTATGGCTGTATATATTATGTTGGCAGATTTTATAAAATTGAACCCTGTGTTATCACTGAATTTTACATTACTCATCATTATACCTCCTTAGTAATATACCAGGATATCATTCTTCTAATATATTGCTGGATTATATTTGCCAATATCTATCTAGAATTTCATATTTGTATTTATATGTGATATGCATCTATAGTCTAGTTTTGCTTTTTGTACTATCTTCCTCGGGTTTCATTTCTTGGCTTTACAAAGAAACTTTCACCTTTTTCTGTGACCTGGAAGAGTTTGACTATCATTGGAATTATCTGTTCTTTTAAAGATAAAGATCAGTGCTGCTGTGAGCCCCTCTGGCCCTCACTTATCAATGTCTTCTACTGGTCTATTCAAATGTTCAACCTTTTCCTGAGTGCCCTGTGATAATCTTTAGTTTGCTAGGAAATCACCTGGTCCTTCCAGGTGTTCAAATTAATTTCTATAGGGATATATGTATTATTCTTTCTCGCTTTTACTTAAAAAAAAAAAAAACTTCTTCCACATCTTTGGTTTTCCCCTTCTTGTTTAGTAATTAAACTTAAGATCATATGGAACATACTGGTTTCTGGCCTACAAGAATGGGTAAACAGTGACAGGGTTAAAAGTGACCAGGAACGTAGAGAAAAAATTGGGGGCAGGGGCGGTGATTTGATAAGGATGAAGGACAGCCAAGTGGAATTCACTTTCAGCATAGAGTTGAGACTTAAATCTGCAGCTAAGTAGCATAACCAGAATAGAAACAAGATGATAACAAAAGTCACCCAGAGAAAAAGTGCAAAATGAGAAGAAAACATAGTTGAAACACAAGGGAATCCCAACATGTAAATGGAAGGCAGAGAGTGAAGAATTGATAAAACAAAAAGCATTGAGACATAAAAGCTAGGACAGACTGATATGTCAGATTACAAGTAAAGAACAAGAGAAGAGTGAGGAGAAGAGGAGGGGGAAAGAGAGGGGAAGGAGAAGGAGAGGAAATAGTCAACACCTCACTTGAACGTCAGATGGGTGAATGTGGACACAGGGATGAAGACAAGAAGAAACTGCCAAACAGATGGAGGATCACTTTAACAGCAGGACTGAATGCTGAACAGAATTCCTGAATGGGCCCAGTCCTGTCACTAGAGAGGAATCAAGAACAAAGAGATCTCAGATTTCTTACTGGGATATTCATGTGATGGTGAAGTCTGCAGTAAAGAGCACATCTGTGTGCAGATTTCCCACTGTTAACTGATTTCTCCCTTGCCATGTAGTAGATGTGGGGAAGGAAGGTCTATGAATGTAATTTGCATCACTGAGACTCCATAAAATATACTCCATATAATTAGGAGGTTAATATTAAGATAATCCCTCATGAATACCACCCTGTAAGTCATCAGATTAACAACCACCTATATGAGATGGCAGTATTCACTTCATAAAGTACTTAACTACATATTTCCCTTGACCTTTTTCCTCTATATATCCTAGAGCCACCGAATGTAATAGATTAAATATAATATAGCTCCGGTTATTACTGCTACTTTCATTAATTTGACTCTGTGAGTCAGAATTTAGATTTTCCTCTATTCAAGACATCCCCTGGTGGGCTTCAATTAATGGACACACTTAAAATATTATTCAAGATTATTTTTTCCCTTGACAGTAAAAATGTTTCAAATAAATTCTTTTCAAAATCATATCTCAACTCCACAGCTCGCTAACCTTTCAAAACACTAGTCATTCTCAATGAATGTAAATTTAAAATCCGTAAAGGAACACTGAATTTCAGTTCACTAGCAGATCACTTGAGGTAAAAGGAGGGTATTTTTATTAGTTGAAAGTTAAATTAGCACTGTTTAAAAGAAAAATCTAATGTAAAATCATCTAAAACAGTTTCATAAAATGAAATCCCTGGAAAGTGCATTCGAAGCAGCCAGTGAAGAGTTCTATTAGTTCACAGGGGCATTTTCCCCACTGAGCTTTTTATGACTCTTTTGGAATGAGAGTCCCTTTGCCCTGACTTGAATTACAATGTTGTGTCAATGTAACCAGAAAGTGCAATAGCTGTTAGACCTAATGACTGAAAGCCCTAAACTGTGTGCTAACAGAGCTGCATAATAGTACTGTTCCCTTAGCAACAGATACAAGTAATTCCCATTTCCTTCAAGGAAACCTAAAGTGATTGTTCTGTAGCTTCAAATGTGTGATAGGTAGGATAACGGCCTTCCAAAGATGTCCACATCCTTATCCTTAGAAACTGTGAATTCATTATCTGACATGGCAAAATAATTTTGCAGAGGTGGTTAAGCTAAGGTCCTTGAGATGGAGAGAGTGTCTTGGATTATCCCAGTGGCCCCAGTGTAATCACAGGAGTCCTCAGTGGAAGAGCTTTCCCAGCTGTGGCCAGAGGAAAAAGTGACCACAACAGGAGCACAAGAGAGATCCGACCTTGCTAGTTTTGAAGATGGAGGAAGGGGCCATGAGCCAAGGAATGCAAAAGCTGGAAAAGAAAAGGAAACAGATCCTCCCCTTGAGCCTTCAGAAGGAAGCAGCCCTCCTCACACCTTGACTCTGGCCCACAGAGACCCACATCACACTTCTAACCTACAGAACTGTAAGATAATAAATTTCTACTGCTTGAGCCGCTATGTCTGTGTTGATGGCAGGAAGAGGAAATTAATACAGAATGTACATCAGGAATAATCACTGCTGATATTTAGTAAACTGTTCAAACTCACCACCAAAAAGTTTCCAAATGCTCAGTAACTGGGAAAATTGACAAAATAGTCATATTTAATCTGCCTGAAAAATAAAAAGTAATGCATAAAGAATAAATTAGTTTAACATAATAGTTGTCACATGGTAGGTACTGTATTCTCTGATTTGAACTCAGGTTCACTGTATGAAATACAAAACAAAGCATCCATAGCTAACATTTTCCTCTCTTTGAGCTGATGTTCAGGGAAATAATTAATGATACATACATAGACGGCACCAAAGAAGCCTTCACTATCCTACTGTTTTTGTACATAAAGCTTATGGTGTTAATTCTCCAAAATAGTTTTAAATACTGTCATAAATTGTCAGGGCTGAAATATATTTAACAAATCAGGTAACCATTTTAAACATAAAAAGGATGATTTCCCCCAAGGTTTACTTGTGGCAGTAATGTCTTATTTCATGGACCAATTACCCTAATAAGCCATAAATGTGCCACTGATTTGAATAACTGGTTTCAGTTCTCAAGCATCCTTTCTGTGTTTTAAAAATCATAAACAAAATAGAATTTTCTTGTGAAATTAAATCCTGACCTACTTAATTCAGATTTGCTATTATAAAAAATTAATTACGACAACAACTAGCTGAGAAAAATTACAAATATTTTCTCCTAAAATCCTAAGCACAATGAAGACAACTACAGGTAAATAGAAGTGCTAGGAAAATAGCAAACCATGGTAATGTAGTTATCAACATATAGCAAAATTAAAATATTAGTATCATAAACTTTTAAAAACTGGCTTTAGATAACTTGATGCTTATTTGGGGAACAAATACATTTCTACTTGAAAATCCATTATCACCCGGACAGATTCATTCTGGGTTATCTATTACCAATACAGAGCTGTCTCTCCACAAGAGACGCTATCACATTCCTGCTGAAAGCTTCAAAGTCCTTTTATTAACTATGGGATAGCGTCCAACCAGCTGAGCACAGCAAACAAAGTGCTTCTCCATGAGTCTAAACCAACTTTCAGCCTCATCAACTGTTCTCTCTAGTTACTAATTAAACCAATACTCATGGAGGACCTACTGTGTACTAGGCTCTATGGGCACAAAAGGAAACAAAATTGTCCATCACACTTCCCTCACGAGCTTTAAAATCTACTGGAGAGGGATCAAATAATCTGATATAATTGCAAACCATACTAAGTAAGTGCTTTTACAGAATACAAGGCCATGAGAGCACAGAATAGGAGCCCAAGACTTGTCTGAGAAATCAGGAAAAGCTTCCCTGACAAGTGGCATGGAAGCCAGAGCTTTTAGCAACACATGTACCTATAATTAGGCAAAGGAAGGACTTGGAGAGGGAGAGGAGGGACATTTCAGGCAGAAAGGATGGCAGGTACAAGGGTTCCACGGCAGGACCTCAAATAAGGCCAGCACTGTGGGAGCAGGAGGAAAGAAGGGGCACATTGCAGGAGACGAGGCTCGGGAGACCGGAAAGGGCAAGATGCTTCAGAGCTTGGAGGCCTTAGTAAGAATTTCGCCCACATCCTATCCTACAGGCAATGGGAAGCACTGGAAAGGTTTTAAGCAAAGGAAAGGTAGGCAGGTGGACAGGATCAGGCTCATGTACTGAAAAGAACAATGCAGCTGGCATTGTGCACCTGGATTAGGGAGTACCAAGAGCAGGCCTGGGGAGATCAACTGCGAAGTCCAAGCACGGGGTGACAGCTTGGACTCAAGTGGCACAGGGAAGACGAAAATAAGTGGACAGATGAGAAATGTTCCAGAAACAGAAGCAACAGCCTCCCTTGTCAGATTGCCCAAGGGAAGTAAAAAAAGAAAAAGGTCCCTTGAACCTCCAGGCAGCCCCTGAGGTCCTGGCTTGTGCTGCTGATGGGCAGTGCATTCACTGATCTTGGGAGCAACGCCTCCTCTCCAAGACCCACAGGTACAGGCTTTCCTAAGATGAGAGTGACGTTAAATCCAGCATGTAAGAGCCCTTTCATCCCAAAATAATTAACACATTTCTCATGCTTTCTGAAAGTTTGTATATTTTTATAATCCTATATATCTGTTAAATCTGTTCAACTTACTAAAGGCCAAGCACATGCCTCTGTCATTTTCCCATGCTCTTCACTTTCATCAGGACAGTCACAAACTATTGGCAAAAATCTATTTTCACTTAAAGTGCTTTTTGAAAAAGTTATTTTCTACACATAGCTACATCCCAAAGAGGCTTCAGGAAAGGCTTGTGAGAAACATATTGTACTATTTCTGGTTATGTAAGAAAAGAAAAACCAAATGAGTTTTTAAAGGTTTAGACTTCAACTCTGACTACTCCTCAAAGAAAAATAAGTTCTTTCCTAAGCAGGATAAAAATACTAAAGGAAATATTATTTAATTTAATTAAAACTATTTAATTCTCTAAATAGTTTTAAAAACAGTCCTATAGGAACCTCCTAAGCAAAATATGAGCATCTACACCAAAAAGAGCCTCAAAGTTATTTTAAAAATGAATAAATTCCCTATTTAAGCTGTTCCAAAAAATACCATTTATTAGTATCTCCCTAGAGTCAAACACATTACAAACATTTTCTCATTTAATCTTGACAATTTTATGGGGTAAGATATATTATCTATTACTCCCATTTCACAAGCAAGAGAATTGAGGCTTGGAAAAGCTAAGTATAATCACTTGTTGAAAGCCACAACATGCCAATTAAGTGGCAAAACCAAAATTCAGACAAGGTCTGTTTGATTCTAAGCACACACACTCTACACTTCCTTTCAAATATAAAAAGAAGTCACTCTTCAGAAGGAATAACTAAAAGTTCAGATTTCTAAAAGGTAAGATTTCTAAAAGACAAAACCACAGCTAAATAACCAAAGTCTGGGCGATCATTCTCTACGTATGTGGCCGGCAGCCACGCACTGGCCTAAACATTAGGGAAATTTCTGTGTATTGCACTATAATGCTTTAATTGTGAGTTAGATGCTGTCTTAGGGGAAAATCTTTGTTGTTGTTGTTTGGTATCATTCAATTATGCATACGAAGTCAGGAGAAAAATAAGATTCCAGGAGTGAACATTCATTTCCAAGTGAATTTTTAAGGAATTAGTCTATTCTACAAAGTGAGCTACCATACAAATACAGCTCCGTGCTTACACGCTGAAATAACAGCAATTTAGCAAAACAGCAAAGCCACATCACCAATTCCTATCTCCTTCCTGCTGCAGAGGGAAATCCACAGGGGCTCTCACGGAGCCCACATGTCAGACCCACCCGGGCGTCGAGACTCAAAACACGACCATCACATGGCTGTCCCTCCTGGGAAAGTCGAAGCCAAAGACGAGGCCAAGCAAAAGGGCCGGGAGGAGGAAAGGGCCCGCAGCTCAGCTCAGCCGGGCGAGGCGGGAGGCAGGCACTCAGCTCCCTCGCTGGCTCCCACACCGCCGCAGCGCCGCCACCTTGGAGGGGACGCACTGGCCGGCTGCGCACGCAGGCTGTTCCCAAGCCCCCGGTCGCTTTTCTTCCACATCAGGCTCTCCTCCATGTCATCTGTGCCCTTCTTCAGGGCAGTATCCTATTCTGCCTCATCCTCTCGGCCTTCTCCTTTCCCTTCTCTTTCCCTCCTGAGCAATTCTATGATCCCATGCTGAAGCCACTCTGTGCAACAGAGCAAGGTGGGAGGACATGGGTGGAGGCAGCTAGAGCGACCTTGGCCTCGAGCCCGCTGGAGGAGCCCAAACTGGTAGGAGGGCATCTGCACAGGGGCCGCCCAGCGTGGGCAGTCGGAGCCCGGAACGGGGAGGGAAAACATCCACAAGTTGGGGAGTAGGCACAGGCCTCAGAGCCTGGCAGGGCAGCCTGGCATGGGCGGGGGCGGGAATGAACCCTAAACAAGGCGTTGAGGGCACCCACCTGGAGGCTGACCCAGCGAGGGGAGTCCAGTTTCCGGAGGGCGTCGAGAGGACGGCTTCTGCGGGGCAGCCTGGTGCGGTATTAACGCCCACTCAGGGCGAGGAGGCGTCCGCAGAGGGGTGGCCTCTGCCAGCTCTTGGAGCAAAGGAGCTTGAAGATGACATCCACAGGGAGGCAGCCGGATGGTGGAGCCCACGTGGGATGAGGTGGCCATGGATGCCAGGGAGGGGTTGGTGGCAGCACTGAAGGATGGTGGGGGCACTGAACAAATAAGCAACTATACAACTAAGGGGAACAGAGCCACGTTTCTCACTGGCAAAGACTGGGATTCAAATATACAAAGAGGGAGAACTGTTACTAGAATGAATCCTGTGGGATGGGACTGGAATTGGAGGTATCACTGTTAATTCCGATTTCCATGTGAGATTTCAATATATAGAGATGCACCTATATTAAAATAGTGCTATAAAGTGTGTGTGTGTGTGTGTATAGCAATTTGTAAGTATATGTGAAAGTCATCATATAAATTGGGCCATTCTTGTCATTTCCAACTAAAACAGAGCCAAGAAGTCAGGGAAAAAGCACCCAGGGCACATACCATTGCTCCAAAGATGTAATTCCCTGCAAGCCCTGCTGCTGAAGTCACCTGCTGCAACCTGAGGCCAGTTTTACCTGATGGATACTGAAGCAAGCTGCTGTGACTCTAAGACTAGTTTGACCCACCCTGTCTTTCACCAATCAGAGCTTGCCAGCTCCCCAAAACTTTACTAGGACCAATGAACTTTTTTAAAAGATATATTATTATTATTATTATTATTATTATTATTATTATTTTCCTAAGACGAGTCTCACTCTGTCACCAGGCTGGAGTGCAGTGGTGCAATCTCGGCTCACTGCAACCTCCGCCTCCCGGGTTCAAGCGATTCTTCTGCCTCAGCCTCCCCAGTAGCTGGGATCACAGGTGCGTGCCACCACGCCCAGCTAATTTTTGTATTTCTAGTAGAGACGGAGTTTCACCATGTTGGCCATGCTGGTCTCAATTTCTTGACCTCGTGATCCGCCCGCCTCGGCCTCCCAAAGTGCTGGGATTAAAGGCGTGAGCCACCATGCCCGGCCTGAACTTTCTTTCAAAACAATACCTAACATTTCCCCTTCTTATAAAACCTCCAGCCAGGCACGGTGGCTCACACCTGTAATCCCAGCACTTTGGGAGGCCAAGGAGGGCAGATGACTTGAGGTCTGGAGTTTGAGATCAGCACTGCCAATATGGTGAAACCCCATCTCTACTAAAAATACAAGAATTAGCTGGGCATGGTGGCATGCACCTGTAATCCCAGCTACTCAGGAGGCTGAGGCGGAAGAATCGCTTGAACCCAGGAGGCAGAGGTTGCAGTGAGCCGAGATCACGCCACTGCACTCGCCTGGGCGACAGAGTGAGACTCCATCTCAAAAATAATAATAGTAATAATAATAATAATAATTTAAAAAATAATAAAAAAATAAAACCTCTAAGGTTCTCTTTGTTCTTCAGACATACCAAACACCAGCTGGTCTGTGTGTATGCCCCAAACTGCAATTCTCGCTTCCCAAATAAAACGTTTTAAAAGGAAACATTTTAAATCTCCATATTTTATTTCATTTCACCATACCTGATGTCAGAAGCAAGGTTCCAAAGCTGACTCACACTAGCAAGAATCACCAGCTTTGGAATCACAAAGTAAGGGACCCACCCACAACTGTTTCCCTCCAGGTCACCTCTCTCTCCCCACCCACACTGAGTCTCTCTTAGGCTGAACTCCTGATTGTCGCTCTGTTTCATCTGGGAGTCGGCTGTGAAGGGGTCTTCCCCCTCCTATTTGAGAGGGGTCTTTCCACCTCTGGTTGGGAGCTCTGTTCACAAGGGTTCTTTTCATCAGAGAGCTGAATGAAGGAATTTTTCAGCCCTCAGATTGAGGCTTCAGTGAAGGAACTTTTCCCCTTCAGTTGGATAAGGCAGCTTATGGTCCTTCTTGGTAAGTCTGTATTTTCTTTTCCATAGGCGCCTGCATATTAATTTGACTTTTGTGTAGTCAGTGCTTGCATTTTAATTGGCTTTTGTGTATTTGGCATTAAACTGAATCACCTAGATAAATTTAGTTACAAATGGGCTTTCAAAGTTGAAAGGCATGCCAAGATATTTTCTAGGACTCCAGCTGATAGCATGCTTAAACATTATAGGGATCATTTAAACAGGCTGTTTTTCTTTAAACTAAAAGACCACAGCTATAAAATTATACACTCCAAATAAGACTCACACCTCAATTGATACACGAGGCTCCAGAAAAAAAAGAAAAAAGACTCAAAGACTGCCTCACTACAAAAGACTGTCTTAAGGCTCTTTCTTCTCTGATGCTTTCCCTTCCCTTCCTAAAATCCTAAAATTTCTCCTCTTTCTCCTTCTCTAAACTAAATTCCCTTTTTCCAAAACTCCTCAGCTATTCTGGCATACTATACAAGCAAGACACTTAAAAGCCAGCAGATAGAGAAGAAAATCATTTTGATCGCTGTGCTGTTTCTTAAAAGCAAAACGTGAAACTCCCATGTAAATAACACCCTCTCTACACTAAAAGGAATAGCAACATTCTTATCTTCAAGGACAAAGAGTCAAGACCAAGAAAATACTATGCAGACCTTGGTAGGCTAACTCTTAGCTTGTGGGCCTCCTGATATCATTTAGTCACATTTCACAGTTGACTATCCTTTTGCCAATACAGGATATTGGTATCGGATTCAAACTGCTTTATCCAAAATTTGGTTCACAGCCTTTATAAGATTACCTATTTAAATAAATCTTACCCTGAGCAACATAATGAGACCCTGTCTCTATAAAAATTTAGAAATTAGCCAGGTATGGTAGCTACATGCCTGAGGTCCCAGCTACTCAGGAGGCTGAGGGAGGAGGATCACTTGAGCCCAGAAGGTCAAGGCTACAGTGAGCTGTAGTCACATCGCTGCACTCCAGCCTGGGTGACAAAACGAGACTCTGTCTCAACAAAATAAAAGAGAAATCTTAAAGTTTGACCCTATCCCATTTTGTCAGAAAAATAATCTGGATCCAACTGTCTTTATATTATAAACTGGTGAGTGTACATGTTTTATAATCTCATAACTGAAATTCTAAAGTAAAAGCTATACAATCTCTCTGTGTATGTATATGTGTTTAGAATGTGTTTATACATATGTAAATGTATTATGTTGTATGTTGTGTCAACATAATAAAATCTGGCATAGTCATCAAGAAATCCCTTAAGAAATTTTATTCCAATTGATTTAAATAAATGAGTGCTCATATAAAATATATGCTAACTAACCCAAATGTTTATTTTTAGTTCACATGACTTAAGTAAATCTTTGATAAATTAATTGGTTTTTAAACTTTTGGTAAATTAGAAATATCTTCAAAATTGTCAACATATATTTTTGCCTGAGCTTACTGGTCAGACAGTAAACATCTGCTAAATGTTTTAAGGTCATGAACCTATGAACCCAGCCTAAAACAAAATGATCTTGTTTATGCAATTCGTTGATAAATAAGATCAATTTAATGTTATTGATTTAATAAAAACAGTTGTCTTCTGAGTTATCATTAAGATACCCATGTATTTAACTTTAAGGTTTACTTAGGTAAATACCTGGTATTAACAGGATGTAAAATTGGTTAATAAAAAAAAACTTGAAATAATAACTAGCTCTAATATCTCACTTTTCATAAGTAATCCAGGTATAGTAATTTTAAAAATAAATGTTAGGTAATGGTAAATGGAATAAAGTTTACAAATGAAATTTTCATATAATTTAAAATATTAAATTTATATTATTGTTAAATAATAAATCATTAAGTTTCTGGGTCGTATCCAAATAAGATAAAAACTGAAACAAATTGCTGAATAAATATAAGTCCCTTCTTGCGTCCTTAAATTTTATAAAAAGACCAAATATACTTAGGTCTAATAATCAAAATATAAATTTAAAGAAAAAAATTTGTATGAGAAAGAATCTTATATAGTAAGTTGTTGTCCTAAGATAAAATGATTGGTTGTCCCAAAGTTTTTTTAAAAAGAGAAAAATTGTAGGACTGAGACTGAGGATTGGGGAAAATGATAAAGGTCTAAACAAGTTTAAAAAGATTTATAAAGAATGGGTCTTAGGAAGGACATTTTATGTGTGACTGGGTTTAAAGAGATTGGGAAAAATTTGCTTGTTTTTCTAAAATTTCTAAAAATTAAATGTTAGTGTGAGGGGTGCACTGATACAGGACCAGAGTCTAGTCCTCTATATTTAAAACAACAAGGTTTTTTTGAAATATTGATCTGCTCTTTAAAAAATTACAACAGGTTTTGATTTTTATTTATAAAATCTGTTTAACAGCCATCTTCTAAACTGCGCAATTCCTATTCCTAACACTTTTCTTCATGAGATCCTTTTAGTTTCCCTAGTTTCAAGTTTAAAATGTTGTCCTCTTCATTTAAAATGGTAATTTGATTTCTTTAGGTAAAGTTTTCCTTTTAAAATTTCTCAGATTCCTGTCTCAGAGGTTAATCTTTGCTGTATCTCCCTGCATGTGATTTATAGGTCAGACATCACTGCCTTCAGCTTGTTCTCCCCTTGAGAAGGACTGGGATGACAACTCTCTACTTCAACTTTTTTTTTTCAGATCCTGTAACTTGTCAGTACAATTCTAACTCAGCTGTTATGGCCTGACAGTGAAATGTTTATCTTGAAGGCTTGGAAAAGCAATGTTTTCATGCAGTATAACTTGATTCTGTCCTCATGAATTGCTACATACATAACCTTGGACACATTTTTCCTGTATCTGATCAAGTAACCTTTCATCAGATTTCACTTCCAGGTTATCTTTTTGTTTCTTTGTTTTTTGTTTTTGTTTGTTTGAGACAGGGACTTGCTCTGTTGCCTAGGCTTGAGTGCAATGGTGTGATCATAACTCACAGCTTCAACCTCTTGAGCTCAAGGAATCCTCTGGCCTCAGCCTCCTGAGTGGCTGGGACCACAGACACGTGTCACCACACCCGGCTAATTTTGTTTATTTCTTGTAGAGACAAGGTCTCACTAGGTTGCCCAGGCTGATCTCCTGGGCTCAAACGATCCTACCACCTGGATCTCCCAAAGTGCCTGGGTTACAGGCATGAGGTGCCGTGCCCAGCCTACTTCCAGGTTACCTAAATGAGCTTCCTATAAAAAGGAACAATCAGACTGCAGAAGGGTTTTTTTTTTTTTTTACCTTTTTGGTAGCTTGCCTAAGAAACAGAGTGTATAGTTTATCAATATAATTTCCTGTGTTGCCTTTATTAGGTTTTTGATTACTTAAAAACTAAACAAAACAAAAACTAAGCTTTAAAAGAATTAAGGATGTTTTCCATTTAATTCTCTGTATTGCTTTTCACAGCTTTTTGATTATCACTATGGCTACATGAATGACTTTAATTTTACAAGTGAACTGACTGGAATTCTTTTATTTTTTTTTTTTAATTTTTTGAGACAGAGTCTCGCTCTATCACCCAGGTTGGAGAGCAGTGGTGCCATCTCAGCTCATTGCAACCTCAACCTCCCAGGTTCAACCAATTCTCCTGCCTCAGCCTCCCAATTAGCTGGGACTACAGGCATACACCACCATGCCCAGCTAATTTTTGTATTTTTAGTAGAGACAGGGTTTCATCATGTTGGCCAGGCTTGTCTCGAACTCCTGACCTCAGGTGATCCACCCGTCTCGGCCTCCCAAACTACTAGGATTACAGGAGTGAGCCACCATGCCCAGCGAGCTGCAAGTTCTTATTATCTACCTATGGTCTAGACTAGATCCTAAGTTCTAGGTTCATCCCATCCAACTTTCTAATATAAAATTACTAAAACAGGTACTGCTGTATTCTGAAGCCCTATATAAACTTAAACTAAATAAATTTTAAGGAACAAGTCTTGTGCCTGATGTAGAGGCCACACAGAAAGTTCACCAAACTGCCCAAAGCTGTAACTAGAGACATTCAAATTGCAAACCAGGATGAGAAACTGACATTTTTCACGTTGTAGACAGCTTTTCTCAAGATACGGGAACAAGGCTCCCTACCACATGGAATCTCGCCCCTTTTTCTACCTTTCTGACTTGACAAAATAATGCTGCAATTAAAATTTCCCAATTAGTAAATGCTATAGGTAACTTGACAAACTCCAGCCTAAGAAATCCTTTCAGTTCATCTAGTTGGCAACCTTGACAATATCCCTGACATGACTGTGTATTCAAATTGTACTGCTGATCCCTTTAGTAGAGTTGTCATTGTTCGCTTTAATTCAACCCAGTCAACCACAAAAGACCCCAAACAGCCAAAGCAATCCTGAGCAAAAAGAGCAAAGCTGGAGGCATCTCACTACCTGACTTCAAAATTTACTATAAAACTATAGTAACCAAATCAGCATGGTACTGGCATAGAAACAGACACACAGACTGATGGAACACAACAGAGAACCCAGGTATAAATCCATGCACTTATAGCCAACTTATCTTCAACAAAATGCACCAAGAACATACAATGGGGAAAGGACATTCGCTTCAATAAATGGTGCTGGGGAAACTGGATATCCATATGCAGAGGAATGAAACTGGACCCGTATCTCTCACCATACACAGAAATCAAATCAAAATGGATTAAAGACAAAAATCTAAGACCTGAAACTATGAAGCTACTAGAAGAAAACATTGAAGAAATGCTCCAGAACATTAGTCTGGGCAAAGATTTTCTTTGTAAGACCTCAAAAGCACAGACAACCAAATCAAAAATAGACAAATGGGATTATACCAAGCTAAAAACTTTCTGTACAGCGAAAGGAACCATCAACAAAGTGAAGAGACAACCCACAGAATGGGGGAAAACATTTTCAAACTATCCATCTGACAAATATGTAAGGAGCTCAAGCAATTCAACACCAACACCACTAACATAGCTAGAAGAGAATAATTCAAATATTTCTAAGCATGAAGACATATTTAAAGCGATGGATATCTCCAGTAGACTAATTTTGATCTTTACAAATTATATCAATCTATTAAATTATCACATGTGCTACAAACTACGTACATGTAGCATGCATCAATTAAAAATAAAAAAATAAATTCAACACAGTCATAAAACGCTACTCAATGGCTACGACAGGTTTCACCAAGTTTCTCCCATGGTCTTCAGGTTTCTTTAGTTGATTACCTTCAAAATTAGGTTTGAGGTTTTGAATTATTATTCAAACTAGATTTATTACATTGTTGCTAATTATTTTTTGCATTATGATTTCTACACATTGTTCTCATTTCCTGTCTAATATTTGTAAAGTCGACTCTCCTAATAGAATAATGTTGGCTCAACACCTGGAGATGACTGCCGATGCCTATGAAACTGACAAGCAGGAATTTGATGCTGGATTCCAAACAAATCTGAGAAAAATTTTCCTTCTGGCCTCTTTGTTACTCAGATATGGCCCAGATCCCTGATATAGACCCCCATACCTTCCCCCTATTGTAGGACAGAGACAACTAGGATAGGTCCTACTATCAAGGGACAATTAACCTAACTTCAAAATAGTTTGTCACCAATACTTTCAGAAACAGGTTTTGATCAAAAGGGGGAAATGTGAAAGTTAATCACATAAACTGGGTCATTCTTGTCATAACCAACTAAGACAGAGTCAAGAAGCCAGGAGGACAAAGTACTCAGGGAACACAACATTGCTCCAAGCATATTAATCTCTGAAAGCCTGGCTGCTGAAGCCACGTGCCATAACCTGCAACCAGTTTTATTTAATGGCTACTGAAACCACCTCCTCCAACTCTAAGACTAGTTCTACCCTCTGCCATCACTCACCAATCAGGGCTTGCCAGTTCCCCAAAACTTTACTAGTGCCAAAAAACTTTCTTTTAAAGCAATACCTAACTTTCCTCCTTCTTATGAAACCTCCAACCTTCTCTTTGTTCTTCACACATAACAAAGACCACCCAGTCTGTGTGCATACCCCAACTATAGTGTATACCCCAACTATAATTCTTTCTTCCCAAATAAAACATTTTAAATATAGAAATTCATCTCTGTAGTTTACTCAACTTCAACATATAGACATCTGTGTTCATAAATATACAAACAGACTTTCCTTAGCTCTGTCCACTGAGAGGGCCTGGGAGCAATGACATCCTAATAGCAATGAACACACCTAGCCCTGGCCACATAAAAAGAGCCACAGCTCTTTAGAGAAATGACTGATTCAACGTCTGGGGCAAGGAGAGTTCAAGATAAGCCTAAAACATCTTGTGTCAGAAAACGTCGAAGTGCTCGAAGAATAATAGAAACAATCAAAAGGACACCAAAACCAGCTTGAAGGGGACTCACTGGCCAAACTGGGGACAACCTTAGCACCAAAATAATGAAAAAAAAGGATTAAAATCCACTGAATAAAATAAGAAGCCATGAGTCCATTAAGAAATAAATAAAAAGAAATTTGTAAAAAAAAAATGATATTTCTAGTTTTGAATTACCACCCTATAAAACACTTACTAATTCCAAAGGAAAAATTGTGACTTTATAGTGGAAAAACCTGGAAGACACTACCTTAATCAAGAAATCAAAGTTATCCTCATAAATGGGACATCCCAAAATCATGTGACATCTACTGTGATGCAGTGGCGACGGAAGCATCCCTTCTGTGATATTTCCCCCAAGATACATAACCTGAATTTAATCATGAGGCAGTATCAGACAAATCCAAACTGACAGACATTTTACAAAATAATTGGCCTGTAATCTTCAAGAGTGTCCAGGTCATAAAAGTTCAGGAAAGGCTGAGGAACTGTTCCAGATTGAGGGGACGGGAGATACACAACAATTTAATGTGACATATGATTCTGAGCTAATCCGTTTCCTATAAAGGATGTTACTGGAGTAACTGGTGAAACTTGAAATGAGGCTTGAAGCTTGGATGGGAGTAATGTATCAATGCTAATTTCCTGCTTGGAAGGATTGGTCGTACTGTGGTTGGGCAGGGCATGTTCTTATATGTAGGAAATACATAATAATGTATCGGGGGTGATGAGGTATCGGATTGACAACTTACTCTCTAATTCAGGAGAAAAAAAAATCTTTGTCCTGTATTTGCAGCCTTTTTTATAAGTTTGATATAAAAAGTTTCCAATCTTTACAAAATATCAATTAAAAAAGGAGAAGAAGATCACTCTGTGGCGCTAAGAGAGAGCACACAGGGAGATGATGCAGTCATTTAAAATAGGCATGTCAGCAAATAAGCTCATGGTCCAAATATTCACATGAAAAGTTTAGGTCTGAGCGAGCATTAAAATGCACCAAAGTGGCAGCTTCAATTTCAGCAGCAGAAGGTAATTATGCTGAGCAAAAATCAAATATGCTTTAAAAAATCAAGCATGTTAATGAAAAGAATCCTTTATTCAAACTCAAAATGAAACAGAAACCTCTGGCTTTAGGAAGAGAATGAGCAAAACCCACAGGAAGGAAGATGGGGATGTTTACTCAGCAGGAGACGGTGTCTGGCCACCACCAGGCCCTCCCTACGTAAGTGCACTGCCTACAGGGCTTGAAGGCTTCCCAAATGTCTCCACTAGAACTAAGTGCTGCTCTGTGACATTGTCTTTTGCTCAATCAATCAAAACAAAACAAAACAAAACAAAACAGGGTACTCAGTCCCTTTTCCAGAGTTCAGCACTCTTACTATCCACCAGGGACCTCTAATCACAGATGTAGGAGAGACTTAGTATTGTCTTCAGAGGGGGTTCCTCTGTAGGATGGCATGAAGGCGTTAATAATCTGAAGGTGTCACAGGAAGTTCTTTAATAAGGCAAAGATTTTAATACGGTGTTTGCTTTCATATATTAATGAATTCCTCCGGCACATAAAAACTGTTTTCATAAAACAGCCTTTAAGAGGCCAGGCACGGTGGTTCACGCTTGTAATCCCAGCATTTTGGGAAGCCATTGTGGACAGTTCACGAGGTCAAGAGTTTGAGACCAGGCTGGACAACACAGTGAAACCCCATTTCTACTAAAAATACAAAAATTATCTGGGCATGGTGGCGGGCACCTGTAATCCTAGCTACTTGGGAGGCTAGGGCAGGAGAATCGTTTGAACCTGGGAGGCGGAAGTTGCAATGAGCCGGGATAGTGCCACTGCACTCCAGCCTGGGCAACAAGAGTGAAACTCTGTCTCAAAAACAAAACAACAGCAACAACAACAACAACAACAACTCTCTCTCTCTCTCTCTCTCTCTCTCTCTCTCTCTCTATATATATATATATATATATATATACAGCCTTTATGAATACAAGCACTTGGCCTATCTTTGTGCTTTATACAATTTAATTCATTGATGCTATTACTGATTGACTCCAGGAAGAAAACAAACATGTTCCTTCCCTTTATAAGCATCTTTATTCCCAGCACGAATTCACCCAAAAGAGACAGAATCCTACGGAGGGGGGCCCTTGAATCAGAAAAGTAGAAAGCTTAGCTCTTATAAACCAGTATCAAGAGCAAAGAAATTATTTGAACATACTGAAAACTACTTGTTAGAAAGTAGTGTTTTCATTAAAATGCACGTGGAGGCTTCAATTATTGAAGTGCCCCTGCAAAAAGTTCTTTACTTAGAAAGAAGTCCCCTGTTAATCCTCCACTGAGTGTCATGGCTCAGTGGAAATATAATTCTTTAGGTTCAAAGTAGCTGATATGGTTTGAATCTGTGTCCCCACTAAATCTCATGTACAACTGTAATCTCCAGTGCTGGAGGTGGGCCTGGTGGGAGGTGACTAGATCATGGGGGCAGAGTTCTCATGAACGGTTCAGCCTAAATATTTAACTGTTTACTTAATGATAGTAAATGGCATCTGTATTAATAGGACTTGAATAAAGTAAAACTGATTTGGTTTTCCCCTTTTTATTGTTAATACCCATTCTCAGGTAAGGAATTACCTCAGTGGGAATGAACAGGTCCCTCACAAAGTTTAGAAAATACCAACATTAGATCCACTGACATATAATTACTTTGCAAGAAAGTGCTTCTCTCATTACACCCGGGAAGTAAACTAGCTCCTCCAACAAAAGACTCCAGGATACTATTCAAGGAGTCACCTTTGAAGCTTCTAGAATCATTTAATAAGCCATATCCCCCGGCACCAAAACTACTCCCTGATAATAAGTTAACCACTTTTAGAATCTGTGCTTCTTCAGGCCTTTTAGCTAATTAATACTCTAGAGCTTTAGTAAATTATGACTTCAGTATAGTAAAGGATAGATTTTATTGGTCTGATTGGACTGATTCTATGCCTTCTTAAAAGACATCTAACTTAGGTAGGAGATTTGGCATATTACGTAACTGATTATTTTTTAAAAAACCAAATTGCCCTAGGATATGCTGAGAAGAAATAAAATAGAGAGAAAAATACAAAATAAGAAAAGTTAAGAAGATAATGAGGTTTTGAAGGAGTCAGCCAGAAGAAAGCCCCTCCAGGCAGAGAAAGCACTTCTTCAGACAGTAAGTTCTAGACTGCATGTTCTATACAGCTGCAGCAAAGCAGACAGGGGTCCTGGTGGCAGGTGACAAACAAGTGCCAGGTGGTGAGGGGTCTCCAGTAACATTCTAGGGAAGGGGGGTTATGAGGCACTCCAGTAACAGAATTTCAGATAAATCTTAGTTGGGGAAAAGAGGGTATAGAAAGACTGAAAAGTGACCAGGAACTAATCAAAGGTGGGGAGACATTATTTGAGAGATGTCAAGAAGGATGAGTTGAGAAAAGGCACTGGGTTGGAGTCACAGGTAAATGGGAGGGAGGAGTAAGGATGTCTCCAGGACTCTAGTTTGACTGCAGGTTGATGATGGTGCTACAGGACGAGGGATTATAAGAGAAGCAGACTGAACACTGGGGAACAAAAGTGAGTTCGGTTTTAATGTCTAAGTCAATCTTCAAGTGGAAGAAAAATAAGAGCATGAAAGCTTCCATTGATTTGGGAGGTCCTTGGTTCCATCAATTAACACAATATTAGTGATTATCCATGAGGCGCTGGTGAGCTACACAAGAATAGTTTCAGTGCAATGATGATTATAGACACAGATGGTGGGGACATGGTGAGTTGATGGCAGATGAGGAAATACTGTTGCTCTTAAGAAACTTAGATGCTACTGGCGACTTCTGGACATGAGAGAACAAAACAAGAATAAACGGTAGAAGAAACCTACATGCAATGCTAAATACCAAGTGATATTCTGGGCTGTCTTGGGACAGAAAAAGGACACTAGTAGAAAAACTGGTGATATCTGAATGAAGTCTATAGTTTAGTGAATAGTGATGTCAATGTTACTTAGTTCTGACAAATGTTCCATGGTCACCTAAGATATTAATGTTAGGAGAAACTGGGTGAAGGGTATGCAGGACTATTTCTACACTATATTTGCCACTTTTCTGTAATCCTAAAATTTTTCCAAAAATAAAAGTTTACTCAGAAATATCTAAGAACAGATATTCCAACAACACTCCCTATTTTACAAATTAAAGTTTTTAGTTCAGGAGTTTCTGAATTTATTTTTAAATAATGTTTGTCTGATTACAACATGATTAAATACTACTTGCAATATAATAATTGGAAAATATAGACAATATACTTTTTATCTAACAACTTAGAGATGATAATTGTTAACATCTTTTCTTACTCTACAGGTAAGTGAATTCATTTTAGCCATCATTCAGACCAGTCCCCTGGGGGTCTCTTCCCCTTAATATTTTATCATAAGCTTTTCCTCTTGTGTAATTTAAATTTCTTCAAAGCATTTAAGTGACTACATACTTGTCTACACACAATGTTGTACCTATTTCCTAAGTTGTTGGACATTTGGATTATTAATATTTCCAACTGTTCATTATTTACAAATAGTACCACAATGACTATCATATGCATAAATGGAATGCACATGCTGATATCATTAGGAGAAATGTCAAAAAGTGGACTTGAAGGAAATGTTTACTCAGCACTTTTGATAAATACTGTCGGTATGTCCTCCAAACAACAGAACCTAATTCTACTCCTAGTAGCAGTATGCCAAGACTCAGTCTCCCCCATCCCACCAGCAAGGAGTATGAGCAGTTTTTTTAAATTGTCGTTAATTTGGTAAGTTAAAAAATATCATCACTACTTATAAATTTATATTTATTTGCATTTTAATGAGACTAAATATTTTTAATATATTCATTTTTAGCCACTTTGATTTCTTCTTATCTGAATTACCTGTTTATGCCCTTTGCCTGTTTTTGGACTGAGATCTTGTGTATCTCATTATTTTTTTCTAATTCCTTTATCTATTATTGACCTTTCATTAGCTATAGTTGCGGATAATCTTTGCTAGTTTGTTGTTTCCCTTTTAATCTTGTTTATTATGATGTACTTTAATGTAGAGAGTTTAATTTAGATATGCATACACCTAATTTTCTTTTACAATTTCTTATACTCCTTTTATGTTTATAAAATCCTCACTGCCAGGGCCAGGCGCAGTGGCTCATGCCTGTAATCCCAGCACTTTGGGAGGCCAAGGCGGGTGGATCACCTGAGGTCAGGAGTTTGAGACCAGCCTGGCCGATATGGTGAAACCCCATCTCTACTACAAATACAAAAAATTAGCCAGGCGTGGTGGCAGGCACCTGTAATCCCAGTTACTCGGGAGGCTGAGGCAGGAGAATCACTTGAACCCGGGAGGCGGAGGTTGCAGTGAGCCAAGATTGCGCCATTGCACTCCAGACTCAGCAACAAGAGGGAAATTCTGTCCAAAAAAAAACAAAACAAAACAAAACAAACCCTCAATGCCCCAACACTCAACCAAACAAATACTAATACTGTGTTAGTTAAAAAGAGCACTTACACATTTAGAAGGAGAGAAGCCAGTTCACTTGTTCAACTGAATAAATCTGTTGTTTTTATTTTAGATATTCAAACGTAAAGGCATATAGGTCTGGGATTACACGGTGATTGGCAATACTAATTCTAAAATTTAATCACACACAGTCATTAAGAAGTAATACTTACTGAAACAAGCCTTCTCTTAGAGCTATCTTAGTTAAGTTTTTAGAATTACTATGAAGAGTTTATCTCAGAGAGTTTCCAAAATAATCAAAAACTCAATCTCAGCATGACTATGTCAGGGAAAATCTAGTTCAGCCAGTCTCCAAGAACACAGAGGGGTGTAGCAGACACCATTAATACTTTAATTATTAGCAGTTATTTTTTCCCATCCCATTTCTCATCAAGATTCTAGTTTTCTCTGCCTTTGTGTTAATAGCTACAAAGAAAGAAGAATGTTAATGTAGAAAGAACATAAAGGTAAAGTGAAATGAGCACAGGCTTTAGAACTTGCTAGATGTGGGTTCAAATTCTGGATGCACCACTAACCAGTTAAGTTTACCTCAAATAAGTCAAATGGCCTCTTAAAGCTTCATCAGCTGTAACACGGGCTTCAGTATCAGTCGCACAGACTGGGCACTCAATAAAATGTTTTAACAATGATTTCCAAAGAAACACATGCTTGTTATAAAATCACTACTAAGAATTAAGGTTTATTTTGCAATATAGATATATTTTTTTTATATACAGGGTCTCACTTTGTCCCCCAGGCTGGAGTGCAGGGACAAGATCTTGGCTCACTACAGCCTCGACCTTCTGAGTTCAAGCTATCCTCTTGCCTCAGCCCCACAAGTAGCTGGGACTACAGGTGCACACCACCAGACCCGGCTATTTTTTTTGTATTTGTGGTAGAGATGGGGTTTCACCATGTTGCCAGGGCTGGTCTTGAACTCCCAAGCTCAAGAGATCCACCCGCCTTGGTCTCCCAAAGTGCTAGCATTACGGGCATGAGCCACCACGCCTGACCTATTTTTCAATACAATTTTCTGTTCACATATAAATATACTATGTGTACATACACAGTTCTGTGTGGGGTTTTTGTTTAGTATTTTTTTTGTTACTATTTCTAAGACATGAGGTAAGAGACTAAATCTATTTTGTTTTATAAGCATCCTCAATAAAAAACTAAACTATTTTCATAGAGAAAAATCCCCATTATAATGCTAGCACAGTAAGCAATTTGGAAATTAGTTCCTTTGTCCTACTAAAAATGGTAAAAATATAAATTACCTCAAAAAGCCCTCAAATAATCCAATTTGCACGACAACTAGCAGTTCATAGTATCTACATACACAAACCAAATCTCAACCTTTTCCTAAACATTTGTTATGTTCTACAGCTGGGGAAAACAGGAACAATATATTATCAGATTTAAAGAAGAGTCAGCCACGGTGCGAACTTTTGACAATGGACCATTAACTATAAAACAAGTCCAACAATGAAAAAACACAGCAAAAAGTTACTTTCTGTTAAAACTGAAAAGCTTCCAACTGGACGCTCCCAGACTTGTTAAAAACAAGAACAAATAAATAAAACCAAAAAGCTATTTGAGATAAATATATACCTGGATGTAATGAAACCGTAAATACTAAATCAGTAAAAAACGTTAGTTTGAAGGACTGAATATTTTTACATTGTTGGCCTCAGTCTGCTTTTCTTTTTCTAGAGTAAATGTTTCGACCACAGAATAAGACAACCTAAAACAATTTACATTAGTGTGAAAATATAGCTGCAGGGGAGATACAACAACATCATAAATCACAACCTCTCTCTGAGAAGAAAAAAATTGTTTTAAAAACCCCCTGCTGTTAGGGCCAGGTACAGTCCAATTCATTTCTAAAATCCCAGTGTTACATAACTGAGGTATATTTTGATAGAGCTGAACATCAAGTTATATAATTATCAAACTACTGCATTCTGTTTTGATTTTTCAGCAAAGAACATGACAGGCCTGGGGAGGCGGCAAGAGAAGAAAAGAAATTTAAAGCACCACCCATTTGTTTAAAATAAAAAAACATAGCTTTTATTTTTAAAATCATTTAGGGAGAAAAATCACAAATTCTCAATATTTCATCCCAAGACTAAGCCATAGAAAATGGACTTTAAAAATCTCAATTCTTATTTGTCATTTTTTTCAAGGTATTTTTAGGTGTTTCCATTATTTAAAAATAAACACAAAAGCTTCCTCAACAAAATGTTAAGGTACTTTAAAAGTTAATTAGAGGACCATTATCATATTTATATGCTTCCTTTCCGTAGATAATAACACAAATGTTGTTGGACATTCTACTACATTTGATAGAAAATTTAGTAACAGCTGTCTCCTTGTGTAGCAATAATCATAAAATATGTGGAATGTATATTTCCAGAAAATCGCATCTTCATCTGTTGGTTTAAATTTAAAGCATCAGAGAATTAGTTGAATATGAAAAGGCTATTATCTAAAACCTATTGATGTATTAATAACCATAATGAGGAGTATTCATTTTAGAGAAAATGCACAATCTCCTCTACAACATGACTTCAATACAATGCAATCATTAGAAGATCAAATCAGTCTGGGAAAAGCTCACACAAAGGATTATTAAAAAACTAAATAGCATCTCTTTATTTTCTTGTTCACAGAGAAAATTTACAAATAAGTTGTTTTATTTAAAGCCTTTTTAAAAGGCAAATAAATGAGATAACAAGAGCTTCAGATGTTTTTGAAGCATATATTTGAAAACCTTAGATGACACTGATAAAGTCTGCAGAAGAGTATGCAATACCCTGAATAAATGGTAGATATTATTATCACATATTTTAATTAATAAACCTAAAACAACTAAGCAATCTAATAAAAATTCACTTAAAATTTGTTCACTGTGAACTACCACTGTAAATATTGGTGATAATTACCGTGACTCAAAGGGGTTGTGCTATCCTTGGGCTTCTTTTCCTCTTCAGCTTGCTCCTAGAATACAGAAAATGGTGTTTAGATGGTATTGCTGGATAATTGTTGGAAACACTGAAAACTAATGTTCCTTTTTGCAGGAAGGAAAGTTATGAAGATCCTCGTCACTGAGGCGGACAACGCACACAATACCCAGAGTCTTCCGGTGGGTGCCCAGGAGGGGTACACATGATCCATTTGGACGTGGAAGGAATCCATTAAAAGTATTGCTTCTGGCTAAAATAAAAGAGACAGGAAGCTTTGATAACAGTTAATATTGAGGTTGACACAGGTACCTTCCCTGAGTGGATCCCTGGGCCTGACAGTCGCACAGGAGTGGCTGACAGAAGAGGCTTGGTCCTCACCGAAGCCAAGCCCTCCATCCTACTTTTGCTTTCAGCCTATCTGGGTCTACTACAGTTTGTAAGTACTCAGTTAAAATGCTTTAATTTTAACCAAACTGACCTTCATAGAATGGACAAGCGACTTCAAAAATTCCTGAAAAGAAACCATGAATTGTGTATGATGAACAATACAAGCACACGCAGCAAGCAAGATGGTGCAGCCCCACCCCATGGCGCAAGCAAGGCATGCTCTTCCTGCAACTCTTGAAGGAACATTTACCATTCAACAAAGACTAGGAAAGTGGCTTTCTCTTTTGAAAGACACAATAACAAAGAGCATTTTGAAAGTGGGTATCCAGATATGTGTCTTCTTTATGTCATTTTGTGGCCATCAAAATGTATTCCACCTATTAAAAATTTGTGGCCAGCCACAGTGGCTCACACCTGTAATCCCAGCACTTTGGGAGGCCAAGGTAGGTGGATCACGAGGAAAGGAGTTCGAAATCAACCTGGCCAACATGGTGAAAATCCGTCTCTACTAAAAATACAAAAAAGAAAAAATAAGCTGGACGTGGTGGCATGTGCCTGAAACCCCAGCTACTCAGGAGGCTGAGGCTGAAGAACTGCTTGAATCTGGGAGGCGGAGGTTGCAGTGAGCCAAGATTGTGCCTCTGCACTCCTGGCTGGGTGGCAGAGTGAGATTCTGTCTCAAAAAAAAAATTGTAATAATTATGTACTTAAAAATTGGGAACGGAATTTCCCAATTTTAAAATCTTTTAAATGAAGGGTTTCAAGCAGGCTTTGAACTTATTTTTGGAAACATAAATATACAATAGTTTTTTGGGGTTTTTTTGTCTGTTTTTGAGATGAAGTCTTGCTCTGTCACCCAGGCTGTAGTTCAGTGGCACAATCTCGGCTCACTGCAACCACCACCTCCCAGGTTCAAGTGATTCTCCTGCCTCAGCCTCCAGCTAGGATTACAGGTGCACACCACCACACTCGGCTAATTTTTGTATTTTTAGTAATGATGGGGTTTCACTATATTGGCCAGGCTGGTCTCAAACTCCTGACCTCAAGTGATCTGCCCACCTCGGCCTCCCAAAGTGCTGGGATTACAGGCATGCACCACTGCGCCTGGCCAATATGTAATAGTTTTCATTATTTCCAAGAACAACTAATTATCATCAGAGAATGTGAAAATTTAGCAGCTGATTTATACAAAAACTTTTGCTGAAAAATGAGTGTTATGAATTAGTAAGTTTGATCAAAAAATATTTCTTCAATTTATTCTTATATAGTTTTGGGATAGATCTTTTTAAGTTATGGCTAGTGTGGCTGTCAGTCCCAGTCTGCATGGGGCAGACCTGTTCATAGCACTTTGAAAAGCCCCACATCTGGGGAAACTCCTGAGTCCTAGGCAAATGAGGAGGCTTGGTCACCCTAGCTTTGACAACCATAAAAACCAAATCTAAAAAATAGACTGCACATTTGGAAGGCTGACGCGGGAGGATCACCTGAGGTCAGGAGTTCGAGACCAGCCTGGCCAACATACTGAAACCCTGTCTCTACTATAAATACCAAAAATTAGCCGGGCGTAGTGGCGGGCACCTGTAATCCCAGCTACTCAGGAGGCTGAGACAGGAGAATCGCTTGAACCCGGAAGGCGGAGGTTGCAGCGAGCTGAGATCACGCCGTTGCACTCCAGCGTGGGCAACAAGAGCTAAACTCCATCTCAAAAAAAAAAAAAAACAAAAAAAAAAGACTGCACATAGTGGTATCACAAAGCTCTAAACCAGGTTTTCAAAAATGAGTCATGTATACTAATATTTTAATGAAAGCAAACTAGTTTTTAACTGATGAAATAAATACTATTAATTTCATTTTCCTACCTTTTTTTAGTTCCTTTTTCAAGTCTATGGTTTTAAGGTATAAAAGATAATTTGTATAGTAACAAAATGTATCAGTGTCTTAATTGTCTTTCATCCCCAAAACATAGTCTGGTATCTAGTCTAGGTCGACAAATATTTGATGCATGAAGGCAAGAATGAAAGGTTCAAGAAGAGTGCTTTTCTGCCTGGTAGATTTCACATCCAAAGTTATCATGGATATCTTCGTGCAATTAACAAAGTAGCATTCTGCTAAAATGTACTATAAGCCAATGCTTCTTAACATGCATTTGAATCATCTGGGAATCTTACTAAAATGCAGACCTTGATTCAGTGGCTCTAGGGTAGAGCCTTAGATTACAAATTCCAACAAGCTCCCAGCAGATGCTACTGCCAAAAGTATACGGCCCTCACTGTGAGTGGCAAAGCCACCACCTTTTAGCAGGGCATGCAGTGGGAGTGGAAACAGTCACGCAATCATATCTACCCTGTTCTACTGCAAGTGAGACGATGAACTCCTGTCTTGGGTCTAATTTTCCATGGTAGCACTTTACCCCAGTTCCACCCCTGTTCATTCACTCAATACACAGGAAATTTACATATGTAATTCAAAACAAAGAGACTCCCTTCTACTGCAAAACCTAAAACAGTAAAAAGAAACAGCATTCGAGAGTTGATTATGTTCACACTACAGCTACTGAAGCATTTTTATAATCACTGTGTCATTCAAAAATAAAAAGAAATATATAATATGCTATCTGTCGCTCAGTGAGTGTTTGGTTCACACTTCTGTATTTGCTACTGAAATTCTGCCTAGAAAGAAAAAATATTCCACACAAAAACAACATTACCTCTCACTTTGGATTTAAATTGCCTAAGCTTCCAACATCTGTACGTTCTTTAGGTGGATCAAGGTTATAGACAGGTAAACATACACATATACACACGAAAGATTATATTGTGTATATCAGAATAAACATATATATCTATAACATACTGACCTATGTTTAAACAATTTTGCAAATGGAAAAGTATTTAGTATCATATGGTAGAGCAGGGAAAATGCTGAATTTAGGGCTAGGTGACCTAAGGTCAAATCTCAACCCACCACTAAAAGCTATTTAACTTTGAACAAATGACCTACATTCTCTAGACCTGATTTTTCTCATCTGTTAAAATAAAGAAATTGGACTAAATGTTCTCCAAAGTTCCTGCTAGCTTTAACATTCTTTCTTCTGTCTAGCTAATTAATTATTTCATAAAGGTAATAAATCTACACTGCTATTAATGAACAGAGAGTGAATTTTAAAAAACAAAAGAAAAAATTAGCGCTTTATCTTATCCTTGCAGACAGACCACTAAAGGAAATCAATACAAAATGCGAAAAATAAAACCATTACTGCGATTTCTCAGGTTTCAAACTTTAATTCTGAAAACTGAAAATAAAGTTCCAGAAAAAAATAGCGTTCTGAAAAACAGGGAGATAATGGTTTAAGGAACATAAAATAAGTCTTTGCTATGGTACATTTCCACTCACCAGGTTAAAATCCATCATTTTGGAAGACAGGATTATGAAGTGGGAAAATAACCAAAAAGGCTTAATGTTCTGTTCCCTCCTGCTGGCACTGGACGCATCACATGCTTTTACTACAAGGCACAGTGACGTTTTCTAATTAATTAGTGTCTACGTTTCTCTGTCTATGAATTCCAATCAAGGGAACAAAACAGGATTTTCAGCTACTGATTTGTGGTTGGCAATTTTGATTCATCACCTTGGAACTGCCAGATAATACCCCTTTGCTCTCCTTTGCTGTCAGACCAAAGACTCCTGAACACTCAAGGATTTCTGAGAACCCTGCTGTTCTTGTTCCATAAGAACCTGCTATCTGTGCCCCAGAGGGTGATACACATTGGTTTCATGGACTGTAGAAAACAGTGAAATCCTATTTAATAACCCCAGTGACAAACTGCTATTTGAATTTCACCTGCTAGTTCAAGTCCACTTTTCAACTTCTTTTTTGCTCTGATCCAATGTGGGATATAAACTGAAGATAAATAGAATTTGCCTATTGGATAAAAGTAAAGAAATTTGTGGGACTTTTCTCCATCACTCTACTGGAATTCAGACACACTCAGGGAGAATGAAATACTTCCATTTTGTTCAAATACTTGATAATATAGCTACAGTCTCCAAATGAAATCTCTCTAAAGTGTTTGCTAAGACACATACAAAAAACAAAAAGCAAAAAATATAACAAAGCCTTATAAATACATGAATTTTACTGACTGTTGTAAACTGGCATCAGTCTTCTATGAGGCAACAAAATGTAAAGAATTAACTATTACTTAAAAATAGAAACCAAAATAAACTCACCCCAAACATTTTCTCAGTATCTATTTAAGGATATTACAGAAAGATTGCATTACCCTCTGCAAAAGTTGAGTTCAACCATGGCCTTTGATGTCATTCTTTAAAGGCCAGTGGCCACCATCTCAAGTACAACTTTCTCTGCTTGGCCATCAAGCCTCACCAAGTGTGACCAGCCAGACCTACCCCAGTCACCCTGCAATCTAATTGCACAGCAAACCTTATACTTACTGAAATGGAAAGACCCATAAAGTTCTTGCAATCTAAGACTGTTGTTCTACAGACAAAGAAGCTGAGCCCAGCCCAGTGAAGTGACTTGTCTTTTGCCACACAGCTAATAAGCAGCACAGCTAAAGAATAAAACCTGAATCTCCTGACCCATGCCCCAACCCCATCCAATGCTCACCTACTATACTGCTAATAGCAACATCTGCTCGAATCAGATAAGTCATTAAGGTCCAGCCATATATCACACACGTCACCTTCTCTTCCAACCCCATACCTTTGCTCATGCTGCCTCCTTAAGGGGCCCAGATAATTCCCACTCTTACCCCTCAACTTTCTTACCTCTCAAGGTTAGAGAGCATCTAGATGTTAATATATTAAAAAGTTATATGGCCAGACACAGTGGCTCACACCTGTATTCCCAGCACTTTGGGAGGCCGAGGCAGGCGGATCACAAGGTCAAGAGATTGAGACCATGCTGGCCAACATGGTGAAACCCCATTTCTATTAAAAATACAAAAAAAAAAATGAGCTGAACGTGGTGGTGCGCACCTGTAGTCCCAGCTACTCGGGAGGCTGAGGCAAGAGAATCGCTTGAACCTGGGAGACGGAGATTGCAGTGAGCCGAGATTGCGCCACTGCACTCCAGCCTGGTGACAGAGCAAGACTCCGTCTCAAAAAAAAAAAAAAAAAAGTTATATTCTCTCCAATTAGATTTACCAGGTTGGATTTATAAGCTGTTTGTTACAACAGAATAACAATGCATTCAAGGTAAATATCTTAGATATTCTTCATCCTTCAAGGTCAGACTCAAGCTCCCGATGACTCTACCTTTCTCTGAAGGGTGACCATACCTTAGAGCACAAATGGGCTACATATGTACTTAGTTGTTTTCCATTACTCTACATAAGTTAGTTTTCCTTTATTCAGCAATAGTCTAAGATCCTTTTGAGAATGAAAAATGTCTCATATTTCTATCTCTCAAAGTTCATAACTCACTATTTAGATAAAGATCCATTGATGTTAAGAGGTTCACAGGGAGAGGGAGAATGGGAATTAACATTTTTTCAGTATCAAATATTTTATATACACAGAGATCATATATTTCATTTTTGTATATTCATTTTGTATATTCAAACAAAATTTCCTTTTTCTTTTGTGAAACTTGCATTTTGATGTAGGAAATTTGAAATTTCACAGCCTGTATATTATTTTGGGGTTTTGTGCGCAGAACGCTTACATACACACTAGACATCAATGAAATCACCCTGAAAAAAAACAGACTTCATTTCCCCAATCACCACGTGCCTACTTTGCTAGTCAGTTCTAAAGCAAGCTGGTGAGCAGAAAAATCTAGTAAAGGGCACCAAAAATGACACTTATCTTTGTGTTGGAAGTTGTGAAAAGACAAAATACGTCAAGGAGTCTAAAGGGACAGAGAAAAACCCTCTTCAAGTCTGCAGCAGCACTACAGGGACCAGATCATAAACAGAGGTTTACCCATACGGTAGAAGCAAAGATGTAAAACATATAACAAATCCCAAGGAAAAGAGGCACTCTCTCAGATGCTGTTAGGGAGAGGATAAACTAGGGTGATCTCTTTGGAGGATGATACCTAGTGGTTTATCAAAATTTACGAGCATATCCTTTGGTACAATAATTTCACTGCAGTGATAGTACCTATGAATGAACTGCAAAAGTATTCACGTATAAAAAGGATATATGAATAAGAACATTGGATATAACATTGTGTATAACCATAAAAATTAAAATAATGTAAATGTTCACAGTAGGGCACTGTTAAAATAAATTATGGTACATTCATAAAATGAAATACTATGCAGCACTGAAAAGAATAAGACCTGTATCTCCAAGACATTCATAATTAAGTGCAAAAAAAGCAAGAAGCAGAACAACGAGCAGAATGTGCGCCCATTTGGGATGTGTGTATGTATGTGTATATGTGCATAAAAGGTTTGGAATTTTTAGCTGTCTTTTTTTTTCTTATGTAGACATACGAGAAACTGTACACAGTGGTCACACGGTTAGGAAAATATTTAGGGGTTTAGTGTATGTGTGAGGGGATACGGTGGATAATTTAATTCTTACTTTACTGCCTGTCTGTACTGTTTTATTTTTTAACCATATGCCTACGTTCTGAAAAGCATAAGAAAATATTTTTTACATTCTATCTAGAAATACATAGAAAATATTAGTCTAGAAAGACATTCACTGACAGATATTAATATTATCATCTAAAATTATTAGATATCCAAGGTATGAAATTACTCTCTCAGAAGAAAATGTTCCGAAACACCCAACTGTGCATTTGCTTGATGTTTCATGTGCATGATCTGCCAATGGGATGTTATTTAGTTGACTAGAAACGTCGCTTGTAAACCAGAAGGGTAATACACAAAATAAAGGATGTTACCAATATTTCAAGGAGTCTAGCAAAATTCAAGCATGACTCAACCCTTCTTTCCACAGTGAATGCAGCCCCAGGTGTGAATACAGCCTACTGTATTAAACTGTTAAATCTGACTAATGAAAATGAACATTGTTACTGGCAATGAGCCCCAAACTGACAGTGCAACGTGGACTAAATGTGCATCTTTTCAATTATGTGTGAACATGCTTTAAAATAATGATATGTCCCAAACATCTCAAAAGGTAGACTAAGAATATGGCCCTTTAAAATATTATTTTGTTACTAATGATTGAAAAAATTCATTTGCATGGAGATGTCATTAAGCACCAGGAACATCATTTAACAGATATTTTTGAAAATCTAGCTATGCAAGCCCTGCACTAAAAGCATATCTAAGTGTTAAGCACTTCTGGAGTCCAATAAAGGGAAAGTCCCAATGTGGGGTAGAAATAATGGTAAACACATCAGGATTAAGTTAGAAACTGAGTTGGTCTTTAAGAGGAAATTGGGATTTGTGCTAATGCAGAAGAGGCAAACGGTTAAATACTCAGATTGTAGAGTAAGATAACCGAGTACTAAGATAGGGGGGTAACAATCTCAGCAGCTTAAAGAGAAATGATACTGACAATTAATATAAAATACATGTGGATGGGGGAAGGTGGTCTCAAATGTTAAACAAAAAAATTTAAGAAAAATATTGATTAACTGTAACATGCTTAGCGGTAAGATGCATCTAGCCACTTCCCTAGGACAATGGTTCTCAAACATGAGTGGGCTTCAGAATCACCTGGATTGTTAAAACAGATTGCTGGGCCCCACCCCTAGAGTAGCTGATTCAGAAGATCTGGACTAGGGCCCAGGAATCTGCATTTCTAACAAACCTCCAGGTGATGCTGATGCTGCTGGTCCAGGGACCACATGTGGAGAAGTACCCAGAATAACTCTGAACACATCAAATCCTGAGTCTCCTCGTGCTCTGATTCCTCAGAGGACACGACACAGCAGAACACAAAGAATGACATCTTCACCTAAGCCAAGACAGATGCAGGCCTGCCCAAGTCTGGTCCAAGACACCTCTTAAATAGAAAGTTCTTCCCTTATACATTTAGAGCTCTAAACTCTCCTGGAACTGATCTAAGAAAAGCAACCAATCTGGACCCAGGGAACTGGCCCCTGGCCCAATGTTAATCACCCCATTGCCCAGTGAGGCTAATCCTGAAGGAATGGCTCTAGAGCTTGGCACAGACCTATTCTGAACATCTTGAAACCAACCTCAAACCAGATCATTCTTTGAGATGTCTCATGTAATGTCTGGAGTTCATCAAACCACACCTAACCTGGAACTGAACCAAAAGAAAATGTATTACATGATGTCACTTCAGCAACGGCAATGTGTAAATGTATAACCACAAACCACACGAAGACCCCAAAATCCACATCCAAATACATGCTAAGAACCAATGAAGGGTCACAGATGAGAATGCTGTAATGGCCCACCATCCCCAAAAATAATCACCATGGAGGTCTTCTGGTCATTCTGCTAACTTTTAAATTTGCAGGAATACATAAAGCTGTCATAAGGAAACAGAACAGGCATGGTGACTACAGGCATAGTGAACATTATACCTTCTAAGTATCTAGATGTTGCTGTGAAGGTATGTTTTTAGATATGATTAATATTCAAATCAGCAGGCTTCGATCAAAGTAGATCACTCTGTAATGAGGGTGGGTCTCATTTAATCAGTTGAAGGCCTTAAGAGAAAAAACAGGTCCCCCAAGGAAGAAGGAATTCTGCCTGCAGACTGACCTGGACTCAAGACTGCAGCACCAACTCCTCCCTGGGCCTCCTGCCTATCAGGCTGCCCTGCATATTTCAGACGTGTCAGCCCCCACAACCTGCCTCAATCAATTCCTCTTTTTAAGATAAGTCTCTCTCTCTCTCACCCTCTCTCTCGCTTGCTAGCTCTCTCTCGCTCTGTGTGTGTGTGTACACAAACACAAAAATATCACACACATATACACATACGGTCATCCTAGGGGGTCCTGTTTCTCTGGAGAACCCTAATGTAACCCCATGCAGTTTACAGCTTCCGTTCTCTTACTTGAGAATGATTGATTACCTCCACCTTTGTAAAAGAAAAGGTCTCCTTTCACCTTTAAAGTTAAGATCACCTTTTAAAATATATATCAGACTTTAAGAACACTTATATTCTATACCCCTACACATAAAGCTCAAGCAGAAGCCACATCGTTTCAAGTGACTGAAAAGCCCCTGAGTGTGGTTATGTGAACTCTACTATTCCATGGTGCATTTTGGTAGCGATCACACACTGTGAGGAAGGGTCCAGGGATGGACATCTTACCAAGCGTCCGTCCTGATCCAAACGCTCTTTGGAATCCATATTAAGCTTCCTTTTCCTGTTGGGCTGTTTCATTGCCACCCCCGCACTCCTTGGCAGTGGTTTTCTGTAAAACAGGGTTACATAAGAAGTTGGGGATGGGGGTGTGACCCCTTCAGAATTACAGAAGCAAACAAGAAAATGCTTTCAATTATACTTCTCATAGTTGGTTACTATAAATAACCTGATAAGTTGACAAAAACTTTGCAATTGGTTTTATAGTACTTAATATAATAATAAGACAAGGGGGAGGGCAATGCGTTTACTACCTCATCTAGAATTTATATCATGGGGAAAATAGATATTATTGCTTTTGGTCTTATCTGGGATAAAATGTTTGCTTTTTTGCTTAGCTGACCTAACCAATTAGGATTCACTGCAATCAGCCTGCACAGCTTCTGTACTCACATGGTCTGACACGTATTCTTGGTAAGAGGTCTTAGTCATACAAGGCATAGCATAGCAATCTGAAACAGAAAATAAGAAAAAATTTCACCAATCCAATTAATCATGATCATTCTTCTGTATATTCATAAACAGTGGTAGACATTCTTTGAAAAGTTATTTGAAATGAGATTTTTTACAGGGCAGGCCAACCGTTTTGGAGAACCAACCATCAATACCAAACGAGTTCCGCTGGAGCTATAATTCAGAAGTCATTCACTTTGAAATAATGTTAACAATTGAAATATAATTTTTTAAAACTTTTAATAGCCCTAAATCATCTATAGTCCCCAGTGCTTTACGATGATATATCCAACTTCTTTATTGATATTTCCACCTGAACAACGACACTCCAAATATGGTAAATGTAACATATTTGCAACTGAGCTCATCTCCCTCCACACTGCCTCCCAGTTCTAGGCTCTCCTCCTCTTTGCACTGATAACTGGCCACCCATTTGCCCAGAGCTTCCTCTTACAGTTGTTCAGACTGTACACCACCCAAGAGCACCAAGCCAAGGGGCAAGTGGAGGCTGAAATCCACCATGGGCTCTACACCCACGGTTCACCTGCCACTGGCCTGCATCATCCCAGGAGAAAATGCATCTTTTTCTCATTCAAACAATACTACTTCTGGGCTAATGTCTGAGCCAGAGAACTAGGAGTTTCCATCATTTCATCCTTTATATCACACCGTACATATTGTCATCAGGTTTTGTTGATATTTAATTTACTAAACATTTATTGAATTTACCTTCTTCCTCTACTCCTATTAACTCTGATCATTCCAATTTTATGTTGCAGTCAATCCAAAAGTCTTAAAGTTCTTTGCAAAGCAAGGTTCCTGCTGCTTCTCCACTCCATACTTCTGCTGGTCCCTCAACCTCTGAACACCTTCCCCATTGCCTGCCCTCCCTTTTTCAACTTATCTAATTTGAACTCGTCCTTTCTGACCCCACTAAAAGAGACTTCACAGCCTTCAGAAAGGTCTTCCTTGCCTACCTCCTGCTCCAAGTAAACCAAGTGTGTCTTTTCTACATTGCATTTCTTGTGCATACCTTTATTGTAGTTTTTGTTTGCAGATATGCCTCCCTTTATGAGGCTGTAACCATCCCGATGACAAGGACTGTGAATTACTGATCCTTATTTTCCGCTGTCTAGATATTACCTGGCTCACAGAAGTCTCTCAATATGTGTTTATTGACTCCAACTACATAAACATGTCTCTCTGAATTACAGAGAAGCCTCAAGCCCTTAAATCCAGTGAATATTAGTTCTCGATCCATACATTATCCTTTAGAATGCTGTATGACTAGAGTGAGCACTGTTTTCAAAGTTAATTCCTTTCCCTTTTTCTTTAATATACAAAACAAAAAATAAACAAAAAAACACTTCTTTTCCACATATCCTTTTGCTTCTAGTCAGATGATATTTATGTCCTTAAGACAGGCACTTATGTACTAAATTCAATAACATTACATTCATTTTGTAGAATGTAAATACAATGTTTCATGCCTAGCTTCTGGTAATACTCTGAACATCTATGCAAATGAACAGCATAGACTTGATGCCTGTAGCGAAGTATTATTGCACAAGACACAAGCACTGCCAAAGCTGGCCTGACTTTCACGACAAATAATACCCCATGACTTGTCAAACTGAAATCATCTGGCTACTGGCATTTTTCTCCTCACCATCAAAAATGATCTGCCTTGATAATCCCTGCAATTATCTCAATAACCTTGATTTGTTTAAAACAGCAAGAAAGCCTGAATTCACATTATTTTATATCAGGAAAAAAAAATGAAAGTTTTTACACTGAGGAGAAATTTCAACATACAATTTGGTAATAATGAATTTCCTCTGAATTTAGAAATAATAAAGCAAAAATATAAAAGTCACCAAACAATCCATGTAAGATTTTGCTGCCAGACAAAAAAGGAATCAAATACAAGAGACCATTAAATACATAGGAGATGAATGTTATACAGATGGATGGCAGATGATAGATAGATAGATAGATAGATAGATAGATAGATAGATAGATAGATAGTCTAACACACAGAAAAACAGACTTAAAGAGAGATTTTGTATAATCCTTTATAATGTCAATGCAAAGAGCATATTCTACTCAACCGAATAGGACATTTCTTTTGAAATAAACCTAACTTGATGTCCTTGGCATGGTATCAAAATACATGGATTACTCTGACTGTCCATGATATATGGCCTACTCCCAGGAAGCCCCAAATGTCACATCAGCCACATGTCTCCTTGTTGAGCTTTGAAAAAATATATAAAGTTTTTAGAGTTAAAAAAAGAATAATGTCAAATTATAAAACACATCAAAGAAACACATTATCCAGGGAAAGTAAAGGTATATACCAACTAGACTGAGCTGTGCCCGGTGTCCTCTGGCTTTGTGACAATGCCCGAGCACCACCTACCATAGACAACGTGATGTTCAGTGATTTTAATTAGAGAAGCTTCTAAATAGTGTTTTAGATTTAAAAAACAACATAGATAACTACATATAAATGATTTGTATTTCTGTATAAAAATTGAAAATAGTGTACTAATTTTTCAATTTAATCCTCTAAATGAGTTTAATTTCCCTTCATAGTAGAATTATCTGTCTGCATGTTGCCAAATACTAAGGAGATAAATTAGATTGATACTTAGAAAGCATCTGAATACTTCAAATTGAAGGAGTCTATAAATAACTAAAATAATTCACTGTCTGTCTATGTCAAGGTGCTATTTGGTAATTCTTTCAAAAACATTTTAATGATCATCTATTAACCACCAATATAGTCACAGGTACCTTGAGGAATATGAAGCTGATTAATCACACACCCGCTAAAGGGAGATAAGTATAGCAGCCACATGTCCTGGATAACCCAAGGTACGTCTGTCTTCTGCCACTCATCCTGGCATAAGGATTAACAGCACTGCTTTCACTCCCCCAAAATATCCCAGTTTAAACAATAAATCATATTGGTACCATATAGGTAAGAAATATACATAAATGAATAAGAAATGTAATACATGCCATTAAAAAATTACAGAGTGGCCTGGGTGTTCACAGGAGGGACACTATGTCTAACGACATGCACAGTGAAAGAACATTTCTGCTGGTTCTAGGACACTGCACAGATCTTAAATGAATTTATCACCAAAATATCGAATACAAATTTCTGATCACTGAACTGATTTCCCACTATTTCAAAGATACTGCCAGCCTAGAATTTATTCATCCAGTTGATACTCGATGTTAATAATTCATAATGTTTGAATAAATTAATAAATGATTACAAATGAATGCATTTTGATAACTTATGCATGAATAATTGATCCTTCTTAATTGTATTAATAGTAGCTAACATTACTTGAGTCCTCATGTACCAGGCATAGCTATCAGTCCTCTACGTATACACTTTCAATTAATACTTATGACAGCCCGACAATATGTGTACCACTGTCACCCTCATTTCACAGAAGAGGAAACACCAAGGGGTTAAGTAACTTGTCCAAGGTTATGCAACAGGCAAGTAACCAGACAGTACAATTCTGGGGTCCCTCTTTGAACACCATACTATGCTGTAGCTTTTTTAACTATATTGCAAGTTTAGTTATCTGAAACTTAACCACTCAGTACGCTAGCCAAATCCTTGCCACACACAATGATTTAAGTCAGAAACTGACACCAAACGTCCTGTGGGAACCACTCGCCCTCATGTGGAGCCTGTCTGCATAGTGGCTTCATATTGTCACTTTCCTTATGTCATGGCAGCCACCTACTCTCATTTTTTAAAAAATTTTGCCTTTATTACCTATTTTGGAATCTTAAAATATTAATAGTTAATTATGTATTAATTCTGCACCCATAAGTCTTGCATAATACTTTATGAGAATAGCACAGGAAGTCCCAAGATTCAGGGTCCAAAGGGTATCAACAGAGGTTGTCTGCAGCTCAGAACTTTCTAAACAGTTACGTCACTCTCACGGAGTCCATGCCACTCCCCTGCCACCCCCATCGGAGCTAGTGCTGGTGCCTACTGCTGGGAGACATAAGGAAACAGTTACGTCACTCTCACGGAGTCCATGCCACTCCCCTGCCACCCCCATCGGAGCTAGTGCCGGTGCCTACTGCTGGGAGACATAAGGACAGGTCACATCACTGGACCCCTTGCAGATAATCTTCACCAACAGCCTGAAATGTGGCAGCCCTATGGGGTGGCTACACCCAGAGGAATAGCAGTGTTCACAGTGGTCTGGCTCTCAGGGACACCAACTCCTAGGGGAAGGGGAAGTGCACCACATCAAGGGAACACCCCATAGGACAAAAGAGTCTGGATACCAGGCCTTGAGTCCCAGAACATTCTGCTCACGGGAAGTTTCTTTCAGCAGAGGCATTAGTGCAATGCTGGTGCTCGTGAAGGGTCTTGGAGAAGGGGACTTCTTTTCTCTCTTATCCATTACTGCAAACACAGCTGGGGCTTCTCCCACAAGAGCTTGATATGGGTGTATCTATAGACAGCCTTTCTGGAACACTTTAGGGTGACAGCATCCTCACATTAGGAGTGCCCTCCAGATTCAGGCTTACACAAGAGGTGGTCACAACTCCTCTCTACTTGGAACATCAACATTCCTAGACATGAAAACAGGTGCCTGTCTGATAGGAATAGCTGGAACATTGGGTCAGGAGTGCATCTGGGAGTTGGATCACTTTCCTGCTGGCCTGGCAGAAGAACTAAGGTGGCTCCCACCCTTCCCCCTGATGAGACCTCAGTGTTTTTCACTGAAAGCTCCCCCAGCCACCTCTGTCAGGGCTGGGACATCTGCCCACTATTGGGTACTGCATTTAGCCACCTGCTTTAGCCACAACCAGTTTCTACCCAGGGATACTTCCCATACTGGCCTGAAGCTTTAACTATTCAACCCAGTAAATAAATAAAATACTGGTACAAAATAAATAAATAAATAAATAAATAAATGCACACTGTGGGGAAACAAGATAAGCTTCAAGAGATCTCTGCCATTCCAACCCCATAGGAGATGCTGAACTTGTTCACACACTGAGCACATTGTTACTACAAGAGGCGTCTGGGAAAGCCACAATACAAAGATTCACTATAACCAAGGAACCCATACAAATTACTCAGTACTAAAAGCACTAAGAGCCAAATTAGGCTATAATAAACTATAAACATGTAAGTCACATCCTTCTGAAATACCAGATAAAAAATTCAAAAGGTTGATTACTAAGCTACTCAAGCAGATACCAGAGAAAGGTGAAAACTAACATAAAGAAATGAAAAAAAAATTCAAGATATAAATGAAAAATGTTATAAAGAGATACATATTTTAAAGAAAAACCAATCAGAACATCTGGAAATGAAAGACACACTTAGGGAGTTTAAAAATGCATGGGAAACTTTAACAACAGACCTGATCAAGTAGAAGAAAAAATTTCAGAGCTCGAAGATAAGGCTTTTGTTCACCCAATCAAACAAAAATTTAAAAAATAAATAAGAAGGAATGAACAAACTCTCCAGGGAACTTGGGATTATGTAAAAGGTCCAATCCTAAAAATAACTGGTGTTCCTGAGGGAGAAGAGAAAACAAAATGTTTAGAAAAATTACTTGATGGAATAATAGAGGAATACATCCCTGGTCTTGCTAGAGATTTAGATGTCCAAACACAAGAAGCTCAAAAATTCCTGGGAGACTCACTGCAAAAAGGACATCACCAAGGTATATAGTCATCAAGCTATCTAAAGTCAACATGAAGGAAAGAATTCTAAGAGCAGTGAGACAAAATGCAATAGGTAACATATAAAGAAAAATCTATCAAACTAACAGCAGTCTTCTTAGCAGAAATCTTAAAAGCCAGAAGGAATTGGGATTTTATTTTTAGCCTCTTTAAACAGAATAACTGAGAGCCAAGAATTCTGTATCCAGCAAAACTAAATTTCAAAATGAAGGAGAAATAAAGTCATTTTCAGACAAACAAATGCCGAGGGAATTTGTCAGTACCCCAGACCAGCCCTACGAGAAAGGTTAAAAGGAGTTATAAATCTTCAAACAGAAGCTCAGTATGCACTAGAATAGAATCTCTTGAAAGCATAAAACTCACAGGGCCTATAAAACAATAACACAATAAGAAAACAAACCATCTAGGTAACAATTAACATGATGACTGGAACAGTACCTCACATCTCAATATTAATGTTGAAAGTAAATGGTGTAAATGCTCCACTTAAAAGATACAGATTGGCAGAATGGATAGAAAAATCATAAACCAAATATCTGTATTTTAGAAACCCACTTAATATGTAAAGATTCATATAAATTCAAGGTAAAGTGGTGAAAAAAGATATTCCACACAAATGGAAACCAAAAGCTAGCAGGAGTTACTATCCTTATATCAGATAAAACAGACTTTCAAACAACAATAGTAAAAAAAAAAAAAAAAAAAAAAAAAAAAAAAGACAAAGAAGGTCATTATATAATAATAAAAGGATCAATCCAACAAGAGGATATTACAATCCTAAATTTACATGCCCCTAACTCTGGAGCTCCCAGATTCATAAAACAATTACTATTAGACCTAAAAAATGAGATAGAACAGCAACACAATAATACTGGGGGACTTCAACACCGCACTGACAGCACTAGACAGCTCATCGAGACAGAAGGTCAACAAGGAAGCAATGAAATTAAACTACATGATAGAACAAATGAAGCTAACATATATTTATAGAACACTCTACCGAAGAACTGCAGAATATACATTCTTCTCATCAGCATATGGAGCATTCTCCAAGATAGACCATATAACAGGCCACAAAACAAGTCTTGATACATTTTAACATATCAAAATCATATTAAGTATCTTCCAAGACCACAGTAGAATAAAACTGGAAATTAACTCAACAAAGAACCTCAAAGCTATATAAATACATGGAAAGTAAACAATCTGCCCATGAATTATTTTGGGGTTAACAACGAAACCAAGATGGAAATTTAAAAATTCTTTGACATGAGTGACAACAGTGACACAAATTATTAAGACCTCTGGGATATAGCAAAAGCAATGCTAAGAGTACAGTTTACAATGTTAATGCCCATAAGAAAGTCTGAAAGTTCACAGACTGACAACCTAATGTCACACCTCAAGGAACTATGAGAGAAGAACTAAATCCAAAGCTAGCAGAAGAAATGACAAAGATCAGAGTAGAACTAAGTGAAATAGAAACAACAACAACAACAAAAAAGTCGATGAAACCAAAGGCTGCTTCTTTGAAAATATGAACAAAATTGATAGACCATTATTAGCTAGATTAACCAAAAATAAAAATAAAATACAATAAAAAGATTCAAATAAACTCAATTAGAAATGAAAATGATGACATTACGACCAAAACCATAGAAATATATAAAATCATTTGTGACTACTGTTAACACCTCTATGTACACAAACTAGAAAATCTAGAGGAAATGGATAAATTCCTAGAAACATACACCCCTCCTAGATTAAATCAGGAAGAAATAGAAACCTTGAACAGACCAGTAACAAGCAGTAAGTTTCAATCGTAATATTTAAAATGTCAACAAAAAAAAGCACAGAGCAAGATGAATTCACAGCTTGAATTTTACCAGACATTCAAAGAATTGGTGCCAGTCCTTCTGAAACTATTCTGAAAGACTGAGAAAGAGGAAATCCTCCCTAACTCATTCTAGGAAACCAGTAACACTGATACCAAAATGAGGAAAGGGCATATCAAAAAATAAATAAATAAAGGAAAAGAAAACTGCAAATCAATATCCCTGATGAACATAGATGCAAAAATCCTCAACAAAATGCTAGCTAAGCAAATCCAACAGCACATCAAAAGATAATACACCATGAACAAGTGGGTTTTATTCCAGAGACGGAGGGATGATTTAACACATGCAAGTTAATAAATGTAATATATCACATAAACAAAATTAAAAACAAAAGCCATATGATCATTTCAATATAGGTAGAAAAAATAAATTATAAAAACTCCAGTATCCCTTTATGATAAAAAACCCTCAACAAACTAGACATAGAAGGGACACACCTCAAAATAACAAGAGCCATGTATGACATACTTACAGCCAACATCATACTAAATGGGGAAAAGTTGAAAGCATTCGCCCTTGAGAACTAAAACAAGGATGCCCACTTTCATCCCTTCTACTCAACAGAGTATTGGAATCATAGCCATAGCAATCAGTCAAGAGGAAGAAATAAAGGGCATCCACATTGGAAGAGACCAAGTCAAAATAAATGACTATATATCTAGAAAACCCTAAAGACTCCTCCAGAAGTCTCCTAGATTTGATAAATTAATTCGGTAAAGTCTCAGGTTACAAAATCAAAGTATACGAGTCAATAGCACTGCTATACACAAACAATGACCAAGCAGAATCAAATCAGGAACCCAAACGCCTTTATAATAGCTGCATGCAACCAAGGAGATGAATGATCTCTATGAAGAGAACTAAAAAACACTGCTGAAAGAAATCACAGATGACACAAATGGAAATACATCCCATGCTCATGAATTGGAAGGATCAATATCATGAAAATGACCATACTGCTCAAAACAATCTACAAATTCAATGTAATTCTTATCTAAATACCAACATTATTTTTCACAAAATTAGGAAAAACAATCCTAAAATTCATATGGAACCAAAAATGGGCCAAAATAACCAAAGCAACCCTAAGCAAAAATAATAAATCCAGAGGTATCACATTACTGAACTTCAAATTATACCAAAAGGCTATAGTTACCATAACAGCATGGTACTGGTATAAAAATAGGCATGAGGACCAATGTAACAGAATAGAGAACCCAGAAATAAAGCCAAATACTTAAAACCAACAAAGGATACAAAAACATAACTGGGGAAGGGCCACCCTATTTAATAAATGGTGCTGGGAAAACTGGATAGCCACATGTAGAAGAATGAAACAGGATCCCTCTCTCTCGCCTTACACAAAAATCAACTCAAGATAATCAAAGATTTAAGTCTATGACCTGAAGCTATAAAAATTCTACAACATAACCTGGAAAATCTCTTGCAGACACTGGCCTAGGCAGAAAATTTATGACTACGACCCCAAAAGCAAATGTAACAAAAACAAAAATAAATAAATGGGACCTAATTAAACAAAAAAGCTTCTGTACAGCAAAAGGCATAATCATCAGAATAAACAGACAACCCAGAGAATGGGAGAAGATATTTGCAAACTATGCATCCAACAAAGGACTAATATCCAGAATCTACAAGGAACACAAACAAGTCAGCAAGAAAAAAACAAATAATCCCATCAAAAACAATAGATGTTGGTGTGGATGTGGTGGAAAGAGGACATTTATACACTGCTTGTGGGAATGTAAGTTAATACAACCTCTATGGAAAACACTATGGAGAGTTCTTTAAAAACTAAAAGATCTATTCAATTCAGCAATCCCACTACTGGGTATCTAGCCAAAGGAAAAGAAGTCATATCAAAAAGACATATACATTGTTTATTGAAGCACAATTCACAATTGCAAAGATATGGAACCAACCTAAGTACCATCGTTCAGTGGGTGAATAAATAAAATGTGGTATATATACACCATGGAATACCACTCAGCCATAAAAATGAATGAGATAATGTCTTTTGCAGCAACTTGGATGGAGCTGTAGGATATTATTCTAAGTGACATAACTCAGGAATGGAAAACCAAGTACCACATGTTCTCACTTATAAGTGGTAGCCAAGCTATGGACACAAAGGCATACTCTGTGGTATAATGACCTTTGGAGACTCAGAACGGGGAGGCTAGAAAGGGGGTGAGGGAGAAAAAAAAACTACATATTTGGTATAATGTACACTACTCAGGTAATGGATGAACTAAAATCTCAGACTTCACCACTATACAATTTATCCAGGTAATCAAAAACTAAAAGCTATTGTAATAAAAATATTTTTTTATAAAAGGAAAGGAAATAAGGATGGGCATGGTGGCTCACATCTGTAATACTAGAACTTTGGGAGGCACAGGCAGGAGAACTGCTTGAACCTAGCAGTTCAAGACCAGCGTGGGCAACACAGTGAAACCTCATATATACAAATTTAAAAAAAAATTAGCCAGGCATGGCAGCACATGAGATGCTGAGGTGGGAGGATTGCATGAGCATTGGAGGTCAAGACTTCAGTGAGCCAGGATCATGGCACTCCACTCCATTCTGGGTGACAGAGTGAGACCCTGTCTCAAAAAAAGAAAAGAAAGAGAAAGAGAGGAAAGAAAAAGAAAAAGAAAGAAAATGAAAGGAAAGGAAAGGAAAGGAAGAGAGAATGGAGGCAGGGAGGGAGGAAGGAAAGAAGGAAGGATGGAAGGAAGGAAGGAAGGAAGGAAGGAAGGAAGGAAGGAAGGAAGGAAAGAAGGAAAAAAAAAACAAACAAACAGTATATCAAAGAGATATCTGCACTCCCATGTTTACTGAACCACTACTCATAAGGGCCAAGATTTGGAAGCAACCTAAGTATCCATGAACAGATGAATGAATAAAGAAAATGAGGTACATATACACAACAGAGTATTATTCAACCATAAAAAGTGAGATCCTGTCATTTGCAACAACATGGGTGGAACTGAATTATAGTTACCAAAGGCTGGGAAGGGTAGTGGAGGGTGATGCAGAACTGAGGATGGTAAATGGGTACCAAAAAATAGTTAGAAAGAATAAGATCTAGTATTTGATAGCACAACAGGGTGACTTCAGTAAATACGGTTTGGATCTGTGTCCCTGCCCAAATCTCATGTTGAATTGTAATCCTCAGTGTTGGAGGTGGGGCCTTGTGGGAGGTGATTGGATCATGAGGGCAGAATTCCCCCTTGGTATTGTCTTGGTAACAGTGAGTAAGTTCTCATGAGATACGATTGTTTAAAAGTGTGTAGCACCTCCCCATTCTCTATCTTCCTCCTGCTCCAGCTATGTAAGTAATGCCTGCTTCTCCTTTGTTTTCTGCCATGACTGTAAGTTTCCTGAGGCCTCCCCAGAAGTTGATGCCACCATGCTTCCTGTACAGACTGTAGAACCATGAGCCAATTAAACCTCTTTTCTTAATAAATTACCCAGTCTCAGGTATTTCTTTATAGCAATGCAAGAATGAACTAACACAGAAAATTCATACCAAGGAGTGGAGCATTGCTATAGAGATACCTGAAAATGTGGAAACAGCTTTGGAACTGGATAACAGGCAGAGGCTGGAAGAGTCTAGGGGGCTCAGAAGAAGATAAGAAGATGAAGGAAAGTTTGGAACTTCCTAGAGACTTCTTGAATGGTTGTGACAAAAATGCTGATAGTGATATGGACACTGAAGTACAAGCTGAGGAGATCTCAGATGGAAATGAAGTTATTGGGAAATGAAGCAAAGGTCACTTTGTTAAGCACTAGCGAAGAGCTTTGCTGCATTGTGACCTTGCCTTAAGGATCTCTGGAACTTTGAACTTGAGGTATGACTTAGGGTATCTGGTGGAAAAAGTTCCTAAGGAGCAAAGCCTTCAAGAGGTGGCCTGGCTGCTTCTAACAGCCTAGGCTCATATAACAGCCTATGCTCATATGTGTGAGCAAAGATATGACCTGAAATTGGAAGTTATATTTAAAAAGGAAGCAGAGTGTAAAAGTTTGGAAAATTTGCAGCCTGGCCATGTGGTAGAAAAGAAAAGACCATTTTCAGGGAAAGAATTCAAGCAGGCTACAGAAATTTGCATAGAAAAGAGGAGCCAGATCCTAATAGCTAAGACAATAGGGAAAAGGCCCTGAAAGCATTTCAGAGACATTCCTGGCAGCCCCTCCCATCACAGGCCTGGAGGCCAAGGAGGGAAGAATGGTTTTGTGCGTCACACCCAGGGGCCTCTGCTGCCCTGTGCAGCCTCAGGACACTGCTCCCTGCATCCCAGCCACTCCAGCTCCAGCCATGGCTCAAAGGGGCTCATATACAGCTTGTGCCACTACTTCAGTGGGTACAGGCCATAAGCCTTGGCAGCTTCCACATGGTGTTAAGCCCACAGGTGCACAGAATTGAGGCTCAGGAGCCTCTACCTAGATTTCAGACAACGTATGGAAAAGCCTAGACATTCAGGCAAAAGCCTGCTGCAGTGGTGGAGTCCTCACAGAAAACCTCTGCTAGGGCAGTGCAGAGGGGAAATGTGGGGTTGGAGGTCTCACAGAGTACTCACTGGAACACTGACTAGTGGAGCTATGAGAAGAAGGCCACTGCCCTCTAGACCCTGGAATGGTAAAGCAACCTACAGCTTGCACGATGCTCCTGGAAAAGCTGCAGGCACTCAGTGCCAGGCCCTGAGAGCAGCCACAGGGGCTGAACCTTGCAAAGTCATAGGAGCTGAGGCTCCTGAGTCCTTGTTGGACCAAAGGCACTCAACTCAGGCTTGTGCTATGACTTGCTTTGACCAATGGCAGATGCAGGGCAAGCTGACGCTTAAAATGTGGGTGTGCAGCTTGTTTTCAGCTCATGGCACTGCAGTTACTTACCATTAAAAAGATCACGCTTTAGTTAGCCTCTGCTCCTTTAGAGTGGGCCCCCAGAGCAAACACAGGTAGAACACACCGGAGCCTGAAATGAAGCCTTTTATAAAACCATGCAGTCAAGCCCAGCCTGGATCATCAGCCCAATCATGAGTGGCCTAAAGATCTACTAATGTGTTATTTTAAGACATTGAATTTTGAAGTATTTTTATAGCAATAGCAGACAGAACAATCTACACAAAAAAAGGGCAAAGCTTTGAATATGCACTTCACACCAAAATTTATGAAAAGTTGCTTAACTTCATTAGTAATCAGGAAAATGAGAAAGAAACCACAATGAGCTACCAATGCATCCCCACTAGAATGACAAAAATTAAGAAGTCTGTCACTACTAGATGTTGGCAAGGTTGAGGAGCAATGACAACTCTCATACTCTGCTGGAAGAAGATTAAATGTTGCAACCCATAAAAAAGCAACTCAGCATGAACTTGAAAGTTGAAGATAATTCCAGCAAATTCCATGACCCCAGGGCTCCAGCAATTACACAAAATTAAGAGATAAGTTCATGTTAATGGGAAAAAAATGAAAACAATTATCAACAGGAATCTGAGAAAATAAACTGTGGCATATTCAGACAATATAACATTACACAATGAAAATAAATCAACTGCGACTACATATGCAAGAATATAAATATTATCAATAATGTTGAATGAGCAAAGCAAGCCAAAAGACTATATACTACTTTTGTTGAGAGATGGTATCTTGCTATGTTGCCCAGGCTGAACTCAAACTCCTGAGCTCAAGTGATCCGCCTGACTCAGCCTCCCCAGTAACTGAGATTACAGGTGCATGCCACCATGCCCAGCTTTATACTACCATTTTTAAAATACAAAATCAAGCAAAAGCCCTTAATATGTACCTTAGATATATACGGCAAACTATATAAGTAGTATATATAAAGTAAACTGCCTTTTTACTTATACAGTAAAGATTTTTTGAAGAAGCATGGAAATAGGAAACAAAAAATTCAGCATAGCAGTTGGGGAGGAAAATTAGTATCATGTTTTCATTCTTAAGCTGGATGGTGGCTTTATAGATATACATTTATTATACTTCATGACTTACATATTGAAATATGTATGTTGCCTTGTATAAATACAATATTATAAGATTTCTTAAAGTCCTTTGAAATGGTGTACCCTAGTCATCTAATGTAAGAAAGAAAAGTTGATACAGGTAAAATAGTGGACACAGTATGTTTTCTTTTAACTGAACAGTCCATTTTTCTGCTTTGAAACCCCTTTTTCAGCAAGGCTTGCTCCTTTTCTGATTGGGAAAAACAAGTATCTCACCAGATCTTTTGTAAGAACATACCATGTACAGTCAGTAACAGGCAGAAGATAGGGTGCATGCACTGCTCCTAACCATCCACCTTCATTAGATCACACTATTCTGAAGGAAGGAGGAGTCTATGACTGAACCAGGGCATCAGCCTCCTCCATCTTACTCCTTCTTGACACAGGGCATAAGCTGCGCCCTGGCATTTCTAACTCCACTGAATGAAATCTGAGCAGAGACAAAATACGGAAATCACAAGAAAGATAAACTGACTCTGGCTCTCTTAAGCAAAAAAGGTGTCTACTGTAAGAATATCCAAGGCTCAGAGATTTAACATCTGTGACAAGATCAGACAGAAACAAAGTGATCAAGAAAGCAGATGGCAGACCAAACATCCCATGGCTAAACCAGCCTGATCAGCATGGCACCCCATTTCTTCTGCTGCTGAAGCCCCTGGAATGAGTGAACTAACTAATTTACCTGTTCCCTTCTTGCTAGAGTCTCTGTCCCTCAAGCCAAAGTCCTGGGAAAGAGCATCCAATTGACCAATCTTAGATCTTCTTCCTGCACTCTTGGACAAAGCCATGGGGAAATGGAGGATCTGCCTCCTGGAAAACCCTAAGTCTTCTCTCATAATTCCCATAAAGGAAAGCAGGGTTCTATGAGTAAGAGAGATGGATGATGAGTAGAGGAGGAAAGGCTGCTTCCCACTCTGGGCTATGAGATGTCATCAGCTAGTTGTGCATACTTGTCATATCCAACTGCATGGCTACAATGTAAGAGGAATGTAGAATGGTTGCCGAGGTCTGAAATTCTGTTCCACTGATAAGTATTGTTATTGATGATGTCATTATTGGGCATTCCAAGGGCGTCAGCAATATTAATTTCTTCTTACTATAGGACAGACAGTACATTAAGCATTGTATGTTCATTAATTTGTCTACTCCTTCCAATGACCCTGATTTAACTGTAATAACTACATACATGATCTTTCAGTTATGCACAGGGGAAAATAACTGTAAAAGAATACAGGCAACACTTAGAAAAAGGAAAAATAATAAACACAGGAAAAGAAACGCACTATTACTAGAAAGCAGGGAAATGCGTATTAAATATAAGTATCCTCTTCTACCCAGGAAAATGACTGGTAAAGGTAAGGCTCACCAAGTGTTGAAGCGAGTGTGAAGCAAGCATCAGGAGCTCTCACATCCTGCTGAGGAGGTGAAAATTGGTACAACTACTTGATGAAGCACTTGGGAATATCTAACAAAGCTGAGTAAGGCTGGAACTATGCATGCCTAGAACCTGGCTGTTTCTAGATAGATAGAAAACCTCTAGCACATGTGCAAAAGGTACAATGTTTATCGTGGCTTTTGTCTGTAACAGGAAATATATGATAATACCCAAACACCCATCAGTAGGAAAATGAATAAATAAATTGTGATATATTCAAAAATGGAATATTATACAGCACTTAAAAGAGCTACAGTGATATATATTCTATCACAGATAACTCTATAAAATATATTTGAACCAAGAGAAAAGGGTGCAGGATGATACATGCCATATATCATTTATGTAATGTTTGCTTATAGATACACACACACATCAGGTTAAAATGTAACAACACTGCTGAAAAGGAGACCAACGACAGCATAGCAATTATGTCTCAGGAGGGATGAAGATATACAGGTTTGGGGACAGGAGACTTCAAGTGTAATTGCAATGCTTCACTTCTTTCAAAAAGCAGAAGCAAGTGCGGCAAAATACTGAGATTAGTAAATCTGGACAGCCAGCGTAGAGTTGTTCATTTTCTTATTCTCTATACTTCACTGCATATTTGAATATTTAAAACAAAAATTCAACATTAGGGGTAGGTTATAGGAGGAATTTTATACGTTCTCATATTTATTTCTTTAGAGGTCTCATTTGCCCCTGAATATCATCATCAAGTAACCACGTTATGTACTCCCTCAACAGCAATCATTTGCTCAGAACCTTAAAAAACAATGAAGACATTTAACAAATCATAATTATCATCATCCCTGTAACTGCATTTATTAAGTAAGTTCCTACTGTGTGCCAAGCACATGGTGGCAGCCTGGCAACAGCCTCTTTACACTGAAGTAGCTCAAGGTGACACTGCCAGTAACAGCAAAGCTGCAATTTGTCTATCTCCAACATGTAACACCTTACCTAATGGCTCCATTTCTAAAAGTATATTGCTGCTGCCCCTGGCTACATTATAGTAGCAAAGCATGTGTTTCATGCATAGGAGTAATATTAACATACATATTTGACTGTCAGGTAGTTAGTGGGAAAGTGTGTAAATCAATGACTTGCCTAAGCTCATGTGACTAGCTGGTAGCAGAGCTAGAACTGGAATCTAAATTTTAAACAATAGACCACTTCATAGCTTATTGAGAAGGACAGACTATACTCATTACAACAGATTTTCCAACAAATGCCTCTCTGAAGCCTTGCCAAAATTGAATGTTCCTAATATCACACCACTAAGCACTGTTCAAATAAACTGCCTTCCAGGAATATCTTTAATACACTGGCACTGAATCATGACAACTAGCACTGCTGCCAAAATGACATACAACATTAAATGACATGAAAACACGCTATATGCAGAAATAAAATCAAACTATTTTGTTGCTAGAACATGTCTCTACTAGGAGCATTTCAGAATAGCATTAGATTTTTGTGAATTTATTAATTAGAATTTTCATTCAGCAAATAAAAAACTAGTACCACGGAAACTTTTTCTAATCTGATGTGGTGACAGGCGAGAAGTCAGAATGAAGTAGTGGAAAAGTCATCCAGTCACACAAGTTCTAGCTCTGACTCTCCAGCTTAGCTGGCAGGGAGACAAAGGCAAATCACAGCCTCATGAAGCCTCACCCACACTGAATACACAGAGCTCTGCTGGAAAATGGGACCACGTTTGGGAATATATTATTTTTAAAAATTGAAGTGTAACATACATGCAGAAAAATGCATAACAGCTTAGGCCACAGCTCAATAAATTTTCATGCACTGAACACATGTAACTAGCTTCCAAATCAAGAAACAGAACATGTGAATGTGTACCCTTGGTCACTACTTCAATCAAGGCAAATCTTGATGGTTGTCCCACCTTCCAACACAATAGATGACTTCTGTTTCTTTTGTTTCTTTTTTTCTTTTCTTTTTTTTTTTTTTTTTTTTGAGACGGAGTTTGGCTTTGTCGCCCAGGCTGGAGTGCAGTGGTGCGATCTCGGCTCACTGCAAGCTCCGCCTCCTGGGTTCACGCCATTCTCCTGCCTCAGCCTCCCGAGTAGCTGGGACTACAGGTTCTCACCACCACGCCCGGCTAATTTTTTGTATTTTTAGTAGAGACGGGGTTTCATCCTGTTAGCCAGGATGGTCTCTATCTCCTGACCTCACGATCCACCCGCCTCAGCCTCCCAAAGTGCTCGGATTACAGGCCTGAGCCACCGCACCCAGCCTTCTGTTTCTTTTTATACACTCTAGAAATGGAATTACAGAGTATTTGTCTTTGTCCATTTTCTGTTGCTTATAACATAACACATGAAACTGGGTAATTTATAAAGAAAAGGAATTTATTTCTTACACTTATGGAGGCTGAGAAGTTCAAGGTTGAGTGGGGCACATCTGGTGAGGGCCTTCTTGCGGTGGGAACTGTCTACAGTGTCCCAAGGTGCACAGGTATGACATGGTGAGGGGGCTGAGCACGTTGGCTCATGTCTCCTTCCTCTTCTTATGAAGTCACCATTTCCACTCCCATGATAACCCATTAATCCATTCACCCATTAATCTATTAATCCACAAGTGGATTAATCCATTCAAGGCTCTTGCCTTTTAAATGCTGAGCACCTCTCAATATTGCCATATTAGGGATTAAGTTTCGACAGGAGTTTTGGAGGGGACAAACATTCAAATCATATCAGTATGCATAGTTTTCTGTGTCTCATTTCTTTTACTAACATAATGTTTGTGACACCCATCCATACTGTTGTATGCAGATGTAGACAGTTCACCTTTCCTCTTGTATAGTATTGTAGTAGAGTGTGTAAAACACATTTATCCCTTTTGTTGCTGATGAGTATTTGAGTAATTTCTAGCTTTGGGATACTACAAATAATGCTACTTAAACAATCTACTATACTTATTTTGCTGAAACATACATTCAGTACATTTCTGTTAAGTCCATGCCTAGGAGTGGAACTCTCATGTCACAGAGTATGTGAATTACTTTCCTATTGCTGCTGTAACAATTTACCCCAACTTGGTGGCCTAAAACAACACAAATGTATTATCTTACAGTTAAGGAGGTCAAAAGTCCTAAATAGATCCCACTAGGCTAAAAATCAAGGTTTCACCAAGGGTGTGCCCAGAAGCTCTAGAAGATAATCCATTTTCTTGCCTTTCACAGTTCCAGAGGCTTCCAGCATTCCTTGGCTCGTGACCCCTTCCTCCATCTTCAAAGCCAGCAATGGCTGATCAAGTCTTCTTAGGATATGTCACCCAGACACAGATTCTTCTGCTTCCCTCTTCCACATTTAAAGGAACTATGCAATTACATGGGTCCGCCTGAATAATCCAGAATATCTCCCTTAAAGTCAGCTGATCAGCAACCTTCATTTCATTGGCAACCTTATTTCCACCTTTCCATACAACATAATATTCACAGGCTCCAAGGAGCAGGATATCGACATCTTTGAGGGTCAAGATTCTACCTCCCATAGTATGCATATATTCTGAAAGTGTTTTTAAAACTTCTACTACAAACACTTTATATAATAATAAAACAAAATCAAGCTTCTTTCTTTCTATGTAGCAGATCTGATTTCTTGTTAGCCTTATAATTCTAACTAGAAAAAATCTTTTTGCAGTTACTAAACATTAAAATACATTTTAAAAGTTGTAAATCTATATCTAGTTATTTTCCACTTGGTGCAACACAATACACTAGGGGCTACAGAAATATAAAATAAGTGACTTCTGGTCAAGAGGTCAACTGAGCAGATGCAGAGAAAAAAAGAAATACTAGGAAAATACAGCAAAATTATTTATATTACACAACTCAGTTCTGGATTATTAAAAAACAGAAATGTCAGAAACAAACAAAAAACAACTGAGGAACTAAATCAGATATACATATTAGGGGCTTTGCTTTTTATTCCTATCTGGGGATAGAAACTGAAGCCATAAGCTAAATGCATGGTTTGAGATAGAAATTGTCTCCATCATCCAAAAGGTTGTCCTATCTTTGATTAATGACTAATAAACCTTCACTCACTGGCTTAGACAGTATCACAGAGGTGGACCACCCCATTAAAACACTGTTGGAACAAGAATCGCTGAGAGATCAGAGATCCAAGCTTGTACTAAACATAGGTGTGGAGGTCCAATTCCCCCTACCCAGCAATGCAGAAAGCTCAAATCAATTATAACAAAACTGCCCCATAGCAATACCTCAACAACCTGGGATGCTCTCAAAATTAGTATGAAAAAAAAGTCTCACTGAAGATAAGTTCTTGGACTAAAACTAGAAAGCCCACAATGAAGCTCACCAACCTAAGTGTCATAAGAAGCAACAAACAGAAGCATGAATACCCTAGACATTTTTATAATAGAAAAAGCCTAGAGGAACTTAAAATCAAGTATGTATAAACTCGTGAGGAAATACGTGACAAAACAAACTTGGTAAGATACGAACAATTTTTTGGTTTTAAAAAGAGCAAATGTGAAAAAGAAGTAAATACAAAATCTGGAAATAAAATGCATAATACAGTATGAAAGCATCTGTAGGTATGTCAAATAAGTTTACTTTTTAGAAGTGAAAACTGGTATATTGGAGACAATCACCCAAAATAAAGCACAAGAAGATCAAGCGCTAAAAAGTATCAAGGAGAAGAGACATAGAGGATAAATTAAGATAACTTATATCCAACAGTAGATTTACAAGGCGAGATTAAAAAAAAAAAAAGAGGAAATATGTAAAAAGCAAGATTAAGCACAGTCCCTGACCTCCAGGAGCTCACAATCCAGCAGAAAAATCACTGGCCTATGTTCTCAGAGCTGAAAATAGCACTCAGGACTCATGACTCCCAGGGAAAGGCTCTTCTCACCTTGACATTCTGCCTTCATATCATGTCATCAGCTTCTCACCCTTCAGGTTTGAACTGACATAATTTGAAAGCAGGGAAATAATGCTACCCTACAAGCCCTGAGCGAGTCAGAGCTGAGGTAAGGATCTACTTTGCTGAATCTAATTAAGACTCACTACTGAAGTTTTAACTATCCTCCTCTTGGTTAAAATAAGCCAAAGAGTTGACACGTTCTGAAGACCACTGGGCTGCTCATAGAATACAATGCGTTAAGAAGAACCTATCGGTTTAGCCAGCCCAACATCCTCTTTCTTTGTCCAGCTACCTGATTTTTAGTTTGGGGAGTTTCATGCTGAGTCACATGGTTCCAGGGTAGGCAGGTAACTCAGAAAGGGCCCATTCAATAAAATTTACCCTCCTGGCCACAGTCATTGGTTCAGGGATGGATATGTAACCTAACCAAAACCAAAGAGATTCAATTCTAGGATTCTTATCAGAAATACTGTGCAGAAGAACCTCTTTATCTAGGACTGTTAGATTCATAGAATGTAAGCCTAGATCTGCAGGGGCCGCTAAGTAAAAGAAAGGTCCATTCAGACCAAAGACAATGCAGAGGAAGGTGGAACCAAGTGTTGGGAGTGACTAGCCTCTAGAGTCAGCCATGACTGGTCCAGCTCCACCCCAGTACTGCTGCTCAGTTTTGTGAGCTAATAACTTCCCTTTTCTGGTTCAGCCATTTCTGTTTTTTGCAACTAGAAGAATCCAGACTAATAAAAATGTTGAAAGCTAGAAAGCAGCAGTAGCAGTAGCAGCAGCAACAGTATGAGAATAGATGCTCTGTAAATAGTTCTCCAATTTAAAACACTGAGAAAGATTTGGATTGTAATCCCAACGTTACTCTAACTCATTAACTATACCCTACTTTGTGAATGCAATTTCCATTCTGTAATGTCTTAAGAGTTCTTCCAACTACCTTAAAAGACCTCAAAAAAATATAAACAACAATTTAAAACAAAATTCTTTTTAATTAGTTAAAATGTAAAAAAAAAACATATGGCATTTAAAATTTTAGGAAAATTAAGAGCTGCCACAAAATAAAAGTATGAAAACTTTCAAGGGTAGGAATCAATAATAATGATAATGAATGGGTTTTAGAAAATGAAGAAGCAAAAAGAGGTAAGGCTTTGGTGCCAAAAAGAAAACAACATCTAATTGGGCCAGGCGTGGTGGCTCATGCCTGTAATCCCAACACTTTGGGAGGCTGAGGCGGGCAGATCACGAGGTCAAGAGATCGAGACCATCCTGGCCAACATGGTGAAACCCCATCTCTACTAACAATACAAAAATTAGCCAGGTGCAGTGTGGCACATGCCTGTAGTCCCAGCTACGTGGGAGGCTGAGGCAGGAGAATCAATTGAACCTGGGAGGCGGAGGTTGCAGTGAGCCAAGATCGCGCCACTGCACTCCAGCCTGGCGACAAAGTGAGACTCCATCTCAAAAAAAAAAAAAAAAACCTAATTGTTTATGAATAAGATTAGCATGGAGAAGCAGGATGCAGGTGGGGTGGGAAGAGATGTACACGTATGTGTTTACATAACTGGGAGCATAGCTCCAGCCGTAAGAGAACAACCACAAACAAATCAGCAAATCAATGGAAACAAGACATCTTTTTTCTGTCATCAACTTTCAAGGTCTCTGTGTCTCTTTATGTTCCTAGTCACTCAATAATGTTACAATGATCTTCCCCGTAACCCTCAAATATCAAATATTAATATGCCAATAAGTGCACTGAACTCATCCTTTCTCTCCATTCTGTCTGCAAGAAGTTACATATATCTGTACTATCTGTGTTCTAGCCAGAAATATAGAACACATCATGTATGAGGTAGCCAGATATTAAGTGGCCATAAAGCATTCCAAACGATGCAATATTTGATTGAGAAAGCACATTCTGTACATTTTGACACATGTGAAATCAAGACGGTCTTGCAGTGCTGCTAACCAGGTAGTGGTTCTTATGTAGTCATCACTGCCTGCCTAAGCACAGGTTTGGCTGTGTCTCTTGGCAGCTTGACAGAACATCTGCAACCTTTTGATGCTCAGGTCAACAAACGTTGACCTAAGACCATTTGAAAAAGGAACAGGAGTCCCAGTTGGTGTCAGGTAAACTATCTGATGATACCATCACATGCGGAATGCATGTCAATAGCTTGGAAGAAAAACCCAGAGACAATATTAAAACACCCTCTTAAGAAATGATTCAACATTAACACCCCTAAGGGCACAAAGGGTGATACTCTACAGGAAAACACAGGCATCAGTGACTCTAAGTCAAAAGTGATTCAGTACTCAGACTCGGAAGGTGACAAAGTTTTTTTAAAAAAAGTCTAGTTTATTAAACTAATAATTTTCTCTTAAATATGTTCAAAAATGATAATAAAAATATGTTTAAAAAGTAAAGGGGAGTTCCTTCAAAAAGGAACATACATTCCTCATGATTAAAAACATCAAAATATAATTGTTTAATTGGCATTGTTTTTTCTTACTAGTGGTCCTTAAAATAATGAAGCAGCTTACAGGCAATAATATAGTGGAGGAAACACAGTAATTTTTACAGGAATGTCATACATAGCAAATCTACCTTCTAGTTTATGAAAGATATAGTTTGTTTGGGGGTAAGGAGATTTCTTTGTGATTCCCAAAAACATATGAGCTGATTTCCTTACCATATTGCCCATGTAATTTTAACTGTCTATTGACAATTATGTATTTTTATCTTTGCTCTGTCAAATCTGTGTCTGGATTTAAATAAGATCATTAAATATATTTCTGAAATGTCCCCTTTATATACGTCCAAAATCACTGAAAGAAAAATCTAACTCTAGCAACACTAAAAAAAGCATGTACCAAGACCTCTCTTGAACCGTTAATGGTTTACCTTTGTCTCTCCAAAGCTTGTCTTTCTAAAGTATCAAGGCTCTCAGAAATCAATTGCTCTCTTATTTTATTTTACTTTATTTATTCATTTTTTGAGATGGAGTCTTGCTCTGTTGCCCAGGCTACAGTGCAGTGGCACGATATCAGCTCACTGCAACCTCCGTCTCCTGGGTTCAAGCAATTGTCCTACCTCAGCCTCCTGAGTAGTTGGGATTACAGGCACTCACCACCACGCCCAGCTAATTTTTGCATGTTTAGTAGAGACAGGGTTTCACCACATTGGCCAGGCTGGTCTCAAATACCTGACCTCAGGTGATCCACCCGCCTCAGCCTCCCAAAGTGCTGGGATTACAGGTATGAGCCACTGCGCCTGTCCTCAATTGCTCTTTTAGAGATAAAAATAATATGCTATCACAGCAAACTAATTATATGGGTATTAGAGTGTCATGACTACTCTAAAATCAATTTGCAAAATAAAAATAATGCATGCTTCTTTGCTGTAATGATATGCATTAAAGATCACCTATCAAATCTGGGTTATTCTTCCAACAGCTGTGATATGGTTTGGCTCTGTGTTCCCACCCAAATCTTATCTTGAATTATAATCCCCCTAATCCTCCACATGTCAAGGGAGGGACCTGGTGGGAGGTGATTGGATCATGTGGGCAGTTTCTGCCATGCTGTTCTGATGGTGAGTGAATTCTCACAAGATCTGATGGTTTTATAAGCATTTGACAATACCTCCTTCACACACTCCCACTCTCTTCTGCCATCTTGTGAAGAAGGTGCCTGCTTCTCCTTCCACAAGGATTTTAAGTCTCCTGAGGCCTCCCCAGCCATGTGGAATTGTGAGTCAATTAAACCTCCTTTGTTTATAAATTACCCAGTCTCAGGTAATATCTTTATAGCAGTGTGAAAACGGACTAATACAAGCTGTATGTAGTCACTCCTTAATTCCTTCATTCATGTATTAAATCAAATCTAGTAGTTAACGGTTCAAAAGAAAGGTCACAAGTAGTCACAGGCCAGCCCTGTGATGTCAAGTGCTTCTAAATGCTGTTTAATTTTGCAAATAAACATTCTTTGAGGGTATCTAAGTAGGATGTAATACTTTAAGGCAGACTAACCAATACTTTCTTGAATGACAAAAGAGACTACATAAAATACTAAACTAATAAAGGCATTGGAGAGCTATGAAAGAAATAAGAACTAGAAAGTATAAGATTACCTAAAAGCAAAAAAAAAAGGAGAAACTCAGAGAGATAATCTGTCAATATATGACATTTTCCTGGTTATATTTACACAGGTAAAGGACCATGGCAGAGTTTACGTGATCTTCGGAGGCCAGAGGATCGAAATTGGAGACTTGAAGACCCTCAAACACATGAAGAGTGTTACTCTAATATTTAGCAAGGTAAGCAAAAAAGCTAAGCCATAAACATTATAATGCAAAGTAGAGTTTTTCTACCAGTCACATAGTACTATGAAGACTAAAGATCAACAATGAAAACTCAACAAGGAGAAGAGGTGAACACAACAGAATTCTCAGTAAATTCGTGGAGGGGAATGCTTGAGGAATAAGGTCCAACCAGAGATAGACTGAGGCTTACAGAAACTGTAACCTAACTTCACCTCAGCTAGCTTAAGGTGATACATCCCCCAAATTCATCTGCCTTGCAGAAAAAAGGGTGAACTCTCTTGAGAGGAAAATAATATCAATTTGTAACATTTACAACCTCTATAACTTTTTATACTCAAAGCCTAGCATTCAATAAAAAATTACAGGCGTAGTAAGAGGTAAGATAATATGACTTAAAACTAGAACAGATCCATAGGTGATTCAGATATTAGAGCTAATACCAAAGACCTTAAAATAATTATGTTCAAGAAAATTAAGGAAAATTAAATTAAATTAATGAAAGACAGTATATTTCACCAGATATCTGGAATGTGTAAAAAGAACCAAATGGAAATTCTAGAACTGGAAAATACAATATCTGAAACTCATTGATGGATGGGTTTAACGACAGATTGACATTGCAGTAATCTGCATAACAAGTCAGTAGAACATATCCAAACTAAACAGAGAGGAAGAATAAAAAGGAAAGAAAAGGAGCATAAAATATATAGGGCACAATAAAAAGACATAAAATGTAATTGGGATCCCAAAAAGGAAAAAAATGAGAAAACTAATGAATCGACCTTTGAAGAGAAAAATGCCAAAAATGTTCCAAAACTGAGAAAAACACCAAACAATAGACTCTCACCAACATTCCTAGAACGGAAATGCATACAAATATCAAACAAAAGACATATAGGAATGTTCACAGTGTACTTATAATAACAAAATGTTCAGGAGAAGAATGGATAAATTATGATACAGTCATTAAACAGAATGAACAAGCAATGTATAGTAATGAGAATAAACAAACTATAACTACATGTATCTACATCAATAAATACCATAAACATTATTTTGACTTGAAGGGATGCATACCATATAATGCTATTTATATAAAGTTCAATAACAGGCAAAACTAACCTAAAGCATGGGAAGTCAAGACAGCTATTACCTTTAGAAAATAGTATCTGTAGAAAATAGTACCTAAGAAAGGGTTTCTAAAGTACTGGGAATGTTCTGTTTTTAATATAGTTGCTGGACACATGGATGTGTTTACTTTGTGAAAACTCACTAAGCTGAACACGTATGTTCGATGAACTTTTACAGATATATGTTTAAGTTCAGCGACTAGTTTACTTAAATGAAAGAAGCTCTATAAACCCTAAGTAAGATAACTATAAAGAAATCCAAATCTAACCATATGCTAATAAGAGTACTAATATAAACACAAAGAAAAAAATCTTAAAAGTAATATGGGATGGAGAGGAAGGAGAAGGGAATACATTACTTTCAATGAATAACAATAAGACATAGAGCTGACTTCTAACAGGAACAATGAAAGCCATAAGACAATAGAATGGCCTTGTTAAAGTGTTTTAAAACAAACCAAAAAAACCCTAAGTACTCACCAAGAATTTTATAACAATGAATATATTATCAAAAAATAAAAATTGAAATGAAGATGTTTTTGAACAAACAAAAACTTTAACAATCCACTGACGACAGAACCATACTAAAAGAAGAAGAAAATGGAGAAGGAGAAAGAGGAGGAGGAGGAGGAAGAGAGAAGAAAAGCGGAGGAGGAGAAGGAGGGAAAGAAGGAAAATGAATGGTGGAGAGGAGAGGAGAGAGTTCTTCAGGTAGAAGAAAAATGATCCCCAACAGAACACAGAAATGCAAAAAGAAATGAAAACAACAAAGGTAAACATGTGGGTAAACATAAATCAATGCTGATAAACAATAATATTGGGTCCTGAGTTATACTTATGTCTAGAATTAATATCCATATCAACAATAATACAAAAGATGACAAGGAAAATTAAATTGACATTTTCTAAGGAAAAAGAAGGAAACTAAGCAACAAATTGTTTCATATAATTATAAAGAAAGGATAGAGATTTCTAATCATTATAGTAAACACAAAGGCCAGTAAAAAAATAGATAAATATCAGGTCAAAAGAATGTATCAAGTAGAAGACAAAGAGTTGGTGACAAATATGAACAAATGTCATTAATTTTATTAAATGTAAAGGAGTCAAATACTCTAATTAAAAAACCAAAATTATCAGAGTGGATGTTAGAAACCTAAACAGTAAACTTGTTTACCTACAGGACAAATGCTTTAAATATAAAGACATAAAAGACTTGAAAAATATGTTTTAACATAAAAAGACATACCATGAAAAAAACTAACTTTTTAAAAGATTGATAAAACTATACTAATACCAGAAAACCTAGACTGTAAGGCAAGAAATATTACCAAATACTTTTTAAAAGAACACCTCATAAGTATATGAGGCAATAATCCCTTATGAAAAAATAAGAATTCTCTATTACTGTGTACTCATTAACAGAATTTCAAAACATGTAAAGCAAAAATTGACTGCTAAAGGGAGAAATGAACAAACCCACAAATATATTGGAGACTTATCACTATCAATAGCTTATAAAACAACCAGATCCGCCCCTTCCGCCGACCCAAACATCATATCATTAGGGCCACATGATGCGGTTCACAAGTTTGTCCATGTATACAACACTGCACCAACAAAGAAAATAAAAAAATGTCCTTCAAAAGCACTTGAAACATTTACCAAAATTGACTATGTATGCTGGGTCATAAAGCAGACTTCAAAAAAGTTTAATTATAGTCACTCAAAAAATATTATCTAAACACAATGTAATCAAGCAAGAAATCAATCAGAAATATTTAACAGAAAATCCTCAACTGCTTGGAAATTGAATGCTTCTAATATCAAAATAATCAAAGAATAAATCACAATAGAAATGTGAAAATAGCTTCAACTGAATAATTCAGATATGATAAACCACAATTTGTGAGATGCAGCTAAATCTCGTGCTTAGAAAGAAAGTATAGCCTTAAATGGATTATCATCATGAGCTAGAAAAGGAACAGAAAATCAAATGCAAGCAAAGTTTTTTAAAAAGAAAATCATTTTTATAAGAGAAAATATCAATGGAATGGAAATAAAATGCACAATAGACAAAGCCAAAGGTTTATTCTTTAAAAAGATTAATAAAAGTGATAAACTCAAGGCAAGACAAAAAGCAAAAGAAAAGAAAATACAAACTGACAATATCAGGCAGGGAAAGGAAGGATATGATTACAGATCATACATATATTAAAGACGTAATAAAAACATCATAAACAACTTCTCACTAATCTGAAAAATTAAATTATAGAATAAAATTTCTTAAAAATGAAATATCAAATCAAGAAAATGTTAAAAATCTGAATTCTACTTTGTCCATAAAATAAATTGAAGCTCTTATTAAAATCTTTCTATAAAGAAATCTCCAAGCCCAGAGAGCTTCACTAGTGAATTCTTCCAAATATTTTTTTAAAAATAACACAAAGCTCACATTCTTCCAGAGAACAGAAAAGGATTAACCTTCTCAATCTATTTTATGAGGCCAAAATAACAACAGCCTAAAAACCTAAGAACATTATGAGAAAATTACAGACCAAATTTTTATGAACATCTTTTTTAAAAATCCTTTTAAAAAGAGGGAGGGATGTAAGCAAGATGGCAGAATAGCAAATGCCAGCCCTCATACTGCCACAAAAACACCAATTTTGGCAACTATCCACAAACAAAAATAACTTTGTGAGAACCCCAGAGTCTAGCTAAGTTTCTAGCAGCTTGATAAGCAAAAAAATCTGACAGTAGATGCATTAAAAAGGGTGAAAAGCAATTTCACATTACCCACATCACTTCTCCCCCAAGGTGGCACAGCTCAGTGCCAAGAGAAGCCTCCTTGGCGCAGAATTTCTCCCACAGGGGGAACTAAGAGCAAAGTGAGCACCCAGCTTCTCCAGCCTTGTGGCATGCTGTCTAGCAGGCCCACTTCTGTCTTGCTAACCAAGAATATTGAGGGGATGAGTACAATAGCATCATCTGGGGACAGCTGAGAGCATGGCAAAGGGGCAGGGGCTCACTGCAACCAGTGCACAGATCACAACAGCCAGCCATGGATCCTGCTAATCAGCTAGCAAACTCCACCAAGAGACTCACTGACAAATCCCTCAAAATGACTCTCCTGTGGGCCCTTGCACCCAGTTGACCCACACCACTGGCACATCATACTCCCACAATGGCCTGTGCCCCACACATCCCCAAGCACAGTCCCCTATAGGTCCCCACAATGATGCACATGAGCCCCCTACAGATAGCACACACATCTCAACAGTAGGTGCAGATCTTAGCAGCCAATCCAACTCTGCTAGATTGGGATAATGTGTGCAATCTGAACACATCAGGTCACTGCACTAGGGAAAATAAATAGGAGGCCCTCATTCCAGGCCTGGCTTTGTGGGATTGAAAAAAGGCACACAATCCTAAGACTTCTCCTGTAAGAAGGAACAAGAGCAGTAGAGTATGGGCGTCCATTGATAAGGTCTCGAGACCTCCAGAATCTAGAGAGTCTCACTAACGAAGCTCTCACCAGTGACAAGCTCACTGGTGAAGGTCTTTCTCTCTTGAAGCCAGTCAGTAAAGGCTGGAAGAGGTGACTACTTATTCAAATGCAAAGAAACAATGCAATGCTTCTAGGAAAACAAAGAATCAAAAAAACACAATACCACCAAAAGAACAAAATAAAGCTCCAGAGACTGATCTTAAAAAAAATGGATACCTATGAATTGCCCAACAAAGAATTCAAAGTAATTATCTTTAATAAAACTCAGTGAGCCACAAGAGAAGAAAATGATAGAAAACTAAATTATATAAGGGAAACAATGCATATGTGAAGTTAGAATTTCAACAAAAAGATACACACCTTTAAAAAGAACCAAACATAAATTCTGGAAATGAAGAATACAACACCTGAACTCAAAAATTCAACTGAGAGCTTCAATGGCAGACTCAATCAAGCAGAAGAAAGAATCAGTGAACTCAAAGACAGGTTATTTAAAAGTAGTCAGAGGAATAAAAATAAAACAAGAATGAAAAAGAATAAAGAAAGTCTACAGGACTTATAGAACAGCATCATGTGAACAAACATAGAAATTATAGGAGTCCTAGAAGCAGCAGAGAAAGAGAAGAGGGACAAAGAGAAAGCAAAGTTATTTTAAAAATTAAGACAGAAAACTTCCCAAATCTTGGAGGGAAATGAACATTAAGATCCAGGAAGTCCAAAGAACCTCAAATGGTAGAATATAAAAATGTCTCCACCAAGATACATTATAATCAAATTGTCAAAAATGAAAAAAAAAGAAGTTTGAAAGTAGTAAGAGAAAAACAACTCATCACATATAAGGGAAACACCATAAGACTGTGAATGAATTTATCAGCAGAAACCTTGCAGTTCAAGAGAGAGTGGGATGATATATTCAAAGTGCTGAAAGAAAAAAGCAGCCAACTAAAAATACAACAAAAGGTGTCCTTAAGAAATAGAGACAGAAACTCTTTCCTAGAAAAACAAAAGCTGTGGGAGTTCATCATCACTAGATTTGCCTTACAAGATATGCTAAAAGAGTTCTTCAAAGTTTAAACAAAAGGACACTAATTAGCAATGTGAAAACATATGAAAGTATAAACCTCACTGGTAAAGGTAAGCACATAATCAAATTCAGAATACTTTAATACTATAATGAAGGTGAATAAATCACTTTTACTCTACTATAAAAGTTAAAAGGCAAAAGTATTAAAAATAACTATAGCTACAAAATTTGTTAATGGATATGCAATATAAAAAGTTGTAAAATATCCGAATGCAGTAAAGATAGATTTATTATATTAAAAAAGGAAAAAAGTTGTAAATTGTGACACCAAAAACATAAAATTTTGTGGGGTGAAGTAAATGTATTGAGTTTTTTAATGCAATTGAACTAAAGTTGTTATCAGCTTAAAATAGACTGCTGTAACTGTAAGTGTTTTATGTGAGCCTTATGGTAACCACAAAGAAAGCCGATGTGTTAGGTATTTAAAAGAGAAAGATAGAGGAATCAAAACATACTACCACAAAAAAAATCATCAATGAAAGGAAATGGCAACAGAGGAAGAAAGGAACAAATAAATAAACTACAAAACAGTGAAAAAAACAATTACTGAAATATTTTTAGTAAGTCCTTGCCTATCAATAATTATTTTAAATTTCAATATAAATTCTCTAATCCAAAAACAAAGAGCAACTGAATTTTTTTTAAAAAAAGATCCAACTATGAGCTGTTTCTAAGAGACTGACATTAGCTTTAAGAACACACTTAGGCTGAAAGTAAAAGGACAGAAAAAAAAATATTCCATGCAAATAGTAACCGAAGGAGAGCAGGAGTAGCTATACTTATATCAGAAAAAAAACTTCACTTTAAGTAAAAAATTGTCACAGAAGAAAACAAATGTTGTTACATATTGATAAAGGGGTCCATGCATCAAGAGGATATAACAATTATATATGCACCCAACATAAGAGCAAATAAACATATAAAGCAAATATTAACAGAACTGAAGGGACTGAAGGGAGAAATAGACAGCAATGCAATAGTAATAGGGAACTTTGATACCTCACTTTCAACAACCCCTACTTCCTCCAGACAGAAAATCAATAAGGGAACAACGAAATTCAGCAACACTATAAACCAAATGGACCTAACAGATATATAGAGAACATTCCATCCAATAGCAGCAGAATACACATTCTTTTCAAGCATACACATAACATTCTCCAGGGTAGATAATATGTTAGGACACAAGACAAGTCTTAACAAATTTAAGAAGTTGTAAATCGGCTGGGTGCGGTGGCTCATGCCTGTAATCCCAGCACTCTGGGAGGCCGAGGCGGGCAGATCACAAGATCAGGAGATTGAGACCATCCTGACTAACATGGTGAAACCCCGTCTCTACTAAAAATACAAAAAAAATTAGCCGGGCATGGTGGGCACCTGTAGTCCCAGCTATTTGGGAGGCTGAGGCAGGAGAATGGCGTGAACCCAAGAGGCAGAGCTTGCAGCGAGTCAAGATCGCACCACTGCACTCCAGCCTTGGCAACAGAGCGAGACACCATATCAAAAAAAAAAAAAAAAAGAAGTTGTAAATCATGTCAAGTAACTTTTTCAGCCACAATGGTATGAAACTAAAAATCAATAACAAGAGGAAAATTGGAAAATTCACAAATATGTGTAACTTAAGCAACATGCTCCTGAATAACCAATTGGTCAAATAAGAAACCAAAAGGGAAATCAAAAATATCTTGAGACAAACAAATATGGAAACATACAACATATTAAAACTTATGGGAGGCAGCAAAAGCAGTGCTAAAAGTTTACAGCAATAAATGCCTCCATTACAAAATAAGAATGATGTCAAATAAACAGTCCAGCTTTATACTTCAAGGAGCTAGAGGAAAAAAAAAAAAAAAAATAGGCCCAAACGGCAGAAGGAAGGAATAAAGATTAGAACAAAAATAAATAAAATAGACACTAGAAAAACAATTAAAAAGACAAATAAAACTAAGAATTGATTATGTGAGACGATCAACTTGACAAACCTTTAGCCATACTAACAATGAAAAAAAGAGATGATTCCAATAAATAAAATCATAAATGAAATAAGAGACATTACAACAGATAGCACAGAAATACAAATTTAAGCGATCATAACACTACTATGAACAATTATTTGCCAACATATTGGATGACCTAGAAGAAATGGATAAGTTCCTAGAAATATACAATCTACCCAAACTGAACATAAAGAAATAGAGAATCTGAACAAAGAACAAGTAATATTAAATCAGTAATTTAAAACTTCCCAATAAAGAAAGCCCAGTATCTGGTCACTTCGTTGGTAAATTCTACAAACATTTTAAGAAGAACTAACACCAATCCTTCTCAAACCCTTCCAAAAAATTGAAGAGTAGAGACAACACTTTCAAATTCATCTCATGAAGCCAGCATTACCCTGATAGCAAAGACAGACAAGGTCATTCCAATATACTAAAATTACAAGGTAATATCCCTGATGAACACATACAAAAATACTCAACAAAATACTGGCAAATTTAACAGCACATTAAGAGAATTATACACTCTCATCAAGTGGGACTTATCCCTGGTATGCAAGGATGGTTCAACATATCAAAATCAATAAATGTCATATGCTACATTAACAGAATGAAGGATAAAAATCGTGATCATTTCAATAAATGCAGAAAAAGCATTTTTCATGATTAAAAAAAAACTCTCAACAAATTAGGTATAGAGGGAATGGACCTCAAAACAATAAAGGCCATATATGACAAGCCCACAGGTAACATCATTTATAATGGTGAAAAGTTAGGAACAAAATAAAGATGCCCACTCTCGACATGGTACTAGAAGTCCTAGTCAGAGCACTTAGGCAAAAGAAAAACAAAAAAAGGCATCCAAGTCAGAAAGAAAGAAGTAAAATTGTCTGTCTTTGCAAGTCACATGTCTTATATATAGAAAACCATAGGCCAGGCACGGTAGCTCATGCATGTAATCCTAGCACTTTGGGAGGCCTAGGTGGGTGGATTGCCTGAGCTCAGTAGTTTGAGACCAGCCTGGGCACCGATGGTGAAACCCCATCTCTACTAAAATACAAAAAAAAAAAAAAAAAAAAAGAAAAAAAAAAAGAGCCGGGCATGGCAGCATGCGCCTGTAGTCCCAGCTATATGGGAAGCTGAGGCAGGAGAATTGCTTTAACCCGTGAGGCGGAGGTTGCAGTGAGCCGAGATGGTGCCACTGCACTCCAGCCTGGCAACAGAGTAAGACTCCGTCTCAAAAACAAACAAACAAACAAACAAACAAAAAAAACCATAAAGATTCCACCAAAAACTGTTTGAACTAATTTTAAAAATTCGGTAAATTTGCAGAATATGAAACCAACATACAAAAATGAGTTGTTGCTATACACTGACAACAAACTATCCAATAGAATTTAAAAACAATCCCCTTAACAATAACATCAAAAAGAATAAAATTATGAGGTATAAATTTAACCAAGAGGGTGAAAAATCTACACTGAAAGCTGTAAAACACTGATGAAAGATATTAAAGTAGACACAAATACAGAGAAACATACTCCCTTTTCACAGATTGTAAAAATTAATACTGTTAAAATATTCACACTACTCAAACTGATCTACATATTCAATGCATTCCTTATCAAAATTCCAATGGCATTTTTCACAGAAATAGGAAAAACTATCCTAAAATTAATATGGAACCACAAAAGACCACTAATAGCCAAAGAGATATTGAGCAAGAAGAACAAAACTAGAGGCATCACAATTCCTATTTCAAATTACATTGCAAATCTATAATAATCATAAAGTATGGTAGTAGCATAAAAACAGATATATAGACCAACGGAACAGAATGGAGCGCCAAGAAATAAACCTATGCATATACAGTCAACTAATTTTTTGACAACGGCAGTGAGAATACACAATGGAGAAAGGACAGTCTCTTCAAGAAATGATGTTGGAATATATATATATATATATATATATATATATGGATGTATATATGCAAAATGAAGATCTTATTTTACACAATACATAAAAATCAATTCAAAATAGATTGAAGACTTAAATATAAGACCTGAAACTGTAAAACTGGTAGAAGAAAATGTAAGGGAAAAGTGTCTTCACATTGGTCTTGACAATGATTTTTTTGGATTTGACACTGAAAGCACAGGCAATGAAAGCAAAAATAAATAAGTGGGATTACCTCAAACCAAAAAACTTCTACACGGCAAAGGAAATCAATCACCAAAATCAAGCGATGACCTATGAAATGGGAGAAAATATTGGCAAACCATACATTTGATAAGGGGCTAATATACAAAATATATAAGCAACTCATATAATTCAACTACAAAAAAAATTTAAAAACCTGATATTAAATTGGGCAAAGGTCTTGAACAGACATTTATCCAAAGAAGATATACAAATATCCAACAAGTATAGAAAAAGGTGCTCAGCATTACTAATCATCAAGGAAATACAAATAAAAACCACAATGAGATATCACTTCACACTGTCAGGATGGCTACTACATAATTTAGAAAAAATAATAAATATTGGCAAATATGTGGAGAAAAGGGAACCCTTGTATACAATTGGTGGGAATGTATGAAAAGCAGCATGGCTACTCCTCAAAATACTAAAAATATGACTACCATATGATCCAGCAATCCCACATCTGGGCATATATTTAAAGGAACTAAAATCAGTATCCAAAGAAATATTTGTACTCCCATATTCACTGCAGCAATATTCACAATAGCCAAGATGTGGAAACAACCTAAATTTCTACTGACAGTTGAAGCGATAAAGAAAATGTGGTACACATATACAATGCAGCATTACTCAGCCTTTAAAAAGAAGGAAATCCTGCCATTTGCAACAACATGGATGGATCCAGAGGGCATTACATAAAGTGGAATAAGCCAAACAGATGATAAATCCTGTATGATCTCTTTATATGTGAGATCCAAAATACTTAAATTTGCAGAAACAGAGGGTGAAATGATGGTGCCGGGAGCTGAGGAAAGGGGGAAATTGGGAGGTGATGGATAAAGGGTACAAAGTTTTAGTTATGTAGGATAAATTAGTCCTGAAAACCTACCATACAGTATAGTAGCATTAGCTACTATAACTAACAATACTGTATTGTATGGTTAAAGTCTGTTAAGAGGGTAGATCTTATGTTAAGTGTTCTTACCCCCAAAAAAGAAGAAAAACATAATAATAATTTAAAAAGAGAGTAAGAGAAAATTTAGGGAGGTGATGGCTATGTTTATGGCCTTTATAGTGATAATGTTTTCATAGTTGTATATATTCTCCAAACTCATCAAGATATAATATATATATATCTTTTTATATGTCAATCATACCTCAATATTCTAAAATTAATTAATTAATTAAAACATGGGAGGAAAATATATGACTTCAACAGATACAAAAAACCAACTGACATAAATTAACACCAATTCATAACTTTTTAAAAAAAAAACTGTTATGAAACAGAAATAGACAAGAACCACCTAATTCTGATAAAGAGTATCTATCATAGATCTGCAGCAAACATCATACATGATGGTGAATTATTGACAGCTTTTCTTCTGAGTTGGAAATTATGTGGATGCCCGCTATCATCACTTCTATTAATATTACACTAGATGTCCTAACTAGTGTAATGATGCAAGAAAAATAGAAAAACAATCATAAGGATTGGAAGGGGAAAAAAAAGAAAATTCTAAACACTTCCAGACAACAGGATCTGAACACAAAAAAATTAAATTGACTAACTACCAGAAATAAGAGAATTTACCAAAATTAATAAATACAAGATCCATACAAAGAGTCAATCTTGTTTCCATATATCAGCAACAAAAAATAAAATTTGAAAATGCCATTTACAATAGCATTGATTCCTATTAAAGACCTAATACTAAATCTAACAAAAGATGAATGAGAACTTTAAACTGAAAACTATATAGAACATTATTAAGAAAAAATTTTAAACACCAAAGTAAATGAAAAAAATACCATATATATGGATTAGAAGATTCAGTACAGTAAAGGTGACAATTATGCCCAAACTGACCTGCTAAAAATCCTAATAAGTATAGAGGGATTTTTAAAGAAATTGGTTAGATTGATCCTAACAGTTATATGGAAATACAAATATGAGAAGAAGAAGAACAAATCTAGATGGCTTGCACTACCAGATAGCATGATATTACAAAGTTCTAATAATTACAACAGCATGACCCCAACAGAAAGATAAACAGGCACCAATGAAACAGATTAGAAAGTTCAGAAACAGATACATAATTTTAAATAAGGAAATACAATAGGGAATGTGATTGAAAAAGATGATCTTGAATGAATAGTACTGGGGCCAATATAACCCATACACCAAAAGGAAGTCCAGATGCATTGTAGATCTAAATGTTAAAAAGTACAGCAACAAAGCTTAGAGAAAAAAACAAAACTGGCAAATATCTTCATGGCCTTAGGTAACAATTACTTGAATAATATACAAAAAGGTACCAACCAAAAAATAAAAAAGTATATACACCAGAGTACATTAAAATTATGACCATCTGTTCATTAAGAGGCTCCATTAAGAAAGTGAAAAGGCAATCCAAAAAGTAGGAAAATGTATCTGCAACACATTGGTCACATGGACACTCATCCAGAAAATATCAAGAAATCCTACAAATTGACGATGATAGCAAATAACCCGTAGAGAAATGGGCAAAAGCTTTGAATGGGAACTTGACAAAAGAAAGCATGCAAGTGGCCAGTAAACATTTGAAAAGATGCTTAACTTCAGTTTTCAACAGGAAAATTCTAATTAAAACTACAAAGTTACACCATTACACAGCCACCAAAATGGTTAAAATGAACAACACCAAGTGCTAGACAGAAGAAGCAATTAAAACTCTCGTTAACTACTACAGTGCAGTTGTCATGTAAATTAGAACAACCACTTCAGAAAACCATTTGGAAGTAACTATTACAACTGAACATAAACATATCCTATGACCTAACAATTCTACTCCTAGCTGTTAACTCAACAAATGTATTCACCAAAAGACATATATAATAATGTCCACAGCAGCATCATTCTTAATATTCCAAACTGGAAATAATCAAAACATCCATTTATAGTAGAATGAATAAGTAATGTGTGGTGTATTCATACAATAAAATACTACAGAAAAAATTTTTAAACTACTGCTATATAGAATAGTGCCACTGAATCTTAGAGACATTATGCTAAACAAAAGAAGCCAAACACGAAAGAATACACACTGGCTTGGTGCGGTGACTCATGTCTATAATCAAAGCACTTCGGGAGGCCGAGGTGGGAGGATCGCTTGAGGCCAGATCGAGACCAGCCCGAGCAACACATTGAGAACCTGTCTCCCCTAAAACAGTGAATAAATTAGCTAGGTGTGGTGGCATGCACCTAGCTACTTGGGAGGCTGAGGCAGGAGAATCACTTGAGCTCAGGGGATTGAGGCTGCAGTGAGTTGTGATTGCACCACTGTACTCCAACCTGGGTGACAGAATGAGACCCTGTTTCAAAAAAGAAAAAAAAAGAATACACACTGATTTGACTGATATAAGCTCAAGAATATGCAAATCCAACTGAGGGAGAGTAATCACCTGTGGTGGGAGGGGCTTTGGGAGCAGTCACTGGAAGGAGCAAGAAGGGAGAAGGCTTCTAGGGTCCTACTAATGTAATGTTTCTTGATCTGAATGCTGGTTTTCCAGATGTGTTCACTTCATAAAAAAAATAAATAAAATCCACTACACTGTATTCTTACATTATACATACATTTGTGTATGTCATAGTTTAATAAAAAGCTTACTTAAGTTTGAGTCCACAAATGGCATTGAGAAAACTGGATATTCACATGCAAAATAATGGAGCTGGTCCTTTACCTTACACCATATACAAAAATTAGTTTAAAATGAACAAAAGACCTAAACATAATAGCTGAAACTATAAAACTCCTAGAAGAAAACATAAGTGAAAACCCTCACGGCATTGGATTTGGCAACAACAATGATGTCAAAAACGCAAGCAACCAAAGAATAAGTAAATAAATTTGACTCCATCAAAGCTGAAAACGTTTGTGCATAAGAGAACAATACCAAGAGAGTGGAAGGCAATCCACCGAATGGGAGAAAATATTTGCAAATCATGTATCTCATAAGGGATTAATATCCAGAATATATAAAGAACTCATAATCTCAACAACAAAATACAAATGACTCAGTTGAAAAATGGGCAAAGAACTTGAACAGACATTTCTCCAAAGAGGATATTCTAATAGCCAATAATCATGAAAAAATACAAATCAAAACCACAATGAGATACCACTTTACACATAGGATGGCTAATATAAAAAAGAAAAAAAAAAACGGAAAACAAAAAGTGTTGATAAAGATGTGGAGAAGTGAATACCCTGTGCATTGCAAGTGGGAATGTAAAATGGTACAGCCACTATAGAAAACGGTATGGTGGTTCCTAAAATAATAAAGCATAGAGTTACCATATGACATAGCAATTTCACTTCTAGGTATAAACTGAAAAGAAGTGAAAGCAGGGACCCAAACAGAAATTAGTGCACCAATGTAAATGGCAACATTATTCACAATAGCCAAAGAGTAGAAACAACCTACATGTCCATTATGGATGAATCGATAAAGAAAATGTAGTATAAACATACAATGGAATATTATTCAGCCTTAAAAAATGAAATTCTAGGCCAGGCACAGTGGCTCATGCCTGAAATCCCAGCACTTTGGGAGGCTAAAGCGGACAGATCACCTGAGGTCAGGAGTTCAAGACCAGCCTAGCCAACATGGTGAAACCCCATCTCTCCTAAAAATATTTTTAAAAATTAGCCAAGTGTGGTGGCACGCACCTGTAATCCCAGCTACTCAAGAGGCTGAGGCAGAAGAATCACTTGAACGAGGGAGGCGGAGGTTGCAGTGAGCCAAAATCACGCCACTGCACTCCAGCCTGGGAGATGCAGCGAGACTCCATCTCGAAAAAAGCGCATACTACAACATAAATGAATCTTGAAAACATTATGCTAAGCAAAATAAGCCAGATACTAAAGAACAAATATTGTATTATTCCACTTATATGAGGTACCTAGAATTGTCAAATTCATAAAGACGGAAAGTAGAATGGTAGCTACCAGGGTCTGGGGGAGAAGGCAATGGGGATTGATTGTTTACTGAATACAGAATTGCAGTTTGGGATGACAAAAAAGTTCTGGAGGTGGATGGTAGTGGTGGCTGCACAACAATGTGAATGTGCTTAATGCCACTGAGTGATCACTGAAAATGGTTAAGTAAATTTTGTATTATGTATATTATACCGCAATTTTTAAATGTGGATTTTTTATTTTTTTTTTTGAGATGGAGTCTCGCTCTGTCGCCCAGGCTGGAGTGCAGTGGCGTGATCTCGGCTCACTGCAAGCTCCGCCTCCCGGGTTCACGCCATTCTCCTGCCTCAGCCTCCCGAGTAGCTGGGACCACAGGCGCCTGCCACCACCCCCGGCTAATTTTTTGTATTTTTAGTAGAGACGGGGTTTCACCATGTTAGCCAGGATGGTCTCAATCTCCTGACCTCGTGATCCGCCCGCCTCAGCCTCCCAAAGTGCTGGGATTACAGGCGTGAGCAACCGCGCCCAGCCTAAATGTTGATTTTTTTAAGAGACAGGGTCTCAATATGTTGCCCATGCTGGTCTCAAACTCCTGGCCTCAAGCAATCCTCCTGCCTCAGCCCCACAAAGTGCTGGGATGACAGGCATGAGCCACCACTCAAGTCAAAAGTTGATTTCTTTATAAAAAGTTTATTGTGCTTATATTATTTTCTGGGTATTATACTAATAGCTGCTACTATAAGTGAATTTCCCCCTGCCAAGAAGGAAAGACAGGTGGGTTTAAATTTTTTTGCTTCTCTCCCTTCTCACTGCTAGTAATTACTCAAAATGTGGTCACTCTCAGCATTCTCTGCCAAATCTTTTAAAATCTGGAGCACCTAGCCACTTAAAAGACACAACCAAAGATCCCAACACATCATGATCATTTCACCTCAAAGTAATTACCTCCTCTTCTACAAACCCAATCTCCTCATCTTTATGAGCTGAATCTTTTGGCTGAGTTTAGATCTATAAATTAATGCATTCACTTAGAACAGTCCATTCCACAGAAGGCTCTCAATAAATTATAAATATTTACCTTTAGTCATTCAAAATTTATTGAGAGCCTATTATGATAAAAGGAGATGGTAAATATTCTCATGGTAGCTAAGAAAACTTCCATATCACATGCTCTATCTTCTGATCTAGAGGAAAAATAAAAAGTGGTTGATGAGATTACTATGAACTTTATTGTGACTATTTGTCACTGCCAGGTACTTAACATCTAGATCATTCCCCACATTATGAGTCCTGCCTTCTCCAAGGCAGAGGCCAGAAAATCTTGCAACCACACTACCCTGAAGGTAGGATACAGACAGTGACCTTGTTTCTGCCAGGAAAATGCAAAGGGATGCTATATCATGACCATACAATTTATCTATTTCTTAGCTGTCTTTCCTATGTGCTGAGAACCTTAAAGAAAAAAAAAGGAAATCTAGTTGGTAGCCTCAAAAGTGGAAGAAACTGAAAAGAGACATTTTTCAGGAACTTTAAATGGTCAAAAATATTTTCCTTCTATTTTTATCCTAAATTGTTCTTCAAACCATTTGAAAGAATAAATATCATACAGTTTATATAAATTCTTATTTTAAAAGACAAATACCTCCCGTAACCTTTTAAAATAAACTAAATGAACAAAATTATAGTTTTTCAATAAATTAAACTAAACATATGTAAATTATAACTTACCACAAGTAAATGCAACCTAGTGCAGTGTTTCTTTAAAAAGGCACATTCTGTTTCATAAGCTTTCCACATATTTTGTCTCTATTAAATACACACTTGAAAAACTATGGTGGAAAATATAATGGCTTTCTGCCATTGACACACTCACAGTATGATACAAATCAACGCAACTCACAGTTCATACAGTTCATGAGGTAGCTCTAAAACCAAAACTTTCAAGAGACCATGATGAAAGCAAAAAAAAAAAAAAATGCTTATTTGCTGCTCATCACTTATATAATATTCTACTCATCAATTTCAATAAGCATCCTTACTACAGAATTTTGAATTTATGCATGATAAGGCAAGAATTCTGTGGACACTGGTTAAGCAGATGTAATTAAATAAAAATATCAGTGATATGTTTTTAAAATGAATTCTGTCAGGAACACACTCAGCAAGTTTCTTAAAAGATTTTTACTATCTTTGTTTGGAGATATGATCTTATATTTGGAAAAACCTAAAGACTCCACAAAAAAATCTATTAGAAATGATAAATTGAGTAAAGTTGCAGGATACTAAATCAACCTACAAAAATCAGTAGCATTTCTATATGCCAACAGTGAACAATCTGAAAGAGAATTTTTTTAAAATCCCTTTTACAATAGGTAGAAATAAAATTAAATACCTAGGAATTAACCAAAGAAGTGAAAGATCTCTATAATGAAAATTATAAAACACTGATGAAAGAAATTGAAGAGGATACCAAAAAATGGAAAGATATTCCATTTTTTTACTGGAAAAATCAATATTGTTAAAATGTCCATACTACCCAAAGCAATCTACAGATGCAATGCAATCTCTTTCAAAAATACCACTGACATTATTCACAGAAATAGAAAAAAGAATCCTAAAATTTATATGGAAGCACAAAAGACCCAGAATAGACAAAGACAACCTAAACAAAAAGAACAAACCTGAAGGAATCATGTTACCTGACTGCAAATTATACTACAGAGCTACAGTAACCAAAATAGCAAGGGACTGGCTCTGAAAAAGACACATAGACCAATGGAGTAGAATACAGAACCCAGAAACAAATCCACATACCTACAGTGAACTTGTTTTCAACAAAGGTCCCAAGAACACACACTGGGGAAAAGACAGTCTCTTCAATAAATGGTGTTGGGAAAAGTGGATATCCATATGCAGAAGAATGAAACTAGACCCCTATCTGTCACCACATACAAAAATCACATGAAAACAAATTAAAGATTTAAATCTAAGGCCTAAAACTATGAAACTACTATGAGAAAACATCAGCGAAACTCTCTACATTGGTCTGGGCAAAAATGTCTTGACTAATATCCCACAAGCACAGGCAACCAAAGCAAAATGGACAAATGGGATCACATCAAGTTAAAAAGCTTCTACAGAGCAAAGGAAACAAACAACAAAGTGAAGAGACAACCCACAGAATGGGAGAGAATATTTGCAAACTTCCCAGCTGACAAGGAACTAATAACCAGAATAAATAAGGAGCTCAAGCAACTCAATAAGAAAAAATCTAATAATCCAATTTAAAAATGCATAAAAGATTTAAATAGACATTTCTCAAAAGAAGACATACAAATGGCAAATGGGCATATGAAAAGGAAGTCAACACCACTGATCATCAGAGAAATGTAAATCAAAACTAGAATGAGATATCATCTCATCTAAGTTAAAATGGCTTTTATCCAAAAGATGAGCAATAACAAACACTGGTGAGGATGTGGAGAAAAGGGAACCCTCGTATACTGTTGGCAGGAATGTAAATTAGTACAACCACTATGGAGAACAGTTTGGAGGTCCCACAAAAAAAATTAAAAATAGAGTTACCATATAATCCAGCAGTCCTTCTGCTGGGTATATACCCAAAAGAAAGGAAATGAGCATATCAAAGAGATTTTTGCACTCCCATGTTTGTTGTAGCACTGTTCACAATAGCCAAAATTTGGAAGCAACCTAAGTGTCCATCAGGAGATGAACAGATAAAGTAAATGTGGTACTTATACACAGTGGAGTACTATTCAGCCATAATAAAAATGAGATCCTGTCATTTCCAACAACATGGATAGAACTGGAAGTCACTATGCTTTTTTATGTTTTTTAAATAACAATATGGATTGTGTGTAACGCAAAGGATAAATGCTTGAGAGCACAGATACTCCTTTCCACATGATGTGATTATTATGCATTGCATGCCTGTATCAAAACATCTCATGTCTCCCATAAATATATACATCGACTATGTACCCACAAAAATTAAAATAAAAAAATTTTTAAGATTTCTAATAAATTAACTCTTTATTCACCTGTAATGTTTTCAATAATACTATGATAAGGCAAGCATATTTGTTGATTTTTTTTTTTCTTTGGAAAAGAAAAACCTGAAAGTCAAAGAACTGGATAACAGTAGTAATCTTCATCCATTTTGTCTACAAAGCACTTCAGAACTTGAGCAAAATAGATGACTTGTCAAGATGCTTATCAATGTGAACAATCTACCAGCCAGAAACAACTATCTGAATACAAAGGCCTGGAAAATGGAATTGTTCTAAATAATTATCATTTGATTACATTTAAATACATATGGCTAGCTTCAATAAGTTCATCTCAATGACTTAAAATCTATCAACTGTATGTAAGTCAACCTCCTGCAATATTAAAAACCCATTAACTTACATGATTTACGAGTAAACAGTGTGCTAGGTAAAGATAAACTTTAGCACCCTCATTTTATCCTCATTTGAATTACTTTTCTCATTCAAATTTATAAAAAAAAAAAACAAACAAAGCAGTGACCTCTGAAGCTAGTACCATGTGCACGATAAGTGATTCACCAGCGTGTGCATGATTCATCCCCAGCAGGGTTGGTCACCTCCATTTCTATGACACCACAATCAACGGCCACCATAGTAGCAGGCTTGAGACCTCTAGAGCTCCTCCACAGCTCAATCACAGCCCTCAAAAAAGAGGCCTGAACTTCAGACAGCAATGATGCCGTCAGCTCTCTTTCTAGTGACTAATACAAGTCCTATGAGTCACCTGGGCTTTCTGTGTCTGTACCTTTTAAAATCCAAAATAATTCTGTAGTATTCTCTGTGTTTGCACAGAGTCAGCATCCCAGTACCTGGTGCAAGATGACATTTACACTCCAAAGAATGCCTTGGAGAGAGAGAGAGGACACCGCTCCCACTCATGGAGAACCCACAGGCCAAACCTCGAAGAGGAGATGGCAATCAACATAACAGAGTTACGGCATTCTGCCAAACTCTATTTGTCCCACAGCTTAAATATCATGTGCTCATCCTGCTCACAGATGGATTTTCTTTTCCTGATTGCCTGGATCAACATAAACATACAGTCATGTGTCACTTAACAACAGGATTTGTTCTAAGAAATGCGTTATTAGCATAAACATCATAGTGCAATTACACAAACCTACTGGGTAGAGCCTACTACACTCAGGCTATATGGAATGGCCTATGGCTCCTAGTCTACAAACCCGTACTGAATACTGCAGGCAATTGTAATGCAATGGTAAGTATTTCTCTAAATATAGAAAAAGTACAATAAAAAATACGGTATAAAAGATAAAAAATGGAGGTCACTTACCATGAATGGAGCTTGCAGTACTGGGAGTTGCTCTGGGTGGATCAGTGAATGAGCGGTGAGTGAATGGGAAGGCTGGGACGTTGCCGTACACTGCTGTAGACTTTATGAACACTGTATACTTAAGCTATGCCAAATTTATTAAAAACAGTTTTTCTTTCTTCAATGATAAGTTGGTCTTAGCTTACTATAAGTTTTTACTTTATGAAGTATAAAGTAGGTTTGTTTACACCAGCATCACCACAAACACATGAGTAATGCAATGGGCTACAACACTGCCACAGCTGCCCACTGTCACTGGGTGACAGGAATCTTTCAGCTCTGTTATAATCTTACGTGATCATATATGCATATGGGTGTCATATATGCAGTCCGTCACTGATGAAAACGTCATTGTGCACCACGTGACTTTATCTGACTTTTGCTGTATCTCATCCAAAGCGTTGATATCTTATCAAGTTAGCTCCCACCTGAAACCTTGTTTCAGTCTGCTTAAGTCTATCCCCCAAAATTGTAATTAAGAAACTCCATTTATCTTGAAAAGAAATGGTGACAACAGGCTGGAGTCTTTGACACTACTATATATTTTCTTGTTGACTTTCTCATCAAATCTTGAGACATTCTGTGAAATTCCTAAGTATTTATTGGGTGGAACTTCAGAAGAAAAAATTTAGTAATATGTAAAAGCACCAAACAAAAAAGTCCTGAACAGTGAAATAACTAGTACCTTCTTTCCATTCTGCAGCTCGTTTAATTTTGGTATCTTTTCTATAAAACCAGCCACCCCCATCATCCCCTACCAATGATCTATTCTAATTCTATGTAGTAAATGTTTGAGAGAAAAAGAGATTCCTCTTGTTCTTAACAGGAATGCACAAGTCCTCCAAATGCTGACTGCCAGGTTTTAAATCACTCTCATCAAGACACTACATACACATAAGCAACTGTGAAAATTCCCCTCCATGACTGGGGCCTAATTGTCACCATCAAGACTTTTGAAAAAAAACAATATCATTTGAGAAAATTCAAACCATATGCATATACGACAGAGAATGGCAGGATTTTCTGGTCACTTCATGGATAAGTCAGTTGCCTAAGCCTTGTGGATTATGTAAAAAGCATAAATTGTGATACAGCTATCACAATGAAATTACTCCTGCATGCATCATTAAAAGCTTTATCTCCAGGCTGACTTCATTTAGTGCTTCAAAGTTCAGAACGTAATCTCATTATCTCATTGTTTTCTTTCAGTTCCTTGGGAAGACACAAAACCATCACCACTAGAAAATGCCTTTGACCAAGCCTTGGACAGATGAAGACAAAGCGGAGCACACATCACGAAAAGTGTCTGTCTCATCCGCAGCCTGGCCTACCCTTCCCCCATCAAGGTGGAGAAAATCAACTTTCCATAAATTATGCAGCCTTAAAGCAAGTGCTTCACTATGCTGGGAGTTAACAACCTCATTTGTAAAATCAGTGGATGAGACTATCCTAGAAAATGACCTTTAAGACCTTTTCCGGGTCTAACTTACACTTTACTAAGAGTGCCGATTAAATAAACTTGTGATGAAAAAGCTTTTTTGGAAGATGGACGCAAATTAATCCAACCTTCTTATTTTACAGAAAGAAAAACTGAAGGCCAAAGAAATGAGACAAGGTCACGCAGCTAGCTGACCACAGGCTCAGGGATACAGCCCTGGGCTGAGCTCACACACTCCAGGGCTTCCTGCACCTTGGCCCACTACCTAGTCAAAAGTCCCCTCCAAAAAGGTATCACATGATCAATGTTGCTCCACTTCAAAGCAGTTCCCTCCAAAACCCTGCAGTTTTAGAACAGAGCATTAAAGGAAGTCACCCAAAAAGAAAGACAGCTGTAGCAAAAGTCTAAGGCTTACGGATAAGAAAGTGACACCTGGTCAAGCTACTCCAGTTCCCCAGCCCACCTTCCTGTGCTCCTCAAACCAAATCCAAGACCTCCTAGGATCTAACCAGCACAAGTTTCAGAAAGTCTGTGTCATCTAAGTTTACAATGTCTACCCTCAGGAAACTTGGCTCTTCAAACACACAGGAGACTGCCCCTTTTGCACGTGGAAAGCAGTGAGAGGCCAGTTCCCTGAAGCAAGGTAACCAATGGCAAGAGGAATGAGCAGAAGCACTGGCCTGAGGGCTCCACAGGAGAGCCCTGTGCAGATGGGGACCAAGTGGAGAACTTGCCATGTCTATTTCTGCATTGTTCCATATTCCAGTGGATAGCCCAGGTATGATTTCAGTTTATGAAAATGTCTTGCAAAGAATCACATTTTTGGGTCTTTTCATATCGTATTTACTGATTCAAATCTAGTGTTTTCATTTTGTGCCAGTTACTTTCATAGCCCAGACCTGCAACACAAGCTTAATCAGTCATTTAAGACATTCTGAAACTATTTAAAGGTATAAAATTGAGTAACTTACTTAATTCTCAGGCCAACATTTAATAATACATCATAACCTCAAACACAGCTGGGCACGGCGGCTCATGCCTGTAATCTCAGCACTTTGGGAAGCCAAAGTAGACAGATCAACTGAGGTCAGGAGTTCAAGACCAGCCTGGGCAACATGGTGAAACCCTGTCTCTGCTAGCCAGGCATGGTGGCACATGCCTGTAATCCCAGCTATTTGGGAGGCTGAGGCAGGAGAATGGCTTGAATCCGGGAGGCAGAGGTTGCAGTGAGCTGAGATCATGCCACTGCATTCCAGCCTGGGCAACACAGTGAGACTCCAGCTCAAAAAAATAAATAAATAAACATGACCTCAAACAATTACTTAGTATAATCTTGAGAAAATGGCTAAAATAAGTTTTCTCTAAACACTTTTTTTTTCATTTCAGCACAGATAACTCTTAGAAGAGGGTGAAACTATGACATATCTAAAAAAAAAATTCTAAAGCATTCTAAATAAGTTGTTTGTTCTAGGGATTTCTAGGGAAAATCTTACACCAAATCTATTTTAAACTCTCAAAAATTCCCAGAGAGTTGGACAGACTGAGATTCTAGCACTCTGTTGAAGTACTAGGTGACCAAAGCAGATCCTTACGCAAAGGAGACCTGTGAGTGCTTTACAGACTTATGTTTTCAATGAAAGAGACTGTACATTCTCTGCATCTCACCCTTCATATTCCTCCTAGTGTGGGGGGCAAGCAGAAGGCAGCAGACACAGTGGGTTAAAGGGTTGTATGAATTGGAAAGTCATGGTCTTCCCTTTTTTCCTCCCTTCTTGCTTTCATAATTACTTAAGTATGAGTTAATAATTCAGAAGCACCACATGACATACTAACAACAAGCTGGCAAGTAAAAGGTAATTCTCTGTTTCATGAATACAGTACTTATAGAGAAACAGAACTCTATAAGGAGAATGTTAAAGCCAGTTGAGGCTAGGAGCAGTGGCTCATGCCTATAATCCCAACATTTTCAGAGGCCAAGGTGGGAAGGTAGTTTGAGGTCAGGAGTTCAAGACCAGCCTGGGCTACATAGTGAGACCCCCATCACTACAAAAAAATACAAAATTTAGCGGGGTGTGGAGGTGTGCACTGTAGTCCCAGCTACTCAGGAGACTGACACGGGGGGATCCCTTAAGCTCAGGAGTTCTAGGCTGCAGTGAGCTATGACTGTGTCACTGCACTCCAGCCTAGGTGAAAGAGTAAGACCCTGTCTCAAAACAAAAATTTTAAATAAAGCCAGATGAGACAGGAAATTAAATCAGTCACTCTTCTATCCACTATTCTAGAGGTTTTCACTTTTCTAGGATCTTATATATCAAACATCCAAAAACTTTACAAAAGCTAATTAACTCAGAAAGGAGATTTATCACTTTAATGTTACACAGAGATAAACTGAGAGATCAAAGGTTGAGCAGGAAGAATGAAGAGAATGACATTAGACCACGAGATGGTGATCAAATCATAATCCCCAATGTGCATGTGTATGGGGTTAAACTGCTTTCCCATACATTATCTGATTTGATGCTCTCAAGAATGATACTGGGGCAGAGTGCAGTGCAGTGCTAGCTCACGCCTGTAAACCCAACACTTTGAGAGGACAAGGCAAATGAACTGCTTGAGGCCAGGAGTTCAAGACCAGCCTGAGTAACATACCAAGACCTCATCTCTACAAAAAAGAAATTTAAATTTAAATTTAAATTTAAAAAATTAGCTGGGCATGGTAGCATACTTTTGTAGTCTCAGCTACCTGGGAGACTTAGGAGGTAGGATTGCTTGAGCCAAGGAGTCTAGTCCAAGGCTGCAGTGAGCTGTGATTGTGCCACTGCCCTCCAGCCTAGGCAAGAGAATAAGACTCTACCTGATTAAAAAAAAAAAAAAAAAAGATACTGGGTAGGCAAAGTAAGTAATAATGATGATTATAACAACACCAGTAGTCACAGAAACAGCAGCAGCAGCAATAGTAACAGGCCTTATTGATGTTTTAACTGTGGCCTACAATGGGTGAAGCATGTGATACCCAGCAGGACACTGAGAGTCCCACCCCCATTAAGAGAAATGCTCAGGACCACGGTAGCTCAAAAGAGCAGAGCCAAGACTCAAACACAGATCTTCTCACACTAAATTCAGTCCTCTTTCCAGTATAAATAGTAATGACAGTCTACCAGGCTCTCTTGCCAACATCTCTTTCTTAGGAACTGCTGTGTCTCCCCACCGCCGTCTGCCCCAACCGTGCAAATTTTTGCATGGGAAGTTGCCCTGTACCCACATGATCATAGCCCCAGCAACAGCCCACAGATCCAGGGGTGGCCTCCAGACTCAAGCTGGACAAATCAGATTCCGTACCAAGGAATCTGTAATAGGAACTAAGGTAGATCAGATTAATCCTTCTCTGAGAGGCTAGATTGTAACACACAGGCTGGAAATTGTTGGCAGAACCTATTTTCCTCATGTGGAAATGGAGGAAACCAGACTGCAGTGGGAAAGGAAAATGAAGGCGATCTTTAAAGAGACAGTCCTGGACAGTGTGCCAATGCCAGGTTCTGCTTCTTCAGCTGGCTGCAGTCCTATGCAGGGGTTCCACAGATGACCTCCAAAGAATTCCATGTACGTCGTCTCTTTCCTTAGGCTTTCTCTAGTGGGCCTCTGCTCTGAGCAACTGAGGGACCTAAGTAGTAGAAACAAGTTGTGGCTGGGCGTGGTTGCAGTCCCAGCACTTTGGGAGGCAGACGCAGGGTGACCGCTTGACTCCAAGAGTTTGAGACCAGCCTGAGAAACATAGTGAGACCCCCATCCCTACTAAAAATTAGGCAGGCATGGTGGTAGACACCTGTAGTCCCAGCTACTTGAGAGGCTGAGGTGGGTGGATCCCTTGAGCCCAAGATTTCAAGGTTGCAGTGAGCCATGATCACACCACTGTACTCCAGCCTCGGTGACAGGGCAAGACACTATCAAAAAAAGAAGAAAAGAAAAGAGGAGAGGAGAGGGGAGGGGAGGGGGGGAAGAGAAGGAAGGAAAGAAGAAAGGAAGGAAGGAAGGAAGGGAGGGAGGGAAGGAGGGAGGGAGGGGAGGGGAGGGGACTGAAAGGAAAGGAAAGGGAAAGGAAAGGAAAGGAAAAGAAGAAAAAGAAAGAAGAGAAAGAAAGAGGAAGAGGGAGGAAAGAAAGAAAAGAAAAGAAAGAAGAAAAGAAGAGAAAAGAAAAGAAAAGGACATGAAGAGACCAGCACTAGGAGAGCTCACGTAGACCATCTTTATACTTTTGTCTGCTCAGCAGCCCTCTCTCCTTCTGCTAACAGAGCCCCTCTCTGCTGGAAAACTGCTCCTTCCCCAGCCACCTGGGTCTAGTGGAGGATGGCTACCTTCATTTATGTAATCTGGTATTCTACCACATCCCTGTGAAGTCTCATTATAAGTATTTTTTAAATGAGGCTCAGAGAAATTAAGTATCTTGCCACAAATCACAACACCAAGAAATGATACTGCCAGTATCTGCACCCAAGTATCTCTGACTTTAAAATGTGCACTTTTTCCAATAAAACACTTTCCCTCCCTGGTAACTTACAACATCTTAGTAACAACTCATGAACCAATATTTACTCAGCACTTTCTGTACAGGGTATTGGAAAGTAGTGGGAAGAGAAAGCAATAAAAGATACAGGAAAAACAAATGCAAGTTTTTATTAGAAATGTTAAATCCCAAATCCCAGGCTGTACTGGGTTTTTCGGAGAGAAGGCTGGAGAAGGAAGTGTGGGCGCATGCGCACTGCCTTTCAGTCGCCATACTCTGATGCCCGCGGAAAGCACTCATCTACCGTGAACCGCAGAGGAAAGGTCTCCATTCTAAAACACTTTTCCCATAGCTCCTGTGAAAAATGGAGGGGCTGTTTTCTATGAACTCTGACAGAGATAATAGTCTAGGACATATATCGGGGATGAAGTTAAATGCTAGACACAGACATTCTTCTATTCCTAGTGGGAAAAAGAAGGAGAGAAAAATCGCCAAAAAACGGTCAAGTCTCCGTTTCCTGAGTTCGTAAATTGTGGCAGTAAGTGGATTTCACACTTGGTTTAACTTTGGAAGCATTTCTTCTAACAAACCCCTTCATGGAAAACCCAGGTATGAACCGTCCAGGGGCAGCCCCTGATGGCTCACTACACGCCCACACCCGACTCCCAGGCCCCCCGGGTGCCCTAGTCCCCCTCCAGGAAGCCCCGTGTCTTTTCAACCACTTCCCACCACCTCCAAACTGCAATGTTATGAGAGTTGACAGGGAAAGTCCACTCAAGTACGTGTATTAAAAAGCAAACTGAAAGCGTGATGTCAGAAGTGACAAAGATAAAGAAAATGGTTTTACTACCTACCATACCCATTAAGCTACTTTTGGAAACCCAGATGTAACAAAAATACTAACAGCTAACTTGCTGAGGGCTTACTCCTTGCCAAACTTTCAAATACTTCATATGAGTTAACCCCTTAAGCCTCACAGTAATTCCAAGAAGAAACGACTCTTTCTATTCCCATATTAGAGAGGAACGAATTGAAGTTTACAGAGATTAAGAAACTTGCCCCAACTTAAGCCACTCAGTGAAGGAGCCCAGCTTTGAACCCAGGAGCTCCCATGCCCACTTAACCACTATGCTGCTCCGAATCACACTGCAAAAACAGACACCGAGCTTCAAAGTTATTACATGCTTAATTCACATAACCACTAACAGCAGCAAGCCTTACTCCAAGTTCAGATGACTTCTCATTATTACCATGCTCCCTCGACATCTAACAGCTGGGAAAAAAAAAAGAGGCTATCACTAAACCTCTACCCATTGTCTTAAAACTGATTCTCAAACTGTGGTCCAAGGGCTCCTGGGGGTCTCTATGATATTTTTAAGGGGTCCTCGACATCCTCTCTTTTTGGTCCTTGTATCTACGCGTGCCTGGATTTTCTTCTTATACTTCAACCAACACAACACATTGCAACAGACTGCAATGCAGAAACACATATAAGAATTTGGCTGCCTTCTATTAAGCCAGACATTAAAAACTTGCAAAAATGTGAAACAACGCCGCTCTAGTCACTAAATATTTTTGTTTCAGAGAATATAACTATTTTCATTAAAATATTATTTATGTTAAGTAATGATTATATTGTTATTTTTAAATAAACTAATAAATATTCTTAATTTTTTCCATTATAATTTATAATGCCATAAATATTGATATATAAGACATGCATAATACTAAAAGCACCTTTGGGTCCTTAGTAGTTTTTAAAAATATAACAGGATCCTGAGACCAAAAAGTTAAGAACTCCAGTCTTAAAATATACAAATTAGTCCTTTATTTCTATAGAGAACAGAGAGTCCACAATTCAAACCTAAAAGCTTTATTGTTACCTCCGAAGTAAAAGAGTCACTGGTAACATTTCTTTTTACACATTTTTTCATCATTAAATAAACTGCTAAACTTTAAAACTGATGAAATTAGATTTCATCATAAATTTATACATAACACAAATTTACACATAAGCGTAATCAAAATGATATATTTTGTGGCATCTTTAAAACTCATTAGGATTAATTATAACACTCTAAACTTGTATCTATCATATATACTTTCTACACGATGCCTAATACTTTCATAACTGTAATCTCAGATGTCAGTAAAGTCTTTAACATCTAGGCAATTTAGGTTATATTTATAAACAAAATTTAAGGCAGATTTCAAAAGCAGCTACACAAAAAATGGATACTATTAACTTCCATACCAATAGAAAAAAGACTAGTAACCAAGAATGAGGACAATTGTTTATTTTTAAAATATATATTATAGCAAAAAAAATCAAAAGTGTAATGTAAGCTTTCAAATTAAATAAAATGTTTATTCATGCTGTTGTTACTACATATATTTCTGTATCTTTTTAAACTTAAGCTTGAATATTTATATGTATAATCAATGCAATCAAAATTATCACTAAAATATTTATTAAATGCTGAGATTATCATATCTTGATATCAAGCACCTATGAATATGTTTTATGGAATAAACATGCTTCCCTCCACACAAAAAGCTTTAGAAAGGTTACAAAATGTATAAACATTATGTTTTACACAGGCAAAAAAAGAGAGGAAGAGAAACAGAGAGGAAAAGATAATAAAGTCACTGTTCAATGGAATGTCTAAGGAGCTGTTATTTTCCTCCCAGCTTTGTGACATAAAGACATACTTTATGAACTCAAGAAGAAATAAAAGTAGGTTAACCATAATTGCACATGATAATGCTCTAACTTATTCTGTCTGCTTTATCCTCAGAAGAAATAAATGGAAGATTTATTCTACTGGCCATGTCCTATTTGAAAACAGACATTTTAGCCATCTAAAGAAGAAAATGGTTCAGGTTTCTTATAGGAAGATAAGGCAGCAACAATAGTGTGGTTTAAATCATCAGATCCCACATTCCAGATAAGAAAAACAATACCCACAGAGCAAGAAGAGCTTGTAAAGTCAAAGAAAGAACAAAATCCAGGCTACTATCTCTAATACAAATTGGCTCCACAGTCCCTTCCATCTTCTGCAAAAATGCCAGCTTTTGAAAAGTTACTTGAAACACTGTATTGTTTGCAAGCAAAATGATTTTCAAATTATCACTAGTTCTTCAAGGGACATTAGAGTTTGCCCTAAGTCACTCTTGTTAAATAATAATTACCTAAGCTGAATTCACTTAAGCAATATTACACTCTTATATTAAATAAAGAGGACAGACACTGTCAATGTATGCACAAGCTTTGAAAAAAAATCACACAGCCTTAGCCAAATGCACCTCACAAGGGCACAGCAAACAGGGTGCACTCTGTTAGGAGCACAGATGGGAAGGTGGCCGTGGCATACTTCTGTAACCTCAATTATATACATGCCTGGGCTAGATTAAGGAAAGAAACTTCCAACCTTTTATTTAATTCTATAGTCTTTTCCTTCTCTAAGTGCATAAACTTAAAAATTATGTCTAAAATTTATAAACTTAATAACTAAATTTAATAATTCCTCCATATAGAACAGACAAGTAATTTAATATGTATTCCCTGACACAGTATTAACTTGAAAATGTCTGTCCACAGATGATCAGCACATTCTTCTTTAAACAACATTGCAACATGCTGAGCTCCTAAAACTGTAGCCATACAGAAAATACAGACAAACGCTCATGTCAGAGAACAAATTGTGGCTACTATGTCTAGAGAAAGATAACATAATAGCATCAATGTCTATTTTAAGGCCATCTTCCAACATCTGAAAGTGTTCACAGTATCACTGAATTCTTAAGACAGAAAAGTTCGTGTTTTTAAATAATGATATTATCTAGGAGTAGTTCTTTCAAAATGAAGGAAATAAGTTCATAATATAGGGACTAGAGATCTGTGAATATCTATACAAGGAATTGATATTCATGAATTCTACATATCTCTATTAGTATTGTAAAGCAAAGCTGTGGATACAACTTTAAATAGGTGTCTAATTTCACACATTCCCAAAAAGACTATTCCCAGCCAGAATCTAGTTGAATGGACTATGTTGTGACAGGAAAACTCAGCTAAGTGCAGATGTTTGTTTAATGCCAAGGAGCCTGGGAAGCCATCAAAATGCCAGACTTTCTCTCATCATTTGCCTGCCTTTTTCCAAAACATTCAAGGATGTAAATGAGTGCTTTAAAAGGAAATTCGTGAATGTATTGTATACCTACAGGAAGATCTCCTTTTACTCTAGCCAAAGAGACTGTGGAGCAGATCTCTGCATTAGAAAGAGGAGCAGCAGCAGTGCCTGGCAGTGACCTGACTCACCGAACCCAAGCAGGGCACAAAACACAAGTCCCTAGGAAAGCCCACAGCAGGTGCCAGAAGGCAAGGCCAGGAGGGGGGCTCCCCCAGCAGGAGCTAAGAGGATCCCAAGCCCGACAGTCTAACCCTGGAGCCTACCTTTCTGTCGGGTCCCTCTGATTGCATATGCCATGCCATCTTTTCTGAGTGGGCAGGAATCTTATTCCTTACATATGTGCCTAGAAAACCCTTCAATCTGCAGTAAAACACAGAAATGTGCTATTTTCAAAACTTACCTAGAAACCATCACTGTGAAGGCCAAGAAGACAGCCTCACAGACACTCCTGTTACCATTGCCATTACCTCACTTTAAAATAAACTCTTGCCGAAGGCCTAAGCTACTTAGCCAGTGTGTCCTTCCTAGAAAATGAGTGGCCTCCCGCTGAGAACAGGCTTCCCACCAAGTCTAGGAGGCCAATGGATTAACCACATCAGTGCTGCCTCCTCAGGGTGCTCTCCACCCTGGCCCACAGAGAATGTCTTCACACAGAGCTCTTTCACCTGGCCTTGCCCACTGAATGAGAAAAACACGCTGCACCTGCTCTCAAAAGCTGGGGTCAGGGCAATCCCTGACAATCTTTTCACACCCCTTTACCAGTAGCTGTAGCAGCTTGTGCATGTTCCTCAGAAGGCCCCAGAAGCCACCCGACCTAAAGTCAGAGCACTCAGATAAAGCACTGTGAGGCCAAGGCTGAGGTCAGAATGCCACCCACTTCCAGATTTCCCATGACCACTAGGAAGGCACATCATAAACAGCACTAATGGTCACAAAGGATGGTGATTTGCCTTTTAACAGACGCCATGAGCTTTACTTACAAGATACGGATTCGGCATTACCTCTTTTAGCCCTCACTTCAACCCCAAGGAGATAGTAGAATCATTCCCATTTTATAAAGAAATGAAAGTTCTATAAGTTACAGTCACAAAGCTCGTGAAACATGAATTCAAAACCAAGTCCTGGGAGGAACATGCTTGGAAGGAAGATGTGGCTGAACACACCTCAGCTCTGAGTTGCTGAGGGATACCAAGCCAGCATGATTTCCCTGGAGCTCACAAGAAAGCCACAAGAGAGTAAACACACAAATGCATAAAGACCTCAGGCCTCCCCTCAGCACAGGCAATGGTAGCGCCATCTTCCCTTCACCCTCTACACTCTCTCCAGTCACCGGCATCCACCAAGACCTGCTCTGTGCTGCTTCTCCATGACTCACAGTGAGGCGGCCGTCGGTGCTTACTTTTAACTGATGTCAACAGCATAAAAATACTTGGGGTGCGAGCAAGGGAGAGAAAACACCAGAAGATCTTTGTTGAGGCTGCAGCCCACATGCTCCCATTCCACTCACTTCCCTAAAGAAGTAAAAGTGAACTAACTTGACTACCCATTGGATTATCTACTTTGCTAGGGACCCTGGGTGATAAACAGTAGTCACAGCAGGTAGACAGCTGCTGAGTGTGTGCTTACTGTCTGCCAAGGTCCCTGCTAAGCACTTTCCATGCATTAACTCGTGGAACTTCAAGACAACCCTGAGGTATAGGTATTATTATCTTCATTTTGCAGATGAGAAAATGGAGCCACAGAAAGTTTAAGAGACTTCCAAAAAGTCACAGGAAAGTAGTATACCAAGTGGTCCCTTGACTTTAGGAGCCTACGACACAATTATGGCAACAAGATTAATTCACTTTAAGCAACTGGCAAACAGTGCTGTCCAATTATTAATATTAATAAAAGTCAACGTCTGGAGGCTGGGTGTGGTGGCTCACGCCTGTAATCCCAGCACTTTGGGAGGCCGAGGCGGGCAGATCACTTGAGGTCAGGAGTTTGAGACCAGCCTGGCCAACATGGTGAAACCCCGTCTCTACTGAAAATTCAAAAATTAGTCGGGTGTGATGGCGCACACCTGTAGTCCCAGCTACTCAGGAAAATGAGGTGGGAGAATCAATTGAACTCGGAAGGTGGAGGCTGCAGTGAGCCGAGATCTCGCCACTGCACTCCAGCCTGGGTGACACAGACAGACTCGGTCTCAAAAATTAAAAAAAAAAAAAAAGTCAATGCCTGTTATGCACAAGCACTACATTAGTCCAAGGAAGAGAAGGTGAGCGAGGGCTGCAGTCAACAGATGCTTCCTGGAGAAGCGGGGCTACAGCTTGGGGCAGTGTGTCCCCCACATACGGTTTGAGAGCAGTGGTTCTCAAAATTACACAAATTAAAAGACAGAAATCAGCCATCTGTATAAAAATCATAATTCATCAATATGCTGTAAATAAGAAACTAACAGAAGATATAAGAAAGTAGGTTGAAAGCAAGGGAATGTGTCCTCCAGGGGACGGGCAGGGAGGGATGCTGGGGGCATGTGGTGTGCGGAGGCCAGCAATGCTGTTAAACATCCCACAATGCACAGGACAGCCCCTCACCACAAAGAACTCTCTGGTCCAAAACTGTCAATGGTGCTAAGGCTGAGAAGCCTTATACAGAGGAAGGAGAATATTTAGAAGGGATCACTCTATACAAGGGAAATAACACAGGCCATGGCTTAGAAACAGAAAAGAGCTCAGATACACGGAAGGCAATTTCTCATGAGGAATAAGAGGAAATCATGTTGCCCAGGAAGGCTTCATGGAGGGCTGTGAAAGCCAAGCAGGATTACAGCTGGATTTGGTTGGAAAGGGGGATATGCAACAGACCTGGGATGACATTCACAGGACAAGAACTCAAGAGTCAGGGAGTCCCAGAACCCAGCTGGAAGATTTGCTAGAATAGCCCAGGTGCAAAGTAACCAGCAGTTTCTGGTTAAAGAGGAGAAATGGTAGTAAAATGCCTTATAAAGAAAGCACCAGTGGGGCACAGTGGCTCACGCCTATAATCCTAGCACTTTGGGAGGCCGAGGCAGGTGGATCACTTGAGGTCAAGAGTTTGAGACCAGCCTGGCCAACATGGTGAATCCCTGTCTCTACTGAAAATACAAAAATTAGCTGGCCATGGTGGCACGTGCCTGTAGTCTCAGCTACTTGGGAGGCTGAGGCACGAGAATTGCTTGAACCTGGGAGGCAGAGGTTGCAGTGAGCAGAGATCATGCCACTGCACTCCAGCCTGTGTGACAGAGTGAGACTCGGTCTCAAAAAAAAAAAAAAAAAAAAAGAAAGCACTGACCTGGCTTACTATTGGACACAAGGGTGAAGGGAAGGCATAGGTGAGATTTTTATCCGGTCGGTCTTCCTCTCTTGCTTGTGCACCCAGGACAGTGCCTAGCAGAGAGCAGGCATAAATCCTGATGCATAAATCATAAACATAGCAGATTGGCTATAATGTCCTCATGCAAAGGGAAAAATTACATACAATCAAATCAGACTTGGAAAATGATAAATGCCTCTAAAGGAGCAATGAAGTCAGCTTTTGTTCCAGCAGGGGAGACACTGCAGGTTCTTCAATGGGAACCCAGATGGAATCACCAGCCGCCCGTCTATGAGCAGCTGTGGGAAACCACGCCTCCCGTTCAGCACAGCACAGTCCCTTGGGGGCCTACAGAACCCAGCACACATGAGGGTACAGCAGGTCCCCCCTCCCACCCAGGGCAGTGGCAGAATCACACCCACTACTGGTGGCCAAAAGAGATGAAGTCACCTAAGTTAAATGTGTGTATGATTCAAAGGTTTGGCGGTGGTGAAGAGTCCTCCCTGTTGGGAGACTGAGCCGGGAGGTAGACGCAGCTGCTCTGATAAACCCACAGGCCACACTGTCCCCAGTTGACAGGGACAGGGCTGAAGCACTGCCCCCACCAAGCAAGCCGACTCAGAAAAATTTAAAAAAATTAAAAATTTGTAAGAAAAGACGTTTGGGTTTCCATGACTGGAGGCCAGCGCTTTTCATGCACATTTCACCAACCAGCGCTTATCTTTCCTCACTTATCAAATGCAGATCCAGCACTTTCTGTGCACAGAGCATTGTGGGGAATGCACAGGAGCAAGTCTTAGTCGCGCCAAGGAGGGTTCTGTCCAGTTGATTTATTAACTTAGACCCAGGGTCAGCACAGTTTTGTTTTGTTTTTTTAAAGTCCAGACTGTAAATATTAAGGCTTTGAGGGTCATAGTCCCTGCGGTAATTACTTAAACTCTGCCATGAGAGCATGAGGGGAGCCACACAATATGAAAACAAATGGGCATGGCTGCGTGCCAGTAAAAATACTGACAAAACTGGCGGCGGGCCAGATGTGGCCACTAGGCTATGGCTTGCCACCCCCTGGCTTACACCTGTACTGTGAGCTGATGAACCAGAATACAAACCATCAGAGAACTTGGCAGAACACACAGAGCGGAGTTCTGGAAATGCCTGTGAAAAGCAAGTTTTGATGAGGGTGGAAGACAGCACCAGGGCTGGTTACTCTGTAAGCGAGACCCTGCGGGGAGAGCCTCTCAGAGGAAGCTAAGTGCCCAGGGCAGCCCAGCCTCATGTTGGGAAAGAGCAACACACCCAGGAAATTCAAGCATAAAGCACTGCACGATCCTGAGGAAAGCCAACTCTGCCTGGCAAATCATCCTCCAAAATTTCACCAAAACCCTTACTACCACAGAGCATATCTTCCAAAAAATGGCCTTACAATTCCCGCCCCAAATGTTACTGAATTGTTAAGGCAGGGCACTGGTGCTTGGTAATAACAAATAATGCTTAGAGAACTTTCCTAATTTAGCTACAAATGCATATGTCACTGAACTGTGGTTAAGAAAATAGATGCCAACCTATAATAAAGCAGAAAACCTAATAATTTGATCTTGTTCTTGGTTTCAGAACACTGTAAGAAATCATTATTTTAATTCCAGGCTCAGTTTCTCAAGAAGCTTATCAATATCACCATAAAGACATACATGAATTCCATGAGGCTCTCCACAATAGCCTCTCTTCAATGTCTACCTTGACGCAATGAACACAGGCCTGAAGCCATAAAGAAGATACATGTCACAACTCAGAACTGTTGGGAGAGACAGTGCTCCTGGGCCCTTGGGCCCCTACACATCTTGTCAGGGGTGCCAAGACTGCAGGCCCTGACCACCCCTCCACCCAGGCCATTTCCTAAGGTTGTTTATGCAGCTGGTAACTTTGAAAGATGAGTTAACTTCTTTCCTCCTTTCTCCACCTCCCTCTCTCAGCCCCTGGGAAAGACTAGGCTTATTTACTGCTTGCTAAAAAAGTGGTGGCTGCCCCTGCCTAGATGTGCAACTCTGCTATGATGCAAATACACTGCATGCCCAGCATCCACCTGGTCCATAGCAAGCTGCCCTATGGGGATGTGTGGGGCAAGGGAAACTGACATAAATATGCCGATGCTGGTGTGCTTGCTGTATCAAGAATTAGACACCCCTTTGCCTCTGACCCAGGAGTCTTGTGTCCTCTGCCAGCACCCATGACAAATAACACAGGCTTATTTGTAACAGTGTCTTATTAGTTTGAAAGCAAGGTAAGATCAAATCCCAGAACCAACTATAATTCTCTTCAATATTAAATAGAAATTTGCAACTCTTTATTTCATTTTCCTCTTTTCAATATCCATTCTTCCGCAAGGCCTCTTAAACTATGAGTGGTGAAAGCTCCTGGTCTTGCACAAAGCAATCCCAGTTCACACCTGCTGACCTACTGTTTCCAATCCAGTAAGTGCCCCCTTTCACTCTCCAAAGTGTCCTCACCTGTACATTAAATTATATGATCACCCTACTTATAACCCAATGGACAGATATGTAATTGCTGAAAATATGTAAATTGCTTCAGTGTTTTCTTTGTGATCATTTTTCTTTAAAAACAAAAAAAGGAACAACAGTCTGACTCCAATTCTTTCACTTAAAACATGTTTTCCTGCAGGAACTTAACCCACCATAATTATATTTTGCAAATAATGGGAAGAAAGTTTAAATTCAGTATCCTCTTGAAGCAAGATGACAATCAATGGTTGTTAAGTGCTTTATTGTTGCAAAGCACATTTAAATATACACTATTTTTTCCTTTTTGAAAACTGTCATCCAAAACAGAATGATGCAAAAAATCACATACATCTGATCTTTCATTAAATGTTATGTTAATATTTAAACATGGTTCTCTCCCCCACAATATTCTGGGGAAAAAAATTTCTCTAAGAAATATAATGAGGCCGCACCATGAAGATGTGACTCTGCAGATTCTGGGAAGCTATCCAGTTTGCGCATCCTTGTCTCTGCAACCTCATCCGTGCTGGGAACTGGAGAGCTTGTCTCTTGCACAGTAAAGAAACAACCTGAAACAAAGTAGTCTTTTATCAAACCTTCCCAAAGGGCAGTCAAAAGGCTGAGGTTTCAGCTACCCTATGCATGCTCTCCAACAGGTTTAACAGGAGTAAAGTCCCTTCCATTCCTACTTGCATAAAAACGCAGACCAACACTCCACTAGACGTCCTTGACATTGACTCCTCTCTAGCTGATCTGCTGTAGGGGCAGCAGCCATGCCTAGTTCTTCACCAAACCCCTATTCCTATCTGCCCTGCACACACCCCTACACACAGTGAGATCTTAGAGCTTTGACAAAGTGCAAAGAGAAGTCGCTCTACCCAAATGTACCCTGCCAACAAGGAAGCCAACCCAGTGTTGGCAAAGCAAACTCTCAATTAAACAGATTATGCACCGTACAAAATACATCTTCGAGTGAATCACAGTAGGAAAATCCCACAGAAAGTACAAGGGAATTATAGTGCAGGCCTTGCTTTACAAACTCCATCAGATCTGCCCAAATGTCAAGTGAATTGATAAAAAAAAAAAACCCACTTTACCACTTCCATAAACTAAAATGTTAAAATATAATAATAATAAACTTGAATGTGACAGATTACTCAAAGGAAAAACTGTGTTATTTTGTTTTGTTTTGTTTCCTAAGATACTGACAAAGCTAAATTATTGGGGTTTTTTTAAGGAAGGTCTTAGAAATTCATAGCAGAAACAAAATTTTTGGGTTTAAGAGAGGACTTTTCTTCATTGTTGTAATTTTTCATCTTCCATGTGTATCAGTGGTCTCTGAAGAATTCAAGTAAAATAAAAGCCCTCCCTGGTTGCCCACATTTCCCCTGTGAACACACAAACAGCAGATGTACATGCCCGCCCTTCACACTCCTGCTACATCTTCCTGAAAATCCAGCTCTGGAGTGGCAGTGGCTGGGTTCAAATCCAGTCACTGCCACTGAACAGCTGTGACTTGGGCGAGTCACTTATCCCCTGTGCTCTGGTTCTTTTTTGTGTAAAATGCCAATAACAACAGCACCAAGCACACAGAGCTGTCACGAGGATTACATGGGTTAACACCGGCAAAGGGCTTAGGACCAAGCCTGGCACGCTAGTGTTTGCTAAAACATTTTATCAAGAGAGCTACAAAATAAACTCCCTGGCAATGTCTCGCCTTTTAGATGCAAGGCAACATTGAGGTCTACTTCATCCGCAAAGTCCACATTTCTTTTGTGGGATTGTGCCTAACAGGAAGTGAGTGTCAACAAATATTCGTGGGACAGATGGATACAAAAAGCTGTACAAATAAAGAAGCAAATGACCTCTTCCATGATTACAGTCAAAATTCCAAAGGGCTTCATTAAAGTCAAATCACCAGAATGGTAAACTGGAGCCTGCGTGCTGTTCTCACCACTAAGTGGTACTTCCTGCCCTTCCACAGTGAGTCCTGGTCCCAGTGAAAACACGATAGAACCAGTCACGCCCCGCCTCTCCTCATCGTAAGAAAGCTGCCCACTGAGACCATCCCACACTCGCCACCACCATTTCCCTCAACACTGCCACTTCTATTACTGGCAGTTATTGCCAGTACTAAAACATGAGGCAAAATGAAATTTCTAAAGCACCGTGAAATCTATGGAAAAATATTCAGAAGCAAAGCTTTCAATTAATTCAGTATTTAAATGAAATTCATTTCAGACACAATTCGATAAAGCCTTCATATTCTGAAGAAATTCCCAATAGTATGAAAAAATATATAGGTTTCCAAAAAGCTTCTGCTTTGGTGCATTGGGAAACTCGGGCTGCTCTTGCAGTGTAACGCAGTCTGATCTGCAGAATTAATTCAGACGTCCACACAGGAACTGCAAACCCTGACTCACAGGTGCCTTCCACTGGCGGCCACCTAGATCACTGCATCTGCCCCAGTCGATACAGGAACTCCAGTCTTTATACCTTCCAAACTTACTGTCCATATGTGGACCTAAAATGCCTCTACGGCTTGGCTCTCTCTCCCCCATTTATGGCCCCTCCATGGCTCTCCCGCCCTAAGGATAAAGTCCAGGCTGCCACGGCTTCTGAGGCACCTCCTGACCTGGCTCCCCACCTGACCAGCCGACTTCTCTTCCCAGCCAGACTGTGCTACAACCTGACTTTGTGCGCTCTCTTCTCACCTCCTACCTGGAGCCACCTTCCCACCACCTCGCTGCCCCTCAGACCTCCGTGTAAATGTCATTTCCTTGGATGCCTCCTGCAACCACCACCCCGATCCCAGGCTAGGTGAGGGACACTTCCACAGCCAGCGCTTCCCTTAGCATGACACTCAGCACTTTTCATCCTAGTTCCTTTACTTGAGCCCTCCGAGAGGGCTCTTTGTCACTGTATCTCCAGCACCTGGAATAACGTCTGGGGCACAGGAGGTCGTCAATACCAATTTAGTAAATGAGATGACAATGGCTTAACTGCAACAGTCAGGATGAGAAATAGAGAAGAACCCAAAAAGAATGGGGTGGAATCCAATAGGACCTGGTGACAGAACAGACATGGGCAATAATAAAGAAAGAAGGGCCTGGCCTGGATGTCAAATCTCCACTGGGGCAGCAATGTGAGCAGAGCCACTCAACAAGAAATAGGCAAAAGCACAAACTCAGGCGAGGGCACTAGTTTAGGTTTAGACACGCTAAAAACATGAGGTGTCCCAAAACATGTGGCTACAGTGTTGTGGCTAAGAACTCATCCCTGCCCTGCTCAAGTTGCCAGTAGCTTCCCAGCACATTAAGGAAACTCCAAACTCGTCACTGAGTCCTACAAGGCCACATATGGACTGGGTCTAGCCCCTCAAGCTCTCCGACCCCACTGTCTCAGTCTGCTTTCTCCCTGCTCGCCTCACTGGCAACAGTGGCCCTCCCACTGTCCCCAGAGGTGCCCAGCAAAATGCTCCTCAGCACCTGTGCACTCACTGCAGCCCACCTGGAGCACGGCACCCAAATCCTTGCAGGGCTTCCTGCTTCTCTTAATGTAGGTCCCACTTCAAACATCACCTCCTCCTGTCAGTCGTGAAAATTATCCACAGTAGCACCCCCTGACTCGCTGTCACATCAGTCTGTTTTAGTTTAATCACTAAACACTTGATGAAATTACACTGTCTGTTCATTTGTTTTGCATATTTGTTGTCTGTCTATCCTATCTACAGGGTACATAAAGTAAGGCCCCAGCTGCGCACAGTGGCTCATGCCTATAATCCCAGCACTTTGGGAGGTTGAAGTGGGAGGATTGCTTGGGACCAGGAGTTTCAGACCAGCCTGGGCTGGGGAGACCCCATCTGTACAACAACAACAACAAAAATTAGCTGAGTGTGGTGGTGTGTACCTGTAGTCCCAGCTACTCGGGAGGCTGAGATGGGAGGATCACTTGGACATGGGAGGTTGAGGCTGCAGTGAGCCTTGATGGCATCACTGCACTCCAGCCTGGGTGACAGAGTGAGACCTTGTCTCAAAAAACAAACAAAAAACATAGTCAGGGTCCTCAACTACTTTCCTTACTAGCATAGCCTGAGCACTTAGAACAGTGTATGGCCCTTGCTAATAGCTTATCATATCTGTTGAATGAATATCTGAATGGAGGAATGAAGGTAGCAAGATGGGATTTGTCCTCTCCTGCCCTCACACTGAAATCATTGTGTATTTACAAAAGGTGATACACAGTGCCAACTATCTAAGGACATTAGTAACGCTGACTATCACAAATTCCAGAAAGTTCTCTCAACCAAAAGCAAATAAAGCTTTGGAGGAGGGCACGGAGCACAAACAGGAAAAGGGAAAAGAGAGGAAGTGGATTTCTCTGATCCTCACCTGGCCCCCTGTCTCAAGGGTCACAAACCTGGCTGACCACCAGGAGCACTGTGTTGTATTTTGTTTATTTGCTTGGTTACAAATTCATCCATTCACATACTGAGTAACTGACAAACTCATCTCGTTCGAAAGTTAAGACCATATAAATAGGTATAGGTGAAGAAATCTTACCTCCTCTCCTGGCCGTGTCCACTTTTCTTCATACGAGTTTCCTGAGTTGGTTTTTTTAATTATTATTTGTATTATACTTTAAGTTCTAGGGTACATGTGCAGAAAGTGCAGTTTTATTACATAGGTATACACGTGCCATGGTGGTTTGCTGCACCCATCAACCTGTCACATACATTAGGTATTTCTCCTAATGCTATCCTTCCCCTAGCCTCCCAACCCTCAACAGGCCCAGGTGTGTGATGTTCCCCTCCCTGTGTCCATGTGTTCTCATTGTTCAACTCCCACTTATGAATGAGAACATGTGGTGTTTGGTTTTCTGTTCCTGTGTTAGTTTGCTGAGAATGATGGTTTCCAGCTTCATCCATGTCTCTGCAAAGGACATGAACACATCCTTTTTTATGGCTGCATAGTATTCCATGATGTATATGTGCCATATTTTCTTTACCCAGCCTATCATTGATGGAAATTTGGGTTGGTTCCAAGTCTTTGCTATTGTGAATAGCGCCACAATAAACATACATGTGCATGCGTCTTTAGAGTAGAATGATTTATGATCCTTTGAGTATATACCCAGTAATGGGATGGCTAGGTCAAATGGTATTTCTAGTTCTAGATCCTTGAGGAATTGCCATGTCTTCCACAATAGTTGAACTAATTTACAATCCCACCAACAATGTAAAAGCATTCCTATTTCTCCACATCCTCTCCAGCACCTGTTGTTTCCTGACTTTTTAATGATCGCCATTCTAACTGGTGTTAAGATGGTATCTCATTGTGGTTTTGATTTGCATTTCTCTGATGACCAGTGACGATGAGCATTTTTCATGTTTGTTGCCTGCATAAATGGCTTCTTTTGAGAAGTGTCTGTTCATATCCTTTGCCCACTTTTGGATGGGGTTGTTTGTTTTTTTCTTGTAAATTTGTTTAAGTTCTTTGTAGATTCTGGATATTAGCCCTTTGTCAGATGGATAGATTGCAAAACTTTTCTCCCATTCTGTAGGTTGCCTGTTCATTCTGATGAGAGTTTATTTTGCTGTGCAGAAGCTCTCTAGTCTAATTAGATCCCATTTGTCAATTTTGGCTATTGTTGCCATTGCTTTTGGTGTTTTAGACATGAAGTCTTTGCCCATGCCTATGTCCTGAATGGTATTGCCTAGGTTTTTGTCTAGTATTTTTATGGTCCCAGGTCTTATGTTTAAGTTTTTAATCCATCTTGAGTTAATTTTTGTATAAGGTATAAGGAAGGGGTCCAGTTTCAGCTTTCTGCATATGGCTAGCCAGTTTTCCCAACACCATTTATTAAATAGGGAATCCTTTCCCCATTGCTTGTTTGTGTCAGGTTTGTCAAAGATCAGATGGTTGTAGATGTGTGGTGTTATTTCTGAGGCCTCTGTTCTGTTCTGTTGGTCTATATGTCTGTTTTGGTACCAGTACCGTGCTGTTTTGGTCACTGTAGCCTTGTAGTATAGTTTGAAGTCAGGTACTGTGATGCCTCCAGGTTTGTTCTTTTTGCCTAGGATTGTCTTGGCTACATGGGCTCTTTTTTGGTTCCCTATGAAGTGTAAAGTAGATTTTTCCAATTCCGTGAAGAAAGTCAATGGTAGCTTGATGGGGATAGCATTGAATCTATAAATTATTTTGGGCAGTATCACCATTTTCACGGTATTGATTCTTCCTATCCATGAGCATAGAATGCTTTTCCATTTACTTGTGTCCTCTCTTATTTCCTTGAGCAGTGGTTTGTAGTTCTCCTTGAAGAGATCCTTCACATCCCTTGTAAGTTGTATTCCTAGGTATTTTCTTCTCTTACTAGCAATTGTGAATAAGAGTTCACTCATGATTTGGCTCTGTTTGTCTGTTATTGTTGTATAGGAATGCTTGTGATTTTTGCACATTGATTTTTTATCCTGAGACTTTACTGAAGTTGCTTATCAGCTTAAGGAGATTTTGGGCTGAGATCATGGGGTTTTCTAAATACACAATCATGTTATCTGCAAACAGGGACAATTTGACTTCCTCTTTTCCTATTTGAATAGCCTTTATTTCTTTCTCTTTCCTCATTGCCCTGGCCAGAACTTCCAATACTATGTTGAATAGGAGTGGTGAGATAGGGCATCCTTGTCTTGTGCCAGTTTTCAAAGGAAATGTTCCAGTTTTTGCCCATTCAGTATGATATTGGCTGTGGGTTTGTCATACATAGCTCTTATTATTTTGATATATGTTCCATCGATACCTAGTTTATTGAAAGTTTTTAGCATGAAGGCAAGTTGAATTTTGTCCAAGGCCTTTTCTGCATCTATTGAGATAATCATGTGGTTTTTGTCATTGGTTCTGTTTATGTGATGGATTACATTTATTGATTTGCATATGTTGAACCAGCCTTGCATCCCAGATATGAAGCCGACTTGATCGTGGTGGATAAGCTTTTCGATGTGCTGCAGGATTCGTTTTGCCAGTATTTTATTGAGGATTTTTGCATCAATGTTCATCAGGGATATTGGAATGAAAATTTCTTTTTCTGTTTTGTCTCTGCCAGGTTTTGGTATCGGAATGATGCTGGCCTCATAAAATGAGTTAGGGAGGATTCTCTCTTTTTCTATTGATTGGAATCGTTTCAGAAGGAATGGTACCAGCTCCTCCTTGTACCTCTGGTAGAATTCAGCTGTGAATCCGTCTGGTCCTGGACTTTTTTTGGTTGGTAGGCTATTAATTACTGCCTCAATTTCAGAATTTGTTATTGGTCTCTTTAGGGATTCGACTTCTTCCTGGTTTAGTCTTGGGAGGGTGTATATGTGCAGGAATTTATCCATCTCTTCTAGATTTTCTAGTTTATTTGCGTAGAGGTGTTCATGATATTCTCTGATGGCAGTTTGTATTTCTGTGGGATCAGTGGTGATATTCCCTATATCATTTTTATTGTGTCTATTTGATTCTTCTCTCTTGTCTTCTTTATTAGTCTGGCTAGCAGTCTATCTATTTTGTTGATCTTTTCAAAAAACCAACTCCTGGATTCATTGATTTTTTGAAGGGTTTTTCGTGTCTCTATCTCCTTCAGTTCTGCTCTAATCTTCATTATTTCTTGTCTTCTGCTACCTTTTGAATTTGTTTGCTCTTGCTTCTCTAGTTCTTTTAATTTTGATGTTAGGGTGTCAATTTTAGATCTTTTCTGCTTTCCCTTGTGGGCATTTAGTGCTATACATTTCCCTCTACACACTGCTTTAAATGTGTCCCAGAGATTCTGGTACATTGTGTTGTTGTTCTCATTGGTTTCAAAGAACATCTTTATTTCTGCCTTCATTTCATTATTTACCCAGTAGTCATTCGGGAGCAGGTTGTTCAGTTTCCATGTAGTTGTGCGGTTTTAAGTGAGTTTCTTAATCCTGAGTTCTAATTTGATTGCACTGTGGTCTGAGAGACAGTTTATTATGCTTCCCATTCTTTTGCATTTGCTAAGGAATGTTTTACTTCCAATTATACGGTCAATTTTAGAATAAGTGCGACGAGGTGCTGAGAATAATGTATATTCTGTTGATTTGGGGTGGAGAGTTCTGTAGATGTCTATTAGGTCCACTTGGTCCAGAGCTGAGTTCAAGTCCTGAATATCCTTGTTAATTTTCTGTCTTGTTGATCTGTCTAATATTGACAGTGAGGTGTTAAAGTCTCCCACTATTATTGTGTGGGAGTCTAAGTCTCTTCATAGATCTCTAAGAACTTGCTTTATGCATCTGGGTGCTACTGTATGGGGTGCATATATATTTAGGATACTTAGCTCTTCTTGTTGCATTGATCCCTTTACCATTATGTAATGGCCTTCTTTGTCTCTTTTGATCTTTGTTGGTTTAAAGTCTGTTTTACCAGAGATTAGGATTGCAACTCCTGCTTTTTTTATTTTTAATTTTTTTTCTTTCCATTTGCTTGGTAAATATTACTCCATCCCTTTATTTGGAGCCTATGTGTGTCTTTGCACATGAGATGGGCCTCCTGAATACAGCACACTGATGGGTCTTGACTCTTTATCCAATTTGCCAGCCTGTGTCTTTTAATTGGGGCATTTAGCCCATTTACATTTAAGGTTAATATTCTTATGTGTGAATTTGATTCTTTCACTATGATGCTAGCTGGTTATTTTGCCCATTAGTTGAAGCAGTTTCTTCATAGTGTCAATGGTCTATACAATTTGTTATGTTTTTGCTGTGGTTGGTACCGGTTGTTCCTTTCCATGTTTAGTGCTTCCTTCAGGAGCTCTTGCCAGGCAGGCCTGGTGGTGACAAAATCTCTCAGCATTTGCTTGTCTGTAAAGGATTTTATTTCTCCTGCACTTATGAAGCTTAGTTAGGCTGGATATGAAATTCTGGGTTCAAAATTCTTCTCTTTAAGAATGTTGAATATTGGCCTCCACACTCTTCTGGCTTGTAGAGTTTCTGCAGAGAGATCTGCTGTTAGTCTGATGGGGTTCCGTTTGTGGGTAACCCAACCTTTCTCTCTGGCTGCCCTTAACATTTTTTCCTTCATTTCAACCTTGGTGAATCTGACAATTACGTGTCTTGGAGTTGCTGTTATTGAGGAGTATCTTTCTGGTCTTCTCTGTATTTCCTGAATTTGAATGTTGGCCTGTCTTGCTGGATTGGAGAAGTTCTCCTGGATAATATCCTGAGAGTGTTTTCCAGCTTGGTTCCATTGTCTCCATCACTTTCAGGTACAACAATCAAACATGGATTTGCTCTTTTCACATAGTCCCATATTTCTTGGAGGCTTTGTTCATTCCTTTTTATTCTTTTCTCTCTAATCTTGTCTTCACATTTTATTTCATTAAGTTGATCTTCAATCTCTGATATCCTTTTTCTACTTGATCAATTTGGCTATTGATACTTGTGTATGCTTCACGAAGTTCTCGTGCTGTGCTTTTCAGCTCCATCAGTTCATTTATGTTCTTCTCTAAACTGATTATTCTAGTTAGCAATTTGTCTAACCTTTTTTCAAGGTTCTTAGCTTCCTTGCATTGGGTTAGAGCATGCTCCTTTAGCTCAGAGGAGTTTGTTATTACCCACCTTCTGAAGCCTACTTCTGTCAATTCATCAGACTCATTCTCCATCCAGTGTTGTCCCCTTGCTGGCGAGGAGTTGTGATCCTTTGGGGAAGAGATGTTCTAGTTTTTGGAATTTTCAGCCTTTTTGCGCTGGTTTCTCCCCATCTTTGTGGATTTATCTACCTTTGGTCTTTGATGTTGGTGACCTTCAGATGGGGTCTCTGAGTGGACGTGCTATTCCTTTCTGTTTGTTAGTTTTCCTTCTAACAGTCAGGCCCCTCTGCTGCAGGTCTGCTGCAGTTTGCTAGAGGTCCACTCCAGACCCTGTTTGCCTGGGTATCACCAGCAGAGGCTGCAGAACAGCAAAGATTGCTGCCTGTTTTTCCTCTGGAAGCTTTATTCCAAAGGGGCACCTGCCAGATGTCAGCCAGAGCTCTCCTGTATGAGGTGTCTATCGGTCCCTACTCGGAGATGTCTCCCAGTCAGGATACACAGGGGTCAGAGACCCACTTGAGGAGGCAGTCTGACCCTTAGCAGAGCTCAAATGCTGTGCTGGGAGGTCCACTGCTCTCTTCTGAGCTGCCAGGCAGGGACGTTTAAGTCTGCTGAAGCTGCACCCACAGCTGCCCCTTCCCCCAGGTGCTCTGTCCCAGGGAGATGGGGATTTTATCTGTAAGTCCCTGACTGGGGCTTTGCGTTTTTTTTCAGAGATGCCCTGCCCAGAGAGGAGAAATCTCTGGCAGTCTGGCCACAGCGGCCTTGCTGAGTTTCAGTAGGCTCTGCCCAGTTCGAACATCCTAGCAGCTTTGTTTACACTGTGAGGGTAAAACTGCCTACTCAAGCCTCAGCAATGGTGGACGCCCCTCCCCCAACCAAGCTCAAGTGTCTCAGGTCGACCTCAGACTGCTGTGCTGACGGCAAGAATTTCAACCCACTGGATCTTAGTTTGCTGGGCTCCGTGGGGGTAGGACCTGCTGAGCCAGACTCCTTGGCTCCCTGGCTTCACTCCCCTTTCCAGGAGAGTGAATGGTTCTGTCTTGCTGGCATTCCAGGTGCCACTGGGATACAAAAAAAAACTCCTGCAGCTAGTTTTGTGTCTGCCCAAACAGCCACCCAGTTTTGTGCTTGAAACTCAGGGCCCTGGTGGGGTAGGCACCAGAGGGAATCTCCTGGTCTGCAGGTTGTGAAGACCATGGGAAAAGTGCAGTATCTGGGCTGGAGTGCACAGTTCCTCAGGCTCAGTCCCTCATGGCTTCCCTTGGGTAGAGGAGAAAATTCCCCAACCTCTTGCCCTTCCTGGGTGAGGCGACGCCCTGCCCTGTTTCGGCTTGCCCTCTGTGGGCTGCACCCACTGTCCAACCAATCCCAATGAGATGAACTGGGTACCTCAGTTGGAAATGCAGAAATCACCCAACCTTCTGCGTCAATCTCACTGGGAGCTGCACACCAGAGCTGTTCCTATTCAGCCATCTTGCCAGCAATCCCTATTAAATCGTGTTTCCTAAGTTTTTTGCTTTGGTAAGTTTCTTGTACAATCTGCATGAATGTTATTTCATACACTGGCTCCTCTAATTGTGGGATAAAAAACCTGTGAGTAAGACTTTAGGATCAGGTACAGTTTTTAAAGATATTACCAATTGCCTTCATCAAGGGTGTGCCTTTTTATCCTTGGAAAATATTTTACATAAAAATTCCTAGACCCCACTCCAAACCTACCAAATCAGAATCTCTAAGGGTGGAAGCCCAATAACTGACTTTTTAGAAACAGCTTCCTTTGTAATGGTGATGTTCAACTACATCTGGGGACAGCTGTCCTGCCTCAGAGAGGAACACTCTTCACTCATCAGAAGGAGGAAGCCACTGCTGCCCTACTGTGCAGAACCTGCTTACCTGAGTAGGCAGAGGCCTTCCCCACGACCTCATCAAAATTCTCTTCTTGTATATATAATCATGCCTAAGAGGATTATGCACACACACACACTCATATATATACATATATATACACACACACAAACCATACATACAAATGTTCATGTATACAGACACATCCATATACATATATCTGTAGTCACATGGAATTGGAGTCTCTCTGAAAAGAAAGGCACAAAGTGGTACTAATGGCTGTCTTCAGGGAGAGTAACGGGGTAGCCAGAGTATGGGGTGGAAGGCAGACACTTTTCTCTGTTGAATTGTATACCCTGTGCATGTTTTACTTTTTGAAAAACAAATAAACTTATAAAAACTCTCTCTTCTTTCACTGAATCTGGGACACTATTTCTAACAATGCCGCAATGATTTTAAAATATTTCTGCAAATGTTTTAACAATTCCTTGCATCAAAAGTGGATTCTAATTCCCCACCCTGTTCTGAATATAGGCCAAACTCAGTGACTTGCTTCTTCTCCTGAAAAGAATGTGGCAGAAGTGACTTCCAAGCCTAGTTAATAAAAGGATGACTTCTCCCTGGCTTGCTGTCTGTCACGGATGGTCTCCTCTGGGGGAAGCCAGCTGCCATGTTATGAGGACACTCAACAGTATGTGCAGTCTGTGGAGAGGCTCACCTGGGACAAGAAGAGCAAGAGGTATGCCATGTTCAAAAGAGAAAGGACAACTCGTAGAGACATACCTAGAGACAGGGAGCAGGTAGAGTTCTGCCAGCCTTGGAAAGAAGGAGTGACAGGTCTTCCTTTGGGGGAGAATAGAGAAGGAAGAAAAAAAGAGAAGTAGATGATACAGAAATTTGGATACGGAAGGGAGAGAAGTTCGTAAGTTCAAAGCAAAATATCTCACTATTTCTATGGCATTAGAGTGAGATAAAAAGCTTAAAGGGGCAGGCCACAGTGGTTCACGCCTGCAATCCCAGCACTCCGAGAGGCCAGGGTGGGAGAATTGCTGGAGTTCAGGAGTTCGAGACCAGCCTGGGCAACACAGTGAGATCCCATCTCAAAAAAATATATAGTATTTGGCTGAGCATAGTGGCATGTGCCTGTAGTCCCAGCTACTCTAGAGGCTGAGGCAGGAGGATCACTAGAGCACAGGAGTTTGAGGCTGCAGTGGGCTGTGACTGCACCACTGCAATGCAGCCTGGGTGACAGAGCGAGACCCTGTCTCAAAAGTAAATAAATAATACATTAAAATTAAAATTAAACAAGCTTAACAGAAGAGGTAAAGATTCCCAACAGTCACTAAAACAGAGGAAACAGAGATGACTCATTTAACCATTCAGAAGCAACATGTCCAATGAGGTTCTAGAATTCATCCCTTTAAGCCTACCACCATCTCCATTCAAAGCAACACTTGGTTAACCACTCTTCAAGCTCTCCAAGAAAATATTTCACAACTTTGAAATTAATCATTCAAAGTTATTCCACATATTAAGCCTTAATTATTAGTTATATAAATTAATTCTTTATCCTCTTGAAGGCAAGAATGATTGCCCAACATTACTTTCAGAATGCCCTTTCCCTATTCCTAAACCTCTCTCCAAAAGGCCGAATGAGGAATAAACTCAATTCCTATATGGTCTATCAGCTAGTCCTTCACTTTCTCTTATTGTCTTTAGGGAAACACCAAAATCTCCCTCAGTCAATCAAAATTTGAACCTGTCTCTAAACTTGAGCCAATGCCATAGATAAAGGTATAAATATCACACATAATTCATTTCAACAACCATTTCACAAGGATGTGACACTCAAAAGCACCTGAACAAGCACTGAGGGAAGACTAGAATTTCCTAAAGAAAGGTGTTTTCCATCCAGTAGGAGAGATAAGCCATGTATATAAATAACTGCAATCAAAGCAGAATGTACTAAATAGAATGACAGATAGCACACCAAGCACACAGGGGAGAAAGCCTGCACTACAACTAGGAGATTGGAGGTTTCACTGCATTTGAGTTGAACTTAAAGAATGAGAAAGATTCCAACAAGTAGAGAAAGAAAAAAAATATTTGAGAAAATGTGAACACTGAGCAAAAGGCATGACAGGGAGAAGAGCATAGGCCTTGGTGCAGACGGCCTGCCATTGATGTCTGGGGAAGGGATGACTGACTGCAAACAGTTCTGTCTGACAAGGGTCACATATCAAGGGCCAGGAGCAACATAGCAAGATTCTTTTCATGCATTCGCCAACTATTTTACTGAGCACTTACTACATGTGACGCACTGTGCTGGGCACTGCAGATAAAGCAGTAAACAAAGCAAAGTTCCAGTCTTCACAGAGCTCACATTCTAACTGAAAACAGAACCTAAAGAAACACACAGATAATCCATATGCCAGGTTGTGATGAGTGCTAATGTCAGGGAGGCCTCTACCACAGGCGGATCTGAACACGAAGCAATGAGGGAGTGGAAACTGACCTGTGTGAAGAGTGTTCCCAGTAAGGAGAAGTGTAGAAGTCCTGAGATGGCTGCTTATGAAGCTGCTCAAGGAACAACAGAAGCCAAGGAGACAGAGCAGGGTGCACAAAGGGGGAGAAGGCAAGAGATGAGACCAGAAAGGCAGGAAATGGCCAGACTGCAGGCAACCCTGCAGATCCTGGAACAGACTTTCATTTTATTATGAATGACATGAGAATGAGACTAAAGGGTTAGGAAGAGAAGAAAGCACTTAAGGAACCCTATGGAAGGCAAGGGTGGAAACAGGGAGGCCACTGAAGAGTCTGTAGCAGTGATCCAGGTGAGAGAGGATGGTGGCTTGGGGGTAGATGGCAGCATTAGAGTGCAGGAGAATGAGCCAGAATCCAGATACATTTCGAAGGTACAGCAGCCAGGACTGGCGACAGACAGGATTACAGAGAAAAAGAAATGACTCCCAGGTTTTTGGCAAAACACACACACAAGAGAAAATTAGCCTGGAACTACAGGCTGGGCCTGATCAAAAATCATCCTCCAAATTGAGGTCTGGGAACCTCCAGGGGAAGCTGAAACAGGACGCCTTCACCTAAGGCTGTCGTCTCTGTGCTACCACTATTCCCTTGCCTACAAAGTGAAGTAAATGGTTAGATTTGTGTTTCTCAAACTAGGATACCCATATGAGCATTCAAGCCACACTACAATCTTACCAGTCTTCCCAGAAAGTTAGTTGTATTAACAGACTCAGGGGTAATTTATATTTACTAGTTCTATTTATTAAAACAAAAATCTAGTATGAGTGAAAGGGAAAACACTGCCTAAATATCTACACAAAAGTGCATTTATGGGAGCAGAAGTACATACATATTTGACTGGCATTTGGCATTCTTTAATGGAAGAGTTTGAGATGTTCTGATTTAAATACATCTCTGGGCCCTTCAGCTATAATGTTCTGTGTTTTAAGTATATTTTACTAGTTTTCAACCCTGAGAGTCATCTAGTGGGAAAAATACCGAAGATGTGGTTTTGGAAAATAAAATTTAATTGTTAGCATCTTTCATAATGTGTAAGAGCAGCCAAGAATAGGTGGAAGGTGGCAGTGGGGAAGGTGCAAGACAAGAAGGGCTGCAAAGCCCCTAATCGTGATGAGTAGGGAGCCAAAGAAGCTGTCAAAAATTTGTGGGAAAAGACATAGACAATTATTCTGAAAAAGAGAGGAGCAGAAGTAGTATAAATAAAGATAGTTTTCACCTTTCCCATGCAAACGTCAACAAAAAGTGTATAAAAGTTGATTAAGAAGTCACAGAGGTATAGACACACTATCTAGAGTGTGGAGGAGTAAATGAAATAGCCAGTAATTAGGTAAAAAAGGTGCTCAGAGTCACCAGGCCCAAGGAAATGCACATTAAAATAACAATATGATACCCTTTTATACCCATTAGATTGTTCAAAAATTAAAAAGAGCTATGATGTGAGGGCAAGGGTACTTTGTTAGGTGTGATTTTAGAAAATAACCTGAAAGGATTTATCAACATAAAAAAATGCAAGTACCAACAATCCACTCCTGGGAATCTATGCCATAAAAATAAAAGCACTAAGATGTAGGACAAATGTATTAAGGATGGTTATTCTGGCATTATTTGAGAAGAAAAACATGAAAAAATGTACTGCTTAGCAATACGGGAATGGCAGAATAAAACATGTCCCTGGATATGCCAGCATTATTTGCAGACAAATTTTGAGAGTAAAAAAGTTGATACCTAACAATATAGAAATTTCAGAATAAATTATGGTACATCATCACACCATAAAATATTAGCAGCCTTTATAAACAGTGAACTGAATTTGTCCCAGCTGAGTTCAGAAAACTACCAGGTGAGAAAAGTGAGTTCCAGTGGAGCCAGGGGATGCTGGTACGGATAAAGAGGAAGGAAAGGATGAGAGAGGGAAATGGCTAAAATGGAGAAGAAATTGAAAATGCACAGAAAGGCAAGCATACAATTATCTGGCTAAGCAATATTGTATATATGGGTTTATTTGTGTAATTAACAAAACATTCATGGATATTTGTTTTGTATTCTTTTTTGAGAACCAGACTATCAGCTCAGAGGTGGAACTGAGGGGCCAGGCACAGGCAGATGGACACCGGCTGTGTTGAGACACCCTGGGTCCTTCCAAACAGGCTACTAAGGCCCCAACACATGCAACAGAGCAGTGAAGTCCAGGTGTCAATAGTACTTAACAGGGAAGGGCATGGCAAAAGAGAAGGAGGAGCAGAGGCAACCAGAAAAGGTGCTTAAAACAGAAAAGAGGTGGTCTCTAGGGAATGGGTAAACTAGGGACAAGGAAAGTCAGGAAGGAAACTATCGTTTGTGATCATAAGCCTTTCTGGGCTCTGATTTGTCACAAGGTACAGGTATCACTTTTAAAATAATGAATTTAAAAAATAATAAACTCAGCAGAAACCTTCCAAGCCATAAGGGATTGGGGTCCTACCTTTACCCTCATTAAACAGAAGAACTGTCAGCCAAGAATTCTGTATCCAGCAAAATTAACTTTCACAAATGAAGGAGAAATAAATTCATTTCAGACAAACAAATGCTGAGGGAATTCGTCACTACCAGAATAGTCCTACAAGAAATGCTAAAAGGAGTTCCAAATCTTGAAACAAAAGCTCAATCTACACCAGAATAGAACCTCTTGAAAGCATAAAACTCATAAAAACCTGTAAAACAACAACACAACAAAGAAAACAAAGTAGCTATGTAATAATTAACATGATGACTGGAACAATACATCACATCTCAATATTAACAAGGAACATAAATTGCCTAAATGATCCACTTAAAAGATACAGATTGGCAGAATGCTTAAAAAAAAATCACAAACCAAATATCTGCTGTCTTTAAGAGACCCATCTAACATGTAAGAATTCATCTAAACTCAAGATAAACAGGTGGAAACAAATATTCCATGCAAATGGAAACCAAAAGTGAGCAGGAGTAGCTATCCTTACATCAGACAAAACAAACTTTAAAGCAATAGCAGTTAAAAAAGACAAAGAGGGACATTATATAATGATAAACGGACTAGTCCAACAGGAAACTATCACCCTAAATATATATGCACCTAACACTGGAGCTCCAAATTTATAAAACAATTACTACTACACCTAAGAAATGAGACAGACAGCAAAACAATAATAGTAGGAGACTTCAACACTCCACTGACAGGACTAGACAGATCATCAAGACAGAATGTCAACAAAGAAACAATGGACTTAAACTACACACTAGAACAAATGGACTTAACTGGTATCTACAGAACATTTTACCCAAGAACTGCAGAATATATATTCTTCTCAACAGCACATGGAGCATTCTCCAAGACAGACCATATGATAGGCCAAAAAACAAGTTTCAATATATTTTTAAAAACTGAAGTCATATCAAGTATCTTTTCAGACCACAGTGGAATAAAACTAGAAATCAACTCCAAAAGGAGCCCTCAAGACTATATATCTATATATATATACATATACACACACACACATATATTACATGGAGTTAAACAATCTGCTCCTGAATGATTTCTGAGTTAACAATAAAATCAAGATGGAAATTTAAAAATTCTTTGAAATGAATAATAGTGACACAAGTTATCAAAACTTCTGGGATACAGTGAAAGCAATGCTAAGGGTAAAGTTTACAATGCTAATTGCCAATCAAAAAGTCTGAAAGTTCACAAATTAACAACTTATTGTCACACTTCAGGGAACTAGAGAACAAGAGCAAACTAAACTCAAAGCTAGCAGAAGAAAAGAAATAACAAGGATCAGAACAGAATGAAGTGAAATTGAAAAACAAAGATACAAAAGATCAATGAAACAAAAACCTGGTTCTTTGAAAAGATAAACAAAATTGATATACCATTATTAGCTATATTAACCAAGAAAAGAAGAGACAACATTCAAATAAGCTGAATTAGAAATGAAAGTGGAGACATTACAACCAACACCACAGAAATACAAAAAATCCTTCGAGACTGCTATGCACACCTCTATGCACACAAACTAGAAAATCTAGAGGAAATGGATAAATTCTTGAAACATACGACCTTCCTAGATTAAATCAGGAAGAAACAGAAACCATGAACAGACCAATAACAAGCAGTGAGACTGAATCAGTAATTTAAAAATCACCAGCACCAACAACAAAACCTAGGGCCAGACGTATTCACAGCTGAATTCTACCAGACATTCAAAGAACAACTGGTCCCAATCCTACTGAAACTATTCCAAAAGATTGAGAAAAAGGGAATCCTCCCTAATTCATTTGATGAAACCAGTACCACCCTGATACCACAACCAGGAAAGGACATAACAAAAAAAAACAAAAGTCTACAGACAAATATCCCTGATGAACACAGATGCAAAAATCTTCAACAAAATACTAGCTAATTGAATCCAACAGCACATCAAAAGATAATACACCATGATCAAGTGGGTTTCATCCCAGGGATGCAAGAATATTTTAACATACATAAGTCAAGAAATGTGACACATCACACAAACAGAATTAAAAACAAAAACCATATGATCATCTCAATAGATACAGAAAAAGCATTTTATAAAATCCAGCATCCTTTATGATAAAAACCCTCAACAAACTAGGCATAGAAGAGATTTACTTAAAAACAATAAAAGCCATATATGGAAAACCCACAGGCAATATCACACTGAATAGAGAAAAGTTGAAAGCATTCCCCATGAGACCAGAACAAGACAAGGATGACCACTTTCACCATTTCTATTCAACATAGTGATAGTAACACTAGTCATAGCAATCAGACAAGAGAAAGAAATAAAGGGGATCCAGATTGGAAAAGAGGGAGTCAAACTAACACTGTTCACCTATGATATGATCATATGCCTAGAAAACCCTAAAGATTCCTCCAAAGGCTCCTAGATTTGATAAGCAAATTTGGTAAAGTCTCAGGTTACAAAATCAACGTACACAGATTAATAGCACCACTAAATACCAACAATGACCAAGCCGAGACTCAAATCAAGAACGCAATCCCTTTACAACATCTGCAAACAACAACAACAACTACTACTACTACTACTACTACTACTAGGACTATACTTAACCAAGCAGGTGAAAGATCTCTACAAGGATAACTGCAAAACACTGCTGAAATAAATAACAGATGACACAACAAATGGAAACACATCACATGCTCATGGATGGGAAGAATCAATATTGTGAAAATAACCATACTGCCCAAAGTACAAATTCAGTGCAATTCCTATCAGAACACCAATATCATTTTTAATAGAATTAGAACAATCCTAAAATTCATATGGCATGTGGAACCAAAAAGGAGCCCAAATAGCCAAAACAACCCTAAGCATAAAGAATAAATCTGGAGGCATCACATTACCAGACTTCAAATTATACTATAAGTCTACAGTTACCAAAACAGCATGGTACTGGTATAAAAGTAGGCACACAAACCAATGGAACATAATAGAGAGCCCAGAAATAAAGCCAAATACTTACAACAAAAGCATACAGCAACATAAATTGGAGAAAGGACACCCTATTAATAAATGGTGCTGGAGCCAGGCGCAGTGGCTTACATCCGCAATCCCAGCACTTTAGGAGGCCAAGGTGGGTGGATCACTTGAGATCGGGAGTTCAAGACCAGCCTGGCCAACATGGCAAAGCTCCATCTCTACTAAAAATACAAAAATTAGCTGGGCATGGTGGCACACGCCTATAATCCCAGCTACTCAGGAGGCTGAGGCAGCAGAATCATTTGAACCTGGGTGGCAGAGGTTGCAGTGAGCCAAGATCGTGCCACTGCACTCCAGCCTGGGCAACAGAACGAGAGACTCTGTCTCAATAAATAAATAAATAGTGCTGGGAAAACTGAATAGCCACATGTAGAAGAATGAAACTGGATCCCTAATTCTCACCCTATACAAAAATCAACTCAAGATGTATCAAAGACTTAAGACCTGAAACCAAAAAATTCTAGAAGATAACCTTGGAAAAACTCTTCCAAACATCAGCCTAGGCAAAGAATTTATTACTAAGACTTCAGAAGCAAATGCAACAAGAACAAAACTAAATAAATGGAACCTAATTAAACTAGGTGAAGTAACTCAGGAATGGGAAACCAAATTCCATATCTTCTCATTTATAAGTGTGAGCTCAGCTATGAGGACACAAAGACATATAGAGTGGTATCAAGAACTTTGGAGACTCAGAAGTGGGGAGAGTAGGAAGGAAATGAGAGACAAAAAAAACTACATATCAGATACAATGTATACTATTTGGCTTATGGGTACATTAAACCTCAGAATTCACCACTATACAATTCAACCATGTAACCAAAAACCACTTGTAACCCAAAAGTGATTGAAATAAAAAAAAAAATTTTAACTATAAAGATAATAAACCCCCTATAGAGCCTACAGACATCATATTTAATTTATGCGAATTCAACGGGCCAAATGTAATCACACATTATATGAATCACAAATATTTGCTTTTTTAGATATGCAACTAATTTCTCTGTGCACTATCTCACGTTAGCTTTCTGTGATGCTCCTAGGACAGAAACTTAGCCCCAAACCGGAATTCAGCGGAAGTAAAGGATAAGCCTGGTTCACCTGACTCCTGCTGAGTCCAGGCTCCTGGATTGTGTTCTATGCCACCTAATTCTCACAGGGAGCATGAGTGGTGACACAGGGAGAGGATCAGGAATAAGCTTGAAATGAAAGCCCACAATGCTCCAACAACTAATGCTAATGCTAGAAGCTAACATTTATTGAGTACCAACCGCATGCAGACCTGTTCTAAGCACTTTCCACAGGCTAACTCACATTGTTCTCCACCCAAGACTATCTCCATCTCAGGCGGCAACACTCTCAGGACAGTTGCTTAAGCCAAACACCTTGGAGCCATGGGGGGCTCCTCTCTCTTCCACAGCCAATCAATCAGGGAATCCCAGTGGCTCTCCTTTCAAAATAAATATAGAATACAGTCACTTCTCACCACAGACGCTGCTACTGCCCTGGTTGGAGCTACATCATCTCCCACCCAGATTGTGATCATAGCCTCTCCAGCAGGCTCTTGGCCTCCACGGCCAGTGATACTCATAAAGCCTAGGTCCATCCCTGTCAACCCTCTGCCTGACTCCTGCCAGGGCACCCCGTCACTATGAATATGGAGCCCTCATGTGGCTACAGAGCACTCCATCACCTCTACTCCCTCACCACCTTCCGCTCTCCCCTTGCTCACAAGGGTCTCCTTACTGTTCCTCAACCAAGCCCACACCCGCTGGCCTCAGGTCCATTCGAGCTGCTCCTTCTGTCTGGAACTCTTTCCCTAGACACCATCACATTACTCCCCTCTCCTTCTCACTACCCTTTCAACACAACAATCTGCCCCCAGCCCAGTGCTGCCACTACCTTTACTCTATGTTACTTTGCTTTTCCATAACATTTAGCACCTTTTAAAATGATAAACATGGCTGAGTGTGGTGGCTCACGGCTGTAATCCCAGCACTTTGGGAGACCGAGTTGGGCAGATCACCTGAGGTCAGGAGTTCGAGACCAGCCTAGCCAATATGATGAAACCCAGTCTCTATTAAAAATGCAAAAATTAGCCGAGTATGGTGATGCACACCTGTAATCCCAGCTACATAGGAGACTGAGGCAGGAGAATCACTTGAACCCAGGAGGTGGAGGTTGCAGTGAGCCAAGATTGTGCCACTGCACTCCAGCCTGGGTGACAGAGCAAGACTCTGTCTCAAAAAATAAAATAAAAAATAATAAAAGAAAACGATACATTATTTACCTGTTTGTTATGTTTCTTGCTTATTGACGGCCTCTCCCCCACCAGGACACAAGCTTCACAAAGGACCTTCACCTGTTTTGCTTACTGATGTACACAAACATCTACAGCAATGCCTGACACACGCCAGGCACCCAATAATTATTTGTGGAATAAAGAAACTAGGCATTATACACCAAATACTGTATGATTTAATTGGAAATAATGCCACTATAAATAAATTTTATAAATCTAATAAAAGCAAAAATCAACCCCTAAAAAAGAGAGATCCCACCTCACCACCAAGAATAAACTGTCCTCAATTCTCCCATACAAGACTATTTTTAACTTTCTTCAGCACACATCCATGGGACTATATGAGATAGAGGGAAAAGATCATTTGCTTGCAGTTTGCAAATGTAATCTCATGAAAATAAATTTATCCTCCCTTCAATACACAAAAGAATATAGATCTTTCTTTAGAAATTTAATGATTCTCAATACCTTGACATACATGTAGATGTCTTTCCCCAATATCTTGTTCCGTTACTTCATAAAATATTATGAGGCTGAGTGCAGTGGCTCACGCCTGTAATCCCAACACTTTTAGAGGCAGGAGGATCACTTGAGGCCAGGAAGTTAGGCTGCATTGAGCCATAATGGCACCACTGCACATGAGCCTGGGCAACAAAGTGAGCAAAGTGAGACCCTGTCTCAAAATATTTTATTTATATATATATATGAGACTATTACATCCAGGACCACCTTCAATATGGGCAAATGATCATTATCCATGAACTCACAGCCTCATTTCTCCCATCACACAGCAGCAGGTCAGCTGCCCATCTGTCCTACCCCTATCCATCCCATTCTGCTTTCCTTTCTACCTGCTTCACGAAATGTTCTGGCTTCTCCTGGCAAAAGTGGCCAAAATAATTGCCCCCTTTTACTGACATATAAAGGGGGGGAACAAGAGGAAGGGAAACTTTCTCTTTTATTTTAAAAGTGTATTACTAAGTAAAATGATGTGTCTGACACAAAATGTGTGCCTAAATACCCAACTTACTGTTCTCGGTCCTAAAAAATAGGCACTGCCATATGATGTATTAATTTTAATCATGGTCTCAGATAATATGATTAGTAGCAGCAGAATTTGAAAAGTTGAGGTAACTTTCACTTTGGGAGGAGTAAATTCACAATTAAACACTGCAAAAATGGAGATGCAGCTAGCATTTTTGCTCCACAACAGCTAAATACATTACCATATTACATGGGTGTTCTACACTCGGTTTTGTTTTGATCATTTTATAATTTAACTCCCATGGATATTATCTACAATAAAGATGCGGAAAAGAACAAAATGTCGTAAAATGATTCTTTCCCAATGTCTTAAAATAAGTACTGAGCAAGACCAAGACGTCAACCGAAGCACTTCTAACTACTAAAACTGTCATATTCACAATGCATCTTAATCTGTGTTTTCTTCCATCCAGGGTTAAAAAAAATCTAATCCATATGAATTAAGAAATAAAATGTTTGCATGGCCAGTATAGGTGAGAAAAAAAATAAGAAAGAAAATGCTATTTTAATCTTATTATAGGAAATGAAGCTAGCCACATTCTGAAACTGAATTTTCTGTATTTAAGCATTCAGTCATGAGAAACATCTCCCAAATAAAGATTCAAACAGGGCTCTTCTTATAAAGATTAAATCATTCTTTTAATATCATTCAAACAATGCACAAACAGTAATTGTACAGCCCATGGGTAATCCAAAGCTCCTAGGAACCCCCGTCATGTAGACTAGTCTGACTTCTTGACTACACAGTGTTAGACTGACCATGCAGGACCTTGGGATCCCAGTGGAAGGTGCCCCTGGCAGGGATGGCACAGCCCCTTCTGCAGCCCAGACACCCGGAGCCTCATCTGCTACCACCCACCAGGTTGGAAAGTGTTTGGCCTGTGCTTGGCACCTCTTGAACCACCCAGAATAGTCCAAATTGTTCTCTCTACAAATAAGGTTCAAGAGGGTATGGATTTTGTGTGCAGGCTCCAGCAGCTAGTAAGGAAGCACCATGTGTGACCATGTGGAAACCACCCCTGTGACTTAGACAGGCAAAGGCATCAGTGGCATTGTTCTTCCTAAGAAAAGAATGTACCTCTCAGTATGTGTTTATTTATTCTTCTGGGGAATAAGCACATGTTACTAACTATATCACCCATTGGGGCAATATTGCCATCCATAAAAGTGTTTCTAACAACTGACAATCACTTTCTGACAGTTACTTAACAGTAGCTATCTTCATACTATGTTCTAAATGTTTTATGCTTATAAAGTCATTTGATCTTCAAAACAACCCTCTTCTACAGGGAACTGAGGCACATTACTAACTAAGTTACTGCCATTCACACACCTACAAAAGGCTAACCAATGAGTTAAAGCCAGGCAGGACTTTTTTAATGTTTCTTTATTCAGTCAAACAAGTAAACGTTTTAAGTGTAAAAATAGATGTTTAGGAATTCTGAGAAACTAAGCAAAAAATGCTGATGAAGCATGAGTAGAGAAGCCAAATATACACACTAAGATGAAATGCAGATGAACTGAGACACCAAAGACAGAGAGGAAAGGAGTGCAGCAAGCGGCCGCACTGAGCAGACAGAAGGACCAAAGCACAGAGCGTGCATGTCACATCTTGAGCATGCAAAGCACGAGACCAGGAGACAAGCATTAAAAACAGTAAATGTACTTCTCTGCAGAGTTCACAGAAAAAAAGTAAATAAGCACATTATCTTATTTAGAAAACGATTAAGAGCTACAAGCAGCCTATACTATGCTGAGTATAACAATCTGAGAAAACTAATGTTAACTGTTGTCCTTTTTTGTCTATAGCTATGTGTAATTTGTTTTGTTAATAGTTCTTATTTAAAAAATCAAAGTACCAGGACAATCCATAATCCAATCTTTATTTCAAATATCACTGTCCGAAGAGCCCAAATTGAAAAATCTCTATCAAGAAAACAACTGTTCACAGTGTGGTATCGTAAAAATCATTATAAAATCTATATCAAAATTTTTCAGGCTAGGCACGGTGGCTCATGCCTGTAATCCCAGCATTTTGGGAGGTCGAGGAAGGAGGATCGCTTGAGCTTAGGAGTTTGAGACCATCCTGAGCAACATAGTGAGACCCGTCTTGACAAAAAAAATAAAAAATAAAAAATTAGCCAGGCATTGTGGTTTGCACCTACAGCTCTAGCTACTTGAGAGGCTGAGATGGGAGGAACGCTTGAGCCCAGGAAGTCAAGGCTGTAGTGAGCTATGATTGCACCACTGCACTCCAGCCTGGGTGACAGAGCAAGACCCTGTCTCAAATAAAAATTTAAAAATAAAAAGATAAAAAATTTCTTACATCTGAGAAGTTCCATAGTAACCCCTCCTCTTCACTGTGTCCATTCACTAAACATTGCCACCTGCCCTTTCTTGGGAAGAAAAATCCATTATTCTGAGATGGTTTCCCTCTTACATTTTTGTTGTTAAGGTTATCTTCTTAAGGGGAAGTAATAAATGGTGGCTTGTTTGTTTTTTGTCTGCATGTGGAAAATTAAAAGTTGGCAACTCTCTCAAGGCTGCAGTGAACTGTGACGGGCACCACTGCACTCCAGCCTGGGCGGCAGAGCAAGACCTGACTCCAAAAACAAAAAGAAAAAGTTGGCAACTCTCTATAAGCTCACGTATAGTTTTAACGGTATAGAAAACAGTCGCAATTGTGGAGGCCTCTACTTCAGATACTGAGTGTTAAGAGGTCAGAGGACAGAAAAGGGAGAAGTGGCTCTGTAATGAATGGCCTGTGGCAGGTTAAGACAAAAGAATGCTGGACAGCACCCTCATCTGCAGGTGGAGGTGTACTGTTTGCAAGCAGGTGCTGAGTGGAGCATCATCCCATCCTGGGTTCAAAATGCCAACAGCAAGGACAAGGGCTGCCTGGGATCACGTCAGGCATAGGGCCTCTCTGGGGAGCTGAGCTCATAATCTGTTCTTTGCACATCACAGAGGCAAAGAAAGGATAAAGGCTCTGAAATAGTCCTTTCCTCTGTCTGACTTCCTCGCCTTCTTGTTTTGGTAAAGCATATGCCAGAAGTCTGAGGCTGGCAATCCTGGCCTCATTCAGCCTATAGATGTTTTGATTGTGCCTCACACTATTCCAAAACCCAGGAAATTACACACACATTTTTTTAATTGGATTTCAGACTTCATTGCGGGGGGGCGGGGGCGGGGGAGAAAAAAAAAGAAGACTCAAACTCCCAAAGAGCAGCAGTCCATTGTAGAGGCCCGAAAGACATGCGCCCCAGGCACCATGAGCCACCACTGCTTCCCATCCTAAGGCCACTTTACCTACTCAGGGGATCTGCCAGACCTGGAAGCCAGCCTCTGAGGACCCCAAGGGAGCACCCCAGTGTTTGTCCAGCAATCCAAAAACAACCAGCCACTTTCTGCTGGTGGGTTGGAACATATGCTTCAATAACACACCAAACATGTCAAAATACATCACCTCAAACTGGTTTCCAATGTACTTTTCCTATTTATTTTTAATCTGGCTAGAACTAAATAAGGCCACATGAAACCTCTTTATATTTTAATTACACTTAGCCAAACCTTTGGAAAGAAAAAGGACACTGGGCTTGGTGGCTCAAGCCTGTAATCCCAGCACGTTGGAAGGCCGAGGAGGGGAGATCACGAGGTCAGGCGTTCAAGACCAGCCTGACCAATATGGTGAAACCCCATGTCTACTAAAAATACATAAATTACCCGGGTGTGGTGGTGCATGCCTATAGTCCCAGCTACTTGGAGGCTGAGGCAGGAGAATCGCCTGAACCCGGGAGGCAGAGGTTGCAGAGAGCCAAGACTGAACCACTGCACTCCAGCATAGGTGCAGAGCAAGACTCCATCACAAAAAAAAGAAAAAAAGAAAAAAAAAGGAAACAGTGGCACCTAACTGTATAAGTGGCTTTGTTCTTGAAGGTATATTAACTGCATAGTAATTGTCAGCCATAACCATTTATTTCCAACTCATTTTAATCTCAATTGACTAGATATAATTTAGCAAAGAATATTCAGCAGTTCCCATCTTCCCAAAAGCTACCAAATGCCAAGTGTCGGCTATACTTACATCTTAGAAAATAGCAAACTCTCATTATTTTAGGTAATATAGCTAATGGAGAATTAACAGAGCAAATGTTGTTCAGCTAACCTTAATAAGACCCTTCATGGTCTCTATATGATATAATGAAATATTCAGAATACCAATAATTTTGGCTCCTTCCCAAACCATTTCTTCTATTACAGAAATTCTGAGTTTTTGATTACCTGAAAAACACAATGGTTTTAGTCAATTACAATTTTCTTAAATAAAAACAAACACAGAAATCTTCAAAACTGATGGCTAGGAGTTAACCACCACTAATAACTCTGACCTTGGGAAATCACTGTGTAGCAATATCAGGACATGTTTAAAAAAAAAGAGGAAGAACTGAAATCTACATTAATTTCTATAAGTATTAAGTGCTACAGAAATACAAAACAAGCTTTTACAAATACATCTAATATAGTGCTATAAAGAAATGTGGTCGAAAATTTAAAGTTAGGAAGTTCTGCATCATGACCTTGAGAAGTTGTTTTATGTTAAATGTATCACAAATTACACTATTGAAAAGTTTTGTGAAACTAAAACAATTCAATATGCCAATTTCCTCCCTTTCCTTTGCATCTGGTTTAAGTCTAAACCCAAATTAGTTGATAAACCATTGAATGCACTTTGCCTGGGTGTTTTCACACTTATCCTGTAGATATAGAGTGAAATAGACAAAAAAAGTGACAGAAAGTCCAGGGGTTATATTGAAGAAGAGTGACCAAAAATCCATGGGTTAGGTGTGTTTTTGTTTTAGAGACAAGGTCTTACCTTGTCATCCAGGCTACAGTGCAGTGGTGCGAACATGGCTCACTGTAGCCTCAACCTCCTGGGCTCAGATGATCCTCCCACTTCAGCCTCCCAAATAGCTGGGACTACAGGCGCATGCCACCATGCCTGGTTAATTTTTTCGTATTTTTAGTAGAGACAGGATTTCAACATATTTCCCAGGCTGGTCTCAAATTCCTGGACTCAAGCAATCTATCTGTCTTGGCCTCCCAAATTGTTGGGATTACAGGCGTGAGACACCACACCCGGCACAGGATTTTGTAAACTACTTGGGAGGCATCCCAAAAGCTCTGCTCATACAGGCAATAATCAAGAAAATGGCTTCATGCTCACTCCCAAAATCAAGCAACTGGGAACTGTAATCTACAGAGAGGTTCAGAGAGAGACAAGCCACCTGTTACAGACCTCAGGTGCTGACCACGGGCAGAGCAGACAGCAACTGACGCAAAACCTAACTCGTGTTCTCTTCTTGAGCACTGCTGAGTGTCGAAGCTGAGACTCACAAGGTGTCCTCAATGTACACTCCTAGAGCAGGACACTGTCCTAAGCTACCTGATGCTGCCAGCCTACTCACACTTCCATCTCCCATCATTAATTAGCAAAAGACTTCATAAAACCACGTGCCCTACCCACCCTTCAAACACAATCTGACATTATATTTGGCTCTAATTATACAGTGCCAAGCAAGCTGAACTTAAGAGGAATATGCCTTTATACATCTCACGGGCAATAATGACTATTAAATCAATAATAAAATGATCGTATTCGTATGAGGTTGTGTGGGTATTTAATAACAGCACGTGGCACATACTAATTTTTAGACTTTATAAGCACCGTTTATAGATATCACCAAGTATTAATTTTATATGTAATGCTGCAGACTCTGAATTTTGACTAGATGTCAAAAACCATTAAAATATTACCTTGTGGAAATCTGAGTCCTTGTTGCTCCTTACAGCATATTCACACTGTAAGAATGTACTGGAATCCAATCACACCCTCATCCTCTTCCCAAACCACGAAAAGTGCACAGGGCAAAAAATGCACCGGGCAAGAAGACAGCTTATAGAATGCAAAGTACAGCTTATAAGAGGTAAAGTTCAAACGAGGAAAAAGCACATGAGGATTAGTGTATTACAGCCAAACTATATATGGGTAAGCCTCACAGCACAACTAATTTTCTCTAGGATAATAAGGCACTCACTTTGTAAAGGTGAGAGTCAATAGGAAAAGTGCGCCCTGTGCACACCCACAAGGCGGCTCTAATATTTGAAAAGCATCCCCACATACTGTGTGGTGACACCTCCAGCATCACCAAGACCAGGCTAACGTGGGCACAAAGGCATTAAGAAATGTACAGGCAAGTGTGCGGTGTGCAAGGGTGCAGTAGGGCAAGGGTGTAGAAGAGCTCCATAACCAGAACCAGGGGCGCAGCGCCATCAAGGGGCCGCTGTGACCTCAATCCAAACCTCCACAATGAGAAGTTGCTGTGGAATCAAGGAAGCGGAGACATAACTTTCAAGCTAGTATTATACTTCTCTAAGCCCATAGCTTCAAGTGGCAGTAAGCCTAGGCAGGTAAGACATGAATTTCTGTTACTTGTTTTTCTCATAATGATCAATATCTGCATCAGCATAGAGGCATAAAATGTCTAAACAGGACTTTCCTTAAAACAAAATTCCAGAGTGTATACATTCAGATTATTTTTATCTCTTCAAAATAAGTACCTCGGGGAGCTATATACATTTATTCCACTGATGTTTCACTATTAAAAATATTGTTTAAATTCATTGCACAATCTACATTGCCATCTCTCAAAGACAATGTAGAAATGATTCCTGTATTGGCCAGAAAGTTAAGATAGAAAGTTCCTAAGTACGCTTACAATTCTAATAAATTATTCTGGCCTTCTAGAAATAATATAAGCATCTATGATTTAATAAAATATAACTCAGTCTTAAATAACAAGTTCAACTCTTTATACACACACAACCAAATATTATATAACATCCATATAAGTGGTCACTCAATTGCACACCTCTCTCTATTCTACAAAATCTATCTACAAGGCAGCCCATTCCAACTTTAGACAACTTACTCACTTTAAGCTAAAAACAAAAAGTTTAACCTCTGGTGCCATACAGAACAAGGTTTGAACATAAAGTACACAAATCAGAAATTTAATCACTAGTGATTAAATTGACTGTGACTAATTTAGACTAAGTATTGCTTAGTCATTCACCGAAAAATAGAATATCCATTCATATTTTCATTTCAAGGCGGAAGTTTTAGAAGAATTAAGATGATAACGTTTGAGAGTGTCAGAATTCTTACAGAATAAAAGGTTAGTTTATATAAAATAATATTCTTAAAGGGAAAGAATAATTGATTATTCTAAACTCTGAGCGAAAGTAATTTGCCCTTCAGCAAACCCTCTGTCTTTCATCACTGCAAATAATCAGTAGAATTTATTTACCTTTATTTATCAAACCAGTAGTGCTCAACAGAGGCAGAGGTAGGAAAGAAGGGGGAAGTAGGTTACCCCCAGGGGGATTTTTTAAATATGTGTGGGGTTTCCTGAGTGGCATTTAAAGGACACAGGGCCAATGCTGCTAGCATTCCCATATGTGGGACAGTTCTTCACAGCAAAATATCATCTTGCCTTTTGCACAGCTGGAGCAACCCACTTGACATTTATGCGTATGAAAAACCTATTTATGCTTCTCTAAACCTTAAGCCTACTTCCATTTTACATATCATCAGAAAGTATTTTTGCATATTTAACTAATTCCTGTCTCTCCCAGGAATGCAACTCTGTGTATATTAAGTAAAGGCTTTACTTTGTTTTGTGCAGAACTTTAGCAAATACTGTTCACCATTTCAGAAAATGATATCATGGAACCCAATGCTGTTCAATGACTCTCCCTCCCCGATGTAGTCCACCAATAAAGCATTTTCACTGGTCACCTTCACGGTGAATCTATTATAACCTATTATATTGGATACAATCTATATATTGGATGCAGGTACAAGCATCAAACTACTTGATTTTATTCTCTAGGTTAGTCATGTCCAGACATTTTGAAGTACATATCATTTTACCATAAATTACACATATATTTTTCCATTGTATTATTTATGCACACTATATATTCACTTTTCTGACAGTATGTATAAGTAAGTTATTTACCTGTCAATTTCATTTCAGGATACTTAGAGAAATGTTACAAATATTTGTTATCAAAACACTAAAACTACCATTTGATCCAGCAATCCCACTACTGGGTATCTAGCCAAAGGAAAAGAAGTCATTATAAGACAAAGCCACATGCACATGCATGTTTACAGCAGCACAATTCACAACTGCAAAAATATGGAACCAACCTAAATGCCCATCAGCCAACGAGTGGATAAAGAAAATGTGGCATATATATACCATGGAATACTACTCAGCCATAAAAGAAAATGAAATAATGGGCTTTGCTGCAACTTGGATGTGGCTGGAGGCCATTATTCTAAGTGAAGTAACTCAGGAATGGAAAACCAAACATCAAATATTCTCACTTCTAACTGAGAGATGAGCTATGAGGACACAAAGGCATAAGAATGATACAATGGACTTTGGGGACTTGGGGGGAAGGGTGGGAGGAGGGTGGGGGATAAAAGACTACACATTGGGTACAGTGTACACTGCTCAGGTGATGGGTGCACCAAAACCTCACAAATCACCACTAAAGAACTTACCCATGTGATAAAAACCACCTGTTCCCCCGAAAAGCTGTTGAAATAATTTTTAAAAGAGTCTGATTAAGTTGGAACCCCTGATCCACAGAACCTCAGGAACGTCCTTCCACCTTGGTTCTTTCCATATTAGTTTCAACAAACAAATGAAAAAAGAGCATAGGGGACAAGTGCACCCCAAGCCATTCACTGACACATTTATTTGTATACCTGGCAGGGGAGGAGGGAAATTCAGGCTCTGGGAACAAAGATAAAAAGCTCGATTTCTGTTCTGTTCTGCTCAATTTCTTATTTTTAGTCCGAGAAGCTCTTCGTGGCCTGTAGAAAAGTGCCATTCTACAGAAGGATATGCTAGTCCTGTGCTTTTATTTAACTATGGGGACCTTCATTACGGAAACCTTGAAGGGAACTGGATAAAAATCAGGAAAATGTCAAGAAGGTCAGTAAATAATCTCAAAATAATTTATAAGCAATTTCTTTTTCTTCATTTTTGTTTTTCATTTGAGATAGGGTCTCATTCTGTCACCTAGGCTGGAGTGAAGTGGCTCAAACACAGCTCACTGCTGCCTCGGTCTCCTGGGCTCAAGGGATCCTTCTGCCTTAACCTCCACGTAGCTGGGACCACAGGTACATGCCATCGTGCCTGGATAATTTTTTTTTTTTTTTTGAAGAGACGAAGTCTCACTATGTTGCCCACGTTGCCAGGCTGGTCTTGAACTCCTGGGCTCAAGCAATCCTCCCACCTCAGCCTCCCAAAGTGCTGGGATTACAGGTGGGACCCACCACACCCAGTTAGCTATTTCTTTTTATTTGTATTTTTGCTGACATGTTTAAATGCTTAGGCTAGGGAAAACTTGAAGAACTTTTTTAATGCTCATACACAAAGGCATACATGTTTTGGTGAATTTATGATCTTCACTTTCAGTATAACACCCAACTAGGACATGCAAAGGCAAGGACAGAAATTTTTCAGTTTTCAAAAAGTGAAACAGATCTTTCTTTTGTGCCCTACGGCAGCAGTGGCCACGTAAACAATAGGGAAATAATACAACCATGAAGATAGCTCCTCTTTGCAAGGGACTTATTAAAACCTTGCACTTTTCCTTCCCTCCATAACACATGGTCTCTGGAGGGAGCGCAATGCGATCCAGCTGACAAAAACAAAAGCTGGCGTGAAGGTAATGCAGCCCTGCCGCTCTGCGACCTGCACAAACAGCTCCTGATGTACCATCTGTGGTGCAGAACAATAGTGCCTGTCACTTAGGGCCTTGGCAAGGATATTCTCACTCACTAACTTTTGGAAAGCACACTCACTCCCTTTCAGTGTCAGCACAGGCCCTGAGCCCGAGGGCCCACTAAACCCAGGGGCTGAGCCTGAGTGCCTGCTAAATACAGGAAATGAGCCCGAGGGCCCACTAAACACAGGGGCTGGGCGCGAGGGCCCCCTAAACACAGGGGCTGGGCCCGAGGGCCCCCTAAACAGCTCTTCCAGCCCCTCCCAGTGCCACTGTGAATAGTAAGGCATTTCTAAGGAGAGAGGTCTGAGTGCCTCCTGCCAGCACCCATCACAGGTATTGAGGAATGCAGCTGAAGAAATAAACCTATTAATAAGCCAGTGATTTTCCTGTACTGCCATGCAAAGAAGCCTCAAATTTGAATCTATCCATGGTTATGAGTTTCCTGGAACAGGTCCAGTCTGGGTGTCTGTGTGGTCCTCCTAATATCATTTACATTCCACGACCTACCACAGCCTTGGCCAAAGTACACACTAAGTAAGCATTCAGGGAATGAATGAATGTACTCTTACTTAGCAGCTGTCTATATTACTGGCTTCATGATTTCCAACTGTGCAAGTGCACTAAGTATTAATTATTACTCTAGAATGAAATTCACCAAGCTACTGAACACAACTTTATTGCAAAATCTGGCTATGAAAACAAAGGTTGACATGACATCATAGAAAACCTCGTGGACTGGAACCTGGTGAGGAAGGCCAAGTCACAGCTCCAACTCTGCCATTACTCAGATGGATAAATGTGGGCAAATTGGTCTTCAAACTGCTATTGATAATTTTATGTCTTCACCACAGTTTGATTAACAATCATGACACTTGTACTTGGCCAGTCATGGCAAGAAAGAATCAACGGGGACCATCTACTATCATTAGAACATTTTACAAGAGAAAAGGAGTTTTGAATTGATAAAAAGTTCCCTCCTTGTAGAGAATGTGCTTTTCGATTCATATTCTGACATAGTGACTTCTGAGCCTGGAAACATTGCATAATACAACCGGACCTCTGATGTGTCATCTGCAAAACAGGCTGGGTTAAATCAGCAGCTCAGGACTTCGGGTGATTTTACCCCTCCACCCCTCCCCAGAGGACAGGAAGAAGTGTCTGGAGATAGTTTTCGTTGTCACAGCTAAGGAGGGGGAGGTGCTACAGACATCTCGTGAGGTGAGGCAAGGAACACTGACTGCTGCTTACCATCCTACCAGGCATGGGGCAGCATGCGAAACAACAAATTCCTGTTAACTGTACCGAGATTGAGAAACCCTGGATGAGATTATTTTTAAACTCCCTAAAATTCAAAAAATGCTGAATCCAAATGTGTAACTACGAAAAAAAAGCCTTACAAAGTTGCTAAATGTGGGACATCAGAAACCTCTTCATAAGCCATAGCTGGCCTACAGCTACTCTGGGCTGAAAGTTCTAGGATCTTGAAAGACAATTTGTTTGGAAATAAATGCAATGTAAAGCTTTCAAAGCAGTGCCTACTAACCTCACACTTTGCGCATCACGGTGATTAATGTGTAACTGTACCCTTCACAGCTTCCTTTCTTTGTTCTCTCGCCCTTTACTCCACAGTGATGGGCATTGTTTGTTTTGGACACAGATGCAAGCCAGTTCTGAAAAGACGGACAATTATATTCTCCTTGTCCTCATAGTAAAAGAATAAAGTGGCCCTAAAGATTACTAATGATCGACTGCAGTAAAATAGATGGGCATCACCGATTCACACAAAACACAAAGACCACAGCAACTGCTGAAGTGGGGACGCTCCTTCGAGTTCTTGGTCTGTTAACCTTAACAGTTCCTCTTCTAAGCTGAATTGCATGTGTGAACCTGCCCAAAAACAGTCACATATCTTCTAGGAATAAAATCACAGCAACCTATAGTTTTAGAAGAGAAAGGGGAAAAAAAATCATTGTTCTAACCATTCTCAGAAATTGAGTGCATAAAATATAGACTTGGAAGTACTATGCTGGCATCTCCAATAATTCACCTTTATGATATCAAAGGCCAAGACTAAAGGCTATAATGATAGAGAATTAAAGGATATTCTTTGCCTTTGTATTTTCTTTGATACATGATCATAATTATAATAAAATGAACAGCTGAAAGGTCAGTGCTTAAATTTTCAATAGAACCCAAAGTCTTAGAAGCCTACACACAGAATCCCAAAATGTTAGGAATTTTGTAAGATTTCTTTCCTGAGTAAGCTTGTCACTAGTTGACACAAAATCACTCATCCTTTATTCACTGGGCATCTAACATGTGCCAGACAATTGCTAGGCTCTGGAAATAAATGGCAACAAGCCCTTACTCCACCCAACAAGTTTTCTGGAGAACATAGAAAAGTAAAATTCCACACCTCAGAGTGCAATTGTGGACGACAACAGTACATCGTGGTAGGAAAGCGCACAGTATGTATAGTCCAGTCTCAAGGAGGCTTGGAGCCTCCTTAGAGGAGCAAAATTCACAAGAAAAGCAGACACAAATGTACAAAAGCCCACCAGAGAGAGAAGATACCATCCCCTCCAAACACACAAAAAGGAGGGTGTCCATGAGTTGCACAAACCATTAGACAAGGAGTAAAAAAGGCAGACTTAAACAATGGAAAACTGTGAAAAAAAATTCACAGAAACATGAATGAAAGTGTTATAAAGTTTACATTGTTCTCAACCTGGCACCAGGATGTGCTCACAGTCTCAGGCTTGGCCAAATTTCCCACTCCCAACTCCCAGATTTAATCAAGTCACAATTAAATGGCAGGATCAGCAGCAATAAGAAGCCAGTACGTTCATGCACAGTCCACATTCATGGTAAATAAGAAAAAACAATCTAATTAAAAGTAGAGTACATCCAGCTAATTATATAGCTGACCCCACCAGCAAGAGCTTATAAATTGTGGACCAAAAACTGCATCTGGTCAGCAGACAGATTCTGTTTCTCTTAGCAGTATCCTAAGATATTTAAACCAGTATTTTAAATACAGAGACTTCACATTTTTAAAACTGCAGATTTCCAACTTCAGTTTTGTTTATTTTTTAAATAATAGCCACCTCCTTTAGAACATATAAGATCCACAGTTTGCTGCAGTCTTCACCACTCTCTACTGCCTCCAAAGCACTAAGGGGATTTTCTCACTATTTCTCACAGTAGACAAATACCTATGTCCAGTTTTCTTTTTTTCTTCTTCTTCTTTTTTTTTTTTTGAGACCGAGTCTCGCTCTGTCACCTAGGCTAGAGTGCAGTTGTGCAATCTCGGCTCACTGCAACCCCCACCTCCCGGGTTGAAGCGATTCTCCTGCCTCAGCCTCCTGAGTAGCTGGGATCATAGGCATGCCACACCAGGCTAATTTTTGTATTTTTAGTAGAGATGGGGTTTCGCCATGTTACCCAGGCTGGTCTCGAACTCCTAAACTCAGGCAATCCACCCTCCTCGGCCTCCCAAAGTTCTGGGGTTACCGGGGTGAGCCACTGTGCCCAGCCTTGCCCAGTCTTCAAAGGTAAGGAAAATGGAAGTGAGACCAAAAGAACTCTGAATTTTCTTCTGTCTGCCTACTTCCCTTATTACCTTCCTTTAGACATCCAAATTGTTGGCCCTGGATTTAGATCTTAACGCCATTTGTTACACAGCACCAAGTGAGTGTACCAGGTGTAACCAGATTAGAAAATCAAAGCCAGGAGTCAGATAGCTGCTCTTGTATGAATGGGCTTTAATTGGCATCAGCACTAACCTATATCCATTAATACAGGCCTGGAATTGTGGCTATAATCTGGTCCTTGATTTTTACTTAGAAATAAATCATCATAACAATAATAAGGACCAAATACTATTTTTTATATGTTGTCACTCCAGGAAGTACTCACAAAAGAAGGAACGATGAAAATTAAGCAATGGCTCATAATTACAGAACCATTGACCCTTCAGGAACTTGGAAGGTCCCAATATCAGCATCAGTGTTGGGGCTCTATGCTGCAGGGGAAAATGAGATAAAAATGGTCCATTCGGCACATCCAATAATGCAGACCATCTGATCAGGACTGAAAAGCTACCACAGAGGCTCTTGATGGCACACTCTAAGACTGTATGTGTTTGGGTGCATGTGCCCATGTACAGACAGACTGGGAGTTCAAATTCAGGAGGGTTGTTAGGCCTAGGGCCTAAGCAGAATATCAAAACCCACCATCACCGAAAAGGGGAAAAGCCCACATTTGCTAAGCTCCAAAACCATCTGCCTAGCACAGTGCTGAGTGCCTGACACACACCACAACTACACCAAGTTGTCACCTTAAAAATAACCTATTTCCCCTAGGGCTCACACTGGGGAAATGATCCAAGCAAAGTTACCAGGTACACTTCTCCCCAGTCTTCCCCATCTCCAAAATTCACTCCACTTCTCATGCTAGAGATCAGAGGAGTAATCCTGGATTCTTCCAATTCGCCTACCCTCTAACCCATCAGCAATTATATAAATTACACCTCCAAATTACTCAAGTCCCTCCACTTCTACCCACTTCCATGCCCCGCTCCCCGGCCCAAGGTCACCTCCCTGACTCCCACCTGGATACCTGCAATGGCATCCTAACCAGTCTAAATAAGCTGCACAGTCCTTAACGAGGTCTTCCAGAGGCCTCCAGCCATCTCCCACCCAGGCCCTGCCCTCCTGTCTCAGGGCCGTCTCTCCTTCCTCCAGGGCACCAAGCTTTTCCCCACAAACCGCCTTAGGGGCTTCTCTCTGCCTGAACTTCCTTTTGCTTCCATTCCCCACCTGGCTAGCAGATACTCATCCTCAGGCACCTTTTCTGGCCCACAAATCTGCATTACGCACTCACGTGGGTCTTCTTCAGGCTTACTTAAAGTCTGTACTTACATATGTTTGGCTGATTAGTTGCTATCTGTCCCTCACTGGACTACAAGCTCCATGAAGGCAAGCGTCATGTCGGCATAGTCACCCCCATACACACAGTGGACACCCAACAAAAATGCCTCACCCCTAAGTTCCTTAATACACTCAAAAAAAAAATAAAGGACTGGAGCAATGCTGATTTAATCTAAAAAGCTCCTGTCATGATCATCTTAAAAGCTATCAGAATAGCTTACATACCAAAATACTGGGTGTAAAAGTGTTATACTCTCTATCTGTCCCTCTAGTTAAACACATTCTCTCTGGCTAGTTACAGTGAAAAGAAATGAGATGCATGCACTGCTGTTCATCTCCTGCGGTCCCCACCTGATACTTTTCAAACAATTTATTAATCAATTATTAATTGTGGCAGCGACCACACTTTTATCATTTCACATCCATCTTCAGGAGGGATACATAAGCATTGTCAGAGTTTGCCTCATTACTTCCAGCCTCATTAAGAGAATGTTTCCCATGTGAGCTGAGATCAACACAAAATGAAGAAGGTTCACCAGGTGACACTGAGCAGGGCCTCCATTACGGCGACATCATCCCCAAAAGGGACACATAGGTCAAGGGAACAGACCTGTGACAACTCTGATGGGCTCAGAGTTAAGGTTTCACTTTTCCATTGCTACCGTGGAAAAAATCGTTTGTATTTGCATAATAAAATATGGATAAATTATCCTAAGGCACTATCCTTTAAAAAATTAATGCAAATGCTTAAACAAAAGATTATATGTGTATAAGTGAACTGAAGAGCTTCATTTCCCCCAAGCATCTTCTAATTTCATCGTTCTGCTTTATTTTGCTTAAGTACAAGATGCCGATATTTATACTGCTTGCTGTTATTCACTGTAGTAAATAGTGCATTTTTTTATGGACCTAAGTAGTTTTCTTCAATTGGAGGTATGTTCCTATAATAAACTATCCTCAAAATATTTTTGCCAATGCTACAAGATGGAAATGTTTTGTAAAGTGTAAAATGCTATTCGAATGAAGGGAGGACATCTGTATTCCTCAAACAGAAAGCAAAACATTTACCCACAGCTTGCACTGATGTGTTACCACTGAGATCACCTCTTTTTAGCCAAGTTCAACTTCATCTTCTCAGCGCCTATTTTTTATTAGCAACTGACAAGACTAACCACGCTGTTCCCTCCCTTCCCTCCCTTACTTCTCCACTGGCTTCCCTGTGACTGAGACACCTGGTTTTCCTCCCCCTCAGACCACTTCTTAGTTTCTCTCACTGACTCCTTTCCTGGGCATGGACCATAGCCATGGAACTGTTCTTTTCTCTCAATGCTAGTTTAGTCACCCTAACACATGCTTTTTAGGATCACCCCCATAGTCGCTGAGTATTTCCTAACTGGCTTTCCCCCGATCCAACATCAGAGTTTCTCTCTCCACTGAAAAGCCATTTCAGGGTTTTCAATTCAGTGGTTTTCTGTTGTTTAAGGATGAGCCAAATGATATGTTTAGTTTTTCACAACGCAAAATCATTTTGCTTTTACCAAAATATATTTCCTATAATATATTAATACATGATATAAGCATTACTAAAATAATATTTTAGTAGAGTAATTTGATAAATGCATTGTTTTAACTTTTCTTTTCAGTTAGGGTACGTGTGCAGGTTGGTTACATAGGTAAACTTGTTTCCTGGGGGTTTGTTGTACAGATTATTTCATCACCCAGGTATTAAGCCTAGTATCCATTAGTTATTCTTCCTGATCCCCTCCCTCCTCCCATCCTTCGATAGGTCCCAGTGTATGTTGTTCCCCTTTATGTGTCCATGTGTGCTTATCATTTTGTTCCCACTTGTAAGTGAGAACGTGCAGTCTTTGGTTTTCTCAATCCAGTGTTGTATAAATGGAATTTATCCTTTCCACCCTGCCTCCAGCCCACCAAACCTACCTCTCCTGCTCACTCCCCCACTTCACCAGCAGCAGCATTCTTTCTTAATTATAATAATTAACTGAAAGAATGAACACTTATCTAATGGCGATTTTCAGACCCTCCTTCGGCTCTCTGGAGAACAGAAAACTTAACCCACTTGAAGGAGTGATGGGGGGAGGAGGGATTGAAGCTTCTGCTTCCTTGGTCAGACTGGGTGCTGGTGCTTCCTACGCAGCCTCCTGGAAGTGGCTTTCAGGTTGGCCTTTTCTTCATAGGAAGAACTCGAGGGCTTTCCATCAGCAAATCTTCCTTCAGAGTCAGCCTGATCTCCCTCACTGTTGCTTTTATCACCTCCTGCCTCTGCTCAGCAGTTGTCTGCTCACATACGGACTCGGTCCTACGAGTATTTGTTGAGCATGCACTTACCCACGTGCCAAGTCCCATGCCAAGCAAAGGAGGCTTATTACCACCAAAAAGGAGTAAGAAGTGTCGTTTAAGATATAAACCACACAGGTACTGTAATGAAGTTATACAGATGTTACAGAGCACCTAAGATTCTTATGAGAACTTTAAAATATGCAAGCTTACTTCTCTTTAAAGTGAAAGTTAAATGAGTTTCCGTCTCTACAAAAAAAAAAAAATTAGAAAATTAGCCAGGCATGGTGGTGCACAGCTACCCTCCCAGTCAATAGGCTGAGGCGGGATCCTTTGAGCCCAGGAGGTTAAGGCTGCAGTGAGCCATGATGGTACCACTGCACTTCAGCCTGGGTGACAGAGTGAGACCCTATCTCTAAAAAATAAAAATAAAATGTTTAAAAAGTGAAAGTTAACACAGTTCCTTCACTTTCATTACCTCTGTCTTCACCAGATCACCTTCCCACCAATACCCTTTCTTTGGAAACTGAGTGAGAGCACACTGCAGAGGTTAACCAAGCTGAACATTTCTTGTGACCCCAATATTGTACAGCAAAGTGCTAAGTGATTCTGCAGTCAAGGGTTACATGCAATACATCCTCAATGTTGCCTCACATCTAAGAGCATAATTAATAGCAGTTTTATGTTCATCTTCCTTCCTACTCAACCATTACACACCAAGTCAGTGTAGTCGAATCCAATCCCTTTGGATACTCCAAGAAAAAAACCTCTCCTCTTTCAACCGTTTCTCCTAATTCTGTAGTAATATAAGGAATGCATTCCAAGTTTTTAATATTACCAAGGGCCAAAAACAACTCTACTGTACCCACCACCTGTTTGTCACCTTAACCTTTTTAGGTGGAATAGATTAGAAAACCGAAGAGCCACACTACACTTATTTCAGCCAAGGACTGAAACTGGAGCCTGCCACAAGCATCTTCTAGAACAGCTCCAACAGAAGGATCCAGGAGATGGGCCACCAGCAAGTCATAGTGGAGTCCAAACAAGTGTGAAGTGAGAGCGAGTCTTCAGCATGGGAATGGCCGAGTGGGTCGTGGTGACCAGCTGCCTTCCTCTGACTGTTAAGTACAGCAGTCTCAACAGTAACAATGACCAGGCCTTCCCTTTATTTAGTTCCACCTCGGGGCATTGGCGCATTAAGAATGTCCCTCTAAAGGCATATGTAAGATAAAGCACACTTCGCACTTTAACCAGTGACTAAGGGAGATCAAAAGCAGGGGACAATACCCACCCGGAATTTGCGACCTCGCGAAAACGCTCTCACCAATCCCGCAGGTAAGTGCGGCGCTGGCCCAGGTGTGCCCAGCTCGACTCGCGTCCACCTGGGACCAAGCGGGCCCAAGAAGGCCCGGAGAGCAGGCGAGGGCGACTGTGGCCGGCGCGCCCCCCGCAGTTCCAGGCGGTGGCAGGAGCCTGAGAGCCGCCGTCCCAGGCTGGCCAGGCGCCCGCCCGCCCTGCGCGCACTCCCTGGGCTCCCGCTCCCGAGGCTGGGCAGAACTCGCAGAGGAAGACAAGGGCAGAAAGCGGGTGGAGGGAGGCAGCGCTCGCCCGTCCGGGCACACGACACTTGTCGGCTGAGGGGGACACGCGGGCAGACGGGGGCGTTAGCCCCAGAGGAAACAAAAGCCAAATGCCCACCGCCGGGCGCTCGATGGCCGGAGGACTGCCTGGGGGCCCTCAGGAGTCCCGTCCCGTCCCGCTCCCCCGGTCCCAGGCTGCGCTGGCTCCAGGGCGCCCAGGTAGCCGCGCCTGGCACCCCGACCCTGCCCTCGCGGCTGACCGAGGCGCCGGGCTCTGCGGCGGCCGCGCCCGTCCAAAGTAGGCGACAAGTGAGGCAGCGCCTCTCGCGGGGAGCCCGGCGCGCGCCCCGGCGGCGAAAGAGAAAGAGAAAGAGCCTGGGCCGGGACCGGGGCTATCCCCAACCGCCACCGCCCCCACCGGCCCGGCCCTCGCCGCGGGAGTCGTGCAGGCCCCTCTACCTGCCCGGGGATGGGGCCACCCCGCGCGGCGGCGGCCGTGGGCACCCACGCGGGCTCGCGACCATCCCACGCGGGCGGCGGCGTCCTTCTTACCCCCAGCGGAGCGGCGCCTGCCCGCAACGCCGACCGAGCTACAGGCGGGGGGCGAGTCGGAGCGCGAGGTTCCGCCAGCCCAGGCTGCGGCGCCGCTGCCCCGCGGTGCCCGGCGGGAGGGGCGCGAGGGTGCACGCGCGGGGTGGGGGCGCGGGAGCCGCCCCCTGCCCGCCCCGCGCGCATGCTCCCGCCGCACCTGCCTCGCTCAGTGTTCCACACCCCGGGGAGCCGGGTGGCGCTGGGCCCGCCGAGGTCGGGGCTTTCCCATGGGAGGGAGGTGGCTGCGGCGGAATTTTCAGATGCGTCCTTCTCTGTATTCGTTCCCTGGGAAGGATTCCCCCAAATCTTGGCTACTTCCTGCCTGCCAGCTTGCTCCCTGGCAGCGAAGTCCCAGTAGCTCACCCATGCTTCATCCCAGCTCTTGGGGTTCACCGTCTGAAGGCTCTCTCCTCCGGATCCCTCTCGGTCCTGCTGCTCGCTCCGATTTTGCAACCTCCCCCACTCCCCTTTCCTGCTCTTGACTTTGCTACTCACGAGTACCTGGATACCATTTCCAAATAAAAGAATACTCTTTCCAAGTGGCAAGCAGTGTTTACTGACCCTGTTCTAACTGCTTGGAATTGAGCAGGAAACAGGAGCTGGGTAGATCCTGCCCTCATGGAACTTATGGCCTTACTGGCTAGCTTTGGCCTTTCTCAAAGCATTGTCTCCCAGTTTGGGAGGACTGTATTAAATCATTTATTTTGGCTTACAAATAAAGGTAGCTGATAATTGAAGACTATATGTTGTGACTTTTGAATGAAATGTTCTTTCATAGGACGCCTTGTGTATAAACCCTAGTATGCAAATAATAAATAGTAGGTACTAAATAAGTATTAGTTTGTTGCTTTCAGCAGGAAATTGAATCATTTAGCAGGATTAACAATGATACCATCCAAAATGATCTTTTTGGTTTGTCGTGGGCTACCATAAACAGAGAATGAAAACTTGCTTTTTAGGTGAGACTGGGCATTGTTGAAACATAATTTCGTGTCCTTACTGAAAAGAGAAATATAAACCCCTTTGCTAATGAAGTTTTTAAACTAGGAACAATGATCATAGAAATTTGTAAGTGCAAACACACGATTTGTGTTCTGTGCTCTAGTCAGTTAAGAAAAATATATTAGCCAGGTATGGCGGCTCACATCTGTAATCCCAGCACTTTGGGAGGCCGAAGAGGGCGGATCACTTGAGGTCAGGAGTTCGAGACCAGCCTGGCCAACATGGTGAAACCCTGTCTCTACTAAAAATACGAAATTAGCTGGGTGTGGTGGCGGGCGCCTGTAATCTCAACTACTCGGGAGGCTGAGACACTAGAATCGCTTGAACCTGGGAGGCAGAGGCTCCAGTGAGCTGAGATAGTACCACTGCACTCCAGCCTGGGCAACAGAGCGAAACTCCAACTCAAAAAAAAAAAAAAGAAGAAGAAAAAGAAAAACAAAAAGAAAAAGATATTAGAGACAAAGAGAAAAAGAAAGAAGTAGAAGACCTCAGTAGCGAGAGGAAAACATTTGAAACTCAGTTCCAACCAATTTTAACATTGTGCTAAGGACTTACAGTGTTGCATTACTGTGACAATGGGCATGCCTGCAGGTACCACCTTTGGTTGGATACTTGTTCACCAGATTGGATGAAATTAGAACGGGACTCAGCAGGTGAGAGTTCCACCTCCCTGCTACTCACAGGAACACGGATACCATTTTTGGTGAAGGATAAAGTGCTTCAATTATTGCAGTGTATCCCCAGTCCATCCCAGAGGTATTTATTTATCATTGGAGATTCTAGGTATTAGTAATAGAGATATCAAAATGTCCCCAGCACAGAAAGAGTTAAGTGCACTTCTGGTTCCAGGAGCCCTTCAGAAAAGTGAATATTGATGTTATAATATATGAAATCAAAGAAGAAAGCTGGATTGAAATCCAAATAAAGTGAATTTACATCAGCTTATCTTCACTTCTTGGGGGGAAACAATTGTTTTTATAACATGTTTATTGACTATATTTGGTTTAAGTTTATGAAAGCAGACACACTGTTTTCAGGGGCTGGGTTTACATAAGGAAAAGGATACACCAATGAAACAAGTTGAAACAGGCAGGAAACCTCATCTACAGCTACTTAAATGTAAGTGCATAGGTGCATAGTGCTGACAACATATGATTCTGTTCAGAGAAGCTGACATCTGTCTTAAACTACACTGTTATTCAAATTTTATGGAAATATAAGCAGGAACGCATTAGTACACTTCTTACAAAATTTTTGAAAGCTGTTGTAGTAAATCCCTTTTATCTGAACGGCTGCAGATTAAAATGAAATAGCCATATTGTTGATTTTTATAACTTTGCTAATGATCCATCATGAGCAAAGGGGTTTATAGCATTGGTAGTTGCTAGGCATTTTACTTTTATAATTCAGTTGAATCCAACCAACTCTCAATGCAAAGTTGACCAGATAGACAAGGATGGTTTATTGTTAAGATAGAAATTTCTGATGGCATGATACAGAGAACCCCTTTCTGGAGGTCATCAAAACATAACAGGCACAGCAGTCCTATAATGTGTCCATCTATTGTCAATGAAAATGAAACTTTCCACCTGCTAAGATAGTGACTGGTTTTATCCAAGGAACTCTCCATTTTAAAAACTTCGCTAAACTTGTTTACATTTTTCTGGCTGGTTGTGTATGTTTCTTTTCTTTACTTTTCTTTTTTGAGACAGGATCTTGCTCTGTCACCCAGGCTAGAGTGCAGTGGTATGATCATGGCTCACTGTAGCCCCCACCTCCCAAGCTCAACTGATCCTCCCACCTCAGCCTCCAGAGAAGCTGGGACCACAGGCATGTGCCACCACTTCTGGCTAATTTTTTAAATTTTTTTGTAGCGATGGAGGTCTCACTGTATTGCCTAGGCTGGTCTCAAATTGCTGGGGTCAAGCAATCCTCCCCGCTTAACCTCCCAAAGTGCTGGCATTACAGTCATGAGCCACAAGGCCTGGCCTATATTTCTTTTCTAAGTAGGATTAAATTACATTGCTTTATTATTTGATCAATAGCAGGATTGGCTCTTGGTAGCAGTGTGGGTTTTTTCTGTGTTTTTTTGAGACAAGGTCTCGCTTTATCACCCAGGCTGGAGTGCACTGGTGCCACCACAGCTCACTGCAGCCTTGACCTCTGGGCTCAGGTGATCCTCCTGCCTCAGCCTCCTGGGTAGCTGGGACCACAGGTGTACAGCACTATGCCTGGCTAATTTTTAAACTATTTGTAGAGATGGGGTTTAATATGTTTTTAAGACTTGAGATTGTTTCTTAGCATATATTTTGAATATGACCATTTGGGAGAATTTAACACAGAGTGAATTTCTTTATATGCTTTGGTATAACTGAGGAGAAGTTATCTTAACAGAATTCTATACTTGCTTGGACAAGCAAATTTTCCACAGCAACCAAAAATATTTCATTAGTCACTATCTTCAACAACTATTATCATCAAGTTTATTTTCATGTTAATGCCACTGTTAATAATTTTCTATGTTACAGTTGTGTTTTCCTACATGGATGGTCCAATATTAAGCTTCCTTTAGTGGGTCGAGGTATAAATAATTGCATAGCATACTATTTAAATGTAAATACTGGTTCAGAAAGAAGTGTAAATTATATTGAATAATTAAAAATAATTTTATTTATTTATTTACTTTGGTAGAGATAGAGTCTTACTGTTTTGCCCAGGCTGGTCTTGAAATCCTGGCCTCAAGCCACCCTCCGGCCTTGGCCTCCCAAAGTATTGAGATTACAGACATGAGCCACCATGCCCAGTCTAAAACCAATTTTAAATAAATGATATCATAAAGCTTTATAAATAAGATAATATGCACATTATGTGATTTTGAACAAATGACTTAAAATCTATATAGAAATCTACTTACTTGTACATTTGTGCTTTCTTTTAGTTGAACAAAGTTATCAAAAAGTAGCTTAAAAATACTCCCTTCAGGTCTACTTCCTTGAATTTTTAAAAATCCAACATAGACATAATTTTTCTGATGATGCTTAGAGTCTGTATAAACTGAACAAGATAAGAATCCTCTTGTCAATAAAAAAAAAAAAAGCTTCACTTCCCACTACAACCAATACCGAATAAGCTAATGGCATTTAAAGAAAGGCATGAAAACTCCAGAAGGAAAAATAGCAGTCTCTTTAATCCTATTTTCATAGTTATTGATGGTACAACCATGCTATCTCAAAGTCAAAGATCTGGAAGAAGAAAACCTGAAAATTTGATGATGGGAATTCTTGAATAGCAATATGCCCCCATTAACTGTAGCTAGACACAAATTCTCTTAAAAATAGCAGGTAGTATAATACAGACATACCTCGGAAATATTACCAGTCTGGTTCCAGACCACCACAATAAAATGAATATAGCATGAAGGAAATCACACAAATTTTTTGGTTTCCCAATACATATAAAAGTGGAGTTTAATAGGCATGGGCAAGGACTTCATGTCTAAAACACCAAAAGCAATGGCAACAAAAGACAAAATTGACAAATGGGATCTAATTAAACTAAAGAGCTTCTGCACAGCAAAAGAAACTACCACCAGAGTGAACAGGCAACCTACAAAATGGGAGAAAATTTTCGCAACCTACTTATCTGACAAACGGCTAATATCCAGAATCTACAATGAACTCCAACAAATTTACAAGAAAAAAACAAACAACCCCATCAAAAAGTGGGCAAAGGACATGAACAGACACTTCTCAAAAGAAGACATTTATGCAGCCAAAAAACACATGAAAAAATGCTCATCATCACTGGCCATCAGAGAAATGCAAATCAAAACCACAATGAGATACCATCTCACACCAGTTAGAATGGCAATCATTAAAAAGTCAGGAAACAACAGGTGCTGGAGAGGATGTGGAGAAATAGGAACACTTTTACACTGTTGGTGGGACTGTAAACTAGTTCAACCATTGTGGAAGTCAGTGTGACGATTCCTCAGGGATCTAGAACTGGAAATACCATTTGACCCAGCCATCCCATTACTGGGTATATACCCAAAGGACTATAAATCATGTTGCTATAAAGACACATGCACACGTATGTTTATTGCGGCATTATTCACGATAGCAAAGACTTGGAACCAACCCAAATGTCCAACAATGATAGACTGGATTAAGAAAATGTGGCACATATACACCATGGAATACTATGCAGCCATAAAAAATGATGAGTTCATGTCCTTTGTAGGGACATGGATGAAATTGGAAATCATCATTCTCAGTAAACTATCACAAGAACAAAAAACCAAACACCGCATATTCTCACTCATAGGTGGGAATTGAACAATGAGAACACATGGACACAGGAAGGGGAACATCACACTCTGGGGACTGTTGTGGGGTGGGGGGAGGGGGGAGGGATAGCATTGGGAGATATACCTAATGCTAGATGACGAGTTAGTGGGTGCAGCGCACCAGCATGGCACATGTATACATATGTAACTAACCTGCACAATGTGCACATGTACCCTAAAACTTAAAGTGGAATAATAAAAAAAAAAGAAAAAAAAAGTGGAGTTTATACTATAGTCTATTAAGTATGCAATAGCATTGTGTCTAAAAATGTACATATCTTTATTTTAAAATACTTTATTGCTAAATAATGCTAATGATCATCTGAGCCTTCAGCAAGTCATAATCTCTTTGCCCATGGAAAGTCTTGTCTTGATGTTGATGGCTGCTGACTGATCGAGTTGGTGCTTGCGGAAGACTGGGGTGGCTGTGGCAATTTCTGAAAATAAGACAACAATGAAGTTTACTGCACCAATTGACTCTGCCTTTCACAAAAGATTTGTCTGTTGTATGTGATGCTGTTTGATAGCAATTTACCCAAAGTAAAACTTCTTTCAAAATTGGAGTTAATCCTCTCAATGCCTGCCAATGATTTATGAGCTACATTTATATAATATTCTAAATCATTTGTTTTCATTTCAGTGTTCACAGCAGCTTCACCAGGAGTAGATTCCATCTCAAGGAACCATTTTCTTTATTTATTCTTAAGAAGGTGCTCTCCATCCACTCAAGTTTTGTTTTTGTTTATTTTTTGAGACAGGGTCTTGCTCTGTTGCCCAGGCTGGAATGCAGTGCCACAAACACAGCACACTGCAGCCTCGACCTCCTGGACTCAAGCAATCCCTCCCACATCAGCCTCCTGAGCCTGCTGAGTAGCTGGAACTACAGGCAAATGCCACCATGCCCATCTTTTTTTTAATTGTTTTTATTTTTTTATTTTTTTTTAAGTAGAGATGAGTTCTCAAACTCTTGGGCTCAAGCGATCCTTCTGCCTCTGCCTCCCAAAGTGCTAAGATTACAAGCGTAAGCCACAATGCCTGACCAATTCAAGTTTTGTCATGAGATAGCAACAATTCAGTCACATCTTCTGGCTCCACTTCTAATTCTAGTTTTCTTGCTGTTTCCACCATATGGGTAGTGACTTCTTCCACTGAAGCCTTGAATACCTCAAGTCATCCATGAGGATTGGAATTAAGTTCTTCCAAACTCCTGTTAATGTTGATATTTTGACCTCCTCTCAAATTCATCCACAAGAGTTAGAATAAACTTCTTTCAAACTCCTGTTAGTGTTAATATTTTGACCTCCTCCCATGAATCACAAATGTTCTTAATGGTACCAAAAATGGCAAATCCTTTCCAGAAGGTTTTCAATTTACTTTTTCCAGATTCATCAGAAGAATCACTATCTATGGCAGCTATAGCCTTAGGAAATATATTTCTTAAATAAATAAAAAGACTCAAAAGTCAAAATTACTCTTTGACCCATGGACTGCAGAATGAATGTTGTGTTTGCAGGCATGAAAACAACATTCATCTATTTGTACATCTCCATACAGCTATTTGGTGACAAGGCGCATTGTTAATAAGCAGTAATATTTTGAAAGGAATTTTTTTTCTGAGCAATCGGTCTCAACAATGAACTTAAAATATTCAGTAAACCATGCTGTAAACAGAAGTGCCATCATGCAAGCTTGGTGTCCCATTTATAGAGAACAGGCAGAGTAGATTTAGCATAATCCTTAGAGGCCCCAGGATTTTTCCAAATTTACCATTTGGAACATTGGCTTCAACTTAAAGTCACCAGCTGCATTAGCCCTTAACAAGAAAGTCAGCCTGTCCTTTGAAGCTTTGAAGCCAGGCCTTGACTTCTCCTCTCCAGCTATGACAGTTCTAGATGGTATGTTTTTCTAATAGAAGGCTGTTTCTTCTACATGGAAAATCTGTGGTTTGCTGTAGCCACTTTCATTAATGATCTCAGCTAGATCATCTGAATAACCTGCTGCAGCTTCTGCATCAGCACTTGCTGTTTCACCTTGCACTTTTATGTTATGGAGACAGCTTCTTTCCTTAAACCTCATGACCCAACCTCTGCCAGCTCCAAACTTTTCTTCTGCAGCTTCCCCACCTCTCTCAGCCTTCATAGAATTGAAAAGAGCTAGGGCCTTACTCTGGATCAGGTTTTGGCTAAAGGGAATGTTGTGGCTGGTTTGATCTTCTATCCAGACCACTCAAACTTTCTCCATATCAGCAATAAGACTGTTTTGCTTTCTTGACAGTCACGTGTTTACTGGAGTGGCATTTTAGTATCCTTCAAAAACTTTTTCTTTGTGTTCACAACTTGGGTAATTGGCAAGAGACACCTAGCTTTCCTTCTATTTGAGCTCTCAACATGCCTTCCTCAATTAGCTTAATCCTTTCTAGTTTTTGATTTAAACTGACAGACACAGGACTTTTCTTTTGGCTTGAACACTTAGAGATCATTGCAGGATTACCAATTGGCCTAATTTCTATATTGTTGTGTCTCAGAGAGTAGGGAGGTCCAAGGAGAAGGAGAGAGATGGGGGAAATGGCTGGTCAGGGGAGCAGTCAGAACACACACAACATTTATTGATTAAGTTTGTCATTTTGTATGGGCTTGGTTCCTGGCACCCCAAAACAATTACAATTGTAACATCAAAGATCACTGGTTACAGATCATCCTAAAAGATATAATAATAATAATAATAAAGTTTGAAATGTTACCAAAATGTGGCACAGAGATAGGAAGTGAGCACCTGCTTTTGGAAAAATGGTGCTCATAGATTTGCTTGATCCAGGATTGCCACAAACCTTCATTTGTAAAAAATGCAGTATCTGCAAAGCACAGTACAGTGAAATGCAATAAAATGGGGTGCACCTGTATATAGAGTGCATGCCAGGAGTCAGGAAAGGTAGCTGCTATTTCTGTCTCTGTCCTTGAGCCATCATGGAAAGAAAACAGCTGGCTCCAAAGATGTGTCTCAGGGCATACCACTTACTTAAGGGATCACCAAGTTCAGGGTGTAGGTTTAATTCTCAGCATTGTAGGTCCAGAAATGTAACTTTGTTAATGCTCCAAAAAGGGATCAGTCTAAGGAAACGAGCTGAAAACAAGAAGCCTAATTATACTGACAGACGTAAATGCCCAGAAGATAAGTATTTTCTGGTCAGCACATTCCCACCAGTATAATGTACAAAAGAAGGCAAATTATGTTAAAAGATTTCCAAGTGACCATGAAATCAGAACAAGGAGAGCTGGCTGCTCTTAATGGGTAGTGTCAACAAGGAACAACTTGTCTGGTACAACGGTTATAGAGGGATGTCTCCAGCCAAGAGACTCAAGGGCTGTGTCAGCTGAATATTACGCTATTCATGGAGCTCCAGTGTTCTTTTGCATTCTAAGCTTTCGATATTCCCTAGTCACCAACTTGATTGGATTGAGGTGTTTTTTTTAAACTCCATCAGCAATATCAAACCATCTCTTGGAGAGAGCTACTTCTGCAGAATGATAAGCTCTCTTATGTTTTATTTTTGGCTCTCTCAGAGGATGGCTTTTTCTTTACTTTTTCTTGAACCAACCTCAAAAATCCAAAAGCATCTGACTGTCATTGCTTGTGTACTAATAGCCTAAATCCAAACTTGTTCAAATTATTTTCATTTAAAGTGTTCCCCTTTATATTAAGCCTTTAATCAAAGTAAAAAAGACTAGTATTTTTGCTTAGTATGTTACCTTAATACCTCATATTTCATCAAAAAATACTGTCCAATTTTTTCAGACTGAATATGCATTTGTTCTTTTTCATTTTGATGCCCAAAATGCAAATTCTTATAAAACTGATTTCTAATTTTAGAAATGTGAGTTGATCTAAAACTGCTAACATGACATTTCCATGAGAAAGTAAAAAGACTTTATCCATCTTCATAAAGATATAAGTTGCATGTTTCTCTAGATATTCAGATTACCCATACACAGTGAGAGTACTGTATTACACACTTGTATTGAAATTAAATACTTCAGATTTCCCTATGTCTGGATTGAATACAACTAACTTACTTTATATTGTTGAGCTATTAATATTACCCTGAAAATAGGGTATATTATATTACATACATAAATATATACAGTCATGCACTGCATAATGATGTTTAGGTCGATGACAAACTGCATAGGACAGTGGTCCCAGAAGATTATAATGGAGCTGAGAATTGCTTATTTCTAGTGACTCTGTAGCCGTAATGTAGCATACAATGAATTACTCAAGTGTTTGTAGTGCTGGTGTAAACAAATGTACTGCACTGTCAGTTGTATATAACACATATAAATCATGTACAGTACATAATACTTGACAATAATAATACACAAATATGCCACTGGTTTATGTATTTAGTATACTATACTTTTTATTGTTTTAGAGCACACTTTTACTTATTTAAGAAAACGAGTTAACTGTAAAATAGCCTTAGGCAGCTCGTTCAGGAGGGATTCCAGAAGGAGGCAATGTCATCCTAGGAGATGACAGCTCTATGCGTGTAATTGCCCCTGAAGACCTTCAAGTGGGACAAGATGTGGAAGTGTAAGACAGTGATGTTGGTGACCTTGATCCTGTGTCACACTGGTGACCCTAATGTGTGTGTTTTTGTCTTTGTTTTCACAAAAACATTTAAAAAGTTAAAAAAAAAATAAAAAAGAAGAAGACCAGGAGTCACACCTCTAATCCCAGCACTTTGGGAAATGAGGCCAAGGAGGGAAGATCACTTGCGAGAGGATCCCTTGAGGCCAGGAGTTCGAGACCATCCTGGCCAACGTACGATCCTGTATCTACCAAAAATAAAAATAAAAATTACTTGGGTGTGGTGACCCATGCTTATAGTCCCAGCTACTCAGGAGGCTGAGGCAGGAGGATCACTGGAGCCCAGGAGTTTGAGGCTGCAGTGAGCCAGGATTGCACCACTGTACTCCAGCCTAGGCAACAGAGCAAGACCCTGTCTCCCAAAAAATAAAAAATTAAATTAAATTAAATTTTAAAAAGAGTTTAAATAAAGGAAAGATTACAGAATAAGGATATAAAGAAATAAAATGTTTTTGTACAGCTGTACAATGTGTGTTTCAAGCTAAGTGTTATAACAAAAGAGTCAAAAAGTTATAAAAACTCTTTAAAAGTAAAAAAGTTATAGTAAGCTAAAGTTAATTTATTATTAAAGAAAGAAAAATATTTTTTATAAACTAGCGTAGCCTAAATGTACAGTGTTTATAAATTAGTGTAGCCTAAACATACAGTGTTTATAAAGTCTACGGTGGCAAACAGGAAGGTCCATTCACTCACTGCCCACTCACTGGCTCACTCAGAGCAACTTCCAGTCCTATAGATCCATATACCGCAAGTGCCCTATACAGGGGTACCGTTTTTAATCTTTCATACTGTATTTTTACTGTAGTTTTTCTATGTTTAGATACACAAATATTTGCCATTGTTTTCCAATTGCCTACAGTTATCAGTACAATCCCTTTCTGTACACGTTTGTAGACTAGGAGCAATAGGCCACACCATATAGCCTAGGTGTACAGAAGGCTCTACCATCTGGGATTGTGTATGTATAATCTGTGATGTTTGCACCTGGACCAAATTGCCTGAGGACCTGTCATTAATGGATGCATGACTGTCTTGTGTTATAATAAGAAATATATTTGTCTTTGGTTTCTGTCACACAGCACCTAAAGCTCTCAGAATCTCTGGAGTGATAGGAGTGTCATTTTGTATTCATAAGGAGACAACCCCTCCCCCCACCTCCCTGAAACTCCTGCACTCAGGATTCTCCTGGACCTCACCCTCTGTACCTCTCCATCTAGCGGTTCATTTGTACCCTTTATAATTAATGGGTAGATGTAATTAAAGTGGCTTTGTGAGTGCTGTTAGCCATTCTAGCCAATTACGGGAGCCTGAGGAAGGGGTCATGGGAACCCCTGATTTATACTCACTAGGTCAGAAGTATGGAGGCCTGGGACTTGTGACTAGCTTCTGAGTGGAGGGCAGTCTTATGGGACTGAACTCGTAAGCTGTGGGGTTTGCACCAACTCCATGGAGTTAGTGCCAGAATCGAATTGTTGAACATCCAGTTGATATGAGAGGAATCAGAGAATTGGTTGTTGGTGTTGGAAAACACCCCAGCTGTAATATCCCAGAATGGAACAAAACTCACCAATTTAATCTACTTGAACCAACAACATAAAATATAAGAGTAAGAAAGTTGTTCTTAGCTTTTCAACCTGTATTTCAGCACTAAACTGCTGAGTTCCTTAAGATCTCCTTAAGAAACCACTGTTGATATTTCTGAGATTCCCTTTGTCACTCAAAAGACCACCAGGATGGCTAGATAGTAGAAAGGAGTACTTTAATGTTGAGATTGGCTTGCAAGCTGGGAAGAGAAAGTTTCCATCTTGGAAGGTGGTCTCTCTCTCAAGAGGAGGAGCACAAGTTGGATTTTATGCCTCACAGGGCTGGTGTCATACAGATTTAGCAGGTTTAGGGGGAAGCTATGCATATTTGTGAGAGGAGCCATACACATGTGCAATGGGTAAACATATATGTAACATACACCCCATGTTCACTTTGGGGCAGAGTTTTAGTATTAAAATGAGGTGGAAAAAGGTAAACTAGAGGACACAAAGACCATTTGTGTGCAGCCTCTATACACTGGCTGAAACTGGTGTGAGGTCTGCAATCGTTTCTCAGATAAGTATGTGGTAAGGCCAGTCCTCTGTCCCATCAGAGTTGTAAATCAGCCTGATGGCTCATATTGTTAGGGAGTTTATAAGAGTGTGATTTTTCTTATAGTTGTAAGAATTTAGAAATTGGCCAGGCCAGCTGGGCCTTTATTTAACCTTAGGGCCCATCTTAGTTGATAAGGGCCTCTCAGATAACACCTTACTCTGTCTAAACAGAAAAAAAAAAACCCACATGTCTTTGTAAGTATGGTGGATCAATGTAATTAATGGTCTCAATTAGTGATCTCCCTTTTCCATACCCCTTTGCATTTCTTCCCGTCATGAGGCAGGAATCAGGGAGGCCCTTATATCTTACTTAGGCCAGTAGAAAGGGCAAAGTGATGGTGTGCCAGTTCCCAGCTTAGGCTCCCAAGGCCTTATTTATTCCTATTTATGCCATGATTCTATGTGATCGCCAGAAGAATAAGCTTGCCTGCTGGGGAATGGGACACAGCCAGTTGTTCCATTTAAGGCCCTAGTATGAGAGATCACACAGTGCTCAGCCAGCCCACCAGCTGACCATCTGTGGTCAGCATAAATGAAGGAGCCCAGAAAGATTAGCTGAGCTGGCTCAGATCCACAGAACCATCCAGCCAATCTAAATACTCCTGGGAAATAATAGATTATAGTGTTAAACCTCCAAGTGTTTTAAGTGTTTTTTAATGCAGTAATATTTAGGTGAGACAATAGGTTTATTGATTATTACATTAAAATAACGTTATTTTAATGGGATGTCTTTTTATACAGCCATATTTAGGAGAGACAATACATTTATTTATTATTACATTAAAATAATGTTGTTTCTGGCCAGGCGCAGCAGCTCACACCTGGAATCCCAGCACTTTGGGAAACCAATGGTGGGAGGATCCTTGAGCCCAGGAGTTTGAGACCAGACTGGTCAACACAGCACAACCTGATCTCTACAAAAATAAAATAAACTTTAAAAATAACATTATTTCTTTTCTCCTGAAGTAAAATGATTACCGAACTAGGTGCTTTGCTCCCCTAAAACTCGAATGTTGTGTAAGTTCAGCATTTGTGATTTCAGGGACAAAGTCACAAGAAGCAAATGCAGCTATGTTTTATACGAATGTGAGACAGTATACAGCGTTGGCCCATTAATGTTTCTCTTATGTTCTCCCTAACTAGCCATACTCTCCTTCCTATTAATTCTTCCCACTCAGTTTACACAGATATGCAAGTGTTTTCCACCCTGACTGACAGCAACAGAAGAGGTCCTTTGACTTTGTTTCTGTCTTCCCTATTCCTCCTTTAATTACCAGAACCCTATAGAAATCTATCTATCTTGGACACTTAACGCTTTAACTCCCTGCAGTCTGACATCTGCTCCCTGCACTCTACTGAAACAGCTCTCTGAAAGGTCATAAATGGCCCTTGAATTGTCCAAATTTATTTTATTTATTTTTGAGTTAGGATCTCACTGTGTCACCCAGGCTGCAGTACAGTGACAGGATCCTAGCTCACTGCAGCCTTGAACTCCTGGGTTCAGGCGTTCCTTCCACCTCAGACTCCTGAGTAGCTGAGAGTGCAGGCTCGAGACACCACTCCCAGCTAATTTTTGTATTTTTGGTAGACATGGGGATTCGCCATGTTGCTCAGGCTGGCCTCGAACTCCTGGCTGCAAGTGATCCTCCTGCCTTGGCCTCCCAAAGCACTGGCATTGTAGGCATGAGCCACTTCGCCCAACTTTATTTTATCACGTCATTGTTATTACCAGACTCCTCTGTAACATTTGATGATACTGAGCACAACTTTCAAATCCCCTCCTTTGGCCTTAAGCAGGTACAAAATCCCTTTGAGTTTGCTTAGGAAAAAAGACAACTTTCTCAGGCAGAGTCAGAAGTCTTTCCCACACTACAAAGTCAGGAAGCTCAGCCTGGCATCCCTGCACAGCAATGGGGCCAAGGTCACCCTCCCTCACTCCAGGTGCTCCCTTTTCTTGGTCCTTTTCATGCTGTCCTCTCTGTTTCTCTGTATGCTGTCTTTCTCTGCCTCAGCAGGTACCATGGCCATGCCCAGCCATCCCAGGCCCGGTTTAATCACCTCACAGACTGATTTGCTTCACTGAATTCCAGTTTCTCATTCTTGGGAAGGATTAGAGGACCCAGCTTGACTCAGATGTCTACTATTAATCCATAAATGGGCAGAGACACACATTCAGAATGTCACAGATGCCCACGCCTGGTATAAATAGAATACAGAATGGTAGGCATCCCCAAATGTGCCTCCAGCATCTTGCCTAGTTCCCACTAGTGGAGCAGTCCCAGCTGTACTCCCCACCTTCGTCTCTGACCACATCTCAGTCTGCCTCACCAACCTCCTCCTCTTCCATTTATCCTCAACAACTGGCTGAGAACATTCTATTCCTTCTAAATCTGGGCTCTTTTCCTGAGCTTTCAGTTCCATTGATAATGACATTAACTGTTTGGTTTATTGTTGTCGTTGTTTTACTCCAAAATCTATATATCTTACCCTGACATTCTCTGCAGTTGCACACTCAAATTTCCATCCTGCTGCCTGCTAATTCTGCATGAATTTTTCACCACATTCGACATATCCAAATCCTCCTTCATTTTTTTCTCTCTGATCCTTTTATTTCTTTCCTCCTCCTCCTCCCCCTGCCCTTATTTAAGACCACCATCATCCCAGCCATTACCTTTTCCCTGATCCCTGCAGGTTCACTGTATTGCTAACTGTTATTGACACTTTTCTACATTATCATTTTCTCCCCACTCCACTTTATTTAAAAAAAATTCTGCCCTCCTCTCCCATTACCTACATCAAGACCTGATCATATCTCTCCAGAGCTATATTAGCACTCCTGACATACAGTTGGGCTTTTTTGTTTTGTTTGTTTGTTGTTTGTTTGTTTGGTTGGTGTTGAGATGGAGTCTCACTGTCACCCAGGCTGGAGCCAGCTCAGCTTACTGCACCTTTGCCTCCCGGGTTCAAGCGATTCTCATGCCTCAGCCTCCCAAGTAGCTGGGATTACAGGCCCGCGCCAACATGCCCGGCTAATTTTTTTTGTATTTTTAGTAGAGACAGGGTTTCACCATGTTGGCCAGGCTGGTCTCGAACTCCTTACCTCAGGTGATTCACTTTCCCCAGCCTCCCAAAGTGCTGGAATTACAGTTGTGAGCCACCGCGCCCGGCCTGACATAAAGTTTTGTGTGAACATTTTTACCTTGGACACCCACATAACTAATTTTGTTTCAGAATGGATTAGAGAAGAATTCAACTGGTAGAAGTAATTAAAAACAAATTTCATTCTTTTATCTGTGGAAGAACAGTTGAAGAGATTCAAATAGTTCATCTACACCAGCCCTTCGAACCAGCTGAAACACTCCTCTCTCCCTCCCTCTTTTCTCTTCTATCCTCTCTTTCCCACGTCAGCACTTGCCATGGATATCAACTAACCCCTCAAGAAATCTCAGCCTGTGCTTTTTACCTCCAGCCTGTCCCTTTCAGTATCCCTCCCTCCACCCTCTTGATCTTGTACTACAAACACCCAAAGAACAGCAACGTCAGGGGCAAAACTTCCCTTCCTGGGTAGGTGGGGTTGGGCAGGAAATAGAAAGAATGGAGCTGATCTGGCAGGAGCAAGGGTGCAGGCTGTGAGCTTTACACATGAAATATTTCAGCCACCACATTTGTCTTGGTGCTTACAGTTTTGTTGTTGGTTTTTAGAGATAAGGTCTCACTCTGTCACCCAGGCTGGAGTGCAGTGGCATGATCACAACTCACTGCAACTTTGAACTCTTGGCCTCAAGCGATTCTCTCACCTCAGCCTCTTGAGTAGCTAAGACTATTGCAGGCACGTACTACCCATGTCCAGCTCACTTTTTTAATTTTTTGTAGAGATATGGTCTTGCTCTGTTGCACAGACTGGTCTCAAATTCATGGCCTCAAGCAATCCTCTGGCCTCTGCTTCCCAAAGTGCTGGGATTACAGCGTGAGCCACCGCTCCTGGTCTAATTTTCATTTTTTTATTTTTATTTATTCACGTATTTATTTTGAGACAGAGTCTCGCTCTGTCCCCCAGGCTGGAGTGCAGTGGTACTATCTCAGCTCACTGCAACCTCTGCCTCCCAGGTTCAAGTGATTCTCCTGCCTCAGCCTCCTGAGTAGTTGGGATTATAGGCATGCGCTACCATGCCCAGCTATTTTTTGTATTTTTTGTAGAGACAGGGTTTGGCCATTTTAGCCAGGCTGGTCTCGAACTCCTGGCCTCGAGCAATCCATTCACCTTGGCCTCCCAGAGTGCTGGGATTACAGGCATGAGCCACAGTGCCTGGCCAAATCTCTAATATTTTAAAACCTTAGTGTATTAGAACCTCTGGCGCCCATTGAATAGTAGGGAATTGTAGGCGGCCTTATTTTGCTCCTGACTTTAATGGGAATGTGTTAAAGTTACCATGTTTACTACAGGCTCTGGTAAAGACCCTTTTTCAGGTTAAGGAAGTTCCATTACCTCTTGTTACTGTTTTGAGGTTTTTATGGTTTTTGTTTTTACATAAACACGTTTGGATATTATCAGATGCTCTTTCAACTTCTGTTGAGACAAGTCACTTTCTTTTTCCTTTCATAATGACTTGTTTCATAGAGTTTATTTCTTTATTTCTGGGATAATCCTAAACATACTTGTTTAAAAGTCATTTTGATATTCTTCTCTTATTTTTGCTTTATTGCTCTGTATTTGTCTTCCCATTTTGATTTGCTGACTGTTGTTTGTTTTTCCTCAGTGTTTATAGTCCTGGGGCCTTGGAGTGAGCTGTTTTCTCTCTCCCGCTCCCCTCCTCTCCCTCTTCCGCCTTCTCCTGGCCCTTGCCTTCTGGTCCAGCTTCAGGCCTTGTATTGGCAGCTCTGGCCTTCCATTCTACCATGAGACTGAGAGTTCTGCAGATACAGTCGCCAAGACAGTGAGGAACTTGGCCCAGGCCCTGTACCTTTCTCTTTCTGGGTGCAAAGCAAGAATACCACTTTATATCAGCGGTACTCCCTGGCAGCAAAAGTTGCTACTTTCAGGCTCTTTTCAGAGATTAGAGAGCAACACCCAAAGTCCAGTTTTAGATATTGAGCCTGGCTCCAGTCCTTCATCATCGTGAAATACTCTTTGGCAGGAATGGAACTGCCACTCACCTCGGATATTTCAAAACCTAGAAACTGCTGGGAGCATAGTTTTAGCCCCTGCATTCCACTGTGTGTGTGTGTGCGCGCGCGCGCGCGTGTGTGTGTGTGCGCGCGTGTGTGTGTGCGCGTGTGTGTGTGTGTGTGCGTGTGTCTGTGTGTGTGTTTCTAGGACATGGAGAAGACCACCTTACCATTTTAATTTGTTTCAGCGTGAGATGTTTAGATCAGGGTGGGTGCTTCAAAGACGAGCTCAGTGAGTTTTCTTTTGGTTTTATCCCTCTTTCAGCACTTTGCATAGTTCTTTGAATGTAAGTCTCCAACAAAGTTTCTGGAATTGAACCCATTTCATAATCAACTGGAAACTGAGTACAGTCTCATCACAAGTATACTGTGGAGGAAGTTCATTCATCAATACCACTTTGATCTAGATGAATTAATCCTTTCTGTGTGAAGGATTTCAAGATTCAGTCCCTGTTCACATGCATAGAGTGGCTCTAAAGAAAGGTAGGCACGTTCAGACAGTTACTAGGACAGACGTTACCACACACTCAATAAACAATCGGAAATAACAAGGATGATATAAGAAGAGCGGCTTCCTCTACAATTCAACTCTAAGGAATCAATTTAATATTTCTTACATATGCTTTCGTTATTATATCTTTATACTTTCTCTGCCTGCCTTCACTTATCATTGCTATGGTGAAAGGTATGCAAGTAACTAGCCTATTTATCTGAACTCATAGTCTCCTTTTTAATCAAAATTTCCTTTACCAAGCTTCCTTCCAGAGGTCATAACTCCCACATCTCAGGCTAGTAAATTACCTTCACCTCCCTTCTACCTTTTATTTCTTTTGCTTTTAGATTTTGTCTCTGTTAAGTGCCAACTCTTTTGTCTCTGGCTGTAGAGTGTCCCAGAAGCTATTATGTAGAGCTCTAGACATGTAACTTGATAATCTCCACCTTTTAAAACAAAGTCTGATTCCTTTTTTTTTTCTTTTTTTCAGATGAAGTCTCACTCTGTCACCCAGGCTGGAGTGCAGTGGCACGATCTCGGCTCACTGCAACCTCCGTCTCCTGGGTTCAAGTGATTCTCGTGCCTCAGCCTCCAGGGTAGCTGGGATTCCAGGCACCCACCACCACACACAGGGCTAATTTTTTGTAATTTTAGTAGAGACGGGGTTTCACCATGTTGGTTAGGCTGGTCTCGAACTCCTGACCTCAGGTGATCTGCCCACCTCGGCCTCCCAAAGCGCTGGGATTACAGGTGTGAGCCACTGTGCCCGGCCTGATTGCCCTTTTCGAATCTTAAATTATCTTACCTTGGGTTCCAACTCAATGCATACATCTCCATACTCACATCGGTTTTTTATTACAGCCCTCCAATCTGGAGGATATTCTTCTGCTTTCATCTTTCTTCAATCTGATTTAAACCTGAAAATGAACCACCACCAAAGTAAACAGCAAACAGAAATCCAAATGTGGGACTCTTATTTTATCACTAACAGTCTTAATAATCAACATAAATTTTTCATGTAAACAAGTACTAATAAGCCAGAATACCTTGCACTGATTCGTGTTCATTGAATTGCTCCATTGTCTACTTAGCATGTAGATAAGGTCTTACACTATAGTTATATTTTGCTATACTCAGACTATGTTCTAATCAGATTTTTAAGATTTTTGTGCAATAATCTTCTTCACAGAGGCTCTGTCAACATTTATTCAGATGCTTCTTCTTTATCATCTTTAAATTAAACTCTGAGGGAAATTTTTAAGTAGCAAACTATTCAAATTGAAATTGTCTAATGTTGGCCCTTGATCGTATTGTCAATGCCCCTTTAGCACTTTCTTCTAAATGCTTCACTCAACCTTCACATCAGCTCTCATCATGCTATTAGCATCATTTTTCTTATTTTTAAAATGGAAAAAAAATTATTATTTATATTTTCTACAATATTATTAATTAGGTTTCACTGATTTTCTACACTATTATTAATTAGGTTTCACTGATTTCTGACAATCCAACCTTTTTTTTTTTTTAATTTTAGAGACGATTCTTCTCTGTTGCCCAGGCTGGAGTGTGGCACAATCATAGCTCAACTCCTGGGCTCAAACAACCCTCCTGCCTCAGCCTCCTAAGTAGGTGGGACCACAGGTGCTTGTCACCATGGTTGGCTAATTTTAAATTTTTTACAGAGACCGGGGTCTCACTATGTTGGCCAGGCCAATCTCAAACTTGTGGCTTCAAGTAATCCTTCTGCCTTGACCTCCCACTGTGCCTGGTCAATCCAACCTTGAGAATGTCCTGTTTTCAATAACCAGCTATTTGTTGGCAAAATACTTAGTGGCATCTTTTTAAAATTTTTGTAGGTCAACAGTGTAATATTATGAGGCAAACGTTAATACTATGTATTATTTTTCCCTAAGTGTAAGTTCAACTCAACATTTGGAAAACAATTTACAAAACTGTGTCCAAACTATTTTCTAATAATAAGTATAAACATTCTTTCCCTTGGAAAAGATTTACTGGTTTCATTTTCTTCTCGGGAAAGGAAAAAAGGCTTAAGTGCAAAAACAATCTTATGAGCAAAGTCCTTTCATGACTAATGTTCTCATTCAAATCCTCCCACTCTTGTGCCATGCTTCTCAAATCGGAGGGTTGTTCCCCCCAGGAACGGGCTTCCATGTGCCGAAAGTATATAAACTCTTGAGCATCTTCATGAAATACTGTTATTCTCTAGCTTTGTCAGGAGGGAGACTAAAATTATTTAGCCGATGATCTAAAGCATTATTTTTATATTAAAATAAACATGGATATATTACGGAGTGGAGGCAAAATATGCCTGGATTTTTAAGATAAAACTGGAAGCTTCAAAAATAATTTTGTTCTTCTGGAAAAATTATGTTTTACATCTTGTCTATCTCTAGAAAGCTAATTTTATTATTCTAATATTGTCCTTCTGTTAGAATTTTGCCTCCTCTGTAATTTCATTCATGCAGTCATTTATAACAGACGAGTTGTAGCTGGTGGATGAAGCCAGATTGTCCGTGGGCTATTTGCTCCTTTGACTCATGTATTTTGATTGAGGTGGAAGATTAACATCTGCTATGATACAGAATGACCCATGGTGCTGTTCATGAAATACAGATTTGTGGCTCCAGGTGACATGATTTTTATAAAGTGTTCAAGTTGGTCTTATATGAATGGATTTAATATTTTATTGTATAGTGCCATATTCTTTCCAAAATAAGAAAGATGATAGAAAACTGTTAGTATTGTAAAAATTTTAACATGTGGAAAAAATATGTTTCCCCAGTTTGTCATCTGGTCACCTGTTTGGAGAATGAGAAATGTCAGAATACAGAAGGGAAGTGCTTACTAACCACACCAGGTGGGCTCAGATCTGTCTGTTTATTCATAAAATCGTTACGCTGCTGCGAAAAGCTCTGTCGTCTTGTTTTATTGAAGAATATATGTCAACTTTGGCAAAATTAAAGAAATGAATAAGAATCTAATGAATCCTATTCAGTTTATGTATTTCCCACCAAATTTTCTTCTTATCTTTGCCAAATATTGTTGTTTTCACATAGTGAAAGGAAATCAAGAAATGCTGTGTGCTGCTTTTCCAAATTAATTTTAATTTATATTTCCATATATCAACATGGTTTTCAAAGTTGACATTTTTATAACTCAGCTTGACAAAATTAATTTTATTTCATATTTTTATGCATCAGCATGAACCTCACAGTTGACATTTTTATAGCTCTGCAGTAAACTTCTGTTGTAATATGACTTTTTGCTTGCCATCTCCTATTCTTAGTCATTTGGGTTTTTCCCTGCTGCGTTTTTGTTTTTGCAATCATAAATAGCATTACTATAAATATTTTTAAGTAAATAACTTCTAAATATGTTTATTTCCTTGGAGAATGTTCCAGAGAGTAAGATTATTGTGCCAAATCATACCCAGTAATTTCATAGCTCATCACATTTTTTTCCCAGAACAACTAAAATAATTGGCAATGTGATCAAAAACATTTAAAATTTGTCATTCTCAGGTACAACAGCACTGATATTTTATAATTCCTATTTATTTAGTAGATAAGTATAAAATAGTGTTTTTTATTTTTTACTTTTTATTTTGTAGAGACAGGGCCTTGCTTTGTTGTCAAGCTGGTTTTGAGAACTTCTGGCTTCAAGCAATCCTCCCACCCAGACCTCCCAAAGTGCTGGGATTACAGGTGTAAAGCACAGAGCACGGCCTAAAATAGTATCTTAATATTATTAGAAACACTTATTAAATAAATATGCATTATTCTGTGTGATTTCTTATCTGTAGTTCCATGTTATCGAATGATCCATTAATTTCTTTTACCCAATTATCAAATGGAATGTGATACATTTGTATCAATTAGTTGCATATTTTAGAAAGCAAGCTTTTTAAAGAGCATCAGATACATCGAGCACACTGAAATGTATACAAAATAATATAATATATATCCTGAAAACATTATATAGATAAATAAATTTAGCATTTTTTCGTATTTATTTGTTTCTGCTTTTTTTTAATAGAGAAGGGGTCTTGCTATGTTGCCCAGGCTGGTCTTCAACTCTTGGCCTCAAGCAGTCCTCCTGCCTCAGCCTCCCAAAGTGCTGGGATTACAGGTGTGAGCCACCACGTGTGGGCTTGTTTTGGTTTTTGATAAGCAGATAAGGCAGGTTCAGAAATGAAATACATCTGATGTAATTGAAGCCCCTTTGGAACCCCCTCAGACTCAGTTCCCTTCCCTCATTCTCTAGGACATCACTCCAAATGTCATGTTTATTATAGCCACTCACATTTTTATACTATTCCTACATATATATGTAAAGCAAAAATATCATGTTTTACATGTTTTCAAGCATTATTTAAGAGGTATTTTCTTTTTTCTTTTTTTTTTTTTTTGAGATGGAGTCTCAATATTGCCCAGGCTGGAGTGCAGTGGCACAATCTTGGCTCACTGCAACCTCCACCTCCCGGGTTCAAGAGATTCTTCTGCCTCAGCCTCCCAAGTAGCTGGGACTACAGGCGTGCACCACCATGCCCGGCTAATTTTTGTATTTTTGGTAGAGACAGGGTTTCACCATATTGGCCAGCTGGTCTCAAACTCCTGACCTCATGATCCGCCCACCTCGGCCTCCCAAAGTGCTGGGATTACAGGCGTGAGCCACCGCGCCCAGCCCTTAAGTGATATTTTCTCTACATGTCATGTTGTAACTTTTCTTTTTATATCAAGATCATACTAAGTTTAATTCACTTTGAGACATGTAGATCTAGTGTATTTATTTTAGTGGCTATGTATTATTTCAAATTATCTTTTTCTGATTGAAGATCATGTCAGTTTCTAATTTTTTTAGATTACAAATCATAACTCTGAACATTCTCTTGTATCTTTTTCTCCTCTTTATATATTTATATTTACATAGGCATTTATAATATATATGTGTGTGTATATGCTTCTGTGTCTACATGTGTACATCATCATATACTGTATATACACACATCCACACATACTATGCATATCCCTAAAAGTGAAACTTACATGTATATTCCTAGAAGTGACATGGCTGATTCCTACTGCCCAATTGCTCTATAAAATCACTACATTTTATTTAGTTTCCTACCGATAGTGTAAAGGAGTTTCATTTTCTCTACATCTGTATCAATCAGGAATGCACTTCATTGCACGTATAGGACATCTGACTCACAGTGACTTCTTTAATAAGAGTTTGCCTTTTCTCACGTAACATTTTGGAGACAAGCAGCTGCTACTACTGGAGCAGATCGATCAGGTCAGAAGCAGCGTCTCTGTGAGGAGCTTGGCTTTACCTTCATGCTCGTCTCCCAAGGTTATATGAAGGCTGCAGTGATATGAGACATCACTTCTCTGCTCAGAGGAGGACGAAGAGAGGGATGCCAGAAGAGGCAAAGCTTCCCAGTGCTCTTCAGCCCACTTCCACACCCAGTGCTGTGGCTCGTGTCCTCCTCCAGCCGGAAGGAAGGTCAAACTCTAGTAGGGAGCAGCCAAGGGCACAGAGGTTGGAGATGATGTTTCACCAGCTGACCAGGAGTATCTGCTCCACCATCCCTGCCAAGGCTCGGCAGGCTTTCGCGTTTTTTCACCAATCTCAGTTTTTCATTTCCCTGATTGCAAGTGAAGCTGAACGTCTTTCATACCTTTCTAGTTTCTGCCTCTGTCACTTGCGTGTTCACATAGTTGGAACATTTTTCTGCTGAATTGTTTTGTCATTTTTCTTAACGTGTAGATCTTTATAGATATTAGATACAAATCTTTCATAGATTATGTGCATCACACATGTATTATTTTAATCTATGGCTTATATTTTTAGTGTATAGTGTTTTTTGATACACAGAAGTTTTTTTGTTTTAAAGTAGTTACATTTTTCTGTATTTTCTTAAATGTCTTGTGGTTTTGACATCTTCTTTAAGAAACTTGAGGTCATAAAGGTACGTTTCTATGTTTTCATTTTCACACTTAAGGGTTGAATCCAAACCTGGGGACTGACTGATTTTTGAATTAAGTGATTCCTTCCCCAACTGGTTTCCTTTCCCCACTGTTTTATTTCTTTCCTATATCTAACTTCCATATATGTGTGTGTATATATATATTTGTGCTTTGGGGCTCTTTCTTCTTGTTGATTGGTGTATTCGTTTTCCACCAAACTTTAGTCTTATCATATATCTGATAGCTAATAGAAATACTTCTCTTCTTTGTTCTTCAAAATTTTAATGTCAATTCTTGGTCTTTTACTCCTTTATATATATTTTAGAATCAGTTTATCAAGTTCTAGAAAAAAATAATGCTTGCATTTATTTTATGGGTTAATTTGAAAAGAATGGCTGGCTTTGAATTTTGTCTTCTCATATATGTCTTCAGAATATTGGAGATAGCCCCTATCTAGTCCTAAAGTCAGTGGCTGGCATAGTTCTGTTCCTGGGTTCCAGGCTGCGTCTGTTTCCCTGCGTATCTAAGACCATAGCTTGCTAAAATCAACAGGTTAAAGTGATGGACAAGGAACTTTTTCTTCCACCTCCTTTCAGAAGCATGGGAGCCCTTCCCTAGCCTGCTCTGGTCCCTCTGCATTGAGTGAGCTTCTTAGACTCCCTCCACCTCTGGAAAATGGAACTTCTTGGCCATCACTTCCTGATTCCAGACCTGGAATATAGCTACTGATTGCCTTCATCCCTGTTCACTGCTCTGAGTTAGTCTTTGGGTTTTTATCCATTGAAGGGTTTTACTTGCTTAGGAACCCAGATTTTCCTTCTGGTTTTACATTTTTATTCTTTATTGATTTGTTACTAACTAACCGTTTGAAGCTAAGGGAGTTTTCAAAGAATGAATGTAGTACATCATCCTGATGGGAAGTGAAAGAATATTTGGCCTGGTGTGGTGGCTCACGCCTGTAATCCCAGCACTTTGGGAGTCTGAGGCGGGTGGATCACAAGGTCAGGAGTTCAAGACAAGCCTGGCCAAGAGAGTGAAACCCCATCTCTACTAAAAATACAAAAAGTAGCTGGGTGTGGTGGCACACGCCTGTTGTCCCAGCTACTCAGGAGGCTGAGGCAGGAGAATCACTTGAACCCAGGGGGAGTGGGTTGCAGTGAGCCGAGACTGTACCATTGCACTCCAGCCTGGGCGACACAGTGAGACTCCGTCTTAAAAAAATAATAAAGAATATTTAAGTTTAAATTGTGACATGAAAATATCGTTTTCCTTCCTATTTGTCACATTTTACTCTATAATTGAATTTATCCAATAGGTATATTCACCTTCAATGTTAAGCTCTATTTTTTAATATTCATGGATTTATATACATTTCGGAGACAGAATAAACACATAACTGAATTTTTATTTAGGTTATTGGGGATTTGGCTATATTTTTGAGCATACGTGTGTGCATTTCAATAAAGAGAAACTTCTAGTGTGTGTATGAGCTTGGGAAAATTACTTTGTTTCTCTGTACTTCAGTTTCCTTTTCTGTAAAACACATGTGGTAATAATGTCTACTTTTTAGGACTCTTGAGTTTATGTATGTAGATGAGTTAATATATTTCGACCACTGAAAACACTGCTAGACACCTTGTAAGTTCTCTACATGTTTATTGTTGTTATAACTAACTCTACTCGATCTCTTAATTTTGTGTTTTTAGTCAGGTTAGTCAGGAGTATGAAATCTGTCTCTCTTTGTTCTATTTTTTTATCTTTCTTTCTTTACAAAGATAATCAAATCTCTTTGTTCTTACCTTCCTTTATTTCCCCATGAGGATTTTACTTTTTTCTTTTTTTAAATAAAGATGGGTTTTTGCCATGTTGCCCAGGCTGGTCTCAAACTCCTGAGCTCGAGTGATTCTCCTGCCTCAGCCTCCCAAGTGCTAGGATTACAGGTGTGAGCCACCATGCCAGCCCAGATTTCACTTTAAAAAAATCTTGCCTTTGTCATGAATGAAATCACTTTTATTTTCTAGCTTTCTGTTGCTTGTGTAGAGGAATGCAATATTTTTTTGTGTATTTGTATCCCTGCAACCTTGCTGAATATGTTTGTTCTAAAGATTATTTTTACTGCATTTTTTTGAGTTTTGAACTCATATAGCCATGATTTATTAAACTCTTTGGATAGGCACTATACTAAGATTATACACTAAACTCTATTATTCAGAAAATAAAACCTCTTTGTCAGTTAGCATTGGGCTCAACTTTAATTGCCAAAATTCCAAAAGGATAGTGGCTGAAACAAGACAGAAGTTTATTTCTTTCCCATGTAACTGTGGACCAGAGTTGGGCTGTCCAGGTTGTATAATAGCTCCAGGGTTATCAGGGACCAGTCTTCTTCTATCATTTTACTCTGCCATACTCAACACATCACTTCTACTTCATGGTCCAAGGCGGGGCTGCTTGGGTGCCAGCTATCACTTCCAGACCAAACCTGTCTCATTGTGCAATGGTTTTATAATGAATATTTTTATAACTTATGGCCTAAATAGTTAATAGTAGTCCTTGCCTAAGCACCAAGTTCATGACTAGACATCAATAGATTGCATTCAAATTTGGTTGTGTGTGTACTTAAAATAAGCATACATTCTTGGAATTCCTACTATAAACCAGGAACTTTCACGGCATTTCCTCATCTCATCTTCACAACAGCTCTTTAGGGTAAAGATTATTATTGCCACTCTACCAGTGAAGAAGCAGTGCAGAGCTCTTGCCATTTCCGCACCCTCTATGTCAACAGCCACTCACATGTCAAAAGATTGTTGTGCTGCAGAGCTCATGTGTCCTGACACTGCATCATTTCCACCAGCTCTCCTCCTTGCTCTCTTCAAAGCTTCTTCCTGGTTCCTTCTTTGGCAAAAAGGTTTTTTCTTCATCTATTGAGCAAAGAGAAAAGGGATTTACTAATTTAGAAAAGATGCATTTTGCTTTCAAACTGATGTTCCTTTGGCTGGAAACATCCTTTATGGTATTTGAAATCCTTGAACTCTCCCCTCTTGCTGCAAATAGGTTACTGTTATACATTCAAAATCAGTAATCCTCTAGAACTCTGATAACCATTTCAGAAACCTTGATATCCATCACCATCCCAGGCTCCTTACAGCTTCTCCCCTTTCATTCATACATTTAAGTAGAATCTTTCTTTCTTTCTTTCTTTCTTTTCCTTCTTTTTTTCTTTCCTTCCTTCCTTCCTTCCTTCCTTCTTCTTTCTTTCCTTTTTTGCAAGTCAATTTATGTTCCCTGGGTTACATTATCTGATGTGCTAACAATTCTTCCAAAAATAATGATACCGTAATACACAGTCCACTCCTCAATCTTCAGATCTGCATCACTGATTATTTTTGAAAGTGGATGAAAACATCAAGTAGCTCAATCTGGTTTACTTTTATGTATGAGAAAAATGGCTCCATTTTGTTTACCATCGACTGTGTTAAAAAAAAAAGTAACATTAAATGCTGATCATATCCTTTATGGCTTATACAGCCCTGGAATATGTCTTTGAATGGCTGTGAATGACATTGCTGAATTTTATGTCAGTAGAACAATATGACAAAGGACACTAATAAATTGGATTCAGTCCCTGTGTTAGAATTTTTTCCCACTACTCCTTTAGCAGATATATTCACACATACCTTAAACAACACTTCCTCATAAATAAAATTAGGAATCTGATACAAGAGGCAACAAAGTATAATAACAAGAGGATTCGCCTAGGGAGACAGAAGATCCTGATTTCTGAATGACCTTAGGCAAGTCACTTAAATTCTCTGTCCCTCAATTTCTCCTATAAATTAGAAAAAATAAACCATAAGATTTAAAGGCCCTTCTGTAGATAAAACTAACTTCTTGAAAAAATAACTAACAAATTACATGCATTTTTGAAGAATGAAATAAATATTAGTACAGAAAGTAAACATTACTTCATCATTTTTACTGATTGTGAAACCATCTTAATTGTCCCATAGAGCTGATATTTATGTTTTTTAAAAAATAAATATAGAAATTGAACCTCCCGGTCTTAAAACCTGAAGCTTGTATTTGTCCTATCTGAGTTTCTTCCTCAGGAAACCAACTCTCTGTCAAGGGCCTGAAACTCACCAGATCACCACATCCAGATGATGAGATGCCAGACCCTTCATTTCTCTTCCTTACCCCACTCTAGTTCCTGTTTTACATTCCTTCCTGCTATAGAAACCCTCAATTTTAGTTCATGGAGGAGATGGATTCGAGACTTATCTCCTATTCTCCCAGTTGATGTCACCCAAATAAAAATCCTTCTTCCCTAGTGATATGGTTTGGATATTTGTCCCTACCCAAATCTCGTGTTGAACGTAATTCCCAATGTTGGAGGTAGGGCCTAGTGGGAGGTGTTTGGATCATGGTGGTGGATCTCTTATGAATGGCTTGGACCATCCTCTGAGGATAAGTGATATCTCGCTCTGAGTTCACAGGAGATCTCATTTTTCAGAAGTGTGTGGCACCTTTCACCTCACTCTCTCTTGCTTTTGCCATGTGACGTGGTTGCTCCCTCTTTGGCTTCCGCTGTGATTGGAAGCTTCCTGAGGCCTCCCCAGAAGCATATGTTGGTGTCATGATTCCTGTGCAGCCTGCAGAATCATGAGCCAATTAAACCTCTTTCTCTACAAATTACCCAGTCTCAGGTATTTCTTTATAGCAATGCAAGATTGGCCCAATACACCTAGCAACACTTGTTGTCTCGTGATTGGCTTTCCCTGCGGTGAGCTATGGGACCTGAAGCAAATCCCGCATGATTTGGTAATCATTGCTCCACTACATTTTAACCCATATGCTGTAACAGAGTTGAAATGGTATTTTTCTGTTGTGAAAATATTCAACTTCATATGCACATTTAATAACTAATCGTTAACCATATGCTTTCTTTCCCAAAGGCATCCTTCAATATACATAAATAAGAACATGGTAATGAGTAATTTTTCTACACATGCAAGTTAACCTACTTTCCCAAGCACCCAGATAGTAAATAGGATATGATATGGACACTGGTGAAGATAAAGGTTCTTATCAACAATATAAATATATAAAACAAGTTAGGCTCTTTGTGCTAGAAAACAGGACTAGGAATACACCATATCAAAATGAAAGCTCATGTGGCAGGATAATAATTGTCATATTAAGTCCCTTTGGTGTATCATTAAATTTCTTTTCTTGGTTTCCTTGCTCTTCTCCTTTCGGACTGCTAGATATAGGTCTTTTGTGCTCTAGAGAACAGAGAACTCAGAATAGTTTGTTTTTAGGAGATGGAAAGAAAGATGAAATGCTTGGTCCCAGTGTAAACTGGAAGCACATTTGAATAGCAAGCCTCTTCTCATAGCATAGAAAAGAGCCCCCTGGGCTGGGCCCTGGAGGTGTTGCTGAGGAGGAAGCCCTGGGCTTTGCTGCCCTCCACTGAGACCAATTGAGCTCCAAAAGCTGTGTTGTGCAGTGGGTGGATTCAGCAGTAGAGCTCTCAGAAAACTTGGAAAGCCCAGATTAGAGGTCACTTGTGAGGCTCAGGATAGTCACTAAAGCAAGCGGGACTTGACATTCTCCTTCGATTCTGCAGCAACTGCGGCACGGTGCTGATGGCAGGGCTGTTGTAGGCCAAGACAGGCCTAAGACAATCCCTTGTCTTCCAGAAGACCACCAGGATGGCTGCGTAGTAGAAAGGAGAGCTTTATTGGTGATACCAGTTTTCAAATCAGGAAGAGACAGTGTCTGGTATGTGTCGATTTTCTCTCTTCAAAGAGGAAAGTTGTGGGCTGGGTTTTATGTCTCACAGGGCCTGTATCACACAACAGAGTTAAAGTCTTGGGGAAAAGCTACACATATTTATGAGGTGAGTCAAACACACGCACAGTGGGTAAACATACTTGTAACATACATCCCATGCTCACTTTTGAGCAGGGTTTTACCATTAAAATGAGGTGGGATATTTGGCTGTTTACATCAAAAGGTGAACTATAGGACACAAAGACATTTTGTGTGCAGCCTGTATGAGCTGCTGAAACTGGCTTAAGGTCCACAGTTGCTTATCAGGAAAGAGTGTTTGAAAGACCATGCCTCTGTCCAGTCAGAGTCATAGCAGCAAACCCAAGTTGGAATTTGCCTGATAGTTCCAATTATTAGGAAGTTTAGTAGGAGTGTGGTTTTTCTTATAGCCAAAGGAATTTAGAAATTTGCCATGCCAGCCAGGGCCTGAACCATCAACCCAGAGGTTTTGTTTCCTTAACCTTAGAGTTCATCTTAATTGATAAAGGGGCATCTTTTGGTCTTTCAGACTACACCCTGGAGGCTCCTCACTCAGCCTCAGAAGGGCATGGGAGAGAGCCTAAAGCTCCCTGACCACTCCCCTCTCCCCAGGAACAGGGGGTCGATTCTGGAATCAAATTACTGGCATCCAAATTCCACCCCTGCCACTTAACAGTTGTGTGAACTTGAGCAAATTACCCAACATCCCTGTGTCTTAATTTTCTTCTCTGTAGTAGGAGGATAATAAAAATGCCTGCTCCATATAGTTTATTATGAGATTAAGTAAGATTATCCTTTTGACACATTTAACCTGACTGATACTGGTAAAAAAAAAAAAAAAAGAAAAAAGAAAAAGAAAATAAACATTCAGTAAATACTATGATTCTTATCATGATTGTCTCAGAAAAATCACTGTTCTGAAAATGTAAGTTATTCAAATACCACATAAGCTAATACTCTGTGGATGTATTTCTAACTGAAGCAATCCATCAATGCAAAGGTAGGTAAATAACAGTAACTAAAGCTAAGAGGGAAGTGTTCAAAGGCTCAGAGAAGTAAGGGGACGGGCTCACCAGGGGCAGTCAGTGTGTGTGTCCCGCCACTACACCAGTTTTCGAGTAAGCATAAGCTCGGGGGAGGAAACTGATCACAGAAATGCACCTGTGCATGGGGCTGGTTGTGCTGCTGGGGCAGGTGTGCATGTGCGGGGTGAAAATTAACGTCTTAGGGTTAATTTAGCCTGAGACTGAGGCATAGCTCAGAATAAAGCCTTATAAGAAATGATTTCTTGCAGCATGATTTCCAAACTTTAGCCTCCAAACCCTTTGTTTATTTGAAATCTAGTCTATAAACAGGATAAAAAAGCAGACCTGTTCTGCCTGGTCTATTTCTCCCTCTGTGGTCTCACTGTCCTCTAGTGGGTCCATGAAACGGGGGAGATCATGGATCCCTCTGTTCTTGGGATCCCACATGCTTTTAGTAGTCTAGTCACCTCTAACAGGGCTCTCTCCAGGAACCATGGTTCACCCCCTCCTTCCCCCAAGCCTAAGGAAATCGCTTCCTATTTGCAGGACTATCTGCTCTAACTACTTCCTCTATCCTAGGGCATCATCCTTCCTTGAGGATTTATGGTTCTATTTTACAAAAGCAAGCAGGCTTGGAACCATCTCTGGTTTTCTGCCCTGCAGAGCCTTTCCTGAGATAATGAGCAGGGGTGAGCTATGTTTGGCCTAGTAAAAGGAAAGTAGGGGACATCTGGGGTGGGTGGGGGTGTTATCAAAATATCTAGCCAGGCAGTTTTCTATGCATTAGGAAATAATTTTTTTCTCTGTATGCCACATTAAGACTATAAAATCTGTGAAGGCTGGACCCACAATGGGCAGCATGCACAGAAACTGGCAAATGGTAAGAACTTAGAGAGAGAGAGAGAGAGACAGAGAGAGAGAGGGGGAGGGGTAGAGAGAGAAAGAGGGAGAGAGAGAATAAATTAACTGCTAAGGCTGCACAGAAAACACTGTGAACTACTCATTTGTCCAAATCTTTGACAGAATGACACATTAACCATCTGGAATATATGCCCTCTTCTCTAAATCTCATGAATTCCCCATGTCCCTTTGCAGGTTTTCCAGTGGTTCTCCCATAACTGTCAGTAAGCACTACCTTATATCTTAGCTACTGCTTCTATTTAAAGATGTCTCAGCCTTCTACTATGCCTTCTGTAGCAATGGCTAGTCACTTGTCAGAACCCTGTAAGAGAGTTCTTTGTGTACTTGAACACTTGGATCATCCCTGTGCCTGCTTTTCCATGAATCAAACAATCCAAACTCTTAATAATATTATTTTTCACAAACCCTGTTTTTCATTAGTTTGTAATTTGGGACTGTTATTGTTTTCTGTAGTTTCAGCCAAATTTTGTATGTTACTTTCTAAATGTAGAGACCAGGGTAGGAGTTGGGACTATGAGGAGAAATTACTTAATGGGTAAAATGTATGTTAGTCTTGTGATAGATGCCTAAAAAGCCCTGGTTTGACCACTACACAATCAATGCATATTAACAATATTGCCCTTGGACCCCATAGATTTATGGAAATTAAACTTTTTTAAAAAAAAGTAGAGACTAGAGTGAAAACAGAACTTTGTCTCACTAAATTAACCCTTGCTTTGCATTCCTTCCTGAAACATCCTCACAGGTACCCACAGCACATTGCTGGGAGCTAGGCTCAGGAACTATTTGCTAGAAAAACTGAGGTCAAGTTGGAATCCTGGTCTGATACTTCCCATCCCTGTGAACTTAATATTGTGTAATAATCGTAGCAGTGTCCCCTGTGGGTGGCTGGGAGGGTCTGTGAGTTCATCCATGTGGAGCATTTAGAACAATGGCCAGGACAAAGTATAGGTTCAATAAATGTTTGTTATTGGTTCTGTTGTTATTGCTGCTACTGTTGTTATCATTATTACTACTATTACATATCAGGCTCAGTGTACTCAGAAGAAACTTAAAGTACGGTGAGTCACAGGCAGCCTGCAGTAGGGAAGAAAGAGAAGGTAAGTAGGGGAAGGGCACAAGATGAGTGGAGACCTTAAATTCCCACCTGCCTTATTAACTACGTCCAGACTTTGTTCTCCAAGTCTGGTATGGTGCCTGGTTCCTGTTCCATAAATATTCATTAGATGGATTAATCCAATTTACCTTCTCACCATCTTTCTGTGAGCAAGCAACTTTTTAAAGACTATTAAATGACCATAGAACAAACTAAGTGTCTCCCTGGAGAGACTTCCTTGGAGAAAGCTTTCCTCCTGCTCTCCTCAGGGCACATTTTCTAAGCAATTCTATGAAACTCTACAATTGTTGTTAGAAAAAAAGTAACTCAAAGCCCAGCGTCTGTCTGCAGGGCCTACAGGGGATGACATCTTGTATAGGTGACATATATTTCCATGTGCTCAGAGCACAGCCCTCCAAAGTTAAACATTCCCAAGCTGATTATTGTTTGTCTATGCCAGACAATAATTAATTATGCCAGTGAGCGCCAGAGGCAGCAGAAACTGAAAAGTGAAGAATGATCTTTTATCAAAAACCCCGAACTGATTGTGGAGTAGCTCCAGTACTCTGGCTCTGCCAGCAAGAGAGCGGGATTTGCTCCGTTCTGCTCTGCCATACTTCTATGTTCTGCTTCAGCAGAGTGTGGAAGGGTCATATGCCTGCAATCTGACAGCCCCGTGCGGCCCCTGGGGAAGAGCCCATGGCTTGCCCTTCTCCCGCCCCTCTCAGGGGGCCACCCTGAATCAGATGGTTCTTGCTTCAACACAATGGATATGTCCTTTACTTGTGCTGTTTCTGTCTTATATTGACTAGTTTGTGGTCCTATAAAAAAAAATCCTACTTATTTAATATGCTGTTCAAATTCCTGCTTCCCAAAGAAAACTATAGCATTACTATAGATGTGAAGAACATCCTTCATGATAGCAGTGAATGCAGCCCAACACTGTAACTATCATCTGTTCCCTTCATGACCAAACATTGTATCAAGGACAGTTGTTCAGCTTTAGGAGATGCCTACATCTTGGTACATCATATCAATAAATGAAACTTTAAAAATAATCATCTATATAGATAATGAAAAAAATTGTATGGCAAACCACTGGAAATGATCTCATGAAAATCCAGAATAAAATAAAGGAGCCCAATACCATGATAGTTATTTAATATTTTAGGTAGTTTTTGACAATTACAAGAAAGCATGAAACACACATTAGGTGCATATGTAAAGAAAATAATAAAATTATTGTTTCTTGTAGATGGCATAATTTTAAGCCCAGAAGTAGTAAAACAATCAACTGAAAAATTATGAGAATTCTAAAAATTCAAGGAAATAATTACATACAAGGTAAATATACTAAAATGAATAGTGTTCATGTATATTGGCATAGCCAATTTTTAAAAAATTGTCATTAAAACAAGTTATTATTATTAATAATAAATAGTAGACAGATATAATAATAGACAGTATTCCTGGATACACAATCTTAAACATTGTTGTGGCTTAGCTGGGCACAGTGGCATGTACCTAGGGTCCCAGCTGCTAGGTAGGCTGAGGCAGGAGGATCACTCGAGCCTAGGAGTTCAAGGCTGTGGTGAGCTCTGATTGTGCCAGTGCACTACAGCCTAGACAACAGAGCAAGACCCTGTCTCGAAAAAAAAAAAAAAAAACCATGAAAATCCTTGAGGCCTAAGTGAAAAACTGGGAAAACATGGAGTAGTAGAAAGATTAGAAGAATGAAGCAATGTAAGTGAACACTACACCTGTGGGTCACTGAGGCAGCCTGGCTGCAGAGGCAGGTTACCATCCAGCCCACTCCATCACTACGGGACAGGGCCCATGTGTTACTGGAGTCTCTGAGACTTGCCAGGGAAGCTCCCCAGCAGGGCCTTGGCCATCTCAGATTCTCCTGTTTGGATCTTTCCGCAGGTGTTGTCACAGCGAATGACCACCCACTTCCTGCCTCTGCTCAAAAGTCACTTCTCAGTTTCTATTTTACCCTAGCACCATTCTATTAAAATTACAAAGCACCTCACCGACCCATCTCCCTGTGCCTGTTTTATTTTCTCCCTTGCACTTATCAGCTCAAACATAGTACATAATTGATTCATTTGTTCACGGTCTTTCTCTACCAATGCAAGCGCCATGAGGGCAGGGATATTTTCAGTCTTGTTCACCACCACATTGAAAGAATGAGTGTAACAAAACATGCACAATTTAAAAAGAAAACCACCAAAAATAAAACATTAACTGTGCTATGGGAATGATATTATGGGTAATTATTTTTCTAATATTTTCCAGACCTTTTATAGCTTGAATTGTTGCCTTTATTAAAATAAATTTATATTTTAGGAGAGTTATTGTTCTCTTGCCTACCTAGCTCATTCCTCAAACTGTTTTCTAGGGAAAAAAGCACAGAGCAAGGAACAGACAGGCTCATCAGGCAGGCTGATGGCAAAAAAAACCCCACACACAATCTATTTTCATTAGGCCTCTTTTAGTTTCATTGTTTTAAATCAAGTTAAATGTTCTTAACTGTAACTGTCATCTGTTTCTTGTGACCACACTTTTATCTTCACTTTTTAATTACCATTTTTAAAAATAGATCATACAATCCTTTCTGATTCCAAATTGAATACCTCCAGCTATTCCCAAATTTAAATGAGTAAGATTAATTAACATTTAATCTAAATGGTCCTAAAAGTATGCTTCTTTAGTTACTAATGCTCAGTGAATTTTCTGTTTTAGTTTTATCACAGCTGCTGAATCTATTCTTTTTAAAAAACTCACTCTTAGCATTCACACACATTTTTTGGACTACTATATAGGTGTGTGTGTGTGTATACATTTTATATATATCTCTCTATATCTCTCTATATATCTATATATATCTCGAGAGAGAGAGAGAGAGTTTTTTTGTTTTTTTTTGGAGAGGCAAGGTCTTACTACATTGCTCAGGCGGTCTAGAACACTTGGCCTCAAGCAATTCTCCTGCCTTGGCTCCCCATAGCACCAGGATTATAGGCATGAGCCACTGTGCCCAGCCTGGCCTATTATATTTTAAACTGAGTTATTAAAAATTAAAATTAGACCAGGCATGGTGGCTTACACCTGTAATCCCAGTACGTTGGAAGGCCAAGGCAGGAGGATCGCTTGAGCCCAGGAGTTTGAGACAAACCTAGGAAAGATGGGGAGACACTGTCTCTACAAAGAAAAAAAAAATTCACTGGGTGTGCTGGCACTGGCCTGTAGTCCTAACTATAGGAGGCTGAGGTGGGAGGATCCCTTAAGCCCAGGAGTTTGAGGCTGCAGTAAGCTATGATTGCATCACTGCACTCCAGCCTGGGTGACAGAGGGAGACCCTGCCTCTAACAAAAAATAAATTAATTAAAATTATTTACTAGGTGGTTGCTTTAAGAAACTTTTGTGTTTAGCTCAGGCAACATAGTTGAAGATGGTTACTAGTAACTCCTGAAGAAAAAGACCCTCAGTCTTTGTGCAAGTGAGGGTGGAGTTGGAGCCCGGTCACCAAGTTCCTTGGAGGATTTCTTGGTATGTATGGTACACTCTGGAGGCCTTTAGTTAAATGAGGACTCTTACTTAGCTTTATGGTTAGTTCCATAATAAAAGCTTTGGGGCCTATTTCCAGCCAGCCTCCTTTTTCATTCCTGAGAAGGAAAATATCGGTCACACCATGGTTCCCAAGAAAGACCCTAGAAAGCCTAATTAAACTTTAATTATAACTTAGTGATTATGGACTCAGAATAAAAGTTTATATGATAGCTATGTTTAATTTTATTAAAAGGTCCATGGCTTGTCATTCCTACATTTTCGGGAACTGTTCAAGATTTACTGCTCGGCAAAGACCAAGCACTTTTGGAATGAGGTGACCTCAGAGCCCTCATGAAAGGACTTTGTAACCTTTCCAATGCCCCAAATGTTCCCACTCAACCAAAAATTAAACTGGCAGCTGCCCACCTGCTCTCAGCACACTCCAAGTGGCAGGAAGCCCCTGAAGCAGTCGGTTCCTGGACAACCGCTTGTACATTTCCATTCAGTGACCCAAACAATCTCCATCGAGCCCACTTTGTGGGGTCTCCATTCCTTTCTCTGTTCTCTTGGCCCCCAAGAGCTCATGATGTAATTCTCCGGCAAAGCAGGCTTGCCAAAAGATGTTTGCTTCACTGCGTCCTCAAGAGCAAAACTATCACACATTTATCCTGAAGCAATATCTAAATGTCCAAGATCAAAATGTCAGTGAAGATGTTAGGATATTCTGCATGATTAGACCATGCCTTTATATCAGAGATACAGTACTAAATTCTGTGTCCAGACTATACCTGTTGGGCCTGGCTAGACCTGCCACAGGCTGTATGTGAAGGCCATATCCGGATGCATGAAATCCCCAGAGCTGGGCTCAAACAGCCACTTAACATGGAAACGTTCGGTCATGGAGACACCACCCTCAAGGGATATTTGCTAATAAACCAGGAAACAGAATCTGTAGCTGAGACTGCCAGTGTTTCCCTTTGTCCATTCTCTCTTTCTTCCTGTACCCCCAATTTAAGACGAGCCCATGGCTACCCAGTCAAAAACTCCATTTCCTAGTTCCCTTGCCACTCTATGTGGCCTTGCAACTAAATTCTAGCCAACAAAACATGTGTCCCTGTGACGTGTGCAACTTCTGAGTTGTGTGTCTAAAGGGGAGAGGTGTTCCCCCTCCCACAGGCAGGAAAGTAGACAGAAGCAGGAGCTAGCAGAACACAAGATGGAAGTCATTAGTTGAGAACAGGATAACAGCAAGGAATCTAGGTCCTCAATGCCACAGAGGCACAGTATCAGCTCTGGGCTGTTCACACTCACACTGTTATATAAAGTAGAAATACAGCCCTATCTTGTTGAAGCCACTGGTGTTTTGGCTTTTGTTATAGCAGACTTGTATTCCAACTAAAACAAACCAAAGGTCAAGATCTGGAAATGCAGAAAATTAGCCTATCAAGCTGTTTTGGTTATGCAGAAAAGAGAATAGAAGATAAACTAAGGTCAAAAATAGGAATTAAACACTGTAGGATAACTATAGTTAACAATAATGTAAAATAGCTAGAAGGAGGATAACTGAATGTATCCTAAGGAAGATAAATGTTTGAGACTATGGATATGCTAATTACTTTTTCTGACCACTATACATTTCATGTATTGCAACATCACTATGTCTCCCATTAGTATGTGCAATTATTATAGCAATTAAAAATTTTTAATATAATGGGAATTTCAAAAAATAAAAAAAGTAGAGGATGATCAAGTTAAAATGAAAGTTTCAGAGCCCATTTTGTGAACCCTGAAGATCCGTCAGCGTGCTCCGCATATGCCCATCCAGGGACAACCACTTAATGGGACTAAGACAAGCTCAGTGCCATGACTGGTGTACCTTAGCTCTTAATTCATTGGGTAGGGCTTTGGGCTTGTAACTTTGTAATAGATTTAGATTCTTTTCTCTGTCATATGAGAAAAATAATTGAATGAAGTGGAGTTATTCAGCCTACCTCTAAATAAAACCTGCAGAATTTTAACATGAATATTTAATATTAAATGTGAATGATCACAAATCACTAGACTGTTGACCCACAGTTGTATTTGTCCTAAAACAATATCCTCTTTGAATACTGTACTAACATTCAATTTTTGCATTTATTTTTGGTTTCTGCAATCAGATTAGAAAAACTAACCAATGACTAGGAAACTCTAAACTTTAGTCACAATGGAAAGCAAGAGTTATTTTCAGTTGTCTTTCATGTGGGGTTAATAATGATTTGTTAATTAACTTTCTAATTAGTTTTGTGATTAAATCTTGTATAGGATCTTCAGTGTATAATCAGAACTAATCTCCATACTCTTGTTGAATCACAGGGAATTTTCTTATGAGCCATGTAAAGACTAAAAAGAAAATTTATTTTGATTCCAAGCAAAATTTTAATGACACAACTAATTAGAAGAAAGATATTCAGATTCTTACTAGAATTTGGTCATTATCTTACCTTTGTTAAACTTAGAAACATAAGATATTTTCGCTTCCATACAATGAAGAAGACTGAATTCCAGAAATATACTAAATTATGGAATGTATTCCAGAGCTGGCGTGGTGACTCACACCTGTGATCCCAACATTTTGGGAGGTCAGGGTGGGAGGGTAGCTTCAACCCAGGAGTTCCAGCCTGGGCAACATAGTGAGACCCTGCCTCTATTTTTAAAAAAATTGAGAAGAAAAATGGGGAAAAATGTATGCATTCCAATTTTAGTTTTTTCTCTGTGTGAAGATGTATACCTTCTTCAGTTAAAAAAAAAAAACAACTTTCTGTGCTACCTCTATTGCCATGTCGATAACATGTACTTTTATTAATTTTAATTGTAATTTTTTTGAGACAGTGTCTCACTCTGTTGCACAGGCAGGAGTACAGTGGTGCAATCACGGCTCACTGAAGTCTCAACCTGCTGGACTCAAGCGATCCTCCCATCTCAGCCTCCTGGGTAGCTGAGACCACAGGCACATGCCACTATGTCCGGCTAATTTTTGTATTTTTTGTAGAAATGGGGTTTCACCATTTTGACCAGGCTGGTCTTCAGCTCCTGGGCTCAAGTGATCCACCCACCCCAGGCTCCCAAAGTTCTGGGATTACAGGCATGAGTCATTGCACCCACCCAGTCGATAACATATACAATGGAGAAAAAAATTACTTCATAGAGATAGTAATTGTGGTTTTCAGTGGACATCATCGCAGTAAGTAGTTTGGAATCATTCATTGCTGATTAAATTCCAATGCCTCTCAATGTCTAAGAAGGCAGTAACTAAGCACCTTTTGGCTCCTGAGGAGAGATCATGCTCAGAATCATCCCTAGAAAATGATGAAGAGTGGTCTGCCCCAGGACAAGCTCTTCTGCGAGTCTGCAGGTAAAACCCCCATGTAAAGGCACAAACCCAGTAAATTCTCATGAAACTCTAAATAGAGAGTTTTCTAACTTAATTTTCATAGTCAAGAGGCATGTGTTAGAGAGATACAGGAAACAGACACGGTGAAAGAACATCTGAGACACTGAAGGCAGGGGGAATCTTCAAGATGGCACTGAACCTGGTGGGTGACACCCTGGTAACCTCAGAAAGGATGAGAACTGGACCCCGCCCTCACCCCACAGACACACACACAACTTCCCAATCTGGCTGAGGAAACATTCTGTGGAAATAATTCAGTGACAGCAGTATTTTGCAAAAGGCATCTGCAGAGGGCATTCATATTCAGATAAAGTCCCATCTCTAGAGTTGTACATATAACGTGATGTGTAAAATGCTACAAGAACTGAAAAACAATAGTAACGGAAGTTCCATGATAAACTCTATATAGCTGGGACTAAAGGCATCTGAACTTTGAAGACTTAAATTTAAATAACTCAAATAAGACACAGAACACAGTTTGTACTAAGAGATGGTAACCAGTGCTGGCTTTGGCCATACATATACTAAAATTGGACCTACTCAGAGAAGATTAGTATGGTCCCTATGCAAGGATGATGCGCACATTTGTGAGTGTTCCTATTTTTATGTGTGGCCAGTATCTCCATCAGTGTGCAAAGGATGTGGATTTCATTAAGTTGGACTAAGTGATCTTCTCTGAATGGATTATCCAAGGAATCCACCCAATGAAAGCAACCATGCTAACTCTTTGTACACCAAATAAAAATTTAAAAGAAGAAAGATAGTAACTGTCCAGTTGTGGATTAGCATGAGGTAGATGTCAACCAGTGTGAGATCAACAAGTAGACCTATAACCTGTGGAACCAGGAACGGGAAACAAAGGTCCTTTTCAGCTGTTTCCCCACCCGCATTGGACTGAGAGTTTAGCAGCACTCAAGGCAGCAGGAACAAGTAACATCAGAACAACAGGGCTATACTCACACATTTTATGTACTTCATGGTACTTATCTCTTTGGGTTTGTTATACAGTGCAGGTTAAGTTTGGTTAATCTTTTTGCTTGCCTAAGGTTGTCTCACTTTGTAATCCCCTTTCAGATATTGTGAAGGGTAAATATTGGAACAGGCACCACCCCCTCTCACTTACTCAAGGATGTCTTCCCAGCGATTCTTTCCTCCTGCCCCTTTGTCATCGGCTTTCTTGTACATAATTCTCATGAGCAAAGAGTCATTTTAAATATTTTTTCTCCCATCTGAAAATAAAGCAAAACCTACTATTTACTCCACTTCTACCAGCTACAGCTTCATTTCTCCACTCCCATCTACAGCAAAACTCCTTTAAAAACTGTCTGAATTCACTGCCTCCAGTCTCTCTTGTCCTATTCTCTCACTGTTCTTTATTTTTATACAAGTAAAATTCCATGTAACATAAAATTAATCATTTTAAAGTGGGTCATTCAGTAGCATTTAGTAAATTTTCAATATTGTGCTACCGCCACATCTATCTAGTTCCAAAAACACTTTCATCACCAAAAAATAAAACTCCATGCTCATTGAAGAAGTCCTTCCCATTTTCCCAACCTCCCAGCCTCTAATAACCACTAATCAGCTTTCTGTCTCAGTGAACTTACCTATCCTGAATATTTCATATAAATGAAATTATGCAATATGTGGCCTAGTGTGAATGCTTCTTTCATCTAGCATGTTTTCAAAATTCATCTACATTGTAGCATGTTATTAGTATTTGTTTTCCTTTTTATAGCTGAATAACATGCCACTGTATAGATATATTACATGCTTTTGTTTTTCGGTTTTTTTGAGATGGGGTCTCCCTCCATCACCCAGGCTGGAGTGCAGTGGTGTGATCACAGATCACTGCAGCCTCCACCTCCTGAGCTCAAGTGATCCTCCTGCCTCAGTCTTTCTAGTAGCTGGGACTACGGGCATGCACCATCACACCTGGCTAATTATATCTTATTTTATTTTTTGTAGAGATGGGGTCCCACTATGTTGGCTAGTCTGGTCGTGAACTCCTGGTCTCAAGTGATCCTCCTGCCTGGCCTCCCAAATTGCTGGGATTACAGGCGTGAGCCAGCGCGCCTTGCCTATCACATGTTCTTTATATGTTCATCCATTGAAGGACACTGGGTTATTTCCACATTTTGGTTATTGTGAATGATGCTGCTATGAACATTCATGTATAGGAATTCATTTAAACTTCTGTTTCCAGTATGAGTATGTATCTGGGAATATAATTACTAAGTCATATGGTAATTCTGTTTAACTTTTTGAGGAACTGCCAAACTGTTTTCCACAGTGGCTGAACCATTTTATATTTCCAACAATAGTATGAGTAGGTTGCAATTTCTCCACATTTTGGCCAACACTTGTTATTTTCCCTTAAAAAATTTTTTTCATTATAGCCTTCCTACAGGGTGTGACACGATACCTCATTATGGTTTGGGTTTGCATTTACCTAAAGACCAGTGGTGTTGAGGTTCTTTTCATGTGCTTGTTGAGCATTTGTACATCTTATTTGGAGAACTTTCTATTCAATTCCTTAGCTGATTTTTTTAATTGAGTTGGGTTTTTTGTTGTTGATGTTGAGGTATAAGAATTATTTATATATTCTAGATATTAAACCCTTATCTGGAATGTAATTTACAAATACTTTATCTCATTCTGTAGGTCATTTTTCATTTTCATTTTCTTGATAATGTCCTTTAATGTACAAAGATTTTTAACATTTTGATGATGTCCAATTTATTTATTTTTATTGCCCATGTTTTTGGTTTCATATCCAGAACTCATTTCCAAATTCAATGTCACTATATTTTTTCTAAGAGTTTTATAGTTTTAGGTCATTGACCAATTTTTAGTTAATTTTTGTATATGGTGTCAGATAAGGGTCAAACTTCATTCTTTTGTACGTGCACGTCCGGTCTGTTAAAGAGATTACTCTTTCCCCATTGGATGTTCTTGGCATGCTTGTTGAAAATCAATTGACCATATATGTGAGGGTTTATGTTTGGACACTCTACTCTAGCCCATTGGCTTATATGTCTCTTTTTATGCCAATACGACACTGTTTTGATTACTGTAGATTTGTAGTTTTGAAATCAGGAAGTGTAAGTCCCCTAAATTTGTTCTCCTTTCTTCTAGATTATTTTGGCAATATAGAACCCCTTCAATTTTATATGAATTTGAAAATTGGCTTTTGCATTTCTGGAAAGAAAGTCATTGGAATTTAAATAGAGATTCCATTGAATCTATAGATTGCTTTGGATAGTATGGGCATCTTAATAATGTCTTACTATCCATCAAAAGAGATATCTTTTCATTTATTTAGGTGTTTAATTTCTTTAATTTAGGTGTTTAAATCTTTTGCCTCTTTAGTTAAATTTTCTCAATTTACTTTTTCAGATTGTTCATTGCTGGGAAAAAGAAATACAACTGATTTTTGCATGTTGCTCTTGTGCCCTCTAACTTTGCTGAATTTGTTTAATAGCTTTAGTAGTTCTTTGCTGTGTGTGTTTTTGAGGTTTTCTATATATGGGATCATGTCATCTGCAAATAGGGATAGTTTTACTTCTTTCTTCTACTTTGGAAGAATTTTACTTCTTTACTTTGCCTAATTGCCCTGGCTGGAACTTTGGTATAATGCTGAAAGTAGTGGTGGAAGCGAGAATATATTTCTTGTTCCTGATCTTAGGAGAAAAGTTTTCAACCTTTCACCTTCAAGTACCACCAGTAAGCTATGGGGATACCATAAGTGCCTTTTAGCATTTTGAGGATGTTCCCTTCTATTCTTATTTTCCTGAGTGTTTTTAATCATGAAAGGATGGTGAACTTAAAAAATACTTCTTCTATATCCATTGAGATTATTATGTGTTTTCCCCTTTATTCTATTAATATGGTATGTTATATTACTGTTTTTCTTATGTTAAACCATGTTTGCCTATTGAGTATAAATCCATTCTGGGTATAACTCCACTTATTCATGGTATATAATCCCATTAATATTATATTGAATTTAGATTGCTAGTATTTTGTTGAGGATTTTTGCATGCATAATAATAATGGATATTGGCTTAAATTTTTTTTCTTGAAGTGTTTTTGTCTGCTTGTGACATGAGGTTAATACTGGCCTCCTAAAATGAGTTACGAAGTATTCCCTCTTGTTCTATATTCTGGAAGAGTTTGAGAAGGATTGATTTAAATTTTTCTTTAAATGTTAGGTAAAATTCGCTAGTGAAGCCATCTGGTCCTAAGCTCCTTTTGTTGGAAGGCTTTTGATTATTGATTCAATCTCCTTATTCATTATAGGTCTTTTCAGATTTTCTATTTCTTCTTGAGTCAGTTTGGTAGTTTTTATGTTCCTAGGGGTTTGTCTACTTCATGTAGGTTATTAAACTTGTTGGACTACAATTGTTCATAATATTCTCTTATAATTATTTGTGTTGCTGAAGGTTGGTAACAAAGTCTCCAATTCAATTCCATTTTTTGCTATTTAAGTACTCTCTCTCTTTTTTCTTAGTCTAGCTAAGAAGTTTGTCAATGTTTTTTACATATTCAAAAAATGAACTTTTGTTTTTGTTGATTTTTTCTACTGATTTTCTCATCTCTATTTATATTAATTCTACTCTAATCTTTATTATTCTTTTCTTCTACTGGCTTTGAATTTACTTTTCTCTTCTTTTTTAGTTCTTCAAGGGTAAGTGAAGTTATTGATTTGAGATCTTTCTTCTTTATAATGTAGGCATTTACAGCTATAAATTTCTCTCCCAGGACTATTTTCACTGTATCACATAAGCTTTAGTATATTGTGCTTTTATTTTCATTCATCTTAAGGTATTCGGTAATTTCCCTTGTGATTTAGTCTTTGACCCATTGGTTGAGAGTGTGTTTTTGAACTCCACATACATGCATATGTTCTTGTTTTATTGCTTTTTGCTTTATCATGCTTCACAGATATTGCATTTTTTTTCTTTTTTACAAGTTGAAGGTTTGTGGCAACCCTCTATTGAGCAAGTCTACAGGCACCATTTTTCCAAGATCATATGCTTACTTCCTGTCTCTGTGTTTCACTTTGGTAATTCTTGCAATATTTCAAACTTTTTCATTATTATCATAATATATATAATCAGTGATCTCTGATGTTACTATTGTAATTGTTTTGGGGTGCCATAAACCGTGCCCTTATAAAATGACAAACCTGATTAATAAATGTGTGCACTCTGACTGCTCCACCAACCAGCCATTCCTCCATCTCTCTTCTTCTCCTTGGCTGCCCTATTTCTTGAGACACAATAATATTGCAATTAGGCCAATTAATACCACTGCAATGACCTCTATGTATTCAAGTGAAAGGAAGAGTCATATGTTTCTCAATTTAAATTAAAAGCTAGAAATAATAAAGCTTAATGAAGAAGGCATGTCAAAAGCTGAAACAGGTCAAAAGTTAGGCCTCTTGTGCCAGTTAGCCAAGTTGTGAATGTAAAGAAAAAGTTATTGAAGGACATTAAAAGCGCTACTCCGGTGAACACACAAATGGTAAGAAAGCAAAACAGCCTTACTGCTGATATGAAGAAAGTTTTAGTGATCTAGATAGAAGATCAAATCAGCCACAATATTCCCTTAAGCCAAAGCTTAATCCAGAGCAAGGCCCTAATGTGTCAATTCTATGAAGGCTGAGAGAGGTAAGGATGCTGCAGAAGAAAAGTTTGGAGCTGGCAGAGGTTGACTCACGAGAGTTAAGGGAAGAATCCATTTCCATAACCCAAAAGTACAAGGTGAAGCAGGAAGTGCTAATGGAGAAGCAGCAGCAAGTTATACAGAAGATCTAGCTAAAATCATTGATGAAAGTGGCTACACTAAATCACAGGTTTTCAGTGTAGAAAAAATAGCCTTCTATTGAAAGAAGATGGCATCTAGGACTTTCACAGCTAGAGAGGAGAAATCAATGCCTGGCTTCAAAGCTTCAAAGGATAGGCTGAATATCTTGCTAGGGTCTAATGGTAGCTGATGACTTTAAGTCGATGTCATTGTTCATTTGCCATTTCCAAAATCCTAAGACCCTTAAGAATTACACCAAATCTACTTTGTTTGTGTTCTATAAATGAAACAGCAAGCATGAATGTTAGCACATCTGTTTATAGCATGGTTTACTGAATATTTTACTCTCACTGTTGAGAACTACTTCTCAGAAAAATAAAATTATTTTAAAATATTGCTGCTCATTGACAATACACCTGATCACCCAAGAACTCTGATGAGATGTACAAGGAGATTAACACTGTTTTCATGCCTGCTAATATACATCCAATCTGAAATCCATTGATCAAGGAGTACGTTCAACTTTCAAGTTTTATTATTTAAGAAGTATGTTTTGTAAGGCAGTAGCTGCCATGAGTAGTGATTCCTCTGATGGATCTGGGCAAAGTAAATTGAAAACCTTCTGGAAGGATTTACCATCCTGGATGCCATTAAGAGCATTCATGGAAAGAGGTCAAAATATTAACACTAACAGGAGTTTGAAAGAAGTTTATTACAACCCTAATGAATAACTTTGAGGGGTTCGAGACTTCAGTGGAAGACGTAGTTGCAGATGTGGTATAAATAACAAGGGAGCTAGAATTAGAAGTGGAGCCTGAAGATGTCACTGAATTGCTGAAATATCATGGGAAAACTTAAATGGATGAGAATCTGCTTCTCGTGGATGAGCAAAGAAGATGGTTTCTTAAGATGGAAACTACTCCTGATGAAGATTCTGTGAACACTATTGAAACAGCAACAAAGGATTTAGAATATTTCATAAACTTAGTTAATAAAGCACTGGTAGGGTTTGAGAGGACTTGTTCCAATTTTGAAAGAAGTCCTACTGTGGGTAAAATGCTATTAAACAGCATCACAGCTACAGAGAAATCTTTCATGAAGGGAAGAGCCAATTGATGCAGTAAACTTCATTGTTTTTTATTTTAAGAAATTGCCATAGCCACCCTAGCCTTTAGCAACCACCAACTTGATCAGTCAGCAGCCACCAACATCAAGGCAAGACCCTCCGCACGCAAAGAGATTATGACTTGCTGAAGGCTCAGATGATCATTAACTTTTTTAGCAACAAAGTACTTTTAAATTAAAACAGGTACTTTTTAAAAGACATAATACTACTGTACACGTAATAGTCTACAGTATAATACAAACATGACTTTTACATGCACTGGGAGACCAAAAAACTTATGTGACTCACTTTATTGTGGTGGTCTGGAACAGAGTCCCCGATATCTCTGAGACATGCCTGTACTTGTGAATTTTCCAGTTTATTTCTAGCAGTGATCTGGCTCATTCCATTGTTTTTGGAGGGAAATTGTGTATAATTCCAATTTTAAAAAATTTATTGTAACTGAGTTTTTGGCCTTATATATAGTCTATCCCGGGGAATGTTCCATGTGCATTTGAAAGGAATGTGTAGTTTGCTATTGCGTGGAGTGTTCTGTATATGAGGCTGAGATAGTTATAGTGTTGTTCCATGTTCTCTATTTTCTCATGTATCTTCTGTCTATATGTTCTATTTACCATTGAAAGTGAGATATTGAGGTCTCCAGGTATTACTGTGAAACTGTCTACTTCCCCCTCAATCCTGTCAGTGTCTTTTTTTTTTTTTTTTTTTTTTTGTAGTCAGCTATTTAATTAGGTTCTTAAGACATTTAGAACACCAATTTGTGAGGATAAATTCCATTCGTCAGAGCAAACACAGATCGCAGGTAGCCCTGGAGCTGAGGAATAGCTTTGATTTTTGGTAAAATTTGTGAGTCCACAGCTTTCTGATCAATCTTGCGCTGCTCCGTAATCTCATATTTCTCTTTTTCTGTGTCGAAGATCTCACCTTCCTGGTGTCTGGGCTTCCGCAGCTTCTTCTTCTTGAAGTAAGCATCAGTAAGATGTTTTGGGATTTTTACATTGCTGATATCGATTTTGGTTGAGGTGGCAATGACAAATTTCTGGTGTGTTCTTCGTAGAGGAACTCGATTGAGGACCAGAGGTCCAGTCACAAGTAATAAGCCACTAGCCAGCTGCTTCAGGAAAACCACCCTCTTGCCCCTGTGGCGTCCAGTGAGGATGATCAGAATGGTCCCGGGGGTAATGCTGGCTCGCAGTTTTCTCACGTGCTGACTGAAGGGTTTTTTGCCGTGGCTCAACAGCTTTCGAGGCACATCTTCAGTAGGATACTATCTAGGCATTTTGCGAAGTTTAACCACCCGGGTACCGCCGTTCTTGTCACCACCAACTGGTTTTGTAACAGCTGCAAGAACCTTCTCCTTCTTTTTCTTTTCAACCTTGGATTTAGCGGCTGAGTACTTCCTCTTCTACATGGCCTTTCTGGAATACATGGCAGATCGGGAATACCTGCCAATTCCTCTGACAAGGACAGGGTTGCGGCTGCAATGGGGCTTCCCCTTCTTGGGCTTTTTAGCTTTGAGGTTACCCTTTTTCACCTTGCCACCAGCATCAACCTTCTTGGCTTCGGGTTTCTTCTCTTTAGTATCTGGCTTCTCAACTTTTTCACCTGCCATCTTGCAAGATGGGAAAGAGCAGTGTCTTTTTTAGACTCTTTTCTGTGTGACATATATGTTTACAATTGTTATATCTTCTTGATGAAAGGACCCTTTACCAATATTAGTGTTCTTCTCTGTCACTTTCAGCAGCTATTTTACTCAAACCCTGTATTATGTATTAGCATAGCCATCCCAGCTGTCATTTAGTTAACATTTGTATGAAATATCTTTTCTCTACCCTTTCACTTTTAACCTATTTGTTTATTTGCATCTAATGTGAATTTCTTGTAGATAACGTAATTAAACTACGGTTTTTAAAATCCATTCTGCTAATATTTGCCTTTTGATTGTAATGCTTAATTTATTTACTTTCATAGTAATTACAGATAAGAAAGCACTTACTTCTGCCATTTTATGATTTGTTTTCTATGGCTTATACCTTTTTATTACTAATTTCCTTCATTATTGCTTTTTCTGTGTTTAATTTCTTTTTTGTAGTATACCATTCTTACTTAATTTCGCATATAAATTTTAGATATTTTCTTAGTGGTTTCTCTAGTATTTTAATTTACATTAGTAAGTTATAACAATATAATTTGAATTTATACCAACTTAGATTCAATGGCATATAAAAAGTCTACTCCTATAAAGCTCCATTCCCATTTATGTTGTTATTGTCACAAATTACATCCTTATATATTGTGTGCCAATAAACACAGTTTGTAATTATTATTTCATGTGCTATTTTTAAATCACAGAGGAAATTTTAAAATGCAGACACAAAACAAAAATACAATAATACTGACTTTTACATTTGCCTATGTAGTTCCTTTATGGAGGTTTTTCATTTTCTCATATGCCTTTGGGTTAATGTCTAGTTTCCTTTCATTTCAGCCTAAAGGGTTTCCTGTAGAATTTCTTGTAGTGAAAGTATATTAGCAATTAATTCCCTCAGATTTTATTTATCTGGAAAAGTCTGAATTTTTCCATATTTGAAGCAAAGGTTTTCTGGATATGGAATTCTTCACTGACATTTTGTTTTCCTTGACTTCAAAAATGTCACCCCATTTGTGTCTGGTCTCCATGGTTTCTGATGAGAAATTGGCTGTTTTCCTTGTTGAGGATCACTTGTACATGAGGAGTCACTTCTCTCCTGCTGCTTTCAAGATTGTCTCTTTATTTTTGGCTTCTAGTAATTTGGTTGTGATGTATCTTGTCAAGGATCTCTGTGTTTTTTAATTGAATTTCATCAAGTTTCTTGAATGTGTAGTTTTATTTTTTTCATAAGATTTGGGAAATGTGTAGTTTTCTTTCTTTCATAAGATTTAGCCGCCAGTACATCTACAAATATTCTTTCTGCTCCTTTCTCTCCTTTAATTCTGGAATTGTGAGTATATTGGCATGCTTGATTGTGTTCCACAGACCTCTTAGTCTTCATTCATTTTTCTTTATTCTTTCTCCTTCTGTACCTCAGGCTGCATAAGTTTCAATTAGCCTATCTTCAAGTTCTCTGATTCTTTATTTCTTCTGCTTATATTTTCCATTGAAACCCTTTAGTGAATTTTATTTCAGTTATTGTACTTTTCTGGCTGCGAATTTCTGTTTAGCTCTTGTTTGTAACTTCTTTCTCCTCATTAATTTTCACTATTTGCTCATGAATAACTCTTCTGTTCTCCTTTAGCTCCTTGAGCATATGTAAGACAGTTGATTTGTCTTTGTCTAGTGAATCCAACATCTGTACTTCTTCATGTAAAATTTCTGCAAATTTCTTCTGTGAAAGGGCCATATTTTCTTGTTCCTTTGCATGCTTCATAATTTTTACAGAAAATTGGCTATTCTGAATATTATAATGTAATAACTCTGGAAATCTTATGCTTCAGCTCTTCAGGGTTTGTTTTTCTGCCGGCTGTGGGATGTAGCTGTTCGTTTGTTTGGTAACTTTTTAATTGTGGTAAAATATACACAAAATAAAATTTATCATATTGATTATTTTATGTTTACAATTCAGTGACATTAAGTACATTCCTAATGTTGTGTAATTATCACTATTATTTTCAAACTTTTTCATAATCTCAAAGAGAAAGTATGTATCCAGTTAACAATAACTCCCCAATCCTCTCTCCAAACAGCCCCTAGTAACCTCTATTCTACCTTCTGTCTCTATGAATTTACATATTCTAGACTCCTCATATAAGTGGAATCATACATGGCATTGTATTTTCAAAGTTCATCCATGTCATAGTATGCATCAGAACCTCATTCCTTTTCATGATTGAATAATATTCCATTATATGTATATACCAGATTTTGTATATTCATTCATTCACCAATAGGCTTTTATTGCTTCCACCTTTTAGGTATTGTAAATAATGCTGCTATGTGGTGTGCAATATCTGTTCAAGTACAGTTTTTAATTCTTTTATGTATTTACCTAGGAGTGGAATTACTGGATTATATGATAATTCCATGATTAACTTATATGTGTTGTGCAATATCTGTTCAAGTCCATGTTTTCAATTTTTAATGTATTTTCATAGAACTGGAATTGCAGATTATATAATAATTCCATCTTTAACTTTTTGAGGAACGAACAGATTGTTTTTCATAGCACTGCACCATATTATATTTCCACCAATAATGCATGAGGCTTCCCATCTCTCTATATGCTGGCTAACATTTGTTATTTCCTATTTTAAAAAAAGTCATCATTATGAGTATGATGTGGTATCTCATGTGGTTTGGATTTACATCATCTTGGTTGGATTTACATCATCTTGATCACTAATGATGTTGAGCATCATTTCATGTGCTTATTGATCATGGATTGGTCTTCTAATCCATGAATATAGGATTTCTTTCCATCCATTTAACTCTTCTTTAATTTCTACCAGCAGTGGTTTTGTTTTGGTTTGGTTTGGTTTGGTTTTTGAGACAGAGTCCTGCTCTGTCACCCAAGATGGAGTTCAGTGGCATGATCTGGGCTCACTGCAACCTCTGCCTTCCAGGTTCAAGTGATTCTCCTGCCTCAGCCTCCGAGTAGCTAGGACTACAGGCACACGCCACTATGCCCAGATAATTTTTGTATTTTTATTAGAGAAGGGTTTTGCCATGTTGGCCAGGCTGGTCTTGAACTCCTGACCTCGGTGATCCGCCTTCCTCAGCCTTCCAAAGTGCTGGAATTGCAGGCATGAGCCACCGTTCCCGGCCAATCAGCAGTGTTTTCAGTGTTTTTAACACACACGTGTGTGTGTGTGTGTTTGCGTTTTGTGTTTTGTGTTTTTTTGGGTTAGTTTTGTTTTGTTTTGTTTTGTTTTTTGAGACAGAGTCTCACTCTGTAGTCCAGGCTGGAGTGCAGTGGCGCGATCTCGGCTCACTGCAAGCTCTGCCTCCCGAGTTCACGTCATTCTCCTGCCTCAGCCTCCCGAGTAGCTGGGACTACAGGCGCCCGCCACCACGCCCTGCTAATTTTTTTGTGTTTTTAGTAGAGACGGGGTTTCACCATGTTAGCCAGGATGGTCTCCATCTCCTGACCTCGCGACCCGCCCGTCTCAGCCTACGAAAGTGCTGAGATTACAGGCATGAGCCACTGCGCCCGGCCCACACAAGAGTTTTTAATGTTTTTATCTGTCTCGTTGGTTAAATTTACCCCCGGGTATTTTATTCTTTTTGATGCTTATTGTAAGTGAAATGGTTTTCTTAATTTCCTTTTAAAATTGTTAATTGCTAGTGTTTAGAAATACAACAGATTTTTGAGTATTGATTCTGTACCCTGTAACTTTGCTGAGTTCATTTAACTCTAATAGTTTTTTGTTTTTTTTTTTTTAACTTCGTATCATCTGTAAAGATAGATATTTTATTTCTTCCTTTCTGACACGGATGCCCCCAACCCATTTTCATTCACTCACCATTGAATTGGCTCACCATTAGCTGTGAGATTTACACATGATATTGATGAAATTCCTTTCGATTCCTAGTTTACTGTTTTTATCATGAGAGGGTGTTACATTTTGTCCAATTTTTTTGTACCTATTTATATTATTATGTTTTTTTTCCTTAACATGCTATGTTGCATTGATTGATTTTATCTTGAACAATTCTTGCATTCTGAGACTAAATACCCTTGGCCATTATATGCAATCCTTTTAATGTACTGCTGAATTCAGGCTGCTAGTACTTTATTGATAATGTCTATATTCATAAGAAGTGTTGACCTGTAGTTTTTTAGAGACTAGTTCTCACTCTGTTACCCAGGCTGGAGTACATTGATATGATCATAGCTCACAGAAGCTTCAAACTTCTGGGCTCAAGTGACCCTTCCACCTCAGCCTCCCAAGTAGCTGGAACTATAGGTGTGTGCCACCATTCCCAGGTAAGTTTTTATTTTTTGGGGGGGAGACACGGTCTTGCTCTGCTGCCCAGGCTGGTCTTGAACTCCCTGGGCTCAAGCAGTCCTTCAATTTCAGCCTTGCAAAGTGCTGGGATTACAGGCATGAGTTACCATGCCCAGCCATTTTTTGGTTTTTCGTAGTTGGTGGTGTCTTTGCCCTTGATGTGAAGGTAATGCTTGCCTCATAGAATGAATTAGGAAGAGGGTTTTTTTCTATTTTTTGGAAAAGTTTGAGAGACCATGCCCAGCCATTTTTTGGTTTTTCGTAGTTGGTGGTGTCTTTGCCCTTGATGTGAAGGTAATGCTTGCCTCATAGAATGAATTAGGAAGAGGGTTTTTTTCTATTTTTTGGAAAAGTTTGAGAGGAATGTTTCTCTCTTCTTCTTCTGATTCTTTTTTTTTTTTTTTGAGAGGAGTCTTGCTCTGTCACCCAGGCTGAAGTGCAGTGGTGCGATCTCAGCTCACTGAAGCCTCTGCCTCCTGGGTTCAAGTGATTCTCCACCTCAGCCTCCCGAGTAGATGGGATTTCAGGCGTGTACTGACACCTCCGGCTAATTTTTATATTTTTACTAGACAAGGGGTTTCACCATGTTGGCCAGGCTAATCTCAAACTCCTGAGCTCAGATAATCCACTAGCTTCGGCTTCCCAAAGTGCTGCAATTAACAGGCGTGAGCCACTGCTCCCGGCCATCTCTTCTTTAAATGGTAGAATTTCTTGGTGAAACTATCTTTTGTGGGCATTTCTTTGTTTGGAGGTTTTTGACTACTTATTCAATCTCCTTAATAGTTATAGATCTGTTCAGATTTTCTATTTCTTCTTAAGTTAGTTTGCTAGTTTGTGTGTGTCTAGGAGTTTATCCATTTTATCTAGATTATCCAACTTGTTATCATGCAGTTGTTCATAGTATTCTCTTTTAAGCCATTTGTTTCTGTAAAATTGGTAGTAATGTCACCATATTTATGTCTAATTTGAGCAATAGGAATCTTCTCTCTGTTTTCTTAGTCAATCCAGCAGAAATTTTGTCTATTTTTATTGATATCTTCAAAGAAAAGCTTTGTTTTATTAATTTTCTCTATTGTTTTTATATTCGATATTTGATTTAGCTACACACTAATTTTTTTTATTTCTTTCCTTCCGCTAGAAATGAATTTAGTTTGCTCTTCTTTTTCTATTTCCTTTTGAAATAATTAGGTTGTTTGATATTTTTCTTCTTTTTTAATGTAGACATTTACAGCTGTGAATTTTTCTCTGAGCACTGCTTTCACTGCATCCCATAAAAAATGGCATTTGCTTTTATGTTTCTCAGGGTATTTCACAATTTCCTTTGTGAGTTTTCCTCTGACCTATTGGTTGTTCAAAATTGTGTTATTTAATTTTCATATATTTGTAAATCTTCCAGCCTTTCTTCTGTTACTGATTTTTAGCTCATGGCATTGTGTTCAGAGAAGATATTTAGTATTGTTTCAAAAATATTTTAATATGTCTTGAGACTTATTATGTGGGCTTACCTATGGTCCATTCTAGGAAATGTTCCATGTACATTAGTGAAGAATGTGTATTCTACTGGTTTTGGTGGAGTGTTCAGTATGTTTGTTAGTTCTAATTGTTTTACAGTCTTGTTCAAGTTCTCTAATTTTTTTGTAAATATTCTGTCTAGTTCTGATTATTAACCTTCAACTATTAAACCTCCAACAATTATTGTAGCTTGCTATATTTGGGGGTTCTGTTGTTAAATGTATATATGTTTATAATTATATTTTCTTGCTGGCTTGAGACTTTTATCAAAATGTAATGTCCTTCTTTGTCTCTTGTAAACATTTTTAACTTTAAGTTTATTTTGGCTGACTCACTTGTCTTTTGTTTACAATTTGCAGAGATTATCTTTTTCCATCTTTTCACTTTTAAACTCTTTGTGTTTTGTATCTTAAGTGAGTCTCTTTTAGACAACATAAATTGATCATGTGTTATTTATCCAATCTTCCAATTTCTGCCATTTGATTAGACAATTTAATCCATTTACATTTAAGTAATTATTGATAAGAAATGAATTACTTCTTCCATTTAGCTTCTTCTTTTCTGTATGTTTATGTTTTTGTCCCTCAATTCATGAATTACTGCCTTTTTAACACTTAGTTTAACATTTGTAGTATATCATTTTGATTCCCTTAAATATTTATGTTCTTAGTGGTAGCCTTAGTATTACAATTAACACCTTAAACTTATAACAACCTAATTTAAATGACACCAACTTAATTTCAATAGTATACAAATACCCTATTTCCATACATCTTTGTTCCTACCCATTTATATTATTATTGCCACAGAATACATCTTTTTATATTTTGTGCCTGTTAACTTCAATTTATAATTATCGCTTTATGCCTTTACCTTTTAAATCGTATAGAAAAAAAGGAGGGGTTTCAAACCAAAATTATGTTAATATTGGCTTTTCTACTTATATTTATGGTTACCTTTACTAGTGTTCTTCTTTGTTTCTTATGGCTTCCAGTTACTACCTAGTGTCTTTTTATTTCAGCCTGAAGTGCTCCCTTTAACATTTCTTGTATGGTAGGTCTTCTGGTAACAAACTCCCTCAGCATTTTTTTTTTTTTAATCTGGGAATGTCTTAAGTTCTCCTTCATCCCTGAGTGATAGTTTTGCTTGATATAGAATTCTTGGTTGACAGTTTTGTCTTTTATTTTAAGACTTTGTTATCTCAGCGCCTTCTAGACTTCATGATTTCTGATGAAAAACCAGCTGTTAATTGTACTGAGGACATCTGGTATATAATGAGTCACTTCTTTCTGCTTTCGAAATTCTATCTTTATTTTTGGATTTTGACAATTTGGCTATTATGTTTCTGGGTTTGGATTTCTTTGAGTTTATCCTATTTGGATTCTTGGTTTGTGTATTTTCATCTTCAGTGGATTTGAGAAATTTTAAGCCATTGTTTCTTCAAAAAGTTTTTTTTGCTTCATTTTCTTTTCTTCCCCTTGGACTTCTATGGTCCATATGTTATTATGCTTGATTCCTTTCCTCAAGTTCATTAGGATACATTCATTTTTCTTCATTTTTTCCATTCGTCAGGTTGGATAATTTTAATTTTTTTATCTTCAATTTTTTTTATTCTTTCTTCTGACTGTTCACGTTGCTATTGAATGTCTCTAGTAAAATTCTAATTTCAGTTATTGTACTTTTCACCCCTACAATTTCTATTTGGGTACTTTTTTACAATTTGTATCTCTTTCTTGACAGACCCTTTTTGTTCATACATTGCTTTCTGATTTCCTTTGTTCTTTGTCCATGGCTTTTTTTTTTTCTTAGCTCTTTCAACATATTTAAGACAGTTGGCTTGATATATTTAACTAGTTATTCCAATGTCTAATATTCTTTAGAAATAACTTCTGTCAAATTGTTTTTTCCTGTGGATGGGCTATAATTTCCTGTTTCTTGGTATGTTTTCTGATTTTTTGTTGAGACTGCACTTCTGGAGTATTAAAATATGGTAACTCTGGAAATTTGATTTTCCCACTCCTCACAGATTGCTGATTTTTGCTTGTTGAGGGCTGGAAACATTCATTTGTGACTTTTCCAAACTATTTTTGCAAAGCATGTATTTCTCATTGTGTGTGAACACAGACATTTGTGTTCCTTTATCTCTTTGGTCAACTAACAAAGATTTCCCTGAATGTCTGGCTCCAAAAAAAATATTGTCTTGTCTCTTTAACTTTCCTGAAAGATGCTGCTGGAGGAAGTTGCTGCTGCAAGAGTGCCAAAATCAAGGCAAGCATTTGTACTGGTCTCTAAAGGCACTACCAAACCAATCCAAAAGCACAACCTCGTATCTTTGGAAGACAAGTTATCTGCTTCCCACTCTGGGTCCAGATAGCCACTCCAGAAACACATGCTCCTAACTCACATTCACAGCAGGGCTAAGGAATTTGCCACCATCTCTGGTTCATGCACACTGCTCACTTAAAAATAATCAGTTGCCTCTCCCTTTATCAAGCACTCCCCTAGTTGCTATGTGATCAATCACGTTCCAGAAATCCAAAGTAGCTGTCTCCAATTGCCCTTTCCAGCTCAATATCTGCTGCAGGTGAGGGATCTCTAATCAACTGAAGTACTCTAGAACTAGGGTGACCAGTCTGTTTAGGACTTTCCCAGTTTTCAAACTTAAAGTCCTATGTCCCAGAAATCCCTCCATCACAAGCAAACCGGTACCATTGATCACCCCATCCAAGACTCATTACTGATCCTCTTCTCTATCTATAATAACTCTTTTGGAATTCCATTAACTCACCTGGCTTTAAGTACCACTTATACCAATAACTCCTAATGTGTATCTTAAAGTTAGAACTCAAACCTGAACTCTTCCTGACATTTGAAAGGTCTGTTGACTTCTCAAATTTGTCTTGTTCTACATGGAACTCCTGATCTCTCTCCAAACCTGTTGCTCCAGTGCCTTCCCTATCTTTGTTGATGATCCCATCTGTTGATGGCAACTCCACCCTTCCAGTCACTCGGGCAAACTATCATAAGTCACAGTCTGTCATGAAATCCAATTGTCTGTATCTACATCATAATATCTCCAGAATCCTAACACTTATCACCATATGAATTCCCATCACCCTGGTCAAAGCCAATCATCTTTTTTGAAAACCCTTGAATAGATTTCTAAATGGTCTTTTTTCTTCTTTACCTCCTTCTTTGCATATTCCCAATATAATAACTAAAATGATTGATTTTGTTTAAAAAAAGTTTATTTTGGTAAGAACACAACATGAGATCTAATCTTTTAACAATTTATTATTATTTTTTATTTTTATTTTTTTTTTTTTTGAGACAGAGTCTCGCTGTGTCACCTAGGCTGGAGTGCAGTGGTGCAATCTCGGTTCACTGCAAGCTCCGCCTCCCGCGTTCACGCCATTCTCCTGCCTCAGCCTCCTGAGTAGCTGGGACTACAGGCACCTGCCACCACGCCTGGCTAATTTTTGTATTTTTGGTAGAGACAGGGTTTCATCGTGTTAGCCAGGATGGTATTGATCTCCTGATCTTGTGATCCACCTGTCTAAGCCTCCCAGCAAATTTTTAAGTGTACATTAGAGAGTTGGTAATTATAGGGACAATGTTTTATAGCAGATCTGTGTTTTCAAGGATGTGGAGAAAAGGGAACCTTTGTACAATGTTGGTTAGAATGCAAAATAGTGTAACTGTTGTAGAAAACAGTATGGCAATTTCTCAAAAAATTAAACTACCATACTACCATAAGATCCAGTAATCCCACTTCTGGGTATTTATCCGAAAGAATTGAAATCAGGATCTCAAAGAGATATTAGCACTCCCATACACATTGCAACACTATTCACAGTAGCCAATTTGTGGAAACAATTGAAATGTCCATCTGTGGATGAATGGATAAGAAAATATGGTGTATACATAAAATGGAATATTATTCAAACTAAAAAAAGAAGGAAATCCTACCATATGTGACAACATGGAAGAAACTTCAGGGCATTATGCCAAGTAAAAGAAGGCAGTGACAGTAGGACAAATACTACATAATACCACTTAGGTAAGGTACTGAAAATAGCCAAATTTATCGACTCACAGAATGGTGGTTGCCAGAGGCTGGTAGAGAGAGAGAAATGGAGAGTTGCTGTCCAATGGGCTTAGAATAATCCTTTAAAAATACAACAGTTCATGTCACTCACAGAGTAAGAGCCAAAGCTCTTACCAGGGCCTAAAATGTGTCATCTAGACTTCACAGTTCCTCTATGACCTTTGGGGTCCTCTCCATTACAAGGCCATCTTATTGCCTACCATTCTATGCCCACTAGAGCATGGAGATCACATACCCCACCCGTCACCCCATCCCTAAAGCAAAGAAAGCGTGAGGTCCTGAAGAAGGGTGACCCCATGATTAGGTGGCATGTTGATCCAACAGAGAGACTGGATGGACTTGCCTAGGTCACTGCCATTCCATGGCCAGCCCCAATGCATCTTCCCCACACACCCCAAAGAAGGACTTGACCTCATGCTTGTTTGCTCACTGCTGTCAAAGGTAGCCACATGCTTGCTGTAGGTGACAGCAGTGTACACAGGGACCCTTCCTAATTGGGTCTCACTTCTAAACCCTCCTTCAAGTAGCTATCACAATTAAACACTCCCATTCAGATTCTTTCAATCTGCAAGCTTACTCCTTACAGTCATCTGCTTTCTCGGCATTCTCATCCCTACGCTACTCTGCATATCCTTCCTGGTGAATGAACACTCCACTCCATTCCCCTTTCCCCACCATGACTTTCCTGTGCTTTCTGGGACTCCCACTCAGGGATCAGCAAATTCCTCCAACCCTTTTCTGAACATTCCCTCTACCACTTTGCCTGAATTGAAACCTGTCTAACCCCTGCAGGCAGTGACCCCCTTCAGTTGTCTCAGGCAGAAGCCACTTCTACCTTCAAACTCTGTTTATCAAGGTTGGGAGGGAGAATCTGTGCCTCTCTTTATTCTCCAATGCCACTTCCTGACCACAGCTCTCTATTCTATTTTTTGAGGTTTATAAAATTTAACTTGTAAATGGAAAAGGGAAAAAAGTGGCCAAAAACTCAAATCGAGAATACATTTGGAAGTAAATATCTTTTTCACCCCACAATTCAACCCCTCAACCACCCTTCACGCTTTCACATGTTGACTCCTGAGTGGGAGTTCCAGAAGGCACAGGAAAGTCATGGGAGGAAGAGAGGGATGGAGTGGAGTGTTCCCTCAGCTGCCTGCACATATATGTGCATGTACGTGGCAGAGGCACATGAACATCTGGGCACATGTGTACATACACACACACAGGCTGATAGTTACATCTTTACACTAATACATACACATGAGGACAAATACAAACATACCTGTGACTATGTAATGATTCACACACCTGTGCGTGCTCATATGCATGCTTGCTTTCATAAAATGAGGGCATGCGTTCATATTTTCAGTTTATCAACAAACTTTTTAAAAAGTATAATATACGTATAAGAAAAGTACGCAAATCAGCTTGACAAATTATCTCAAAGTGAATACGCTCATTTAACACTGTCTCGCTACCTGTGATTTTCACTTAACACTCCATTGTGAATATCTTCTCGACTATCATGTGTCCATTCTAGGATTGAAGGCACAATTTACTTAAGTAGTCCAAGATCTTTAGGCCTTTTCCATTGTTTTACTATTAGAAAAAATGCTGCAATCGTTACCCTTGTTCATGTCTTTGTAACCACATTTATGAGAATAAATGAAAGTGGAAATTCTGGGTTTCCTTGCTGTCTTTTATCTTTTTGAGACAGGATCTCGCTCTGTCACCCAGGCTGCTGCAGCCTCAATCTCCTGGGCTTAAGTGGTCCTCCTGTCTCAGCCTCCCAAGTAGCCAAGACTACAGGTGTGCACCACCACACCAGCTAATTTTTTGATATTTTGTAGAGATGAGGTCTCACTATGTCACCCAGGCTGTGCTTGAACTTCTGGGCTCAAGAAATCCTCCCGCCTCAGCCTCCCAAAGTGCTGGGATTACAGGCATGAGCCACTGTGCCTGGCCTCCTTGTTGTCTTATGGGAACACCTCCAGAATTTCCCTTCGCAGTTTCTCATTGGTTATTAGGGGACTTGCAGCCTATGGCTACAAGGCCACCACCCAGCTTTTGCTACTTTAGGGCTCCATCATACACACGGATGTTAATGAGCTCAGCTCTCTGCTCGCCTCTCCCACCACCATCCTAGCCTGTAGAGGAGCTGCCACTGAACTTCCTAGCGATGCTGTTGCCCCTCTCACCAAGGCCCATGGCCTTAATGGATGGGGTGTCCTTGAGGCCCTCTTGTGGAACATCATCCTCTGGGGGGGTCTTCTGGCTTTACGTGTTGTGTTCCAGCATGCCCGCTTGTGTCGGCCCCTTTGTGTTTTCTTACGCCTTCTGGCAGGACACCCCAGACATTTCCCCTTCACTTAGTGTTGGTCATCACTTTCTCTGGGCTTCAAAGAACCCCCTTAGAGGCAAGTTTGCCCATCTCTTAAGATTAGTGTTGCCAGATCTAGCAAATAAAATTACAAGATGCCCAGTTCAATTAAAATTTCAGATAAGCAACAGATACTTTTTAGCATAAATGTGTCCCCCAATACCATATGAAACATTTTAATGTTATCTAGCAACCCTCCCTGAGATTCTTGCCAGGGTGTTAAATCTTGTATTCCTAGAAAGTGTCCCCCAAACCAATACATTTTTGCTTATCCAGTTATATAATCTATGTCCCTTGATCAAGCACTCTCAAAATTCAATACCAGGGGTGGCCTCTGGCCCCTGTCAGGGCATGTAGGTGATGTTTGCAGCCCCTTCCATGCACATTGGCTTTCTTGCCTTATTAGAGCCAGTTGCATCCCCAGGTAGGTTATGCTGAGATTTAACCCCTACCCTTATCAGCTTGGCAGCCAGGGGAGGAGGTGGAAGCAGCCTCCATGGCTTTGCAGAGAAGCCTCTGCAGCACATTTAAGCATGAGGAAGCCCAGTTCTTCCCACCCTCTTCCTAGGGAGGGTGGGCAATCTTAGCAGGTTCTGACAGTGCAGGCAGGTCTACAGAACCCACATTTTCTGGACTTTATGTCTGCACATCCCCATCCCATGTTGCAGGATCTCAGGATTTCCCAGCCAAGGCCCCAGCCAGTGGTATGCTTCTAAGTGTTTAACAAGCAGCTCTTCAAAAAGAGGGATGAAGAAAACCTCTGAATCATACAGTATTTGCTGATTTCTACGGTGCAAATATCACACCACAGCTGACTTCAAGCTATCAATTATAATGTCATTGAATGAGGAGTTCTGAAGAGGCACTAATGATTAATTGGCTCTTGTGAGCTAAAAAAGAGCTAGGTCCAGTGTACTATTGGCTCTGCCCTCAGCAGAACAGACTGGCTGAGCATATAAGCATCTCTGGAGCTTTGTGACTCTAAATCGGGGCCTGCATCTGTTGCACAGCTGTGTCCACTCTTGTGCTGCAGGAGATAAGGGCATCTTTGTAAGCTACAAAAGAGAGCTCTGCCTCTCACACTTAGCTTGCTAATGGCTCTTGGTCTCTCACTGTCCCTCCACAGGACAGCAATACAACTCAGCAGTAGCCAGTCAACTCTGCCATCTTCATAGACCCCCAATGCCTTTCAAATGCCTAAAGAATTTCACCTGCAAAAGTGTTCTCCTTTCTGGAACTTTTCCCAGGTACGACCAGTAAAATCCTTAGCAATTGGGCCCCTCTTCGGGCCAGAGACAACCTCCTCTGTCTCACATAACACTCAGAATGGCATTCTTTGCTTACGGAGAGGTAAATGAGCCAGTTCTCAAATCCCATCATGTGGTCTATTTTCTTTTCAACAATTTTTTTTTTATTTGATATTTCCAACATCTCAGCAGAATCATTGTGGTCTGTTTTCTTGGACAGCTCCTGGTACCATTTGTGTTAGTTCTAGTCCTCTAAGAAGTAGGCACCAAGATGGGATTAGATGCACAGAATATTTATGGAGGTAAATGCCTTTGACTCATAAATGAGAAAGAGCAGGGAAAGGTGGTGTGGTGAGCTGTCAGAACCCATAAGAGAGAAGGAGGAGGAAGGCATTGCGAAGGGCAATCACAGACTGCAGTGCACTTCTAAGAAAGCTCCACCCAGAGGAACTGCACATTTGACAGGAATGGGCCTGCACCAGATGCACAGGCATAACCAGTTATTGACTGGGGAGCAGCCAGCCATGCAGGTGCGGATCCAGCTTGGTGAACCTCACTCTACACAACCAGCACATTTGAGCTGTGCATTGTGTGGTTGCCACATCTGTGTTTCCTATAAACTGGACATTATAGCTAAAGGTTTAACAGATCCAACTTAAGAATCTGGGGCTAGAATATTTGATTGGCAATGGTGCAGAACTCACATTGCATTAGTTCAAAAGGCTCATGACATCTGGTCTACCTGCCTTTAGTAATGTGCACACTAAGCCCTGGATTAGAGGGATAGCAGCCTTGTCATCCTAGATCACAGTCATCCTCACCAGTGACCTCCCCATTCCCTGCCATCTCTGCTAAACATGGCCACTGTCTTAATGCAGAACTCATCATCTCTGAAACTGTGCCATCTCAACACTCCCTCAGAACAATATTCCTAGCTCATATCTCCACTCACCAAGAACATTTCACAAGTGCCTAGTTTGCCCCAGTGTCAGTAAAGCAACTGTTGTCAATCTCATCAAGAAATAAGTTGAGTGGGAAATGGCTCGTGTTTCTTTTGCATTTATCACCTTCCAGGTTCTGTTCTTGACATTGCAAATGGTATTTAATTTTCACAAAATCCTCTGAGGCAAGTACGATTGTCCCTATTTTACACATAGTAAGTGCTGGAGCTGGATACGAAACTGTGTCTGCTGATCCTGGAGCCTATACCTGGCTAATAACAACAGCCTGGCAGGGCAGGCCGAGGAATTTATATTCATGGCTGGAAGTGAAAAGGGAACCAATGGGGATTTTTAAGTAGGGAAGCAATATAATTAAAGTAGTATATTTTTAAAATTAGTCTACAGGTTGTATGCAAGTGGGATTAAAGGAGGAGAAAACTAAAGTCAGAGAAACCATTTAGAAGTCAGGCACAATTATCCAGAAACTTATAGGGTTGGGCGGAGATGGTCGTGGGTGTAGCAGAGGAGGACAAAAAGGGATGAGATTTAGAGACGTTTTGAACAGAAAATTAATGTGAGTTTTTAAACTGACATGCCAAGTCTATGGAAAAAGTTAACAGAGTCAACAGTTATTCCAGATGTTGAGGCTGAGTGGCTGGGAGGCTGGGAGAACTGACCTTGAAGGGATGTTGAGAGACAATGGCTGGCACTCAATGTCCACTTGGGAGTTTCGTGCACGCACCCTTGGTGGAGTCGAGAGCATGAAAGGGTGCTTCCAAAGAGCCTGTGGGTGGAAACGGCAGAGAGCCAGAGGCCGGGCCTTAGAGAGCCTCTGCTTCTGGGGCTGGGGGAGGAAGAAGCTCTAAGATGCCAACCCCACAAAGAGCCAAAGAAGATGCTGGAGGAGGACCAGAGAATTTAAAACCAGAGAAGCTAAGTGCATCACATTGAAATTATGTTTTCTTAAAGATTTTTATATACCCTGGAGTTTTCAAAATTGAGAGCAGTATAGACAATATTCAGTTCAACATGTTTGGCTGAATAATATTGTTAACAATAGGGCTTTTTAAAATGGAAATTTTTGCAATTAAGCCAGGGATGTGACATGTCCCATAAAAAGAAAGACTAGTGTGCTTCCAAAATTAAGATAAAAAGGCTAGTAATTACTGAACAGCCAAATAGGTCTTCAAACAAATAGAAGTCCTTCTCAGAAAAAAACGGCGTCTGGAGTCTGGCCATATATTTGCTCATCATTCCTGAAAGTATGGGCACATTTAGAACATCCTGTCCTCTACCAGCACCCTTGATTCTCAGCCCCTTTTCTAAAATTACAGTTTCCAGTGATAGCTACCCCTGAAATACTGGCTTTTCTCCAGGACCGTGGCAAGTATTTATGGCATGGCTTCTTTTATTTAAAAATTGTGAGATTTTATTTTCCTTAAGTCCTTAAAACACACAGTCCACTACTGTTGTTTAAACTGTCTTTACCACTGGTGTGCTGAACTTCCAAAATATTTAGGCAAGAGCTTACTAAAGTTAAAAGTCAGGTAAATGAGGACTCAATGGGAAAAGGATAGTCTCTTCAATAAATGAAGATACTAGGCTATTCACAATAGCAAAGACATGGAATCAGCGTAAAAGCCCATCAATAGTAGACTGGATAAAAAAAATGTGGTACATATATACCATGGGCTACTACACAGCCATAAAAAAGATGAAATTCTGTTTTTTGCAGCAACGTGAATGGAGCTGGAGGCCGTTATCCTTAGTGAACTAACACAGGAACAGAAAAGTGAATACTGCATGTTCTCACTTATAAGTTGGAGCTAAACATTGAGTACACATGGACACAAAGAATGGAACAACACACACCAAGGGCTACTTTAGGGTGGAAAGAGGTAGGAGGGTGAGGATCAAAAAATTACCTATCAGGTACTATGCTTACTACCTGTATAGGCAAAATAATTTTACAACAAACCCCTGTGACATGCAATTTACCTATGTAACAAACATGCACATGTATTCCTGAACCTAAAATAAAAGTTAAAAAAATTAAAAATTAAAAAATAAATGAGTGGTGCTGGAAAAACTGGATTTTTACATGCAAAAGAATGAAATTGGACTCTTATCTTATACTACATAAAAAAATCAACTCAAAGTTAAAAAAAAAAACCCTAAATATAGGACAAGAAACCACAAATTTCCCAGAAGAGAACATAGGGGAAAATCTCCTTGATATTGACATTGGCAAAGGTTTTGTTTGTTGTTGTTGTTGTTTTGACAATACACCAAAAGCTCAGGCTACAAAAGCAAAAACGAATAAATGCGATGTCATCAAAATTTAAAAAACTTCTGTACAGCAAAGGAAACAATCAACAGGGTGAAGAGACAATCTATGGAATGATAGAATATATTTGGACACCATGCATCTGATAAGGGGTTCATATCCAAAATCGATCAGAAATCAAACTCAATAGTAGAAAACAAATAACCTGATTCAGAAATAGTGCCCTGACAGTGGCGCATGTCACTGAGGAGGCTGAGACAGGAGGATCACTTGAGCCCAGAAGTTCGAGATCAGCCTGGGCAATATAGCAGGATAGAACAGGATTGCTTGAGCCTGGGAGTTTGCAGTGAGCTATGATCGCACCACTGCACTCCACCCTGGGCAACAGAGTGAGACCCTGTCTCAGAAAAACAAACAAACAAAATAAATAAATAAATAAAACAAGAAAAAAAACGCAAATTGAAACCACTATGAGATACCACCCCACACCCTTTAGGATGGCTATTATCAAAAAAACAAGAGGTAACAAATGGAGAGAGTGTTGGGAGGGTTGGAGAAAAGGGAACACTTATGCATTGTTAGTGGGAATGTAGATTGCTGCAGCCACTATGGAAAACAGTATGGAGGTTTCTAAAGAAATTAAAAATAGAACTACCATACCATATGACCTAGTAATCCTATACTAAAAGGAGATTAAATCACCCGCTAGTAGAGATACCTGCACTCTTATGTTCACTACAGCATTATTCACAACAGTCAAGGTATGAAAACAACCTAACTGTCAACGGATGAATGGATAAAGAAACTGTAATATTCCAACACACGCACAACAGAATAATTCAGCCTTAGAAAGAAGGAGATCCTGCCATTTGCCACAACATGGTTGAACCTGGAGGATATTATGTGAAGTGAAATAAGCCAGACAGAGAAAGAAAAATATTGCATGATCTCACTTATATGTGGAATCTAAGAAAACAGAAAGGTCATATATGCAGAGATAGAGAACAAAACAGTGGTAACCAGTGGGAGGAAATTGGGAGATGTAGGTCAAAGGATACAAAATAGCAGATACGTGGGATGGACAAGGGTAGAGATCTAATGTGTAACATGAGGACTATAGGTAATAAAAGTACGTTGTATTAGAGAGTTTTGTTAAATAAGTAGATTTTAGCTGCTCTTGGCACACAAATATTGTAACTATGTGAGATGATAGTTATGTTAATTTGTTTCTCTCTAGTAACCAATTTACTATTTATATGTATCCCATATCCAATTGTAAACCTCCAATATACACAATAAAATTTATTTTAAAAAATAATAAAATGAAAATAAAAATATTTACATGAAACTTTTAAAAACCAGCTAAATGGACAAGTAAAGCACATTAATCACAATAAACAAGAAAAATGAAAACTTCACAGAGCTGGAAGTTGTTCATCAGCATTCTCACTACATAAAACACAGTTAGCCTCCTTCTCCCTTCTTGACCCCTAACCCTTCCCCCTCCCCATCCTACCCTCCTATTAAAAAAAGGGAAATATAATAAAAAGCCTGTGAGCTCCAAAAATAGGTAATCCGAGTCCAAGTCTCAAAGATCACGTATGGCATGCTAACAATCTTATCAACATTTCTCGCACTGTGTTTTAATGCAAGACACTCAGTTTTAGATGTTACTCTTCTTCTAGTTTTACCAATATTTGCATCTTATAAACAAACCACAGTGGATTAGGAGTGGTTTGCTGTGTGTGGCTTTGGTTGACTGTCAGTGAAGGGCACTGGACATAGGGACATGAAAAAGAGACAGTGGGGAGAAGAGCAGACAGCATGATGCTGAAGAGAAGAAAAAGAAACCTACGCAAGCAGAAACAAGCAACAGAAACAATAAGGCAGCCCAGAGTTGTTTATTTATCAAAACAGGATTGAGACAATAGGGTAGAGCAAACAGGGTGTCAAACATGGCCTCTGTAGCCCCAAAGGTTGTCACTACACAGAAAGGATGCTCAGCCATAACGAATCAGTTTAATTCTATTCCACGTTTTTCTTGATGAGAAATACATGCCACATTTAAGAAAGCTACCGATTCAAAATGGTTAACATTTTCTAAAAATACACTGAGGTCTACAAAAATTGAATTGGCTTATTGTATCTTCACTGCTGTTGGAGAAGTGAAGTTTTACCATCAGGCAATTCTCCTCCTGTGCATAATGATACCATACTGAAGTTTTAAATAGAAAGACATTGAAGTTTTTGAACCTTAATGTGAAGTTGTCCCTTTCAATTAAATATGGCACATATGTATTAATAAACAGACATCCCTGTAAAGTGAATTTCTCTGTACATGGAATCCAAATTTCTCACTGGTTTATATGTTAAATTCATATGTAGGAAAAACTTTAAAAATGTTCATAAACTATAATAAAGACAATAATTCAGCTCTTCTGAAAACTGCAGGCAGATAGGGTACAGTAGCAGACAGGACTTCGGAAGTACTGGGTTTAAGCCCAGGGCAGGTTAAAGGTTGTGGCTGTGGCTTTGAACAAGCCACTTTTGCCCTTCTGAATCTATGCAGATGCTTTGTTCATTTCAGAAGCATTTCTAGAGCTCCTACTAAGTGCCAGGCCTCATGCTAGGTCTCAGGCATACAAGGGTAAACAAGACAAGGCCTCTGGCTTCATAGGTTATCCAAGAACCTTGAAATGGTTTTGAACTTTTGGGATGAATAATGCTGGAAATTAGTTCAAGACAAATTCCCTGGAGATTTTAAGTGTGAAATACTAAGGATTACACAATTCACTCCCTGCTTAGCGTCTAAGGAGGAATCGCATTTCACCCTCGCTCCCTGGGAAGTGCGTGGCCGCCCCAGTCCTGGGTCCCGTGCTGCCTCAGCACCATCTGCTGGCTCACGAGGGAAGGGCCTGCAGGGAGGTCCTGCGGGGTCGGCCCAGCCCCACCCAAGGACCGCCTTACAGACCTCCTGGCAGGGACCAATGATGGCTGGTTGGCCAAAATAACTCTTGCTGGTGAAGAAAGCTGGGAGAAACATGACGTCTGAAGGGTTACTCGCCACCGTCTGGCGTAGGTGACTCAGCCAGGCAGGACCTCACACAGAGGAAACATTATGATTGCTCTAAGTACTGTAAGAAGAGAATTATTATTTTGTTGTGAGTGTATGATCCAATAAAGGTAACAATATACAGAATCACATGCCCTGTAGGTGAGACTCCAACCCGTCCTAGACTTACTGGCTGTGTGGAGATGCCTGGGAGAGCGTGGCAGGGCTGCAGCAGCTCACATTCCCCACGTACCTGCCCTGGCAGACAGCCTGGGATTGGCAAATGCACAATCATATTCACCAGGTGAAGAAAGGACCAGGACTTCCCCTATGGTCCGTCTTTTCTGATTTTTTTCTTCTTCTTCTTCTTCTTCTTTTTTTTTTTTTTTTTTTTGAGACGGGGTCTCGCTCTGACACCAGGTTGGAGTGCAGTGGAGTGATCTCAGCTCACTGCAACCTCCGACTCCCGGGTTCAAGCAATTCTCCTGCCTCAGCCTCCCGAGTAGCTGGGATTACAGGCGCCCGCCACCATGCCCAGCTAATTTTTGTATTTTTGGAGGAGACAGGGTTTCATCATGTTGGCCAGGATGGTCTCGATCTCCTGACCACGTGATCTGCCCACGTCCGCCTCCCGCAGTGCTGGGATTACAGGCGTGAACCACCGCGCCCAGCCTCTTTTTTGATTCTTGAAGTCACTCTTAGCACTTTGCTGAGGCTGTTTGTTAGCTTAGTGGTTTTCTATTCTGATTGTATCTGTTTTGACTTTGAAGGGAAAATGATATATTTGTTTGGTCAGAAAGACATAAGCCAAATAGTGGTGTGCAGTTGGGTTGCTCCACGAAGCAGAGCCTGAGATGAAGGCTTACAAATGGACTGTTTATTTGAAGGGACAGGATTGTGGGACAGAGGCATAGAACAGGGAAGGAGGGAAAGTTGCATTAAGAAGGTGTTGTCCAATGGGGTACCGTGGCAGGCAGTCAATGCTCTGTCCAGCCTGGATCTTCTGAAGAGCCATTTGAAATATGTCTCAGAACTGTCTTCTCCAGGGAATTGGAGGCTGGACCCCACGTTATGATCATGCAGGTGCAAATACCAGAATGTGCTCCAAGGTGCCTCCTGCATGGCAGCCGCCATCACACCCAAAGGCAAGAAAGAAGAGGCGTGCACAGGTGTGAGATTGCACCTGCGAGAAGCTGTCAGCGTCCTCAGAGAGGCAGAACTTGAGCATTGTGAAATGGCATGCAACAGGAGCCCAGTTCAAGTATTTACTCAGGAATAAAAAGTTTGGACATGTTACAGATGATTTATAACGACCTCCTAAATTATTGTAGCATTATTGATTGATTGGGTAGGTGGAAAAATGTGGAAGCTTGGCTAAGCCTGGGAATAAATAAAGGTGGGTGACTTTTCAGCCTTTATAGTCTATAAAAGAGTATCTCCCCTCACACTCACTTTTTATTATCAGTGCACTACTAGACTCTGACTTTAGCAATTTTGTTGTAAATAATAGTATATTTAGAAATCTATTCTTGAGACTAAGACTATGCATAAAAGGTTCCTGGGAAACCGAAAGTTATCATTTATTTGGCTAATTACGTCTAACTAGGTAGCTAAAATGCATAATAAGAATCCAAATAGCATTTTCCCACAGAGGGGGATTAATTGAATAATTAATAGCCTTCTCTATTTTGCATGAATAATTAAGAAGTCTAAAGGAACTACAAGCTGAATTCCATTACACCGAACGATTCCCAGGCCAATAGCAATGGCATATTAAAAGCAATATTCAATACAACCAAATTGTAGGACACACAAACCCTGACAGCATTCTCTCAGAGCTTGTTATAACAAGTTTTGACCCTGAGCAATAATCACTGGATTTTTCAACATTGTCATGTGAAAATACATTCTGTAGTCAGTTTGTTTCTCGTCCAGGTGAACAAAGCATACTTGTTCTAGGAGCAAATCAATGGTTTCATTGTTAATGTGGCATTTGGCAGGGAGGGAGAGTTATTGTTGGCTTATTTATCACACACATTTCTGGAGATGATCCACTAGTTTTAAATAGGAACAGGACATTTTAAATGCAAAATACACTGGAATTTCTCGATAATGGACATTTCTCCTTGTACAAGTTTCTCTTCAGAGATTAATATCTAAAACTCCCCGCTACAAGAAAAATTTGTTGCAGTAGTGGGGTTCCTATGTAGCATCTTAGGCGGTCTTAGCAGCGCCTTGGAACTCTTCAACCTCTGCTGTTAGCCCTCTGGAGTTTCCACATAGAGCATCCAAGCCTGCCTCTCCCTCCATGAGCACTTTTTCCTCTATGGACTGTTTACTGCCTGCAAGGCAGCAAGAGTTTCTGAGGGGCTGAATTACAAGGCAAGTGCTTTGGCTGAAATCCAAATGAAAATCATGGTTTCTCCATTGATTACCTGTAATTAAAATTGTTTCTTGATTAGAAGATCAACATTTTCCTCTATTTTAATATGCCTTAAATCAAAATGCAGCCTAGATTTGATGTGAATATTTACTATCATATTGTCTGGTGAGTCTTGGAAGCAATCCTAGCATATAACGAAGGAAACCTCATAAAAAGCAGAGAAACTTTAGCACACAAATCATTGTATTTCAGTGGGGTGCATAGAAGTGAGTTTACAAACAATGAAGTTTGTTTGTTTTTTTGTTTGTTTGTTTGTTTGTTTGTTTATTGAGACGGAGTTTTGCTTTTGTCGCCCCGGCTGGAGTGCAATGGCACAATCTCGACTCACTGCAAACTCCGCCTCCCGGGTTCAAGTGATTCTCCTGCCTCAGCCTCCCAAGTAGCTGGGATGGCAGGTGCCCGCCACTACGCCTAGCTAATTTTTGTATTTTTAGTAGAGACAGGGTTTCACCATGTTGGCCAGGATGGTCTCACCTCCAGTGATCTGCCCTCCTTGGCCTCCCAAAGTGCTGGGATTACAGGCATGAGCCACTGTGCCCAGCCTACAAACAATGAAATTTAAGGCAGTGGCTCTCAACTTTTTCCCCTCACCCACATTCCTCTAGTATGTGACTATGATCACGTATGTGGTGGAAATGTCCCCAGGTTGGGAATTTGCTTTTCCTTCCTCCTTCCCTCCCCGACATTTGTGCAACAGCTACACCATGCCTCACACCAGGCTGGGCTCTGGTTGTTAGAGTGGTAAATGTTACAAAATCTGATCAAATTGCAACTCCCCCCACCCCCAGCCCTCTGTACTGACCTTCCCTGCTTCACATTTTCCATAGCAAATGTCATCATCGGACATATTAGGTGTGTTACTTATTTATTATACATTTCTCCTGTCTCTCAGGTAAGGTCCCTGAGTATGAGAAACTTTGTTTTGTTCACTGATAAATCCTAAGTAAACACTGTTCTAGGCACATGGTAGGCTCGATACAAATAGTTTGAATGAATAACTATTGGAATGAATAAATATTCTAATGGGGAAAGATAGAACAATGAATAAACCAAATAATTACAGGTGTAACAACTGCTGGGTGATAAGAAAGTAGGTAATTAGGGAGGCCACCTTGAGGAGGGTTTAGAGAAATCCCCTGGGAGAAGTGACAAGCCCAGACCCAAGGGTGAGAGTGAAATGGCACAGAAAGAGTCACGAGTTTTGAAGGAGGGAGGGGTGGGGTTTTGTCAGAATTGTCAGGCAGAAGACAGACAGTGAGCCTCATTTCATTCAGGCTGTAGGTGAGAGATGAGGCTGGGAAGAGGTTTAGAGCCAGCTCATGCTCAGCCCTGGAGGTCGTGATAAAGAGTTTGGATTTTATTTTTAAAGCAATAGGAAATTATTGAAGGATTTTTAAGTCACTCTATGAGCTACAGGATCTGAAACTTTTTGATTCTCCCTCCTGGGGACGCATACATTTCCACTTAAGAATCTCTGGTCTAAGTCAGAATCTGGTAGCCATCTCACTAATCTTTCAGTATTATGATTCCTCCTTTTCCTCCTCTGTGGCTTCAAAAAGAGAAATCCTTAGCAACATCTCTCAGGCCTTGGCAACAACCCATAGGCTTATGTATGGCTCTAGGCTCTGTGATTTCACACTGTATGCAAACCCTTGGAACCTTCCTTGTCTATCTGCTACTTGGGGAGGGAGGTTGCTTTCTTGATTAAAAGATCAGTGCCCCTCTCTCTCCTTTTCTTTTTTAAATAACTACTCCTGAGTTAATCTGAAAACCTAGCTTTAATATGCATTGCTGCTTTCTTAGTACTCTGCTTTTTCTAGACTCCCATTCTCCCAGGTGAAGCTGGTCACAACTATTAGGCAATCTCTATGCTAAACGTAGTCCCGCCCCACTCTTTCCCCAAGGAGAATTTGCATTCCTGCCTTGCTTTAGCCCTCAGCTTTCAGGAGAACTCACTTGCTATCATCTATTGAAGCCTGGACCTTGAGGACTCCTGAGTATCTCCTTAGCAACAGATGCAATTCACCTTGCAACAAATCCTACCATAGAACGAAGGAAACATCGTACTAAAGCAGAGAAATTTAGCACACAAATCATTGTGTTTCAGTAGGGTGCATAGAGAGATTACAGACAATGAAGTTTAAGGCAGTGGTTCTCAACTTTTTCCCCTCGCCCACATCTCTCTAGGATGTGACCACGATTATGTATGTGTTGGAAATGTCAACCAGGTCGGGTATTTGCTTGTTCCCTTCATTCCTCCCTCCCTCCCCCACATTTGTTCAACAGCTATACCATGCGTCATACCAGGCTGGGGTCTAGTTATTTGAATGGTAAACATTACAAAGCCTGCTGAAATTGCAAATTTTCAGATAGTCCTGGCATAAAATTCCCCCCAGAGTGTTCTGAGAGGCCTGGATCTCATCCTGTGAAAGCAAGCAAACAACCTTTTTAGCAAGGCTTTCTGAATGTAGATTTAGCTTTATGTCATTCTCATAACAGAATTAGGATTCAGTCCTGCTGATGATCAATTCTAGCCTATTGCAGAAAGTAAGCCCGAAGCCAATAGCCAACACATGATGACAACATTGTCAATGTAGGTTTTTTCCCTGGATGGTATTCTAGAGACAGTATGTGTAAACCAAAAATAAAATTCTAAGACCCCCAGCCATCTGAATGGACCTCTCCTCTTGGCCAAGGGCATTCCCAAGTTAACCTGAAAAACTAGTTCAGGCCATGATGGGAAGCGGGTGTCAGATATGCCTCATGATACTCCCCCTCCCTTTTGGAATTCAGGCCCAGCTGACCAGCATTAACATTAAAACAGGTCTTATGACTAACAAAGCAGACTCTTTGCAGCAATAGGACACCAAATTCCAGCCTGACTCTAGGATGGCATCACATAACAGATAGCAGGCCCTGAAAAAAATCAAAGTGTATTTCTTTGACATATTTTGAAATGGCCCTGCAAAGCTGTCTCTTGTGGGGAAAATCTGCATTCTGTAGAGAATCTCAGTTCCTTTCCAGGTCTTTTTCCTGATCCAGGAGAGACTCATCTCTGATAAGACACATTTACAATCTATTCTCTCTGAAGCCTGCTACCTGGAGGCTTCCTCTGCATAATGGGAACCCTGGTCTCCACAACCCTTTATCTTAACCCAGATATTCCCTTCTATTGATGCTAGGTCTTTAGACAATAACTTAACTCTTTCAACCAATTGCCAATCAGAAAACCTTTGAATCTATCTATGACCTGGAAGCCCCTGCTTCAAGTTCTCCCCCTTTTCTAGACTGAACCAATGTACTTCTTACATGTATTGGTTGGTTCCTTATGCCTCCCTAAAATAAATAAAACCAAGCTGCAGCCTAGCCACCTTGAGCACATGTTCTCAGGACCTCCTGAGGCTGTGCCACAGTCCATTGGTCACTTACATTTGGCTCAGAATAAATCTCTTCAAATATTTTACAGAGTTTGACACTTTTTGTTGACACAGGAGAAAGTTTCTTTATCTCCAGTGAGAAAGACCTTTCCCAATGTAAATAAGGGAAAAATGAGTCCATCATATGTGTAAACTTTATGACAACTCATGTTATAGAAAATCTTAAATGACTGAGAGGCCAATACAAATTGCTAGAAGTTGAATGCTTAATGGCAGCATTATTTCTGCGTGATGTTCAGTCCCATTGAAATACCCTCACTTTGCTTTTATCAAGAGAATGAGTTCCATCCTCCAAATCCCTTGTAGCTTCTGTCACTGTGTATTTACACAGGCCTAAATATCTGTGGTCTAACTGCCCATCCTTCAACCACTCACTGTAATTCTTGGTGACTAACTGTTGGTCATATATTCATCTCTGAAAAAGTCCTCCCTGTTCAATTCTAGAAGAAGAATCACATTGACTAAGAGGAGGAATGGATTTCAATAGAAAATTGAACTGCTGTTACTGAGACAGAGCAGGAACCCCTGGGGCCTCCTCTGCACCCCCATCCACAAGCATGGAAATAAAGGAGAATCCTGAGTTCCTTCAAGGAAAGTTCCAGGCACCTAGCTAGCCCTGAGAAGTATATGAGCAACCTAATAACCAAAAGGTAATAATAGTTCCCCTCGCTTTGTCTCACTGCCATCCTGCTATAATCAGTGCTTGTCTTTGCCGCCTGGGCTGGGTGGACCCAGGTTTGGTGTGGTGGCATTTTCAGAAGAAGGAGGAATGAAGCCTAAGCAACCACACAATTAATCAAACAGATGGATGGTGCACAGTACAACATCCAGAGATCAATTTAGAGAATCGCTACCATTTTTATAGGGTACCTACTACATGCCAGGCATTGTCTAGATATAATACATACACATATATATTAAATTTAATGTTAAACTTTTAAAATTTGATCAACTCTGGATGGATAACTCAGAATTACAAATATCTCCCTATTCTCCAAATAGCCTAGGTTACCACCTACTTGACCTAAAAAACTTCATTAACTCAAAAAGATGAAAACATCATATAATTGGGGGAGGAAGAAGAGATAATTGAACTTAGAGCCCTACTTTTCTCTCTTATACCAAGCAGCTGAATGATTAACATAATATTACAAAATACCTGAATTGTACTTGTTCTTGGCACTGACTGTAAGGAAGTTCTCTCAAATACATACTCTCAATACTTTGGATTATAATACTGTATGTGTTTAGTTTTTCTCCTGGAGAAATTCCACTGTTCATCAGCCATGCTGCATTTTCTGTCATCTGCTTAGAGGACTCAGGTGAAGCTCTCCAGTTCTGAAATCAGTCGGCCTGATTTCAGGTCAAAGCCTTGCCATTGATCATCGAGTCAAACTCAAGATATTTCACCTCTTTCAGTTCCCCCACCTAGTTTCAGTTCCCCCACTTATAAAATGGAGCTAATTAATAGTATTCACTTCATGAAACTGTGAATCTTAATTGAATTAACACAGCTAAATAACCTACAGTAATGTCTAGTACATAGTAAATGGTCAATAGATATTAATCACTACTTGTACAATGAAGATGCTAGTAAGCCAATTCCAGCAGACCAGAGAGAATTGACGAAATAGCAGAAAGTGAGATTATGGACAGAGGCATGAATTCTCGACTTGCTTCTGTCCTAATAAGCCTTCTGACCTTGGACACGATACTTATGTTTCCCAAGCCTCCATTTCTTCATCTATAAAGTGGAGATAATAATATCTCTTCTACATATATCATAGGTTTACTTTTAATCTATAGAGAAATAATAAATGTGAAAGTATTTTATGATAGTTACAGTGCTAAGCAGCTTTAACTGTTAGGATTTGGTTTTGCTGCAAATAAGAGAAATCTCTCAAATAGCAATTTAAATAAGAGGAAATTTTATTTCTTTCTCATGCAAAAGAAGTCCGCAAATAAGCAGCCCCAAAGCTGGATTGGCAGCTCCGTGACATCAGGGATTTGGACAAAGCAACATCAGAAATCCTGGTTCCACTATGTCCAGGGAGCAGACCTTCCTGGACATCAAGAAACATCTACTTATATCTTCTTGTTGCAAAGGAAGATTGCACAAATAGTCTCATAGTTAGATGAAAACTGTAAATTGGGACCCACTGACAAGAGAGAGGAAGAGACAATAGATGCATTATGGGCAACTAAGGGTCTCTGCTACAACTCTATGGCTTCAATATCTTTTACACATATACACTGCTTTTCACAAGAGTGAATTTGTGTTCAACATTCAGTCTCCTTTTTCTCTTCCTCTTCCCCTTCCTGTTCCTCCTCCTTCTTTCTTTTTTTTTTTTTAAGTCATACAGTTATAAGTTAGTGGGTCACTGTTCGGGTTATAAGTTGGGATATAATCTATATTTTTAAAATATTTTTCTAGTTGAAAACAAATAATCTATTTTGGTATCAAAATGATTACTTTAATTTTATTAGAATTATCGCTTTAAGGCCAGATGTGGTGACTAACCCCTGTCCCAGCACTTTGGGAGGCTGAGGTGGGTGGATCACGAGGTCAGGAGATCGAGACCAGCCTGACCAACATGGTGAAATCCCATCTCTACTAAAAATGCAAAAATTAGCCAGGTATGGTGGCAGACACCTGTAATCCCAGCTGCTCAAGAGGCTGAGGCAGGAGAATCACTTGAATCCGGGAGGTGGAGATTGCAGTGAGCCAAGATCACGCCACTGCACTCCAGCCTGGGCGACAGCGGGAGACTCCATCAAAAAAAAAAAAAAAAAAAAGAATTATCCCCTAAAAAAACATCAACCCATATGGCAGTGGCTAAAAGCCCCAAATTTCAGCTGACCACCTGAAAAACTAGTGCTACTGGTCACAACAGGAGTTAGGGGAATGGGGCTCATCAGAGCACAGTCCTCGCTGTTCCCGGCAAAGCAATTGATGGTATTTATCTTATTGATGGTCCAGGGCCATCCTCTTTATGAATCAAAGACAGCACATATTGCTACCCAGATTTTGCTTACTATCTTTTTGTTTTCTTAAAGGTACTATTATTTTGCATACTTCTTTTAAAAAGGCCAAAGTCCTTAAAGATTTAAAGAAAAATGACCTCTATGTACCAATAACAACAACAAAAAAAAAAACAATCAAAACAATTTCTTCTTTTTCTTCTTCTTTGGAGACAGGGTCTTGCTGTGTCACCCAGGCTGGAGTATAGTGGTGAGATCATGGCTCACTGTAGCCTGAATCTCCTGACATCAAGGGATCCTCTAACCTAGGCCTCCCAGAGCACTGAGATTATAGGCATGAGCCATTGTGCCTGGCTCAAAAATTTCTCTTATCAAAATTTAAGAGATCTAATTGGAAAAAATATTTCTTTAGTTGCACTTCATCAAGTTTCTTTCCTTTCTGGATTGAGATGCCACCGTGCCATGTAACTTGTGTGTGTGCAGATGTATACTCTGATTTATTCCCAAAAGGATTTCAGGTGACTCCATCATATCATGTAATAACCAAAAATATAGCACACACAGCAGATAAACATGTGGAGTTAAATCATTCAAATGGTTCCAGATGACTTTGAAACTAAACTTCATTTGCCTTGTTAATGAGATAAGCATTTAAGTCAAAAATCTTAAGGCTTACTCTCTTCAAAATGCTGGCGCTCCACATCTTTGTAAAGGGAACCAGCTCTTTATTTATTTATTTATTTATTTATTTATTTTAGAGACGGAGTTTCACTCTGTCGCCCAGTCTGGAATGCAGTGGCATGATCTCAGCTCACTGCAACCTCCACCTCCCGGGTTCTAGCAGTTCTCCTGCCCCAGCCTCCCGTATAGCTGGGATTACAGGCGTGCACCACCACACTTGGCTAATTTTTTTGTATTTTAGTAGAGATGCGGTTTTACCATGTTGCCTAGGGTGGTCTTGAACTCCTGAGCTCAGGCAATCCGCCCGCCTCGGCCCCCCAAAATGCTAGGATTACAGGCGTGAGCCACTGCGCCCGGCCGGGAACTAGCTCTTTAGCTATAGTTAAAGGTCTTCTAAGTGGCCACTTTCCACTCAAATGCAAGTAATGCAGGAAAACGCAGGCTTGAGGATATATGTGCTTAGTGGTGTCCGTCACTTTCTAACTTCACACGTGAGTAGGTACAGTCACATATGTGCTTCTTATCTCCCCTGACAAGTTCCATGGATGAATTACTTTTCTTCATGAGAAAGTAAGTCTCTGCTGTGTTGACTGTTACAGTGACATGAAATAAAATACGGGAGAGATGGAATTAAAAATACTGTTTTATCCTTGTGCTAAAACATATTCATCCCAATATGTGATGGCTATGGTATAAAGATTATGCTCATAGAAATGTACACTGAACTACGAAAGTGTGTGTGGCAACTACAATTTCTACTAAATATAAATCACTGCCAAAAAATAAGACCCATTTTACCCCGTGACACAGTTCTGAAAAGTTAAGAGCAGCTTTATCCCAATGAAGCTTTTGAGACTGTTTAAATCCTAGGAGTTTTACCAGGGAATCTATTCATGAAGTGTAAAAATTTGTCAGATCGTAGCTGGACTCACAACGACATCGGAATAGCAAACAGAGCCAATGTGCTATGTTTTGCTTGAAGTGTTTGTTCTTACAATAAGGTTCTATGGAGAGTAGCCTGAAACAAAGATAACTACGGGCTATGCCTGTCACAGTGTTCAATTTAGTGTGTGTGCTGAAAGGGTTATTTACTCCTGATAGTTTATACAATTCTCAAGGATATATTTGTTTACTTTTGTTTTGTTTTCCAGGATTGTTTTTAAAGTGATAAGTTAACTTTTAAAGAAGAGTAATGTCCTGAATATGATGAAACACAAATATTTATGCTGAGCATTCTACTGAAACTTAACTGGACAAACAATCTCAAAAATAGACAATTTTCAGGTTGAATCTTCCACTTTGCCAGGGTCATAAGTGAGTAGACATTTTCCCTATTTGGCAGGATAGTCCTCTAGAGGCTGTTCACAATGGCAGCTGTGAGGGGACCTTGGTTTCCTTCTAAGGTGAGATGTTTGCTTCTTGTTACTTATTCAGGTAGTGCCTTGCTTTTCCATCTGGTCAAATAATTCTTGTTTTGATGCACTAATAACCAATAAGAAATCACTCAGAGGTACTTAGCCAGGATTTTAACTCATCTTTAAGCTCTCTCCCTGTGCTGATGTAGGTTCTATTTAGAAGATAATTGTGACTAGAGAAAGCTCTTGGCTTTGATACATCCAAGAATCACATCATCTAGCTTTATTCTACTATATTAAACTATATTACGATGGAACATTTAAATATGAGTACTTATAAGCTAGTGTTAGCAAATTGAACTGAGGTCCCCCCACGCAATACAGTAAAGCCCAAACATCCACACTGAGGTTTGCAGCAGGAGAAAGGAAGGCATTTATTTGCAGGGCGCCAAACAAGGAGAATCAGGCAGCTAATGCGTAAGACCCGAATTGTCAGATGGCTTACAGGTAAGCGTTTTTAAAGGCTGGGAAGCAGAGTAACCTCTGCCTCAGCCAAAGCCATAAATCAATACACAGAAGTTATACATTGGTTTTGTTACTGGTGGCAAATATCTGAGTCACATGGCAGCAAATATGTTACCAGTAAAAGGTGTCCAAGTTACCGGCAGCGGCAAATCCCTCATGGGTCTGCAACAACCTCAGTTCTTACCTCCTCAGAAGAAAGAATTCCACTGAGGGCCATAAGGCAGAAAAGAGACCAAGGCAAGTTTCAGAGCAGGAGTGGAAGTTGATTTAAAAGCTTTAGAGTAGGAAAGAAAGGAAAGTACACTTGGGAGAGATCTAAGTGGGTGACTTGAAGAACAAGGGCGGTGTTTGACCTTGATCCTAGGGCTTTATAGGCCGGCCACTTTCCCATGATTCTTCCCTTAGGATGGCTGCCCGCATGCCCACTGCCCTCCTTGCACTTGAGAAGGGAGCACACGCAGTGTGTTTAGGAAGTTGTATGCATGCCCACCTCAGGCTTTCTTCCCTTTGCCAGTGGAGTGCCCCTGGGAGGTCACGCTATGCCATTTTGTCTCTTAATGCACACGCCTGGGAAGTTGCTTCTCCCTGGCATTTGCATTCAATTAACACTTTAGTACAACAAGTGTGGACCATCAGAAAATGGCCTCTCCCTGGCACCCACTGCCAATTTATCACTTTTAGAGAGGCAATGTGATTGTTGCCGAACCATCACCCGACATGCCTAGTGGGTGGGGGAGAGCCCTCTCCTGCCCCTGCTCATGCCTGTCTAACTACCTGTAACAACTGGACCTAAAAAGGTGGGGCATCTTGAACTGAGGTCCCACAGGTCCCAGATGGAGTCAAAGATTTTCTGCCTTGTGATTGGCTCAGAAAGTAAAGCTTTGTCTAAAAATTTGGGATCAGCAGAAAAAAATGTTGGCATTGGCTCATGGGTGTGACCTCCTCCAGTCCCTTCAGGAAGAAATTTAGAACACAAAGAACACTGCTCAGAGTTGGGTCCTCAGTTCTCCCTCATCTGGGATCTCTGTGCTAGCAGCCCCATTTGGTGGAGGTCTGGGTTTCTGAAAAACAACTCAAGAACATATGTTAAGACTTTATCTTTAGTTTCTATAGCGAACCAAACATCCTCTGATTCTAACTTTCTTGGCTATCGTTTTAGGCTACTATTACTTTCTTGCTCATCAAGTTGCTCATTTACTTCTCAGGGCTAGCGAGCTGCCTGGAACTTTCCTTGAAGGAACTCAGGATTTTCCTTTATTTCCATGCTTGGAGGAGAGGGGATTCACAGGCCCCTAAGAGGGGCCTCTGCTCCATCTCACTGGTTGTGAAACAACAACAATAATCCTGCCTGTCTCACGGGGTTGCTGTGGAATAGATCATCCATGAAGCCCAGGCCAGGAATAAGTTAAATCCTCAGCACGTATTTGGTTTTGTTAGCATTGCTAGAGGCAGCATGGCGCCAGTCTTTCTGCCAAGAACAACTACACATTCTGCATAATATATAGAAATATGTATTTTAAATTGTGTGGATGAGCTGGCAAGAGTGAAGGAATCCTGAGCCAAAGACGAAAAGAAAGTGGGAACCCAGAGAGGTAAGCAAAGCAGGCAGGTTGGCTTTTGTGTTGAAGGCATGTGTTCTTCCTTTTTTGCCTGTGTTAGTGTGTGTGTGTGTGTGTGTGTGTGTGTGTGTGTGTGTGTAGGCTTATGAGTACAAAAATCAAAGCCCAGTACTTATCCTGAAAGATAAATGGAGGAGTATAAGGATACATCAACCCTCACCCCTGCCTAAATCTGGCACCATAGAGGACTGAATTTTCAATGTGAAGGTGAGCCAGAAATGTATCCTCCCCTTCCACCCCAGTAAAGAAATTTGCCCATCTCAAACCTTGGTACATTCCTATAATTCATAACCACAAACTAGACCCTACATGTTTTGAGTCTGAATTTATGTTACTGGGTTGATTCAACAAATCTCAAACCAGGGACTTAAATTCAAGTGATCCAGGATTGAGAAGGAACCCAGTCAACCAGCAAATACAAATATAAACCCTCCAGAAGGGTCCAGCTTTAACCCAGTCTTCTGAGAACTTCCACAGATAAAGGTCTGAAAAATATGAGCTCACATTTAAAAATCATTATGTGCATGCACGCACACACATACACACACACACACTCATGAAAACAAAGAAATTGGGAAGAGTCATGGAAATCATGACTAAAATCTGGTCTACAAAGATTTCAGATATTATACTTAACAGGTATAGAATATTTTAAAAGTGTATTAATATAATGAAAAAGAAGGGTTGAAAATGTGTAAAGGGTACATGGATATTTCTATATCTGTCTATCTTTGTATATACCAGAAAACACAAGTTCATCCAGCACCCCAGGGTTCATTCCGGCCTTTTCCCCTCTTTCTGTATTTGTCACTCCTTTCTCTGACAGTGAGAAACCCAGCACTCATAATAAACATTACATTTACTTGTGTTCTCAATCTTTGTGTACATAAAATAATTTGAGTCCTAACTCATACCTCTGTGAAAAACAAATGTACCATCTCAGTGCAAGATCTGTGTGCAATGCGTGGAGTCTTTTGTCTTAGAGTTTACAGTCAAGTTACTATTTTCCAAAGTTACTAGGTTAGTTCTTTTCCCTCCCCAGCCCACCTTCTTCAGTATGGGTATGTTTTTCATTTGTATTACTATGAGGCTCAACTGTCTGTTGTATTGCATTTGAGGTCCTCCCACAGCCATTTTGACTTTAATTCTTTATTTTTAGGATATGTGAAACATTACCATGAACACATTTCACTTAAAGCCTGTTAAAGCCTGTTATCGCCATTTTATTCAATATTGTATTAGACATCCCAGCTGACATAGGGAGTCCAGAAAAATAAAGTTTACAAGGATTGTGAAACAGAACAAAATTCTCATTATTTGCAGATGATATTATTGTCTACATAGAGAACTCAAAAGAATCCACAGATATATTTTTACTATTAATAAGAGAGTAGAACAGGATTATTTTATATTATTAAAAGTAATATAGAAACCAACCATATGTTTTACATTACATTAGTGATGATGCACATTAGTAATGATGCAAGCTCCAAAACTGAGGCTTCACCAGGGAGGGTTCTTGGCTTTGCCCAGGAGAGAATTCAGGGGTGAGCTGGTGGTATTAAATAGCAACTTTTACTGAAACGGCAGCATATAGCAGCAGTAGAGGTACTGCTCCTTGCAGAGTGGGGCCACCCCAAAGACGGTGTGACCAGTGACAGTTCTGCACTCATACTTATACCTACTTTTAATTTTGTGAAAATTAAGGGGCAGTTTATGCAGAAATTTCTAAGATGAGGGTGGTAACTTCTGGATTGTCGAATAGTTGCCATGGAAAGCAGTAGTAACTTCTGGGTGTTGCCATGGCAATGGTAAGCTGATTCAGTACGTTGGTGGGTGTGTCTTATAGAGAGGTGCTTCTGCCCCAGACTTGTTTCTTTTTTTATTATTATTTTATTATTATTATTGTTATTGGGATGGGGTCTTGCTCTGTCACCCAGGCTGGAGTGCAATGGTGCAATCTCAGCTCACTGCAACCTCCGCCTCCTGGGTTCAAGTGATTCTCTTTTCTCAGCCTCCCAAGTAGCTGGGATTGCAGGCACCTGCTATCATGCCCAGCTAATTTTTGTATTTTTGTAGAGATGGGGTTTCACCATGTTGGCCAGGCTGGTCTCAAACTCCTGACTTCAAGTGATCTGCCTGCCTCAGCCTCCCAAAGTGCTGGGATTATAGGTGTGAGCCACCGCCCAGCCCCCAGACTTATTTTAGCTAGTCTTCAATTTGGTCCAGTGTCCAAACCCTGCCTCCAGAGTCTAGTTCCGCCTCCTACCTCAGTGACAAATATAACATATAATAAAATATTATTTTTAAACTATTAAAATACAAACTATATAGAAATAAATCTAGCAAAAAACGAGAAAGAACTTTATGAAAATGGTGTAAAACATGATGGAGAGATGTTAAAGCAGACCAAGATAAATGAAAACATATGTCATGTGCATAAACTGGTATATTTAATAACATAAGCATATCAGTTCTCCCCCAGCATAATCTACAGATTTAATGCTTTCCAGCAAAAGTCACAATAGTTTTTGGCTTTGCTTCCTTTTGATGGAACTTGATAAGGTGATTCTAAAATGAAGAAGGAAAATTACAAAACACTACTAAGCGAGAAAAACAAGATTGGGGATTTGGCCAACTAAATATCAAGACTTAATAATCTGTAGCAGTTAAGACTGAGTAGTATTTGCACAGGAAAAATAATCAAATAGAACAAAATATCAAGCCCAGGAACACACCCACATGTGTGTGAAAACTTGAGTTATGACAGAGCTGGCTTTGCAAGTCAGCAGAGAAAGAATGGCCTTTTCAACAAATGTGGTGGTGTCCAGTGATTATCCAGATGGAAACAGTGAAAATGGAATCTTATTTTTCATGAAACAAAAAAAGATTAAAAACTTAAATGTGAAAGGCAAAACCATAAATTTATAGAATACCAAAGGAGACTCTCTTTATAATCCCAGGGGAAGGAAAGAGTTCTTTAAAAACAATTTTTTTTTATTTCAGTAGCTATAGGGGTACAAGCTGTTTTTGGTTACCTGGATGAATTGTATAGTGGTGAAGTCTGGGATTTTAGTGCACCCATCACCTGGGTAGTGTGCATTGTACCCAATAGGTAGTTTTTCATCCCTCATCCTCCTCCCACCTTCATCCCTTCTGAGTCTCCAATGTCCATTATACATTGAGCCTGTGTGCCTTTGCATACCCACAGCTTAGCTCCCCACTTGTAAGTGAGAAAATGCAGTTTTTTGTTTTAGTTTCCTGAGTTACTTCACTTAGAATAATGGCCTCCTGTTCCATCCAAGTTGCTGCAAAAGACATTATTTCATTCTTTTTTATTTTTTTTTTGGCTGAGTAGTATTCTGCAGTATATATGTCTTTATCCATTCATCAGTTGATGGGCATTTAGGTTGATTCCATATATTTGCAATTGTGAATTGTGCTTTGATAAACATATCTGTGCAGGTGTCTTTTTGATATAGTGATTACTTTTTCTTTGGGTAGATACCCAGCAGTGGGATTGCTGGGTCGAATGGTACTTGAGAAATTTCCACCCTGTTTTCCATAGAGGTTGTAATAATTTACATTCCCACCAGCAGTGTATAAGTGTTTCCATTTCACCACACCCATGCCAACATCTGTTGTTTGTTGACTCTTTTAGTAATGGTCATTTTGGCTTGGGTAAGGTGATATTTCATTGTGGTTTTAATTTGTATTTAGATGATGCAAATTAAATGATTAGTGATGACTAGCATTCACCCTGATGATAAGCGATGTTGAGCATCATTTCATGTTTCTTGGCCATTTGTATTATATCTTCTTTTAAGAAATGTGTATTCATGTCATTTGCCCATTTTTAATGGATTTTTTTTTTTTGATGATTTGTTTGAGTCCCTTGTAGATTCTGGATATCAGTTCTTTATCAGATGTATAATTTGCAAACATTTTCTCCCATTCTCTGCATTGTCTTTTTACTCTGATGAGTATTTCTTTTGCTGTGCAGAAACTGTAATTAATTTAATTAGGTCCTATTTATTTATTTTTGTTTTATTATATTTGTTTTTCAGGTCTTAGTCATAAATTATTTGTCTAGACCAGTGTCCAAAAGTGTTTTTCCTAGATTTTCTTCTAGAATTTTTATGGTTTCAGGTATTAGATTTAAATATTTAATACAACTTCAGTTAATTTTTGAATATGGTAAAAGATAGGGATCCAATTTCATTCTTCTACAGGTGGCTATCCAATTTCTCTAGCACCATTTATTAAATAGGATGTCCTTTCCCCAGTTTATGTTTTTGTATGTTTTGTCAAAGATCAGTTGGTTGTAAGCATTTGATTTTATTTCTGGGTTCTCTATTCTGTTCCATTGGTCTGTGTATCTATTTTTATAACAGTACCATGTTGTTTTGGTAACTGTATCCTTGTAGCATAATTTGAGGTCAGGTAATATAATGACTCCAAATTCTTACTTTTGCTTAGGATTGCTGTGGCAATTCAGGCTCTTTTTTGGTCCCATATTAATTTTCGGATTGTTTTTTCTAGTTCTTTGAAAAATGATGTTGGTAAGAATTATATTAAATCTATAGACTGCGGCCGGGAGCAGTGGCTCATGCCTGTAATCCTAGCACTTTGGGAGGCTGAGGTGGGAGGATGGCTTGAGGCCAGGAGTTTGAGACCAGCCTGGCCAACATGGCAAAACCACATCTCTACTAAAAATATATAAAAATTAGCCAGGCATAGTGGCACATGCTTGTAGTCCCAGCTACTTGGGAGGCTGAGGCAGGAGAATTGCTTGAATCTGGGAGGCAGAGGCTGCAGTGAGCCAAGATCACGCCACTGCACTCCAGCCTGGACATCAGAGCGAGACTCTGTCTCAAAAAAAAAAAACAAAAAACAAACAAAAAAAAACTATAGATTGCTTTAGGCAGTGTGTTCATTTTCATGATATTGATTCTTCCAATCCATGAGCAGAGGATGTATTTCCATTTGTTTCTGTCATCTCTGATTTCTTCAGCAGAGTTTTGTAGTTTTCCTTGTAGAGATCTGGCACCTTCTTGGTTAAGCATATTCCTGGGTAATTTTTTTTTTTTGCAGCTATTGTAAAAGAGATGGAATTCTTGATTCAATTCTCAGCTTGATAGTTTTTGGTGTATAACAATGCTACTGTGTACATTGATTTTGTCACCTGAAACTTTACTGAATTCATTTACCAAATCTAGGAGTCTTTTGGAGGAGTCTTTAGGGTTGTCTAGGTGTATGATCATATCATCACCAAACAGAGATAGTCTAACTTCCTCTTTTCCAATTTGGTTGCCCTTTATTTCTTTCTCTTGCCTGATTGCTCTGGCTAGATCTTCCAGAGAGAGTTTTTAAAAACAGACAAAACGTTATAGATTTAAATGGAAAATATTGGTACATTTGACTAAATTAAAATTAAAAACCGTTCATTATAAGATATCAAAAGAAAGTAAAAAGATATGCTAAAACTCTGGGAAGATGATTGCAACACATGAACAATGAGGGTTAAATAAAGAAATCTTATAATCCCGTCTCCCTGCAAAGAGAAATTACCATCTAGAAAAATAGATTTGAAACTTGAATAGACCCTTTATAGAAAAGAAAATGATGACCAACCACATTTACAATCAGGGAAATAAAAATTTAAGCAATGAGGTGCTATGTCACCTCATTTCACCTCAATCAGCCACCTGATTGCCAAAATTAAGAAATCTGATAATGTCCAAGTATTGGGCAGGATGTGGAGCGGCCACAGCCCTATACACTGTTTGTAGGAGTGTCTATCACTACAACCACTCCAGAAAACAACCTGGCATTACTTTCTGAACCAAACTAAACACTAAACTCCCCAGCCAACTCAATGGAACCCCTCTTGAGCAAGGGGACCCCAGAGAACCTGAAAAAATTAATTCCTGGTCACGATGGGGAGGAAGATTGGAGACATCTCATTTTACCACTCTCCTTTTGGAGTTCAGGCACAACTGACCAGTATTCACATTAAAATAGAGATCATAGACTGACAGAACAGACCCTTTGGCAATAAGATACCAAATTTCAGCCTGACTCTGTATAACATCACAGGACAGATAGCAGATCCTAAAGGAGATCAAAATATTTTACCCCAAAATACATTTTTTTCACATATTTTAAAATGGCCCTGCAAAGCTATCTTTTGTAGGGTAAATTTGCATCTGTAAAGAATCTCCAGTAATGCAACCAGTCCTTTCCTGGATCTGGAAGAGATTAATTAAGAGTCTGACACCTTTTAAGGTCCAAAATGGGACATTTACCATCTATTTCTCTGGAGCTTACTACCTGGAGGCTTTATCTGCATAACAAAAACCATGACTTCCATAATCCCCCTTATCTTGACTCAAGCATTTGCTTGTTCTTCTGACTTCAGGCCTTTAGCTTAACTCTTTCAACCGACTGCCAATCAGAAAATCTTTGAGTCTACCTGCGACCTGTGACTATAAACCCCACTTCCCATGAGATGTCCTCTCTTTCTGGGCTGAACCAATATATACGTTACATGTTTGATTTATGTCTTTGCCTATAACTTCTCCCTCCTTAAAAATGTATAAAACCAAGTTGTAACTTGATTGCCTCAGGCACACTTTCTCAGGACTTCTTGAGACTGTTCCCTGGGCCATGATCACTCAATATTGGCTCAGAATAAACCTCTTTACATATTTCATAGTTTGCCTTTTTGTTAAGCAAATCTGTTAAGATGAAAATGTGCACACTCATTGACTAGGCAGGACCTACATATATGTTCTAGATAAACTTTGCAAACATACATTAAGGGATTTGTACAAGAAGATGTATAGCAAAAAATTGGAAGGAATCTAAATTATAGACAATAATAGAATGTATGCTTCAGTAGTGGTCTAATCATACAATGGGCTATCATAGAGCAGGGAAAATGAATAAACTACAGCTACACATGCAACACACACTGATATAGTTTGGATCTTTGTCCCCACCCAAATCTCATGTTCAATTGTAATCCCCAGTGTTGGAGGTGGGGCCTTGTGGGCAGTGATTAGATCATGGGAGTCGTTCCTTCATGAATGTTTTAGCACTGTCACTTTGGTGCTGTTTCCATGATGGTGAGTGAGTTCTCACAAGATCTGGTTGTTTAAAAGTATGTGGCACCTCTCTCTCTTCCTCCTATTCTGGCCATGTAAGATGTGCCTGCTTCCCCTTTACCTTCTGCCATGATTAAGTTTCCTGAGGCCTCCCCAGAAGCAGAAGCTGCTATGCTTCCTGTACAGCCTGCAGAACCATGAGAAACACACACATACATAACTACATTTCATCCCATTTGCATAAAGTGCAAAAAATGTGAAAAATTACATAACACATTCTTCAGGAATGAAATGCATAAGGAAAAACTATAAAGAAAGGTAAAGAAATGATTAACACAAAATTCATATCAAAGAGGAGGGAAGCGGATCGGATTAAAGGAACTAGAGAGCTTCCAAATCAAAAGGAATATTCTATTTCTTAAACTGGGTTTTGGATACATAGGTGTCCATTGTAGTGTTATTCTATATACCTTACATACATTAGACTAATTTATATCTACTTGAGATTTAATAAAATGTTAAAATATTTTTAAAAAGCAAATTGCAGAATACTGCACACACCATAACACTCGTTAAGTAAACATGTTCACACAGACAAAACCACATACATCTGTAAATATGTCATTGCATAGCAGAAAGTGTAAAAGGCTCTCCACACACTGAAAATGGTAACTGCATCTAAGGAGACAGACTAGCAATGTGGACAGAGCTCAAGGAACATTTGGATAGAGTTTTATTTTTTACTTTTCTACAGGGAGTTTTTTTATATTAATTATGTAATTAAAATAGGTTTTATAAAATTGAAGAAAAATTTGAAGAGAATTTGAAAGGAAGGAAGAAAAAGGGGAGAGAGAGAGGATAAAGAAAGGAAAGGAGGGAAGTAAGAGAGGAGGAGAGAGGCAGAGAGAAAGGAGGGAGGAGGAAGGGAGGGAGGAGGGAGGGAGGAAGGAAGGAAGGAAGGAAGGAAGGAAGGAAGGAAGGAAGGAAGGAAGGAAGGAAAGGAGGGAAAAAGGGAGGAGGAAAGGAAGAGACGGAGGGCGGGAAGGGAAGGAAGGAAGTGATACAGGAGAGAGAAAGAAATTATTTGGACAGATAGTGAGGACAAAAGAGTCCCCAGCAGAACTTCCCTTCTAACAAAAAGCAGCCCTTGAAATCACTTCTTTTCTAACAAAGAGCTCCTTGAAATATTGAGCTGCAAACATAGATAAGGAAGCTGGAAGCTTGCACAAGGGGATGCTGGCAGTGGCACAGACAGAAGGGGCTACCTGGGGCCAGGCATGTCCACCACGGGCGCTCCACCTCCCCTCTTTTTTAGCAACATGGGGTAACTACCCACCTACATAATAAAAGATTGGGGTGGAGGCTGCCAGAAATTCACACCCTATACATATGACACACCTGGTCCTAACTGGTTTTTTACACCCTGTGTAGATCAGATACCACCTCTCCCAAATAGCTTATCTATAAAAACCCTTGCATTTCACTGCACATCAGCAAACCATTTCTTCTGGGACCCCTCTCTGTAACAAAGAGCTATTCTCTTTCTTTCACCTACTAAAATTCTGCTCTAAACCTCACTCTTTGTATGTGTCCATGTCCTTGATCTCCATGGCTATGAGGCCAAGAACCTCAGGTGTCACCCCAGACAACAAGGCTGGTTCAGAAGGAAGGAAAGAAGGAAGGAGAGAAACAGGAAGGAAGGAAGGAGAGAGAGTGAGGGATAGAAGGAAGGAGGAAAGGGAGGAAGGAGGGAAGGAAGGAAGGAAGGAAGGGAGGAAGGAAGACAAGCAGGTAAGCAAGCGACACCTCTGCTGGGCAGGCCTGGAGAACTGCAGAGCTGCTTCAAGTCCCAGCTCTGTCACAGGTGACTTCCCCGTAAAGGGAGGACGCTCCAGCCACCTCTTGAAGTGACTGACCTTTTCTGCTTCCAAGGGCAGGGCAGGGTGGGGGTTGAGAGGTGTGGGGAGGGTTTGAGTGACTCAGATGCTGGGTGAGTCAGCTGGTCCCAGGAAAGGACAAAGGCTCCATCGGGCTCTAGGTAGAGCCACCATTTTTTGCTTTCAAGGAGTTTTTTCAAAAAGTATGCTAATAAACTGTCATGGTTTAAAAAAACTGTGGAAACTTCAACTTTCATTATTAATTATCTGTAACATAAATTTTCAGAGCACTGAGCCCTTAAAACATGAATTGTTTTTCCAAGGGATGAGATTACATTTTTGTCTAATATTTTCCTGCGATGAGACTTCACTTCTTCCTGAGTGTTAGGATCTGTCTCTTGACTCCTCTCCTTGGCTGGTAAATGTTTTCCCCCAAGGCAGTAATCAAAATCACAAACATAATGATTTTTAAAGGCACTTAAATATGCAATAAAATAAGTCATTCACTGTTTCTAAGTACAGTTTTGGTTTCAAGGCAGACAAGACATCAATAAAGTTAGAAAGCTAATCTGTAACCCAAACACTTTAATAAATAAAGAGAACAGATTTAAAAGAGCAGAGAAAATGCACTGACCTTTTTCAAGTCTATTTGTAAATGCAATGTTATTTATGACACACAGATTTGTAACCATAATAGAGGATTTCCAACCTTGCAGAGCATCTATCCTAGGAGCCACGTTCCATTTGGCTGACTTTAAGACAGTGATTTGAAGGGCAAGGAAGAGTCATCTTTGTCTCATTGTCTGGAACAGTCCATCACATCTGTTAGAAAATTATGACAACTGATACATTGCTGCATAGATTCTGTTTTAAATTTTTTATAAGTGCTTTGTAAATGAAGCAATATATAGTAGGCGTTTTAAGAATGAAACACTGTGGGGGTGAGGAGAACAGAAAAGGAGGGGAAATAAAGAACAGAAATTGAGAAGGAAATAAGAGATTCTGGTTAAATTTAAAATTGATGCCTAGACATTAAAAATACTAAGTGATTTTTGCTTATTGTGATGTATCACTATGAAGCAACACTTAAAATTTCCTCCTGCAATCCAACTTGACTTTCACATTAGAATCAAAGCAGAATAATTAAAATGTGTGAAACTCTGCCTGATCATTGGTCACCATTGCAGCTTTCATGTTCTCTTCCCTTGACTCATTCATTCATTCGTTCATTCAGTATTTACCAAGCACCTACAATATGCCACCGTGAGAGGTGCTAGGTGTGTAGTGGAGAGCGGGTCTGCTCTCTGGGAGCTGCCAGAGTCTAGAATGTTTCTCTCCTTCCCAGTTCACCTCTTCTCCATCTTCATATTAATTGTTTCAAGACCTTATCAAATGCTACTTCTTCGCCTTTCCTGATGTATGTTCCAACCTCCACCTCCATCTACCAACCTATGCACCTGTGGTCTCTCTCACCTTTGAAACCCTACAGCTTTGGTAGCATCTTCCATCCCAACCCACGTGATATACTTCCTGTGGCCGAGAACATGGTGATCAGGATGGCCAACTGCTCATCCTGCAGATGGGTCAGACAGGCGGCCAGGTGGAGATCTCAACATGAGCTTATAGTAGACAGAGCTGCAGTGTTCATTATGCAGCCATTTCCAGGTTAAAAAGCAAGAGCTGAAAACTATCTGTGGTCAATCCTGAGTGCCCTGAAGTAAGAAGCAGACACTCCAGTGTCTGGAGACCACAGGAGAGGAGGCAAACTGATGATGAGCACCCCTAGGAAGGGTTCTGGTCACCAGCATGTATATCCTTTATTACTCATGTGCATAAGGGTACGTGTTCTTGTAACAGGGCATAGGTTTATTCATTCAAATAAACCCTTTGAAGGGCACGGCGGCTCATGGCTGTAATCACAGCACTTTGAGAGGCCAAGGCAGGAGGATCGCTCAAGACTAGAAGTTCAAGACCAGCCTAGGCAACATAGCAAAACCCTGTCTCTTTAAAAATTTAGAAAATTAGTCAGGTATGGTGGCATGCGCCTGTAGTCCTGTAACCAAGTACATCCATTTTTCTAACAGGTAGTTTAATTATTTTTTCTTCTTTTCTCCTTTCTCTTTTCCCCCTGCTTCCTACTTAGCCCTTTTTAAAATGCAAAATAACCTCTCACCTCCCTCTCACCAGACATTCCCTACAGGACAAGTTCATTTATGTGTGCCAAGATGGATCTCTCCTCCAGAGCCGACAGTCAATTTGCAGATCAGAGCATGACCTCCAGAAGGTCGCCTCAGGAGGGCATGTCAAAAGCATGCCCACTTGGCCACTTTTATAACTTATTTCTTCCCAGGAAGGCTCCAACTCAACTGTCCAGTAGAGCCCTGCCCTAGCTCCCTTCCCCTCTAACCTTATAAAAGAGTCCACTTTTTGCTCCTAAGGCGAAGTGGTACATTTAAGACAGTGCACCTTGTGTCCTGCCCCCAAGCTAGCTTTGGAAATAAATTCACTTTTCTTGTACCAGGCCTCACTGTCATTAATCGGACTCTAAATGCGGTGAACAACTAACCTGTTTTCCAGTCAGTCTTAGCTACTCGGGAGGCTGAAGTGGGAAGATGACTTGAGCCCAAGAGTTCGAGGCAGCAGTAAGCCAAGATCATGCCACTGCACTACAGACTAGATGAAAGAGTGTGAGACCTTATCTCAAAAACCAAAACATCTAAACAAAAACAACCCACCCTTTCATTTTCATGAAGTCCCAAGTCAAAAGAACATTTCTGGTGTTAGATACCTGAACTGGGTGGGCCCTTTGACTGTTGGAGTCAGAGTTCTGATGCCCAGAGTGAGTGATTCCAGGTGAGCAATGTCCCTGACATAATTCTGTCTTATTGAACGGGCGCCCGGTTCCACATGTGAGTGTGCTGTGGTTGCTACTGAGGGAACCTTCCACGTGTGGCTTTGTGTTATAGTTATCTGTGTCTTTAGCGTATTTCTCCTGATAAATGCCAACCCCTATGTAGGCAGGGCTGTGCCTGTCTCCACTTTCTATCTCCAGCAGTGCTCGGTTCCCTAATAATGGTGATGATGTGGGTGCTGCTGCTGCCAAATGCTAACCCAGATTTTTCTCACTGTTTGCCAGGCATTATTCTAAGTGTTTTTCACTTAATAAACAACCTTAGGAGGTGGGTACTATGACTATGCACATTTTATAGATAAGGAAACTGAGGAATGGAGAGGTTACATAGAATATCCAGATCCTGGTATGTTTTGGGTAAATATTCACTAAATTCAATTAATTGAATTGAATTTTACCTTTTGGAAAGAGGCTCAGTGATGTGAGTCTTAACCTGATATTTTTTTCTTTTTTTTTTTTTTGAGACAGAGTCTCGCTCTGTCACCCAGGCTGGAGGTCAGTGGCGTAATCTCGGCTCACTGCAGCCTCTGCTATTCGGGGTCAATCGATTCTCCTGCCTCAGCACCCTGCCCCTGAGTAGCTGGGACTATAGGCATGCACCACCATGCCTGGCTAATTTTTGTATTTTTAATAGAGGCAGAGTTTCACCATGTTGGCCAGGATAGTCTTGAACTCCTGACCTCAGATGATCCACAGGCCTTGGCCTCCCAAAGTGTTGGGATTACAGGCGTGAGCCACCACAACTGGACTCTTTTTTTTTTTTGGCAGTGGGGAGACAGAGTCTCATTCTGTCGCCCAGGCTGGAGTGCAGTGGTGCAATCTCAGTTCACTGCAACCTCCACCTCCCGGTTTTAAGTGATTCTCCTGCCTCAGCCTTCGAAGTAGCTGGGACTACAGGCATGGGCCACCATGCCCAGCTAATTTTTTTTTTTCATAGAGACAGGGTTTCACCATGTTGGCCAGGCTGGTCTAGAACTCCTGATCTCAGGTGATCCACCCACCTCAGCCTCCCAGACTGCTGGGATTACAGGCGTGAGCCACTGCACCCAGCCTTAATCCGATTTCGACATACATAAAAAATATAGTTCTATTTTGACTTTTTTTTTTTTTGAGACAGAGTCTCACTCTCTCACCAGGCTGGAGTGCAGTGGAGTGATCTCAGCTCACTGCAACCTCAGACTCCTGGGTTCAAACAATTCTCCTGCCTCAGCCTCCCTAGTAGCTGGGACTACAGGCGCCTGCCACCACGCCTGGCTAATATTTTGTGTTTTTAGTAGAGACGGGGTTTCACCATGTTGGCCAGGATGATCTTGATCTCTTGATCTCGTGATCACCCACTTCGGCCTCCCAAAGTGCTGGGATTACAAGTATGAGCCACTGCACCCGGCCTCCTCTATTTTGATTTTTCACTTGTTTCAGAAATTAAAGTGTTTTCAACAATGTTTATCTGAAGTCTGCACATGATGATTTCGAAACAACATGAAATAAAACTCTTGTGCTACGTATTTGACGATTTCTAATGTTTCAGTAACTTCAGTGGTTTTGGTTCATCATAATTAGTAAAGACATTTCTCCTTTGCTTTTCCACGTTCTAAGCATGTTCTATCTTGTGTTCGATGGTCACTGTATTTTAACAAAAGCCATTAGTCTTTCCTCCGTAATCTCTTCTTTCTTTTCTTTTCCTCAGGGGCTGAGATTGCAATGTCACTGTTCTTAAAACTGTCTGCTGTGTCACTTCCGAGTGTAACCCCTGGAGACAGGCTCTCAGAATCACCTGTGAAGGCGGAAGCCAGTTTTGGCTGCTCCAGCGGATTTAGGGATGCCAAGTAGGTGGCTGTTGTAGATGAATCTATCTTTTGTAAGATAAGTAGGCAATGTCCTGCTTGTTGATATATGCCTCAGAGAAAATGTTAAACCGGGTGGGGTGTGGGGTGTATGTGTATGTGTTTATCTCTGCCATTGTGTCTTCTCTGATGTACACAATTCTTATAGGACAAGGCACTTAGCCAAATATCTTCAGCAGATTTTCATAAAGTTTTGTGACTTCTTTGTGGTTAGACCTGTTTGAAAAACGTTTTTCCCCCACTAGCCTTTGCATAAAACACAGAAATAGCATATCAGCAGGCTTTTTATGCAGCTTGGCTATGATTCAACAGTTCAAAATGTCCTTATTTCAAACTGGCCTGAGGGAAGTCTGGCTAAAATCAAGACTTTTGGGAGACAAGTAACATGACACTAAACAAATTCTGAAGCTTGCTGTTTATCTTTTTTTCCATATTGGTTTCCCTATGTGTATTTTTTTCCAGGCTGTCTGGAACGAAGATGATTTTTTTTCTTTCTTTTGCCTTCAAGGAGACTCTGTAACATGGTACTTGGTGACAGTGGCCATCAGAAGAGCAAGGGGCAGGCAGACAGGAGTGAGGGCTGAGCCGAGCCAGCCCAGTGGGGCTTATTAACCCAGCACGCTTTACCATGGCTAGAGGTGTGCCTTGACCTTTATACTAGAAAATTTCCTACAATCCTAGGCATGGAGCAAAAAAAGCCAGACTCCATTTTTAGAAATTGAAATATTAAGAAAATTACTTACTAAAAAAAAAATCTTAAAACAACCTTTTCTATCATATTTTAATTTCTATTATCCATAGAGGCACATGCCACAGTGCAGGGATAAGGTGGCTTTTATTGATTCCAAACAAGGATTATTCTTTCATAGATATTTTCTATGGCCTATACACATGGCAAACAGGTTTTCTAAACCTGAAATGTGCCATATAGTGGTGTGGGATGGAATTTTTAAAACTAACACTAGCCAGAAAAATCTAAGTAATATGGTCCTTTGGTTTGGGTTCCCTCAGAGGCAGATCCTGAGACAAGGATCTGCATACAAATAGTTTATTTGGGAGATGAACCCAGGAAACACTGGTAGGGGAGTGGGAAAGCGAGACAGGAAAGGGAAAATAAAGCCTGTAAAGTCCCCCAGCCACTGGCAGGCAGCATAGAGCACACCTCAGAGTTATCCCATTGAGGGGTGAGACATTTGGGGTATGTATCCACCAGCCGTTTATCGGCTTTTGAGGGCTGCTTCTAGAAAGCAGCACTTCTGCAAAGCAGCACTTTGGCTTGCTTTGTAAGGGAGATAAGAGCTAAGTGTATTCCTGCCATCAGAAAAAAAAATAATCCCTCAGGCAGAGTCACAGGTGTTCATGGTAAGCAGCCTTGTGGTGTGGAGGTAAGGGGTTGGGGGAGCAGGCAAGGCCTCCACTGCAGGGCTCCATATGACTGCTGTGCACAAAATGCAAGTCATTGGCCAGTTGAAGAGACTGCTTCCTGAGGGCTCTTCTCTTCCCCTCACTCACCTTTATTTGTTTTGTGTTTATACAGAACCCCACACCTAGACCATGCCTGGGACTTAGGTGTTCAAACAAAGTTGATGAATACATGAATGAATGAGTTAAATTTTACATAAGCTGAGAAGACTTTGTTTCTTTGGTTCTTCCCTTTCCTTCTATGGATAACTCAGGGATAATACTAGGACTCACTTCAGACTGGTCCAACAGCTACCAGGATGAGTATTTCAAAGCTCTCTGGGTCCTGGGGATGAGCAGTGCCCTCTCATCCTGTAATAATCGTGGACATCACACACTGATGTACAGACATGGTGCCAGCGCCTCCCTTCCTTGGGGTCTTGGAAAACCCGGTGCCACAATGGGATCTAAGTATCCTTGGATCAATACGGATTCGTGTTTCTCACACCGAAGTTCAGGGTAAGTTATGCTTAGATGTTTATGGGGATTATACCTGGAGCACGCAGAAGAGCTCTTTGTTGGTGACATTCAGGTCTCATCTGAACCTCCACTGAGAACCCACGGTGTGCTGAGCAGTGTTCCAGGTGCCTGTACATTGATTACAGCATTCAACCTGTGAGATTGCACAGGAATTTCCATTCATGGGAAGGAGAACCATTCTCAGGGCTGCTGCTGCTTGCTGGTTGTTTAGAATGAGTTATGAAGACCAACAGGGTCTTAAGATGGGCAGTAGGGAGACATATTTTGATAACGCAGAATTGTCTTCATTGAATGACATCAGGCAGGGCACACCAGCTCCGGCTGGCCATGCTTCTCCACCTCCCACAGTGGGTGGGAGCCCAGTACCTCCCTTACCGAGGCTTCTCGCCTGGACTGCAGGCAACTGGGTTTGCATCCTCTGACCTACAGCCTCCAGCAGTGTATGTCCCCAGCAGTCTACAGAGTGATGTGTTTTGTTTTGATCAACTCTCTCCATGTAGACACCTCTTGCTTTGCTGGGAGTAAAGTGGAGGGAAACTGGGGGATGAGTGGGAAAAGGGCAAAGTGGTGGGAAAAAGAACCTTGTAGCTCATCATCCTAGCTTGAGGACCAGCCTAAGCACACTATGGGCCCAGATTTCATATTCCTTTTAGGTCTTGCAACTTCCACCCTTCCCCTCCTATCACGCCACACTTACCTAACTCCGAGATGCACCTCTCAACCTCTCACTCCTGAAACCCTCCTCTTTGCTCTATCCTAAAATTTAAAACCCAGTCTTTATTTTGCTCCAGATTAAAACCCAGACCCAACTCCCACCCCGAACTCCACCCCCTAAGCAGGAGGCTTCTAATCACAAGAGTGTACTAGGGATATTTGGAAATAAATAAGTAAATACATATATATATACACACACACATATGTAAACACACATGTATATATGTGTATATATAGTGTATGTATATTACACATATATATGTATCTATGTGTGTATATATGTGTACAGCCAGTGGAGGGGTGGGGAGTCAGTTCTGGCCCTGTCTTCAGGGAAGGGGAGATCGCATGGGTCAGGAACGTCTAAGGGACCTCCACCTCTCAGGGGTGGAGTGGGTGCCCTTCTTCTCTGTAGAATAAGAATGCAACTTGTACCTTAGTTTCTGGGTTTTAATATATCCTAACTGAAATACAACAAGTTGTGAAGCTGAGAAATTATAGGCAGCTGATGGGCAGTGGCAGGAACTGGGAGATCAACTATATGTTTTGGTTTTGTCTGTTTTTAGTTCAGTTGAATGTGAAGAGGGGTATACGATTAATATGGTGATAAAGAATTAGAAAAAGGAAATATTTTGTAAGCATTGTCTGAAAGTAGCAGACAGCCACGCAAACCTGTGGTGGTCCAATCCTAAACAGGGAGTGTTATACATGCCTTCATAATATGGAAGAGTTTACTCAACACTTGAAACTTTCCAACCAGCATGAGTTCATCCCCAAATCCGCTAAAGCAGCATTTCCTTTGGAGGGGCACATAAACCCTAGGATGTTAGCATTAGGAAAGTGAGGGTATTAAAACCCAATCCCCTAAAGACCTGCAGACTACCCTGCATAATTGGGGAAAGTAATCCAAGTGGCACACACGGGTGCCTGAACAAATTACCCAGAAATTCACTGCCTTTTATGCAAACTAATTTAATCTTCTCAGAATTTAGCCTTTTTGGCTAAGCTATGCTTCCCCAGGGGAGAAAAAGCGAATTAAACAGCAGTTTTCACCAGGTACACCAGCCTCCTCACTCCAGGAAAAAGTCTACAGGCTGATCAGCAGAACTAAAGGGATCCATTTTACGTGTTTGGCAAGGGGCTTGGTGTCTGCGTTGGCTTCCCTGAAGCAGCCGGTAGCAGCAGTCAGCTTTATAGAGATGGTTACTGCAGAGAAAAATGACAACCGGTTGCAGGCAGCCACCCACTTTTGAGACCTAGAAGGTTGTTCCTGAAACGCTCATTATGCTTCTCCAGGCTCTGGCAGCTCCAGGTCCCCTGAGGCCCTGAGGAAAGAGTCACTTGAAGTGGAGTGGACCCTGGTACTACTTGCAATTCCTCCAAGGTGACATCTGCTTTTCTTTTCTTTGTGCACAAAAGAGATCCAGAAATTAGCATGATGCCTTATCATATTCTCCCAGAAATTGACACAAAAATATGAAGTAGCTAAAGGCGGTGAACTGGATTGTGGAAGTTGATAATCGATTCCTCGGTGACCCCAAAAGATGGAGAAACTAAGAAAGGCAGTTGAAAGTCAACTAGTAGCTGATAAAGAAATGTTGGGCACATAGTTGTTTCAGAAAACATCTGCCCCTATTCCCTATGTGCTTTTAAAAGATATTCATTATTTTTTAGACAGGGTCTTAACTCTGTTGCTCAGGCTGGTCTTGAACTTCTGGGCTCAAGGGATCCTCCCACCTCAGTAGCTGAGATTACAGGTGTGTGCCACTGCAACCAACTAATTTCTTAAAGATATATAGTGATCTTTGTATTTTTGTATTGTGGTAAAATATACATAACATTAAATTTACCATCTTAACTCTTTTTAAGTGGGTAGTTTAGTAGTGTTAAGTGTATTTACATTGTTGTAAAACAGACCTTCAGAACCTTTTCTTCATGCAAAACTGAAACTCTGTACTCACTAAAGAGCAGCTCACCATTTCCCCATCCCTCAGTACCTGGAACCACCATTCTACTTCCCATGAATTTGACGCTTCCAGGCATTTACCTCATATAAGTATAATCATACCACATTTGTCTTTTTGTGACTGGCTTATTTTGCTTGGCATAATGTCTACGAGGTTCATTCATGCTGTAGCATGTCCGTGCTGTAACATGTGTCAGAACTTCCTTCCTTTTGATGTCTGAATAATATTCCATCAAATGTAGAGACCACAGTTTGACTATCCATTTATCTGTCAATGAACATTTAGGTGTTTTCACCTCTAGGCTGTTGTGAATAATGCTGCAATGATCACAGGAATGCTAATATCTCTTTGAGCACTATCTTCAATTTTTTGGATATATACTCAAAAGTGGGATTTATGGATCATATGATATTTCTATTTTCAGTTTTAGAGGATTTTCCATACTATTTTCTATGGCATTTGCTCCATTTTGCAATCCCACCAACAATGCACAAGGGTTACAATTTTTCCATATCCTCACCAACACTGACTTTCTGTGTTTTAGAATAGCCATCTTAATGGATGTGAGGTGATATCTCGTTGTGGTTTGGATTCAAATTTCTCTGATGATTAATGATATCGCATATCTTTTCATATGCTTGTTGGCTATTTGTATGTCATCTTTGGAGAAATGACTATTCAAGTCCTTTACCTGTTTTTTTAATTCTGGGTTTTTTTTTTTAATTGTAAGAATTCTTTATATATAGTGCCTATTAACCACTCATCAAATGTATGATTTGCAAATATTTTCTATGATTTGCAAAGAATTGTAAGTTGCCTTTCACTCTGTTGATTGTATCCTTTGATACACAAACATTTAAGTTTGATATAGTTCCATGTGTCTATTTTTGCTTTCGTTGCCTGTGTTTTTGGTGTCATATCCAAAAAATATTGCCAAATAAAATGCAGAAAAGCTTTCCCCCTATATTTCATTCTAGGAGTTTCATAGTTTGGGGTCTTATATATAAGTCTTTAATGCACTTTGTTAATTTTTGTATATGGTATAAAATAAGGGTCAAACTTCATTCTTTTGCATGCATATGTCTAGTTTTCCCAATATCATTTGTTGAAGAGACTGCTTTTTTTCCATTGAGTTGTCTTGACACTCTCATCAAGGATCATTTGACCACATCCATGAGTTTTATTTTCTGGGCTCTCTATTCTGTTCTATTGGTCTACATATCTGTCTTCATGCTGGTACCATACTGTTTCTGTTACTATAGCTTTGTAATATGTTTTGAAACAGGAAATGTGATTCTTCCAACTTCCTTATTTTTCAGAAATGTTTTTGGCTATTTGGGGGTCCTTGGGATTTCATAAAATTTTAGAATAAAAATTTCTATTTCTGCAAAAAGTGTCATGGAGATTTTGATAGGGATTGTGTTGAATTTACAGATAATTTTGAGTAGCATGAATATATTAACAACTAATGTTAATCTTCCAGTCCATGAGAATGAGATGCTGTCCATTTATTTTTGTTATCTTTAACTTCTTTCAGCAATGTTTTATAGTTTTTACTGTATGAGTTTTTCATCTCCTTGGTGAGGCTTATTCCTAAGTATTTTATTCCTTTTGATGCTATAGTAAATTGAATTGTTTTCTTAATTTCCTTTTCAGATTGTTCATTGTTAGTGTATAAAAATGTATCTGATTTTTGTGTATTGCTTTTGTATTCTTCAACTTTGCTGAATTTGTTTATTAGTTTTAACAGGTTTTTTGTGAAATCTTTTGAGTTTTCTACATATAAGATCATGTCATCTGTGAACATGGCATCAGAGATTATTTTACTTCTTTCATTTCCATTTGGATGACTTTAATGTCTTTTTCTTGCCTAATGCCCTATCTAGGACTTCCGATACTATGTTGAACAGAAGTGGTGGAAAGGGAGGCTGGACATGGTGGCTCACTCCTGTAATCCCAGAGCTTTGGGAGGCTGAGGTGGGAGGATCACTTGAAGTCAGGAGTTTGAGACCAGCCTGGGCAATATGGCATGACCCTATCTCTACCTTAAAAAAAAATAGCTGGGCCCAATGATGTGCGCCTGCAGCTAGCTATTTGAGAGGCTGAGGCAGAAGGATCACTTGATCCCAGGACCTCAATTACAGTGAACTGTGATTGAACCATTGCAACCCAGCCTGGACAACAGAGTGAGATACTGTCTTAAAAAGAAGAAAGAGGAGGAAGAGGAGGAGGAGGAAGAGGAGGAGGGAGGAGGATGAGGAAGAGAAGGAGAAGAAGAAGGAAGAGGAGGAGGAGGAGGAGAAGGAGGAGGAGGAGAAGAAGAGTGGTGAGAGTGAGCATCTTTGTTACTAATCTTAGAGGAAATGCTTTCAGTTTTATACCTTAAGTATGATGTTCGCTTTGGGCTTTATCATGTTGAGGTTGTTTTCTTCTAGTCCTAGTTTGTCGTGTGTGTGTTTGTGTGTGTGTTTCATGAGTGTGCTCTGGAATTGAATTTACTAGTTTTTTTGGAATAGTTTTGCATCAATATTCGTCAGATATATTGGCCTGTAGTTTTCTTCCCTTGTAATGTCTTTGTCTGATGTTGATATAAGGATAACACTGGCCTCATAGAATGAGCTTGAAAGTGGTCCCTGCTTTTCAATATTTTAGAAGAGTTTGTGGAAGATTGGTATTAATTCTTCTTTTATTTTTAGTTTTTACTTTTTGAGACAAGGTCTTACTGTCTTACTCTGCCACCCAGGCTGAAATGCAGTGGTGCAATCATGGCTTACTGCAGCCTCAACCTCCCATGTTTAAGTGATCCTCCCACCTCAGCCTCCCACAGAGCTGGGAGCACAGGCATGTGCTACCACACCCAGCTAATTTTTAATTTTTTGTAGAGATAGAGTCACTCTATGTTGCCCAGGCTGGTCTCAAACCCCTGGGCTCAAGTAATTCCCCCGCCTTAGCCTCCCAAAGTGCTGAGATTATAGGTGTGAACCACTATGCTCAGCCTAATTTTAAATGTTTAGTGGAGTGTTCTGCAAAGTATTCTGGTCCTGGGCTTTTGTTTGTTGGGAGGGTTTTGATGACTGATTCAGTCTCCTTTCTAGTTACTAGTTTGTTCAGATTATGTTTCTTCCTGATTCACTCTTGGTAGGTTCTGTGTTTCGAGAAATTTACTCATTTCTTCTAGGTTAGACAATTTGTTGATGCACAATTGATCATAATACTCTCTTGTAATTCCTTTTTATGTTGGTAGCATTACCTGTAATATCCCATATTTTATTTCTGATTTTAATTTTCTCTTTTTCCCCTCGCAATTTAGCTAAAGATTTGTCAATTTTGTTGATCTTTTCAAAAAAACAACTTTAGTTTGATTGATTTTTAAATTGTTTTCCTATTGTCAATTTTATTTACCTCTGCTTTAATCTTTATTATTTCCTCCTTTCTGTTAGCTTTGGTTTTAGTAAGTTCTTCTTTTCTAGATTCTTGAAGTGTAAAGTTAGGTTTGATTTAAGACCTTTTTAATTTTTTGATATACGTGTTTACAGCTATAAATGCCCCTCTTAGCACTGCTTTTGCTGTATTTCCTAAGTTGTATTGTGTTGTGTTTTTGTTTTCATTTGTCTCAAGGTATTTGCTAATTCATCTTGTTACTTCTTTTTTGAACCATTGGTTGTTTAAGAGCATGTTTAAAATTCCACGTATTTGAGGATTTTTCTAATTTTCTTTGTGCTTTTGATTTCTAGTTTTATTCCATTAAGATCAGAAAATAATTTTTTTTCTTATTTTTCCTGGATTTATTTTTTTCTTTTGTTTTTTATTATACTTTAAGTTCTGGGGTACCTGTGCAGAACGTGCAGTTTTGTTACATAGGTATACAAATGCCATGGTGGTTTGATGCACCCATCAATCTGTTACCTACATTAGATATTTCTCCTATTGCTATCCCTTCTCTAGCCCTCCACCCCCTGACAGGCCACTGTATGTGATGATCCCCTCCCTGTGTCCATGTGTTCTCATTGTTCAACTCGCACTTATCAGTAAGAACATGCGGTGTTTGATTTTCTGTTCTTGTGTTAGTTTACTGAGAATGATGGTTTCCAGCTTCATCTACGTCCCTACGAAGGACATGAATTCATCCTTTTTTATGGCTGCATGGTATTTGATGGTGTATATGTGACACATTTTCTTTATCCAGTCTGTCACTGATGGACATTTGGGTTGGTTCCAGGTCTTTGCTGTTGTGAATAGTGCCACAATAAACATACAGGTGCATGTGTCTTTATAGTGGAATGATTTATAATGCTTTGGGTATATACTCAGGAATGGGATTGCTGGGTCAAATGGTATTTCTAGTTCTAGATCCTTGAGGAATTGCCACACTGTCTTCCACAATGGTTGAACTAATTTACACTCCCACCAACAGTGTAAAAGCATTCCTATTTCTCCACATCCTCTCCAGCATCTGTTGTTTGCTGACTTTTTAATGATCACCATTCTAACTGGCGTTAAGATGGTATCTCATTGTGGTTTTGATTTGCATTTCTCTAATATCCAGTGATGATGAGCATTTTTTCATATGTTTGTTGGCTGCATAAATGTCTTCCTTTGAGAAGTGTCTGCTTATATTCTTTGCCCACTTTTTGATGGGATTATTTGTTTTTTTCTTGTAAATTTGTTTAAGTTCTTTGTAGATTCTGGATATTAGCCCTTTGTCAGATGGATATATTGCAAAGATTTTCTCCCGTTCTATAGGTTGCCTGTTCACTCTGATGATAGTTTCTTTTGCTGTGCAGAAGCTCTTTAGTTTAATTAGATCTCATTTGTCAATTTTGGCTTTTGTTGCCATTGCTTTTGGTGTTTTGGACATGAAGTCCTTGCCCATGCCTATGTCCTGAATGGTATTGCCTAGGTTTTCTTCTAGGGTTTTTATGGCTTTAGGTCTTACATTTAAGTCTTTCATCCACCTTGAGTTCATTTTTGTATAAGGTGTAAGGAAGGGACCCAGTTTCAGTTTTCTGCATACGGCTAGCCAGTTTTCCCAACATCATTTATTAAATAGGGGATCCTTTCCCCATTGCTTGTTTGTGTAAGGTTTGTCAAAGATCAGATGGTTGTAGATGTGTGGTGTTATTGCTGAGGCCTTTGTTCTGTTCTACTGGTCTATATATCTGTTTTAGTACCAGTACCATGCTGTTTTGGTTACTGTAGCCTTGTAGTATAGTTTGAAGTCAGGTAGCTTGATGCCTCCATCTTTGTTCTTTTTGCTGAGGATTGTCTTGGCTATGCGGACTCTTTTTTGCTTCCATATGAAGTTAAAAGTAGTTGCAGAAAAGACATTTTATATAATGTCAACTTTCTTGAATTTGTTAAGATATGTGGGCTATTTTGGAGAATGTTTTCTGTATACTTGAGAAGAATGTATATTCTGCTGTTATTGAGTGAAATATTCTGTATATGTCTTGTCAGGTCAATTGGTCTATAGTGTTATTTAATTCCTTTATTTCCTCATTGATCTTCTGTCTGGTTGTTCTATTCATTACTGAAAGAGGAGGTCCTGAAATCTCCTACTATTATGTTGCTGTCTATTTCTCTCTTTGATTCTGTCAAAATTCCTTTCACATGTTTGTGGCTTTGATTTGCTGCACAAATATTTATAATTGTTATATCTTCTTAGTGAATTGACCCTTTTATCATTATATAGTGTCTTTCACTGTCTTTTGTAATTGTTTTTGACTTAAAGTCTATTTTGTCTGATGTTAGTATGGCCACTCCTGCTCTCTTTTGGTTGCCACTGGTATGGAATATCTTTTTCCGTTCTTTCACTTCCAACCCTGTGTCGTCTTTAGATGTAAGTGGCTCTTATAGACAGCATATGGTTGGATCCTGTGACTTTTTTATCCATTCGATGACTGTCTTTTGATTGGGGAGTTTAGTCCAGTTACATTAAAGTAATTACTGATAGGGAAGGACTTACTATTGCCATTTTGTTCATTCTTTTCTGTATGTCTTGTAGCTTTTCTCTTCCTCCTTTCCTCTCTTACTGCCTCCTTTGTGTTTCATTAAATTTTTTTGTAATGGCATGCTTTGACTTACTTTTAATTTCATTTTCTGTATATTTTACAGATTTTTTGTAGCTACCATTGCAATTACATAAAACAAAAAAGTTATAGCATTTTATTAAATGTTATAAAATGCTTTTAAACTTAACAGCACACTATTTTATTTTATTTTTTTCTGACTACAAAGACAAAGAAAACAGCATACTATGTTAAACAGATAATAACCTAACTCCAATCACATACATGCTTTACAAAGCATACAATATGCTTTACAGTATGTGTATAAATATCTTTATACAACACTTAATAAAGTGCTAAATCACATACTATAAAATCGCCATTATTATTGATGCCACAGATATTTGTGTTGTATAAAGATATTTATGCAATAGATGTAGTTTTTAAAATATTTTCATCATTTAAATTCTGTGTACCAAATTAACAATAATATAAGTTATTATATTTATCCATGTCTTTACTCTTGCTTGAGAACCTTATATTTTCTTATGACTCTGTGTTGCTGTCTAAATCCTTTTGTTTCTACTTGAAAGACTCTAGTTAGTGTTTCTTGTAGAGAAGGTCTAGTGGTAATAAACTCCTTTAGGTTTTATTTATCTGGGAAAGCCTTTCATTTTCAAAGGACAATTTTGCCAGATGCAGTATTGTTGTTTGACAAGTTCCCTCTGGCCCCAGCACTTTGAATATGTCACCCTACTTCCTTTGGCCTGCAGAGTTTCTGCTGGGAAATCTGCTGATAATCTTATGAAAGCTCCTTTTGTATGTGATAAGTTGCCTTCCTCTTGCTGCTTTCAGGAGTCTCTCTTTGTCTTTGATTTTAGACAGTTTGGCTACAATGTATCTCAGTGCAGTTTTCTTTAGGTTTATCCCAAAGCTAGTTAGAGCTTTTTGAATTTATTTCTTTCTTCAAATTTGGAAAGTTTGGAGCCATTATTTCTTTAATAATTTCTCTGCTCCTTTCTCTCTCTCTCTCTCTCTCTCTCTCTCCTTGGATTTCTATAATGTATACGTTGGGCCCACTTGATTGTGTCCCTTATGTCACTTTTCTTCATTCTTTTTTCTTTTTGTTCCTTTGACTGGATGATTTCAAATGACCTGCCTTCAAATTCACTGATTTTTTTCTTCTATCTGATCAAGTCTACTGTTGAACCCCTTTAGTGAATTTTTTAGTCAGATATTTTTGGGGGTTTTTTTTTCAAATAACTGTCTTTTAAAGGAAGAATAAAAACTCGATTGGTTTTTTTTTATAGTTTCCATCTCTTTGTTGATTTTCTCCTTTTGCTCATGCATAGTTTTCCTGATTTCTTTTTAATTGTGTATATGTGTTCTCTTTTTCTAAAGCTCATTGGTCATCTTTATGACTGTTATTTTAAATTCTTTGTCAGGGAGTTCATAGATTTGCAGTTCTTTTGGATCAGTTTTGAGAGATTCATTTTGTTTTGTTGATTAGGTTGTGTTTTCTTTTTTCATTTTTATGCCTTATAATCTGTTGAAATTTGGGCATTTGAAAAATCAACCACATCTCCCAGTCTTTACATACTGGCTTCATGCAGGGAAGGCTTTCACCCATCAGCCCAGCTAGAGGTTCTAGGACCTCTCAAACCTTTTTTGATCTCTTGCTTCCCCTGCTGTCCACCTGTGGAACTGCAACTCTAATGTACAGCTTGCCTCTTTTCAAGCATCTTCCAACTCTATCATTGGTTCCTTTAGTGCTCCAAGTCAGGAGAGACAGAAGCCAGTTTCTCAGGCAGCCCCCAGACAATCCAGAATGTTAGAAACATGGTCTACTCTTTTATTTTTATTCTGAGGGAGGAACCTTAGTATGGAGGTTTTCCTCTTGGTTGCCCTGTGCTATGCTGTGTAGAGGGAGAGGCACTGATGGGCACACATGAAATGCATGGCACACATGCATTTTTCTATTTGCTGGAATCTCTTCTTGGTTTTACCTTGGCCTGCATGCTGTAGCTTCTCAACGGGTCTCTAGAGTTCTCACAAAGGTATTCTAGTCCATACATTGCTATTAGTTCCATGTCTCTGTGGCAGAAGGAGGGCCTGGAGCTTTCTAGTCCATCTTGCTGATGTCACGCCTGGATATTTTTTTCAGTTCTGCATTTTAGCTGCAATAGATTCTCCTTATGAAAACCGTTTCTTCTTTTGTTGTGGAAAAGATGTCTGAAGAAGTTCTCTGCTAGTCCCACCTACTCTAATAATAGATGGAGGAAGCATGGAGCTACTGAGCCTCGAAGGCTCCCTACCCAACCGTGTCCCTTTCTTCCTTGAGTCACTCATGCTACCTAAAATCACCACTATTATTTCCATACACAATATGAATGGGAGAAGAAACAATTAAATTATTAGAACTCATCACCAGCTAAGTAAGAGGTGAGGTATGTATTTTCTCTCTCTCCCTCTCAATTACTGTAGGTATTACTTACAAAATAAATCTGTTTTCCAGCTATATAGACTCTCATTAACAAAACACTTAACACATTATTTTCCTTGCCCTTCCCACTGGAAGACAGTACAGCCCTGCCTTTCTTCCATGCTCCTTTGAATCGGAACAGTTAATAGCATTTTTGGGGTTTCAGGTGTGTGAAATGGGCTGCCTTGAAACTCCTCCATAGACTCTTGCTTTAAATGAGTGGATTATGGTGGAGAGAGAGGGTCTAAAGTCTGCGTGTGAGCTTTTGATCTCACCTCAGAAGGGTTTTAAGCCAGGTCATTGGAGCAGGACCCAGAGAGGAGGCTAAGTATGTGGTCCCAGGAGGGATGGAGATCTGGGCCTCACCCACAGACCACCTGGTGGGGAGATGCTGGTGTGGAGATCTCTGGCAGCCTGGCACTGACCACAGAGGTCCAGGGATGCTCTCCCTGAGGGCACATGGTCAGCATCACCAGTTCTTTCTCTGATGAACTACAAGGGGCCAGAGGAGAGGCTTTTCAGCACTGAGCAGGATTGTTGAGTAACTGCCATTTTCTTGGGCCATCTGAGTTCCCTGTCCTGGCCACATAGGAGTGGAAAGGGAGTCACAAAAACATGACGGATATTCCACTTTCTCTCACCTTGGCAAGCTAATCATAATTTAACGTAGAAAAATTAATTATGTACTATTTATTACTCCTCAAGAACTGTGGGACAAAATACATGCTTTTATAAATGGAGCTATAAATTGACTTTTTACTTAGTACTGTACTAGGATTATCACTTTGTAACATTAAATATTCTTCTAGAACATGATTTTTAATGACTACATAGTATTTTATGGATGATCTGTCTTTTGAAGGAATAATTTGATTATGCCATTTAAGTGTGGGGTGGAGAAGAGAGCTTTCTGGCTCGAGGAAGGGAGCTACATGGGCATTAGCTCAGAGAACCCGTCAAAGGACTGTCCTCAGTGCCACGTGTGAGCCCAGGTTCATCTGGGTTCTTAGCTCAAGCTGTGTTTTATTATACCAGAGACTTTTTGACCACAACTTACATTGAAAAATACATTTCTATGGCTACCTAGTGATTTTTAAACTAAATTTGTTGAAATTTTGCCTGACAGTGCTAAGGGAAGAGGAGTGTAAAGTGAGTGCACGTGTTAAAGTTTATATTGCGTTTCCAGGGAGGGCCTCACAGAGATGGTGGATTTGAGTCAAGACCTGGTAGAAATTAAGGAGTGAGCCAGGCACCTGTTTAGGGGAGAGGCTTCCAGGCATGGGAGTAGAAAATGCAGAACTTCTGCAAGGGGAGCATGCCTCGGAGGTTTGAGGAACAGGGAGAAAGTCAGCGTGGCCAGAGATGGTAGCATAGAATGAGAGCAGTGGACAATAAGGTCAGAGTCAGGAGCAGGTTGTATAGGGCCTTGCAGGCTACTGCAAAGATACTGGCTTTAACTCTGAATGACATGGGAGTTAGTAGAGGGTTTTATTTATTTATTTTGAGATGGAGTCTCGCTCTGTCACCCAGGCTGGAGTGCAGTGGTGCAATCTTGGCTCACCGCAACCTCCGCCTCCCAGGGTCAAGTGATTCTCCTGCCTCAGCCTCCTGAGTAGCTGGGATTACAGGCCTGTGCCACCACGCTGGCTAATTTTTTTGAATTTTTAGTAGAGACGGGGTTTCACCATGTTGGCCAGGCTGGTCTTGAACTCCTGACCTCGTGATCCGCATGCCTTGGCCTCCCAAAGTACTGGGATTACAGGCGTGAGCCACCACACCTGGCCTTAGTAGAGGGTTTTAATCAAAGGAATGAGATGTTTTAACCATTATGTTGAGAATATAGTATAGAAGGGAATGTGGGTAGTGGGTGAGGATGCAAGTAGGGAGAGCAGTTAGGAGCCTAGTTCTATAATACAGTGGAGACAGAAGGCAGCTTGGACCATCATGGGAACAATGGAAGGGATGAGAGGAGGTGCTTCAAAGAGGAGAGAGTGAACCACCATCTTCAGTACTGCTGATCAGCCAGGCAAGATGAGGGCTGAGAATTCACCATTGAATTTTGAATTTAGAAATGTAGACATCATTGCTGACTTTGACGATAGCAATTTTGCTGGAATAATGGGCTTGAAACCCTAAGGGAAAGACAGTTAAGACAGAATGGAAGGAGAGAAATGAGAAAATGTCGTACCACTTTCAGGGAATTTGCTTCAAAACGAAGGAAAGAATTGAAGCAGTAACTAGGGGGATTAGTGGGATCAGGAAAGGTTTTGTTTTGTTTTAAAGTGAAATGATTGTTGGCCAGGTGTGGTGGCTCATGCCTGTAATCCTAGCACTTTGGGAGGCCAAGGCAGATGGATCACCTGTCAGGAGTTTGAGACCAGCCTGGCCAACATGGAGAAACCCTGTCTTTACTAAAAATACAAAAACTAGCTGGGTGTGGTGGCACACACCTGCAGTCCCAGCTACTTGGGAGGCTGAGGCAGGAGAATCACTTGAATGCGGGAGACAGAGGTTGCAGTGAGCCGAGATCACGTCACTGCACTCCAGCCTGGGCGACAGAGCGAGACTCCATCTCAAAAAAAAAAAAAAGATTGCATGTTTCTGTGTATAACAATGGGAAGATTCAGTAGAGAGAGAGAAATAGATGATACAGGAGATTATATATTAAGGAAAAAATTTTCCTGAAACATTACCTTTGGCCATGCCATGCTATGCGTTCTGATGCTTTCAATCCTTTTTCAGTCTCTTCCATTCTATTGCATTCTATGCTGGTCATGCCATACTACACTGATTTCACAACTCGAGATTTGAAAAAAGCACTGTACCCGTCTTGCTGCTTAATTTAAGTTCCCTCCTCTTCCTTAGAATAGTCTTTCTTACCATGGAGGAAGCCTTTGCCCAGAAAAGTCAGGGCAGGATGCTTTACAGACACTTGGGAAACTCAAGAATAGTTTCTTTTACAGCCTGACTGTGCTGACAGCCTGAAGCTCAGGAGCTGTCCAATTTGATTGTTTAAATAGGACTTTTCAGCTAACACTGCCTCCACTGACTCCATTTGTCCAAAGCCGGGCATATACATAGGCACTAGCCACACCTAAAAGACCAAGAAAACAAATAAGAATTGATTAAATATTCATCTGCCTGATAATAGTGTTTGTTTTGTGCAGCTTTAGTGTTTGTTTTTGCCTCCCTAATATGAATCTTGGGCATTTTAACACACTAAATTGCTATTTCAAGATGAGTGGTAGGGTGAAGCTTTTTTCCTAAGGGAACGAGATTTTCTTGATTTTATATGTGTGAGAATGTTAAATTAATTGTTCCTAATGGTAAAACAATAAAGAATAATGCATGCATAAAAACTATAAAATAACAGATACGTTAACAATTAAAAGCATTTTTAGAGTATATCCTTCTCATGTACACACACACACACCTCAACCAAATTATTTCGTAATTGAAGCCTAGCACTCAACAAATACTCACTAAATACATGACGCAATGAATGAATGAATGAATGCGTTACTTACCTCATGAAAGTATAACATTTGACTTAACTTGTTCAGCTTAGGTTTTCTTTATTGTCTCCCCCCACCCCGAATCTATATAGAGAAAAGAATATTGACAAATCTCAAATGGGCTGTGATGTGAATACATATTATAAAAATTACTATGAACTTTAAAGAAGAAGGTGTTTTTAGAATGATAATACCCTTTTGCTATGTTTTTGCTTCGCCCCAAACCATCCAGTAAGGTGGCTAGTGATAAGAGCAATATTCATAAATTCTTATCTTAGACAAGAAATAAAACATTCTTATTTAAATGGAATTGAATTTGAAAATGCAAAGATGTTGAACTTGAGTAAACTGGGTTATTCAAATTTACATCAACACTGTAATCTTTTTTAGTGTGTGTGATGGAGTCTCACTCTGTCGCTCAGGCTGGAGTGCCATATTGCGATCTTGGCTCACTGCAACCTCTGCCTCCTGGGTTCAAGCAATTCCCCCTGCCTCAGCCTCCCAAGCAGCTGGGATTATAGGAGCCCACCACCACGCCTGGCTAATTTTTGTATTTTTTAGTAGAGACAGGCTTTTGCCATGTTGGACAGGCTGGTCTTGAACTTCCGTCCTCAGGTGATCCACCCACCTCGGCCTCCCAAAGTGCTGGGATTACAAGCATGAGCCGCCGTGCCTGGCCAACACTACCATCTTTGATTTCATTCCTCCTCAGGTTGAGACATCAAGATGACATTGCTTCAGAACAGAAAACCAAGTATACAAATAAGCACCAAAAAGTTTTACTTCCTGTGAGAATGCAAATATGCGAAGGACTCCTAGGTTTGGACTTCCAGATTGCAGATTGGACTTCCTTCTCGTGTGTAAGGAGGGCTTGAGCTGATGCCACTGGGCCACCCTTGGTCGCATACCTTGAATTAATTTTCCAAGGAGTGATGTGTTTACAATGGCCTGTCTTGCCCAGTTGCACTTGGGACAAAACCCACAGATTTCTGACATGACCTGAGTAAGAAGTCCAGCCTACGGACACTGGGTTGAGTAAAACAAAAGGATCAAAGTCAGCATCAAATGCACTCATTAAGCTCCATGAGCACCAGCCTGTCATCAGCTAAGTTAATTTGGGAGACACTAGTCTAATTGTCACCTACACATACAGGCCTATGACCTGGGAGAAGGCCAAGCCTTGCAGATGGGAATGCAAGAAGGGAAGCAGGAATAGGAGGGATTCTGGATGGAGATAACTATTATCTTAGTTTATTGGGGCCAAGTGACAGCTTTCCAGTTATTGCAAAGAACTGGATAGTGAACAAGGACACACAAAGTCAAAACCACCATGATGTGGACACCAGACCTGTGGAGTGGGAAATACCAGTCTGCACTGGTCACTATTTTACAGGCAAAACTTAATTGCCCCATTCAGGAGAACACCTTTCAAAGGCAAAGTGCCTGACTGAATAACTGGGACTTCAGTTCAGCTTAGCCAAGCATACCCATTCCGAAGCCTTCACAGACCTTTAAAAGGATCAGCCAGTTTGGCTTTTGAAGATGAAAATTGCAATTGGAATGAGAATTTTATTTCTTTCATTTGTTACAATGTGCAGGCAACTCCACACATTTCATAGGGTCAGCAGTGATCCCCAAATTAAAATTTTACATCTTTTACTCAATACCAGCAATAGTGGGCATACAAGGAAATGTAATGGAGAAGGAACAGCCTTCAGATGAAGGTGAAGCTTTATTCAAACCTGCCTTGACTGCTTTTAGCAGTGTGACTTTGAACAAGTTATTGCAATTCCTGGTTCTCACTTTTCTCATATGTAAAATAAAGACAGTATCTACCTAGTATGATTGTTGTGAGGAGCGAATAAACCATAAAAACACTAAAACAGCTCATGACTCCTTAATAATGGCAGGGCTGTTGTCATTACCCTGTATTTGTAGTATTCCTTCCTCAAAGCGAGGCCTGGAGACCTTCCCACACCATCAATCTGGATCAGTGAGTCTTAGACCTGGCTGTGAGTGAAAATTGCCTGGAAGCTTTTACAAATACCCCTGACAGGTGCCCACTCCAGAATGATGGAATCAGGATCTTTCCGGGTGGGGCCCACATATTTTGTAAAGCTTCCCAACTGATTCTTATTTGTAGTCAAGATTAAGACCCACTAGTCTAGGTTAATTAGCAATAGTCCCCCCAACACACACAGACACTTATGTCCATTTCTTGAACCTGCTATCCCTAGTCATCTTTGGTATAGAATCATATCCTCTGTGAGGGGAGATAATTTGACCTACTCTCTTCCTATTTAGATGCCTTTTATTTCTTTCTCTTGCCTGATTGCTCTGGCTAGGACTTCTAGTACTGTGTTGAATAGGAGTGGTGAGAGTGGGCAACTTTGTCTTGTTCCAGTTCTCAGGGGGAACACTTCCAGCTTTTGCCCATTCAGTATGATGTTGGCTATTGGTTTGTCATAGATGGCTTTTATTATTTTGAGGTGTATTCCTTCAATGCCTAGCTTGTTTTTTAATAAACTAGGGTTTTGAACTAGGGCTTTTAACATGAAGAGATGTTGAATTTTAATCAAAAGCCTTTTCCATTTATTAAGTTATTGATTTGCATATGTTGAATCAACATTGCATCTCAGGAATAAAACCTACTTGATCATGGTGGATTAGCTTTTTAATGTGCTGCTGCATTCAGGAGAGGATTTTGGCATCTTTGTTCATCAGAGATATTGGCCTGAAGTTTTCTTTATTCATTATGTCTCTGCCAGGTTTTGGTATCAGAATGATGCTGGCCTCATAGAATGAGTTAGGGAAAAGTCCTTCCTCCTTGCTTTTTTGGAATAATTTTAGTAGGATTGGTACTAGCTCCTTTTTATATATCTGGTAGAATTTGGCTGTAAATCCATCTGGTCCAGGGCCCTTTCTGGTTGGGAGGCTTTTTATTACTGATTCCATTTCAGAGCTCAGTATTGGTCTGTTCAGGATTTCAACTTATTCCTGGTTCAATCTTGAGAGGTTTTATGTTTCCAGGAATTTATCAATTTCTTGTAGGTTTTCTAGTTTGTGCATAGAGGTGCATAGAAGTGTTCATAATAGTCTCTGAGCATTTTTTGTACTTCTGTGGGGTCGGTGATAATGTCACCTTTGTCGTTTCTGATTCAGTCCATTTGGATCTTCTCTTTTTCCTCTATTAATCAAGATAGCAGTCTATCAATCTTATTTATTCTAAAAAAAAATCTTTGGTTTCATTGATCTTTTGTATGAATTTTTATGTCTCATTTGCATTCAGTTCAGCTCTGATTTTGGTTATTTCTTTTCTTCTGCTAACTTTGGGGTTGGTTTGGTCTTGTATTTTTTAGCTTCTCTAGATGTGATGTTAGGTTGTTAATTTGAGATCTTTAACTTCTTGATGTAGGCATTTAGCAATATAAACTGTCCTCTAATGCTGATTTAGCTGTGTCCCAGAGATTCTGGTATGCTGTAGTGTTTTTTTTTTCTTTCATTTACTTCAAATAATTTTTTTATTTCTGCCTCAATTTTATTATTTATCCAGAAGTCATTCAGGGACAGGTTGCTTAATTTCCATGAAATTGTATAGTTTTTAGAGATCTTCTTGGTGCTGATTTCTATTTTTATTGTGCTATGGTCTGAGAGTGTGGTTGGTACAATTTTGGTTTTTTTGAATTTGTTGAGAATAACTTTATGGCTGAGCATGAGGCCAATCTTAGAGTATATGCCATGTGCAGATAAGAAAAATGTATATTATGTTGTTGGGTGGAATACTCTGTAGATGTATATTAGGTCGGTTTGGTCAAGTGTTGAGTTTAGGTCAAGTGTCGAGTTTAGGTCAAATATCTTTGCTAGTTTTCTGCCTCAGTGATCTGTCTAACACTGTCAGTGGGGTGTTGAAGTCTCCCATTATTATTGTGTGGTTATAGAAGTCTTTTCATAGGTCTCTAAGAGCTTGTTTTGTGAATCTAAGTACTCCAGTGTTAAGTGCATATATATTTAGGATAGTTAAGTCTCCCTGTGGAACCGAACCCTTTATCAGTATGTAATGTCCTTATTTGTTCTTATTGAATGTTGTTGATTTAAAGTCTGTTTTGTCTGAAGTAAGAATAGCAGCCCTGCTCTTTTTTGTTTTCTGTTGCTTCATAGATCTTTCTCCATTCCTTTACATTGAGCCTATGGGTGTCATTGAATGTGAGATGAGTATCTTGAAGACTAACTGTCCTTAGCTTCTAAAGGACTCTATGTTGCAATACTTTTTTTCTTTTTTTTTGAGACAGGATCTGGTTCTGTCACCAAAGCTGGAGTAGTGGCATGATCATTGCTCACTGTAACCTTGAACTCCTGGGCTCAAGAGAACCTCCTGCCTCAGCCTCCAGATTAGCTAGGACTACAGGTCCTTGCCACCATGCCCAAGTAATTGTTTTTATTTATGTATTTTTTTAGAGATGGGGTCTTACTATGTTGCCCAGGCTGGTCTCAAATTCCTGGCCTTAAGCAATCCTCCCACCTTGGCCTCCCAAAGCAGTAGGATTACAGGTGTGAACCACTGCACCCAGCCTTCCAATGGTCTTTTTATTTTTAGTAATATTAGTTTCTAGAATTCTATAAAACAAGAAAAAATTCAACGTGAAATTCTGAAGTTATCCTTCCTTTCACCTCTTAATGTAAATCTAACATAGGTTCCACTTTTAGCAATTAAAATTCATTTTAGAAGTACCTACACTGCTGAACATTTGATGAGACTAAAAATTATTTTCTAGGCTGGGTGCAGTGGCTCACGCCTGTAATCCCAACACTATGGGAGGCTGAGGTGGGTGGATCACTTGAGCTCAGGAGTTCAAGACCAGTCTGGGCAACATGGTAAACCCCGTCTCTATTAAAAATACAAAATTAGCTGGGCATGGTTGTGCATGCATGTAATTCCAGCTACTCAGGAGGCTGTGGCACAAGAATCACTTGAACCCAGGAGGTAGAGGCTGCAATGAGCTGAGATTGCCCCACTGCACTCCAGCCTCGGTGACAGAGTGAGACCCTGTTTCAAAAAAAAAAAAAATTCTAATGATGATATTTACATTTTAAAGGCAGGATTTCTTTTAATGTGATTTTAAAATGGAATGTTTTACATTTTTATAAAATCATTATTTTGTGTATGCTCATAAAAGATGAAATATTTTAAATATTTTAAATAATTTGTACATATTTTAAATAGTGGTCTAGCAGTTTATGTACACATGTACCTATATGGAGTAGGTGGGGTGTAGAGAAGGAGAGAATTGGAAAATATATAATTATAAAATATATCAACCTGTATTTTCATCATAAGGACAAACAATATTACACTATATAGTGTCTTCTTTTCATTTGACTTATCCAGTTCTTCTCGTTAGTACATGATATATTTTTATAATTTGAATTTAGAAAAAGACAAAAAAGAAAAAATGATAAAGACAATTGTATCAAGTTGTGTTTGGAAGCATATAGCAGAAGATATGACAAAAAAAGGTCATAAGCAAGTATATTAGTTTCCCAGGGCTGCCATAACAATTTACCATAAATTTGAGGGCTTAAAACAACAGAAATGTATTCTCTTATAGTTCTGGAGGCCAGAAATGTGAAATCAATGTGTCTGAAGGGCCATGCTCCCTCTGAAGGCTCTGCAGGAGAATCCTTCCTTGCCTCTTTCAGTTTCTGGTGGCTTCGGGTGTTTCTTGGCTTGTGGCTGGATCACTCCAATCTCCACCTTCGTCTTCAGTTGGTCTTTATTGTCCTTGTGATAGAGGCAGGAGGCAGACAAATGCCTAGGCAGATAGGGAAGGGTCCCTGGTGAAAACCCCACCTTCAAGCCTAAAACAGCCTGAGGGCTGAAAGACCAGACTGCTGGTCCCAGATGAAACCTGTGATCCAGAGGGAGAATGTCTGCCCCAGTTTGCCTGCCCTTTCCCCATTGATTCTTTCTGAATAATGCCTTATAGCCAATTGAATGTTGCCTTTCCAATACTACCTATGGCTTGCCTGGGCATACCCACGTGTGCACTAGGGAATGGGGTGGAACTACCAGGAATCTGCACCTTATGCGGGGAAGAGACTGGCCTCTTCAGTTTGTGTATGGTGACCCTGATATTCAATTAGAGAGGTGGAAACCTGTTGGCAGGACTCCCTCTCTTTGCTGAGAGCTTTGTTTTTGCTTAATAGATTCTGCCCTTTTCACCTTTCAGTGTGTCCACATGCCTAATTTTTCCTGGTTATGAGACAAGAACCCAGATTTAGCTGAACTAAGGAGTAAAAATCCTGCATCACTTGTGTCTTCTCCTCTTCTGTCTCTTATAAGGGTACTTGTCATTGTATTTAGGGCCCACCTAGATAATTCAGGATGCACTCATTTTGAATTCCTAACTTTATTACATCTGCACGAAAAATCATTAAAAAAATAAGGTCACATTCATAGGTTCCAGTGTTCAGGATGTGGACTTACCTTCTTGGGGGTCACCATTCAACCCACAACAACAAGTAAAAGGCTTATGTATTTCCAGTAACAAGAAGTTCTAGGAGGGCTGCCTCTTTCCTTCTTTCTTCCCTACTGGAGTGCAAAGACTTTCATCTCAGGTTTTGTAGCCTCATGATTGAATGTCATGTCCTCATGATTGCTTGATTGCATATTCAGCAGAAAAAAATGGGGAAGTAGCAAAAATTCCAAAGGATACAAGTGAATGAGGTCTGGCCTTTTCATAAAAGATTTCCTGGAAGTATAACCCAGTGACTCCAACTTGCCTTTCATTGACTAGAACCAGATCATGTGGTCACCTCTTGCTACTGGCATTCTGGAAAAGTAAACATTTTGTCTTCCCAACTCCTGTCATAAAAGAAAGCAGGAATAAAAGCAATTGTGAATGGCTTTTGGGTGACCAATCCTCACTATTCAAAGGGAGAACATAATATTGGCTCAAGACCTAGATCTTTCAGAAACTGCTCAAATGACATGCTATCTGGGACTGGACTAGAATATCCCCCTTCCATATGTCAACACTATTTAAGTTTGACTCTTGATATGTTTTGGCTCTGTGTCCCCAGCCAAATCTCATCTTGTAGCTCTCATAATTCCCACGTGTTGTGGGAGGGACCCAGTGAGAGATAACTGAATCATGAGGATGGGTCTTTCTCATGCTGGTCTCGTGATAGCGAATAAGTCTCACAAGATCTGATGGTTTTAAAAATGGGAGTTTCCCAGCATGAGCCCTCTCTCTTTGCCTGCTGCCATCCATGTAAGATGTGACTTGTTCCTCCTTGCCTTCCACTGTGACTGAGAGGCCTCCCCAGCCACATGGAACTGTAAGTCCATTAAACCTCTTTCTTTTGTAAATTGCCCAGTCTCGGGTATGTCTTTATCAGCAGCATGAAAATGGATGAATACAACTCTCCTGTATTGACGTTGGATAGTTACATATTTTCTGAATGCTGATAGCACATGTTTTGAGACTTTAGATCAAAAGAGTGCAATAGGGTTTCCAGATTTGCAAATAAAATGCAAGACACCTAGTTAAATTTGAATTTCAGATAAACAATGAATAAATTTTTAGTACAAGCATGTCCAAAATATTATACTTATATAGAAAAATTATTCATTGTTTATTAAAATTCAAATTTAACTATGCATCTTGTATTTGCTCTGTGACAGGCCAGAGCATTCAGCCATGGACTAACTCCCCAGAAATGACATTATTGATTATTCTTGTCATAGCAAAGTACAAATATTAAAGGTATTAACATTTACCATACCATGCATGGGAATTGTGCTTAGATAGGAAGAGACAACTGATCCCTTTAACAGAAATATTTGGAATTCAGAAATATTCCTTTTAAACATTAGTCTTGTCCTTTGAGGCACAAGCCACAGCCTATCTAAGAAAGCAAATTCTATAGAGGATGATCTATTTACCCATGACTATTCAAATAGTCTCAGGCTATGGTGGAAGGTGTAGGTTTATGAGTTTTTAGACTGTGAGCCTAGTTTGTAGGTGCTAAAGCCTATAAGAATAGACTGTTATAATTAATATGTTCTAATTTTGCAACACCTTTAAAAACCTCCTGCTGGAAATTAAGGTCCAACCTTCAGGATAAATAATAGCATCCCGTGGCAGGCCACCCGCTGTAATTGTTGTTATCCTTGGTCTTGGGACTCATTTTATCTTCAATGCATCATTGGCACTTGTGATCTTTGTTTCTAAAAAAATGGCTTAAATCCTGGCAGAGAAAGCCTCTGGAAGTAAGTGTAGATGAATTTCATCTGCTGCGGGGTTCATTTAACAAATAAGCCACCCTCATTTCCCTCTCCCATGAGTTTTCAGAGAAAGAAGGGAGAAAAATGGGGCAATCAATATTACTGGAAAGAAAAATATATATATAAGATTAGACAAGACTATTGCCTCACTAATTTGTGCGCTACTTCAGGAAAAGGGAGTCATAACTCTTTCTCAATGATTTTAGAAAGTGTATAATTAAGGCCAAAGTTGATCATGAAATTTGCTAGAAACCAAAAAAAAAAAGAAAAATGCACCTGGAAAAAAATCACTTGCCTTGAGACTGAACACGGGCAACTGTCCATGCCGACAGGCCACTGAACTGTTAAAGGCTAGCAAGTGGGCATAAAATCAGAAACAGAAATTAGAGATTTGATGTGTGGATCTCAAATGCTACAAAGGAAAAGATCATTTTATTTTAAAATTACTAGTCTACAAAAGTGACAGTAATTGGAATAGACGTCTGTATTTGCTTCAAAATTCATATAAATTTCAGAGACAGTTTTATCAGTACACATTTTTTGCTTTCCAAATAATTTCTGTGTATTTTTATTAAATCTTCATATCACTGAGATAGGGCTCCCCAGATTTTTTTCTCAATGGCTGTGTGTGCACTTGCGTCTGATGATAATAAGAGTTCTATTTGTGCCTGGAGAAGCTTCAGCCTAATAATGGCAGAGTCGAGCGATACATCTGTCATTGCTACAACCAAAGCTCCCACATCTAACCACTGGAGGGTCATAATAGTCCTTCCTTCATATTGCAGCTACCACTGAAAACACCCCAGCTGCATAAACTGGGGACTTTTCCACCACACAGAAGAAATGAATAAAGAGCTTCTAATGCCATTAAATTAAAATAGACTTTAGCTATGAAGTGTAATTCACAAAGACTATCATTGACTCTAACGGGGGCACCTTTTTTTGTTCATTGCTATAATATTTTATCAGTAATTGTAGGTCTTTTTTGATCACAAGAGACTTCAATTTCATTTTCTTTTCCAAAATATAAGGCTAAAAATGTAGCCAGCAGGGACTGGTCAACCAGGGGCCCACTGGGTGAGCTGCGTCCAGTGAAAACTCATTAATCTGGCAGTTTAGAAATTCTCCCTTACATAGTATGCAGGAAAAACATTTTGGCTTAGATATTTTTCCTCCTTCTCTAGTATCACTCTAACTTCCTGGAAAAGGCAACAAAGAACTTAAGTAAGGCAGTCAGTTAGAAGCTTGATTAGCTTCAGGAAAAGCTCTTAGCTGTGGAGAAAAACAACCACTGGAACATGAAAGCAGAAATGGTGAAAAACATAATTTAAAGGTACATTTCCTGATTTGTGAGGGGCCCTATTCTTGGGGCTCAGATGTACCAGGCACAAGGGACAGCCAGATATGCCTGCCCCCAACCCCCATCTTGGTTGTTTTGGGGCACAGGTTAAAGAAGAAGAAATGGCAAATTCTAGAAGTGAGGCCAGAGGAAGTCGAGGTGAATAATCAATTCTTGTATCAAGGCAGGCTTTTCCTTACAGCAACAACAGTAACAATGGTGGCTACAACGTATTTTTAATTTTTTTTAGAGACAAGGTCTTGCTCTACCACCCAGGCTGGAGCGCAGTAGTGTGATCACAGCTCTCTGCAGCCTCGAACTCCTGGGCTCAAGCAACCCTCTCTCCTCAACCTCCCAAAGTGCTGGGATTACGGGCATGAGCCACCGCGCCCAGCCCGTGGCTACCATTTATTGACTACCTTCTACCGGCCAGCCTTTTTTAGATGGACAATCTGAGGCTTCGAGAGGTAAAGGAATTTGCCAAAAGCCATGCAGTCATTCAGCTCCTGGCCTCTCTGACACCAGGACTGTTCCAGGGGCATGAATAAAATGTTTCCCAGTTTTAAAATACTATCCCCGCAATTTCTTCAGTGTTTCTTTGCTGTCCTCTCCCCCAAAAAATATGCCTCACAACTTTATCCCCTTAACTATGGGGATACTGAGAGCATTCCCAATGGCTCCGTGGGTGAGTAGCTTGACTTCCCTGTCACAAAAGATTGTACTACATCCAGCAGAGTTACAGAAGTAGCATGGTCTTTAGATTTTGGAGATTTGGTTTTGAGTATTGGATACTGCATATTCCTTCCTTCCTTTATTCAAGAAATATTTATTATTGAGTGTCAAAAGTTAACTTATTATGAAGCTAATGGAAATGGTCTTCAAGGCTCTGTACCTGCACAGACCCTCCCCAAAGTCTTGGGAGAGGCTCTATCAATGTACTCATTTGGTCAGACGTTTTTGTGAAACTTGTAATAAGACCTTTTCACCAGAATCAGTTAAGACCACTGTCTCTTTCCTCTCAGACTTTCCCTTGTGTTTCCTGGGAATGGAGGGCTGAAGGCGTTGCTGGGGTTCTGGCTGAAGGAAAGCTGATTGAGGACGCATTTAGTCTGGGTTTCATGGGTTCTCTGTGTGTAGTTCCCAGTCACTTTCGTGGGTGGTCAGGCCATTACTAACCACCCTGGGATAGGAAGGTTTCCAGCAATACTCCTACTGCCTGCTGCATCAATCTACCCAGGGTTTTGCCACGAAAGTGCAAGGCCAGAGGTCATAGTGGACTGTGAATATGTCCTACAGTTGACATGGTTTGGCTGTGTCCTCACCCAAATCTCACTGTGAATTGTAGCTCCCATAATTTCCACATCTTGTGGGAGGGACCTGGTGGGAGATAATTGAATCATGGGGACAGGTCCCCCATGCAGTTCTCCTGGTAGCAAATAAGTCTCATGAGATCTGATGGTTTTACAAGGGGTTTCCCCTTTTGCTTCATTCTCATTCTTTCTCTTGTCTGCTGCCATGTAAGACGTGCCGTTTGCCTTCCATCATGATTCTGAGGCCTCCTCAGCCATGTGGAATTATGAGTCCATTAAACCTCTTTTTCTTTATAAATTACCCAATATCAGGTTTGTCTTTATCAGCAGCATGAAAACAGACTAATACAACAGTGCTTGACACCATAGGCATGTAGATACTAGAAGGGAAACTAGCCAGAGGCAGCCTTTAGAGAGTTCTTCCAACCACCAGTCATGTAAAACTGAAAGTAAAAAACGCAGCTTTCATTGACCCCTGGTCAAAACAGAAGTTCACTTTGGTTAGGAATATACTGAAAAATGCAACAGATAAAATTGTAAAGGCACAAAACAATGTTTTCTTTTTGATGAGAATACATGAAATATGTTTTAAAAGATTTCTTATTTTTGTAGGGCATAAAGTTGTGCACTAACAAACAGTGAGTTTGTATGTGAAGCTGCAAGCTTTATCCTTATGAAATACTGATATTGACAAAGATAATATGAAACTCCTATTGGGCCATTACAATGAGGAGGTCAATGACAAACTGTTGAACGTCATCAGTTCATAGTATTTAAGACTGGTCACTGCACAAAATACTTGAAATGACCTGAATTCCTATAGCTCTGCATGAAAGAAACCTGGTGATCATGTTTCAGAATTAGACAACAATCCTAATAACATACGTGACATTACCAGTAACAAACTGTAAAGCTGAGCTATTAATACAAACTAAGCAATAAATTAATCAGTTCCAAAAAGCAAAACAAAACAAAATAAAACTTTCAACTATGCTAGAGGAAAGATTGAGTTACATTTTAATTCTTTGTATAGAAAAATATATATAAAATTATTATCATAGAAAGAGGTGATTAAAGAGGATATAGCCAAAAATGTGGAGAAAAGGTATTGTAGAAATGAATAGGTAGTTGATTAATGAACATATTATGTCCTTTTTCTGGACTTTGTGATTTTTTTTGTTAGTGTTGGCTATTTAAAAAATAATTTGGGGCTGGCCAAGGTGGCTCACGTCTATAACCCAGTCTATACTAAAAACACAAAAATTAGCCAGGAGTGGTGGCGGGTGCCTGTAATCTCAGCTACTCAGGAGGCTGAGGCATGAGAAATGCTTGAATCTGGGAGGCGGAGGTTGCAGTGAACTGAGATCACACCACTGCACTCCAGCCTGGGTGACAGAGCAAAAGTCTGTCTCAAAAATAATAATAATAATAATTTGGACTGGGCATGCTGGCTCATGCCTGTAATCCCAACACTTTGAGACTTGAGGCAGGAGGATCACTTGAGCCCAGGAGTTCACAAGGTCACAGTGAGCTATGATCGTACCACTGCACTCCAGCCTGGGCAACAGAGCAAGACCCTATCTCTAAGAAAAATTTTTTAAAATTAAAAAAAATAATTATTGTAATTTCTAATTCTAAGTAAGTATTCACTTTTATACCTAATTTTGTATTTGTACATTTGTGTTCTCTTTTTCTTTAAGCAGATCCTTTGGAAATGTAAGCTTCCCACCTCATAAACCTGGATTCATCCCTCTTAGCTCTTACTAGGTACCAGTGATAGAGCACTGGGAATACAAAACTTCCCTCCACTTCTGGAAGTTTACATTCTAAGAGTGTGAGCTGTTAGATACCTAAATAAAATAGGCAATAAATTCGATGATGGTAGATGCTCCAAAGAAAAGTAGAGTAAGGAGGGGGATGAAAAAGTGCTGAGAGTGTGGGTTCTGCATCTTAGACACCTTGAGAGAACATAGATACCAAAAGAAAGGAGCAAGGAGGGAATGAGCTGTCTGGAGCAAAGTGGGTCTCAGGCAGGGGGAAAAGCCAGTACAACCCGCGGGCAAGCCTAGTGTGTTCCGAGTGTCCAGAGCCAGGAGAGAGAGGAGGGAAGCAGGAGAGATGAGTTCGGAGAACCCAGTGATAGCACAGGGCCTTTGGCCATTTCAAGGAAGTTGGCTCTTACTGAGCAGGAAGGGAAATATTGGACGATTTGGGGCAACAGCTTGACATGACCTGTCTTAACATTGAAACCAAGTCACTCTAACTGGCGGTGTCTTTTTTTGTGGCTTTTTTGTTTTAGTTTCTGGGACAGATTCTCCTTCTGTTGCCCAGGCTGGAGTGCAGTGGTGCCATCATAGTTCACTGCAGCCTCCATCTCCCAGACTCAAGCAATCCTCCCACCTCAGCCTCCCGAGTAGCTGAGACCACAGGTGGTGCCACCACACCTGGCTAATTTTTTTTATTTTTTATTTTTTGCAGAGACTGGGTCTCGCAACGTTGCCCAAGCTGGTCTTGAACTCTGACCTCAAGTGATCCTCCTGCCTTGGCCTTCCAAAGTGTTGGGATTAGAGGTGTGAGTCACCACTCCTGGCCCTAACTGGTGTTTTGAAAACAGATCAAAGGACAACAACTGAGGAAGCGGGTGACCAGTTGGAAGGCTATTGCAACGAGCCAGGTGACTGTGACACAGGTGGTAAATGGCCGGATTCAGGATCGATTTTAAAGGCAGAGCTGATGAGTTTCGAGAGAAAGAAAGGAATGAAGGATGATTCCAAAGCTTTCCACCTGAGCAGTTAGAAGAATGAAGTTGTCATTTGTTAACAATGGGCAGGACTGTGACAAAAGCAGATTGGTCTGTTCTGATTGTGTAAGATTTGAGGTGATGCGGAGGGCAGGGTTGAATATGAGCTGAGGAGAGACTTGTGGGCTGGAGATACAAAATGGGACTTCCTACACATGTGGAGAGAGAGAGAGTGTGTGTGTGTGTGTGTGTGAGAGAGAGAGAGTGTGTGTGTGTGTGTGTGAGAGAGAGAGAGAGAGTGCTTTTCTCCAAGGCTGGAGAGGGTGGACAAAAGAAGGAAAGAAAAGCTAAGCAGAACACTAAGGCTTAGTTTCTGCCATTTCTCTAAAACGTTCACAAAAGTTGGTAAAAGTTCTTAACATTTTACAACATTACCTCGACCCTCACATTCTCCACGTGACAAGTACTCCGCTGTTCATGTGCTTTCCTAGGTTTCCAATAAACCAGTGAACTCTTAGGAATGTCTCAGACATTGCTGATTTCATCATTTTAAAAGATTTTCAAATACTGTTGGTGTGTGGAACTCCGTGGAAGCCAAAACCTGATTTTGTTTTTTTATTGATTTTTATCTCACCATTTCCTGTACACACTGTAGGTTGGGAGTTTATTTTTTATGACTTTTTCTTTGCACAGTTGGTGAGTGCTGGCATTTAAAAAATATTTTTAATAAAAAACAATTGAGGAAGTTGCACTGAATCCTGAATAGGTTTATGCCCTAGTTCTTTAGAACTTTTGCCATTTTCTGAGAGCTCAATGCTAAATTGATTACTGACTGCCTCCCAAAGAAACCCCAGTCAAGCAATTGGTATGTGAAGGGAAATTTTCCAAAGGACACACCTAACATTTGTCGCATTAGACTTTCCACTGTCTCCTTAAAACAAGCTAGATCACCTGAAAATTATGCAGGTATCTATTTGCCTCCTGTATGTGTCGTGAGTAAATACATCACGAAGCTTTAAATCTCATCCAAAGCCTTGCTTTTTAAAGGGCTCAGATGCAGTTTATACAAATCTTCGGAACTGTGGAAATGATTTGGATAATTTTATTACTTTAATTTTTCCAAACAGACAAAGGGCAGCATTGTGTGCTGGCCTTCGCTACATGAGAACTTCCTGTTTCTCTAATGAGGGTTTAGATGTTTCAGGAGTAAGTCAGGATGTAGTCGGTCTTAGCGAAGAGTGGAGCAATTGTATACTTGGAGGTGTCCCTTGTCTGACACAGGCTGCTACGAACGGCTGCCTTCCCATCTGTTCCCAGCCTCACACACTGCCTGGAGTGGTGGTTCCAGAGCCCCCTACAGGGGAGCACTTTCCTGTTGCAAATTACACACTGCCTGGAGTGGTGGTTCCAGAGCCCCCTACAGGGGAGCACTTTCCTGTTGCAAATTACACACTGCCTGGAGTGGTGGTTCCAGAGCCCCCTACAGGGGAGCACTTTCCTGTTGCAAATTACACACTGCCTGGAGTGGTGGTTCCAGAGCCCCCTACAGGGGAGCACTTTCCTGTTGCAAATTACACACTGCCTGGAGTGGTGGTTCCAGAGCCCCCTACAGGGGAGCACTTTCCTGTTGCAAATTATCGGGGTTTTCTGCTCTGTACTGAGACTTGCCCTTTGTTGCCTTTGTTCTTTTGGGGCCATCATACACCCAGAGGCAAAAATAAGGAAAGACATTACTCCTGCATTTTTACCTACGTTTGGATGGAATGAAATCTGTGAATGCAATCCCATAAATACATGTTTGAACCAAAGCAAGACACTATCACCACAAGAGGCATGAGGGAAGCATGCCAAGGGGAAAAAAAAGCAGAGAAAAGGGCATCCGCTATTACGAAGTTGTGATAAGCATTGTGAAGTTTCAAAAAAGAAAATAATTTAGGAGCTCTAATTAAAACAAAAAAAAGAAAAAGAAAAAAAAAGCTGGATTCAGTGGCTCACGCCCATAATCTCAGCACTTTGGGAGGCAGAGGTGGGCGGATCACTTAAGATCAGGAGTTAGAGGAAGCCGGGCCGAATGGTGAAACCTCGTCTCTACTAAAAATATAAAAATTAGCCAGGCATGGTGGCAGGTGCCTGTAATCCCAGCTACTCAGGAGGCTGAGGCAGGAGAATCGCTTGCACCCAGGAGGCAGAGGTTGCTGTGAGCCGAAGTCACGCCACTGCACTCCAGCCTGAGAGATAGAGTGAGACTCCAACTCAAAAGAAAAAAAAAAAACAAACCCAAACCTTAGGCTCCCCTGGCTGGTGGCGGCCCCTCATCACATTCTTATAATTAAGGCAAATAACTGGCTTCATTATTTTTTCTAAGTCACATAGTGCTAAAATAAAGTAATTTTTTAAGGATCTGCTTCAATTGAGTATTTTAGTATTCCATCCTCACAAGACTCGCTGTTTAAATTGTAGGCAGTGTGTAATAGAAGACTCACAGGATCCTGACATTCACGTGTTATTCACATGCTATTCCTCCCGATAGGATTGGGCTGCAAGTACAAGGCTATGCATTGCTCACCAAAACATTTTTAATCTCAAAGCAACTTTGACGTTCTTACTGGCCCCTTAATAGGTACTAAAGGTTGATCCCAATTTATCTGAGAGGATGTTTTGGTGTTAAGAAGCTCCCAGTCTGACATCTGAAACCAGCAAGCTGGGGAGCGTCTTTAGGATTTTAGTCCTGTTTTATTACAATCTCCAAACATACTGGACAGACTTCCTTGCACTGCAGTCTGCGTGTCACCTGAACTGTAATGTTGCCAATCTTTCTCCTCTAGGTTCTAAGCAACTGGGCCAAGAAACTGCTGAGTCTATATTTGAATCTTTTTTGGGACTTTCCAGAAGCTCAATAAATATTATTAAACTGAAATACACTAAATAAGTACTTACAATGCCAAAAACCTTTTCTATTGATGTGCATATTTTGATTTCTTTTGTCAGAACTTCAAATTTATAAATCATATTATTGTTACCAAAGATGAATGAGAGTTTATCTGTCTTGGAGAGGAACATATGTAAATGAGGATATGAATGACTACTTTTAATTTCATGAAAAAAACGTACATTGCAACCAACAATTTGCATTGTAAATATTATAATTAGAGCAGAGACAATCCCTGGCAATCTTTGAAGAAAGGCTGGTGAAATCTTTTCAGAGAAAGCTTTTATTTTCCTAAGCAGCCTACATAGAGATTTAATCTGATTATTTAGTTAAGTTCGTAAAGATGAGCTTTTACAAAGCCTTAGCAAAGCCCATTCATCTTGCTAGTCCCTTACCTGAAGAATAGAAAAATAAAATGTACTTTATTTTATAAATGTTTACTTAGATTAGATTCCTTTTTCCTGCACATCTTGGTTTTATTTATTTTATTTATTTATTTTTTTACGACCTCTAAGGACCAAATCTCCAGCCTGTTAGAAATGATGCTATGTCACCTAACATTTTACGTAAAATTGCTATTGAAATAACCACTAGATGGCAGTGAATTGGCATAAAAATGAAGGTCTGGCAAGAAGATGCCCACTAGTAATTCAAAGGGGCAACAAAACAGTCTGTTCATAGATGCTCAACACCTTTCTTCCCCTCAGCATCCACGTAGCACTGAAGATTACTAGAAACCGTTGCTCACCATCGAGGCGGTGGCTTGACAGGGTCAGTGGATAGGACAATGACGAGCAGGGTGCAGCTACCAAGCCCTATATAGAGTGAAATGAACTTGAGCTTTGGAATCAAGCAGCCTGAGTTTGGGTCTTTGCTCCCTCACTAGCTAGGTATGGGATCTTGGATGAATTGCTTAACTTTGCCAGGCCTCAGTTTCCCTATCATTAATGCAGCAATAGTAATAATACCTCCTTCGTGGGTCAGAATGGAATGAGATGCTGTGCGTAGAGCACCTTGGAATGAGATGCTGTGTGTAGAGCACCTTGCATATAAAAGGTGCTTCAAATGACTGCTAGTACAGAATTTTCCAGGTCATCCAGAATTTTTCAAATTTTCAAATAATAAAATAAAACCTAAATCATATACTTGGGCTGAGTGAGTGTGGGGCAGCACTCTATAATAAAACACATTTATATTTCTGTAGCAAAATATATTCATACTAAATGGAATACATAATATATCCAAATATCAGTTCAGGTCAAATGTCACCAAATGAGTTAGAAAAATTCTTGGTGTTTAGAATTTTGGAGATTTGGGGATTGTAGGTAAGGGATTGTGGGTTGGAACTATCTGTTTATAAACCATGTCTTCATGGCCCTATATGCATGGCCCTATATGCATGGCCCTATATGCATGGCCCTATATGCATGGTCCTATATGCATGGCCCTATATGCATGGCCCTATATGCATGGTCCTATATGCCTATGAGCATGAATGCCCCAAGTAGGGGTGGGGAGAACATTGAGCTGCCCCTTTTATTTCCACATCGTTCTCATCATCCTGGGTAAACTGCTATGCTGACTACTCCCTCTAGACGATTTTGATTTTGGAATTTGTGTCTGACAAAATGACTGCATAAAAAGCAGGGGAAAATAGGTAATTTTCTGTACCCAAGCATAACTCTTGATGAAGAAAAAGGCTTATATCAGAGCAGGCAGGATGAGCTCAAATTTAGAATAATAGTGTTTACCAAGTAAAATCATAGTTAAAATTTTTCTCCCAGGCAAGTTTTATCTTAAAAGCATTGATAGAGGCACAATGTTCTAGGAAAGACAACACCAAAAAGATGTTGAAACCTTGTTTTGGGGAACTTGTTTGTTCCAAGTATGTCACCTTCAAATTTCTTCTTAAAATATCTTTAGCAAAGTGTTTTCAATCATTTTATTTGTGATTGTGCAGCCTCTCCTCCTAGACTGTCAACCCTCAGGGACAGAAATCAAACTTTCTCCTGTTTTTCTTTCTTTGTAATCTTCGTGAAGCTGATGACTTGCATAGCAAGTTCTGTGTTTAAAGATGTTAGAAATATGCAGGCTTTCTTAGCTCTAAATAAGAAAGATTCTTCAATGGTAGTCCAGGTATTCTCAGGGAATAGGTTAGACACATTTGGGAGTTGCATGAACCCTTTCAGAAAACAAATACATTGGATATTACCCAAGAAATGAAATTAATCTTAATGGTTTGAAAGAGCTGGAGGCAGGGATTATACAATGAACAAATCTTTCTTTATATAATCTGGTGGAGGATTTCTTAGCATTTTGTGCACATAAGGTCTAAAATAAAAACCCATCCTAAAAAGTAATTGCATAAACTAAGAGCAACTTTAGCTGTATTTCATCAAAATTAGTAGCATGGGGGAACCATGCCCACAGTGCTCTGTAAAAAGCTGCCTATGTTTTTTCTGAATGGGAAAAATAGGGTCATGTTGGCATAGTGGCTGGCAAGAGCAGATGATCAGTCAATGAAGGTCAATCAATTGATCAATCAGTCAGTCAATTGAATGGAACAACAAACTGATCATGGGCTTCCCTTGTGGAAAAATCTCTGATGGTCTCTAAGAGCCTACAGGACAAAGCCCAATTCCACAGCAGGGTGGTACTGGCCCTGAACAGTCACTTCTCAACCTACCTATTTTCAGTCTCATCTCCCTATCTGTAAGCCACTTTGGGATATCCGTTCAATATCCTCAGATTTTCTTGAATTCTGTCTCTCAGTCTTTCCTTTTCCTTGACTATCCTTTCTCCCCACCTCATCCTTCTCTGCCGTTCTCTGCTGGTTAACAGTCTACTCATTCTCAAAGGTCCAATATAAATAAACACTACTCCAAGGAGACTTTCTGTGCTGTCCTAACACTTTCTACATCAGACCACTTTAAGCATTCTGTATTTTTACCACTCTCATTTGTGAACTCTGACGGGTTTCAGGGAAGGATTATTATCTCTTTTATTTATTTTTTATTTTTTGTACGACAGAGTCTGGCCATGTGGCCCAGGCTGGCCTCGAACTCCTGTCCTCAAGCAATCCCCCTGCCTCAACCTCCCAAAATGTTGGGATTACAGGCATGAGCCATCATGCCCAGCCAGAAGGAGTACTTCTTACTTATCTTTGCATCCTAGTACTTTGCATATACGGTAGTTGGAAATTAATGGGCATTTAATGTATTTCCTGTTATTGATGAAAAATTGAGTCAAGCATGGTTGAACTCACTGGCATAAAACCTGTGGCAAACATATAAAGAGAAATAACAAGACTTCTTTATCACTCTGTTCTTCCACTCCTGGAGTCCTAAGTTTATAAATGAGGCAAGTCAGAACAGCTCAAGGTTGCACAGCTAATAAGTAGTAGAATCTTGGCGTTATATCAAGTATCCAAATGCCAACTCAGTGTGCTTTCCATGGTTCTGTCTCTTACAAATGAAAAGGCATAAAGGCCACTTCACGTGGACATGTCATCATCCCCACGTGGTACCACTTAATGGTTTTCCAAGTTACTCTGTGGATAAATGTAAATTGTGGTATCCTCTTCTTTCTTCTTTCTCATAACTGGGTAAGTTAATATCCCAGGGGAATTATTTTGGCATGTGGAAGAACTATTAAAAGAAGTTTCATTTGGCAAACCTCAGTAGCGATGCAGAGGACTGTTTCAGAGGTTTTGCTTTACAAGCTTCATGCACTTCTAATGGCCACTTTTCAAGAGATTGGCTGGCTGACCGGGGCTGGGTGAATCAATGACTCCCTTGTATCTGCAGAAATGCAATAGCTTCTCTTGACTTAGAACACATTTATGTCAGGGGTTCATATTTAAGTTCCATTGTGTTTTCTCTATTAATTTAAAAGGAAACTGTACAAATAAATGTATCTATGTTTTAAAATGTTTGATGGCGCAGATGTAACACAAGATGTCACTTTTTTTTTATCTATTTGAGTGACTAGCTTCATTTTCCAGTGTCAGTTTCACTACAGTGAAGATTGTGTATCTTCTTTAGGCATGTGTAACTTGGTAAAAGTCCAGCTTCATAGCTTGTCATGAATTTTGGCGTATTCAATTCTCTAGTTGCTTTCTGAGGATTTTTCTAAGTGACTTTTTCAAAAAGGCACACAGTTAACATAAACAAAGATTTCACTGTCTTCCTTAGAAGCATAAATTTTGTGCACCGTATGGTTTATCACTTCAAGACTCCCATCCTGAAAATCCATCATATTATCCTATGACTATTCTAGGCTCTGTTATCATTTAGTTAACAATTATTGGTAGTTTATTTTTGGAATGCTTTACGTATAATATTTTGGTTTTGATTAAAAAAATTTCATTATGGTAAATTCCAAATGTGTTCAAAAGTTGAAACAATAAACCAACATGTATTCATCTCCTAGCTTCAAAGATTATCAACTCATGGCCAGTCTTGTTTCCTCTGTACTCTGACACACCACTTGCCTCCTCTCTGAATTATTTGGAAGCAAATTTCAGACATCCCATCACATTATATCATCTGTGAATATCAGAGAAATATGTGTGCATCATATGTGTGCTTATGTATGTTTTAAAAAAAACAAGTACTTCCCTTTTTAACTAAGCACAATACCAATAACTACCCGTCAAAGAGCAATTTCACAATATTGTCAAACAGCTTGTCAGTATTCAGACCTCCCTCATTGTACATACATGTCTTGTATAGTTTGATTGTTCATACATAGCCTCTGATGAATGAGTCATTGAAGTCTCCTTTTATTTACAGGCTCTCACACTCCTCCCCACCTCCACCCCTTCTCTCATAAACTGGGTTGTTTGTCCTGCAGAGTTTCCCACAATGTGGATTTGCTAATTGCATCCCATGGTGTCATTGAACAGATCTGCTCCTTTCTCTCTTGTACTTCCTGTGAAATGGTATTTAATGTCTAAAAGCTTGATTAGATTTCAGTTTGTTTTCTTCCCAAGAATTCTTCATAGATAGTACTGTATACATCCATCTGGAGATAAATAATATCTGGTTGACTCTCTGTATGATGTTAGCTACATTGATAATTATTGCCTGGATTTATTAATCTACTAGAGTTTGCAAAATGATGATATCTTATCATTCCATCATTATTTATCAGGTGGAATAGTTCTACAAAGAGACACTTCTCTCAACAACTATTTGATTATTTGAGATAAAACTGATATTGGAAAGACAGGATAAATTCTTGATTCTTTCCCTTTAATTATTAGTTTTCAAAATAAGCGGGTTCCCTGATGTCTTTAAACACAACCAAACACTTAACATACTTGATATGTTTTAATCCAGTGCATTATAATTATTGATGCTCAAAGTGCCCTATAGTTAGCCCATAAACTTTATTTAATTTATAAACTGAGTCCTTTTGATATGATCCTAGTAATATTCAATAGATTGTTTGATATCTGGTTTGAAAAAATGTTCTGGCCGGGCACAGTGGCTCACGCCTGTAATCCCAACACTTTGGGAGGCTGAGGCGGGCAGATCATGAGGTCAAGAGATCGAGACCATCCTGGCTAATAAGTGAAACCCTGTCTCTACTAAAAATACAAAAAATTAGCCATGCACGGTGGCACATGCCTGTAGTCCCAGCTACTCGGGAGGCTGAGGCAGGAGAATCGCTTGAACCTGGGAGGCAGAGGTTGCAGTGAGCTGAGATTGTGCCACTACACTCCAGCCTGGGCAACAGAGCGAGACTCCATATCAAAAAAAGAAGAAGAAGAAGAAAGAAAAGAAAAGATGTTCCAAGCCCTGACTCCTTTCAGTTAGATGTGATACATAGAGAACACAATCTGGGATCTATGAGTGTGCATTGTTATTGGATTGATCATTGTTTCTAAGTCTTTCAGCAAGCAGAACTGGGAAATATGTTTTTTTTAAAGATACAATATATCAGGGGTTGATACTGACACTCCCACTTTAAATTTAGCAATTAATCAATCCTATATTTTTACCTTTTGTCTCCCACACCAAAAATCTCAGTATTCAAAAATAGAAATATAATTACTAATTTACCCTGTCTCACATTATACATACAATAACAGAACAACACCACAAACAATCCCACCAACAATATGATTACTAGAAGAAGTTTTTAAATTATTCTATTATTATTAGTTATTCTTATTTTACTTAAAGTATGGCCTACTAGAATTATTCAAAGAAAAGTCACTAAGTATTGTTTTCTGTCTGGTTATGCCATGAACCAGATTCTTAGTTCATTGTTTAATATTATATATAACTGTATTAGTCCTTTTGCATTGCTATAAAAGAATCCCTGAAACTGGGTAATTTATAAAGAAAAGAGGTTTATTTTGGCTTGTGGTTCTGCAGTCCAAAGCATAGTATCAGCCTCTGATCCTGGTGGAAGCTTCCAATCATGACAAAAGGAAAAGAGAGAGTAAGCATATCACATGGCAAGACAGGGAGGAAAAGAGAGAAGGGGAAGGTCCCAGGCTCTTTAAACCAGCAGTTTTTGCATGAACTAACTGAGCATGAAATCACTCATCACTAAGGGGATGGCACTAAGGCATTCATGACGGATCTGCCCCCGTGATCCAATACCACCCACTATGCTCCACCTCCATCACTGGGGTTCACATTTCAACATGAGATTTGTAGAGGACACACACCCAAACCATGTAATTCCATTCCTGCCTCCCACCCCACATCTCATGTCCTCACATCACAAAATACAATATTCCCTTTCCAATAGTCTCCCAAAGTCTTAACTCATTCCAAGTATCAACTTAAAAGTCCAAAATCCAAAATCTTACCTGAGACTCAAGGCAAGTTCCTTTCACCTATGAGCCCGTAAAATCAAAACATGTTATTTCCAAGATACAGTTGTGGTACAGGCACTGGATAAACATTCCCATTCAAAAAGGGAGAAATCAGCCAAAAGAAAGGAGCAAGTTCAAAACCCAGACAAGTCCAAAACCCAGCAGGGCAGACATTAAACTTTAAAGCTCCAAAATAATCCTTTTCCCTGAAATATTTTATGAAAAAATAAAGAAAGAAAAGAAAATGTATATGAAAAAAAAACCCAAAACAAAATAATCTATGACTCCATGTCCCTCATCCAGGGCACACTGGTGCAAGGAGTGGGCTCTCAAGGCCTTGGGCAGTCTGCCCCTGTGGCCGCTCTTGTGGACTGGAGTTGAGTGCCAACAGCCTTTCAGGTACAGGGTGCAAGCTACCAGTGGCTCTACCATTCTTGGGACTGGCAGGCAGTGGCCCCCCACAAAGCTCCACTAGGCAGTGCCCTGGTGAGGACTCTGTGTGGGAGCTCCAACCTCACATTTCCCCTCAGCACTGCCCTAGTGAGTCTTTCTGCCCTTGTGGCAGGCTTCTGCCTGGGCTTTCTGATGCATCCTCTGAAATCTACAAGGAAGCTGTCCAGCCTCCTTCAGGCTTGCATTCTGTGTGCCTGCAGACTTGACACCACGTGGAAGCTGCCAACTCTTATGGCTTGGGCCCTCTGAAGCACCAGCTTAAGCTATATCTGGGGTCCTTGAGTGAAGGCTGAAAGCAGAGCTGCTGGGATGCAGTGAACAGTGTCTCCAGGCTGAGCAGAGCAGCCGGGACCAGGCCTGGCCCCTGAAACCATTCTTTCCTCTTAGGTCTCTGGGCCTGTGATGAGAAGGGCTGTCTCTAAGGTCTCTGAAATGCCTTCCAGGCTTTTCCCCATTGTCTTGGATATTAGCACTTGGCTCCCTTTTAGTTATGCCAATCTCTCTAGCAAGTGGTTATTCCACAGCCTGCTGGAATTTCTTCCCTGAAAATGCTGTTTCCTTCTCTATCATGTGGCCAGGTTGTGACTTTTCTAAATTTTTACACTTTGCTTCCCTTTTAAATATAAGTTCCAAATTTAAGTCATTTCCTTGCCCCCATATTTGATGGTAGGCTGTTAGATGCAGCCAGATCACCTCTTGAATGCTTTGCTGCTTAGACATTTCTTCTGTCAGGTACCCCAGGTCATCACTTGTAAGTTGGAACTTCCACAGATCCCTAGGGCATGGACACAATGCAGCCAAATTATTTGCTAAGGTGTAACATGGGTGACCTTTGCTCCAGTTCCCAATAAGTTTCTTGCTTCCACCTGAGACCTGTCAGCCTGGCCTTCACTGTCCATATCACTATCATCATTTTGGTCACGACCACTTAACACGTCTCTAAGAAGATTAACATTCTTTCATCTTCCTGTCTTCTTCTGAACCCTCCAAACTCTTCCAACCTCTGCCTGTTACCCAGTTCCAAGCTGCCTTCACATTTTCAGGTATCTTATAGCAACACCCCACTCCTTGGTACCAATTTTCTGTGTCAGTAAGTTTGCATTGCTATAAAGGAATACCTGAGGCTGGATACTTTTATAAAGAAAAGAGGTTTGTTTGGGCTCACAGTTCTGCAGGCTTCACAGGAAGTATGGTGCTGGCATCTGCTTGTGGTGAGGCCTCAGCAAGCTTATGATCATGGCAGATGGTGAAGAGGGAGCTGACATATCACATGGCAAAGGAGGAAGCAAGAGAGAGAAAAGGAAGAGGTCCCAGACTCTTAAATGACCAGATCTTGTGTGAACTGACTGAGCGAGAACAGGAGAACCCACTTATCACCAAGGGGATGGCACCAAGCCATTCATGAGAGATCCACCCCCATGACCCAATAACCTCCCACTAGGCCCCAGCTCCAACATTAGTGATCACATTTCAACGTGAGATTTGGAGGGGACAAACCGTCCAAACTATATCATTTACTTTGAGGATTTACATTTTTGCTTTGATTGAGCTAAATTTAGTGTAATAGTATATAAAATATCTGCATGATTCCAAAGCATATTTAAGAAATTTAGTATTCATCTCTGTCTCCTCCAACTGTTTCTTCCCTCCTCCTATAGGTAACCATTTCAACTGTTTTATTTTATTTGTATTGGTTTGTTCCATTGTTGTTTTTTAAATATAAGAAAACACTGTTGACACAGCTTTATTTTTATGTCAAATATAAATATATGTCCTTGACATTTTATTTGCTCTCTCTCTCTCTCTCTCTGGTGTATCTTTTGATATTTAGAAAGTTGTGAATTAAAAAATTTAGTTATCTCTTACTTTAGTCTTTATTGTCACTGTTGGCAAATTCTGAACAAAAAAATTTCCCTTAATTTTTGTGGCAGTTGTATTAGTAGTTACTAATTATTTTAGGATTAGTGCAGATTTTTGCAAAATAATCTATCAATCCTTTTAAGACTATCCATATAGCCACCTGTAAGCAGCATACCTTTTCTTTCTAATGAGACAAGTGTTTATTAACAGCAGGAATAAAACCAACAGAAACAGAAAAGCCATCTGGTTACTTGGATCTCCATATTATTGAGGATTAAGGAAGAGTTAGCAGACTTAAAGTAAGAGCTACCGGATTTGAAAAAAACAGTACTAAATTATTTTCTCTAGCATCCTAGTCACTGGCATATGTTTTTCCTTATTGAGTGAAAAATATGCTATTGCCAGGATTCTGTGAGGTAGTGTTTTCTTAGTCCCCAACTTATCTTCATAACTTTCACTTTGATAATTTACAAGCCAGAGTTATTTTCTTAATTGGCAAAGTTGGTCACACCACTTTGTAAGGTTTTCAGCAAACCAAGGAAATATTGCCTAAAGAACCACTCAAATTGTGTGAGAACGATATTAACAGGAGTTCACTGACCATCGCATCAGTTTGGTGTATCATATACTACCTTTTGTTTTATTTAAAATTTTTTCCACACTCACATTTTTGGCTAGTGATAAAAACACTAGGTAACATTTATAAAATATGGTAGAGTTTTCTGATGCTTTCAGCAACAGCTACCTTATTTTATCTTCACGATGCCTTAACTTTATAAGGTGACGGAGTAAATGAAGAAGGTTTTGTTATCCAGTGTGACCTGTATGGCTATGGAGTCCCCAAGAGGGTAGGACAGTGGCAGGAGCTTTTGAATTCCCCCACTCAGAGCTTCATTTTTCTGCTCTTCAGGCATGTATGGGGTGGGTGGGAGTTAAGTTGAAGGGTCGGAAAGGTCTTGCAATTTCATACGTAACAAATTTAATTCAGTTTTTATTCACTATGCAGCACAGAAGCGGCCCTTTCATATTTAAAGGATCTGGCTTTCTGCATTGTGACTTGCAGAGTGCCATTTAGGCAGGGCACCAGTCTGAGAACAGTGGCTCTCAACAGAAGCTATATTGACCCTAGGATCTGCTTTAGAAATATGGGTGGAGTCATTTTTAGTTGCCACAATTAGGGGGTAAACTGGCATTTGTGGGACAGAATGGTAGGCATTTGGCCATGTATGGGAAAGTCCCTTGTACCAAAGAATTTTTTTTTTTTTTTTTTTGAGAGACAAAGTTTCATTCTGTCACTCAGCCTGGAGTGCAGTGGTGCAATCATTGTTTGCTGCAGCGTCAATGTCCTGGGCTCAAGCGAGCCTCCCTCCTTGCCCTCCAAAAGTGCTGAAATTACAGATGTAAACAATCACTCCGGCCTGTACTCATAATTCTTGAATATGATCCAAGACTTCATGTGCAAGTGAAAAATCTGTATTTAATTATCTGAACCTGGAACTTTATTTTATGTGTAGTCACAAGGTATATTTTTTGTATAGTGTAATATACACTAAATTTTTTCAGAGAAGATTGTTTCATTCAGAACTTATCAAGAGTTATTTACTATTCCAGAAAATGACATCATCAATGTTAATCACATGTTTGAGTTCATGAGTCATCAATACAACACTCAGATTCAGCCTGATTTTTGTAGTTTTTACATTGGGAGTGATTTTACATATGCATAAAATATCTACCTACTTCACTATACCCTTTGGTGTAATTAAGCCTAAGCTTTTACACATTGACATGTGTAATTCTTTAGTGTAAATTACTTTTTGTTCTTTATGTGTATGACCGTCAGAGTAGCATATTGATGGTTTTAACCTCTGTGTTTAGGTTGGTTATGCTAACTATAAATCTTACTTCAGTTTGGTAAAGAGGCATTGCAAAATAATTATAGTTAAAAGGAAGCATTTGGTTTTATAGGGTTGAGACCCACTATTCTAGAGCACTTTTATCCAAATACTGTATTTAATCAAATCCAAAATGCTATCGATTGTAAGATGTACCACTAAAAAAGATTTTTAAATGAGACCAATTAAACTATGAATTGTTTCCAGTTACAAGATGTGTCCTGACTTTGGAGATGTTAAAACATGTAAAGATGTGAGGCTTAGAATCGTTGAAATATTGGCATAATATTAATTATAATAGTAGCAGCTGCTGTTTATTAAGCACCTATTATGCTCTGTGAGCTTCACATGCATTATCTCATTTAATTGTTGTTACAACAATGCAAAGTTAGCACACGAAGAAACTGAGGGATACATTATTTGCCCAAGGTCATGGATTAAGTCTATGGTAGAACTGGGGTTTGAGTCTTTGAGTCTAGGTCTGACTTTATGTTCCAGACCCCTGTCTCTAGATCATCTGCTGTCTCTCGTTGCATGTTTCTCTCAAGATGGGAGGAATCTATGATTCCTCTCAGCTCTTGAGAAAATCCAAGATAGGTAGTAGCTCTTCTTAAAATCCAGCTCCCCTTCCTTAAGCAGAGTCAGGGCAGGCATGGGAGCTGAAGAAGGAAGGTGCTCTGCTCTCTCCTGCAGGGTGGAAACTGATGGAGACCATCGTAGTTCTGTGCTGAGAAGACAGGCCACCTGACCGAACATGACCCTCCATTTCAATGGATTTCAAATTCTTTTGACTATGACCTAGAAGAGGAAATTTGGTGGGTTTTTTTTTCCATTTGAGGTGAAGATCATGTAAGATAAAATTAACTATTGTAAAGTGTATAATTCGGTGGCACTCAGTGCATTCACAGTGTTGTGCAACCACCATCTCTCTGGTTCTATTAACAAAACATTCTCATCACCCTTAAAGGACACCTCATTCCTAGTAAGCTATTACTGCCCATTTCCTGAGCCCCCCAGCTCCTGACAACCGCTCATCTGCCTTCTGTCTCTATTGATGTCCCTTTTCCAAACGTTTCACATAAATGGAATCATACAATATGTGAGTTTTTGTGTCTGGCTTCTTTCACTCAGCAAAATGTTTTCAAGGTTCATCCACATTGTGGCTGAATACTATTCCACTGAATGGATACACCATATTCGCGTATTCATTCCCCTGTTGATAACATTTGATTTGTTTCCAACTTTTGGCTATTGTGAACTTTTATGTGCAAGTATTTGTTTGAATGCCTGTTTTTAATTCTTGTGGGTGTATACTCAGGAGGGTCATATGATAATTCTGTGTTTAACTGTTTGAGGAACTGCCAGACTGTTTTCAACAGCAGCCACACCATTTTACATCCCCACCACCTATGTACAAGGATTCCAGTTTCTTCACATCCTCACCAACACTTGTTATTTTCTGTTTTTTAAAAAAATTATAGCCATCCTAGTGGGTGTGGAAGAATACATTTTAAAAAATGATTTACATTTTAAATTACAACCTAGTATACACACATGCAAAGAAAAAATTAACTCAGATAGGAGCTTCACAAAATAATATTGCACTCTGTTATTTTCTATTCTATCATATTTCATTTTTCTTTAAAAATTCTGGTTATAATATACTAAATTGATTTCATTATCCACTAAAGGATGGTGGCCCACTGTTTGAAACTCATGGCTCTACGTGGATGCACAAATTCTAGGAACTTTTTCCGGTTTACATGAAAAATAGTAATAATTTGCCTTTGTGAGTCCAAGAAGACATCCCAGAAGACTATAAAGTAAATAAAATTTAAAAGTATAATTTACATTAACAGCAGAGTATTCAGGTGTTGAAGAATTCAGTGTTATTGGAAGAGGGCTGGCCCAAAGGTTATGACTCAGAAAATTGCTTTCTGTCCATGAACAAATAAGTTATCCTCTCTGAGATTAATTTTCTGCAGTGAGTAGATGCAGATCCCATGATCAGCACACTCGTTGGAAGGCTGTGATAAGGATTTGAACAGGATAATGGATGCGATTATAGTTTGAAAATAGTGTAATGATATAAACAGTGAATTGTGACCCTGGCACGCTGGCTCACGCCTGTAATCCCAGCACTTCGGGAGGCCGAGGTAAGTGGATCATTTGAGGTCAGGAGTTCAAAACCAGCCTGGCCAACATGGCGAAACCCCGTCTCTACTAAAAATACAAAAAACTTAGCCGGGTGCGGTGGCACGCACCTGTAATCCCAGCTACTCAGGATGCTGAGACAGGAGAATCATTCGAACCCGGGAGGACAAGGTTGCAGTGAGTTGAGATGGCACCATTGCACTCCAGGCTGGGCAACAAGAGCGAAACTCCACCTCAATAAATAAATAAATAAATAACAGTGAATTGTTACTTAAGTGTGTCTGCAGGAGCCTGCTTGTAGAGCACATTAGTCAATAATAATAATAGTGATAGCCTGGACAGCAACATTCATTAGCTACTTACTATGTGCCAGGCACTGTTCTAAGCTGTTTGTCTATATTAACTCGTTTAATCTTCTTATTATAATAGCTGTATAAGGTAGGTACTGTTAATATTAGCCCCTTTCTAAAAATGAGAAAATCAAGGCACAAGAACTTGATAACGAGTAGTCTGGCCAAAATTACATCTCTATTTGTAATAAATGGCAGAATTAGCTTTGAACCCAGAGGGTCCAGTTCCTGTTCCTAAATAGTTAACCACTATACTACACTTTCTATTTAAGACTGAAATCAGAATTTTTTATTAGTGTGTTTGAGCATTTATAAAGCTTCCTGTAGCATTAAGTACTTTTGCAAATCACATGCTTATCTGAGAATAATCAGTGGAAAAAAATGTACATTTTTAATACATTTTCAAGGAAAGAAGAATGTGATCAGCAAGTCCCTTCAATGAATGATCAGATATTAGCTCTGAAGACTGTAGACTAGCAGAGAGTTTTCTGAACGCATATGTATACATGTAGGAGTGCGTGTGTGTGTGTGTGTGTGTGTGTGTGTGTGTGTGTACGGGCAGGTGTGCAGGCATTTGCCCGCCGCAGCTTCAAAGAGAGATTGCCAGTTTCCTAGAGGCGCGATTGCTCGGGAACATGAATGAAAATCCTAAGACAGAAGAGACCAGTGGTTTAGCTGTCAGAATGCAGTGGCCTGCCCTCCTGACCCCTTGCTGACATTAAACAGCCCCTGCCCTGGAATGCCGCTCCTGGCCTGGCATCCTGGGAGCGTGTGTCCAGCCTGCGGGACAGAGATAAGCGTAAACCTAGCCTCTGATTCTGAACACTAGCTAAGGCTCCCGACAGTTGACGAGATTGATGATTTTCAGCTGGTATGTCTCCGTAACTGAGGAGGCCATAGCTTTGATGTATTGGTCAGATCAATTTGGCTTAAGTGCCCCAGTAAATGAATGCAAATGACTTAAGGAAATTTCTAACTCAAAGGCGAGCCACTAATCCACGTCTTTCAGACCAGAAGCCGAATCATCCAAAGCGGGTGCAGTATGTGGAGAAAGGGGTGCTTGTCTCCTCCGTTTTCTCCTTAGGAAGACTTCACTGTTGGAGACCTTTCTTCTGAGTGCTGCCCTGGGGTGCTGTTCAAAATCCAGGCGTCTCATGAATTATGCTGCCAGATCTAGGAGGAGCCAGTCCTCTTTGGAACTAGGTGAACTGGGCTAATGAGAAACAGGCCCATCTCATCCGCCAGCCAGTTTGCTCCAGGGCCAGAGGAAAGCCGGGGCCTCTGGCTCCCACATCCCATGTGGCAACCAACCATCAGGTTATGCTTGGCTTTGCAACCATCAGGAAAGGCCTCACGTCTGCCTAACTGCAAAACAATTTGGTTGGCTTATAAATTGCTGCCTCTATCATGTGCTTCTGAATTAAAAGGAACGGATGGTTTTTAAAGGTTTATCTGTTTCATTATTGATGCAGAATGACCTCGTGCTGACAAATTTCGATTTTCACACGGTTTCTTTGCTGATGCAGTATCTCTGCCACCCATGCTCTAGGGCAGCGTGGAGCCACTTCAGAGCATGGCTTTTGTGAGCCAGCGCCCAGCAGGGTGTTCTTTTCTGAGTGCAAAGAGAGAATCCACTGACCTCATTTGCTTCCATCCTGTGAACCTCTCAGTGTGTTTCAGAACACCAGGGTCTGAACAGAGAAGCTTCAGAATACTTTCTCCGACTAGAGAACTTTTTTATGGTGGGAGGAAAAAATGTTGCCAGTCCCACTTCACAGACACCTGGAATTCATGAAGTCTGAGGACTTCTTTCATTTTACTTTCAACTAAAAGCTCTAGCACGAAACAGCAAAGGCTCACAGAACTAAAGATCAGGAGGTGGCCCTGTGAGAGGGTGTTCAGCCTGGATCCCTGGTGAAACTCCATCATTGAGCAGGTCTGTGATAGCCCTTGTGGTCTGCTTTCTGCAGATAATACTCATAGACTATGCTGCATAAATTCTCAGATTATTCAAAGATGAACAAACAGTTCAAATGGGCAGTTTTATGTGAGTGTTTCACTCTCAACCCTTTCCTTTTTTCAGTATGTCTCCCTCCTTTTTTCCTCTCAAGCATATCTACTTCAGAAAGCGTGGAAAGAAAAGAGCCTGGTGGGAAAAGTCTATCAAGTGATAGTGACGTGCCCTTATGGAAAAAATTCTGGGGTAAGCAGAATTGGGGTTTTACTCTTAAGCTAACATGAGATGAGATTACTCTATCCTAACAAGATTTAAGCATCTTGTTTTTCTAAATGTTCGGTCATTTGTGTTAAAACAGAGGAAAATATGACATCTAACCTTTTTTTCCTGAGAAAATAATCACTGTCCTCCATGCTTTGCCAACAACAATCCTTTTTCCTCCCATTTATTGTAAGAGCTACAGTATCTGCAGTTTGGCAGAATCACCACCCTCTCTGGGGTGTTTGATTTCGCCTTTCGTATTTGAGCTCTTGGTGTGTGCGTGTATGTGTATGTGGGTGTGTATGTGTGTGGGTATGAATGTGGGTGCATGTCTGTGTGTATGTGTGTGCTGTCTGTGTATTTGTATTGAGGTAAGGACACTCTCTGAGATGTAAGAAAGCACTACAACTGTTTATAGGGAATGAGTTCTTTATTTTTATTCCCCAAGACGTTTTATAATCTTGTGTTTTTCAAGTTTGCCTTAAAGAATAAACAACCTTCTATTTTGTAAGTTTTTTTTAGATGTGTTCATTAGAAAGATCAGATCTTTCAGTACTTGCCATTAACCAGTTTTCTCTTAAGTTAATCATCCACATATAACTCTCCAAAGAATAGATTTACTTTAGTTGTGATTTTTCCAAAGTCTGTTTTTGCTTTCTCTGTTAAAAACAAATAGAAAAAAAAGGAAGGAGGAGATGAGAGAGAATCCTGCCCTTTTAGCATATAGAGTTCTGAAATAAAAGACTGAGTTGTACAGAAAAGCCGCCAACACCATCATTTGTTTTCTGTGGTTTCTGATGATTCTTTGTGGAGCAGTTTTCAAATGGAACATTTTCTTGCTATCACAGGAAAACAGCACACTCCAGGGTGGATTCTGATTGCTGTAGCTAAAATCTCTATCTCCTATTTCCAGAAGCAGAAACACAAATGAGGTCTGATGGTTGAAAACTTAATGGAAGAAAAAAATAGAACATTTATGCATAGAAATAAACACATACACACAAAGGAATACAGGAAAAACTGGGAAATCTGAATAAGATCAGTGGATTGTATTAGTGTCAATTTCCTGGCTCTGATATTGTACTACAGTTTTACAAGATGTTATCACTGGGAGAAACTAGGTTAAAAAGTACATGAGATACCTCTGTATTATTTATTATAATTGCATGTGAATCTAAAATTATCTCAAAATAAAAAAATAATTTTTAAAAAATTTGGAAAAGTAACAAAAGGAAAACTAAATAGTACCTTAAAAATAAAAAACTATTTAACATTTGTATTTTGAAAATAATTAGAAGCATATGAAAGAGATTGTGGCTTTTTTGTTCATTCTTTTATAAATTACTGGTAACTTATCATAGTACCTAAAACACGAAAGGAAACAGGTATAGTATGCTTCAGTTTGTAAGTTCAGAGGGTATTTTTGGTGGATTAAACCAATAACCTAAATTATCATGAGAATTATGAAGCCAAGTTTTTATGTACTTTGTGATAATTTAGGTTGAAGGCACATTATACTCTGACTGGCAACATCTAGGTAGAATTAAAACTTTATAACTTTGGTTAGTAAAAACGATGGAATTAGATAAATCCATTATCCTTTATGGCTATAATAAAGACCTTCGCCAAAACAAAGAATATGAGTATATTTGCTTTTCAGGGATGGGAAAAAGAGGATTCTAGGAATAACCATTAATATTCAGAGTGAAATGTGGGTTGAGATGAAAAGATAATACTTACCCCTTTAACAAACCATGTAGTCTATTACAGTGGATGAAGAGGTTTAAAAAAGCAAAATCTCTATCATCTATTTATCTATTAACTCTTTTTTTTTTTTTTTTTTTTTTTGAGACAGAGTTTCACTCTTGTTGCCCAGGCTGGAATGCAGTGGTGCAATCTTGGCTCACTGCAACCTCTGCCTCCCAGGTTCAAGCAATTCTTCTGCCTCAGCCTCCCAAGTAGCTGGGATTACAGGCACTAGCCACCATGCCTGGCTATTTTTTTTTAGTAGAGACGGTGTTTCACCATGTTGACCAGGCTGGTCTCGAACTCCTGACCTCAGGTGATCCGCCCGCCTTGACCTTCCAAAGTGCTGGGATTACAGGCATAAGCCACCACGCCCAGCCTGCTTTAGATATTTTCTGATATACGTTTATGTCATTATAAAACTGAGAGACAGAGTATTTGTAGCAAAAATTTTAGAGACCAGACTTCACAGAAAAGGAATAACTAAATCCCTTCTGAAAGATATCTTACTACCTAACCACCTGTCAAAGCCTGTGAGATTTACTATATCCCTGCTACAACACAACATAGCTCTACAGACAACTTGAACTCGAGATTTCGTTTTGATACGTGATTTTGTCATGTTTGGAGAAAGTGATGATGTTGAAAGAAAAGTGTCTCCTCTTTAAAATACGTTCCTTAAGCGACTGCCTTGGAGCGGGAGATTAGGTCTCATTTCCATTCAATTCAAATTGGGCTTAAAATGTAATTCCAGGCCCTGGCAGCTACCACAGGATAATATGCTCCCTCAGTGAGAAAAAACTTGGCACTTAAAACTGATGAGTAGGCCGGGTGTGGTGACTTACGCTTGTAAATCCTAGCATTTTGGGAGACCGAAGCTGGAGGATTACCTGAGGCCAGGAGTTCAAGATGAGCCTGAGAAACATAGCCAGACTCTGTCTCTACAAAAAATTTTAAAATTAGCTGGGTGTGGTGGCACATGCCTGTAGTCCCAGCTACTCAGGAGGCTGAGGTGGGAGGACTGCTTGAGCCCAGGAGTTTGAGGCTGCAGTAAACCATGACTGTGCAACTGCATTCTAGCCTGGGCAACAGAGTGAGATCCTGTCAAAAAAAAAAAAAAAAACCAGAGATCTTTGTGTTTCTTCTTTGCAAGAGTAGGATTAGCTCAGGCCGCTGCGGTGGGGCTGAGCCCACAGATAAGGATTATGTCAGCTTGGCTTCTAAGTTTGAGGAGTTAAAAGGAGATTGAGCAAGAGATTTACGGCTGGCTGCCAGAGGAACACTTCAGGTCACAGAGGCTTATGGAACTACTCGAGTCACAGTATGTGAAACGCAAACAGCTGTCTGCCTTACTGAGGCCAAACCTGAGTGAAAACGCATGGTTGTGGAGTGCAGGGGCAGGAACTTAAACACACATGCAAGGTGAAGGAGGGCCTGCAGAGAGTCTTATGAGCGGTCAGCCACTTCTCTGTTAGCTAAAACCTTCAAACACCTTTTTTCCTATTTCTGATACTGCTTTGGGAAAATAACCAGGCAGTTGGTCTGTGTCCAGTCTACTGTAATAACAGGATTACCATTTACTCGGCACCTGATTACCACATGCCAGCCATTTCATGTGGCTTATCTCGGTGTATGATTACACTACCCATAGGCCATAGGTACTATTACTATTTCCATTTCACAGATGAGTAAGCTAAGGCTTACAGAGGTTAAGGAACTTGCCTCAAGTCACATTCTTAGGAGTAATAGAACCAGTACTGAAATTCGAGCAGCTGGCCTTAGCGCATGCGCTCACTAAACTCACTACGGTGTACAGCTCTCTCTCTCTGTGGCAGCTGATGAGGCGGGAGCTGCTGGTGGAAATTCTTCATGGGTCTCTTGTGTTTCTACATATCTCCACTTTGCTAAAAGAGGCACTAGCCATCTATGTTCTGGGCTATATCTTCAAGAATGCTTATATAGCAAATAGTCTTGGAAGACAGAGATGGCACTGTCTCTGAAGCAAAGGGCAGGCATGCTTAGTGCCTACTTTAAAAAGTCCGAGTTCCCTACCTTCAAGTTTCCTCTACCACATCATGACTGCTGTGTCTGCACGTGTCTTCTGGCCCTCTTTGCATTGTCCTGTGGGAACTGGGGAGTGGGGAACCAACAGAAGTGCAGAAGTCCCAGCTACTGTATAGCTGTGAAAAATAAACCATCCTTTTGTCTCTCTCCCAGTAGTCTCATGTCTTCTACCAGCCTCCCTGGGATGTGGCCTGCTAACTTAGTTTGCATTTGTTCTATTTCATGACAGTAGGAGGGGCTAGATTAGAAAAGGGGCTAAAATAGGCCAAGCACGGTTGCTTACACCTGTAATACCAGCACTTTGGGAGGCCGAGGTGGGCGGATCACTTGAGGTCAGGAGTTTGAGACCAGCCTGGCCAACGTGGTGAAACCCTGTCTCTACTGAAAAATGCAAATATTAGCCCGGCATGGTGGTGCGCACTTGGAATCCCAGCTATTTGGGAGGCTGAGGCAGGAGTATCACTTGAACCCAGAAGGCAGAGGCTGCAGGGAGTCAAGATGGCGCCACTGCACGCCAGCCTGGGCAACAGAGTGAGACTCTGTCTCAAAAAAAAAAGTGGCTAAAATAGCTGATGGACTTTATGGAGACAATTTCATGGTTCCCAGAAGGAAGACAGAGAAGGATTTAATGCAGAGCAGTGAATCCCCTGGGCTTATGAACCAAACCACTTGTCTACCTAGTTTGTTTTCCTTTGACTGTTAGAGTGGATACTGGGGTGCTCCATCCAGATGTTACCTTCACAGCTGGGACACTCATTTCCCAGCTGCTGGAAGCATTGGCAGTCAAAGATTCTCATCTGAGTCCTTCTCCGTGAATTATCTTAGGCTACCTTGCCCAAGGATGGCCTCCTTCTACGAGTCTGCGGCTGTGGGTGGGTTGGGGGAAGTGAGGGAGTGCAGAATTTTCTGCCCTTGCTTCAAAGCAGGACAGCTCTGATGTTAGCTCCAGAGCTTCCTTTGGGAGAGGTTCAGTTTTCTGCCTTGTTTTGTGTGCGTCTGTGCAGACATCACAGTTCAGCTCCTTCCTCTGCTAAAATGCACTCCCTTCACTCATAGCACTGACTTAGAGGGGCCTCCGAAAGAAATTTCCAGTGTGTAATCTCAGTGCACAAATCTTAGAGAATGTTTCCCAGGGAAGTGACCAAAGACAGTTCTCTTATAAATCATGATATGCAACAAAAGGTCATATGAAAAAAGTGCTTCCCAAGATTTTGTGTGCTTTTAGTCACCATTTTTTGGTATCCATAGGCTTAAATAGGCCATTCAAATATTACCTATAAGCTTGAAAAAATAATATAGTTACCTCAAATTCTGATAGTTACATTAAAGAAATTATGTTTTTTAAGCACTAAAATTTTGACAATTTTGTAGTATATTCACCGAATTGCTTTTTCTAACACACTATTATACTAGTAAGTAAAAAGTAATAGAAAAATCTTTAACTTATTATAAAATGCCCTGATGGAAATTTTGGTACAATTGAATTTCTGTTTTCACTTGAGATACAGATACTTTGAATGTTTCATAGATTATGTAAATGGAACAGTGGGAAACAAGTCACACCATTTAATGTGTCCAGGAAAAATAGAATAACCTCCTTTCCTACAGAGGGAGGCAAAAAGACCGTAAGATTTGTTGGAATGGAAAATTTGGAGCTTTGCACAACCTCTGAAGTATAGATTTGGAGGGGAAAAGTGGTAATGAATACACTGAAACAACTTCCTCACTTTGGAATTAACAAGAATAGACCAGTAAGAGCAAGGATAAGATACAGGGCCAGTAGGTCAGTACCAGGCTGATGTGATGTCAGTAACGTTAAGGAACCCAACCTTTTGTTAAATGATGTCATCAGCTTTTTTTTTTTTTTTTTTGAGACAGAGTCTCACTCTATTGCCCAGGCTGGAGTGCAGTGCTACGATCTGGGATCACTGCAAATTCCACCTCCCAGGTTCAAGGGATTTTCATGCCTCAGCCTCCCAAGCAGCTGTGATTACAGGCGTGCGCCACCACGCCCGGCTAATTTTTGCATTTTTACTAGAGACAGGGTTTCACCATGTTGGCCAGGGTGGTCTTAAACTCCTGACTTCAAGTGATCCACCGGCCTTGGCCTCCCAAAGTGCTGGGATAGCATAGTTATTGGTTGTTTCTGATTGGAAACTAAGTGTGGAAATAAGACCTCTCCAGCTCCTGCGGTTATAAGCTTTGTCCCATGTGATAAACAAATCAGACTTTTTTTACGCTGGGAGTAGTTTAATTTTCAACCTCTGCTGCAGGGGAGACTATTCCTTCATTATATTAAGGTAAAAGCAGCACTAAGATATTTTAAAGTTTTATTTTTTAAAAGAAAGTTTCACATGAAACATGAACATTTCTCATGAATAAATGCATTATATTGACAAGTTTCATTCTTATCATGCAACAAGTTGAACCAGTTACTTTTAATCAAAATAATGTTATGCAAGATTTAATAGTCCAATACTCAACTCAGTTATGTAAACAAACAAGACAAGCTAAATCCTTTGTAGTCTGCTAGATGTTTTGCTTGGTTGGAATGGATCTCCCACATAAGACACAATCTTTAAATTGAAAAAGGAAGTCCTAGCGATAGCAAATATACAAACAAAAAGGAGTGTTAGTTTAAATCCTTATTTAGCTTATCTGAAGTTGCATACAATAAACAGAGTTTCATTGTGTTCCAAACAACTCATATATTGCTTCATAAACCTGGTATCTTATTATTCAAGACTTCAGACCAAAAATGAGGTAACAGATTGAGCAAGTTTCTGTTTCATCCATAGAGATATTTAAGGTGACACTACAAAGAAATTTTGGGCTGGGCATGGTGGCTCACACCTGCAATCCCCACACTTTGGGAAGCCAAGGCGGGATGTCGCTTGAGGCCAGGAGTTTGAGATCAGCCTGGCCAACATGGTGAAAATCTCTCTCTACTAAAAATACAAAAATTAGCCATGTGTGGTGGCATGATCCTGTAATCCCAGCTACTTTGGAGGCTGAGGCATGAGAATCACTTGAACCCAGGAGACAAAGGTTGCAGTGAGCTGAGATCACTCCACTGCATTCCATCCTGGGTGACAGAGCAAGACCCTGTCTCAAAAAAAAGAGAAAGGAATTTTGTTCTACAAGGGTGACGTTACAAAGAATACATAATTGTAAGGGAAACATCTTCCCCATGGGTATGAATAGTTTTTAAATTTTTGGAATTAGAGATATACAGATTCTTTTAAAATTGTTATCTAAAATCATTATTGCTCAATAATTTTCTAGCAGGTGAAACAGGCACAAAGTTTAACCAGTTGAAATCTGGGTGGTAAAAATGCAGACGAGGGGTTATCTCAAGATCAGCATTCAACTCAAAGGCAGTCCAGTCCAGTGCTTTTTGTGTGTGTTTGTGTGTGAGTATGCATGCATGTGGGTAAATGATCAAAGACTCTTAATGAGACCTAAGATTTCGAAGTTCTCCTAAGCAAGCAAATGTACATGAAGTACCTAATGCAATGGCTGGAATATGAAAAGACCTCAAAATGTATGTCAGTCTATGACTCTGCATGGATGGAAATATTGCCTGTCTGTCTGGATACCTCAGATAGATTTACTCAAGTCAGGCTTGCATTGCAGCTACAGAAAATTCCAAGCAGTTTTTTGATACCTACCTGATTGCTCTTCTAGTCAACACCCCTTACTGACAAATACTTCAGAAGCCACTCTTTCTGGCAGTTCTGGGCTATGCTCAGGGATCACTTGGGGGTCTTAAAAGCTGGGCAGAATCACCCCAAAGCTAAACAATTGAAAACAATGTAGGAAAACACAGAGGAGAATGAGTATGGGCTTCTTCCACGTGGGCGAAACAAGACAGTCAAGACAGTCATGAATCAAATTTTAAAATCAAATCTACCAGATTTTGATGTCTTTATGACACATTCTATTACTCAACTTTGGAAAAGAATATCTTGAGTCGTGTGAATAAGCCTAGTACTTGCATTTTGAATGGGTCCTTCCTTTGGTGTTTACAGTTCAGAAACAATAGAGATACCAAACAAGATAAGACTAAGCCACAGAGGTATCTGAAAAGCTGCCATCAATCAAAGCTCTTTGTGAAGCTGGTTAGTGCAGGTTCCATTGTTCTAAGGAGCAGGCAAAAGGAACAAATAAAATCCAGCTGTTTCTTCATTCTTGCACCAGGTGAGTCCCAGTATCAATACTTCATTCATTGTGGAGTAAGGGGAAAGTGGCCTTCATTTCCTTTCTCATTCCATTTTGAAACCTCAGATTTCTTTCTTTCTGCCAATGATACCCAGTTGTTGAGTCATAGCCACCTGGGCTCTAGTTCTGGCATTGCTTGCAATGTCATCATGAGAACCTGATAGATGGTGTTAATAGCAGAGTTTAGACTTACTGATCAAGAAAAAAATACTTTTAGATTGCTTACCTTTGGAGGGTTTTGCTATGTTTAAAGAAAGTCAGTTTTTGACACTCAAATTTAATTGACTGTCCTATATAGCAGTCATTTCACATGATAATTTTTTTCACAAAATAAAGGAATTTAGTGCGCTAAAAGTTTCCTGAATGGTGGGATGTTGATAAAAGTAAAGTTGTGAATTGGGGGGGTCACGTGAACCAGGATTTAATTGCATTTGTGCCACTTGGTGTTAGACCCTTTCTCTACTCATATTAACTCTACCTCTGTTGTTCATAGTTTCCTTACTCGCAAATTAACATAACTGTGTGATTTTTGTGGACTCTAGAAAAACATCTTGTGGGATGGATTTCTAGATTTAGAAATGCTTTTAGCATTTATTAACACCCATAACCTAGGAAATGAAAGTAATAAAAATAATATTTTGGTAAGACAGAAAATCTGTTTTCATTTCTCCTTTTTGATATTTTTAATTGGTTGGGGCAGAAAGTTCTTTTGTGTTCTTGTGTGGGCATGTATATGCTAATGAATTTGAGATGAGGAGCCACTGTCTTTAAGACAACTCTCCCTTATGATGTTTTGCATACATGTATATTCTCTTTCACTCTAGATTCAACTTCGAATAAACACCATGCTCTCAGCCAAGGAAGAGTAAATCTAGCATTAGTCATGACTGTCTTGTTTCGCCCACGTGGAAGAATCTCACATCCATTCGTCTCCGTGTTTCCCTGTATTGTTTTTGATCTTTTAGCTTCGAGAGATTCTTCCCAGCTTCTAGAACTCCCAAGTGATCCCTGAGCATAGTCCAGAACTACCAGAAAGAGTATTTTTCCAACAAGTTTCCAAAGTATTTGTTGGTATGGGGTGTTGACTACAAGAGCAATCAATAACTCTGCTTGGAGTTTTCTATAGCTGTAATGCAAGCCTGACTAATAAATCCAACCGAGGCACCCAGACAGACAGGCAATATTTTCATCCATGTGTTGAGGCCTTTGCATATTCTGGACAATGTGGGTTAGGCACTTCACGTACCTTTCTTTGCTTAGTCTTCATAACAGCTGAGTGAATCAGGTAATATAGTATAGTCTCCACTTTGTTGAGAGTTTAGGTAACTTGCTCAAGACCACTCAAACATTTGCCCCTGGTTCCAAATGCTGCAGTCTTAACTACTTAAAACATTGTTGGTCGGACATGGTGGCTCATGCCTGTAATCCCAGTATTTTGGGAGGCTGAGGCAGGTGGATCACCTGAGGTCAGGAGTTCAAGACCAACTTGGCCAACAGGGTGAAACCCCCATTTCTACTAAAAAGACAAAAATTAGCTGGACGTGGTGGTGCACACCTGTAATCCCAGCTGCTCGGGAGACTGAGGTGGGAGAATTGCTTGAACCCAGGAGGCAGAGTTTGCAGTGAGCCAAGATCGTGCCACTGCACTCCAGGCTGGGTGACAGAACGAGACTCCATCTCAAAAAAAAAAAAAAAATTGTAATCTGTACTGACAGCCCAATGCCCTGATAGATGATTAATTAAGAGTATTTTAACCCCTTTTACCTAAGAAGGAAGATCTGAATTCTTCTGACATGCCTATGTCATGTATTTTCCAGATAACACCCTCCAAAACCCCGCAAGGTGAAGCTCATGTCATCCAAAACCAAGGCATGAGCCAGAGCCTAAATAGAGGAAAGAAAATAGAAGAGAGAATTCTAGCGACATATCTGGTCATCATTCCAAGCAACCTGGCTGAACTTTTGCATCGACAAACAATTTTTTCTTGAGCATTTTTAAATTTACAAGCTGGTTTTCAACAAAGCTTTTCAAAAAGAAGTCTTTATGATGGTAAATCTTTAAAAGAAATGTGTTTTAGACCAAGAAAGGCAAACCTTTCATGTCCTGTTTAGTCTCTAGCATGCTTGTTTTCAAAACACAAGCTCCAGTCTGCATGTTTCTGCAGTCAACTGTCTGTCTTAGAAAATATCTCAAAATCAATCTGTCCCCGTGTTTGCTTATGATTCTGCGGTAATCCTCTGTTTGTAGTCACAAGTTGTCAGGAGAACATCATGTAAGGCATGGTATGAAGACTTAAGAAATCTTGAAATCAGAAACTTCAATTTTCTTTCTCTTGAAGTGTTTCTAAGGGATGAAAAATGAGAAAGGAAATTAGCATCTACTGTTACCTCATTTAATTCCTTCAACCATCTTCAGGGTATTATTGTCTCCAAAAAGAAACCAAGGTTCAGAGAAGAGGACTCACTTGCCCTGTGACCTATGACCAGGGGTCCCACGTTGGGACCCAGAATTCTGACTCGAACCCAGTGCTGGCTCCCCTGTGTCCCAGGGATGGGCAGGATAAGATGTTCTTTAAAACTTTGTTTGTTGGGCACCTCAAAAAACCCTTATGAATTATTGCTTAAGTTATTTTGGCATAATAACGTCACTAAGTCCATGGAAAATTAAACTTTTAGAATCTCTGTTATATGGCTAGATCAATACTAAACTACCCCTTTTTTTCCAAGTCCCTGGAAAAAGTGAAATTATAAGTTTTGACTACATGGGAGGGCTTTGGTGCCTCATACACTTGCATTAAATGCAGTATCCTTGAAAATAATAGAATATGTATTTGTGAGAGTAAAAATTTATACATGCAGCAGTCCATAAGAGAATTAGATCTAGAAAGTACAACTTGAAAGAGTTCTAAACTCTTAGAACAAATTGATTTAAATTTGAATAGTACTGAATATGAATTGATGGAAAGTGAATATTTAGAACCCCCTTTTGTGAATTTCAGTAAGCTGACATTTGTTAGCTCCTGACGCAGTAGCTTTTCTGAGTCAAGAACTGAAGGTACCTTGAATTACCTGACAGATAATCATACAGAGATGTGAAGTCAAATGTCATATTCCATTAAGCCTAATCTGCAGTTGCAGGAAGGGTGGACAATCTTGCCTAAACATTTGACAGATTTGGAATGTCTCTTGCCATAGACATTTAGCATGAACCAGCTTCATTGTCCTAGTATCTGTCACACAGAAATGGTCCCTTGCTCGGCTTCTAATGGATTTGCTGCAAAGGCTGTGAGGAATGAGTCACACTCAGGGACACGATGACACAGGAACAGCTTCTACAACACAATCCTCTGCAATAGGGAAAGCTGTGCCTCTCCCCAGGGACCTGCCTATAAAGTTGGTCTTCTTTCCACTAAGGAGGCATTCCTGAGAGCCCCCCATAAATTAAGGAGAACTTCTCTAGGTAACTACTAAAAAATAAGGCCAACAAACTAAATCCTTGGGATATGAAATATTAATGTGATGGGAATTACCTTAATAGGAAACAATTGAGTATACACTGTATTACATAAGTGAGGCTTAAAAAAAAAATAACATTGAGTTCCGGGCATTTTTTTTCTTCCTTGGAAAATGCCTTGAAATCTTTTCCATCAACACAGTCTAACAGTACAGGTTATGGGTGACATATAGTTTCAAGGCAAATTGCAGCTTAGTTGGTCAAACTCTTTCAGTAGGAAAAAAAATGACAATTTGAAAGAGTTCTGGAAGGGCTAACACTAAACAGTTCCATCTTGACCTCAAACCAACGCAATCTGCAAACAAGTCAATATGTGAACCCAAAGGAAGATTCTGCCCCAGCCTAAGAAAGGGACAACTTTTCCTTCTCTGGAATCGAAATGTTCCATGAAATTAAATCATTGATTAAAAGCTGGGGAGGCAAAGACTGTTGAAATGTCAGTTAAGATACTTTAGGCTGCAAATCTGATTCACCATTGCTTAAACGATAAGAAATGGTATCTGCACAGCTGGAAGTCCAGGATGGGATGGCTTCAAGTTTGGCTCTATCCAGGGACTGTCTCTCAATCTTCTGTTTAGTGGGTGTTGTCCTAGGCTGGCTTCACTCAAGGGGATAAAAATAAGTATGGTCCTCCCAGGCCTTATATCCATCTACACAACATCCTGGGGAAGAGGTTTCTGGAACCTCTAGTACTAATCCATATACCATGGGAATAACAGGTACTGATTGGCTTCAACCTGAATTCCTTAAATTAATCTTTGTGAAAAGGAGGCTGGGATGACCTTGATTGAGTTAAAATAGTCAGGGTTCCACCTGTGGAGTGGAGGATGAGATCAGTTTCCTACAATCCACATCCTACACAATGGGTGAGGGATGGAAGGAATGCTGGAGACTACCACATACCCGCCGATATTCATGATATCTTGGTCTTTTGTGTTTCACAATAAACTCTTAAGAACATTGTGAGTATTTTATGGATGTGAAGGTTTTTCAGAGGAATTTATTGTAGGGAAAACAAAAAGATCAATGAGTTTAAGCTTTTAGGCTTAAACTCTCTCTGCTCCCCTGCATTACACTTTTATTCTTATGCTGTGACAGCAGACCCTCCTCCCCTATTGGCCACCCCCTGTGCCCCTGCTAGTCCTCTGGGCCCTCTGTCATTCCCACTGTGGCCACTGTTGAAGTGACTGGCTTCCTACAGGCACTGACCAGCTTTGAGCAGGTGGCACCTGCCGGCCCCTTGCTGCAGGCCACTCCCTGTGCTTCTGGCTTCCTGCCGTAGGGTTCACTATGGATGCCTAAGGAAATCTGCCAGGCAGTGTAGGAAAGTTCACACCTACAGGACCATGCACCCCGTGTCCTTCAGCACATCTCAAGAAGCTCCTCAGAAAGTGCAAGGGTCGAGCCCCAGAGGCATCTTGTATCAACTTCCCTTCCTTTCTTCTTCCACTCTCTCTGCCCCTCATGCCAATCCCTCCTTTACCAAATAAGTGCCTTCCTTCAGGGTTGGAATCAGGCTGTGCTTTCAGGGATGCTCTGGACAGCATTAACTCTTAGGTGACATTTGTGTAGCATACATCTACGGAGAATGTAAATGTTACCTCGCAAACACATACATGAGCCCCCAAACTTCTGAAGACTAAAGCAAATTCAAGTCTTGAATTCTGTGCAAAAAGCCAGATTCGCTATTCATTAGAGTGTCCTATGTAACACCTTTCTCTCTGCACATCCCATCATCTTTCTCCCTAGACAGTAGCTGTCTCGCCATTTTTATCGTGTCTGGCCCACGAGTTACCTATGTATGTGCATTCTCAGAGAGTTAAAGTGTCTCAAAAGATGGTTAAAATGAAGGTAGAGGCCGGATACAGTGGCTCATGTCTGTAATCTTGGCACCCTGGGAAGCCGAGGAGGGCAGGTCACTTGAGGTCAGGAGTTTGAGACCAGCCTGGTCAATGTGGTGAAACCCCGTCTCTACTAAAAATACAAAAATTAGCCGGGCATGGTGGCGGGTGCCTGTAATCCCAGCTAGGTTGAGGCAGGAGAATCTCTTGAACCCAGAAGGCAGAGGTTGCAGTGAGCCAAGACTGTGCCATTGCACTCCAGCCTGCGTAACAAGAGCAAAACTTATCTCAATAAATAAATAATAAATAAATAAATAAATAAATAAATAAATAAATAAATAAAGTGAAGGTAGAGATGAAGCTACACTGGAGGAACAAACAAAGTGAAGGAATTGGAGAGAAAAGCTCATGCCAGGGATGACCCATGTGAAAAGAGACGACAGCTGGAAGGCTCACATCGTTACACCCCAGACTCAGTCCTGTGCAGATTTAGCTTTCGTCACTGGCCTGCTGCCCAAGATAGGTGGTAATATCACCTGAAGGGAGGCTATGGGAATCATATAAAATAATGCATTTAAAGTGCTTATTGAGCAGACACTGTATAAATAGTTCTTTTGAGACAAGAATTTTGCTCTTGTTTCCCAGGCTGGAGTGCAATGGTGTGATCTCGGCTCACTACAACCTTCGCTTCCCGGGTTTAACTGATTCTCCTGCCTCAGTCTCCCAAGTAGCTGGGACTACAGGCTTGTGCCACCACGCCTGGCTAATTTTGTAATTTTAGTAGAAACAGGGTTTCCCCATGTTGGCCAGGCTGGTCTCGAACTCCTGACCTCAGGTGATTTGCCCATCTCGGCCTCCCAAAGTGCTGGGATTACAGGCGTGAGCCACCGCGCCTAGCCTATGTTTGGTTGTTTTCTTACTTAGGTCTCTCTTGCTCCCCAAAGAGTTTAAAGCATCTCTCCTTTAGAATCTCTCAGCAATCTTACACTCCAGGTTGATATTATTGCATGTGAAGCTGGACAAATTGAACCTCAGCTGGAGCTTTAGGTGCAGCAAGCTAATTTTTACTTCCTTTATTTAAGACAATTTAAGGAAAGTACAAGCCACTGAGCAAATGTTTAGTTGCTCTTGAGCACACAGCACTGCCTGTGCGCTGGATGGTGGGGGGAAAGAGAGGGAGGGAACAAGGAGCAGAAGCAGCACTACCTGCAACCGGGAGATTTGTTCTGGTTGCTATAGACGCTATAGAGGCAATGTTCAAAGTCATTGACAGTCTCTCTAGTCTTCTCGTGACTTTCCCAAAGGTTTTAACTCAGTGACTACACACCACTGTGTGTACTACACACCAGGGTATACTACACACCAGGGAATATGAGAACACTACATACTAACCAATGCTTTCTCCCTGAGAGGCAAACACAGAAAAACCACAGTGAGACATTGGGTACCCAGAGGTATTTTTTGCACACGTTTATTTCTACTGAGGGTCATTTGAGCTCCAGTTTGACCAAAAGTATTTTAGATGATCTTACATTTTATTTATTTTTTTCAGATCTTAAGCCACATAAATGTGTTCTCAATTTGAAGAGAAAAGTTATTCATTAGCTTATCTTTCAGTCAGCTTGCATGCACTTTCTGCTCAACTAATTGTCATGTTTAGTGATTGCATTTACAACATTCATAGAAATAAATGATGCATGCATTTCTTATGATGTAGTAAACTTCAGCTGAAGGCCTTCAAAATCTGAGAGACACCACTGGCAAAACCTGAGCGTTGCAATTACAGGTCCAAGAAAGACCCATTCTATTTTATCTGTATAGTAAAAATTATAGAGAGAATTTCTATTTATTTATAATTCATTAGTGGCTATACCTTGGGATCCCTAGAAGCTACGCATTTGTTTTCAAAGCCTCTCTGGGATTTAAAAATCCCTTGAGTGAAGAAGGAATGCATCCCAGTTGTATGGAAAAGTTCCTTATCTTGGGTGGTCATTAATGGGATCAAAACAATGCCCAACGCCTGCTTTGTCAGGAAAAAAAAAAAAAAAAAGACGGTCGTGAGCCACACAGATGACATCGAACTTCAGCATTGTCAGTCAAACCTTGATGTTTCTCACTCTTAAATCTTAGTAGGAAATGTGAGTTAGTAAATACATGAAAGGAAGTAATGATTCCTTGTTGTTGTTTCTATGATTCAAACAGAAAACTACTAATATTAGTGTTTCAGATACTTTTCTCTTTTTTTTCCTTTAATAAATTACCTAGGAGTAAGCTTGAAAGAGTAAGCAAGAGGCTGTCTACAGTGCAAAGTCACCCAGCAAAATGGGAGCAGCCTTGCAGAAGGAGCAAGGCTCCTTTCAGAGGCACCTGGGTGGATAAGCTCACCCTGTTGGTGGCAGCTAGGAAAAGGGGTCACTAGTGCTCGGTGTTGTTGGATCATGTAACCTTCCTGGTCACCATCACCAGTCCTGAGCTGGAACTGTAACTTAGGGTGTGGCATAAGAGTGTAGAAACTTGAGCTTTAGGACCGGACAGGAAGACATTCCGGGAACCAAAATTGTATAAATCAAGAAGAAAAATGTTTTGGTATGACAAAGCAAAGTAATAGGTAGTACACTCTTTACAATTAAATGTCAAATGTCAACAAAATATGGAACCAACAGTAAAAACAAATGGATATACCTCAGCATATACTGTGTACTAGCTTTTTATGCTGACCTATTGCAAACTTATTTAGGCCTCTCTCCGCTGCACAGCTGTTGGTTTGTTTTGTTTTGTGATCTGATTCTTAAGCCTCTCCTCTCTCACTCTCTCTCTCTCTCTCCTTCTGATTGTTGAATTGTGGAAAATACTGAAACCTATCTATAGTTCTAAAATTCCAGGATAATTGCTTCTCATCTATTCATGCAGATCATCTATTCACACAACTTATTATTAACATGCACATAGGGAAAAATATTTCTGATTTACTACTTTTTGACATTCAGCCTTCTGTTCCTCAAATAATCAAGGTAATCATTCCTTTTGAAGCATCCCCTATTCCCTTCATCCCTAAATCAATGTGTGTTTCTGTTCCCTTTCCTAGGCCAGTGCCTCTGCCTGGAAGTTCCCAGGCAGCCTGGATTCCACTCCATAGTAGTAGCATTGCAAGTTACTAATGCTCCCTAGGCCTCGGTTTCCTGGTCTTTGAAATGAGAGAAAAATAACAATAATAGTAATAGCTACCTCATGAGTTACTAGATTGACAGATATATAATAGCTAATATCTACCATGTTAGGCATAGTCCTAAGTGCTGCTCATAGATTGTCTAGTTCCTTCCTCATAGCTATCTTATTTACCTCTAAATGGGATATTGTTATTATCCCATTCAACACATGGCAAAATTGACATTTAGAGAAGTGAGCTAACTTACCCAACTACACCCAGCTATTAGTAGTAAATGTGGGTCGGGTGCGGTGGCTCATGCCTGTAATCCCAACACTTTGGGAGGGTGAGGCGGGTGGATCACCTGAGGTCAGGAGTTCGAGACCAGCCTGACCAACATGGTGAAACCCTGTCTCTACTAAAAATACAAAATTAGCCAGGTGTGGTGGCAGGTGCCTGTAATCCCAGCTACTTGGGAGGCTGACGCAAGAGAATCGCTTGAACCCAAGAGACAGAGGTTGCAGTGAGCCAAGATCATGCCACTGCACTCCAGGTTGAGCAACAGAGTGAGATTCTGTCTCAAAAAAAAAAAAAAAACTAAATGCGCAGCTGGGTATGAACTCCGGAAGTCTGCATCTCAGGTCTGCCCTAATATCAGTATATTCCTATCATGAAACTATATTCATTATATTTGTAGCAGAGTATGTGATGCACAGTACTTGCTAAGTCAATGTTTATTAATTTCTCTTTTTCATAACTTTATCATATTCCTTAGAATTCAACCCAGCCAGCAAGACGGAGGGCCTCCCAAATGCTGCGATCTGCTCCGTGCTGCTCTGCTGGGCCGTCACTGCCCCCTGTGCGTTCCTGCGGGCGAGGTCTTCTCCCAGGTAATTGCTAGTTTACTGCTCTCTCCCACTAGCCTGTAAGTCCATTGAGAACTTATTAAGAACAGCATCTCTCTCAGCTCTGCGCCCTAAATGCCTAACACATTTTAGGGATTCCACAGAAACCTGGCGAACAAACGAGAGGACATATGAATGTCTTCCTTTGATCCTTCTCCTGGAGCAAGCAGTTTTCCCCACATTTCTCCATGAAGCGAGGCTTCTTTCTGAGCATTGGCCTGCTGTCATCTCCTAGAGATCAATGATGATTTTAGAGATAATAAAGATAATAGAGATCTGGGATAGTATTTTTTTCTAACCAACTACAAACAAACTCAACATTTTACTAGCAAAGCTCTGCATGTTTTTTGTTGTTGTTAAAGAACCAAACCCTTTTAATGATTTTTAAAATAATGTTAAGGAAAACAAAATAGGTCTCTGTAAATGTTTTATCTAAAATGAATAAATTTCTGAAAGTTCACAATCTTTATCCGTGCTACAATGTCATCAGGATATTTGTTTTATTGTGTGTTTTGCAGTTTCTGGTAATAACCCTCCCATGTTCTAGTGGTCTATTTTTACAATGTATCTTAGAAAAAGAGGGAGAACTGTATGTTTCTAGCAGGCAGAGTTGAATACTGTCATATTCCCTAAAATTTTTTCATTTTGTTGAAACAATTCTGAGGCACGCACCATTAGATAGATTGATTATTAGCTCAACTGTTAGTCATTTGGATGCATGACACCATTGAGCTTAGCAGGAGTTGAGATGGCCGAAAATGACTCAGAATGAATTTGGATGCAGCCAATCACAAACCAGGTCTCAAGAGCACTGTTGCCTGCTCTCAGTCTGCCAGCCTGGACCACATCACCTCAGTCATCCATCAACTCTGGGATCACTGTCCTACTCAGTGGCCTGCAAAGTCAGCTGCCCAGATCCTAGCAGGTATGCAAGAAAGAAAATATTAGAACTTCTATTTATGGTTACTTTAATACTTTACCAAAGAACAAAATTTCAGCAAACTGAGTTTTAAAGATCAAATTGGCTTTTATCAGTGATTCATGAACTGGGCAGCATTCGGTCTACAGAATAGGCAGGCACTCTGCTGGGTGTGGCACAGCAGTCATTTTTTGTAAGGTAGTTTGAACAGAAACAAGGAAACAGCAAGTACAAAAAGCGGAATGGTTAACATCAGGTTACGTTTCTTGAATAAGTTAAAGCAGAGGGGACTCCATCATGAAATGAGTGAGTCCATTTTGGACTAGTTTGTTGGGGTCTAATGCAGGAGCTCAGTCCAAATCGATGGCTGTATTAGGCTGTTTTCTGTTGCTTATAACACAGTACCCAAAACTGGATAATTTATGTAAAAAAAGGAACTTAACTTCCTACAGTTATGGAGGCTGTGAAGTCCAAGGTCAAGAGGCCGCATCTAGTGACAGTCTTCTTCCTGGTAAGGTCTCTTTGCGAAGTCCCCAGGTGATGCAGGGTATCACATGACATGGAGCTGAGCATGGTGATGTGCTGGCTCAGATCTCCCTTCCCCTTCTTATAAAGCCACCACGTCTCTTCCTGTGATAACCCATTAATCCATGAATAAATTAATCCCTTCTTGAAGGAAGAGCTCTCATGATACAATCACCACTTAAATGCCCCATGTTTCTTTTTTTTTTTTTTTTTTTTGTAGAGATAAGGTCTTGCCACATTGCCCAGGCTAGTCTCAAACTCCTGGACTCAAGCAATCCTCCTGCCTCAGCTTCCCAAAGTGCTGAGATTATAAGCATGAACCACTGCAACTGACCCCATGTTTCAATACAGCCACATTGGGGAATAAGTTTCCTACACATGAAATATAGGGGACACATTCAAACCATAGCAGTGACCTTTCATAAATTTTATTTAACAGCTTTTTTTTTTTTTGAGATGGTTCTTGTTCTATCTCCCAGGATGGAGTGCAGTGGCATGATCTTGGCTCACTGCAACCCCTGCCTCCCAGGTTCAAGCAATTCTCCTGACTCAGCCTCCCAAGTAGCTGGGATTACAGGTGCCTGACACCACACCGGCTAATTTTTGTATTTTTTGTAGAGATGGGGTTTCACCATGTTGGCCAGGCTGGTCTCGAACTCCTGACCTCAAGTGATCCACCCACCTTGGCCTCCCAAAATGCTGGGATTACAGGCATGAGCCACCATGCCAGGCCTAACAACTTTTAAAGTTCCATTTTTGTGTATATTTTTAAATATACACAATATATTCAGAGAGTAATATATATTTATAGCTTATAAATAAATATACATGCATTAGAGATTCTCAAAACATTTCTATGAGTAGGTTGCATCCCTGATAGAAGAAAAAAAGCAGATCTCAAGCCATGAAGAATGTATGAAAAGCTAGAGGTCAACCAGAGAACCCAGTGCATTTTATTGGCTAGGTGTGATGTGTGTAATTTTTTCACCACAGGCTCAGGCAGAGTGTGAGACATTTGCAAGTGGAAGAGCAGGAGATGGTGGGCCTCAAGTGACTAGGAGAGCGGGGACTGGGCACTTTGACAAGTAAGGAGACTACCTAGGCAAGGCAACTGGGAATCTACCCAAGTTAGTCTTTCTGAAAGATAATTCTGCTTCCATTTAATTTCCTTTGAAAGAAGAAGAAAGGTTTTCTTGGAAAATCATTGCAGATTATCTATGGAATTAGTAAATCTCTATCTTGAGTCCTATCTCTTTAAGTAAATTCCGAAATGGTTTAAATTCCCAAGCTTAATCTTTCAAGAAAATCTCCTGTATTGTCCTCACACTGCAGAATGTGTCTGTAAGGGGAAGAAATAAACTTGAAAAACCAAATTCTTTTGTAATAATAATCTTGAAACTCTTTATCTCTATTTGATGCCAAGGAGAGAGGGGGTGACTGCTTCTCAGGAACCCTAGGGAGATGAGAACTCACAGGTTGTTTTCAGGTTCATTTCTGCTGACCGAACATGAAGACCTAACTCTCTGATCCTACCTGTGTGGGGATCAGGGAGGGAGGTGTGCTGCAGTGAATGGGATGAAGTGAACTGGATCAGAATGTCACTGGATAGGATGGCTCCCCATTTTCTTTAGAAATAATCATTTGGAAAGCTAGTTAGTTGATGTATCAAATATTTTCCCCCGAGACTCAGACTCTCAGCCACTTCTGTATTTCCTTCCTTTTATGCAATCACTTACCTTGCCTGAAATTCTATTACCTAAGGCAAAATTATTGAATAATAATTACTTACTTGATCTTTACTTTTCAAATAAAATAAGAAAACCTGAAGACCATTGTTTTCATTTAGGATTTCTGTTTGAAGTGGAAATTTTCTAGGTATATGAAACTAGGTATGTTTTTTATTTTAAAATTGTGTGGTTTATTTTTAAAGGATGGTTCAGTGTCCCCAGGCCAGATATTTTGAACCTGGTTTCCCGTATTAAGCAGGAAGGAAATCTGCAGTTTAACCTCAAGTTATGCAGCCTCAGAGGTTTGAATTGAAATCAGGGCTAAAATAATACATATTACAAATGACAGAAACACCTCAATTGTCTGGGAATAAATCTCAGGGAAAGAGGAGAGAAACAGGGGGTCAAATCAACTGAAGAACAATTTCCTCCCAATCTGTTGGACTATCAAAGCTATTTAACATGAAATGGCTAGGGACCTGATCATAATTAGAGCTATTCACTGCTAGGAAGCTTGCATCATCGTTTAAGACGTGAATAAGTGAGTCTTGGTATAATACCACGCAAAGAAAAATTTTAAAACCTCGACAGCATTTCAAGACAATTAAATTTACATTTTATGAATGGACAAAGAGGAAAATGTTAATACAGAAAAGGCCATGGCCACGCATTCACCGTTGGGTCCACTTAGCATTCTGCTCATCAAGACACTTGTCTTTGGAAGATTGATGACTGGTTGATATAACGTCAAATAAAATAAGATTTATTGCTGGCTTCTGATAAATGCCTTCGAAATGCACAGGGAAAACCACTATTTTATTTGTCTATTTTCTCATACTTAAACAATATAGTTAAAAAACAAAAGCCTGCTATGATAGGAGGAGAAGGAAACAAACAGAGTCCGTTGAAACTTTCAAGCTAAACATTCTGCCTTTAAGAGAGTAGGAGTGTTTGATGGTCTTCCAAACACAGGGGCTACAAGGAGAATTGGCTAGAAATGATTAAACCAGATGTCTATGCTTTTCAGTCTTAAGAAGAGACCATCCACACATACTTTCCCTGAATTATAAATTTTATTTTACCTTCCTCCATTTCCTAAGGCTTTGATCTATCCTCTACACCTCCTAAAAATCATTTAATATGTATCGAGGAGCATGCAGGTACAAAAATGGACTGGCTGAGTGGCAGAGAGATGATAGCAGCTCCCAGCAGAAATGGCTCTATGCTTTCTGAGATCAACATTTAACACATGAATAAGAAGGCTACAATCCATGACAGGATGAGTCTAGAGGGAATAGAGGCTTTCACTTACCCTGTTCCATCATGCATGGGCAATTTTATAGCCACAGACTGTGTTTAAAACTTCTAAGCTTATCTCCACATTAGTAGTTAGAAGATCCATTATTTGGCTGCTTCTAAAAATAGGTGTTTTGTTGTCTCTCAACTATAAACAGGTTAGCCTTTACAGGGGAAAGCACTGTGATAGAATGACCCTCTCTGAACTTCCCTGGTGTAGAACTAGAGCAGCTGAAATAGAAGAAAGCACCACTTAGAACCACATGTCAGGAGCACGTCAATATTCTGTCCATATTTTCAGAAATGCAGCTCGCCCTTTGACAAGCTAAGGAACTTAGCTGCGTGTTTTTACTTAAACTCTGTCTTCCGAGCCATCCTTGTTCCCTCTTCCTCTCTGAACAAAGATTTAGTGAGGGTATATTATGTCCCAAGCAATGTGCCAGGGACGAGAAAGGTCATATGCCCTAATGCCAAGTGAATGGGAGCATATTTCAGGTCGTCCTTATTGCCATCTGATGCTCCACATCACTGGTGGGTTAGGTATGTTTGTCCTTGTTTACATGGAAGGACATAGTTCCAGCTGTATTGCTGAAGTTATGGAATAGGAAAGCATTCTGAAGCCTGGGCTTTTACTACCCACACCTCCTACTTTATGCCCTCGTCCCATCAAGTCAGGCATCAAAGGTTGCCTATTCACACCCTTTAAGTCTCCCTCCAATCCATTCTCTCTTCCCTGCCAGTCTTGAGTTTCGTTTCTTATTATTGATTCTGGAGACTGAGTATCTCCCGTTCCATCTCCTCTCTCTCCTTTAATCGGCCTTGCATATGACCACCACAGCAATCTCCCATTGGCAGCAATGGAGGAGGCATTTCTTTTCCAATTGTCCAGATTCTCCTTGATGTGGCCTAATTTATCATTCCAGTAGAAACTCTGACTGCCCTCTAACAGGCAACACAATGCTTGCTTTATCTTTAATCACATTGTCTTTTTTCCCTTTTCTGTGCCTTTCTTCGTTGGATTCCTATCTTCCAGTGACTTGCCCACCCAAGTTAGTGCATGGCTTCTGGTCTCCCAGAATCCTTCATACAGACCTCTCTTACAGCACTTAGCACAAGGAATTATACATGTTGTTCGTGTTTCTGTCTCCCTATTAATGCAATATCAGATTTTTAAGAATAAGAACTTTCTATTACCAGCCAATGACAGGGTCCCTGGTTTAGAGCGGCATTCAGCGTATGTGAAGAAATCCCCCAATATACTAACTGAGGAGTCAGAACTCAGCCAAAACAGCATTGTTTTTGTAACAATGGGTGCTTTAAAAAATACCACTTCTGAGGACTGGGGACAAGATGGCCAACTAGATGCAGCCAGGAAGTGCTGCTCCCACTGAGAGAGACCAAATTATTGAGTAAACCACCATAATTTGAGCAGATCTTTGGAGAAAGATGTTGAGAGTGGATGAGACGGCAACACTGAAGGTGAGGCTAAAAAGGAAGGAAGCTGGGATCTCTGCACAAGGTACCTGGATGCCAGGGCCAGTTCCCGACCCCAAATGTAACCTGGGAAAGGGGTGAGTGAGGGAACTGAAGGATGACTCACTCTCATCACAGACCTTTGGGATCCTAGCTATAGGTGACCCTGCCTCCCCCCATGGATGTGTGAGCTGGCAGGGGTTTCTCCCAGGAAGCAGGCAGAGACAGGCCTTTGGGTGGCATGGAGCCTGGAAGCTCTTGCACACTGGGCAACTCCAGGGGAGAGTGGCCATAAATGCTCATCCCCCAGGGCTCCCCACTCCCATCAGGGAGGCATGGACCCCAGCTGACCTCAGAGCCGGGAAAGAGTGGGGCCAGCTTCCCTGTGGGACTGGGGTACAACTGCTCTGAAAGGCCACCTGCCTGCCGGCCCCTCCCAGGGTTCATACCTAGCCACCTTGCAGAAGCAGATGCACAGTGCAGTTCCTGCAGCTCTGCCGGTGTTGCTGCACTTGAGTATTTTCCTGGTGGCTCAGGAGCACATCAGATTCCCTAGTGCAGCCAGAACCCAAACCCAAGCTACAGGACATCCTGGTGCCTCCAGGGCTGCAACACGCAATGTGGGAGTACAAAGCAGAGATCTGTGGCTGGCACTTGAGTGAGCGAGGAGCTCCCCACCCTCAGAGCACTTAGAGGGGTGAGATGCATCGGTTCCTAGGCCAGGGCAGGAGCAGGGCATGCCTGTCTCCACATGGTGGTCTAGAAAGAATGTGGCATATCTCCCTGCTGCAGCCTCTGCCTCAGAGGGGCCTGTGGCTCAGAAAACCTAACAAAAGAAACAGAGGCATAGTGTCGGGGATCAGAGGGGCTCCCTAAAGGCTCAGGAGTGGACCTGGTGAGCACACCTGTGAACGTGAAAAGGACAAAAGAGCTGCATGGCTGGGTATTAACCTAGCTACTGGCCACTATTCTTAAGCTCCATTGACTAGATCACAGGCCAAACTACAACACGAAAAATTTATCTTGCTAATATATACAGCCATGAAACCAAGTGCAAGAATTCACACATACATGAAGATCCTGTACAGAGCCGTGACCCTCTGAAAGCATCCAGAAATGAAGCCAACAGACTATACTCAACTTACACCACAATTAAAGGAACACCAATACCCCCCACCCCAGATAAGAAAGAATCAGCACAAGAACTCTGGCAACCCAAATAGCCAGAGAGTCCCCTTACCTTCAGGTGAGTCCACTAGCTCCCCAGCAATGGTTCTTAACCAGTCTGAAATGATTGAAATGATAGATGTAGAAGTCAGAATCTGGATGGCAAGCAAACTCACTGAGATTCGGGAGACAGTTGAAACCCAATTCAAGGAATCCAAAGAACCCATTAAAACAATCCAAAAGCTGAAAGATGAAATAGCCATTGTGAGAAAGAACCAATCTGAACTTCTAAAGCTGAAAAACTCACTATAAGAATTTCATAACACAATCAGAAGTATTAATAGCAGAAGATACAAGCAGAGGAAAGAATCTCAGAGCTCAAAGACCAGTTATTTGAATCAATTCAATCAGACAAAAATAAAGAAAAAAGAATTAAGAAAAATGAACAAAACCTCTGAGAAATATGGGATTGTGTAAAAAGATCAAACCTATGATTCACTGGCATAGCTGAAAGAGGAAAGAGAATAGGCAACTTGAAAAATATATCTTAGGATATAGTTCATGAAAATTTCCTTAATCTTACTAGAGAGGTTGATATGCAAATCCAAGAAATACAGAGAACCCCAGCTAGATACTATAAAAGATGACCATCCCCAAGGCACATAGTCATCAGATTCACCAAGGCTAATACAAAAGAAAAAAATCTTCAAGGAAGCTATAGAGAAGGGTCGGGTCACATACAGAGGGAATTTTGTCAAGCTAGCAGCAGACCTCTCAGCAGAAACCTTACAAGCCAGAAGAGATTGGGGGCCTATTTTCAACATCCTTAAAGAAAAGAAATTTCAACCAAGAAGTCTATATTCTGCCAAACTAAGCTTCATAAGTGAAAGAGAAATAAAATTCTTCTCAGACAAGCAAATGCTGAGAGAGTATATCTTAACTAGACCAGCCTTACAAGAGGTCCTTAAGGAAGCATTAAACATGGAATCCAAAAAAATGATACCTGCTACCACAAAAACACACCTAAGCACACAGCCCACAGGCACTACAAAGCAACTATGTGATCAAGTCTACATAACAACAAGCTAACAACACAATGACAGGACCAAAATCACAGATATAAATACTAACCTTGAATCTAAATGGGCAAAATTCCTCACTTAAAAGACAAAGTATGACAGGTTGCATAAAAAACAAGACCCAACCATCTGTTGTCTTTAAGAGATCCATCTCACATGTAATGGCACCCACAGGCTCAAAGTAAAAGGAAGAGGAAAGACTTACCATGCAAGCAGAAAACAAAAAAAAAGAGCAGACATTGCTATTCCTGTATTAGATAAAACAGACTTTAAAACAATAAAAATTAAGGACAAGGAAAAGCATTCCATGATGATAAATGGCACAATTCAACAAGAAGCCTTAACTATCCTAAATATATATGTACCCAATATTGGAACACCCAGATTCATAAAACAAGTTCTTCTTAGCCTACAAAAAGACTTAGACAACCACACAACAATAGTGGGAGACCTCAACACCCCACTGGCAGCATCAGACTGATCATCAAGGCAGAAAACTAACAAAAAAAAATGGGACTTGAACTTGATACTTGACCAATTTGACCTAATAGAGATCTACAGAACATTCCACCCAACAACCACACACATTCTTCTTATCTGCACACAGAACATATTCTAAGATTGACCACAGGCTAAGTCATAAAGCAAGTCTCAATACATTCAAAATAGTTGAAATCACACCAAGCACACTCTCAGACCACAGTGCAATAAAAATAGAAGTTGATATCAAGCAGATCTCTCAAAACTATAAAAATACATGGAAATTAAACAACATGCTCCTGAATAATTCCTGGATGAACACTGAAATTAAGGCAGAAACAAAAAGTTATTTGAAATCAATGAAAATAGATACACAACTTACCAAAATCTCCAGGATGCAGCCAAAGAAGAGTTAAGAGGAAAGTTTACAGCCCTAAATACCTTTATCAAAGGGTTAGAAAGATCTCAAATTAACAATTTAATTGTGCACCTGAAGGAACTGAAACAAAAAGAATAAACCAACTTCTAAGCTAGCAGAAGAAAATAAATAACTAAAATTAGAGAACTTAATAAAATTGAGATGCAAAAATTTCTACAAAAGATCAATGAAACCAAAGTTGATTATACAAAAAAAGTTGATAGACTGTTAGCTATATTAACAAAGAAAAAAAGATAAGATCCAAATAAGTACAATCAGAAATGACAAACATGACATTACAACTGATTCTACAGGTATACAAAAATCCTCAGAGAATACTATGAACTCTATGCACACACATTAGAACATTCAGAGGAAATGGATAAATTCCTGGAAACACACAATCTCCCAAGATTGAATCAAGAAGAGACTGAAATACTGAATAGATCAATATTGAGCTCTGAAATTGAGTCAGTAACTTAAAAAAACCTACCAACCAAAAGAAGCCCTGAACCAGATGGATTCACAGCCTAATAGTACCAAATATATAAAGAAGAACTAGTATCAATCCTCCTGAAACTATTCCAAACAATCAAGGAGGAGGGACTCCTCTCTAACTTATTTTATGGAGCCAGCATCAGCCTACTGCCAAAATATGGCTGACATGACAAAGAAAGAAAACTTCAGGCCAACATCCCTGATGAACGTAGATGCAAAAATCCTCAACAAAATGCTAGTAAATTGAATCCAGCACCAAAAAGTTAATTCACCATGATCAAGTAGCTTTATTACTGGGATGCAAGTTTGGTTCAACATATACAAATCAATAAATATGATTCATCACATAGCAGAATTAAAAGCAAAAACCATGTGATCATCTCAATAGATGCACAAAAAGCTTGCAATAAAATCCAATATCCCTTCATCATAAAAACCCTCAACAGACTGGCTATAGAAGGAACGTACCTCAAAATAGTAACAGTCATCTATGCCAAACACACAGCCAACATCATACTGAACAGGCAGAAGCCACAACCATTCCCCTTGAGAACTGGAGCAAGGCAAGGAGCCCACTCTCCCCACTCCTATTCCACATTGTACTGGAAGTCCCAGCTAGAGCAATCAAGTAAGAGAAAGAAACAAAAGGCATCCAAATAGCAAAAGAAGTCAAACTATCTGATATGGTTCTATACTTAGAAAACCCTAAAGACTCTATCAAAAGACTACTAGAACCAATAAATGATATTAGCAAGATTTCAGTATACAAAAGTCAATGTACAAATATCAGTAGCATTTCTATACACCAAAATGTCCAGGCTGAGTCAAATCAAGAACATGATCCCATTTATAATAGCCACAAGGAAAATGAAATATCTAGGGATATAGCTAACAAAGGAGGTGAAAGATCTATACAAGGAGAACTTCAAAACACAGCAGAAAGAAATCAGAGATGACACAAAAATATGAAAAAATATCCCATGCTCATGGATTAGAAGAATCAATATCTTTAAAATGGCCATACTGCTCACAGAAATGTACAGATTCAATGTTATTCCTATCAAACTACTAACATTATTCTTCACAGAATTAGAAAAATCTATTCTAAAATTCATATGGAACCAAAAAAGAGCCTGAATAACCAAAACAATCCTAGGCAAAAGGAACAAAACTGGAGGCATCACACTACCTGAGTTTACTCAAGGCTTCAGTAACCAAAATATCATGGTATTGGCACAAAAACAGACCCACGGACCAATGGAACAAAGTAAACAACTCAGAATTAAAGCCACACACCTACAACCATCAGGCCTTTGACAAGGCCAACAAAAACAAGCAATGGGGAAAGGACACCCTATTCAATAAATGGTGCTGGGATAACTGGCCAGCCATATGCAGAAGAATGAAACTAAACCCTTACTTTTTACCATATACAAAAATTAACTTAAGATTGATCAGGCTGGGCATGGTGGCTCATACCTGTAATCCTAGCACTTTGGGAGGCGAGGTGGGCGGATCACAAGGTCAAGAGATTGAGACCACCCTGGCCAACATGGTGAAATCCCATCTCTCCTAAAAATACAAAGATTAGCCTGGCGTGGTGGCACACTCATGTAGTCCCAGCTACTCAGGAGTCGGAGGCAGGAGAATCACTTGAATCCAGGAGAAGAAGAGGTTGCAGTGAGCCAAGATTGCACCACTGCACTCCAGCCTCGGCAACAGAGACAGACTCCATCTCAAAAAAAAAAGAAAAGATTGATCAAAGATTCAAATTAAATGTAAGACCTCAAACTATAAAAATTCTAGAGGAAAAGCTAGGAAATACCCTTGTTAACATTGGTCTTGGTTATGAATGTATGGCCAAGTGCCCAAACAAGATTGTTACAAAAACAAAACTTGACAAGTGGGACCTAATTAAACTTAAGAGCTTCTGCACAGCAAAATAAACCATCAACAGAGTAAACAGACAACCTATAGAAAGGGATAAAATATTCACAAACTATGCATCTGACAAAGGTTAATATCCAGAATCTATAAGAACTTTAAACAAATCAACAAGCGAAAGACAAATAACTCCATTAAAAAGTGGGCAAAAGACAAGAAAAGACACTTCTCAAAAGAAGACATGCTAGTGAACAACAAATATATGAAAAATGCTCATCATCACTAGTAATCAGAGAAGTGCAAATAAAAACCACAGTGACATTTCATCTCATACCAGTCAGAATGGCGATTGTTAAAAAGACAAAAAACAGCAGATGCTGGCAAGGCTCCAGAGAAAAGGGAAGGCTTATACACTATTGGTGAGAATGTAAGTTAGTTCAGCCACTATGGAAAGTAGTGTGGAGATTTCCCAAAGAACTTAAAACGGAGCTACCATTTGACCCAGCAATCCCATTACTGGGTATATACTCAAAGGAGTATATGTAGATCATTACACCAAAAAGACGCATGTACTTGTATGTTAATCGCTGTGATACTCGCAATAGCAAAGACATGAAATCAACCCAGGTGCTCATTAATGGTGGATTGGATAAAGAAAATGTGGTACATACACATCATGAAATATTATGCAGCCATAAAAAAGAATGAAATCATGTCTTTTGCAGCAACCTGGATGGGTCTGGAGGCCATAATCCTAAGTGAATTAATGCAGAAATGGAAAACCAAATACCATATGCACATGTGGACATAAACATGGGAACAATAGACACTGTAACTCCCAAAAGTAGGGGGAGAGAAGAAGGCATGGATTGAAAAACTGCCTATTGGGTACTATGCTCAGAACCTGGGTCCAACATACTCATGTAACAATTCTACACATGTACCCTCTGTATCTATAAGTAAAAACCGAAATTTAATTTCAAGAACATTTCTTTTAATATTCATAATAACTCACAGGAAGTGTGGTATCATAAAGTACAGAAAATCAATGGTATATTTCCTGAAAACATAGAATTATTCATCCTAGCTCCTAGACTGTAAATATCACTTGAGTTTTGGCTCAAATAAGTTTATCTTTAATCAATAACAAGCTGTTGGAAAGAAAGAATGGATAAATGAACATGTGGAATTTAATTACTTGAGATGTTTACTTTCCTCAAAATAGAAGCGAGACAATGAACAGGACAGAAGTGAATTCATTGGCCAGACCCTCAAACTGTTGGTGAGTATCACCACCAAAGATCTGCGGGCAGTGTGTGTTGGGGAGTGTTTAATAACCAGCTCACCAGGATAAAAAAAAAAGCCCAATTTGTGGTATTTGCCAATTTCCAAAGTGTAAATACTCCTGCTATGCTACCAATGCAGTCACTGAACATGGAGTTGGGAACTGGATCCAGCCAACTCCAGCATACCAGGCCTAGTACTGCAATGGCCAGTATTGCTACAGTCTGCTGTGCACACATTGGAAGCTCCAGAAATCCTCTTTTTCTGCGTGTTGTCATTGTCATTATTTGTTTGTTTTGGTTAAGAGGTTGGAGTTTAATGTCAGACCAATCTGGCAGGAACACTGGCTCTGCCATAGAGGTTTGATGCTGGGTAAGTTGCTTTAAACGCTCTAAACCTGGGCCTCCTCATCTGCAGATAAGACTGGTAAGTCTAGTGGCAACCTTATAAGGTTGTTAGAGAAACACATAATACAAGCAAAGAGTTTTACTAGTACCTGGCACTTAGTGAGTGTTTAGCAAATATTATCTGTTGATGATGATGATGCTAATAATAACATTCCTTGGTTCTCATGCAGGTGAAGAGGAACGTTTCCTTGGAATTAAGGTACTGAGTTTTGGTGTTAGTGTCATTTGGTAGCTTCCTGGCTTGTTCCTTTTGGCCTCTCCATGCTGCCTGTTACTGTTTGTCAGACTAATCCTGAGATCCCTTTTGTCTCATTCTTCATCTCTACCTTCTGTGGATCTCTGGGCACTGATTTGTTGCACCGATTTTGTACAACAAACTTTTGTTATATATATTTTCTTAGTTTTGACTTTCATTCACTTGGCTAGTCTCATCACTGCCCAAATCCCTTGATTTGGAAGAGTACTCTAAACATTTTATCAAAAATATACAGCTGATCATTTTTTTCTGAAAAAAAGTCGTTCTCAGTGGTTATCATCATTTTCCATTTTTATCAACTCTAATCTTTAGAGTTTCTATGCTATCTCATTTAATCTCTAGGTAGGTACGACTATTCTCAATATATAGTTGAAGACACTGAGGCATACAGATGTTAAGTAATTTGCAATAGGTCACACAGCTTGTGGGAAGTTGAAATGTTTAAAATGAGATCAGAACCTTGGTAGACTTGCCTCTGCAGCCTGCACTTCCTTCGTCTGAGCTCTATTCAGCCCCTATTTATAACTGTGGTAAAATAATTCCATTCTGAAATATGCTTCACATTATATGGATTCAATTAACTGCAATCTGATGTAACTCTAAAATCTTCTATTATGATATTTTCCACTTAGAGTTTGTTCTCTAGCATTTTGTTAGAGTTAGAATCATCAAGCAGCTTATTAATGATATAATGAGTGACTAAGTGGTGAAGGAATGGTGAATAGAAAGTAAAAAGAAATTTAAACCATGTTCTCATCAGTAGACATCAAAGGTCTGTATCTTATCCATAAATTGAGTTGAAGATACAATAAAAGTATTAGCCACAGTAGACATTAGGTAGACTGAACTTAAGATGTTCTTGTGCTATGTAAAACATGCTTAATTTCAAAACTCAGAAATTGCCTAATGAAAAACATACCCAGTAAGAGGTGGGGAAAGTCCATTTCTATTATTGGAGAGGAACAGAATACAACTATTAGCAATATTCTTGTTTCTTTGCAGCTGCCGCTAAGTAAAGGTCAAGGCACGGGGCAGCTGGATGTCCGTGTGGATCCTGCAAATGGAGAGGCTCTGCTGTGGAAACAGAATGGAACTTAACCTCAGCTAAAACAGTGGTGGAGAGCAGAGTGATTTTCTAAATAATTAAGTTTTTTCTTTTACATACATTAAGCCATACACACAGCCTGAGGCATTGACATTTTAATTATTTTAATCAGTCTTTGATGACCTCCTAGGGTTTGAGTTTTTTTTTGTTGTTGTTGTTTTTTCTAATGGAGTCTGGCTCTGTAGCCCAGGCTGGAGTGCAATGGCGCGATCTCGGGATCTCGGCTCACTGCAGCCTCCACCTCCCGGGTTCAAGCGATTCTCCTGCCACAGCCTCCCAAGTAGCTGGGCCTACAGGCATGCACCACCATGCCCTGCTAATTGTTTGTATTTTTAGTAGAGACAGGGTTTCACCATGTCAGCCAGGATGGTCTTGATCTCCTGACCTCATGATCGGCCCACCTCGGTTTGAGCTTTTTTGAGGAACCCAGTCATGAGTTCCAACTGCTCATCTTTGCCTGACCCTCCAGCAAGGTCCTGCTGTGCTAGTTCTTTTTCCCCCTACATTTTCCCCAGAAGACTCAGAGCCTACTGTGTAGCAGGCACTGCACCAGGCACTTTGCTATGTTTCCTCTTTAAATCTTCTCAGTAACCCTATGAAGGAGGTCTCCTTTTACAGTAGAGACAGCAGAGGTGCCAAGAGATTAAGGAGGTTGCTTAAGGCCAAGGAGCAAGGACCTGGCAAACTTGAGATGGCTCTTTGGATCTGTACATCTGTGCACTTGTCTTTGCAAAAATGTTCATTGGCCACCACCAATTTTCTTACCTGACTATAGGCCAAAGAATGCACGTTTTGCATATTCTGCATAAAGTTTACATTCAATTTCTTTTCCAAATTTTTTTTAAAAGACCTTAGGGAAACATCACAAATTTTATTTCTTTTACGTTTTTCTCTCATCGAATCTCTTTCTTTCCCTCTTTGACAGCTTTATTGCATAGGTTTAAGTAGTCTCACTACCTGCGAGAATTTGATAAGAAATCAGAGATAATAAATCTCAAATTGAGAAAGCATTCATGGCCCATTAGTCATTTTCTAAGTACATAGTTACTCCTGGAAATGCCATCATCCTGGAACCTACTTCTTCACAGATGAGACCATATGAGCGAATCCATAAAAGCATTTTTGGCCCTGAACACTCAGAGGAGAAGTATGATGGGGTGATGCAGAAATGTTCTTAGAATTATCAACATTTGTTACTGTAGAATAGCCATAGTTTTTTACATTGGGAATACTCATGTGCCAGAAGAAAAAGAATGGTTATTATTGTACAACACAAGAAAGATATTTAAAATAGAAGGGGATCCGACTATATCTTCTATACATTATCTTGGCTACTAATGCAACTTCATGGTTGGGTTGTGAGAAGCTATGCTTGGTCTTGTTCTTTAATATTTAATAGAACTCAGATTTTTAAAACTGAGGAGTTAAAATGGGTCCAAGTAAAATAAAATCAAATAGAGTAACATCTTTATTGCAAAAGATTATTTGTAATGCAGACACATGCACGTGCACGCGTACACACACACACACATACATTTTTACAGCTTTATTAAGTGGGAAATGTTATCAAGGCATGACTAGATCCTTGTTGTGACTCTTTTGGTTTTAATCTTACACTGTTAAACTCACAAGAAACTCTCTATGTGCCCATTTTAAAGGAGGGGCAGTGGTGAAGGTGAGAGGGGTTGATAGTCACTGATTGCTAACTGGCAAAGTTGCGTGAATTCTCTGTTTACATTTTCTAAATGTCAGCAATGTGCCCAATTCTCTGTTCTGAATGCTGCTCCCAGCTGGCTGCTTTACAAGCACAGGGTGTACATGAGTAACAGAGACAATCTCAGAAAACCTTGGGAAGTCCAGTTCCTCCAGCTGGCCCTCAGGGTCATTGAAAGTGAAGGCTATAGAGCCAAGGGCAGAAAGCAAGGGATGGAGAAGGCTGATTCAGTGCATTCTGGGAAATTCACAGGGGTGACTTACTAAATGTGGTACTCTGTCTTGTAGGTGCCTTACCAAAAAAATTAAGTAAATCTAATCCCTTCCACCTCCAAGGTCACCAGCTTATTGTAATGCCAGTCACCTGTACTTGTGTTTTATTTACTTCCTTCTTTCAAGTGTTCCCATGTTGAACAGTGTACATATCTTGATCATGCATTTCTTCACTGGTTTAAAAAGCAGGTGTTGGGAACCAGGGGCTACATGCCTTTTATTAGGTTGGTGCAAAATGAATTGTGCTTCTTGCCGTTACATTTAATGTCAAAAATCGCAAAATTACTTTTGCACAAACCTAATACAGTCTTGCAGTATAAGTCCAAGGTAGCTCATGTTCCTCTGTGTGTGTGCGCGCACGCGTGTGCGTGTGTGTTGGAGGTGCATGTGTGTGTGTACCTACAAATATAAGAGTTTGCTAATACAGCTTTGGAACAACCAAAGAGAGTTCTCAAGGCCATTTAAACCTCAGGGAAGTGAATTTCCTCTGCAAACAGGTAACCAAAACAAATCTGAACTTCCAGAGTTGCAAATGCATAGAGTGGAAGGCAGCAATTTAGTTAAAAATCCAAGCCATTACCTTGTGTTTCTGTTTCCTAAGGAATGTGTGCTCCGGAAGAGAAAACATTAGTATCCTATCCATCAAAGTAGGGAACACATTGTTTTATCTCTTTCCCTAGAAGTTTTAGGAATTTCCATTATATCCTGTGGGAATTGAAATATCCTTCAGAGATAATCTGCTGCGTGTTTTATCCTCTATCTTATCGACCATACATTCTTTATGCATTTGCTTATATCATGAAAGGCATCTTTATTTAAAAGTGATATTGTTTAGAAATGAATAGTTGGACATCAGTTGACATCTTTTCTCTCACTTAAAATATTTATAGCCAGAAAAACTTGTGTTTCATAACATCTGCTTGGACTTCTGATTCATAATGATTTAAATATATGATTACTACAAGATTAGCTGCAGAAACTAATGGCTTATCCATCTGATCTGATGTATTTTAGGCATGAATGGCTCCCCTCCCCCAGTCATGTGTACCTCTGAGTTATACCCTTTTATACTTGATGAGACAGATCTTATGTGTGTGTTAAAAGTGTGGGTTTGGGGAATGCTGATGTGGGGACTGCAAATGCTAGTCAGTCCAGAGTGGCTTAACAATAGGCAGAAAAGGGGTGGGACCCACATACTGTAGTCACATGGTGCTGGGGGGTCAGGAGAAGGAACCAGAGTCAGTGTGAGTACAGAGCAGAGAGAATCTGGAGTTAATCAGAGTAGAAGTTATCTGGGTAGTCTGTGGATATCTACCTTGCTGGGGGCAGTGTCGGGGGTTTTATACTCAGGGAGGCAAAGAGTCCAAAAATTCTGGATGTGGATTATTTTCCTCTGTCTTGTGCCTGCTGGTATAATCTTTGGCTGACAATATCATTATTAGTCCATTCTTGTATTGCTATGGAGAGCTACCTGAAATTGGGTAATGTATGAAGAAAAGAGGTTTAAAGACTCACAGTTCCACAGGCTATACAGAAGCACAGTTGGGGAGGCCTCAGGAAACTTACAATCATGGCAGAAGGCAAAGGGGAAGCAGGCACATCTTACATGGGTGGAGAATGAGGAAGAGAAAGAAGGGGGAAGCGCTACACACTTTTAAAACAACCAGATCTTGTGAGAACTCACTATCATGAGAACAGCAAGGGGGAAATCCATCCCCATGATCAAGTCACCTTCCACCAGGCCTCTCCTCCAACACTGAGGATTATAATTTGACATGAGATTTGAGTAGGGAAACAGAGCCAAACTATATCATTCACTGGAGATAACTAGTTTCAAAACAAGCAACTCCCTTAAAAAATAAGTGTCTGTCTTAGTCTGTTTGTGCTGCTATAACAATATATCTGAGACAGGGTAATTTATAAATAATACGTATTTATTTCACAGATCTGGAGGCTGGGAAGCCCAAGATCAAGGCACTGGCAGACTTCATGTCAGGTGTGGCCTGCTCTCTGCTTTCAAGATGGCGCCTTCTTGTTGTGTCTTTGTTTGGCGGAGGGGTGGATGCTGGACCTTCACATGGCAGAAGGGGCGAACGTTATACCCGCTCATGGGGAAGGCAGAAGGGCAAAAGGGCCAGTTAGTTAAGGGTACCAACCCCATTCATGAAACTGGAGTCCTCATAACTTAATTACCTCCTAAAACCCCCTCCTCTTGGTACTACCATATGGGGCCTTAGGTTCCAACATATGAATTTGGTGGGACACCCATTCAAACGATAGAAGTGTCCATGCTCAACATTTAAAAATCTGTATAATGCATTATTGAAGAGTTTAAATATTCTAGATTTATTTTCTTTTCAAAACCTGGAAAAATTGCTCAACATATTATTGGGTGTTTTGCCATTTCTATTATCTAGAATGATAGATTCAATGAATATATTTTAGTATATTATTTTGGTATCACAGGCTAAGAAACACCAACTTAGGAAACCTATCTTTCAAAAAAAATCACGTTCACATATAGGATGGCCTACAGACAAAATATGACCCGTAACATTTGGCAACATTTGTTCTTTGACCACTCAGTGTTTTCTTTCTAAACATTGAATATGAATGCCTTTAGGCAGGGCACGTTTTCTCGTTGCTGCAAAGGTTCCTCTGCTCCCAGTCAGTTTAATCTTTGCAGAGTCACACATGTATCTGTATCTGTATATCCAGATCTATCTCTCTAACTCATCTACGATTTGTATGTATGTATGTATCTATCTATCTATCTGTCTGTCTATCTATCTATCTATCTATCTATCTATCTATCTCTACATCTTAACTCTCTGGCTCCAAGACTTTTATAAATGTTCAATAAATGTATAAAAACAGCTAACAGGTATTGAAGGCTTACCATGCTGCAGACACAGCCATAGGATGCAAGTACTATTTTTACTTCCATTCTAATATACAGAGGAAATCTAAGAAAATTGCCCAAGGTAACACAGATGGTAAATGGCAGAGGCTGGGATACAAACTCAGGGGGCCAGCTCCAGAGCTGTTACTCTCCACAACCTTCTCAGCACAGTAAACAGCCAGCGGCAAACTCTCCTTTCACTGTGTGAGCGCTTCCACGTCCAGGCTGTGATCCCAGCACAGCCCAAGCTTTATCTACTTCTGAAGTTCAGATGCAGAAACATCTGAAAACCTCACATGCACATGTGGGGGCACAAGGACTGAGTGTTCTGGGATCTGACGGACTGACAGGAAAAGACACTCATCTGCTAATAAGGCAGCCTCTATAGCCAGGACCAGCTATCAGATTTGCAGGGCCCAACGCAAATGGAAAATGGAAAATGTAGGGCCTTTGTTCAAAAGGCAGAAACAAAGCGCTGTTAAAATGCAGAAATAGACAATGTTTTGCTTTCTTCCCGGCCACTCTTAATCTGTGATGGCACTTTTTGTTTGTTATTAAATGTGCTCCCTCATGGACTCAGAGCCATCCAGAGGCCAGCACAGGCTGCTGGTGCCCATGGCCCTGCCCTGCAAGGCCTGCTCATATCTACATCTATACACAGGTGTGTTATGTACATTTTCTCTGCCTCAATTCCTTATTTATCACATCAGGTTGGAGTAGAACAACCTCATAAGCTTATTGTGAGGATTAAATAAGTAGACATACATAAGAATGCTCACAATAGTTTCTGACATGTAGTAAACAATATGCAAGGGCTAGGCATTTTTCCATTTATTATTTCTTATTATTTTTGAACCCGAACTAACACTTGGATGTCTAGTCAATATTTAGTAATCAGGAACTAATTCAAGGATTTCAAGATGTCTGAGACTTTGTAAGGCAAATAAGAGTGTTGACTCAATACTGTATCTATCCTGTGCAAGGCATAGGGCTAGGAGTTTCAAGGGCATCCAGGATTCCACCAAGTGGTCAGTGATCTTCGGGATGATGGTCTATTGGGGAGGTAATGCAGGAACAAAGATGCTAGGATGAAGCCATGGACCTAAAGTGTTGTAGGGACAGTAAGAGCTTCTGGGACTCAGTGAATGAAACCAAGGAGGGTTCCTCCAAGAAGTTCGTGTGAGCCAAGTTCTGCAGGGTAGGAGGTCCCTAATGTCGAAGGATAAAGTTTTTTTTTTTTTTTTTGAGACAGAGTCTTGCTCTGTCGCCCAGGCTGGAGTGCACTGGCACGATCTCGGCTTACTGCAACCTCAGCCTCTCAGGTTCAAGTGATTCTCCTGCCTCAGCCTCCCGAGTAGCTAGGATTACAGATGTGTGCCACCACCCCCAGCTAATGTTTGTGTTTTTAGTAGAGGTGGGGTTTCACCATGTTGGCCAGGCTGATCTCCAACTCCTGACCTCAGGTGATCCACCCACCTTGGCCTCCCAAAGTGGTGGGATTACAGGCGTGAGCCACCCCATCCCGCAAAGGATAAATAACTTTTTGAAAAACTAAAATCATGACTATCTTAAAAATATTTAATGAACACATGTCCAAGATTTTATTCCACTCATTAACTAATGATAGAATCATTACAATATTTTTAAATGATTCCAAAGAAGATCCAAAGGATATATTTAGGCAACCAGGAATGTTAGAATAAGTTTGCTAATGGATGCAAAACCAGCCTCTTGCCCAGAAGGGAGTCAATTGCTCCTGCACCTGGACAAGATTCATTTGCATCATCTCTATTGATGAGAATCGCTGGAATTACTGTGAGTTTTCGACAATTTACAGAGGTATAAAGTAACTCAAAGACAATGAGAGCACAGACTGTATAGAGTTGAATAATCTCGTACAGTGCATCTAGCATTTCATTGAAAAACCTTTCTTAGTAATCTTTTACGCCCATTTTAAAGTTTTGGACAAATTTTCTGGACACCACTGCAGTAATGAATGCGTGGGAGCGTGGTGGAAAGGTGCATAGAGGCCGTTTGTTATCAAAGATGCACAGGGAACAGGAATCTCAGAGGTGAAGCTGGCGGCATCACCTCTCCTGGCTTCTCTTTCAGACAGCTGGTAGGTCCCAGCAGGGCTTGGGGCAGCTCAGGTCCTGCCTGGTACTTCAGGGCTTTGGGGAAAGAGATCCAACTCTTTCTGCTAAGGGGTCTCAACAGCCTCTGGCTATTCAAACACATTAAGCTTTATCACTTATTTGCACCTTGCTGAAGGTCAAACGGGCTGTGAGTTCTTTTATCACAGTCATTTCCTACTTAATATAACTGAAGGCAAGACAATGAAGACGTGGGACTTGGTGGAGGAGGGGAGACACTGCCTGGTATGTATCTACAAAGTCATAGGAAATTCTCTCATTTCATTTATTGTGGACAGCAACACAGCAGCTTTACAAGGTTGGTAGCATTATTCCCAATTTTGCAAAGGAGGAAACTGAGAGATGAAGGAATTTTCCCAGGGTGAAGCTTGGAGAGGCAGAGATTGAACTCTGTACTTTGTCCTTAGACAAGGAGCCAAGAAAGGAGGGCAACGTTGGGCCTCAGGCCAAGGACCATGATCAGGGCTCTGGGGGCTTGGGGCTGGAGGTGGAGAAAGATGAGGAAAGGTGGTAGAACCTGAAGACTATGCCTGGCCTTGGCTTTCAAGCAAAGACACCTTATATCTAAGTGTGGCTTCATCCCTGGGTGACAGATGGGGCTAATATATTCATCAGAAGGCCCATGGACCATTCCTAACTGTCATCGCTTACAGGCTACAGAGTGAGTGCTTCACTTTGCTGAACTTCCGCTACCTTATCTACAGAACAAGGGGTCTGGGCAAGAATCCCTCTCAGGTCTTCTTCAGCACCAGTGCCATGTGACTAAGAAACTCAGAAGGTAATTAACAACAGTAACATGCGAGGGAAAACAGCTTGTTACAAGCACTAGAGAGAGAAAAAATAAAAACCAAATTCCACCCAAAGAGAATTTCAAATCAAATGTAGGTAAATCTGCCAAATAACTCTGCCTGTTAAATGCAATCTTTCTGGCCTCTACTCCCCCTGGTCGGTAAATATCCAAAATTGTGATGCTGTCCGGCTGCAGCTCTTTCCTAAGCTTTTTAAGGACATTAGCTTTGGTCCTTTGCATGACTGAGAGATGAAAGGGTTACGCCCTGGTTCTGTGGATGCCACAAACCTAGGGGTTATTTACGGTTCTGCTGTCTTTTCTGGTTGCTGGGACCTTCTGCGTCCTGGTGCCATTAGCCTGCCTTCCGCTGTCTCTCCAGGCTTGCTCAGGCTTTTCACCTTCACTGTTGATTACAAAACCTCAGCTGGATGCTGCCGAATGTAAACCTACAGCTCAGCCTAAAATAAAAGGAAAGTCAGCTCGGGAGATGGGGTGAGCACTTGAAACACCTGGGGCTGGATTGAGGTTGGCTTTTAACCACATTTCTAGGAGTAAACCCTCCAGCCAGCGCTGGCCAGTGTCACACAGTGTGACTGTTCCAGCCATCCTGTCCCACCCTGATCAACTCTGGGTCTCCATTCCTGCATCTTGTGCTTAGGCCATTGGGGAAGAATGGGCGATAAATGCATCAATTGACAAGTCCGAAGCTCCAAAGCAATCCTTACTGTTAAAAGCCCTCTCCCAAGTCACAGCCTACTGAGGGCACGTTATCTAATAACCCCAAGGCTTTTACCAAATAGAGTTAGTCTTATGAAGTGAACATAATACTCAATGAGAAACTGGAGATTTGTTTTTCCATTCAGTAAATATTTAAGGAGTACCTATGTGTGTCAGCCACTATTCTAACAGCATTAACACAATAGCAAAAGTCCCTGACTTCATGGAACTTACATTCTAATGAGCAGACAGTAGCAATAAACAAATAAGTATATGATATAAAGAAATATGCAGAAAATAAGATAAGGAAAAGGGATGGAGAGTAACAGAGGGATATTATTTTATTTAGAATGTCATGAAAGGCCTCTGCTATAAAGATGTCATTTGAACAGATCTGAATGAAGTGAAGGAATAAGTTGTCCATATCTGGGGAAGAGGTTCCAGGAAACAAGGGCAAAGATCCTGAAGTTTGTGAGTTTTCTGTCTAGTAGGTGGGATAGCGGAGGTGTCATGGAGGCCACCATGGCTGAAGTGAAGTGATCAAGGGGAAGACTAGTAGGAAATGAGGTCAGAAGGTAGGGACATGGATTAAAGTGAAGCTTAGGGGCCATTAGGAACATTAGCATCCTGCCCGCCCCCCTACCCCCTCCCCCGCCCCAGGGAAGGAAAAGCCATTGGAGGGCTGGGGCAAAAGAGTGACATCCTCGGACATATATATACATATATATATTTTTTTTTTTTTTTTTTTGAGACAGAGTCTCACTCTGTCACCCAGGCTGGAGTGCAATGGCACGATCTTGGCTCACTGCAACCTCCGCCTCCTGGGTTCAAGCGATTCTCCTGCCTCAGCCTCCCGAGTAGCTGGGATTACAGGTGTGCATCACCACACCCAGCTAATTTTTGTATTTTTGGTAGAGATGGGGTTTTGCTACGTTGGCCGGGAATGTCTCGATCTCCTGACCTCGTGATCTGCCCACCTTGTCCTCCCAAAGTGTTGGGATTACAGGCGTGAGTGACCGCACCCGACCCCACACTTATATTTTTTAAAGATCTCTCTAACTGCTGTATCAGTCAGAAAAATAGGATAAAGAGTGGCAAAGACAGAAGACAATCGCGGACTGTCACTGTAGTTTAGGTCAGAGCACATCTAACCGTAACATACAAATGAACCACCTGGGCATTGACAGAAAATGTCATTCTGATTCATTCTGTTGGAGGTGAGACTGAGATCTCGCATTTCTAACAAGCACCCAGGCAAGCTGGGGCTGCTGGGCCACAGACCACCCTTTGCGTGGCAAGGGTATAAGTGGCATAGAACAGTGGCTTGCAAGATAGAGGTGAAACGGACGAGAAATCCTCAGATTTTGAATCTACTTTGAAGGAAGAGCCAACAGGATTGTCGGTGAATTGCAGGTGAGGTATGAGGTAAATCAATGAGGTTTTGGACCAAGCACTGAAACACACAGAGGCACCATTTTATGAAGATGCGATCTCAGAAAGAACTTGTTTAGGAGTTAAAAAAGAAAGAGAGAGAAAAGAAAACAACCAAAAGTTTAATTCTGGACATTGTAAGTTAGAGATGCCTGTTAGAAATCCCAGTGATGGACTTGAGTAATCATCTGGGAATATGATTCCAGAATTCAGAGGTGAAGTCTGGGCTTGAGATATAAATTTGAGAATTGCCAGCTTGCAGTTTATTTGTAAAGCTCTGGAGCTGGACAACATTACAGAAGGCGTGAGGGTAGTTGGAAGAGAGCACTGAGACCTGGAGTACTCCAGTATTTGGAAATTGGGAAGACGGCCAGGTGCAGCAGGAGTCAGAGAAGCAGCCCCAGTTGGGAAATAGGAAAGGAGAGAGTCCTCTGGAAGTCAAATGAACAAAGCATTTCAAGAAAGAGATTGATTACTTACAATCAATGCTGCCAGTAGATCAATATGATGAAGACTGAGAACAGAACATTGGATCTGGCAACATGGAGGCCACCATGGCCTCACTGACAGCAGTGTCCGTGGAGTGATAGTGATGAGAATCTGTCCAAGAGAGAACGGGAAGAGGAGAAGTATAGACAGAGGACACACAATTCTTTAAAGCAATTTTGCTGTAAAATGCAACAGAAATTGGACAGTAGTGGGAGATAGATTTTTTTTTAGTGAGATGGGTGAAGTGCTGTTATTAGCATTTTATTATTCTTATGGGGATAGGGAGAAAACCTGATGATTCATAGGCAGGAAATGTTGTCCTGTAGTAGATGAGAGGGTGTGGCCAGAGACAAGCCCGTGCTTTCATAGTATTGAGGGTAGAACACAGTTGCAGGTGGGTAATAAGTTTGCTCCAAGAAGCATGTATGAGTTCTGCTGGGCGTGATGGCACACATCTGTAGTCCCAGCTACTTGGAAGACCGAAGCCCGAGACGGGCTTGAACCCAGGAGCCCTGGGCCGTAGTGTGCTATGCCAATCAAGTGTCTACACTAGGTTTGGCATCAATATGGTGACTTCTCAGGAGCAGAAACCATAAGGTTGCCTAAGGAGGGGTGAACCAGCCCATGTCAAAACCAGAGCAAGTCAAAACTCCCATACTGATCAGTACTGTGATCCTGCCTGTGAATAGGCACTACACTCCAGCCTGAGCAACATAGCCAGACCTAATTCTCTCTTTTTTTTTTTCTTTTGAGGTGGCGTTTCGCTCTTGTGGCCCAGGCTGGAGTGCAATGGTGCAATCTTGGCTCACTGCAACCTCTGTCTCCTGGGTTCAAGCGATTCTCCTGCCTCAGCCTCCCAAGTAGCTGTGATTACAGGCGTGCACCACCACACCCAGCTAATTTTTGTATTCTTAGTAGAGACAGGGTTTTGCCATGTTGGCCAGGTTGATCTGGAACTCCTGACCTCAGGTGATCTGACCGCCTCAGTCTCCCAAAGTGCTAGGATTACAGGCGTGGGCCCCTGCACCCGGTCTGGACCCTATCTCTTAAAAAATTTTTAAGAAGCATCTATAAGCTCCGTCCTAACTGTTTCTGTTGTTTCCAGCAAGAGACAAGATCATCAGCTGAGAGTGACAGAACCAATATTAAGTAGAATAACATCTCTGTCCTCGCAGGATCCCTGTTAGACACATGAAGCAAACCTGCAAATAGACTTCCTGTGGAATAGAAAGTGCTGTGGGCTGAGGTAGAGGTAAGTGCAGGATCGCATGGGAGGCCCACTAAAACCAGGGTAGGCACTCTGGGCAAAGCCCCCAGCAGCAATGACCCTGGAGTTGAGGCAATGAGAGTTGGCTGAGTGTGGGTGTGGTGTTCCTGGAAGAGAGACCTGCTGAGGCTGAGAGAATGCAACACTTCCAAAACTCAGTCTGTCTTCCGGAGTAATGTTTCCCACTAAAGCGAGAGAAGCCAGGGCTGCCACTCAGGGGGATGCAGTTTCCGTGCTGCAGAAGGTACCAGCAGAAGAGAAGCCGGGGCTGGAGTCCAGCACATGGACATTAGGCTGATCTGCATCCAAGAGGCAGCATACACCCACCCCAAATGGGGCACATGTTTCTAATTCATTCACCCAGAGGGGAGCCCTTTGCTTTTTCTAATTGGCATATAAAGTTGCCTGATAGGCCAGGAGAACCCAGTTACGTGTCATTAGCCCTTCAGTATACTTTGGGTTATTTCCTCTAAGAGATGCAAACAGTTGTACTGAGTACTGTATAAAAGAAAGACTTTCTTAAGCCAGTTTAACCTAGGTAGTGTAGGTCGGAAGTGAGCCTGCTCAGTCTTGGGCTCAGTGTTTAGTGTAGCTGGGAGCTGGGCTCTGAACTGGAAATTGGAAGCCTACCTGGCTCCTGTAGCACTGGAGGCCATGCCAGCTTCTCTTTGTCCCTGCCTGGTCCATGGCCCTGAGGTTGGGAAGTTGAGAGCCAGAGGTTTGCAGTATGAGGTATTTCAGGGTATTTCAGGCTCAAAGCAGCAATGCAAAATCATCAATTCTCCACTTGACCTTTGCGGTGTCCCTCAGACCTGGTAATGGACACAGGAAGAGGAAGCTGAGCAGCCACCAGACTGGATGACTTAAGAGGACCTGCATTGCATTATAAACTCCACAGCGTCAGGAACCAGGGAGTTGGCAGGTGGTAGATGCTCAATAAATGTCTGTTAAGTGAATGTGTGAGTGAATGAATGAATGAATGGTGGAGCAGATAGCAAATGGTCTCCAAAGAGAAGGTCAGAACATCCACAGGATACAGTAAGAGGGAAGAGTGTAGGGTTGGGGATGGGGGACAAAGAACTCCTACTCATGGTGGGAAGTTTAAGGTTCCAAAAATTCTGCAGGATTGTTTTATTGTTGTTATCATCACCTGCACATCTTCCCTCAGGGGAGTATTTCTTAGAAAGCAATTCTTATACTGATAACCAGCAAATAATTAAGTTGTTTAGAGCTTGAAAAATTTGTTCTCTGACTAATTAAACTTTATGTATCTAGCTGTTCACTGAACATTATTCTAACATTGCACTATGAATATTGCCACGTTATGGACCTTAGGTTCCATTAGATTGGCATTAGTACCACTCAGGAACATTTTATGATGTGTGCTGATAAACTCCCAAGACAAATGAACCTGAGACATGTGTGAGCATCCCATAAAACAAACCCTGTTGGACTTTGATTTTGAATGTTTTGTGATCACAACTAAAATGGTAACATAACACCCTTTTGCCCAGAACATAAAACTTGACAAACAGCCTACGGGAATGCCATCCATTTATCGGCATGTGATGCGCTGGAAAAACGTAACTATAATATATACAGTGTGGCAGTTGAACATAAGTAGGTTTTATAGCTGCAGCTGTGACACATCCTTCAGCTGAAATCCTGGGACAATTCTGAGAACTTCAAATGTCAGTTTGTCAGTGTCATTTAAGAAAGGGTCTTTGAGAATTTACATTTATTTAGAGAACTGATAGTCACCAGATAATATATGAGTAATAATTCTTTAAAAAAATAAACAGGCTGGGCACTGTGGCTCATGCTTGTAATCCCAGCACTTTGGGAGGCCGACGTGGGCAGATCACGAGGTCAAGAGATCAAGACCTTCTTGGCCAACATGGTGAAACCCAGTCTCTATTAAAAATTAGCTGGGCATGGTGGTGTGCGCCTGTAGTCCCAGCTACTTGGGAGGCTGAGGCAGGAGAATCACTTGAACCTGGGGGGCAGAGGTTGCAGTGAGCCGAGATCAGCCGCTAGGTGGCTGAGTGAGACTCCATCTCAAAAAAAAAAAAAAAAAAAAGAAAACAAAAGAAAATAAACAAAATGTGCTGTGCACTTTCAAATGTCAAGCATATACTGTAAAATAAAATAATATCTATACAACATATGTACAAATGTCACATACTTTCAGAGCACATTGAGAGGACAAGCTGTTTTCCTATCCCTTCTGTTAGAGCTGGCTAATATGCATGTCATTTTAGCAACTTTCTTCTGCACTCAAGCATTTCCTGGGCCCTTGGAAGGCTGCCCAAATACCCTTACCTGTCCGCCAGCCCAGCCCAACACTCCCTCGAGGCAAAAAGACTCAATTGTTGTATTTTAACCTGTCAAATTTCCTGTCCTGGGTTATTTTTAAACAATTGAGGGCGGGTGCAGGTGCAGTGGCTTATGGCTGTAATCCAAGTGTTTTGAGAGGCCAAGGGAGGAGGATTGGTTGTGGCCAAAAGCTTGAGACTCTTCTGAATTACATAGTCAGATCCTATCTCTACAAAAAAATTACAAAATAGCTGGGCATGGTGGTGCATGCTTGTAGTCCCAGCTACTAGGGAGGCTAAGCCGAGAGGATACCTTGAACCCAGGAGTTCAAGGCTGCAGTGAGCTATTATTGTGCCACTGCATTACAGCCTAGGCAACAGAGCAAGATCCTGTCTCTAAAATAATAATAATAATTTTTAAAGGATGAGATGGCTACTATCATATTGGTTACCAAGGAATTTTGAATAATTGAATAACATTGTACTTTATAAAATATAATGAGGAGTCACCAGAAATATTTGTTATATTTCCAGCTAAGGGTTTGAAATCAAAGAAGCTTCCTTGGCATGGGCTATCACCTTGAGAGTTGCAGTGTGACTGTCAGATGGTGGACAGTGCCCTGGACATCCCTTGGCAGCATGGAGGGGTGGGGCAGAGTGGCGGGCCTGCAATCTTTGCCCATACGTCACCCACATCTATGTCTCTGAAATCTACACAGTAGCTATACATTTCCTGAGAGCAACATTTATTTTTCGGATGTCAGAACTGTAGTTTAAAAAAATAGATTTTTGGATGTATAAATCATAATTTGGTAGTTAGAGTTGGCCAGAATCTTGCCTTCCTATTAAAAACAAAAGTCAATTCTGAAATACAAGCCTAACATAAAAATGTACAACACTGTGTAAACATGGTGTACTGAAATCTGGGTAAGTGGATCTCTTGGCTGCCTGCAAAGCACAGAAACTTCTCTCTGAATCATCCAGTGCCTCAGAAATGTGTGTGCTGTAGACAAGCCAGAGTCATTTGGGGCAGCTGGCATTTTAAAACTTGAACGGGAAAAGCTGTAGCTACCACGAGCCAATCTCCCACAAAGGGGTAAGCAGAACTGAGGATGGAAAGGTATCGCCAGTGAGAATGAAGGGGGAAGAGAAGGAACACAGATTGAGTGCTTAGTGCTCAGAGGCTTTAAATACCTTATCTCATTTCTCTCCGATGATAACACTACAGGCTAAGTTTTATTATTCCTAATTTACAGTTTAGAAAACTTTGGCTCTGAAAAGTTGAATGAGTTGCCCAAAGTTATTCTCGTAGCTGAACTGAGCACCTAGGTTTGAAGATTTCTCTTATTAACGACTCCAGAGTGTAGTCCATTAGGCCATCCCATGTCGACAGAGAAGAGGAATCTCTGCACATTTGGGGTTAGCGAGCACTTCCTCAGGACCAAGCTTTGTGTTAGACAGCAGAATTTAAATGAGAGATAAGGCTCAGTTCCTGAGGAGGCCAAGAGATTGCAGCAACAGTTCTTCATCCCAGCCAGAAACCTCCGAATCAGTCCCATCCTTCTTCCTATAGCTATAACCATCGTCCAAAGACATCTGAAGTCATAGACTTAGATGACTGTGTAGTCATAGACTTAGCTGCCATGGAGTCAGTGCTTAATTTGTGCCAAGTGTTAGGTTCTTTAGAGAACCCAAAGGAAATAAGGACAAATATATCCAAAAATTGAACCACAGGGCATTTTGGAATTTACTACAGTATAATCGGAAACATGTTTTTATTTTCTAATGAGAGAGTTTGGTAAATTTCCTCATGCCTGAATATACAGCATGTAGACAATGAACATCTTCAACTGATCTACACCGCTAGGACATAACTTCCTGCCCAGCACGGAGCTTGGGAAAGCCATACCCCCAAAGGAGGCACCATGGAGAGCTTTTTATCTACCTACTACAGAGAAAAGAAAACAGCTTCTGGAGTTACCATGGATATGGCCCAATCTCTGTTTTGGATAGCAGATTAGGTTGATAACAGATATACTGAGCACAATTATCAATGATTTCTGGAGTTTTCTGCTGGCTACCCTTCAAACTCTGATTTCAAGGGGAAAAATAATTTCACCTTTTCAATTGTGTTTATTCAACCAGGCTAGGCAAAGGGATTAGGAGGCAACTTGATATTTACATTCTAACTGCTCATTGTGTTAACAGTCCCCCCATTGTGTTCTGGAGCTACTGCAACTGCTTACTTTCTAATCAATGTTTTTCCTCTAGGACTGTTTTCTCTTCCTATCTACTGAGAAATGATATTGGTTTCTCTCAAGAAGATTCTGTTACCACAAAGTCATCAAAGGCAAGCCAAAGTTGTACTTTTACGAAGCCTTTAAAAATATTTTGATGATGTTTCAAAAGACTGAAGAGATGAGGTTGAGAAAGTGAAGTAAATATAAGATTGAAACATTAACAGAAACACTTGTGCCTGTGAGAAGGAGAGCTTTGCCAGACAGGGCCTCAACACCAGTGAATATTCCTTCTATTAGCTGAAGAAGGTCCTTATCATAAGACCTCCACCTCCTAGCCTGCTTGGTTAACTGAGATGTCATTAATCCACCCAATAAATGGTCACCAAGAGTGTCAGCAACCAACTTTCCTGTAGACAATGAGAAATGCCGGGGAGGAACAGGCTCCTTAAATATCCAGCCTTTCTGTGGGAGCCATGTCCTCTCCTTCCCAGGACCCCACCTGGCACAGACGCTACCTGGCAGTCCTCCTGAGCAGCTGCTCGGCCACCTGACAGCTGAGGGCTTAACCAGCGACCATTTGTTTCCACTACATCCCGAGGTAACAAGGATAGCAATGCCCAAGGGCTCAGTGCCAACACAGAAACAACACAGAAAGAGAACTGCCAATTTGTCAGAAACTGAAGGCCTCCCTGGAACTCTTGAACTCTGTCGGCATCTCCTGAGTGGCACTGAGCCCATTCTGCTTTGTTATTTGAATTATTTGTTGAGTTGATAAATTCTTGTCTTATCCCACCCCAGCTTGTGGGTATGGTACCCCTTGCTGAACAACTACTTATTAACTTTTTTCCTTATGCCAGTCCCTCTACTGGGCTAGTGACAGAGGAATGAGAAATAGTCCTTGTCCTGAAGATATTCCAGTTGATGAAACAGATGCTATAAGCCAGCAAACAATACAATATGATGGCAATTGGGGTGAGTATGAAGTGCTTAGAATCACGGAGGAGGACGAGAATAATTGTTCATTGAATTTCATGGAAGCTTGAGCAATGATGGGAGGTTGCTGTCCCACTGGGTGTGTAACGATGACTTTCCTGGGATAACAGGCAGGCCAACTATGCCTTAATTTGAATGCTAGGTATATCATAGATCAGTCAGAGTTCTCCAGAGAAACAGAACCAATAAGGTATCTACTGAGAGATTTATTATAAGGTATTTGCTCACACAATTATTGAGGCTGAGAAGTCCCACGATTGGCAAGCTGGAGACCCAGAAAAGCTGGTGGGGTAGGCCTGAGGAGGTTGAAGGCCTGAGAGCCAGAGAGCCAATGGTGTAGATTCTAGTCTGGCCTAAAGGACTGAGAACCAGGAGTACCGAGGGTAAGAGATCAGTGTCCCAGCTCGAGCAGTCAGGCAGCATGAACTCACCTGCTCCACCTTTTTGCTCTGTTCTGGCCCTCAGTGGATTAGATCATGCCCACACACACTGGCAAAGACAATTCATTTCCTTGATCTACCCATTCAGATGCTAATTTCTTCTGGAAACAGCCCCACAGACACAACCAGAAATAATGTTTAACCAAATATCTGGCCATCTCATGATCCACTCAACTTGACACATAAAATTAGCCATCTTACTAGGAAAGCTCAAGTTTTTACCTTAACATTGCCACTGTGTGATATTAAAATAACATACAGTGGCGAACAGGCTTGAAGAAATCCCCTCGCACATGAAGCCAGTTAGACCTGGAAAGTGACCTTAACCTTGCTTGATTTGCAAACACAATTACAACTTAACATGGGCTATTTCTTATAACGCCCATCTCAGAGAAAAGTGAAACTGAAGCTCAACCAATTGGAAGCCACCAACTAACCTATAATTATCTAACTTGGGGTTTCCCAATGAGATAGACCAAACAAGGCAACTATACATATGTAATCAATCAAATACTTTCTTTGGCTTACTTCTGTGTTCACCCTATAAAAACCTTCTCCCTATTCCTTCAGTGGGGCCCTAACTACTTTATGTTTGGTGCTGCCTGATTCGTGAATCAATGTTTGCTCAAATAAACTCTTAAAAATTTTATTGTGACTCACTTTATCTTTTAACAGTGACCTTGCATTACATTCAACGTCTCGCCTCTGCTCTCTTCCATAATGGAAGCACTGGACACAGTAATCCTCTGATCCCTCCTAGCTAAAAATGTTATGCTTTCATCAAACATTTGTATTTGTCTGATATGTACAAATAATGTGGACAATTGTGCGGCTGTAGTGGGTGCCTCTGCTCTGAAAGGGTCACAGGTCTTGCTGTAAGATAGGAACTGCACTGAACACTTTGCTTACATGAAACACCTTTAATTCTCGAAGGATCCTACAGGAAAGGCACTGTTACTATAATCTTCTATTTTCAAATGAAGACAGGAGACCTGAAAAGGTCAGCTCACTTGCCCAAGGTCACACAGCCACGGAGGAGCAGAGCTGAGAACAGAGCCCGTCGGCCCTGAGGCCTGTTATTGACCATTACTTTATATGGCTTCCCCAGGTTCACCGTAACTAACCATGGATGGGCACTGTTAGTCCCCTGCAAAGATGTGGCCCAATAGGAAGCTTCACTCTAAAACACCCATAAGGAGAAAGTAGGAAGACTATTAGCTGATAGGGTTGCCTGGAAATATTTTATAGGAGCTGGAATAAAACCTAAAGAAAATATGGAATCAGAGATAAAAAGAGTGTTGGAGTGCATGAAGTAGAAATACCAGGAGAGAGAACTGGTGGAGCAGGCCTAGAACTGAAATATGGCTTCAGATCTCAATTTGAAAGTGCCAACTTGGTGGCTATGGGACATTAGTTTCAGGAATGGGATAGCAACCTGCACCCGGCTGTCTCAAATGTTGGAGTGACTAGAGGAGGGGAATCCATCTGGGCTGCAGCAGGGAAATGAGGCCCCCGCATTGTAAAGAGAGCATTCCAGAAAGGGCAGGCTCAGCAGAGCTAAGACGACCCCATTTTCTACTGACTTTTAAAAAGCGCTTAAGAAGCTTTCCCTTTCCCAGTGATAAGTGACAAAATCAAGCCTGATGCCTGAGTCTGTGTGATTCCAAAACCCACATTCTCTTTCAAGCACAAGGGCAGCAGAGATTTGTCAGTTTTCGCCGATTTGACAATTTTGATGCAGCCATGTTAGAGCATACCACAAGGAACTTGGAAGCTTATGGCATTTATTTTCAAATATTCAGCAAGCTCTTCTATTTCTGTAGACTGTATTCATTTTAAAAGTCATGTGGATGATCATGGAGTTATTTTGCTATGTGTGTACAATAAGACTTGCAATCGTGACTACTTAGGAGAGCAATACAGTCCTATGAGCTGACAGTGAGCCTGAAGGAGACTCAAATCTTACACCAGCTTAAGAATTTTTATCAGAGACAGCAAACTAAATTCAGCTATTTTAGCAGCACAGTGTTCATTAATGCTCACCAAAAAGTACAGAACAAATTCTTGGAGGAAAATATTGGTGTTTCATTTTGTCAGAGTCCAAACATAGCATGAAGTTTCAGCACAAAGCTTGGTGACACTGACATCCTTTGCATCGTAAATCGCAGAGACAGGTCCTGGCACATCCTTCCCAATAAGGAAGTCCTGGGTCCAGGCTGTCTTCCAACATTAATGAGGCTTGTCACCACATAGCCGCAGGAGAAAAAAGCAGATGTTGTATCTGGTGGGAATTGAGAGAAGGCATCCACCATCAGGACATGTGGAACACCAAGATCATTGTGCTTCTCTTCTGAAATGGTCTCAATCCTTCAGGAAAGAAAAACAATCTTACTGCACCATCTGGAAACAATCTTTGGCAAGCCAAAGGGACTAAGTCTAAGTAGAACTTCTTAACCTTGGCTGCACCTCAGAATAACTTGAGAAGCTTTAAAAACTACCAATGCCTGAGTTTCACCCCTAGGTCCTCAGTTATCTGTCAGGTGTGACTGTGAAGTTGCACTCAGAAGCTCCATGTGTAATTGAGCACTGGGGAAGTCACTGTCAAATTTTTCAGGGAAGAGCTTTGTGGAAATTCACCAGTCTGAGACACAAATGAAAGTATTGGTGTCTGGGTGAAGTGATCTGCCTGGACCCCTTCTGTCAATGCACATTGAGATCACAATCATGGTTAATGTCTTTAAAAAATGATGGACACAAGCAGCATTTTTTTTTTTGAGACAGAGTCTTGCTCTGTCATCCAGGCTGGAGTGCAATGGCACGATCTAGGCTCACTGAAACCTCCGCCTCCTAGATTCAAGCTATTCTCCTGCCTCAGCCTCCTGAGTAGCTGGGATTACAGGCATGTGCCACCATGCCCAGCTAATTTTGTATTTTTAGTAGAGACAGGATTTCACCATATTGGTCAGGCTAGTCTCAAACTCCTGACCTCAGGTGATTTGCCCGCCTTGGCCTCCCAAAGTGCTGGGATTACAGGCACGAGCCACCACGCCTAGCCACAAGCATCATTTTGAAGAGTTATTTCTTCCATTGAGCAAAGAAGAAATGAAAAGTACATGAAGGAAGAGGTCGTGTAGTTCGATGCAGTTCAAAGGAAACATTTGTTGAGCACTTGCTATGCAATAAAGCTGGGAAACAAACATTGACGACACTGCCTTGGTCTAAAGGGACTCAAGGTTTATAAAAGGTGACAGACATTGAAATTCAGAATGCCCATCTCATGCATAATGGAATCAAGGCTGACATGTGAAGATATGGGAGGCCAGAGCCCAGGCTTCCAGAAGGAGAAGTCCAAGCTAGGTCATGGAGGAGGAGCCAGCCAGGCAAAGGGTGTGGGAGGTGTGGAAAGTGTGCTCTGGGTGGCGGGAGAAAGAGCAGCAGTAGAAGAAGAGCTGGTGGATGTATTCACAAGTCTCAACACTTTCTCCAGGTCTGTCATGCACATGTTATTACTGGATTATCACTTGTGTGAAAAAATGATGCCCAGAAAACATGGGGACCAAGTTTGATATCCAGAGGCTCCCTCTCCTCGCTTCCTCCCACCATCTCCTGTGATCCTTCAAAGACTGCACCCTTGGGGCACATCTTTCCCTTCTCCCTCCCCTGGTGGTAGAGCTCAACAGTCCATGGTCAGTTCTGGGAGTGCAATGTACCTATCACGCTTCAGGGTTGCGTGCATCCTCACCAAGTCCATCTTGTGTTGGATTTTACAGCTTTCTCTCTACCTTTTCTACTGCCATGTAGAAGAGGCACTAACGTAGGCCAGATGGTTCTGGGCTGAGTTTCTCCTCCACCACTCATTACCTTGGTGATCTGGCATGCATTTCCTCACCTGTACATTTTGATGCCACAGTCTGACTCTTCCGAGATGGGAATCAACCTAAGCCGAGTGTTGGGGAGAGTTCTCTGTAATTCTAGCTTGCCTCTTGTTCCGTCCTCTTTGCTTCTCTCCAAGCCAGAGCTCGTTCTGAGACACCCCAGTCATTGCACAGATAAGGTCTTTTGGGTATAGTTTCTCCAGCTTCACCTTAAAAGTCCCACTGAAATACGTGCCAGGTAGTGCTGTTAGCCTTACTGGTAATCCGCTTGACTTGCGTTTGCAGAAATCACTCCAAATTCGACCATTCTCTACACGTGGTGGCCCTCCTCACATTCTTTAAGCTCTTCCAACTGAAGTGTGCCCTAGTGGGCACACCATGTACTATGGAGCTGCACGCATTCTTACTATTCCAACCCAAAGCAAACATCCCATTTTACAAGCCCTACCATGCAACTCCCCGGTTTCCCCATTCTTGCCTTTCCTCCCTTCCCTTTCCCTAGCATGAGAAGAAGTATGTATTATCTTCTCACACATACTTCTATCCCTGTCCCCATGCCTGCCTCCTTCTCCACAGAGAGCTATACCAAGACTGTCCTTCCCTTAGGATGGACATGCATGCTGGGCTCCTATCGCAGGCACATGGAGAAAGAGGCTCTAGGAGAGGCCTGCACAGAAGAAGACAAAAGAACTCCCCCAGTGCTTTCTCCATCCTTAGTTTTGGTACAATATCTGTTCCTCTTCCCAGCAGAAAAGATAAGGAACATCAAAGTAGACAAACTCAATCTCATAGCAATTGATTTTTGTTGAACTCACTTTATACTTGGTCTTATTATATCAACTATTAAAAGATGTTGCCATTTTATGTCAAAAGATCTAGTGACTTTTAGGCAATTATTTGGGCCTAGGTATTTCTTCTATAGTAAAGACTACAGCACATTCAATAGAGCAAATCAAAACAATCATAATACAATTTCACTTGTCAGCTACAAGGTCATCATCTTAATCTATATGCTTTTCACATACATAAATAATGACAAGAAAACATTAGGAGCAGGGTGGAGAGCAATAGATTTTAAGCGCTATCTTCAAGCAATTTTTCATAAGGAATATTCAATTAGATTTCCAAAGGAAATAAGAAAATAGAATTCTTGTTCTTCAAAACTAATGGCATTACACGATGGTTTACTTCTTAATGTTTTTCAAGATGCTTTATATCTCTCTTCTTAGGGAATATGCAAACTCCCCAAGAAGAAAAGGCATAGAGCAAAAAAGAGCTCTTATGGATGACTGCTTCAGTCAGATTTCATGATTTCCCAGGAGGCAATATTTGGTTGCAGGCTTCCTGTCCTCTACACAGCTCAAATTACTTTTCCATGTCCCTGAACCTCTAGTAGCACTAACTTATTGAACAAACCCCTTGACCTTTCACTTTCCTTGACTTTAGGCCTCCTTTGTTCTCACCCTCCCATGCCATTCTTCCCTACTCATGAGCTCCCATCAGAAGCACTTATCTCCCAATCAACATTTCTTGAGCATAATGAGGGCCATGACAGTGATGTCATTCTTTAGATACTTGGGGTACTCCCCTAAGCAGACCCTAAAACCACCATTCAAATGCAAGTAGTTCGTTTGGGAGGCAATCCCAGGCAACACAGTAGGGGAGTAGAGATGTAAAATAGGAAAGCAAAAGAACCAAAAAATAACATTCATTATCAAGCAAATTACCACTTTGAGTAACTGGAGCATAAATCCTTCTGTTGGAGTACTCCAGGAGCTACGTTACACAGTTGTTATACGTGAGGGATGAGGGAACTGGGGTATTTATATACCCAATTCTCACAAGCCATTCAACCATTTATTATTAATCCCCTAGCATTTCTAGATTACTGTGTGGAGATGACAAAGTGGATTCCTTTAGCTATTGAAGACCCTCAAGCAGAGAAGCTCAGGGGCCTGCAGATGGATATCTAGCAAGCATGCACTGAAACTGTAAGAACAGGGGCGTCTGGGCAGGACATTGCAGGATCTGCTGCTGCCACTGTAGTGCTTACTTGCATGAATGGGTTCCTCCAAATGCTTTGCTTAAGCCTAGCTAGTGATGGCAAATATATTTCATTTGGTGTGTCAATTTCAATTAGATTGCTAGTGGCTTGGCTGGGAAAGTTTCTAAGGTTTTGTTAAAGGTTAGCAGGAGAGAGGATCTATGGTTGATCAGAGATCTCTGTAAAAAGACAGTTGGATGAAGACTGGCAATATCTTGCCAGACATTTGTCATCCCGACTCTGGAATTACTCCTGAAAGTAGTGGGCAGAACCAAGTATGCTGAGGGTCTAAAGAAAAATGAAAATGCCAAAGGAGAAGTGGGTCAGTGATCAGGCCTGTCTTAGCCCATTTGAGTTGCTGCAGCAAGAATACCATGACCTGGGTGATTTATAAACAACACACATTTATTTCTTGTAGTTCTGGAGGCTGGGAAGTCCAAGATCCAGACACTGGCAGATTTGGTGTTTGATGAGGGCCTGTTCCTCATAGATGGCACTTTCTGGCTGTGTCTTCACATGGCACTAATCCCATTCACAAGGGCTCTGTCCGCATGACCTAATTACCTCCTAAAGGCTCTACCTCCTAATACTATCACAATGGAGGAGTGGGGGGAGGTTTCAATATATGAATTTTGGGAGGACACAAACATTCAGACTTCTGCTGAAAATAGAAAATACTCATAAATTATTGGAAGTATGAGACCAGATTAGGAGGAGTAGAACAACCGCAAGGACTCTGTTGACCCCCACCCCCAACCCCGCAAAGCAAAATCCCTGCTCTCCTTCAGAGAGGTCAGAGGGAGCTTTGTCTCTGTTCCCCTGTTATTACTCTGGCTGAGCTTCATCGTCTGGGCTTCTGAATACCAAGTCTGGGCAGAAGTGGGAAAGCTTGCCTGGGGGCAAAAGAAAATGAATCAGCCTGAGCAATAGAACATTTGACATGAAGACTGAATATTTCATGTGATTTTGAAAAGTTCAACCTAGGCTTTTCCGAGGTTGAATATTACTTAATGTGTTCATTTAAGCAATTTAGTGATCATCTGTTATAAGCCCCCAATTATTGCATGCTCTTGAAAAATAAAAAGATCAACAAGGCATCAAGACATAGTCCAGGCCCTCAAAAATCCCATAAGCTAGGGGGAAAAGGCAATACAAACTTTACCAAGAAGCCCAAGGAAGGGTAGTCTTTTTTTTTTTTTTTTTTTTTTTTTTTGAGACAGTCTTGTACTGTCGCCCGGGCTGGAGTGCAGTGGCGCCATCTCGGCTCACTGCAACCTCGCCTCCAGGGTTCAAGCAATTCTCCTGCCTCAGCCTCCCAAGTAGCTGGGATTACAGCTGCGTGCCACCATACCCAGCTAATTTTTTGTATTTTTAGTAGAGACAGGGCTTTGCCATGTTGGCCAGGCTGGTCTTGAACTCCTGACCTCATGATTCACCTGCCTCAGCTTCCCAAAGTGCTGGGATTACAGGCGTGAGCCACCATGCTCGGCCTGTGAAGGGGAGCCATTAAGGGCCCAGACTCTCTGGGCTTTAATCCTAAACCCACCACTTACTAGCTAGGTGACCTGGAGACATTTATTTCATCTCTTTGTGCCTCGGTGTCCTCCTTGGTTCCTCTCTCATGGGGTTGTTTTGGAAATTATATCTGTGAACATATGTAAAACTAGAATAGCCCCTGATATGTAGTCAAACTCAATACATTTTATCTTTTTCTTTTCCTATGAGACAATGGATTAGGAACATCTCATTTCCTAGCTGAAGGATCAGGGAGACTATGAAGAGTTACTGTGAGTAAAATAGGCCCTGGAAGACAAACAGATTTCACCAAATGAAAATGGGAGGAAGGCTCCTCTGGGCAAATAGCAGGCCATGTGCAAAGAGACAGAGGAGGGGAGGTAGGGATGTCCAGGGAGCAGCATCCCACTGACTGCCACATGTAGAAGGAGTGAGTCTCACACTTGCTTTTTCAGAGATGGAAAATAACCAAGATTTTCAGCAGGACAATGGACATGACCAAAACTGTACTTTTTTTTTTTTTTTTTTTTTTGAGACAGAGTTTCACCCTTCTTGGGCAGGCTGGTGTGCAATGGCACAATCTCAGCTCACCGCAACCTCCGCTTCCCAGGTTCAAGCAATTCCCCTGCCTCAGCCTTCCAAGTAGCTGGGATTACAGGCATGCACCACCACGCCCAGCTAAATTTGTATTTTTAGTAGAGACGGGGTTTCGCCATGTTGGTCAGGCATGTCTTGAACTTCTGACCTCAGGTGATCCACCTGCCTCAGCCTCCCAAAGTGCTGGGATTACAGGCGTGAGCCACCGCCCCCGGCCAAAACTGTATTTTTAAAATATGACTGTGGCGAAAGAATCCATGAGTATATATGAATTGCTATAAAATCCTCTCACCTGTTTCTTTCTTTCTAGGTTTATCAAAAAGTACGGAATCTAAAATGAAAGCATACTAACTCATACTTCCTAATTGAGTCAACTCAATCTGAATCCATGCCGCATCCATTCCATAATGTCTCTGACATGGCTGGGAGCCACTCTGGACCCCATATTTTTCTCTAGGCTGCAGCATGACATTCACCTGGGTGGATGGGGCAGAAGGCCACATACACGGATTCCACCCTCTCTTTGTCTGCGGACACGTGCAGAAAAATCAGCACTTTCATACACAAAGGTAGTGAATTAGTTTCAAATTGAGTAAGTACTAATAAGGCATCTAGCTGAGTGCTATGACATGTTAATAAAGCCCTGACACTCTTTTAGGTCGTGAAGTCAGGGATGACTTCTCTGAGGATGTAATTGCTAAGCCCAAGCTTGAAGGAAAAGAAGCCAACCATAGGAGGAGCCAGACAGGGGAAAGCACTTCAGCATGAGCAAAGGACCTCAAGGAAAACACCAGAAAACAGGCCGATGTGGCTGGAGTGAAATGAGGGCAAAGCCCTGCGGTTTTCTTCTCTGCTTGTTTACATGTTACAGAGAATGAGAATATTCTCTGCATTGTTCATTTCTCTGCTGAAAATAGAAAATACTCATGATTTCATGGAAGTATGAGACCAGATTAGGAGGAGCAGAACAATGGCACAAGGTCGTGGGCAATTCTAAAATAGAGTGGAGAGCCCGGCCCAACCCAAGGCCAAGGCTATCCTTCAAAAGCATGAAGGGTCTGAACATAAACAAACTGAGCATCGATCACTCGGGCCTATTTTGGAGCGTGGCTCCCTCTTCCTAGGAGGACCTCCACCCCATCATTCAGCATAGATTAAGACACCAGAAGAGAAATATCCCTGAGAAATTACCCCCTAGATCTCTGCTCACATTAGTGTGGAATCTTCTGACCTCAGGACCAGAAAAGGCCATAGGCAAACTTCTAGGGGTCACTTATCATTAGGAACAACCACAATAAAATCATTTCAGAGAAATGAGTTGTCTTAACCACCAGAGAAGAGAGTAGGGGAATACGAACAGACTTCCATCCACCCTTTCAGGCTCTTTGGCTAGGCTATGAAGTAAGTTAACATAAGGCAAATAAACAAGAGGAAAAAGACAATTTTAATTACATATCCCTGCTCAGGAGACCCAAAAAATATGAGACTCAAAGAAGGGTCAGATGATTGAAGCTTATATTGCATCCTGAGCTATTGAAAAGAACAGGAGTTTGAGGCTCCTCCTGGTTGTTGGGGGGCAGGGGTAGGGGTGACAAACTATGGGGAAGTTATAGGGGGGTAAGGGGAGGAGTTGTATAGTGATTAAGGTTGTCCTGTTATTCAGATAAAAAAAACCTTAGGTAATAAAAGTCATCTCAGAGCAGCCTTTGGAAGAATAGGTGACTGCCTGGGCATGCTGTCAACCTCTGGCCAAGCTTAGGCTTCTTTAGCATCTATTATCAGCTTTGGGAAATGTCCTCTCACTCCTTCTCATGCTGCTGATCAGACTGGTAATCAGGGAAAAGGTGGGGACTAACATTGGTTGGGCATCTACTACTGTGCCAAGGACTTTACTTATATTATTTCATTGATACCTTATAGCACATTTATTAATTTAATTTTATTTTATGGCTAAAGAAACTCAAGTTCATAGAGCGTTAGTAACTTGCCGAAGCACTCACAACTGATAAGAAGCAGAGTCAAAACTGGATCCAGATCTGTGTAACCCGCCAAGTCAAGCTCTTTCTAAAAATGTGCACAGGTTTTCTGCCAATTTAAAAACATGCTGTTGGAACTAATAACAAACTCAGTAAAGTTGCAGGATACAAAATCAACATTTTTCACAGAAACAGAAGAACAATCCTAAAATTTGTATGGAACCACAAAAGACCCCAAATAGCCAAAGCAATCCTTAACAAAAAGAACAAACCTGGAAGCATCATATTACATGTATTGAAAATATGCTACAAAGCTATGTTAGCCAAAACAGCATGGTGATGGCATAAGAACAGACACATAAACTAATGGGACAGAATAGAGAGCCCAGAAATAAATCCACATACTCATGGCCAATTGGTTTTTGATGAAGATGGCAATAAGAACACAAAATTGGGCAAAAGACAGTCTCTTCAACAAATATTCCTGAGAAAACTGGATATTCACATGCAGAAGAGTGAAATTAGATTCTAATCTCACACCATATACAAAAATCAATTCAAAGTGAATTAAAGAGTTAAATGTAAGACATGAAACTGTAAAACTACTAGAAGAAAACATAAGGGGAAAGCTCCATGACATTGGTCTAGGCAAAGATTTTTTGGATATGATACCAGAAGCACAGGCAACAAAGGCAAAAATAGACAAATAGGACCAAATCAAACTAGAAAGCTTCCATACAGCAAAGGAAACCATCAACAGAGTGAAGAGATAACCCATAGAATGGGAAAATACATTTGCAAACCATGCATCTGATAAGGGACTAATATCCAAAACATATAAGGAACTCAGACAACTCAATAGTAAGAAGACAAATAACATGATATTAAAATAGACAAAGAGCCTAAATAGACATTTCTCAAAAAAAGACATGCAAATGGCCAACAGGTATATGAAAAAGCTGCTCAACATCACTAATGAACAGAAAAATGCAAATTATAAACCACAATGAGGGCTGGGCACAGTGGCTAACACCTGTAATCCCAGCACTTTGGGGCACTTTGGGAGGCCAAGGCCAGTGGATCACGAGGTCAGGAGATTGAGACCAGCCTGGTCAACATAGTGAAACTCCGTCTCTACTAAAATACAAAAAAGTAGCCGGGTGTGGTGGTGCACGCCTGTAGTCTCAGCTACTCAAAAGGCTGAGGCAGGGGAATCGCTTGAACCTGGGAAGCAGAGGTTGCAGTGAGCCGAGATCGTGCCACTGTACTCCAGCCTGGCAACAGAGCGAGACTCCATCTCAAAAAAAAAAAGAAAGAAACAACAACAATGACAACAACAAAAACCGCAATGAGATGTTACCTCACATCTGTCAGAATGGCTGTTATCAAATAGATGGAAGGTGACAAATGTTGGAGAGAATGTGGAGGAAAAGGAAACTTGTACACTGTTGGTGAAAACGTAAATTAGTAGAGCATTATGGAAAACTGCATGGAAGTTCCTCAAAAAAGTAAAAATAGAATTACCATACTATCCAGCAATCCACCTGCTTGGGTATTTATCCAAAGGAAAGGAAATCAGTATATCAAAGAGATGCCTGCACTCCCACATTCATCGCAGCACTATTTACAATAGCCCGGATATGGAATTAACTTAAGTGCCCATCAGTGGACAAATGGATAAAGAAAATGTGCTGTACATACACAATGGAATACTATTCAACCATCAAAAAGAAAGAAATTTTGTCATTTGTGACAACATGGATAAACCTGGAGGATATCATATTAAGTAAAATAAGCCAGGCACAAAAAGACAAATACCACATAACCCAACTTATATATGGAGTATAAAAAAGTCAATCTCATAGGAAGAGAGGACAAAATGGTGGTTACCAGAGGTTTGGGGTGGGGAGGTTGGGAGATGTTGATCTAACGACACAAAATTTCAGGTAGGCAGGAGGAATAAGTTCAAGAGATCTATTGCACCTCATTTGACTGCAAAAAATAAGAACACATTATGTAATGTTACCTTGAAAATTTCTGAAGAGAAGACATTAAGTTTTCTTACTGCAAAAAAAAAAAAATGGTAAGTTTCTGAGGTAATGCTTATATCCAATGGCTTGAGTTAACCCTTCCACAATGTGTACATCTACCAAAATGTCATGTTGTACTCCATAAATATATATATATAATTTTTACTTGTTAATTGAAAAATAATATAGAATAAAAGAAAAACACAGTGGTAAGAACATAAACTGTGGAGCCAGGCAGCATAAGTTTGGTTCCCTACTCTGTCATCTATTAGCTGAATAGACTTGGGCAAATAACTCAGCCTTCTGTGTCTCAGAGGTGTTATCTATGTGTATCGATATAAGGCTGTAAATAGGGCCTTCCTTAAATAGGGTGGGGATAAAATGAATTAGCTAATATTGTAAAGCACTTAAACTACTGCCAAACACATAGTAGGTGATCAATAAATACAAGCTGTTTGTAATTTCTAGTAACTTATGAAAGAAAAACAGTAGTTACCATAGAAGGATTCCATGGTTTTATTTTCACAAGCATTTCTGTATCAGCTGTCTAGTGTAGCTAACAAAGAATTTTTTGCTTTCTACCTTAAAGTCACAATGTCTTTTTTTAATGCCACAAATATTATTAATCAAAATTTGCCTCACCACTTAATTTCCAATAATAGAATAGTTAAGAAAAAGCTGTAGCTACTTAATGCTATATTACGTATTTTTAAATGATAACATGAGGACTATGTATCCAAATGGAACCATACTTTCAACATAATAAGTGAAAAAAGGAGAAGTGTAAAATTATGCAAATACTATGATGACATGTATATGAAAAAAATAGACTGGAAGGAAAAGACCAAAATTATAACAGTCTTTATATTAGTAACTTGAAGTTATTAATATTTCCCTTATTTTCCAACATTTATTGTTATGTGACGTAGCTACATCATAATAAAATAATGCACCATCCCAATGCATTTCTTACTTCACATTAGAACAAACAAAACACCCATCTATAATCTGTTATAACAACTTTAACGTTCCATGTATGCGAGAGGGTGAGTTTTGTATAAAATAAAAGGCTAAGCATGTTCAAGAATATCACAAAAGATGAACAAAAACCTTTAGAAAGAATAAGAATCTAAGTCCTTCCATTAAAAAAAATACATTTTCCTTAACAGCTAAAATTGGCAGTCTGTGCTAAGAAAACACTAGAGAAGCCAGGAGGAAACCTGAGGCTGCTTACAGTTCCACTGTGGAAGCGCTTCTGACAGATGGAGGCTTCCTTTCCCCCTCTATTTCAGGCCTGCAGGAACTCTGACCAAATCAGGGCCAAGGTGCCAATGTGAACCTCAGCCTGCTCCTTCCCGTGGCTGGGTCCCGTGACTCTATGACTCTACTTGATCCTTACACTGAACAGGGCCCCAGCTGGTCCCAAGATCTCTGTGGTCTCTCACTCCAGCTATTCTTGCCTCATCCATGTCATGCCTTCTGCCCTCCCCATCCTTCCATCTCCTCCTCTGTCTTCCTGTCTTTGGACATCAGTAGGTCAGTTCATGGGTGTCACTGGACATAGACAAAAATGGCCACCTGCCATTGCTGGGCCAACCAGTTGCAGAGGGACTGAAGGCACTTTGGGGTGGCCAGTCGTTATTCAGCGTGGCAGCAGGGCAGCCAGAAGCTCGGACACCTGCTTGTCTGATTTGAATTCACAGCTTCACCATTTATGAGCAGGCTGACTTTAGACATGCCAATTCAACTCGTGAAGCCTCCATTTCTCCATCTGGAAAGCTGGGATGATCATGACAATATCTACTGCATCGTGTTCCTGTGAGGAATCAATAAACTACTATATGAAGTATTGGCATGGTCATTGCTCAATGGAAGCTTTTAATGGAAACTTCAGCTCAAGCTTCACCCTTGAGATATTAGTCTCTGCAAGTCTTTTCTGAATCCTTCCGTAGCCTTTGAGCCAGTTCCTTTCCTCCTACTCATCCTCCTCTTCCACTGAACAGTATGTGACTCTATAATGGCAGGAAAAAAAGAGAGCCTGATAAACTTCTCTATTTTCATATCTAGAGAACGACACAGCCTTTACCAGGAGCATGGTGAGAACCACCATTCAGTCCTGTCTCAGCCTGAGTCTTTATTTTCATCCAAAGTGATTAGGCAATTTGTACAAAGTCTTTGCTACAAGTGGTGTATCAGAAATACAAACCATATTTGTCAATAACACCAAAGTCCACATATATTCCACATATTTATGTTAATAAATTTTTTTGTTTCCTTTTCTTTTTAAGAGGATTGATTGAAGCTTCAAGGAATGAATGAAGCATCAGCAGGAGAGGAACTAGGGTCACAGGCTGCCCCCTAAATCCTGGTACCTCTCAAATCACACCACCTAAGAGAACTTTGAGACACAGAGGGGCAGAGTGTCCTGTCATCCTTTGTCCCCTGTGCAGCCCTGCACCTCCGTGTGGGAGGGCGGGAGCAGCCACAGAGGAAAGCCCAGGCACCTCTTGGCCACCTTGCTTAATGCAAATAAAATTTCTGCGGAAATCTAGTATAAATCTTTGTAAATTGGATCGTACTTTCAATTGACATTTAATTTCAACACTGTGTTCCATGAAGAGAAAATAAATTGGCCCTGAGATCACAAAGGAACTCAGTAAACCATTTGCAATTGTACATTTAGCCAAAAAGTATTAGAAAATGTTTTAACACATCCAATTAAGTAAAATAATGATAAAAATACAGCAGAGCAGAGACCACCAGAAACTGTACATGAAAAGGAGTAAGATCTCATTTCACTGGAACAGCTCCTGGGATTTGAGGGCGTAGATTTTTTCTTTTAATGAAAATTACTCTCAAGGTTCTATTCTTTGAACAACTCTTCTCTCCCCACAGTTCTCAGTGGATCTCTATCACCCATCAGCCTCTAGAAACATCAGCTCCTCCAGCATCAAACTCTTTTCCCTCCTTTGTGATCACAACTTTTTTTTAAAAGAGTTATTTAACCTGCCACCCATTAATAAATAAGTATAACTAAAGACGTGCATTTAGCCATGCTGATTTAAGTCAGTGTCACTGAAATATTTTTGCCGAAGTCATCAGAAAAGCATCTCTAAGCAAACCTCCTGAACATTATTATCATCCTTGCAGCCTGTGTTCTATTACAGAAAGTGGGAATTCTGCATTCCACCTGAATATATAACCATTGTGCTTTTTATTACAGAAACATTTTAAGTTACAAGTTATATTGCTTTAATTTCTCCCCCACCCTCCCACATTTTTGAGGAAAATTGATGCCATTTATCCTGTGGACTGCTTCATATCCCAGAGGTCATGTAACCAAATTTGAGAAGCACACACTACAGAAACCAAAACAGGACAATAGGCAGACAGCTCAGCCTCAGGAATGTTAAGCACAGAGGATCCTATCCTTCCATCTATGTTCTAACAATCCATTGGAAAGTGGAGACATTATTATTATTATTATTATTATTATTATTATTATTATTATTTGAGACAGTTTCGCTATTGTTGCCCAGGCTGGAGTGCAATGGCATGATCTCAGCTCACCACAACCTCCACCTCCCAGGTTCAAAACGATTCTCCTGCCTCAGCCTCCCGAGTAGCTGGGACTACAAGCATGTGCCACCAAGCCCAGCTAATTTTTTTGTATTTTTAGTAGAGATGGGGTTTCTCCACGTTAGTCAGGCTGCTCTCGAACTCCTGACCTCAGGTGATCCATCCGCCTCGGCCTCCCAAAGTGCTGGGATTACGGGTGTGAGCCACCGTGCCCGGCCAGTGGAGACTTATTTTGAAGGGGGTAAATTTAAAGCAACATTCTTTAGATGTGCCATCTGCAATAGCATCAGGTATAAAGGCGTAGGTCCTGAAGTGGCTGTGCCCACAGTGACAACACAGGGGAGGAGCAGTGTCCCTGCTCCACGAGAAGATCATAGGAATGTCACCAGGACAGAAGTGCTGAGGAAGGTATCTCATTTCGTCTACATTAGCCTGCTAGGGGCTCAAAGCAAAGAATGAGCAATATGTAAATGAGGACAAGGAATGATTAATCCTCAAAGTTCGACTGCCTTTTTCCAACAGTTGCCTCATTTCTTGGATATTTGCCCATTAGGCCTCTGTCTTTTTTTTTTTTTTTTTTAGGGTTTTCCATCTTCTCTCCTTCATCTCTCCCTTTTCTGTGGGAGCTCTTGCCATGCTAGCCAAACACACAGAAAACGTGCTGGAGAAGGAGAAGGTTATGTCCTTCTAAAAGGATCCATGAATGTGTCTCTTTTTGAATTTCAAATACTGCAGCTAGATTTGCAAACCTTTTCAAAGTCATCGAGTTCTATTGGCAATAATATTTGATCATCATGTGGTAAACACCCACTAGGAGCAAATGTTATCAACCGAATGGAATTCTAGCCACTATGATATTTCAGCTCTGACGAATAAAGAGGTGGGGGAAGGCAGAGCAGGGAAGAGTTCTTTGGGGTCAGTAATTACATGATAAGCCTGGGAAAAGGCTTACTCACATCTAAGAATCATTAAAGGGAGAGCTATAGTTTTGGCCAAGAGATATAAAGATTTGAAAAAAGATATTAAGTTGAAATCCTTTACTTAAAATGAAATAAACTGTACTTGACATTTGGAAACTGCTGCTCCAGCAAAGATAAAGGCACTAAGGTTTCCAAATGGAAGGTTGAGATAGAATGTGGAGGCTTCCTGAGATTCTGAAGTATAATTTAGAAACTAGAAGCAAAAACTCAGATTCTTGGAAGATGTTCAGTAAAGGAAATATTTTTCTTGGCACGATGTGCTTCATTTTTCTTAGAGAAAAATTAGAAAAAAAGAACAGGCCGAGGAGGGCCAGTTTGCATAAATGGGGCAGAGGCTGTAATAAAAAATAAACAGTGCAAACTCATTTCTTTTGGGCTCAACAAAGCAGGAGACAGCAAACAAATAAAAATGAAGAAAAGTAATTTGATCAGAAAATATTTGTTTATTTTAAATCAAAAGCTATATGAATATTTTTTAGATATTAAAAAAATTATTTTTTTTAGATTCAGGGGGCATATGTGCATGTCTGTCACATGAGTGTATTGCATTGGTGGGGATTAGGCTTGTTATAATATCTGTTACTCAAATAATGAATATTGTATCCAAGAGGTAATTTATCAGCCTTCGCCCTCCCACCCAACTTCCTCCCTTTGGAGTCCCAGTGTCTGTTATTTCCATCTTTATGTCCATGTGTACCGGTTATTTAGCTCCCACTTTCCAGTGAGAACACGTGGTATTTGGTTTTCTGTTTCTGACTGAGTTAGTGCACTTAGGCTGATGTTCTCCAACTCCATCCATGTTTCTGCAGAGGATATGACTTCAGTTCTTTTTTATGGCCACAAAAAGCTGTCTGAATTCTAATCAAAGGAATTATGAGAAGGCTTAAATGTAGAGTGACCAGCAGCAGCAGTAGCATGTACACAGTATTGAACCTGGTAAGACACCCAAATCCTAATCTCCCCAAATCCTGAAATGGAGAATAGAAAGTGTTTAACTGGAGAGAGACAGAACCCATATCTAAATCAGCAAAAGGGCTCTGAGAAACTCATCAGCCTCGAAATCCTCCATCTCTGATTTATGGGATGATCTTCACCACGGGCTCTCTGGATGGAGATGGTGGATGGGAATCATGTGTGACATGTCTGCTTGCCTGCATTTAAACACAAGTATCCCAGTGTTCCTAGACAGACACTCTGTTTCTGCAATCTCTAGCATTGTTTTGGTTTGGTTTGGTTTGGTTTTAGCATGAAAATGTGTACTAAATCATGGCCGGCTGTTTCTCCTTCACGTTTTCAATTTACACATAATTGGGAACCTGTTGGTCAGGTTTGGGCCAGAACAGGCCTCTAGAACAAAATTGTAAAACTAACAGTGGAAATTAACAATAGAAACTCTGCGAGAAATTCAACTCCAGTATTCAGAACCACCAGTTCTGGTAACACTTGCAAACAGTTTCAAGATATAGTCTTGTTTTTAAAATCTTTTTATTTGACTTGAGACTGAATTTTCACAGACTCCTTATGAAACTGCAAAATGAAATGATATCAAAGAGCAGAATTGTAGATATCATAGGGTGTTGAGTTTTCTCAGACAAACCTCTCTCTTCGGCCTAAATTTGAATCCCAACATGCTTATTACTTTAATTCGGGAGTTTCCAAATTCCAGTGACTCTCTGAGCCACACTTAAACCACCGCACCCTTCTGAGGAGATTGGAGAGCGATGTCTGACTCCAACATCAATCCAGCCTCTCCTTTCCCTGCTTAGTAAACATGCTTTTGATGTTACTAAACACATAGCCATCAAGAAAAGCACCATGTAACAAGGTACCTGATGTCTATCTTTCCAGACGGATATATGAAACTTTAATTATCTAGAGTCTCAGTAACAAGAAAGTTCAAATAACTGAGTATTTTTCTGTTTACAGAGTAAAAAGCCAAGGGTGACAAAACACAAGAACTTGAGTTGTCTTCAAGAGAACATTTCTAGTTTATGTTTCAGACTCTGCAAACATTCAGGTCATCTCCCAGGTCTTCTGTGTAGATACGGGTTTCAATTCTCACTCACCTATATTTCCTTGTGTGGTGTTGAATAGTAAATGGAAGCACGTATATTGAGTTTTCACGGCTATTAGACCCCAGCAAAAAACCGTGTGTTTTCCCAAATGCTTTCTCAGTTGCCACTCTCAAACAACTCGGAGGCAGGTACCATCGTCACGGTGTCAAACTCCAGATAGCTTCTCCCTGGGTCATTGTTCTTTACCATGGGCGCCTCTACCTCTCAAGTAACATGCGCTTTGAGCCGCCAATAAAATGAGGATATGGACCACATCAAAGTTTCTCATTCAATCTTTCTTTGGACAAATGTAAAAACATCAGTATCATCTCCCACATATCTCTTGAGCTACATTGTCTGAAATGTATATGAAAATTATATAAAATTATACATTGATGTATCCAATGGTAGAAAAGAAAAAAGATATTCAATGTAAAGCAAATTCGATATTATAATTTTATATTTAAAAAATAAAAATCATACCCATTATGATCGTACCCTGAGTCCCCAGAAAAGAGACAAGCAGTCTTCAACCAGCCAAAAAACAAACAAAAAAGAAATAAAAACAAAAGAAAAAAAGGGAAAACAAATTTGCAATAAAGTAGAAGGCATTTACAGATCCCCTCTTGTCAAAACATTCAAGTACTCATTTCTGTGGGAATATATCAGCTAGTAACCCCTCCAATTCCTACAGATTCCCTTGTGAAGCATTTGAGGTCAAATACTCATATGACAATTTAGAAGTATGTTGCCCTAAGATTTTTCACCCTGACTCATTGATTTGAGAGTTGGGACTCCAGTAACAAGAAACATAATGTCAGCAGATATTCCAATGGACCTCGGCACATTCCTTCCAGAAGCTTCCAGCTGCCAGCAGAGGAGCATGGCAGATATAGCTGAGGACACGGGGGGTTTCCAGTGGCATAGTTACCACAAGTGCAGCCGGACAAAAATAGATGGAGATGTGGCAGGGCAAGTGATCTGAAATTTCCTTAGGACTCCTCTGCGACTAGGGGTATTTTTCATAGCATCTATTCTGAACTCCATCTGCCACTGTTTGACTGTTTGAAACAAGACATTCCTCTACTCAGAACATTATGTCAACTGACCATGATGAGCTGGGTCCTTTGCAGGTTCTGGGCTGTTTCCTGTGGCTCTCTGAGTTATTAGGATGCCCTGCTTTTATCACTTATGTGCCATTTTATTAAAGGTCATGCAGAAAAAAACTGCTTAAATTTTTTAAAATATGTAATTATTAATGAGATCTGACCTTGAGAGCAGCTATTCATCCCTGGAGTGTTGGGGAAAACAGGAGAAGTGTTTGCTGTCATTCTGCCAGGCCTTGGGTGTTCTTTCCTAACCAGCACACTGTGGGAGTTATATGGTGAGCCGTGGGGAGTGCTGTTTACTTGAGCTGTGATAGACTGTAAGATGGGGGTTGAGGGTCTCAGTGTGAGAACATGCTTGTAGCTATGATAACTCAAGACAGCCAAGTTTTTGAAACTACCTTGGTCTTAAATTCAAATTTGATTCCAAATGCTTGAAAAGTCTGTCCTGAATCAGGCCGAGTTGATGGTAAATTGTCTTTTCTTTAATCTTTGGAAATAATTCCTGATAAATATGATATTAAGAACTATGCTCATACGTTAACTTTTCTTAAAATCTTTCCATGAATTTACCAATTGTCTTTACACTAGAGCATGTGTGTGTGTGTGTGTGTGTGTGTGAGAGAGAGAGAGAGAGAGAGAGGAAGACAGAGGGAGAGAGAGACAGAGAGGCAAAGAGAGACAGAGACAGAGAGAGAATGAGATTTGGCAAGTGTCATGATTAATACCATTTTAGTAAGATGATCCCTGCAACCAAAATCACTCTAATTATACAAAACCATGATGAGAACTTGACTCCTAGCTTTAACACCACTGAATTCTGACTTAAACTGCCTCCCTTTTCTTTGCTATTGGGACACTTTTACTTTATTTTTTATTTTTTTAGAAATGGGGTCTCACTATGTTGTTCAGGCTGGACTCGAACTCCTGGGCTCAAGTGATCCTCCCACCTTAGCTTCCCAAGTAGCTGGGACTACAGGGATGAGCCACTGAGCCCAGCTGGGGCAATTCTATTGATATTACACATCACTGAAGAAAGTCTCAACAGAGCTGACAAGACCCTGTTAAAACAGTGTTGTTTTCAGCAGGGAACACTGCTGATCGAAGTACACATCCAGCATGACTAAAATTCCACCTTTCTTTTGTACCACCTCAAATTTGTCCTATAGAAGTACTGGTATCTTTATTTAAAAAACAGAAAAACAAACCAAACTAAGATGAATTGAGTACCTTCTGTGCACCAGATATTTTATTTTCATCCTCTCTGTAATCCTCCCACAAAAGCTATGAGTTATTACTGCCAATTTACAGAATATGAAAATGAAAGAAGTTATAATGCTAGGTTTTTCTAATCCCATTTTCCAGCATATTGTGCTTTTAAAGTAGTAAAATATGGTATGGGATGACAAAAAAACCATTATTTTTGTGAATCATTCTAAATTCAGAATCACATAATTATATGAATTTATATCCCCCCTCAAAAAAAGAGTATATGCTGTGCAAGTTGAGATAGGACTGAGGCCTCATGAGCCCCAGAAAATTGTCTGATACGACGTTACAAAGCTTCTATTGCAAGCGTAAGCCTCACTCTAGTTCAGAGACTTCCAAAGAATTGAATCACCAATGAGGCAATGTTGAAAATGCTGCGGCTGATAATATATTGGAAATTCCACCCCTAGTTGATGGAATTAAATAAATCAAAGATGAATCAGAGATGGACTGCAGTTTCCTACTCATGAAAATATAGCAGTCTCTGCTACCAAAAAAAAAAGTTGTTGAAAAATGTCTCCTGTATATTAACAAGATAGAGGTGTTTGAAGATGATGGTGTTCATAGAAGATATCTGGAATGCTGTTTGCTCACCATCCCAAGATTGGTATGAGGTTAGAAAGAGCTTTTTCAGCAGCTGAACACATTTGCTCAATATACCACTCAATGACTCAACAGTGGTGCTGTGATTCACTTTCTTTCTTAAGATCGTACATTAAAAGATTCAATAATATATTTGCATTAAAATGCTTTCAAGATTAATTACATGCTTCTAATTTTAATGTTATTTAATGTCTTAAATAACACTTTACAATGTTAACTTCACCTGATATGACTTTATATTAGAGTAATAACATATGTCTAAGTACATATTTATATTTTGGAGGGACATTTTTATTTATTTTTGAAATTTATAAATTATTATTTTAAATGTATTTGTTTCAGTTAAAAATGAGCTTTAAAATGAGTCTTTAAAAAATACAAGCCACGATACAATTTTAATTTGAATTTATTTCATGATGAGTGAGGTTGAGAATCTTCTGGTGTGTCTAAATGCTATTTGCATTTTTTCCTGCAAACTTTTTGCTCATAACTTTTGCCTCTTTTTCTATTGTGTTGTTGGTTTTTTTCTTACTGATTTTTCAGCTCTTTGAGATATATATTGCACATTTTTACAATTTGTATCTTCCTTTTGCCATGTAGAAGTTTAAAAATATTATGCATGTTTGTCAGGGTAAGAAATGCTAGCTGCTATTGGCCAGGTGCGGTGGCTCACGCCTGTAATCCCAGCACTTTGGGAGGCCAAGGCGGGCAGATCACAAGGTCAGGAGTTCAAGACCAGCCTGGCCAACACAGTGAAACCCCATCTCTACTAAAAATACAAAAAAAAAAAAAAAAAAAAAAGCCAGGCATGGTGGCTTCCACCTGTAATCCCAGCTACTTGGGAGGCTGAGGCAAGAGAATTGATTGAACCTGGGAGGCAGAGGTTGCAGTGAGCTGAGATCGCACCACTGCACTCCAGCCTGGGCAACAGAGCAAGACTCTGTCTCGGGAAAAAGCAAAAAAAAAATGCTAGCTGCTGTTAACATACGATCTGAATAGTTCATTTAGCTTAGTACAATAAAATTTATTGCTTACTCTCATTATAGTCAATACTGTTTGCTAGGAGGGGAGGGGGGCACTGATAGGGACTCTGAAACTTGTAGTCATTTAAAAGCCAGGCTCTTTCCATCTGTGACACTGCCATTATCAACAGGAAACCTCCAAGTTTATTGTAAAAGGAGAAAGAGGAGAGGACTGTGATCGTGCATGGGAGACTTTTATGGGCCAGTCCTAGAAATGGTGTATGTCAATGCAGTCCATATTCCACTGGCCTAAATTGTCAGAGAGGTGGGAAATATAGTCTTCTTCACACCCAGGAGAAAAATGAAACCATTTGCAAACATGGTATCATTTTCACAGAACTGAGTATTTTCAAATTTTTCAACTTTTTTTAATGGTTTCTGAATTTCATGTCATGTTTAGAAAGGCCTTTTCTATTTCAAGGTTCTAAGAAATTATTCCATGTCTCCTTTTAATGCTGATATAACTATCTCTGCTTTTAAGATTTTTTTTTCTTTACCACTGATTTTCAGTCATTTGATTATGAAATGACTCGGGGTGTATGTGTGTTATAGGCAGAGAGAGAAACAGAGAGAGAGAAAGGACACTGTATTTAATCTATTCAAGACAGATTGGATCTATGAGTTTAAAGTTTTCAACAAATCTGGAAATTTTCTGGTCGTTGTTTCCTCAAATTTTTTTCTGCTTCCTCTTCTTTTCTATTTTTGGAACACCAGGTATACATGGTTAGACTATTGAATATTGTCTCACAGGTCATTGAGGCTCTTCTCATTTTTTTTTCAGAATTTTCCCCACTCTATGGGCCACATTCTGGATAGATTCTATCACTATTCCTTCAAGTTCATCGTTCTTTTCTTCTTCAGTGTCTAATCTGCTATTAATGTTATCCAGCTATCTTGTTGTTTCAGATATTGTAGTGTTCATCTCCAGAAGGTCCATTCTCTTCTACTTTATGTCTCTCATTTCTCTGTTCAATGTGAACGTATTTCTTTTAAATACTTGTACATAGTTATAAAATCTATTTTAATGTCCTTGTATGGTAACTCTATCAATGCAATAATCTCTGGGTCTGTTTCTATTTTCTGATTTTTCTTCTGGTAATGTGTTGCATTTTCCTGCTTCTTGGTGTATCTAGTAAGTCTAGAGGTTGCACATTTTTATTAAGTCTCTAAATTGTATTGTTTTCCTTTTAAGAGAGCTGAACTGTGTTTTGGCATGCAGTTAACTTCCACACATGGCAGTTGATCCTTCAGGGACTGTTTTTTAAGCTTTTGGTAGCAGAAGCATGCAGTATGTTTTACTCCAGGAATAGTGCAGCCTTTCTGTTACTGCCAACAAGTGACCCATCTGAGGTCTTTACTAAGTGTCCTAAGGGATCACTGAGTACTCTCCATTCTGGTCTTTCTGATCTAGAACTTCTCTCTGCTGTGAGATCTTGGAAATGTTCAGCTCACCTAGTCATTTTTTGCACTACTTTGTAGAGAGGTCCTCTATGCAGGCATGGCCCAGTAGTCAGCAAAGACTCTGCAGCATAACTGCACAGATTTCTGTAATTTCACTTCGGTATCACTCTGTTCTTTTCTGTGTCTCTGCCCTTCAAACTCTGACTACCTCAACCTCTCCTAACCCTGATCTCTGTCTCCTCAACCCACTGAGGCCACTGGGCCCTGTTTGGAATTCCCCTACCTACGCCTTATTTGGGAAATTGCTTGCAGAAATATGGGACTATCATAGGGCTTCCTTTTTTTTTCCCCTTTTTTAGAGATCATAGTCCTGGGCTGCCTGCTGGTCAGTGTCTGAAACAATTTTTTCATACCTTTTTGTCTAGTTTTTTGTGGTGGGAAGTTAAGTTTTATCCTTTTTATTTTGTCACATCTGGCTGTGGAAGTTTAAGTTTGTAATGCTGCAATTGTGTTTTGTAATTAGAACTTCCAGATTTGGTCTGAAGGTTGAATCTTTAAAAAAAAATGAATAAGCAAACCAAATAAATATTATTTATCACATTAAAAAGTCATGCAAACTTTATTCATCATAGAATTAGAATGTGGTTCCATCCATAAGCCAGATAGAATGAAATGTAAACGTAATGCTATGCAACTTAAACTCTGCTGGTCAAGGGAGTGTCTTCCAACCATCTCACAGCAATTCCATTTTATTTTCTTTCTAATGTTATACATTTCTCCTGGTCATATTCAACTGTAACTAATTTTTACATAAGTGTATCCTGTATTGTCCTCTTTCTTGGATTCTTCCTTTATCTCGCTAGAATATTGTTGCAGGGGTGGGAGGCAATTCTCCATGTGTTATCCAAGACTCTCTTTTCAAGGACATTTGTACAGCAAGATTAGTGTCTTCCTCTGAGGCAGAGAGCAAGTTTGATTCCTGACCAGGATAATAAAGATAGCTTCTTCCTCCATAGGAAAAGTTGGCTGGGTTTACTGGCAGACTTCTTAAGATTGGGGGTTTCCTAAACTCAGGGATCCTTGGCTGTGAATGCAGACCCACTGTAAACACAGCACCAGCCCGGGCAGCCCTGCGTCTCCCCTATGGAGGCACAAAGGTACCAATGCAAACAGGAAGCTCATGCTGCCTGCTGTGCGGTGAATAATGAAGTTGTTTGTCTCTGACTGGGAGTCTCATTTCTTCTGCCAGCATCTCTGAAATTGGTAGACTAACTGAGCTGCAAGCAGGGTAAACTCTCAGACCTTTCATTGTTCCTAACAAGCACTGTAGAGCGATATTTTCATCCATGTGCCCAAGATGATAATTTTCATGTCTGAAAGTGTTTTGTTTTGCCTTCACATTTGATTATTTTGACTGAATGAAGATATTCTAGAATCAAAATATTTTTTTCCCTCAGAACTTTGAATTTTTTTTAATGTATAATACCTAGGGTTTCCAGTTAGAAGTTTGATGCTAGTCTGTTCTCATTCCTTTATAAGAGACCTTGCTTTCTCTCTAGAGTTCTCTGTCCAAGAAGCTTTTTGTTGTTTTCCTTAGCCTGGCTTAGTGTTTGAAATTCCAGTTGGAAGATTCCTGTTCTGTTTTTTAATCTCCAAGAGTTTTCTTTCTGTTACTTCCTTATTTCTTCTCCTCTTTTCCCTGTTCTTCCTTGCTGAAAATTCCTATTGGATATATTTTTAATCCCCTGCATCTATCCTTTATGGCTTTTAAAGTTTTTTTAAATTTTAATCTTTTTGTCTTTGGGTACTATAACGGGATGTTTCCTTAACTTTGCCTTCTAGATTAATAATTTTATCTCCGGTTTTTTTTTCCATTCTGAGTAGTGTGATGAATTGTCTAGTTTTTAAATTCAGCCCATCCACTGATGTATGTATAAACGAACCTATATATGTATGTTTCAGGAAATCATATATTTTTAGTTCCAAGCACACTTTATTCAAACTTCCACCTAGCCAGAATTCAATTACTTCTCACCAAGTTTATTTATCTATAATGTCCAGATCTAAGTCACATCACCCCTCAACTGGGCTGTTTTAATTTTTATCTGTTTATTTTCTGATACAGAGTCTCGCTCTGTCACTCAGGCTGGAGTGCAGGGGCGCAATCTTGGCTCACTGCAGCCTCCACCTCCTGAGTTCAAGCGATTCTCCTGCCTCAGCCTCCTGAGTACCTGGGATTACAGGTGCGTGCCACCACGCCCGGCTAATTTTTTATTTTTAGTAGTGATGGGCTTTCGCCCTGTTGGCCAGGATGATCTTGAACTCCTGACCTTGTGATCCACCCGCCTCAGCCTCCCAAAGTGCTGAGATTACAGGCACGAGCCACCACGCCCGGCCTTCAACTGACTATGAAAATAACCTAACTCCTCGTATCCCTTGCCCTCCCTGTCCCCAGCGTCTGTTCTCCACCTAGAAGAAGTTCAGAGTGATTTTTTTTTTTAATGTAAGTAACGTCACTGCATTCCTCTGCCTAAAATACTCCAGTGGCTTCCCATCTCATTCAGAATAAAATTTGAAGTCTTTGCCGTGGCCTACTAAGTCTTATTTGATAGGGACCCCCACTATTTCTTTTATCATGTCTTCGACACATCACCTTCTCCCTCACTCTATTTCAACCACACTCACCCCAGGGCGTTTGCACTTCTCCTTTAGACTTGGAATACTCTTCCTCCAGATATGTGTGTGACTTGCTTCCCCAATTCATTCAGATCTCAGCGACGTCTTTTGTGGCCCTTCTATTTAAGATTCCAACCCTACTGTTCACTCTCTTACTCCATTCTCTGCTTTATTTTTCTCCATAATATTTTATGTACTGATGATATACCACATCTTATTGATTAATTGGTGGATATCATGCCCTTGTTTAATTTTAAAGAAGGCAGAAATTTTTTTCTGTTTTGGTTACTCCCTTATCCCTGACATCTAGAATGGTGCCTGGCACGTGATAGACACTAATACACATTTGTCAAATTGGTGAATTAACAAATAAGCAAATAACCTGTTCTCACATGTTTTACTGTGATATCCTCTAGATCAGAGTCTCTCTGAGACACTGTGACCATTTTTAAGGTTCTATTCTGTTTATGGAACAAATTCTATTTTCTCTGAAATTAGTAATGAGGATTTTTCACCTTGGTCTTTCTATTACTTGTTCTCAGTTTTCCTCAAAGATTTGCTTCTTCTTGGTAGTGTTATTTCTTTAACTACAGAAACTTTAGCTACAGTTTCCTCTTCTTTTTGCATTAAATTTATCCATCCACTTCTATCTTCTAGGTATTCCTTAATGTTTCTGGGCTACTAACGGCACATGTACGGTTGTATACTTTTCAAAATATCTTTTTGGTAATTTTCAGAGAGACCTGGGGCTCACTCTACATCTTGCATGGGAAGCCTCTTGCGGTAAGTCTCAAATCTGATCACATTTTTTCCTAAATGTCTCGGAGTTGTCAACTTGGCTCTTTCATCAAGGATATCTTAATGTAATAAAGGTTGTTGAGAGATCATTGGGTAGGATCTGTTTCCTTTCATAAATATTCTTGTCTTCTTTCCTGAGCCTTCGGGATGAAACAGAATCAAAAAACCAAAACAACAAAGGGCAACTTTTGTTAACTGGACATCTGTCTCGAGGCACATGTCTTTTCTAAACTCTGCCACATCAGCATTCTGTTGTAGTCTTCTGCTTTTAAATATCATTGAAACTTAACTACTTGAGTGGGTTTTCTGCTTTTGTCTTATCTTTTCATCCTAAATATGAAAAAGACACCAAGTGACATTTGAAAAGAACCATGACCAGTTTATAGGAGGAAACTATGGCATCATTTTATGTTCATTTATTTTCCATTTCCTCTTGTTTATGTTATTTTTTCATATTCTTTGAAGTTGGATTAACTGTGTCCTCTGAATTCCAGGATTTCTATCAGATGAGTTATTTAATTAACCCACAATCCTTTATAGAACACTGTCAATGAATAGCTCATCCTTGAAATTAATCTGGCACATTCAAAGAGATTTCTGGTTTCAAGAATTTTTGGCCTAAAATTATTTTCAGCTGATAAATAATATTCTAAAATAGTTAAATCTGCAGTTGGTTGTGTGAGGCTTCGTAATCTCCCAAAGTAGCTGGGGCAAATATGATCCAAAAAGGAAGCCAAAAACTAGAGAAAAGCCTAAAGCTTAATAAGCAATATTTGGAATAACTGTGTACCCTTTTAAGTGACTCAAAGTCAAAGCTAAGTAAACTCACTCTATGAATATATTTGGACAGTTATTTAGTACAAAAAAAGAATACATTGTAGAGAATATATTTTACTTCCAATACATGTTTTTTCCTTGAATCTCTATAGATCTAAATGAGTTGATACATTCTGAATTAGAATGAACCACTTTGGATTAATATCAAATATATGAAGAAGCCAAAACTTCTTCATCTCTTTAAGTGATGGCATGGAACAGAATTCCACTAAAGAGCTATCATACTTTAGAAACCATTTCCATTTCTCTTTCTTTCATCTTTGTGAATTCTTAATTCTTTTCCTGCATGAACATATTATTCCCTAATGAGGACATTACCATTTTTCTCTTTTCTTACCCACAGGCTGTTAAAATCAACTGAGCTCTTAATGATTTAGTTAAGAGAAAACACCCTAATTGGAAACCATCCTCCCTCTGCAGCCAGTTTTAGAATTTTTAGCTTCACAGCTATAGCTTAAGAGAAACTTAGCAAAGAACCTCAAGATGCTAAGTATGTGGTTATATAATTTACATAGACTTATATCACATTAACATATGCATTTCAATTTTTTGAAAATTAATCTAGGGCAAACTGATGAGGGCAATTACTGGGGGTATTTTAGGATTTTCCCTTGTGATCCACTCAAGCACATCATTTACTTTTTAAAATGTGTATTAGCTTGTTCTAATGAAGAGTGTCTCAAATAGACATAAATATTATTGGTTAGCATTCATGAGGCTGCATGGGATAATTCTTTAATGTTGAGAATTATAGTCCAGCAGTCCTACATTCCCTCTGGTCACAGAATCACAGGGCAGGGTAGACAGATCTTTGGAAAATGCAGAGGCCTGCCTGGTGCTTACCCTCTGTGAGGGTTTAATTATTCTGGCAGAGGTAGTGGAGTACCTGGGTGTCCTTTCAAAGGCCCCTGAGACATTCTTTTTCTTTTTCCCTTTTTTTTTTTTTTGACACTAGGTCTCATTTTGTCACCCAGGCTAGAGTGCAGTGGCACCACCTTCGCTCACTGCAACCTCTGCCTCCCAGGATTAGGCAATTCTCCTGCCTCAGCCTCCCAGGTAGCTGGCACCACAGGCATGCATTAGCACACCAGGCTAATTTTTTGTAATTTTTGGTAGAGTTGGGCTTTTGCCACGTTACCCAGGCTGGTCTTGAACTTCTGAGTTGAAGTGATCTGACTGACTCCGCCTCCCAAAGTGTTGGAATTACAGGTATGAGCCATGACTCTCAGCCCTGCTTGGCCATTCCAATGAGCAGCTGGAGTAGAGTCTACATGCAGTAGGGCACCAGTGTAAAGCATATTACATATTTCAAAATCACTGCAACCACAAAATAGTGATTGAGTAATTATAAACACATTTCAGTGGAGGCAATATTGTAAGCATTTTTTAAAATTAATGAACCCCTTTGAAAATCCTCTTACCCCTAGCGTGAAGTCCAAACTGCCAATTCTTTCCTTTCTTCCAGTCATCCATTGGTAGCATTGAAAATGATACGGACTTCTCAGCTATCCTAAATGATATGGAAGAAATGTCTAAATTTTTGGTATGTGTTTTATGTCTGTTATGACTTCATGCAAAATCTAAGTAAATTTTTATACATCCTCACATACACTGGATAGAAGTAATGTTATTTCTGCACATAATGGATAAGGGGTATAAGACTTAATGTCTACTCGGTAAAACTGTGGACTATTAAGAGCTTCCTAACTCTGATTCTTTTTACTCTTTTCTCATTCAATTGACTTTTTCTTTCTCATTGGAGTTGTCCGAGGTCTGTGGTAATGCCTAGTGTTGGACATAATCACGTAGTCAGTTTTTCTAATATTAATGTTTCTAATCAAATTCAGGGTTACACTTGGCTTAGTACCAGAACAGCTGGGAATTCTGAGTGCCACTAGGGAACATAACCAGCTGCCTATAACTTCGAAAAGCATATTTTGGCCACTTTTACATGGTTATGTAAACACAGACATATCCAGATCTAAGAAAGCAAGCCGCACCAAGATTATACTTGAACTAATTAAATATTTATATTCAGGTCATCCTAGCATTGTTCCTTTATTGACTTAATAGGCATGTGCTTTCCAAAGCCACTGGCAGGAATCAATCAATGATCGTAATGAACTGATCTTAAAATTAAAGACATAAACACAAAAATAAATCATGGAACTACATTTAAGTGCCCCTCAACAAGGTTAAATATCTATCCCTTTCAGATAAATATGGAGAAACTATATATTCTTCTGACAAGGAAAACCAAAATTATGGAATAAATATGCTATAGCAAATACGTTGTTTGTACTTTTGAAAGTTTTTTAAATGGCTTAGGCCAAAACAAGTTTCTGCCAGTCATTAAATTATTTTAGGGCAAGGTGATTGACGCCTGTAATCCCAGCACTTTGGAAGGCCAAGGAAGGAGGATCGCTTGAGCTCAGGATTTTGAAACCAGCCTGAGCAACATGGCAAAACCCCGTCTCTACAATAAAATACAAAAATGAGCCAGGCATGGTGCACTTGCCTGTAGTCCCAGCTACTTGGGGGGCTAAGGCAGGAGAATCACCTGAGCCCAGGAGGTCAAGGCTGCAATAAGCCGTGTTACCACCACTGCACTCTAGCCTGGATGACCAAGCAACTACTTTTGGGAGATTTCATATGTTTTCCTCGTATTCCTATTTTTGCCCTTAAAATTAAGCCTAAAAAATTTTCTCCGCAAATGGTATCAGGGAGGAAACAGAGTGAAATAGTTCCAGCCTCCACTTGTAAGCCAGCCAGTTAGTCAACTGCACTTATTGAATGCCAGGTGGCTAATTATACCCAGAGTAGTTTATTTTGCCAGCATCGGACTGCTTTCCTACATGATCATTTTGGTACCAAATTTTGCATCTGCAAATGGACAAATTATGAATGCAAATTAGAAATTTATACTCTGTAAAATTAACCTTACATGTAGAAACTAATTTTTGTATTTGAATGTGCATCCATATCTTACCTTCATAGAAATAAAATTACTGAATTAAGGTAAAATGCATACATAAAACCTATCAGCATGTTATCACTTCATGCATGTGACACCAATATAGCAGTGACCTTTGGAAAGTACATCTGTAGCGATTTAATCAACTTTTCATTTAATGTAGTATTTCCTAAGGTACATTTCATGGAATTGTAAAATGTCCTATGTGAGAAACAAAAGGTAGGGGAGAAAAAGGGGGTTCTGATCATGAGGGTTTGGGAAATACTGTCTTTGAGTTTTAAAATACAGCACTCTTTAATTTCTTTAATGTGCAAATATCCTCTGTGAATCTGCAAGAGGACATTAGAATATGTAGCATTTCCCAAATGCATTTGACCTTCTAGGACCTAGTCAAGTGTGGGGCCTGGGGAAAAGCTGATTTAATGAGTCAACACCACACAGTTAAGATCATTTCCATTCCCATCTCCATGTTACTATAATTGTTGCTTTTAACCTATACCACAAGCTCACCTGCACTTCAATAGTCATAGAGATTTTACTAATCTCCTAAGAATATATGCAAAGACAGACGCAGTGGTATAAAGCAGATAGCTCATTTCTTTAGAGTTTTTCTAAAACTGGTACAACCCCCACTTGGACACGATGTCTAGGACCTGGGAGTAAGCAGTTCACATGATGCTGTCATTAAACTTCAGGAGTCATCCTGGCCCCAGAGTTTAGCCCATTTGCATACCTTGCGTCCAGTAGTCACTTCTATGCCCAACATTTGACAGTCTTGTCATTCATGACTCTTGCTAGATAGAGTTTAAAGAAACAGCTATGATCATGCACACAGTCCTTTGGGTGGTGTCTACTCAGAAATTAATTTTCAGGCAGCCCCTGGCTAATTTCCCATTACATCAGCTGAAGGATTTGTCTCATTAACCACTCTCAAATATACACTGTAGTAGTTTCCAAGGGTTGCCATAGTAAAATACCACAGACTGGGTAGCTTAAACAACATCAGTTTGTTCTCTCACAGTTTTGGAGGCTAGAAGTCCAAGATCAAAGGGTGAGCAGGGTAGATTTCTTTTGAGACCTCTCTGTGGCTTGTAGATGGCTGCCTTCTCCCTGTGACCTTAAGTCATCTTCCTGCTTTGTGCATTTTGCTGGTGTCTCTTGTGTCTTAATATTTTTTTCTATAGGGGCATAAGTCAGCTCGGATTAGGACACAATCTAATGGTGTCATTTCAGCTTAATCACCTGTTAAGATGCCCTATCACCAAATATAGTCACATTCTGGGGTACTGCGGTTTAGGGCTTCAATATATGGGGACACAATATAAGGGACACAATTCGGTCCATGACACACACTTAGCACCTTGGGGCACTACCTGCACTGCTCCGAGCTCCTGGGGAAAGTGGAGTTCTTCTCTGCAGTCCAGGATCCCTGAGCTAATAGGGGTCATGTGGTTCTGGAGTGGACACCAAGAGGCTTGCTAATGACAGACTATTTGGGGGCAAGTGGGTAACTTCTTTTACGGAGTATCCTGATGCCACTTTTGAAAATCAGCTTGATTCATGTATAACTTACAAACAATAAATTACACCCGATTCAATGAATTTTGACGAATAATATACTCATATAATTACCACCACAATTAAGATTTGAACATTCTTATTACACTGTCATCAGTCTCCTCAACCCTTGGCCTACTGTAACAAATGATCTGCTCTCTCTTGCAATAATTCTTCCTTTTCCAGAATGCTCTGTAAGTGGAAGAATACAGTGTGTACTCTTGTGTCTAGCTTCTTTTGCTTAGTATAATTTAACATTTTTGAGATTCACCACTTTCATTGCATATGGCAGAAGTTCAACCCTCTTTAGTGCTGAGTAATATTCCTTTGTGTGGCTGTCATACAATTTGTTTATCTGTTCACCTGTTGATGCACATTCACCTGCTGACACACCTGTTCTTCTAGTTTGAGGCTGCTATGGACACTGGTGTTCAAGACTTTGTGTGGAAAGAACTAAATGCCTAGAAGCAGAATTTTGGAGTTATATGGTAAGAATGAGTTTAATCTTTTAAAACCACCAGTCAGGTTTCCAAAATGGCTGTACAATTTCGTCTCTCCACCAGCAATGACATGGGTTCCAATTGCTCCCCTGGACAACTGTTAATAAACAATCTTTTAAAATACCAGAGTCAGTATTTTTCATTGTAGCCAGTTCAGTAGGTATATAATGGTATCTCATTAAAGTTTGCATTTCCTAATGACTAATGATACTTAGCATTTTTTGTTGCTTCAAGTAACATTCTTTTATTTCACATTAGTCAAAATTTACTTTTAAATGTTCAATGCTTAACAAGAAACTTCATGGCAAAAAAAAAAATCACATGAGTTCAACCGTATTGTAGTTTTTAAAAAGTCTCCCTTAAATATATAGAATGATTGGGAAGTCCTATTGCTGTCTTTTGGCAGACATGTTGGCCCTGTCATGAGAAAGAATTTCTCTGCAGAGAACAGGGTCCCTCCCCAATCAGGAAGAGAGAAGTGTTTTGAGGAGAAACAGCATTTTATTTCACCAAACCCTGGCTATCTCACGTGGGCTGATATGAAAGATTGACAGGTGCCTAACCAATATTCAATCCCCTTTTTGTGCTTTGTAAGAGAACCCAGCTTTTATTCAGGCCAGGGGGATGTATCCAGCTGAAAGACTGTATTTCCCAGACTTCCTTGTAGCAAGGTGTAGCCATTTAACTAAGTCCTGGCCCACAAGTATGATGGAACATCCAATAACATCCAACAAATGTTGGACGAGACATCCAGGAATGCTGTATAGAAAGCTCTTCTCCTATTTGTCTTCCTCTCTCTCTCCTCTTCTCACTGCTTGGATGGCAGGTAGAATGGCTGGAGCTTTAAAAGCTTATGATGCCCTTGAGGATAGAAATGACAAGCTAAAGTTGCAGATAGACAAAATCTGGGTTGCTAATGAACCTACGAGCCTCCCTTCCCAGCCCTGTCTGCCTAACTCATCTTCTGTGATGCGAGAAAAGTTTCATGAGAAAATGATGCTCATGCAATTGGTATTTGTGGATTTCTCTTTTGTACAGCCTGGACCAATTCTAATTGTTACTGCCAGTAAAGTAGAGGCATGAACACTACTGCCAGCTACAATGTCCCCGAAACCCCCCAAGAACTCTCGCCAACAGTACAGGGGGAGGGTCCAAAGCTGACGAGAGCAACGGAAACCAGCAAGCAGCATTAGCCACGTGGAGCATTCGTGAGTAGATTCTGATCTACTGGGTGATTTTGTTTTATTCTAGCACAGAGCTCTCCTTCAGACCTGAGACTGCGTTCATGAACACTCTGGCCCCCTGAAAAATAAAATAACTACATCATTAAGTTGATTTCATAAAAATCAGCTCAGGCAATCAGCATGGTATAAAGAATAGAGCATTAAACTAACAATCAAGATGTTGGGGTTTAGTACTCTTTCCCCATTTAAACAACTTTGAACAAATTGTTTATGTTTTCTAAGCATTAAATGAACAATTCCATTGCTAGCAGGAATTATACATGTTAATCTTTAATTTGATCCCTCTTTTCTCTCCAATGATAGCCCAATCTTGACATTAGATGGAAGTGACTAGAAAGACAATGGTAAGGTGAAGTCATAGGAAGAAAGGAAAACAAGCTAAAAGTATATTTTAATGTAATACTACACACTATATATAATAGATTTAAATAATATATAGATATATATTTACATTAACATAATATATACATTTATTTCATCTAATATATTTATTTATATATTAAGAAATTTATTTCTTAATATATTTATAATAAGAATTATAATATATAATATATAATAATTATTATATTTATAATTGAGAAGAAAGATTTTAAATACATATTAAAGCAGAAATATAGTAAACATATAAATATATATTTCTATAATATAGAAATCCATTATATATTTCTATAATATATAAATCCAACTATATATTTAATATATTTCTTCCTATATACACATAATAGATAATAATATATATTATTTTATATCATCTTATATGCTAAGGTGATTTAGGCTGGTGAAAAGAAAATAAGCTTCTTGTGAAACTGATTCTGTCAGTAAGAACAGTAATAAAGAAATAGCTGTAATGTCAAGATTTCTGTCTTCTTTTCCACCCTCAATATTTTTGTGTCTTATTATAGAGGCACACAATAGTATCAGTGTTAGTTGCAAAAATAGGCACAATTCTCCCCCTCCTTATATGCATGCCCAGGCTATCCTGCAGTTTTTCTGCTGGCCCTGCTGACAGCCAGAAGCCCCCAGTGGCTGAGCTGCCCATCTGGCAGCTGACCTTAGACACATGAGGGAGCCCAGTCAAGACCCAAAGGGTCACCTGGATGAGCTGAAATTACTGACCTACAGAATCATGAGCTAAGTAAATGGTTGTTTTGTTAAGCCACAAATTTCTGGGGCTGTTTGTTATTCAGCAAAAGCTAACTGATACTTAAACCTGTGAATTTTTGAAACCCAATCTCCTTATGTGTAATTTTTCCTTTCCCGGATTTGAAAAAGAAACAAGAAGGGGGCTTTTTAGTACAAAATTCCTCCCCAGCAAACCATCATGTCTAGGGCAACAAAACATTAGTAGAGATGAAGGGACTTTTCTGTGTTCACCTTATGGCCAACAAGGCTACTGAGTTTCTATTTTACTGCACTGAAGCAAATGCCTGAAGATCACTGTATTTATCTTTTCTTTATAAATGAGGTTGTATTACTTTGTAATCCCCTGGTAGGTTTTGCCATGAACACCCCCCTCCAACATGAACTGCCTGTGCTTCCTGCACCTGTGCTGGTGGCCTGGGAGTCATTCTCCACCATCAGTATCCTGTGAAACCAACCAACTCCCAGGAGCCTGTTTTCATGGCCACGGGCTGATGTAGGCTCACCTCCAAATGCAGGAAAGGAGCAAACTGCTTTTATTTTCAAGCTCCAAAGTTTATTTTTGAAATACAAGTTTGTCTTCCCAGGAAATCCTGAAGTTTTTCTGAGCATGTGAATGTATAGGTGCCTTAGGTCATTCTTGCACTGCTATAAAGAAACACCTGAGACTGGGTAATTTACTAGAAAAGAAATCTAATTGGCTCACAGTTCTGTAGGCTGTACAGGAAGCATAGCAGCATCTGCTTCTGGGGGAACTCCAGAAACTTTTACTCATGGTGAAAGGGACAGGGGGAGCAGGCACTTCACATGGCAAAAGCAGGAGCAAGAGAGAGAGAACGAGTTGGGGGAGGGAAAGGGCCACACACTTTTAAATGGTCAGATCTCCTGAGAGCTCAGAAAGAGAGCTCATTTATCACCAAGGCGATGGCCCAAGCTGTTCCTGAGGGATCTGTCCCCATGATCCAAACACCTCCCTCCAGGCCCCACCTCCGACACTGGGGATTACAATTCAACATGAGATTCGGGTGGGGAAAAATATTCAAACTATATTAATAGGTTAATTAAAGAATTTGTTTTGTTATGCCCCACCTCATCACGCAGAGGATTCACAGTGGCTGTGGAGGGCTTGCAGTACACGTAGACATATTAGGAGCCCTCCACGGGATATAAATTTAATGGTGCTATGCAAACTCCTCTCTCTCAAGTATCTGTCTCATGCCCATCACCATGCCTGGATTCACTCTACTAACCCGTTATTCCCTCTGATCTTAGAGGTTTTTTTGATGTTTAAGAGTTCCTCATCACCAGTAAATCTCCCTGCTGTCATCACTTAGCACATCCACGGGAATGAGCTGATTGCTAGCTGGAAGAAAGAGTAGGCTGTAGGATAGGTGCTGAGAGAGGTGTGTGGTGCCATTTCAATTTCATGTATTTCACCGTGTTTGAGGGGTGCCTTCATTTTAAACTGTAGAATTTATCTCTAGGAGGCCCTGCAGATTACCGGCTATTGTTTCCAAGTCTCTTTCACATTCAGCAGATGATAATACACTTTCCTTCCTTGAAAGGTATTAGCATTCCCTCATTATTACTTTGGAAGCAGCTTTATTTCATTGTTGAGCTTGTGTTCCAAGCACAAAATGTCTTAGGGATCCTCGGAGGCCATCTCCTCTGATCCACTTTCCACCCTGACTTCATAAACTGGGAAGTGAGGATCAAAGAGCTGAAGAGACTTCCCTGGACTCTGAACCTCCCCGACCAACTGCCTCGCTCGTCTACTTAAATACACACACACACACACACACACACACACACACACACACACACACGCCCCTACCTCTGAGAATCCTGGGATTTGGAGGAATGTAGTTTGGGATTTAGAAAGCAAGAAAGAGAGAAGGGAGAAAGAAGGAGACAGGTAGAGGAAGGGACAGGAGAAAAGAACGAAGGCAAAAGGCCGGCAACTTTCTCACCCTAAATCTCATATCAAATTAATCTTTTCCTGAAGAGACAATAGGGTGCAGTCTTTAAATGTCCAGGCTTGAAACCAGGCTGCCAGCTTAAAATCCTGCTTCTACTGCCCACAAGCCATGTGAACACACAACTCACTGAAACTCTCTTTTCTGTCTCAACCTACATAAGACCAGGATGAGAATACGAGAGAACCTACCTCATGCGTGGTTGTTCAATTAAATGAATATACGCACATGTGCAGTACAACAGTTCCCAGCACTCACAAAAACCTGTGTACATAGTAGTCTATGTGATTCTTCCCGAATTTTTTAGGCAGACTAAATCTCATCTCCCCAATTCCGCAGTACAACCCCCTTTGTCTTCGCATGTAACTTACCGTACTGTGACTGTTTGCCTGCCTTTCTCCCTACCAGACTGTGAGTCCCTGGAGGGCCTTCCTTTTTATTTTAATCTTCAGAGGCTGACACAGTACTTAGCACATAGTAAGTCCTCCGAAAATACCATTTCAATGAATGAATGATTCAATGATTTCATAATACTGATAGAACAGAGTCCATATTTCTTAACAGCTCATCTGTCAGATCCCTCAGAATATGACTGCAACGTCACTTTTGAATGTCCTCTGCCACCTTCCCACCTCTGCATCTTACGTTCTATCATAAAAGTGCCATATGCTCTTCGCTGCCATGATATGCTCGTGCTGTTCCCACTCTGATGTAAAATGTCCTTCCCTTCTTTCTCTGCCCGGTGAATTTCTTTACTTCCTCAGGCCTTCTTTGAATGTCATCACTTCTGTGAGTTCTTCCAGACTGCTCCAAGCCCCCAGCCAGAACATATTGCCTTTTTTGATGTGCTCTCCTAGGTCTTTGTTCGCTAGCATGCAGCTTGTGAAAATAAACTGTGCTTGGTCGCATGCCTGTCTCTCTTTCTCCCTCTTTTACTTGTCAGCTTCTCCTGGAATAAGCATGTCTGGACTGCCAGATTTCAATAAATATTTGTTGAAGATTAATGCCTGGGACTTCACTGCTTTGGGTGATGTTTAGATTTCTGTCTGCCACGTCTACTCAAGGCTCAGTAGGTTATTTCTGCTGGCCAGGCTAATCAAAGGCATTTGCTGATGCAAGCTAGGTGGTCTGTGCCTGGTAGAGTCACAGATCACTAAGCCTTATCCTTAGTATTCAGTGAGTTGTTTAATAAGCCAGTTTTTTCAGGGAGTTTCTTTTGTTGTTGTTCTTTTCTGTACTATCCCCTCAAACTGGAGCCAATGGGTCTGAAGGATGCTTCCTGGAGATGTGCTGCAAACCAACAGGTTTACCATGTTTTTGAAGTTTTCCTGATTTGGCCCAAAAAGTTATATTTTTATATGTTAAAGTTTTTCCTCATTCTTCTCATAGAAGAGGGGGTTTTGACATTTGTTTAAAACCGTAGGTTCTTGTAGATAATTCATTTTTGTTTTCTGGATGAATCTCTATATTAGTCCATTCTCACACTGCTAATAAAAACATACCCGAGACTGGGTAATTTATAAAGGAAAGAGGTTTAATTGACTCACAGTTCAGCATGGCTGGGGAGGCCTCAGAAAACTTACAATCATGGCAGAAGGGGAAGCAAACACGTCCTTCTGCACATGGCAGCAGCAAGGGGAAGTGCTGAATGAAGTAGGGGAAAGCCCCTTATAAAACCATCAGATCTCATGAGCACTCATTCACTATCATGAGAATAGCATGGGGGAAACCACCCCCACAATTCAATTATCTCCACCTGGTCCTTCCCACGACACATGGGGATTATGGGAACTGCTATTTAAAATGAGATTTGGGTGAGGACACAGCCAAACCACGTCAATCCCAATGCTGTTTTATAAAAATAAATGGCTTTGTAATCTCAGATTGATATTAATCTAAGAATTTTTGTCTTTGTGTGTATATGGGTGCTGATATTTACAGCCAGTTATGGGGGTCAGGAAAGAAGAAGAAGAATGGATAAAGATTCCCTAATGAAGGGCTTGCAAATGCCAAAGGTGACAGTTGAATTCCATTAGATGTCTATTTTACTTAGCCATCACAGGGTAAAAGACCAGAACACCCGACGGATACCAACCACTTCTGTTAACAAACCTCTGTCTCTCTCGGCTTTGCGTGTCCCCCTCCTCCTTCATAGCCTAAATTCTGCATCAAAGTGTTTTCAGGGATATTATCTTCTTCATTGGGTTTAGTCACATGAAACTAAGGAGAAACAGGTAATCCTCTTCCACATTCTTGGAGGCCTAATTATTCTCAGACATGTCTTAGATCTAATCAGCAAAACTATGTGCATTCACATGTTCACACACAGACACACACAGAAGAAATCCCTTCAAAAAGATGCTAAGGCAAACATACACTTTTGTACCTGGTATTTTCATTTAAACCTTTCAAAACTATTTTTAAGTGTTAGAGCTGTTAAGAAAGGTAACGTGAATTTAAACATTATTTTGTGTTGATATATATGTTATTGAGTTGATAGTCTTAGTTTCAAGTATAAAAATGAGGAACTTACCACGATTTTAAAGTAAACTTCATGGCATGAAATAGATGGATGCAATATTTGTTTTCACAACAACTTCAGTTATGCATAATAGGAAAAGGATACAGTCTTGCCCAATGTAGTTCCATGAGCTCCACAGTTACAGCTCATCTTCCAGAGTCATCATTAGCCTGTAAGATGACTCAGAAATGTGACCTGTTAAATAATTGTACAGTAGCAAGAGTTTATATTTCTAGAGTTTTGGCTGTCCAGAGAGATAGCTATAATGCACTTTCATTTAAATTTTACTTTAAGACAACTAGGTTGATATTATTATTCCCATATTACAGATGAGAAAACAGGTTCAGATAACTTTTAAGTAATTTACCCAAGATTACAAACTGGTAAACACATTTGGAGTTTGAATTCAGATGTGTCTGATTTCAAAATTTATGTAGGCACAAATATGTTACCATACCATCTCCTCCAAAAACAATTGCTCTTTTATTTGGCACCTGCCTGCTAATTTCCAGCCCTTCTGAACAAAGCAACATCCAGTATATGAAGAGAGGTTGACTCAAAAGATATTCAGACCAGCCTGACCAAGATGGTGAAACCCTGTCTCTACTAAAAATACAAAAATGAGCTGAGCATGGCGGCGGGCACCTGTAATCCCAGCTACTTGGGAGGCTGAGGGAGGAGAATTGCTTGAACCCGGGAGGCAGAGGTTGCAGTGAGCCGAGATCGCACCATTGCACTCCAGCCTGGGCAACAGAGCAAGACTTCGTTTCAAGAAAAAAAAAAGATATTCAGTTACGTGTGGACTTAATGAGCTAAATGTACTTCATATTTGCCCTTTTCCTTAAGGAAATAAGTCAAACAAGATGAACTTAAATGGATAAATCCAAAACATATTTACTGCTAAGACATATACTAAACTCTTCTCATGCCTGGACTATTACCATAATCTCCTAACTGATTTCTCTATCTCAGTCACTTCATCTGCAATCTATTTTGTATTCTGCCTCCAGATAAATATTCACAAAGCATGATGTTCTTCTCTTCAAAGACCTCTTATTCCTCTGAATAACTAGAGTATGTTGTTTATACTATTCATGTGGTACTTAACTTATACTATCCTGTGATTTAGGAATATGTATACAATTTATATTTCTTCATGCAATGTAAGCACTTTAAGAGTCGAACCTTAAATGTTTAGCCAAAGTAAGCACTTAATAAAGAATTATCAAATTGAGAATTTTCCACTAGACAGCAGAAAATGCATTATTTTTGTTCTGTGTCTGGCTCTTCAAATGGACTCAGCCCAGCCATGCTGTATATTCTCAGAACACGTCAAAAACCTGCCACCATCTCTTCTTGTTCATTTACTCAGATCTCTCTCCTCTTTTATTTCAACCTCCCTATTCCTTGGGCTCTTGTTACCTGAACCCTTGGCTCTGCCCTCTAACCATTAAAACCTACCTCTTACATTGCTGGCTTAGATGCTATATTTCATCTCCAAATACGATTCTCCAACTCTGATTCTTGGCATCCTGTTTTGGACCCAATCGATATTTACTATTTGTATGTGTGCCAATAACAAATTGCTATTCCCTCTGTCACAATGTAGCTCATGGGACTAACACCACCTGGGCCAATCCACCCTGACTCCCTGCCAGGAAACACAGATTAAACACATTGTCCAAAATACTTAAAACACTTAGAATGTATTATCCACTGAGTACTGGATGAGTTAACAGAAAGGAAACCATTGGGCTCCTTAGACAACAAAGTGCAGGTTGATTAGAATGCCTTAGAAAGCCTTTCCACGTCCAGCTGAAAAGGACTGCAAGAAAAATAGGACAGAAAGTGTAATAGAAAGATCCTTATTTTGCAGTCCAGACACAGATTCCATTTCTGGTACTGTCAGATACACATAATATCTACTGAGTTTACTTTAACGGCTGTGAAAAGAATCAAATGAGATCATAACTGTGAGAGTTCTTTGTCAAATCTAAATGTTCAATGGGTGTAAGATACTTGAAAAATAGCTGAAATAACTAGGCCCTCCTCTACACTGCTTCTTGTGTAGAAAATGAAGGCATTGGACCAGATTATCACATATCACCTTCCAGTATTGTGAGTCTAGGAGAACTTCCAGCCCTGTTCCTTCACACAGGGACAGTGTTTGGCTCCTTCCCTCTCCCTGTCTGAGGATTTGCAGCTCCAACCACTGGGGCACAAAGAGATGACCTGACCTTCTCGAGGTTACATAGCGACAAGCAAGGGATCAATGATGAGCACGCACTGCTCTGCTCATGCATCGGGCCATGCTCATGACTCTTCTCACATCTGTTCCGACCCATCTGCCTTCCCAGGATTCCACTAGGGCTAGCATGGCCCCTGCAGCAGCTTGTGTTGTTCCCACAGTCCTAAAGCACTGGAACCATCCCTGTCATTGCCTCATTTTCTGACAGCAGTAATCTTCCAGGAATTTGTGGGACACGAGAGCCAGGCTGAGGCATGATCTCTGATGCACCTGCTGCAGTGAGACCCGCAGCGGGTCCGCCCTGCTTGGACCCCTGGAGGAGCTGGTCTCCAGCAGTTCCCAGAGATGCTGAATTCCATAACCCAAAGTGTAGGAACGTTAAGCCTTCATGGGACAGGCTGGAGTTGGAGAAAAGCCTGGTCACAAAATGGGTGCTCTCCTTCTCCCCGGTGGACATGGTGGCTTCAAACAGCGAGTTGGCTGGTTCCCATGAGACAGAGTAACAATCAGCCTGGAATTTGCTTTCCCTCCTTCCCTTCCTCACTCTCCTTTCCCCTTCACTCTTCTTCCCTGAGGTTGCACTTCCACATAGAACACTGGCACAGAGCTTTGCTTTGTTTAGCTTTTGATTTTGGGAGAACCCAGAGAATGTTGAGACTTTCCTATTGTTAAGATTTTTGCCACACTGCTCCTCGTTTCTGGCAGTGGCATGGCAATGTTTCTGGGCGTTGTCTTGTAAAACAAAAATCTTTATTACTAAGCTGCATTTTCTCACTATTACACACATCTTTAGCTGGTTGGCAAAATATAAAATCACACCCATGTATGTAACCAATAATCATTCAGTTTTTAAAAAACTATGCTAGTTTGTGTTAAAATGATAGCACCCAAATCAAATTGTAACATATGCATGTGTTTGGCATGCTAATTGGGGAGACAGTTTAACTGAAATAAAGCACACCGCCGAAAGAACACATTAGGTAGTGTCTAAAAGATCCCTGCTCCAGTATTTTACATGCGAGAACATGCAACATTTTAGCAATTCACATTTTGTTATTTTGTTCCTTAGCATTTTGGAAGAAGTTGCTATGCTTTTAGAAATAAAAGAGGGAAGGTGAGGCTCAGTGGCTCATGCCTGTAATTTGGAAAGCCCAGGGAGGCAGGTCACTTGAGTCCACAAGTTCAAGACCAGCCTGGGCAACACAGCAAAACCCCATCTCTACCAAAAAGAAAAAAAAAGAAAAGAAATGAAATGAAAAGGAAAAAGAAAAAGAAAAAAGCAAGTCACAGATTAGAAATAAAAGAGGCAGAGAAGATGAGGCAATGGCAGCAGCATCCAGGGCTGTAGGAGTGTGGGAACAAGGGGATCTGCTGCTGGGGCCACAGACAAATCTCAACATGCACCAAGGAGCCAATTTCCTGGTTCACATAATCAGGTAAACAGAATTACAGGGAAGCATGAAAAACCTGGATATGAGATGAGTAAGTAGCAAACCCTCAGGTTGCCAGGCCCAGTGACTATTTCCAGTAGTGGAATTCAGAAAGTGTTAGGACTGAGGAGAATCCAACCTGAAAGTGGAGAATTTATCCTTGAGTAATACATAGCTCCTGCTAATGTTTTTGCTGAGAGCAATTTGGTGGAAATAAATGCAATTAAGTTTGAGATTTGCAGGGATTTGTGTAATAGCTTGTAGAGTCTTGGATAACTAAACTATATGAATGGCTGATGAAGTGACTGTACTTCAAGTCTCAACACTGAAAAATTGCAGTATGAGAGAGGCTGAGGATTCCCCCAGAGTCAGTATAAAGGCATAAAGCATGTGCTTATCATGAGGGAGTAGGAACTGGATGGGGGACAAAGTCATGAACACACAGGAAAGTATGGATATGACGGAGGCCCAATTTTCTTTGCTAAACCTAACTGAGCATTTCAGCAAGACACACAATACCTGACTCACATCATAACACATTTACCGTTTTTGGGCAGAAGTAAGTATATATTGAACTGTATATACTTTATTCTGTAAGGTTATTTTAGTAGTTTTCATCTTTCAATTAGCTGTTTAGTCCTTTGAATAGAATTCCTAGAAAAACACCTCCATAGCATACTCTGAATGATGGTCATCTGAAATAAGATCACTGCCAATTACATTCAAGCTACTCTGAGCTGAGGTCCAGGGCAGGCCTGAGTGGAGGTCAAGAAGAAAGCATTTGCCTGGAGTGGCTTTGGTGGACAGAGCAGGGCAGGAAAAAAATAAGTAGGACACTTCCTATACAAAGACACTGAGCAGTAGAGTAGTCAGAACCAGGCTGTTCGTAGAAACTCATGGCTGGAGCTCATGAGAAAGAAGGAAGACGTATTCAGTACACAAAGGTAGGTCAGATGACCAAAGGAATATAGACAGTGGACAGATGGCTCATGTGGGAAAACTCTCAGGAGGACCTAGGCAGAATTAGGCATAGGCAGAATTGAGAACCTTCTTGAAAAGCATGTCATTCAAAAGAGGCCACGTTGCCGAAAGCTGAGACTCATTTAATGATCAGCATTGTGGCAGTCTGCAAGAGTGAGATGTCCAGTTGAATGTTATCTGGTAAGGTGATTTTGTGACAACTCACATTTTCCCGTCTTTATTCGTCTATCTTCATTCTTTAAAGAGCAATTGATGTGGAATCTGGCACCCAGAGTGGCTTTTCAGAAAATAGCATCCCTTGCAGAATGGTGCTTAAATATGGCTGTTTAGATTTAAATGTGCCTCTAATTACATGTCTCTAATCAGGTTCCTGATTTATCTTGCAAAATAGCAAATCTGGCTATTGGAATCCAGGTATCCTTTAAGCCTTACATCATTAGGTTTGAGATGCTGCAGCAAACTTCCAGACTTTTATTAGATGGTGCTGTTGATTGAGAAAGTGGCTTTCTAGAGTGAGTCTTCTCTGGATAGGCCAAACTCATCTCCCAAGCCAGAGATTCATTCAGCAGCAGTTCCTGAACTGACTGCTTGTGGGAGGCTGTCCTTGGGGTTTCCCACAGGTGGGAGAACAACTGTCGGGGAAGGAGGGAAGGAAGGAGCTGTAACAAAATTCAGGGGTAGGAATTCAGGAGCAGAGTTATAGTTGAGAAAGGAAGCAAAGCCTGGCTGGCTGCCCTGGAACTCAGCCAACACTGGGGCAAGTTAGGAGTGAGGGTGCAAGGTCTCACTGGCACCCGGGCCCAGGTGGAGCTAGACTGGAAGGGAGACTATGTGCCTGAGCTCATGCCCAGAGGTCACCTGGCTCATGGTGCCCTGGCCACACTCTTCCAGATGAGACAAATGCCAAGGTCCTTCTCTGCAGTGGGCTTGCTTACAACAGTGCAAGCAGATCTCACAGAGCAAAAGTCTAGATGAAAAAAGAAAAAGAAGGTAGTGGGAGGCAGTGAAATTTGCAAACAGAAATGCTTTAAATGACCCACTTCGTTGACCTGGAGGTTATCTATTTTTAGAACAAAAATTGGGAACATTTTGACATACAAATTAATATTGAATATTTTCTATGCATTGCTTTTTAGCAGTTGTTCGTAAGATTTCTGCAGTACTCTCCATTGTGTAGAATGCAGGCTACCCCTTTGTAATCAGAAGACCACAGGGCTCTAGCAGGGCATATTGGCATCAATTCCCTCCCACTACATGATTTCGGCTTGTATTTCTGTCTGCTCTCCTTAGCTGAGCTTGCCTAGGATGTAGATTGCTTCTTCCATCTTTCCCTCCCAATATGGAGGTTCTGCAGATCTGGTCATTCACATTAATAAGCATCTCAGCCCTCTATAAACCAGAGACTTTTCCCAAACCATGAATTTCTATGACAGCAAGGATTAATAATAGGAGGGTAGAGTTAGAGTTCTCAATCTGAATTTATTACAGCCTATTTTGGGTGAAATACCAAAACCATATGGTGGCAACAAGACAGACTATGTGTTTGTTTTATTTGATTTTTATAGGCCTTTATGTGTGTTTACAGGTTTATTTTTAAAAGGGGACGTTTCTTCCATAACAATATGCTTAGTTCTTTGAAAGCAGATGAGAAATTCAAGAACATAAAGGAAATGTTTTAACCAATTCTTTTCCTAAGGAGTGAAAGACAAAAAGGAAAACTGGGCTAGGTGTGGTGGCTCACGCCTGTAATCCTAGCACTTTGGGAGGCCAAGGTGGGCGGATAACCTGAGGTCAGGAGCTCAAGACCAGCCTGGCCAATATGGTGAAATCCCAGCTCTACCAAAAATACAAAAATTGGCCGGGTGTGGTGGCGGGTGCCTGTAATCCCAGCTACTCAAGAGGTTGAGGCAGGAGAATCGCTTGCACCCAGGAGGCGGAGGTTGCAGTGAGCCAAGATCACACCACTGTACTCCAGCCTGGGTGACAGAGGGAAACTCTATCTCAAAAAAAAAAAAAAAAAAAAACACTGAAACATAGCATCCCAGAATCATAGTTCTGGAGAGGAATGTAAACTTAATGACCTGCCTGGATTAGAGCTTCACTAGTATATGAACAGATCACATGCCATTAAGATAGAACCTATACTTGAACAGCATTTTGTAGAAGGTGATGTGCATACAGGCTGGTGACTTCCACATCTGTATCTCCAGAGCACCGGGTATGCACATTTAACTGCCTACTGGACAACCCCACCTGCATGGATCCTCGGCCAGGCAGGCAGACTCACCACAACCCTACATTTACACTCTTCACTCCTCCTTGAGAGCCAAATCAGGAATTCAGTCTCATTCACAATTGCTACAGAAAGAATAAAATACCTAGGAGTACAACTAACCAGGGAGGTAAAAGATCTCTACAATGAAGACTAAAAAACACTGCTGAAAAATATCAGAGATGACACAAACAAATGGAAAAACAATCCATACTCATCGATAGGAAGAATCAATATGGTTAAAATGGCCAGACTGCCCAAAGCAATTTATAGACTCAACGCTGTTTCCATCAAACTATCAATGATATTCTTCACAGAACTAGAAAAAACGATCTTAAAATTTATATGGTACCAAAAAAGAGCTGAAACAGCCAAGGCAATCCTAAGCAAAAAGAATGAAGCTGGGGCTACAGTAACTAAAACATCATAGTACTGGTACAAAAACAGATACATAAACCAAGGGAATAGAATACAGATCCCAGAAGTAAGACCACAAGTAAGATCTTCAACAAAGCTGACAAAAACAAGCAATGGGGAAAGGACTCTCTATTCAATAAACGGTGCTGGGATAACTGGATAGCCATATGCAGAAGATTGAAACCCGACCCATTTCTTACACAAAGTTATTTTTATACAAAGATCAACTCAAGATGAATTAAAGACCTAAATGTAAACCTAAAACTATAAAAACCCTGGAAGACAATCTAGGCAAGACCCATTCTGGACATAGGAACGAGCAAAGGTTTCATGACAAAAACACCAAAAGCAATCTCAACAAAAGCAAATGGGATCTGGTTAAACTAAAGAGCTTCTGCACACCAAAAGAAACTATCAACAGAGTAAACAGACAACCTACAGAATTGGAGAAAACATTTGCAAACTATGCATCTAACAAAGGCCTAATATCCAGCATCTATAAAGAATTTAAACGAATTTACAAGAAAAAAAGAACATTAAAAAGTGGGCTAAGGACATGAACAGACACTTTTCAAAAGAAGACATACATGCAGCCAACAAGCACATGAAAAAAAGCTCAGCATCACTGATCATTAGAGAAACGCAAATCAACACCACAGTGAGTTACCCCCTCATAAAAGTCAGAAAAGCTATTATTAAAAAGTCAAAAAATAATAGATGGTGGTGAGGTTATGGAGAAAAGGGAACACTTACAGACTGTTGGTGGGAGTGTAAATTAGTTCAACCATTGTGGAAAGCAGTACGGTGATTCCTCAAAGAGCTAAAAACAGAACTACCATTTGACCTGGCAATCTTATTACTGGATATATACCCAAGGGAATATAAATCATTCTACCATAAAGATACATGCATACGTGTGTTCAATGCAGCTCTGTTCACAGTAGCAAAGACATGGAATCAACCTAAATGCCCATCCCTGGTAGACTGGATAAAGAAAATGTGGCACATATACACCATGGAATACTATGCAGCCATAAAAAATAATGAGATCATGTCCTTTGCAGGAACAGGGGTGGAGCTGGAGACCATTATCCTTAGTAAACTAATGCATGAACAGAAAACCAAATACTTCATGTTCTGGGAAACAACAGACACTGGAGTCTATTGGAGGGTAGAGAGTGGGAGGAGGGAGGGGATCAGGAAAAATAACGAATGGGTACTAGGCTTAATACCTGAGTGATGAAATACTCTATACAACGAACCCCCATGACACAGGTTTACCAATATAACAAACCTGTACATGTACCCCTGAACTTAAAATAAAAGTTAAGAAAAATGAAAGAAATAGAGTACTGATACGTCATTTCCAATGAATCTCTGTGTATTTCTCCACAGACAGTGCCTAAGCAATTAAACATAGCCTGGGCTTCAATAACACTTCCAATTGTATCAATGAACTTCCATGGATTATTTAAAATTGTATTTGCTATCATATTCTAAATAAACAGTTATTTAAGTCAAACTCTGCTTCAGATATCATAAAAGAAAACAGTGGGTATGGTTTAATGTGTATTTTAGTGGGCTTGTCTTGGGAAAAGTTTTAGGTGGTGGAATCACTAGAATTTCCCCTCCCCAGGTTACTTTCATTGAATTGCAATTATGTATATTCCTTGACAAAGTCTGGTGTGGGTTTTTAAATTTTTGTTTTTAATAAAATTGTATGTAAGAAGATTATTGTGTTATCCAATGATGCCCAAAGGAAGTTCCAGATTCAAACTTTCTTTTAGAGTAGGAGGCCAGTGAATGCTCCATTGAGTAGAACTTGATTTTATAATTTACCAAATCTTCTTTGTTTTCAGTGCCAGATGCTCAGAGCCAAATCTGACTCGACCATAGCAGCCATTATGAAGTCATTGTGCTTATCTTATGGAAACTCTCTTTCTTTGGTCTTGATTATTTATTTCTCTTTTATTAACCTTTTAATGCATGTCTTTGTTTTGTTCTTCCTCATTTTATTTAAAGAGGCAGAGCATATATTTTAAAATAAATTACTCAAAGGACTTTATTTGGGCCAAGTGCAGTGGCTCATGCCTGTAATCCTAACACTTTGGGAAGCTGCGATGGGAGGACTGCTTAAGGCTAGGAGTTAAGACCAGCCTGGTCAACATAGTGAGAGCCCGATCTCTACAAAAAATTTAAAAATTAGCCAGTAATCCCAGCTATACAGGAGACTGAGGCAGGAGGATGGCTTGAACCCAGGACTTTGAAGCTGCAGAGAGCTATGATGGCACCACTGCACTTTAGCCTGGGTGACAGAGCAAGACCCTGACCCCGCCCCCCCCCACAAAAAAAAGCAAAAAAAAGCAAAAAAAAAAAAAACTTTCCTTGTATAAATTGAGGTCTATACTACTTCTAGTCATTGTGCCACTGGGATGGAATTAGATGCTGGAATTGTCACCCTGTGGTGCATTCTGCCTTTCTTAGGACCAAAATTCACCAGGGCCACAGTGCTCACTTTCCTACCATTTTGAGTCTCATTTGTGAAACCGAAACCATGTAAGAACCAACTTGCTCATTTTGGGCAAATACCCAGGAAATAACATCATTAACATTAAAACATTCTGTATTAAATTACTACATTACAGACAACCCCATAATGAGTACAACAAAAAGTCCAAAGTAATGCGCTGGCTATTATGCCATTTCTTCCCTTATTCCTAATGATCTCAACAAATTGCCAAATCCTTAGAAACCCTCTGTAGAGTTGCCTCCACACTAAGCATCACTCAAGAAAGTAACAACAATTTTAAGTCTTTACAGAAAAGACAACATTTGTGGTTAGAACAACTTATCACTAATTTAAGGCCAATGTAAGCCAGAATTGTAACACTCCTATCATTTCAGCAGTACTAAACTACTAAAACAAAAAGTTCTGACTTGGAATTGTGTATCTCAGTAGGGGGCCATGGATTTCAGACCCCATTCTAAAGCTGAATTAGGTCTCACCGTTATAGTCTCTCTGCTTCCCTCTTTAGGTATGTGTTACCTAGGAACCCAGAGGCACGTTAACGGTCCCCAAGCAGATGGGCTTTCCCTTTATGTGCTCCTCTCCACTTGGGCAGGAAAAGCACAGCTGCATGGAACAATTTTGTGTAGAAGATCTCCTATATACATCCGCAGCTGCTCATCTGCCCTTCAGCGGGGAGCTGGAACCTGGAAGCAGCAGGCTTCCTAGCCTATTAAGGACTAAATGCTCCTATTTGGATTCCTATGTCTTTGGTCCCATAGATGTGCTTCTTAGCAATCCTCACTATCTTCAGGAACATGTCCCTTCATCCACTTCCTAGTGGACTTTCAGTAACCTTCTGTATTAATCAGGGGTAGGATAACCATTGTGACAAACATCCCCTAAATCTCATCTTCTCAGTAGACTACAGGTGCTTATTTATCACTCAAGGTGAAGGTTAATGTGCATTAATGTGCAGTGGGGTCTAGGGGGTAGGTTGGGTTGGGTCTGGCGGGGCTGTTTCTCAGACTCCTCCCATCTTCCGCTGACTTCTAGGTTCTTTTTTTTTTTTTTTTTTTTTTTTTTGACCAAGTCTTGCTCTGTCTCCATTCCCCAGGCTGGAGTGCAGTGGCGCAATCTCGGATCTCGGCTCACTGCAACCTCCGCCTCCCAGGTTCAAGCGATTCTCCTGCCTCAGCCTCCCGAGTAGCTGGGATTACAGGCGTACACCACCAAGCCTGGCTAATTTTTGTATTTTTAGTAGAGGCAGGGTTTCGCCATGTTCCCAGGCTGGTCTAGAACTCCTGACCTCAGGTGATCCACCCGCCTTGGCATCCCAAAGTGCTGGGATTACAGGCTTGAGCCACCACGCCCGGCCTCTAAAATCTTTTAAAAGGGGTGGTGGAGAACGAAATGGGAAAACGTTGGAGAAAGAAAGGGACATGGCCAATAACATAATGAAAAATATTACCTTAGGAAACCACGTAGTAGACCACAAAAAGACTAAAAGGAAAACGAAAACAGGAGAAGTGGACACACAGGATTTTCCAACAGAGATTTGGGTGGGCCTGCAGTTGAGGGAGTTTTCACTTCTCTAAGCAACGAAGCCAAATCCTAACACTCTTCTTTAGGGATATAATAAGCCAAGAAGCCCTCACTGAGCAGGAGTTTCAAGTAGATCTCTTTAATGACCCCTTGCAACACTGAGATTCTGCGACCAACAGGATGGAAGTTGAGAAGAGAGAAAAAGTTAAGTTACTGCATAAAACAAGTCCCAAATTAAAAGGCTATAGAAAAATATTCAAATAAATACATAGACCTTTAACAGAAAGAATGTGAATTAAGAGAAGGATAACAACAGATAGGAATTAATAGGAACTGGAGATTAAGAGACTCCAAATGTTTGCAAGTCATAGAAGGAAAAAAAAAAGTGTGTGTGTGTCAAGGAGGAGTCGGGTGGCTTATAGAAGCCCATGCTATAAATATCAAGACTTCGCTGGAGGTCTCACCTTTGTGCCCTTTCCAGCATGTCTCTTCTTGCTCAAGAGCCACATCTGTTATCCCTACATACTGTCCAGGGATCAGGTTTCCAGCCAAAGACACACAACACTTATTCAGGAACAGATGCAGTAATATTTCAATTTGTTTGCTTAAAGTTTTTGTGTTTTTATTCACTTGCTAGCACTTCTTTTAGACACTATTTAACGTAAACAGAAGTTTTGTACATTTCTTACATACCCTGAAGAGGTTTCATTCTATAAATTTCTTCTCCATAATATAGTTCCAATTTCAGGAAACTTTACTTTTCTAAGAGATTTGTCTGCACTCAACCATAGTACAGTAAAGCGTTGCACTTTGTGACTAACCATGTTCCAGAGAATGTCTTTGGACACGGTTTTTATTTTTTGCAATTTCCACAACTTTATTATTTTTATCTAAACTTAATTTTTAAGGTATATTTTTAAATTTAGCATAGGTCTGGCCCATGGCCCATTTATTTACATCAATAAATCAAGTTGAAGTCATCAACTGTGGTTTAATTAAACAATTAATTTAATTAATCTAATCAAGTTTTATTTTCTATAATAAAAAGCAATTTAAACTCTACATATTGGTGAAGAGTTTGAAAATTGCTTGAGTTTTTATTAGATAACGATACAGATTTTTTTGTAAAAAAGATAACAGATTTTTTGTTAAAACAGCAGAGGTATTTACTCTAAAATACTCCACTGGTTTAAAAAAAAAAAAAGAATTTCCATGAACCTGATACGTTTAAAGTTGACTCGCAATGACTTCTTTCTTTCTTTTTTTCCAGAAGTTCTATTGCCTTCATATTTTCAAGGCTCTGGATGGATCCAAAAAATTAAACTAAAACTGAAGGCAAATCTTAAATTTCTTTAGTAATACGCAAAATATGAATTAAAACACATGAACTCTTCTGAAAGGAATCGACCCATTTAAAATGCCAAAGAAGCTACTGGAAACACAGAATTCATTTCTGGCTCATTAACGTTGTTGATAGGAGCAACAACATGCTTATTGCCGAGAGCGGTCTCTGCCAGTGGCTCTGAATGCTCCCCCTGGACAAGAAAAGCCATCTGGGGAGGGACTTTCCTAAGAGACCTGTGGTCCCTACACAAACTTGAATTCCTTTTGGCTTGTTATTTAGGATTCAGAAGCCAAAAAAGAATGCCAGGAACTACATATTCCCCAACACCAAACCACCACCAACAACCATAACAAGAAACAACAGCAGCATAACCATATGAAAAACAGGGGCAACAAAGGGAACTAAAAGACAAAGAGGAACTGGCAAAACCCCAGTTGAAAACAGCTGAGATGACCCAATTCCCCCATGCTATCTCTCCAAGACAGGTGCTCCTTATGCCCATCTCTGTACCAGATGCACAGGGAAACACAGGCACAGGTGTGAATGATGTAGGAATCTTACCCATCAATTGTGGAAGGAAATGACATGTTTTGTGAAATTCCTTTGGAGTAGTAAAAAATATAAAGCAGTGAAATTCCCACTTTATAGGAAATTCCTCTTACGCAAAAATTGCCCCTAAGAACAAACACTAGTCAAGAAAATGTAGGAGTACTTGTCAAGAATGAGAAGACCTGAGATTTTATCATTTTTCCTTCACTGAAGAATTTGATTCAGGAATTCCTGACCTGCATCTGGTGTTGGTTTCTGGCTTGTGTTTAACCTTTGGGTGTGTTCAGCGAGGAATGTCTGCTAATCATGTTTAGCCCAATAAAATCTGGCAGCTTAAAAATGTTGACGCTATTTTAGAACTATGGACTTCAAAAGAGTAAAGATTTTGTATAAATTCAAGCTGTCGTGAAGGAGAAATGGTGTCACTGCCCAACAGGCCAGCAATCTAGGGCTGCAGATGTCTCCCTCTGTCTGCTGTAGAGGAAGATATATGATGAAGAGCTAAGGAAGATAGATGCAAATTGATTTTAGAGAAAGTCTGCCTGCTGTTTCATTCATTCATTCACTCATCCATTCTTTTACCCCTTCATTCATGAGATGTTTGTTAATGTCCACTATATGTCAACCCTCTGCTCAGACACAATGCTGAAGAGTGAGGAGAAGAGAAAGAAAAAAAAAGGAGGAGGAAAGGGAAGAGAATGAGAAGAACAAGAATAGGATAAACCCAAAATGTCAGCAGACAAATAATTATTGAGTATTTATTATATGGCAAGTACTATGCTGAGTACACTATCTACTTTCTATAAGGTGCACTATCTCATGGAAGCTTCTCAACTCCTTGATGTAAATACTGTTATTTATTCCCACTTTTTAGATGAGAAAAATGAGATTCACTTAGAACAAGTAATTACTCCTGGTCAACTGAGTCATTAAGTAGCTAACATTTTCTAGAAACGAAGCCGCTCTGATTGGCAACACCTTATTACAAGAAAGGGCATGGTCTCTGCAAACAATGGCCAGGGTTGAAATTGTGGATCTGCCACTTACTGGCTATGTGACCTTGGGAAAGATAACCTGCTTCTGCCCCAATTTCCTACGTGGATGTTAAGATTAGGTGCGTTATTATATGTAAAATAATCGGAATTACACTTGGCTTATAGGATGTACTACGATGTGCTTTTTATTATTCCAAAGCCCAGGCTCGTAACTATCACTTTCCTGTCCTCAGGGAGCTTAGAGTTTGAGGATCAATCGAGACCAGTGGACAGCACATTACAACACAGCGTGCTAGGGCTCAGACAGGCTAAGAGCAGGTTGCTAAGGAAGCGTGCCCTTAGAATCTGTGTCCAGACTTGAGGATTCAGGGAATCTTCCTAGAAGAAGTGACATCTAAGCAGGAAGACCTGGAGGATGAGGAAGAGGAGTGAGCTAGTTGAGAGTTCTGAGAGTTGGGATGTGTGCTCAGGGAAACTAATTGTTTCTGAGAAATACAAATTAGAAAAAAAATTAATTCAGAGAAGTACTGCAAGTCCTCATTAATGTTTTTCTGACTATTGAAGCAGGAAATAGTGTACTTGACAAATCTGGTATAAATAATATTTACAAATATATGCTAATGGAATCTGGAATTAGCATTTCAAGCATCAATAATTTTAAAAGGACTTTTGATCACTGTGAATTGATATTCAACACTGTTAGTCTGAACGGTTACATTTCAGAATATACTTTTCAGAATATAACTTACGCATTCTTTTCCTGTTACTTCTTGTCCTTTTTTCTTCTTCTGTTTCTGTTTTCTCTGCACCCCGACTCCGGCTTGCTTTCAGGGACAGAATTCATATCAGGAATAAGTGCCTACTGTGAAACTCTTGGTCATCTCAGCGTGTCTGACAGCCTCAGTGTTGCCCCACTGGGGAGAAAAGGCAGCTTAAGTAATGGGAAGCAAGGAGAAAAGTATATTCAGAAAAAATAGCCCTGACCAGGCACGGTAGCTCGTGCCTGTAATCCCAGCACTTTGGGAGACCAAGGTGGATGGATCACCTGAGGCCAGGAGTTCAAGACCAGCCTGACCAACATGGTGAAACCCCATCTTTACTAAAAATACAAAAATTAGCTGGGCGTGGTGGCGCACACCTGTAGTCCCAGCTACTTGGGAGGCTGAGGCAGAAGAATCGCTTGAACCCAGGAGGTGGAGGTTGCAGTGAGCCAAGATCGCACCATTGTGCTCCAGCCTGGGCAATAGAGTCAGATTCTGTCTCAAAAGAAGAAAAGAAAAATATAGCCATGTGTAGGTTTTCTCTAGCGCACTCTGATGCTTGTAAGTCTTACTCACTCAGCACTCTTGCCTGCTCTACATGCTAGAGGCTGCTCTTCGCACTCATTATTTTATTACTTTCTGTAAAAATGTCTTAATATTCAGAATGTAGTATTTTCATCCAAAAAATTAATAATATGATTTTGATCAAGGCTGTTGTAAGCTCCAAACTGATCCTCAATATAAAAACCAAGGCATGTGAAACCCACGTTTCACCTCTTACCAAGACAGGCTGTAGTACTTGATCACTTAATCCAGGGTTATGCAACCCACACAAGAGCAAAGTGAGAAAGAGATTGCTTTTGTTAGCACTTGCTAGGAATTCCCAGTTTATAAAAAGAAAGATGTTGCTATCCTCCCCTGCAACAGCAGAAGGCAATTGCTAAGAAGGCAATCACTAAACATTTCCATTATAAAATTTCAACCCCACAAAATGCACTTTTAAGTTAAATTTCACTTTTTTCTGTAAAAAAGACACGTACTTAAAAAAAAAAATTCCTCAAGGAAAGAGTATCTGTTGTGACTACTCATTTATTTTTTTTTTGTAAGTTTTATTTGACCAGTTCCCATATGCTCTTGCTTTGTCATTTGTGGCTAACACAGGGAGGTCAGGAGGGCACAACTTCATGTTCAGGGAGATGCCCCTGCTGTCTGTGAGCTCTTTTGAGTGTAATGATGGTAATAATAGCTTTCACCTCTACTTTCTGTGATTTCTAAACAAGAAAGTCTTGTTTGCAAAGTCCAGACAGGATCCCTGCTTCATTTTCTCAACTTGCCTTTGCTGATTAGAAAACAAACTTATCCAGGCCGGGTGTGGTGGTTCACGCCTGTAATCCCAGCACTTTGGGAAGCCTAGGTGGGCAGATCACGAGGTCAGGAGTTAGCCTGGCCAACATGGTGAAACCCCGTCTCTATTAAAAATACAAAAATTAGGCGGGCTCGGTGGCGGGCACCTGTAATCTCAGCTACTCGGGAAGCTGAGGCAGGAGAATTGCTTGAACCCAGGAGGCGGAGGTTGCAGTGAGCCAAGATCATGCCACTGCGCTCCAGCCTGGGTGACAGAGCAAGACTCCATCTCAGGGGAAAAAAAAGAAAGCAAACTCACCCAAATCCCCTTTCTCTTAGTGGAACCTAATAATACATGCACAAAAATCACAGTATAATTTAGTGAGCTATATTTAAAAACTGGTTATATCCTAGTTGACTGAATTTTTTCCATAAGAAAACCTAGAAATGTCTTACATTATAAATATGAAAATGTTCTAGGCCACATATACACTTGTTTTAGCCTTATTTTCACTTGTAAGTTACTATGCACTGAAACTGTGTTCTTGATATTTCTATCCTATTAATTCATAGAGATACCAGCAGTGAGGATAACAGGAGGATAACTGACGAGGGTAGATAATTGGATGATTCTTCCCTTTAGAACTACTGTCCGTGTACTTCATAAGCAGCAAGTCACAGCCAAAATCCACTGGAGCACTGAGAACCATAGGAGGCACAAACCAAGAAACACAGTTGGAAGATATGTATTTGGGGGGCAAATCATCAGTATCCATGATTGTACTTTGTAGTCATCACTACCACCCTTAAAGAGAGTGTTGATCCTAAATGAAATGGCCCCAGATTATGATGCCTGTTGCGTGGCTTTGCTATTCCCCTGACTGTCATGATGTCAAGAGTCACTACTTTGTACTATTTTCAGTTTGACTTTTAAGACTCCTTTCTGAATTTGTGGCTCTTAATCTACTACAGACTTCTAAGAGAAGGGCTGATGTGCAGGGAGGATTTGTGACTTCTATTTTGGTGCTCAGGAGCCTGTTTTTACTTTGTTCCTGATTCCCAATGGTAATCTGGATAGTTGAGGTTTTCAGATAAATGAGGGGTTTGCCGTATGAGGCTGCAAGGTTTGAAATGGAAACTCTGTGCCTGAGAGTAAGCAATTCTGAATGTGAAAATATGTTTCCAATTAAGATAATTTGGTTGTCCATATTCTGGGCATACCAAAGTTAAAATTAATTCTTGTTCTTCTTTGACATGGATTTGACCAAAATCAAATGTTCTTACTATAAAAACGTATTCCATATATAGCTTTCTTTTCACTTGATGCCAAGTGGTTATTAACTTATTTCCATAATCTTTTACAGATCTCATGTTACAACAATATGGCCATAGAAATCTACAGCTCTTTATTTTCAACACATAGGAACCTGATTTTAGCTAAAAACAAAGTACATATTTCAAGCAAATGAACAAAACGTTGAAGCATATGGACAAAAGAACACTGAAATTATCATGGTTATTCAATCAGTTTATGATTATGGCAAAACATTTCTAGTATAAAACATGTGTTGAACACATGCTTGGCTGTCTTTCAAAATAGTTTCATAGAACAATCAAGAGGACAAAAAGTCAAAGTGCTTTTTACATTTTTAATACTAAGTTTCTGCTAAGGCTACAATCTATCAATAATATAGTTCTAGAAATATCAAGTAATAATTAACTGTTTCATTGTCATTTTGTCTTTTATATTTAATGCAAATTTTAAAATACTTTTTAGAAATACCCAAGTCAAAATTTGCTGTAAAATATTTCTGGACAAATTGAAGTACATAAGCTTATCTAGGACATTGTCCATTGTCCATTGTCCACACTGAAGGCAATTCTTCCACTAAATCCCTGTATCTTACTTTACAGCCAATTTGGTAATATTGAAACAAAATAAAGAACTGTATCAATTAGCTAGATATTTCTTTTCTAAAATAAAGCAACTTCACTATTTTTTCCTGATTTTTATGTATAATATGTGCTTGTGGAGAAAATCAAATCCATATAGGTACTCCTTTGCGGACTGCAATATTTGTGAAATCTATGTCACGAAACAATCAGTTAATTTTAACCTTAAAGAAACTCAAAACAGGCTGGGCGTGGTAGCTCACGCCTGTAATCCCAGCAGTTTGGGTGGCCAAGGTGGGCAGATCACTTGAGGTCAGGAGTTTGAGAGCAGCCTGGCCAACATGGTAAAACCCCGTCTCTACTTAAAATACAAAAAAATATAGCCAGGTGTGGTGGTGGGTACCGGTAATCCCAGCTAATCCAGAGGCTGAGGCAGGGGAATCACTTGAACCCGGGGAGGCAGAGGTTACGGTGAACCAAGATCACGCCACTGCACTGCAGCCTGGGTAACAGAGGAAGACTCCATCTCACACACACACACACACACACACACACACACACACAAAGAAATTCAAAACAGTATGAAGAAAGTAAACATGACTCTTAATCCTACCACCCAGAGCTAGGCATCCTGAACTTGTGAGGGAACATCTTTCTAAGTATTTCTCTATGCATACACATATGTATATAGAAGCACACAATTCAAACAAATAGAATTATCTAAATTATTTCATAATCTGCTTTTAAATCACCATGTTATATAAATCTTTCTCTGCCTATGAATATAGATATACATCATCTATCAAAGAGTTACACAGTATTGGAATATATGGCTAGGCTACAGTTTATTTAATCAATTTTGTATTAATGGATTTTTATTCTTTGATTTTGATTTTTTCTATAGACTAGAGACTCACAATGTTACCCAGGCTAGTGTTGAACTTCTGGCCTCAAGTGATCCTCCTGGCTCAGCCTCCTTAGTAGCTGGGATTACAGGTACGAGCCACCATGCCTGGCCTATGAATGGATTTTTTAAATTGCTTCCAGGATTTATTGATTTTTAAAAAATACTGTGGTGAACATTATTGTGCCTTTCAAATCTGACTTCTTTTCTTCTGGGAAGCTATCAGAACATCTCTTTTATGGGCTAGAACCTTGGACATACCCAAACAATGATTTTTCTTTTCTCATGGAAAGTAGAATTGACACATTGACCATTGTCTATGATCATAAGCAACCACTGCAAGGATCTGTGTGGCCATTTCCAGAGGAAATTTTGAAACATTAGATGTTCTGTTTCTTGTTGTAAATATTAGGTTGGTGTAAAAGTAATTGTGATTTTTCCAATTACTTTTAATGGTAAAGACTGCAGTTGCTTTTGCACCAACATAATGTATATATTCCAGACTCTATATATAATATATATATAATATATATAACAAGAAACAGAACATATAATGTTTCATATACTTACAACAAGAAACAGAACCTCTAATGTTTCAAAATTCCCTCTGAAAAATTCCCTTTTTGTCTACGTGGACTTGGTTTTCCTTTTGTGCATGGTATTAGATTGATCTTGGAGAGAAGGAGAGATACATTTCATCTAACACAGTGCAGCTGAATAGGACTGCTTTGAGTATACTTGTCTCTTAAGAAAGGCTAGTCTTATATTTTAAGAAATTATGTTTGAAGCAATAATGTTATTGTCACTTAGACCTTTTCCTCTCAGGAAGGAAGGATTTTTTCTTTTCTGGGTCTTCTTGTTAATAAAAATAAATTAAATATTTGAATTGTTTGTTTTTACTTGCTTTAAAAATAAAGAGCCAACAAAAATCTAAAGAAAACATTTCTAAAATCATTGGGTGGCTTTAAAGACTAGAATGAAGTCTTTATGCTAAAGGAGTCAGTAGACACAATTATACAGATTTGTTTTAAAAAGCTCCAAGGAGGGGGAGAAAAAAAGAGAGTACACTGAAATTGATGTAGCGAAGCCAAGAATCATTTAGAGCTTCCAGAAAACTGGGACAAAAATCAATAGGAAAAGGGGTCTTTGTTTATAATGGAATTTGAAATTCAGAAGTAAAATTCAGTAAGTAGCTAGAGCTCCCTGAAGAATTGCTGAGTGTGAGTGAGTGAGTGAGTGAGTGAGTGAGATTTGAAGAGGCACAGGAGAGGAGAGGGAGGGAAGGAGGTTTTATTAATATCAGACAGTTTCAAGGAAAGAGCAAGCCATGAATAATTCCCTAAGCTACTAGACTTTATCTGGGGTGGGGGGAGATTTATGAATATTATATAATTTTTTTCAAGTTTTTTTCTCTTCATTCAAGTCAACTGAGTTTTGTCTAATGTCCAAAGGAGGTCCTTGGCCTTCAGTTCAACTTAGCTCTCTCTTATTTTGTTAGAGAGCCATACAGGAGTGTATTCATATTGACCGCTGCTAATGATAAGATTTAAGAAGGATCTCCAAAATTAATCCAGACCTTCCATTTCCAGAAATGGCCAACTAGGATTAAGAGCAAACCATCATATCTTCTGCTGAAAGAATGAACATCAGATTAATAGTTTTCTCCAGGAGGAAAAGGTGTGGTGTTATGATTGAGACAGGATATGAACAGGTTCTAGGGCAATCTTCTCTTTCCTGATCTGATGTTTCCCAGGTAATAATTTTATCTCTTGGCCTGGGTGGTGGCTAGTTGTTTTTGTATTGTTGTGTATTTAAATTATATGTCCCAGGCAGGGGCACGGTGGCTCACGCCTGTAATCCCAGCACTTTAGGAGGCCAAGGCGGTGGATTACCTGAGGTCAGGAGTTCAAGACCAGCCTGGCCAACATGGTGAAACTGTCTCTACTAAAAAATACCAAAAAAAAATTAGCTGGGCATGGTGGCTGGTGCCTATAATCCCAGCTACTCAGGAGGCTGAGGCAGGAGAATGGCTTGAACCCGGGGGGCAGAGGTTGCAGTAAGCTGAGATCGCACCACTGTACTCCAGCCTGGGTGACAGGGCGAGACTCCATCTATTAAAAAAAAAAAAATTGTAAGTCACAATAATTTTTTTTAAATGTGTTTAGTTCTCAAATTCAGCCCTCAACCATCAGCAGTTAGATTTTGCCCACTCAAGATAGATTTTCATTCCCCATGAAAAGAAATATTATCTTCCTTTAGGATCCAAAGAACACTTTCTCAAATCCCAATTCCTATTGGCTTCAATAATCTTTTATATAAAGTTGAAAGCTACAGAGCCCATGTGGAAATACTGAAAAGATTTCCATGACAATTTTTGTCACAGCATTACAGTTTATGAGGTGGCCAAATAGAATCATTTATAAGAGAAATAGTTGCTAATGTTTCTACTACACAATGTTGTTTCAGCAAGGAATTCCTATTCCTCTCATATAACTGCTTTAAATCTTGCATTAGAAGTTTACTTTCTGCAATTTTCCTGCAAATGAAAAAGGAATGATATGGTTTTTAGTAATTAAAATCAAAAGCTTGATTTCTTTTATTTAGTTGAAAAACACTTGGACTAGAAACTCCTTTTTTTTTTTCTGATCTTGTGGCCCAGACTGGAGTGCAGTGCCGCTTTCTCAGCTCACTGCAACTCTGCCTCCCAGGTCCAAGTGATTCTCCTGCCTCAGCCCTCTGAATAGCTGGGATGATAGGCACGCACCACCACGCCCAGCTAATTTTTGTATTTTTAGTACATACAGGGTTTCACCATGTTGGCCAGGCTGGTCTCGAACTCCTGTCCTCAGATGATCCGCCCGCCTCGGCCTCTCAAAGTGCTGGGATTACAGGTGTGAGCCACTGCACCTGGCTGACTAGAAACTCTTAACCTCATTCTAGAGAATCATTGTCATCATCAGAATAATTTCATCAACCATAGCTAACTTTTCGTTGGACACTTCTTATGTACAGACATTGTGCTAAGTACTTACAAACATTATCTCATGCCTGTAATCCCAGCACTTTGGGAGAGAGAGGTGGGTGGACGACAAGGTCAGGAGTTCGAGACCAGCCTGGCCAACATGGTGAAACCCTGTCTCTACTAAAGTTACAAAAAAAAAAAAATTATCTGGGCGTGGTAGCATGCGCCTGTAATCCCAGTTACTCGGGAGGCTGAGGCAGAAGAATCGCTTGAACCCAGGAGGCGGAGGTTGCAGTGAGCCGAGATGGTGCCATTGCACTCCAGCCTGGGCAATGGGGTGAGACTCTGTCTCTAAAAAAAGAAAATAAAAGAAATCTGAGGACCATAAAATTTAAGTATCTTGCTACTAAATGGTAGAGCTGAGATAAATCTAGGTCTGTGACTCCAAAGTGATGGCTCATAATCACTGTTCTGTGACTTACATAGGCTGTAAGGACATTGATACCAAATCATTAAAGATTTTTAAGATTTTTGAGGGGTTTTTCCTCAAAAGATAAAATTTAAAGTACGATTTTAAAAAGTTGCAATCTGATGGGCTATTTTCTCTTCTCTGTGGCTCTTGTATCCCTGCACTCTCTGTGTCCATACATTTTCTTGAAGACTTAATTACTCCCATTGTTTCCATTTCCATAATTATGATAGCATCTGGTTAGACAGCTTCTCCTAGAATATAAATTAGTCTTGTGTCCTCAAGTAAAATTGGAAATAGCCACTTTGAAGAAATGAAAAATTTCTGTTTTAAAAAGTGTGAAAATAGAGTAGATTACAGTAAAGTGGACTGATAAATCTATTTTTCTAGTTGATATGGAGATATCATGTCAAATTTTATTTTCATGAGACCAGGTGACTTGGTTTCTCCATAGTCTTAAATTCATAAAGTTAATAATTTATGTGGAGAATATATGACACTGATATTTGACCTATAAAAATTAACCAATAGGTAGGAGGGCAAAGTTACCACTGGTTAAACTGAAGTGTTCAGGTTATTTACAAAGTTGCTTTTGTCTATTGTTGACAGGATTCATTTAAACTGTTCAAAGTGGTGAATTAAATGGAGAAGGGGTTTACCACCTCTGTATCCTTTAGGCCTTTAAGTATGCCACTAACTCTGCTTTTTCTAAAAAATGTGATACTGTTTGGTGACAGTGTGTATATGTGATGGCATGGATGAGGACTGGGGACTGTTTCAGAGGTTTCCACTTAGCCTTGAACACTACAATAGCCTTGAACACCCCACAAGCTCAGGAACCAGGGTGAGGCTCTTGCCATCTGTCAACTGTGTTCATTCCAATTAAACAATTTTGGACTGGGGAAATTACCACGGTGAGGTCTGTTTACCTAATCTACTATGAGCTGGATCTTGGCCAAGACTCCAAATTTCTCATACTCCACTCGAACAGGAGGATTGGGATGAGTTTTCCTATCCCAGTGTCAGTGCGGACCCTGTGTCCAACAATGCTTGAAACTTTTGGCTTTCCCTTTTGCCATGTACGGTTACTTGAGTAAGTAGCCATATGTCTCTTTGAGGAAGAACCAGGAGACTCATTGCTCTACTTACTATTGAAAGATCCTTTCTCCTGGGGACCTAAGCTCTTATTCAGACAATGGACTATGGGTTTGAAACTGGCTCAGCTCTGGAAACTGGGCAAGGGATTATAACTTTTTATTTGGATGACTGCCTTCAGTCTTTTGGTCATACCTCCTTGATTCTTTTTTGGTTGTATAGATTGAGACAACCCTTGTTTTACCACCTAACATACTTGAGGTGTACCATGTTCAGTTAGCCACTTGCATAGCCTACAAATCGTGATCTTGCCACTTATAATGGCACCCACTTTCTTCTGCATTGAAGCACTGCCACCTAGCCTCTTTTATTTCAAGCTTCTGTCGGGGAGCACAGTTCTGTGACACCATCTTCCATCATTGCGCTGGCCTGTAGAAGATAGTCACCTCCGAGCCTCTCTGGGGTGCATTCCTTATCACTCTGGTGTATGGGGTGTCCTCCAGGTTTTCTCCTGGAGCAAAGCTGTCAGGTAGGTTTTCAGCCCTTACATAGCACATTCACTCCAGAAGGTCCTGCTCTCCAAACTGTTTGATCTCTTCTTCCACATTCTGCCATGGGTATTTTGGCATATCTAATTCACTCAGTGTGGAGCACTGCTTTCTCCAAGCTTTGAAGTGCTGCCCTAGAAGCATGAAGCAGAGTTTAGCACCATCTCTGGATAAAATCTTCCTTATCTGACTTTTATGTTCCAGCCCACTTCATTAATCACCCTCAGGACACAGAGCCATTCATATTCCCTTGGCTCCACATGGTCTGTGATAGCTACATCCTGTAGCTCTTTTTGCGTATAATGCTTTTTCTCTCTTAAAGAATACAACACATCCCTAGTGAGTATACTGTGATTAACTCTAGTTAGGTCACTGGTGGCCAGGGAGGAAGATGGGGTTAGACACCGTGGGCAGCATGTGCTGCCTTGCAGGGCAGAGATCTCTCATCATCTTCAGATAAAGGGTATAGCACAGGCCTATAGCAGAGAAAAGTGGCCACTTGTACTGGTTCAGAGGGCTCAGAGAATCTGGGAGTTCAAGATTATCAAATGCATCAACTCAGATATCCCTGTAACATGTCACACTCCTTTCCAGCTGTGGCCTGGCCTGGGTGTAGCAGGTCTGACTGAGAAGTCAACCTCCTCTGTAGCTCGCACAGTATTCTAATTAGGTCGTGGGCCTACTCAGTTTTTTCTTGTCTGCTGGCTGCAGATGATGAGAGTCTCTTTATATGCTACAAAGGAGGCCCGGTGGCTTTCACACTTAGCCTTAATTAATGATTAATCACTGTGGTAGGCAAAATAATAACCCCTGAAGATGTCCACATTCAAATCCCTGAAACCTGTAGAAAAGAGATTTTACAGTTGTTGAGATGTTGAAGATTCTGAGATGGGAGATTAGTGTGAATTATCCGAGTAGGCCCAATGTAATACCAAGGGTCCTTATGGAAGCGGGGAGGAGGGTCGGGGTCACAGAAGGAGCCTGGATGGTGGGAGCAGAGGTTGGAAACATATGATTGCTGCCTGGGAGCCAGGAACCAAGGAATGCCTGCGGCCTCTGGAAATTGGAAAAGGCAAAGAAATGGAGTGTACCCTAATGCCTCCAGAAAGAATGCATCCCTGTCTATACATTGATTTTAGCCCACTGAAACACATTTTGACCTTCTAACCTTGAGAATTTTAAGGTAATAAATTTGGGTTGTTTTAAGCCACCAATTTCATAGCAATGCATTATACCAGCAATAGGAAGCTAATACTTTTCACCGTCTTTCTGAAAACTTAGCTGTGACAGCCCTCAGCAACAGCCATCCAATTCCATAGTCCTTAGGTAGTAAGACTTCCCAACCTCTCAAATCCCTAATATCTTGCACCTAATACTTCATTACCTTCCACCAAAACCCATCCAAGCTCACCACCACTGAAAGTTTTAACAGTTAACACTGCTACTACTACCAGGGCTACTACCCTAGCATGGGGACCTCATGGCCGCTGGTCAGCAGGTGCTCCAGCTCCCAATCCCATTTGGTGTCTGTTTCCTTAAACCACTTCTGGCAGCAACTGTTGCAGACCAGGCTCTTCAGGAATCATACTGTGAGACAACGATTTGTGTGAATGAAATATGTTGGTGAGAGCCCCTGGGGATGGAGAGTGGTGGGGACTGAAGGAAGGGGGAATGAGCAGAGCAAGAAATTGAACCAAGATACAGCAAAAACAAAGGCCTCCATGGATCCCACGCAGAGCTCTCTAGCTGGAATGGCCCTTCCAAGAGTCAAGACAGGCAGGAGTGCCAGGCTTTATCTCCTTCCACTAAAAATTTATCATATTTAAGCTGCCTAGAAAGGGGGCTGTTTTAGTTTATTCAGACTGCTATAATAAAAATATAAATTGGGTGGCTTATAAACCAGAGAAATTGATTTCTCACAGTTCTGGAGGTTGGGAAGTCCAAGATCAAGCCACCTGCAGATTTGACATCTGGCGAAGACCTGTTCCTCATAGAGGCCACCTTCTAGCTATTGCCCTCACTTAGTGGAAGAGGAAAATGAGCTCCCTCAGGCCTTTTATAATGGCACTAATTCCATTCATGAGGGCTCCACCCTCATGGCCTAATCACCCTTCGAAGGCCCCACATCCTAATACCATCATCCTGGGAGTTAATATTTCAAGATGTGAATTTTGGGGACACAAACATTCAGACCATAGCAGGGACATAAACTTGGGTGAATGGCTCTCTTTAGCCCAAGGGTAATGTCCACAGAGGGACTCAGCTAAGAGCTGTTAGCCACCAACACTCTCAGCAGCTGGGCAGTGAGCGCTCAGTCCTGTCTTGAAGGTGGGCAGGAATCGGGATGGAGGGGGAAATCACAGTATCTGCTACCATATGCATGTGTGTGTATAGATGTAGGGACGGATGTGGATATTAAACATGTCCTCTGTGAGTGAGCATAAATATAGACACATTTACAGTAACTTTTTCAAATAGAAATGTCATGAACCTCTCCTGTAAGCATAGTCTAGTTTCATCCTCCTATCATTTCCTAGACTCATCAGTTGTGTTCATGTCTATATCCTAAGCAGGGTCGTCTTGCTGGAATAGGAGCTGCCTTCCCACCAAATTACAGAATCTCAGTACTTCCCTATCCCATGTCTTTTCAGGAGTTTGCAAATGTGTGTAGTGTATGTGGGGTGTGAGTGTGTATGTGAGAGTGCATGATGTGTGAGGGTATGTGTGGTGTGTGATATGCGAATGTATAAGTATGTGATATATGTGGTGTGTGGATGTGGGTGTGGTGTGCATGTGAGTGTATGGAGGGAGTGGGAGGGGGTGATCCGAATTGTCACCAGCCGATCTGATGTCCCTCCCTGCTCCCACCCTTTTTGGTGCCCTTGTCTTGTCACCCTTTGGCCCCTGTGTCTGGTGTGGCTGTGCTGATGCCAACCTCTGCCGCCCACAGGTGGCTTCCTTGCCCCTGCCCCAAGCCTCCTGGTGTGTGGGGGTCACTGGCTGGTCTTCCTGGGGTGCCCATGCAGTGCCACTCTGCTCTTGACTTCTCATATCCGCTGTCCCTGGCCCATGAACTCCCTGCTCCCCTCCCTGGGTGGTCAGTGGTTTTGTTTCTCTCTCTGGTTAGTCCTGACACTCACTCCTTTCTCTTTCTCACTTTTCCTCCTACAGGATAAGGCTTGTGCTCCTAGTAGTCTGGTTCTTTATTTTATATCAAATTCTTCTTCTACATAGCCATCAGCATCTCCTGAGAAGAAGGGAGAAGCCCTGAGTCCATGAGTTTTCACACACACACACACACACACACACACACACACACACACACACACACATTTAACCTGGACCCAATGGGCTCCTGCAATACCGATGCCTTGTCCCTGAGTCTTATCTTTCCTGCCAGCCTTCTGCCTTATCAGAGGCTTTTCAGGATGCCTCTTGCCTCTCCCTGAAGTCCTCTATTATCAACCCCACTAGTCCAGAAGACACATCTGTGGGTGTCTGATCCTGAATCCTAAACAGAGTTCAATTTTTTTCCTATAGAGTTTTTAGGCCTCAAGAAGTTCCGGGCTTATCCCTGTAACTCTGTTTAAGTATTGAGCATGCAGTGAAGGTTGAGGGTTCACCTGAGCATTCCATGGCTGTCCAGAGCCCAGAGCCTCCTGGCAGGAAGTGCTGCCCAACACCACATCCCTGACTCTTCCAGGGCACATCCAGGAGACCTTGCTGCAGGTGGTGGAGTTGTGGCTCACGTGTAACTCATAACTGTGTGTCAGTATCCAAGTTGAAATTTGCTTTAAATCAAACTAATCTTTGGAAAATCACTTTTATTTCAATCTACTGTGAAGTAAGCGTAGTACCATTAATCAGTAAGTCCAACATTTGAACAGATTGTTGTTTCTTATTTGAACAGCAAGTAAATTAGTTGGTTTCTGTTTAGTAGCTATATTAAAACAATAACAATAATGACACAACTATCTTAAAACTCTAGAATGACATTGAGCATGGTGAGGATCTTGCACTATAGAAAGCCTATAAATTCATACCTCTCATCTAACACTCATCCTGTGGCATATGCTCAGCAATGGTAGGCTGATTCAATTCTTTCCATTTCAGTTAAAATAACCCAAATAAGTGTATAGTATAGTGCTGTATCTATGGAAAAAAGATCAGAAGAAAATACATTAGGTGTTTTTTTTTTAATGGCCGCTAGCTCTGGAGGGTGAGATTATGGGTAATTTTACTTTATTTTTTATTACACTTTGTCCTAGTCCATTTTGTATTGCAGTAATGGAATACCTGAGGCTGGGTAATTTTAAAGAAAACAGATTTATTCGGCTTACTATTCTGCTGGCTGGCAGGTTCAAGACTGGGCATCTGGTGAGGGCCTCAGGCTGCTTCCACTAATGGCAGAAGGCCAAGAAGAGCTGAGTGTGCAGAGATCACATGGTAGAGAGGAAGCAAGAGAAAGAGAGGAGAAATAGCAGGTTCTTTTTAACAATTAGCTATTGTGGGAACTAATAGAGTCAGAACTCACTTACTCCTGCAAAGGGCATTAATCTATTCATGAGGGATCTGCTCCCATGACCTAACCGCTGCCCACTGGGCACCCCCTCAAACATTAGGATCAAATTTCAACATGAGGTTCAATGTAGAGGACAAACATCCAAATGTTTTAAAGCTTTTTTTCTTGACTATAAAAGCAATATAAGACCATTGTAGATAAACTGGAAAACGGAAATAAGTTTATGGAGGAGACAAAGATTATCCTAGCATCCCTATCACCTAGAGAAAGCAACTGCTAACATTTTGTTATATTTCATTTCCATTTTTTCCATGTAGCCAGATATGAACATACAGGTGTTAGACCTGAGTTCACACTGGGTGTTAAGTCATGTATTTTCATTTTGTATTTGTTTTTTCACTTAACATTGTATGGGGAGCTTTTTTGCTCATCTGTAACTTTCAAAACATCATTTTTAACAAAGGCTAAATGTTACTACCCTATGGCGAGACACGAATATTATATCCAGTTTCTTGATATAAATAATGATGCAATGAATAAAGTTGTAAATATTCAACCACATATCAGATTCTTTCCCTGGGATAGATGACAACAGATAGGATATGGATTACTTTCATAATTAGAAAAAATATGTAAGTTACATTGAAAAGTATCAAGCATGATGTGGACAAAAAGACCTGCAAAGTATTGGGCTAGCAGCACCAGGTTTGGGGGAAATAAGTCATCTTTTTCTCATGCCAGACAGTACAGGCCAGGAACAAGCCTGCCTGTGTTCTGTGAAGGAAACCAGTGTCTGATACATGTAGGTGGTCTAAGCCATCTTCCTTTTCCTAGGAGCAGGAAGACTGGGAACATCTTTCTTGGTAGCATGGAAGAGAAATATATGCAATAGTTATTTCTGACATGGGGAGATTCCTGGGGCAATACTGCTTCTGCCCTTTCACTGAAGGATGTACTCCACTCTCCTTAGAGGGATATGATGGCACAGCAGATAAAGCATCCCTGAAAAGAGGTCATTTTATAGATGTAGCCTCAAAACAAAGCAGCAGAAAGTAGGATGAGTGTGGCTAGGCTGTCCCAGTCACTGGGTGAGCCTAGAGAGAAGGACCCCTGAGCACCCACAGAGGGAGTTCACCATCTCACCCTCTAGGTGAGGGTGATAAACTAGTCATGAAAAGAAATCTCTTTCAGACTACAATCCATACTGTGCTTTGCATCATTCATGCCAGTTTACTAAAATATGCAGAGAAAATGATTGGTTCAAGCTGGGAGAGAGCGTTGCAGAGGGAAACAAGTGCCTAGCTTCTCCCTAGAAGCAGCTTGATATTCATCTCAAATTCATTTCATCCCCTGTATCTCAATGTGCTTCTCATTTGAGAAAACAGTTCAAACCACATATAAACAAAAACTGAGAAAGAAATAGTGGTGTTTCCTTATTTGAGATTTTTTAAAAATCTAAACAATTCTAGGAAATTATTTGGAAAGATTTTGAGATAAACTTTAAACTTTTTCTCTGCAGTAAGGTTGAAAGCTACAGGAAAGTATTTTCACTAACAAAGGGTGAAAATAATGTAAGTATTTTTAAAAACCCTTGAAATAAAGCAACAATTAATCTCTATGGAGTACTACATCCAATAAATGACATGAATGTATGTGTGTTTAGATAATTCTATTTTAATAAGCAGTTGCATATATATAGCATATATATATATATATATAGCATATATATATATATATATATAGCATATATATATATATATATATATATAGCTTTCTGTTTTAGGCTAGCTTCTTTCCCTGTAAAAACAGAGACAGTAAACCTTAGTAGGCTACATAATAAATTATAATAATGGACATGATAGCTCTTGTGAATAGTGGCTTTTCTCTGAACACAGTGACAGACAACCAAGTCGTTGCAATCTCTCTCTGCACAGCTAAATTAAGAGACTCCATCATCGATCACGTTGAATTTGTTAAAAGGCTTTTTATGTCACTCTGGTACAGCACTAGCCTATTATAGTTACTGTCATGCTCCTCATTTTGTTAAGAAACCAGCTGTTCTTAGAAGAAAGCAAAGTTGCATTTGATGTGAAAGAAATGAGTTCGTCAGGCTGGTTGTGAGAAAGGAATCATATTGGAAGATATAAAAGTTGGTAGAGGGTGAAACTTAAAATATCTCCAGGGTGAGGAAAATGAGTGTCAAATAAGAAACAACAAAAAAAAACAATTATTCACATTAATATCCTATTAATATAAATTACTGACATTTGTATTTTTTAGAGGACATCATAAACTGTTCAATCATTTATATTTGATTTTCAAAATAATACCATGAGTGAGGAATTTATCACCTGTGTTCCTCAGCTGACAAAACTAAAGAGAAGAAGGGTTAATTAACTTGTTTAAAGTCACCAGGCTTTAGGCCAGGTGCAGTGGCTGATGCCTGTAATCCCAGCATTTTGGGAGGCTGAGGCAGGCTGATCACTTGATGTTAGGAGTTCAAGACCAGCCTGGCCAAAAAGGTGAAATTCCGTCTCTACTAAAAATACAAAAATTAGCCAGGTGTGGTGGCACGTGCCTGTAATCCCAGCTACTCAGGAGGGTGAGGCAGGAGAATCACTTGAACCTGGGAGGCAGTGGTTGCAGTGAGCCGAGATTGCACCACTGCGCTCCAGCCTGGGTGACAGAGAGCAACTCTGTCTCAACAAAAAAAATTAAAAGTAAAGTAAAATAAAGTCACCAAGCTAGTCAGTGTCAGCATTGGAACCCGGCCATCTGCTTCTCAATCTGTAGCTCTGGTTGCATAAATAGGTCTCTACCTTCTTCTCATATTTGTATTTATGCATATCTGTAAATTTATACCCACAATAAGTTCAATTCAAAGAATATTTATTGACCTCTTAATAAACCTTCGAATTATGGTTTTGATTCTGTATCTCCTAAACTCATTTTTCCCAAAATACTTCAATATCATTATTTCTATATTCTTAGCAAAATGTATTAAACAAGTGGTCAAAATTCTATTATTTTCATTTATTGGCTGAAGAAGTGGAAGGGTTAAGTGACATTCCTAAAATCAAATGAGCTAAAAGATGGCACAGAGCTGTGGAGAGTTCAGATTTCCTGACATCATCCTGACACCTTCACAATTTGTCACAGGTTTGTGGGTAAGGCTGAGAAAATCATGTACCACCAACATTTTTTTCCTCATGGAGTCCAAATAATCTATGACAATCTGTCACTTGGTCTTATGTTAAAGTCTGTGTTTTCGTGAATCCACCGTTAGTTTCTAATGTTCATCTGTTTGTGATCATGTCACTTCTACTTCCATTATAACAGCAGTCTGGCCCATCAAGGGGCTGAGATGAGCATAGTTTAATGCTTGTAGATGGGCTAAGTCTAGAACTTCACTCCTGGTGGCATTGTCCTGCCTCTCCATGCTAACTACCTTTTAGCGCATGTACTGAGTGCCAGGCACTATGCTAAATGCATTATATGCATCTCTGTATTTAATCCTTATGATACGATCATTATAATCCTACTAAATAGGTTGAAATTAATTTGCCCAATTGTAAGTTGGGAAGTGAGAAGACCAGGATCCAAACCCAGGCAGTTTGACTCCCAAGTCCTGATACTTAACCATCATGCCACTTGCCTTAAGTCTCTACCTTGGAGCCATGTCAATCTCTAAATAAGAATACTGCTTCCTGTTCTGGTGCACCTTTCTCACCTTTCTCACTCCCTCTCAATTCAGTTTTCTTCTTCTGCATCAATCATTACTTGATGATGTTTAACCTAAGAGGCAGAACCCAATGACAATTCTCATTTTTTAAGAAACCTCATGGACTTGGTACAGTATTTCTCTTGTGTAAACTGGTATTTGATCTCAAACTTTTCAAAGCTCACCATCAGTCCCAGATGCTGTGCTGACTCTGCAGTGTATGATAAATTGCCTGCTCTTTCAGCTTCTGTGCTTTAAGAACACAGTCATCTGTCTACATTCGACAATTTCTGTGTCATTGTCAATGGTGTCTGAAATGTTTGTAATATGATGAGGTAAAAGAGTCCCCCAGATGTCAAAATATGTATTGTGACATAGCTTTCTAAATTCCTTACTGCATTCTCATATACAACTGCACAGAAAAAGTTGAACAGGACTGAACATAACACATAGTCTGACATCACTCAATTCTTGGTGGGCATGGAGAACTGGTAAACTTTTGAGAGTCTCCAAACTTACTGAAAAGTTGCCAAGTGCTTTTTATGAGATTCTGGAATGCACTTTAGAGATTCTCCTGCTATTCCCTTCACATTTCCTGTGCATTAAAGCTAGGTGCATTGTACTGTGCCTTGATATTAAACACAAGCATATGCTTTTGAATAGCTGACCCTGGAATTTCTAACTAGGATTTGCTTTTTTGATGTGAAGGTTATTGTTTGATATGGTTATTATTTTGTTTAATGTGAGATACTTAGCACTGATTAGCACTACAAGTGGCCATGGGTACATGAAAAGGTGAATTTCAACAAATGTAAATGTCACTCTGGGGAGTAATTGCACATATTTAAATATACAGACCATCCCCGACTTAACGATGAGTTGACTTACAATTTTTCAACTTTACAATGGTGCAAAGGCAATACACATTCAGCACACTCCACTACTTAGGATGCAGCAATGTCTGCTCTTTTCAACTTATGATATTTTCCATTTATGATGAGTTTATCTGGAAGTAACTCCATCATACTTCAAGAGGCACTTGTATACACACCTGTCAAATAGCCCTGTTTACACAAAATCATCAGACTTAACAATAGAAGGATCAGAACTATAATTTGTTATTTCCTAATCGTTCTGAACTTAGTATGGTTTGCTGAAAGTACCCTTCTTTGCCATCAAAAGTTATATAAAAAAATCTTAACAGGCAATCTAGACTGAACATTTGAAAGCCAAGTTGTAAGAAAGGCTTCTTTTTAAATTAGATGGTACAGAGATGTATAGATAATATTAGAAAATGTCAAGGGTGGAGGTAGAAAGGCTATCAGAGTTGTCTGGAATTTGTGACACAGCACTTTTTGCTCTGAGAGTTATTAAAGGTTTCCACTGCCTTTTCAACTCAAGTTCCCAGAACCTACTGGTCAACTCTACCCTGATTAGCTCCTTTGAATTTACAGCTCTTTCTTTGGCCTGTCATCAGATCCTCGTGGGATGGATCCGCTGGGCTCAGGCCCCTTTCCCTGTAATGGAGGGAGATTTGCCAAGTGTTCTAGCTTGGGCTTGGGATAGAAATGATGTATAAATCTTGAGCTGGGCCCTTTAATTCCCTCCCATGTGCAGTGTGTAGGGGCATTCTGTTTCACATCACCACTGTGACTGGAGTGTCCGGGAGCCGTGAAAAGAGTGCTGTCTCATCCACGCTGAGAAAAGTCCCTAAGTGCAGACAGGAATCTTTCCTGCGGGGCCACAGACTGCTATGTCTGAGATGCTGACAACCAGTGGGCACCGGCTGCCCCCAAGCTATTCCCAGGGCTTGGCTGGCAGCAGCTGAACTCAGTACAGTGTTGACATTCCGCTCCTCCGTACGTGGTTCTTGTCCAACTCAGCAGCGGCTCATGCGTCTCCCTCATCCCAATCCCGGCCCCATAGGTGGGAAGTCGGGCTCAATTCTCTTTCAAACTATTGTTTATACACGCTTGTATAAACATGCTCTGCTCCTTAGAGTATTTGCTTCTAATCTTAAAACACATTTTCTCCCCCTAAAAGCAGAAACAAAACAAAAATATACTCCCGGTTGTTATCAATCCAATCTTATCAGCACTAAACAGAACCTGACTTCTGGAATCCACTCCCAGGAGAGGGTGCCCCGCCCCTGCCTGAGGATGCCCCGCCCCTGGCTTCTGCGCAGCCGCACTTGCAGCCACCCTGGGCAGGCAGTGGAAGGTGGGGCCGCGCTGCCTCTGGTGCGCAGAGGCAGAGGCCGCCATTGACCACCGAATCGGCTTGGCTAGAACTCAAAGCCTTGTGCCTGGCTGTCAGTCCCTACCTCACCACGTTGACACAGACTGTGTGGCTTTCAGTGTACCTTTCCACGTATTTTCCTGTCCAGTCAGATGAGGAGAGGGAACAGTCTGAGAGAACCACGAAACTGCCAAACCCAGTGGGCCCGAATATTCCTTCAAGATTTCAAGAAAGCCGACCTTGAGGACGGCCACGGGGCCAACTGCAGTATGGACAAGTCGTTCTTGTAGTTGCACAGATGGCCATTGACAAAAACAGCCCTGCTTGGGTGACTCCTGAGCCCTGATACCCGAATGAGTATGATCAAGCGGTGATGGACCTGGATCCGGCTGTGGGAGTGTCCTGATGAGCCCTGGGCCAGCGGAGGTAAGCCCCAGGCTGGCGGTCACTCCTGGGCACTGGATTTGAAGCTCAGGGCCTCCTTACCCCTGCCACCAGACATCCACTGCGTTTTCTCCCCCATTTGTACCATTCCTTCCAAGAGAGTTAACAGAGTTCCAGGTCCCTCTCATAAAAACGACTGGGAATCGTGTCCAGAGATGTAGGCTGGGCGGAGGCTGGAGACCTTGGATATAAGTGAGGCTGAGGATCTGAGATGCAGACCAGGCATGAGTCAACTGAGGTTTTCAAGCAAGATCAGCGTCAGTGCAGAGGTACAGCTGTCTCCGTTTGGAGATTGGGGAGAAAATCCCAACGTTTTAGTACAAAGGGAGCTTCCTATCCATACGGTGGAATAGCTAGATATTAGGAAAGGAGAATCGAATCTGCTGTTCATTGTCCCAGTTTTCAAAACCCTTGTGGTGACCATTTAGGACAGTCCACTGCAAACTTTGGTTTCCTGACTTCTTTATATCCTTAAAAATGACTGAGGACCCCAAAGAACTTCTGTTCATATGGGTTTTATATATCAGTATTTACTGTATTACAAATTAAAAGGGAGAAATCTGAAACTATCAATTTATTTATTTGTTTATTTTTATTTATTTATTTATTTATTTATTTGAGATGGAGTTTTGCTCTTGTTGCCCAGGCCGGAGTGCAATGACGCGATCTCGGCTCGCTGCAACCTCTGCCTCCCAGGTTCAAGCAATTCTCCTGCCTCAGCCTCCCGAGTAGCTGGGATTACAGGCATCCACCACCACGCCTGGCTAATTTTTTGTATTTTTAGTACAGATGGGGTTTCACCATGTTGCTCAGGCTAGTCTTGTACTCCTGACCTCAGGTGATCCACCAGCCTCAGCCTCCCAAACAGGTGTGAGCCACTGCTCCCGGCCTTATTTAAAACAGTAATGAACCCCTTACATGTGAACATTCTTTTGAAAAATAACTTTGTTTTCCAGAACAGAAGAGTAACATTATATTACATTTTTGCAAATTTCTTTAATATATTCTCTTATCTCAACATTCAGTCTGTTGTGATCAGCCATATAGACTCTAGAAAACTTCACCATCCACCCCAGAGTGAATGAGACTGAAAAAGATAATGACACCTTGCCATTATTATGTAAATAGTTTTGGCTTGGTAGACTGCCTGACAGGGTCCCCACTTTGAGAACCTCTGGATTAGGAAGTTCAGAGGAGTGAGCCAACCACCACAACAAAGCAAGTCAAGGTGCTTGAATTTGGCTCCTGCCTTGTAGCATACACTGGAGGTGAAGGTTTTTTGATGAATCATTCTTTTGATAATATTTTTGTAGGAAAACTTGAAGCAGTTTCATCAAGAATTATGTTTCCATGATATAAATGCTCCCTAAGTCTTCTCCTGGTGTAAGAATTTAGGATGAGAGGCTAGTATTCAGTCTTTGGCTTCATAATGTTCTGATAAGGAAGGAGTAATTTATCCCACAAAAGTCACTGTTTCTTTATCTATTCATTTTTGGGGGCATTATAAATTCAATGAAGTGAAATTCTCCTGATTTCCCTCAACCTCCTTGATTGTTCTTTTTCAGTCTTCTTTACTGGCTTCACCTCTGCCTAAATGTCCAGAGGAGAGTAGGAAGGAGGAACTTCCATCCATGGTAGTTTGAATGGGCTATGCAAGGTCTCAAAGTATTACAAATAGCCGTCTTTCCTGCTGGATGATGGTCTGCTTTCTGGGTTGCAATGGGGAAGATTGATGACTTCTCAGTGCAGGAGAACTTGCAGTGTCCTGAGCCCTCTTCTGTATGCTGTCTCCCTAGATGATTTCATCCAATCCCATGGCTTTCAGTGTTTTTATCCTCAAAACACATTATCTACCACCATTGCTTCTAAATTGAGTTCTGGGCTGAAATTTTAACTGCCTACATGATGTCTCTACTTTTATATCCTGGAGACAACTCAAATTTAACAAAGCCAAAACTGAACTATCTTTCTCCTTAGTGTATATACTCAAATGTGTTTCTTCTTCATTTTTCCCAAGTTAGAAATTTGCATCATAGTCTTCTAAGTTGCTCAGACTATAATTCTGGAAGTCATTCTTGAGACCAACTCATCTTGACCTCTTATACTCTAGTCTGCAATCTAGTTCTGTTGATTTTAATTTCAAATTGTATCTCTACTACTTTAGCTTTTTTCATTACCTCAGTCCAACTTTACCATCATCTTGTGACTGGACTACCACCAGCATCCTTCCTAACTATTCTCCTTATATCCACATACACCATGTTCCCCCTCCAATCTGTCTCCAACAAATTTTTTTAAATCAGAAATACAAATACATCACTCTCCTTTCTATAGTTTTTCCCTGGCCTATCAATGTTCTTAGGATAAAGGTCAAAGTTCTTACCATAGTTCAAAGATACTGGCCCCAGTCTACTTCTCCAGCCTCTTCTTACACCTCTCTCCCCATCACTGTCTGTGAAACCACCCACAGGGGTTTTCGTTCATTCAGTGGCCAATATTTATGTATTGAACATGCACATTGTGCCAGGCACTGAGGATACATACAGTGAGTGGTAAACAAGGCCAAGGAGCCTATTCTTATGGAAATTATATTCTAGAGTAGGGAATTAGGTGACAAGCAATGATATCCATAAATGTCCAAGATAATTTCATATAGTTAAAGTGCTATGAAGAAAATAAAACAATGTGATAGAAAGCCAGTAGTAGGCTATTTTTAATTGGGTGGTCAGAGAAGACCATGCTCTGAAGCTGAGATCAGAGTGACAGGAAGGAGCCAGGTCAGCCATGTTAACATATGGGAACAGAGCATTCCAGGGTAGTGGTGACAACAAAGATAAAAACTCCAAGGCAGATACTGATTCATGAAATAGACCAGTGGGACTTGTCTTAGTATTAGTTTTCAATTGCTGCTGTAATAAATTACCACAAAATTTTGGCTTAAAACAACACAGATTTACTGTCTTTCATTTCTGGGTCGGAAGTCTGAAATGGTCTCACTGGACTAAAACCAAGGTATTCGTTTCTGGAGACTTTAGGGGAGAATCTGTTTCCTTGCCCTTTCTGGCTTCCAGAGGCTGCCCCCAATCATTGGCTCATGGCCCTCCATCTCCATCTTCAAAGCAAGTGGCGTGGGTTGATGCTCACACCACATCGCTTTGACGGCCTTGCTTCTATCATCATGTCTTCTCTGACTCTGACTCTTCTGCCTCCCTATTCAATTTTCAGAACCCTTCTAATTACATTGGACTGCCCAGATAGTCCAGGATAATCCCCCCATTTTAAGGTCAGTGATTAGTAACCTTGATTTCATCTGCAACCTCAATTCTTCTTAGCCATGTAAGATAACATATTCACAGTTTCCAGGGATTAGGATGTGGATATTTTGGTGGGGGAGGGGGGAAAGAGGCATTATTCTGCCTACCACAGGTAGAAAAATATGAACGGAGATGATGTCAAAGAGGTGAGCTTGGACCAAGTTATGAAAGGCTTGTAGGCCATATTAAGGAGTTTGAATTTTATTTCATCTAAAAGGAAAAGCTGTTGAAGGGTTTTAAGCAGGGTAGTTAAGTGATCTGAATTGCATTTTGAAAGGAACGTTCTGTTTTCCATATGGAACTGGATTTAAGAGGGAAAAAGTGGCAACAGGGATTCTAGTTAGGAAATGTGTGAACTTCTCTGGGCTTGATTAGTTGGATTAGGGTGGTAGCAATAAAGGTGGAGAGAAGGGAATGATTATAGCATATATTTTGGAGATAGAAACTTGCTAATATCTTTATATGGATGTATAATAAAGGGAAGGGAAAAATGAAGGATAAGTACTTCATTTATTGAAATGGAGAACCTGGAAGATGACCAAATTTGAAGTGATAGAAATCAATTTTTTTCTCCCACTGTGAAAGGCACCTTTGGTGTTCAAATGGAGATGTCAATATGGCAATTATATGCATAAGTCTGCATCTCAGAACTGGTTAGGTCCTTTGCTATTTTATTTCTTCTGTAGTTCATTGTTTACATATGATACTTGGCAGCCATTCATGAAATAATATAAAGTTCTATCAGGACCAGCTTGAACAGCTATTAAACATTTTGTCCTGAAAAACAATTCAGAATGATGCCAGAACAACTGGACATCCACATGCACAAAGATGAATGTAGACCTTACACCCATCACAAAACTTAACTGAAAATTGATCACAGACCTAAATGTAAAACACAAAACCATAAAACTCCTGAAGATAACATAAGAGAAAATCTAGAAGACCTCATGTTCTGCAATGACTTTTTACATCCAACACCAAAGTCTCAATTCCTGAAAGAAGGAATTAATCAGCTGTACTTTTTTAAAAATTAAGAATTCTGGGCCTGGTGCAGTGGCTCATGCCTGTAATCCCAGCACTTTGGGAGGCCATGGTGGGCGGATAATTTGAGGTCAGGAGTTCAAGACCAGCCTGGTCAATATGGTAAAACCCCACCTCTACTAAAAAATACAAAAATTAGCCAGGTGTGATGGTGTGCACCTGTAGTCCCAGCTACTCAGGAGGCCAAGGCAGGAGAATCGCTTTAACCCGGGAGGCAGAGGTTGTAGTGAGCCAAGATTGCATCACTGCACTCCAGCCTAGGCGACAGAGCGAGACTCTGTCTTGGAATGGAATGGAATGGAATGGAATGGAATGGAAGAGAATAGAATAATTTCTCCTCCGTGAAAGACACTGTCAGAATAAAGACAAGCCACAGACAAGAAAAAAATATTTGCAAAAGACATAACTGGTAAAGGACTGTTATCGAAATCCAAAATATATGAAGAACTTTTAAAACTCAGTAATGAGGAAATGACCAGATTGAAAAATGGGCCAAAGACCTTAACAGACGCCTAGTCAAAAAAGATATACAGATGGCAAATAAACATATGAAAAGATGTTCCACATATGTTATCAGGGAAACGCAAATTAAAACAACAAGATGCCCCTACGTACCTATTAGAATGGGAAAAATTCACAGCACCAAATGCTGATGAGGATGTGGAGCAAGAGGAACTCTCATTCATTGTTGATGGCAATGCAAAATGATATAGCCACTGTGGAAGACAGTTTGGCAGTTTCTTACAAAAGTAAACATACTGTAACTATGTGATGCAGCACCCAGTCTCCTTGGTATTTATCCAGAGTAGTTGAAAATTTATGTCTATGCAAAACCCCACACACGGATGTTTATAGCAGCTTTATTAATATTTGCCAAAACTTGGAAGCAACTGAGATGTCCTTAAGTAATGAAATGGATATACTGTGGTACATCCAGACGATGGAATATTATTTACTGATAAAAAGAACTCTCAAGCCATGAAAAGATATGTAGGAAACTTAAATCCATGTTACTATAAGAAAGAAGTCAATCTGAAAAGGCTACATACTATAGAATTCCAACTATAGGACATTCTCAGAAAGGCAAAACTAAGAAGTCAGTAAAAAAAAAAAAAAAATCAGTGTTTGCCAGGGGATAGGGAGGATAAGGATGAATAAGCAGGGCCCAGAGGATTTTTAGGGCAGCGAAACTATTCTGTATGATGCTGTAATGGTGGATACATGTTATTAAACATTTGTCCAGACCCATTGAATGTACAATAGGAAGAATGAACCCTAAATGTAAACTGTGGCCTCTGGGGGATAATGATGTGTCAATGTAAATTAATCAGTTGTAGCAAATGTACTCCTGTGGTGGGGGATGCTGGTAACTAGGAAGGCTATGCAGGTGCAAGGGCAGGAAATGCATAGGATGCTTCTGTATCTTCCTCTCAATTTTGCTATGAACCTAAAACTGCTCTTAAAAATGAAGTATTAAAAAGACAAACAAACAGTTCCCAACAAAATTCCCAATGAAATATTTTTGCAACAGATTTTCAGGTTAAAAGTTCCTAAGTCAGTTCAGTTTTGACACTGCCATGCTACATGCTGTTTTCAAAGGCTAGCATTCCCAAAGGCTAAGAAACAGCTGTTCTGAAGGTGCAGACTACATTATTTGTGTTTCCTGCTATTTATTAGTTGGATGACATTGGGAGACCACTTAACCTCTGTGGACTTCAGTGTCCTTATTGAAAAACGGGGGTCGTTTACACTTATTTTGCCCACCGAACAGGATTGTTATAGTCAAGTGAAATAAAATATGTGAGAGCATTTTGAAAATTCCAAAGCACTATGAAAATCAACACTATTATTGTCATTATGATTCCGTCTTAATACAACTCCTGTTACCTTGATGGAAAGATGAAAATACCCTGATTTGCTTTCCTCCCTTTTAAACTTGGTATCCTATTAAGAGTACTTACAGTAAGAGTAGATGGCATTAAATCTTATCACTTGTTCAGGAGCCAGCCTCTCTAATGTTTTTATTTGGATTCTGTTTGTACCAAAATGCATTATCTGTTCCCATTGTTCATTTACCTCTCATGGGAAGAAAACAAGTCGTTTGTGGACTTGGAATCCCTAGACATAAAATGTGCCCTTCTTTTGATTCAGAAATAGAGAATCTAAAAAACATGAAACTTGAGGTGTTTCTGTAAGGTGCTGTGGGATTTGAGGTGAAGAATTTGAATATAACCAATATTTTACCTAACAAAAAGTTGTAAATGTAAAAATGCCTTTGTGCTACAAGTAAACTTTCTAATTTATCTACATAATATACAGTAAATATACAAAGATTTTCATAAAGCTACACAGAAGAATCCATTTCATTACTTTACAGCTATCCATTTGTAAATGCACATGTACATTAATACCATACTTGGTGTAGTTATTAGAGTACAGCGTATAGAGATAGAACAATCTTGGTACAACTTTGCCATCTGCAACTGTGTAATGAACGTGCAAGTTCTGGTCCTAATTTCCTTATAGAATGTTGTGAGAAGTAAATAAGGTGAAAAAAATAACTTAGACCATAGTAAATTGTCAGTAAAGTTTATTGTTATCATTATGTCTATATTACATATTTTATTTATAATTATTATGTATTTAGTACTAATATAATTATATTGGTCATGTGATTTAATTGATTGACATATCAGTGTGTTATATTTTAATGTTAACTAGTAATGTTTATATATTATTATATGTTTTTAGTATATTTCTGCTATGGGTTGAATTATGTCCTCCCTGTCCATCACTACCACCAAATGTATATGTTGAAGTCGTAAGGCTCAATACCTCAGAATGTGATCTTATTTGGAGATATGGTCCTTACAGAGGACATCAAGTGACAGTTAGGTCATTAGGACAGACCTAATCCACTAGGACTGGTGTGTTTATGAAAGAGAAAAAATTGGAGAATGACCTGCACACAGGGAGAATGCCATGTGAAGATCAAGGCAGAGATTAGGACCATGCTTCTACAAACCAAGGAAGGTATAGCAAAGATTGTCAGCAAACTACCAGAAGTTAGGTAAGAGGCATGAACAGACTCTCCCTCACAGCCTGCAAAAGCTCCCAACCCTGCTAACACCTTGATCTTGGGATTCTCTTCTCCAGATGAGACAATAAATTTCTATCATGTAAGCCACTCAGTTTGTAGTACTTTGTTATGGAAAGTACCACATGTCCTAGAAAATTAGCGTACTTCCTCACTGGAAAATAGGCAAGAGTGGCCAGATAGATTTTATGGCATAACAACATAGGCAAGGATGCCAAGAGCATTCTTTGGTACTTTCTTTCATTGTCCACTACTGAAATCCTACTTTGTCCCACCAGGTCTGGTCCAAAATCCATTTCCACAACAAATCTTTCCCAGTCTTCTGGTCAGAAGCACTTGCTTCCTCTTTTGTGCTCACAACATAGACAAGAATATTTTCCTACCTCATTCTTTCCCCCTGCAATCCATTTTGCTGTTGGAGCCAGATTAATCTTGCTTTAAAATTACCCTTATATATTAGATAATTTTTCACCCTGTCCCCCACCCATTCAATTCTAAGCATTTTGAGAACAACAAATTTCTTGTTTATTTGTGGTATGTCTATTCCATCCCCCACCAGCAAGTACACTGTAGTGCTTGCATGGAACATATGCTCAGCGAATGATAGAGAAATTGAACTGATTTTCATATCAGTATTTCCTCATCTTCACTGTACTGAAAGAGAATGCTTCAGAGAAGGAGGAACTAAAATTAGTTGGATGAGCAGAAGTAAATTCCCAAGAAATAATTTTTGATTGAGGTTTGTAAAAGGAGAACTTGTGGGCAAAAAAGCAGCAACCTGGGAATACTAGGGAGTCCATGGCACAGAGCCGAGCACACTAAGTGTATCCAGTTGAGGTAAGAAAGGGATTGGATTTATAGCCTCGAGCGCAATTCAAGGCCAGATTGGGAATCTTGGCTACCTTAGAGAGAAGGAAGCTTGTAAGATTACAATGCCGAAAAAGATTAGGGCTGGAGGCTGGTTGGGTGTAGGGAAGAAGAAGAGGGGAATGATAAAAGGGGGAAGCAAACGATTGCTTTTGTCTAGCTAATGGTCAGACAGGAGGAACCAGGACTAGGCAGGAGTGAATTTGCCGCCAGGGTAGAAGTAGGTCAGTTGACAGCAATTTTCCAAACTAGCAGTTAGAACGTGGATAAATGCAAATGAACATGTCTGAACAATAATAGAGACTATTTGAAACTAGAAGGGTTCAAGAAAATATACAATATGTGGTTGCTATCATTGTAGAAATTATCGTTGGAGTAGGCCTGAGGTGATGATCTTTTCTTTCTCCTAGTTTTTATCATCTTTTCCCCTTGTCTAGCTTGAATATTGAACTGAAATACATTTTTAATAGGTTTTATCTTAAGAGCAGGTGAATTGATTCTATATTTCTCTTTCTTAAAAAGTCAAATCATTGGTTTTCTGTAACCTTCAATGGATTTTTTTACCACTTAAAGTTTCCACCTTTGTTCCAAGAGTCTCTCCCTAAGACCATTTAAATTTCCCTTTATTTCCCAAGGTAAAGAGAACTTCTACTTTGCTTGAGAACACCCTATATCTGTCTTAATGACCTAAGAAATTTTACTCACTTCTTCTATTGTTCTTATAATGTCTAAATGAACAGGACTCTTGAAGACTTTTTTTTCCCATTGGATACTTCCATCTAGCACAAGAATAGTCCTATGTCTAATCCCTGAAATTTAAATAAACTTTAGTATATTTTTATTTTCAGGCATTGCTAGTCTTTAGGGGTAGGAAAGTTAATTGATAGTAGGAAGAGTGTTGGTGAGCTACAAAGAAGTACAAGATACTGTCCCTGTCACTGAACCATTTTCTCAAACTAATTGTAAAGCAAGCTAACATAAGTGTGAATTATATAGCAATATAACTTGTCTCTAACATAATCTGTCTTCAAATGTGCAGACTATGCTCATATTACACTTTACAAAATTTCCGCTATGGCATACTAACTGGCTTTCACGTGTGTTTTCTATGGGCATGTACTGGAAGTGTGGCCTGTGTTTCCCCTATGTACTTCTAAAATTCTGTCTGGGAGTAGTACTCCTTTAGTCTTCCAGGAACCAGTTTGCATGTTGTATTGACGTATTCTTAGGTTGATAGATATTTTTAAAATACAGCATTTGACTCTAGAGAGAAACGGAGCCTGTGTCGTGATCTGTAGCATAGTGGAAGTGTCAGAGGAGTTTAATAGAGAGGCAGCAGAGTATAGTAGTTAAGTATATGAACTTTAGTTAAGCCCAAACCTGAGTTCAAATCCCGCTTTGCCACTTACTAGCTATGTGACTTTGGACAAATTATTTAATCTTTTTATGCCTCAATTTCTTGTTTAGTGAAATTATTGCAATGGTAGCTACCTTACAGTTTTATGAGATTAAGTTAATTAATGTTTATAAAGTACTGGGAAAAATGCCTAGCTCATAGTAGGTACAAAATAAGTATTAAGTAAAAGTCTTCCCATAATTAGCAACAAAAATACTTTTGATGGAATTTCAGTTGTGTATTTCTTTGGATAAGTATTAAATGACTAAATTATCATTTGGATCCTTATTACAGAAATCTCTAAATCTTGTTTGGAGGCCTGATTGATTGGAGATTATGAAAATAACTAAACCTGTTAGTCTGAAAAGCCCTTAACATTCCCCGTGCCAGGCCCTTGTTGTCTGAGACGTTTCTGAGTAAAACTGGGAAAACTTAATGAAGGACAGTAGAGTGAGAGCATTTCATATCTGCTTTTGTGACTCAGTGTGAATGGAGGCACCACATTGAACCTCCCCTGAAGTCATGTGCTGTTGTTGGTGTGTGGGCATTTGTGGTAGGGGAGTGGGTACAAGAAAAACAACTATTTCTGAAAAATACCAGACAATACAGTACAGCACTACATGTTCAGTTATAAGGAAATCAATCAACAGGTTTGGGAAGCAAACTATGAATGCTTGTTTTGATGTTAAATTGCTGGTTCTAATCTGGTGTATTTTAGCAAAATCCCCCTATTCTGCTGAATTTAATGGAGCAGAGGAGCTGAGTGTTTGGGAATATGAAGCACCTGAAGCCATGAGAACCACAAAGGCTGAAGATTGCACCTGCTACCCACATCAGTCAAATAGCACTGATTCCATAGGTAGGGTTGCAGCTGCCTATGTAAATTCATTTCAGGTTACTTTCCTTAGCAAAGCTCAACTTAGTATACTCACTGTAGAACGTATTCTTTGTTCTTACAATGGTGAACCTCCTAAGAACACAGTAATACACAGTTGATCTCAGCTTTGATGTTTTGCCTCACTTATAATGCAACCTGATAAGTGCTTTCTTCTCTACAGCATTGTAAGAAAATAAGTACTATTTTGGGACTACCAAGATTAGTAACTGGCTTTATAAAAAGCTGTTTGGTACCTTTCTGAGTTCTTGATGTTTCTATTTCCAAATTAAAAATATAATTACATTTTGTGTGTGCCATCTTAGTTTCATAAACAATTCTGATTCTGTAATTTAAAACGTACTCTAAAAATATCTGAATCTGAGAGAATGATTTGCTATGTAGTGGCACCACTGAAAAGACTCATTTGATAAATCCCAAGTATAAGATGGCTTCCAAAAAGAATTTGAAAATCATTCCTAGTTATACTTCTTTACGTTTAATCAACATTGTATAGTTTTATAACAGCAAGTGTCTTTTAGCTTTTTTTATTATTTAAAATCTCAAAGGCCAGGCGTAGTGGCTCAAGCCTGTAATCCCAGCACTTTGGGAGGCCAAGGCAGGTGGATTGCTTGAGGTCAGGAGTTCAAGATCAGCCTGGCCAACATGATGAAACCCCGTCTCTACTAAAATTACAAAAATTAGCTGGGCCTGGTGGTGGGTGCCTGTAATCCCAGCTACCTGGGAGGCTGAGGCAGGAAAATTGCTTGAACCGAGGAGGCAGAGGTTGCAGTGAGCCGAGATCACCCCACTGCACTGCAGCCTGGGCGACAGAGTGCGACTCAGTCTCAATATAAAATTAAAATCTCAAAGATATACTAAGTAGAGGAAATAGTACAATGAAGAACTTCATTTACCTTTCAACAATGATCAACTCATAGCTATTTTTGTTTTCTCTACTATTTACCTATATCCCCTCCACCTCCATATTATTTTAGTGCAAATCGCAGATACTATATCATTTGATCTATGAATATTTCTATATGTATTGCTAAGATAGACACTACTCTTTTTAAGTGTTATCCCAATACCATCATTATACTCCTTCAACTTAACAGTCATTCCTTATATAGTAGTCTCCCCTTATCCTCAGGGGGATGTTCCATGACCCCCCACTGGATGCTTAAAACTTAGGATAGTACCAAACCCTATATATATTATTTTTTTCTTATACATAACATAACTATGATAAAGTTTAATTTAAAAATGTACAGTAAGAGATTAAAAATAGTAACTAATAAAATAGAACAATTATGATGATATACTGTAATAAAAGTTAGATGATTGTAGTTTCTCTCTCTCTTTTCTCAAAAAAATGCTGCACCAGGCAGTGTGGGAGGCCTAGGTGGGTGGATCACTTGAGGTCAGGAGTTCCGGACCAGCATGGCCAATATGGTGAAACCTCATCTCTACGAAAAATACAAGAATTAGCTGGGTGTGGTGCTGTGTGCCTGTAGTCCCAGCTGCTAGGGAGGCTGAGGCAGGAGAATCGCTTGAACCCAGGAGGCAGAGGTTGCAGTGAGCTGAGATCATGCCACTGCACTCCAGCCTGGGTGACAGAGTGAGATGCCATCTCAAAACAAAACAAAACAAAAAAACCAGCAGGTCTTTGTTCTGAAGCATTTTCCTTTGTCTGGATACCACTGATCACATCCCCATTGTATCATTTATCATGTTCTTCTGTCCATTTCATTGGGAGTAAAATCTAGATTGAGCTGATTTAGGTTAGGATTTTTTTTTTTTTTACAAGAATACTTCAAAGGTGTTGATATGGTTTAGCTATGTCCCCACCCAAATCTCATCTTGAATTATAGTTCCCATAATTCCCATGTGTCATGGGAGGGACCTGGTGGGAGGTAATTGAATCATGGGGGTGGTTACTCCATGCTGGTGTTCTCATGATAGTGAGTGAGTTCTCATGAGATTTGATGGTTTTATAAAGGGCTTTTCCCTCTTTGCTCAGCACTTCTCTCTCCTGCTGCCATGTGAAGAAGCATGTGTTTGCTTCCCCTTCCACCATGATTGTCAGTTTCCTGAAGTCTCCTCAGCCATGTGGAACTGTGAGTCAATTAAACCTCTTCCTTTATAAATTACCCAGTCTCAGGCAGTTCTTTATAGCAGCATGAGAACAGACTAATACAGGTAGTATGATTTATCTTTAATAGGAAATACATAATGTCTAGTTTCTCTCTTTTGGGATGTTAGTAGCCACTGATGATTATTGTCTTAGATTCATTGTTTCATTAGAAGTTGTAAAGAAGTAAAAATTTAATTCTGTTAATTCCCTCTTCAATTATTAATTGGAATACTTCTATAAGAAAAGATTGCCCCATCAATTATTTTATTATCCTGAGGTACAATTTTTATGATATAGGCAGCATAAATATTAAACTATTTTCCTTCATTTACTACTCTTCATAATAAAGGATTTTTTAAAAAATAATTCACTGGTTTAAAGAAATTTAATGTGTTTCAGTGCATTACAGTTACTATCTTTATTGATATAATATTGTTTCATCTTTGATAAGTGGGGGATTATTCAGATTTGCTCCTGAGTTTACCTTTTGATAAAATTTAGTAGTTATTTTGAGCTGCTTGTGTAATAACATGGCCATCAACAATATGATTACTAAAATGGGCTGGGTGTGGTGGCTCATGCCTGTAATCCCAGCATTTTAGGAGGCCATGGCAGGCGGATTACCTGAGGTTAGGAGTTTGAGACCAGCCTGGCCAATATGGCAAAACCCCGTCTCTACTAAAAATGCAAAAATTAGCCAAGCATGATGGCACATGCCTGTAGTCTCAGCTACTGGGGAGGCTGAGGCAGGAGAATCACTTGAACTGGGGAGGCGAAGGTTGCAGTGAGCTGAGATCATGCCACTACACTCCAGCCTGGGTGCAACGGAGTGAGACTCTATCTCAAAAAAAAAAAAAAGACTAAAATGATATATTTTTGTTTTATTACTATGCCCCACTAGGAATGTATAATAAAATCACTGTGTTATGGAGTCACATAGAATAGTTCCCCAAGGAGAGTTATGCCTTCAAGTGAATACAGAGTTAGATTGTTTTATTGTACATCAAATTCCTAGGGACTATTTTTTAATTTTTTATAATTATGTTAAAATATGTACATACACCAAATAAGGTATATTCAGATATCTCAAACTTCTATTTCTGTACCTTCCATCTATTTTCTCTCATATATGTAACTAAATTTTAAAGTGATTTTTCTTCCACTAAAAAATCAGCTTTGGTGATATAAAATTTACAAACAATACAACTGACCAGTTTTATGGGTATGACTTGATGAGTTTTGAAAAATGTGACATCACTACATGTTACACCATATGCAAACACCATTATGCCCATGATAGAACATTTTCTTTACCCTAAAAAGTTACCTTATGTCTTTTTGCAGCTATTCTTCTTCTGACCCTGGTCCATGGCGACTACTGTTGTGGTTTCTTATAGTTTGCCTTTATGGGATTTTATATAAATATATTCATAGAGTATGTAGTATTTTATGTCTGGTTTCTTTCACTTAGCACAATCAGGTAGTGTAAGTGCTTCAACCTCTTTCTTTATCAAAAAATTTTGGCTAGTCTAGGTCCTTAGCATTTCTATATAAATTGTAAAATCATCTGTCTATTTATACAAAAAAAAGCTTTTTTTAATTTTGATTCTGAATTTTGATCAGAATTGTGTTAATTCTATAAAGCAATTCTGGAAGAATTGACATTTTACGTGATTCTTTGAATCCATGAACATAGTACATTTCTCCATTTGTATAGGTATTCTTTAATTTCTTTTGGGAATATTTTATAATTTTCAGTTTACATGACTTGTACATGTTTTGTTGAATTCTGTAATATTTCATATTTTTGATACTATTGTAAAAGATGCTTTTTAAATTTTATATTCCAAATGTTGTTACTAGTATATATAAATACAATAGATTTTAATATATTAATCTTATATTTTACAACCTTGCTATATTCACTTATTAATTCTAGTAGCTTTTTTTCTCTAGATTCATTAGAATTTTCATTTTTATTATTGATACATAATAGATGTACATATATTAGGGGTACATATGATAATTTGACATATTCATATAATCAAATCAGGGTAATTGTGGTATCTATCACTTTAAATATTTATCTTTTCTTCCTGCTAGGAACATTTGAATTATTCTTTTCTAGCTGTTTTGAAATGTACAACAGATTAATGATAGCTATAGTCACCCTACTGATTTAGCAAACACCAAGTCTTGACAATCATATTGTCTATGAATAAAGATACTTTGATATCTTTCTTTTCAGTCTCTGCTTTTTATCTCTTTTTTTCTCTCTTATGCCACTGGCTAGGATCTCCAGTACAATGTTGAATAGAAGTGGTGAGAGCAGGAGTCCCTGTCTTATTCCTGATCTTAGGAGTAAAGCAATCAGTCTTTCACTATTAATTATTACGGTGATGCCTGTAGGTGTTTCATAATTGCCCTTTAATGAGGTAGAGGGGTTTTCCCTCTATTCCTAATTTACTGAGAGTCTTTGTCATGAATGGGATTGAATATTGAATGTAGGCCAGGCGTGATGGCTCATGCCTGTAATTCCAGCACTTTGGGAGGCCGAGGTGGGTGGATCACTTGAGGTCAGGAGTTCGAGACCAGCCTGGGCAACATGGTGAAACCCTGTCTCTACTAAAAATACAAAATTTAGCTGGGTGTGGTGGTACACGCCTGCAGTCCCAGCTACTCAGAAGGCTGAGGCACGAGAATCACTTGAACTCAGGAGGCAGAGGCTACAGTGAGCTGAGACTGTGCCACTGCACTCCAGCCTGGATGACAGAGTGAGACCATGTCTAAAAAACAAAAAAAAAAGAGAAGAAAAGAAAAAAAAATGGATGTGGAATTTAATATGAATCCAATTGTTAAATCAAATTGTCAAACTGGACTGTCAAATTTTGTCAAATACTTTACATGAACCTACTGAGATGCTCATATGGCTTTCCTTTTTAACATTTTAATATAATGAGTTAAACTAATCTTTTAACGCTAAAGTAACCTTAAATCCCTGGGATGAAATTCATGTGGTAGTGATGTATTATTCCTTTTATGTATTGCTGGATTTAATTTGATAAAATTTTGTTAAAGATGTTTGTGGCTGTGTTCATAGGGAAATCATCATATAATTTCCTTTTCCTATATGTTTTTTCCTGGTTTTCCTTTCTGGTAAAGCAGATATCACAAAAAATATTGAAAAGTTTTATATCTTCCTTTTTCTGGATGTTTGTTTTGAGTTGGCAATATTTTTTAATGTTCGGTAGAATTCCTGGGCGTTTCCAAGATGGCCGAATAGGAACAGCTCCAGTCTATGGCTCCCAGCATGAGCGACGCAGAAGATGGGTGATTTCTGCATTTCCAACTGAGGTACTGAGTTCATCTCACTGGGGCTTGTTGGACAGTGGGTGCAGAACAATGGGTGCAGCACACTGAGCGTGAGCCGAAGCAGGGCAATGCATCACCTCACCTGGGAAGCATAAGGGGTCAGGGAATTCCTAGCCAAGCAAAGCTGTAACAGATGGCACCTGGAAAATCAGGTCACTCCCACCCTAATACTGTGCTTTTCCAGTGGTCTTAGCAAACGGCACACCAGGAGATTATATCCCATGCCTGGCTCGGAGGGTCCCACACCCACGGAGCCTCGCTCATTGGTAGCACAGCAGTCTGAGACCGAACTGCAAGGCAGCAGCAAGGCTGGGGGAGGGGCACCCCCATTGCTGAGGCTTGCGTAGGTAAACAAAGTGGCCAGAAGCTCGAACTGAGTGGAGCCCACCACGGCTCAAGGAGGCCTGCCTGCCTCTATAGACTCCACCTCTGGGGGCAGGGCATAGCCAAACAAAAGACAGCAGAAACCTCTGCAGACTTAAATGTCCCTGTCTGACAGCTTTGAAGAGAGTAGTGGTTCTCCCAGCATGGAGTTTGAGATCTGAGAACAGACAGACTGCCTCCTCAAGTTGGTCCCTGATCCCTGAGTAGCCTAACTGGGAGGGACCACCCCTAATAGGGGCAGACTGACACCTCACATGGTTGGGTACCCCTCTGAGACGAAACTTCCAGAGGAATGATCAGACAGCAACATTTGCTGTTCAGCAATATTCGCTGTTCTGCAGCCTCTGCTGCTGATACCAAGGCAAACAGAATCTGGGGTGGACCTCCAGCAAACTCCAACAGACCTGCAGCTGAGGGTCCTGACCGTTAGAGGGAAAACTAACAAACAGAAAGGACATCCACACCAAAACCCCATCTGTACGTCACCATCATCAAAGACCAAAGGTAGTTAAAACCACAAAGATGGGGAAAAAACAGAGCAGAAAAACTGAAAATTCTAAAAATCAGAGCTCCTCTCCTCCTCCAAAGGAATGCAGCTCCTCACCAGCAATGGAACAAAGCTGGACAGAGAATGACTTTGACAAGTTGAGAGAAGAAGGCTTCAGATGATCAAACTTCTCCAAGCTAAAGGAGGAAGTTCAAACCCATCGCAAAGAAGTTAAAAACCTTGAAAAAAGATTAGACGAATGGCTAACTAGAATAACCAATGTGGAGAAGTCCTTAAATGACCTGATGGAGCTGAAAACCAAGGCACGAGAACTACGTGATGAATGCACAAGCTTCAGTAGCCGATTCGATCAACTGGAAGAAAGGGTATCAGTGATTGAAGATCAAATGAATGAAATGAAGAGAGAAGAGAAGTTTAGAAAAAAAAAAAAAAAGAATAAAAAGAAACGATCAAAGCCTCCAAGAAATAGAGGACTATGTAAAAAGACCAAATCTATGTCTGATTGGTGTACCTGAAAGTGACGGGGAGAATGGAACCAAGTTGGAAAACACTCTGCAGGATATTATCCAGGAGAACTTCCCCAACCTAGCAAGGCAGGCCAACATTCAAATTCAGGAAATAGAATGCCACAAAGATATTCCTTGAGAAGAGCAACTCCAAGACACATAATTGTCAGATTCACCAAAGTTGAAATGAGGAAAAAACGTTAAGGGCAGCAAGAGAGAAAGGTTGGGTTACCCACAAAGGGAAGCCCATCAGACTAACAGCTGATCTCTCAGCAGAAACTCTACAAGCCAGAAGAGAGTGGGGTCCAGTATTCAACATTCTTAAAGAAAAGAATTTTCAACCGAGAATTTCATATCCAGCCAAACTAAGCTTCATAAGTGAAGGAGAAATAAAATCCTTTACAGACAAGCAAATGCTGAGAGATTTTTTCACCACCAGGCCTGCCCTAAAAGAGCTCCTGAAGGAAGCACTAAACATGGAAAGGAACAACTGGTACCAGCCACTGCAAAAACATGCCAAATTGTAAAGACCATCGATGCTATGAAGAAACAGTATCAACTAACGAGCAAAATAACCAGCTAACATCATAATGACAGGATCAAATTCACACATAACAATATTAACCTTAAATGTAAATGGACTAAATGCTCCAATTAAAAGACATAGACTGGCAAATTGGATAAAGAGTCAAGACCCATCAGTGTGCTGTATTCAGGAAACCCATCTCACGTGCAGAGACACCCATAGGCTCAAAATAAAGGGATGGAGGAAGATCTACCAAGCAAATGGAAAACAAAAAAAGGCAGGGGTTGCAATCCTAGTCTCTGATAAAACAGACTTGAAACCAACAAAGATCAAAAGAGACAAAGAAGGCCATTACATAATGGTAAAGGGATCAATTCAACAAGGAGAGCTAACTATCCTAAATATATATGCACCCAATACAGGAGCACCCAGATTCATAAAGCAAGTCCTTAAGAGACCTAGAAAGAGACTTAGACTGCCACACAATAATAATGGAGACTTTCACACCCCACTGTCAACATTAGACAGATCAACGAGACAGAAAGTTAACAAGGATATCCAGGAACTGAACTCAGCTCTGCACCAAGTGGACCTAATAGACATCTACAGAACTCTCCACCCCAAATCAACAGAATATACATTCTTCTCAGCACCACACTGCACTTATTCCAAAATTGACCACATAGTTGGAAGTAAAGCACTCCTCAGCAAATGTAAAAGAACAGAAATTATAACAAACTGTCTCTCAGAACAAGTGCAATCAAACTAGAACTCAGGATTAAGAAACTCACTCAAAACCGCTCAACTACATGGAAACTGAACAACCTGCTCCTGAGTGACTACTGGGTACATAATGAAATGAAGGCAGAAATAAAGATGTTCTTTGAAACCAACGAGAACAAAGACACAACATACCAGAATCTCTGGGACACATTTAAAGCAGTATGTAGAGGGAAATTTATAGCACTAAATGCCCATAATAGAAAGCAGGAAAGATCTAAAATTGACACCCTAACATCACAATTAAAAGAACTAGAGAAGCAAGAGCAAACACATTCAAAAGCTAGCAGAAGGCAAGAAATAACTAAGATCAGAGCACAACTGAAGGAGATAGACACAGAAAACCCTTCAAAAAAATCAATGAATCCAGGTGCTGGTTTTTTGAAAAGATCAACAAAATTGGTAGACCACTAGCAAGATTAATAAAAGAAGAAAAGAGAGAAGAATCAAATAGATGCAATAAAAAATGATAAAGGGGATATCACCACTGATCCCACAGAAATACAAACTACCATCAGAGAATACTATAAACACCTCTATGCAAATAAACTAGAAAATGTAGAAGAAATGGATAAATTCCTCGACACATACACCCTCCCAAGACTAAACTAGGAAGAAGTTGAATCTCTGAATAGACCAATAACAGGCTCTGAAATTGAGGCAATAATTAATAGCTTACCAACCAAAAAAAGTCCAGGACCAGACGGATTCACAGCCGAATTCTACCAGAAGTACAAGGAGGAGCTGGTACCATTCCTTCTGAAACTATTCCAATCACTAGAAAAAGAGGGACTCCTCCATAACTCATTTTATGAGGCCAGCATCATCCCGATACCAAAGCCTGGCAGAGACACAACAAAAAAAGAGAATTTTAGACCAATAGCCCTGATGAACATCAATGCAAAAATCCTCAATAAAATACTGGCAAACTGAATCCAGCAGCACTTCAAAAAGCTTACCTACAATGATCAAGTGGGCTTCATCCCTGGGATGCAAGGCTGGTTCAACATATGCAAATCAATAAACGTAATCCAGCATATAAACAGAACCAAAGACAAAAACCACATAATTATCTCAATAGATGTGGAAAAGGCCTTCGACAAAATTCAACAACGCTTCATGCTAAAAACTCTCAATAAATTCGGTATTAATCGGAGGTATCTCAAAATAATAAGAGTTATTCCTGACAAACCCACAGCCAGTATCATACTGAATGGGCAAAAACTGGAAGCATTCCCTTTGAAAACTGGCACAAGACAGGGATGCCCTCTCTCACCACTCCTATTCAACATAGTGTTGGAAGTTCTGGCCAGGGCAATCAAGCAAGAGAAAGAAATAAAGGGTATTCAATTAGGAAAAGAGGAAGTCAAATTGTCCCTGTTTGCAGATGACATGATTGTATATCTAGAAAGCCCCATCATCTCAGCCCAAAATCTCCTTAAGCTGATAAGCAACTTCAGCAAAGTCTCAGGATACAAAATCAATGTGCAAAAATCACAAGCATTCTTATACACCAATTACAGACAGACAGAGAGCCAAATCATGAGTGAACTCCCATTCACAGTTGCTTCAAAGAGAATAAAATACCTAGGAATCCAACTTACAAGGGATGTGAAGGACCTCTTCAAGGAGAACTACAAACCACTGCTCAACAAAATAAAAGAGGATACAAACAAATGGAAGAACATTCCATGCTCATGGATAGGAAGAATCAATATCGTGAAAATGGCCATACTGCTCAACGTAATTTATAGATTCAATGCCATCCCCATCAAGCTACCAATGACTTTCTTCACAGAATTGGAAAAAACTACTTTAAAGTTCATATGGAACCAAAAATGGGCCCTCATTGCCAAGACAATCCTAAGGCAAAAGAACAAAGCTGGAGGCATCACACTACCTGACTTCAAACTATACTACAAGGCTACAGTAACCAAAACAGCATGGCACTGTTACCAAACAGAGATATAGACCAATGGAACAGAACAGAGCCCTCAGAAATAATACCACACATCTACAACTATCTGATCTTTGACAAACCTGGCAAAAACAAGAAATGGGGAAAGGATTCCCTATTTAACAAATGGTTCTAGGAAAACTGGCTAGCCATATGTAGAAAGCTGAAACTGGATCCCTTCCTTACACCTTATACAAAAATTAATTCAAGATGGATTAAAGACTTAAATGTTAGACCTAAAACCATAAAAACCCTGGAAGAAAACCTAGGCAATACCATTCCGGACATAGGCATGGGCAAGGACTTCATGTCTAAAACACCAAAAGCAATGGCAACAAAAGCCAGAATTGACAAATGGAATCTAATTAAACCAAAGAGCTTCTGCACAGCAAAAGAAACTACCATCAGAGTGAAAAGGCAACCTACAGAATGGGAGAAAATTTTCGCGATCTACTCATCTGACAAAGGGCTAATATCCAGAAACACAAAGAACTCAAACAAACTTACAAGAAAAAACAAACAACCCCATCAACAAGTGGGCAAAGGATATGAACAGACACTTCTCAAAAGAAGACATTTATGCAGCCAACAGACACATGAAAAAATGCTCGTCATCACTGGCCATCAGAGAAATGCAAATCAAAACCACAATGAGATACCATCTCACATCAGTTAGAATGGTGATCATTAAAAAGTCAGGAAACAACAGGTGCTGGAGAGGATGTAGAGAAATAGGAACACTTTTACACTGTTGGTGGGACTGTAAACTCGGTCAACTATTGTGGAAGTCAGTGTGGCAATTCCTCAGGGATCTCGAACTAGAAATACCATTTGACCCAGCCATCCCATTACTGGGTATATACCCAAAGGATTGTAAAACATGCTGCTATAAAGACACATGCACACGTATGTTTATTGCGGCACTATTCACAATAGCAAAGACTTGGAACCAACCCAAATGTCCAACAATGATAGACTGGATTAAGAAAATGTGGCACATATACACCATGGAATACTATGCAGCCATAAAAAATGATGAGTTCATGTCCTTTGTAGGGACATGGATGAAGCTGGAAACCATCATTCTCAGCAAACTATTGCAAGGACAAAATACCAAACACCACATGTTCTCACTCATAGGTGGGAATTGAACAATGAGAACACTTGGAAACAGGAAGGTGAACGTCACACACCGGGGCGTGTCGTGGGGTGGGGGGCGGGGGAGGGATAGCATTAGGAGATATACCTAATGTAAATGATGAGTTAATGAGTGCAGCACACCAACATGGCACATGTATACATATGTAACAAACCTGCACGTTGTGCACATGTACCCTAGAACTTAAAGTATAATAAAAATATAAATATATATAAAAAAACAAAAAATAAAATATTTCTGAGGTCTAAACAGAAGACCATATAATCCCATAGTAGATTTGATCTTTGCTCTGAGGGTCTTTTTAGATTTGAGAATTTTGGAAAGATTGGGAATAAGAAACAGATATTTTTAACCCAAGAATTTCTGGCTACTTGATATTTTCTATAAACTTTAAAATGGAAAAAAAAATGTTCAGTAGAATTCACTTATGAAACTATCTGGACCTAGGGGTTTCTTATGTTGGAAGGATTTTACCTATCAATATAATGTGGTTAATAAATATAGGGCTAATTAGGTTATCGATTGCTTCCTTAGTGAGCTAGTTTTTGTCTGACAAGGAATTTTTCCATTTCATCTAAGCTATCAAACCTGTTAAAACCTGTTACATGAAATTATTCCTGATATTCTTTTTTTTTTTTTTTTGAGATGGAGTTTCGCTCTTGTAACCAGGCTGGAGTGCAATGACACGATCTCAGCTCACTGCAGTTTTCGTCTTCTGGGTTCAAGCAATTCTCCTTCCTCAGCCCCCTAAGTAGCTGGTGGTGCCCACCACCATGCCCAGGTAATATTTGTATTTTTAGTAGAGACAAGATTTCACCATGTTGGCCAGGCTGGTCTCGAACTCCTGACCTCAGGCAATCTGCCCACCTCAGCCTCCCAAAGTGCTGGGATTACAGGCGTGAACCACTGTGCCTAGCCTATTCCTGATATTCTTTTATTATGACTTAAATGTTTGTATGATCTGTAATGATGTCCTATTTCCTCTTTCATTCATTATATTCGTATTTACATCTTCTCTCTTTTATTCTTATGATCTGGAAAATGGTCAATTTTATTGATTTTCACAAAAGAACCAACGTTTGATTTCATTTATTTGTCACTCTTTGTTTGTTTGTTTGTTTTTGTAGAGGCAGAATCACACTATGTTGCCCAGGCTGTTCCTGTAATGACCTCAAGTGAGCCTCCCATCTTGTCCTCCCGAAGTGTTGAGATTACAGGAATGAGCTAACATTGCCTGGCCCAATCTTGTTTTTCTAGTTTTAATTTATTTCTGCTCATTGTTATTTTTCATTCTTCTGCTTATTTTGTATTGAATTTTCTCTTCTTTGTCTAGTTTTGTAAGGTGAAAGTTTAGATCATTGATTTGAGACTTTTCTTTTTATCAATTATAAGCATTTAATGTTCTAAAGTTCCTTATAAGTACATCTGTATACCACAAATTGGTAAGTCGTATTTTCCGTTTCATTTGGTTAAATATTTTTAACTTTCCATTGAGGTTTCTTCTTAGAAGAAACACTTCTTAGAAGTGTTTTGTTCAATTTACAAATATGTGGTGGTTTGCCAAATTGTTTTTTGTTATTGATTTGTAATTTAATTCAGTTGTAGTTAGAGAACGTGTTTGGTATGATTTCAATCCATTTAAATACACTGCTTGCTTGTTTTATAGCTCAGAATACGTTCTATCTTGGTGACTGATCCATGTACACTTACCAAAAACGTGTGTCCTGCTGTTTTTGAAAGCAGTATTCTCCGAAGTCAGTTAGGTCAGATTGGTTAACTGTGTTTTTCAAGTGTTTTATATCCTTACTAATTTTGGTCTTGTTCAGTAAATTACTGAAAGACAAGTGTTTTAATCTCCAACTCTAATTGTGGACTTATATATTTATCCTTTCAGTTCTATGTATTTTGAAGCTTGGTTATTAGGTGCATATACATTTAGGATAAAGTCCTCTTGATTAACTGATTTTATATATATATAATTACATATATATCTAAAAACTGATTATATATCTTATATATAATTATATATAGTATATAATCCGTTAATAGATATTATATATAATTATATATAATCAGTTTATATATATAATCAATGTGTGTGTATATATGTGTGTGTGTGTGTGTGTGTGTATACACACACACATATGTGAGTGTGCGTGAGAGAGAGAGAGAGAGGGAGACGGGGCCTTGTTATGTTGCTCCGGCTGGTCTCAAACCCCTGGGCCCAAGCGATCCTCCCACCTCAACCTCCCAAGTAGCTGAGACTATGGACATATGCCACTGCACCCAGCTAATCTTTATATTATTGTAAATATCCTTTATTCTTGGGAAATATTCCCTGTTCTGAACTCTACTTTGTCTGGTAGCCACTCCAGAATTCTTTTGATTTAGGCTTGCAGAAAATATTTTTCCCATATTTTGACTTTTATACTATAGGTATCTTTCTGTTTAAAATTGTGTGTGTGTGGTGGCGGGATAAAATCTGATAAATGCATTTATGTAGTAAGATGATACAAAAGAGTGTTATTCATGAGATAGTCAAAGACTCTCAAGTGAAATAACACTGTAGCTGGATTTTAAAGGATGAGTAGGAACAAAGTGAAGGTGAAGAAGGAGGGTATTTCTAGCAAAGGGCAGCATTTGCACGGCATGAAAGTACTTGCCATCTTCTTGAAAAAGTGGAAGAATTCCTTCGTCTGGATCATCCACCCCAGGTGTGTTTCAGGGAGGAAGGGATAGGAGGACTCAGAGATAACTCCTATAACAAGGGTCAGGAAACTTTTTCTTAAATGTTCAGATTGTAATATTTTAAGCTTGCAGATCATACAATTTCACAATTATGCAGCTTTGCTATTGTACCATGAAAGCAGCCATAGATAATATGTAAACAAATGAGTGTGGCTGAGTTCCAATAAAACTTTATTTACAAAAACAGGTGGCAGTCTGAATTTGGCCCATGTGTCTTGGTTTACCAATGCTTTAATTAAAGAATTGGGGTGGGAGAGCAAGTGGGGATATAAGGTGTTAGAAGTACAGCAACGTCTACAAAGTAAAGACAAAAGTCAAAGTAACATCATTGTCTCTATTTTAGAACCCTCAAAAGCTAAGACTTCTAGTATGGCTGTTACCACTTATATAATTTTATAGAAATAACATGATTTCTATAATTTTATAGGAATAAATTTTGGATCAGAATCCTCTTGACCTTTTTTATTGAAAAACAAGAGTTCTGGGAATCAGAGAAGAATGATCTCATTTTTGCCTTGCCCAAGTGGGAATAGTAAATGCTAAATCTTCCAGAAATTTGGGTAATCTTTATGCAGTTATGAGTAAGTCCCACCCTGTGCCATAACTCTCCCAAAATGGGGAATTCTGACTTTGGAAATCATCCTCTTCGGTAATTTAGTCAGTAGTGTCATGTTGTTGGTTAAACTTACAGGAAGCATAAGGGCTATGCAAGCATTATATGAAAGTCTGATGTATTAGATCTGAGAACAAAAGGGAAAAATCTCTTGATGAATTGAATGAAATGCCCAAATTGAGTCTGAAGGTGGATTAGGTGGGTTCTTCTTCTTTTTTTTTTTTTTTTTGAGTTGGAGTTTTGCTCCTGTTGCCCAGGCTGTAGTGCAATGGCGCAATCTGAACTCACTGCAATCTCCACCTCCCAGGTTCAAGCGATTCTCCTGCCTTAGCCTCCCAAGTAGCTGGGATTACAGGCATGTGCCACCATGCCTGGCTAAATTTTTTTTTTATTTAGTAGAGACTGGGTTTCACCATGTTGGTCAGGCTGGTCTCGAACTCCTGACCTCAGGTATCCACCCGCCTCGGCCTCCCAAAGTGCTGGGATACAGGCCTGAGCCACTGCGCCTGGCCTGATGGGTTCTAAATATTCTTCAGACTTGCAGATTCCATAAATACTGACAGCTTCTTAAACAGTATATGAAAATGTTTGTTTTTGACTGTCACAGAATGGAGAAATTCAGTTGTGTAAATGAATCTTAATTTGGGTAATAGTACAAATAATTATTGATGATCTGTTTCAAATAATCCATCAGTCTGAGTACAAATCTTATTAAGTCACAAGGATGATGATTGTTAAAAATTTATTTTAATCTTAAAGATTAAAAATTTTAACTCTCCACCCCTGAAGGAAAACAATTTAGGAATTATTCAAGTGAAAATGGCAATTTTCATCAAGGAGCCAGTGATGTTTTCATAATTACTGGTTTTTACATAAATGTTTAAGTCAGTCAATATATAATTACACTTCAATTTCTAGAATTCACTAGAGACAATGAAGTTAGTTTTTGAGCAGGATAGTTACTGAGAATGTTAGCCAGAAAAAAAATTACCTTTCAACAAGATGAAATTTTCATGTCAATGGTAAGTGAAATCCTCCAATATGTCCCCATATGTTGTGATATATAATTTTTGAAATATAAACAATGGCCATCACATGGTTTCTTATTATTTGTTTAATTTGTCAGGAAAGCAGACATAAAGTGTTTTTCCTTTTTTTCCTAATTATTACTTACTTTGCCTCCTTGGCTCTTTTCTGTCTGCATTATTCTCAACAAATAAGGTTTTTCCATACAATAACATCTATTTAAGCTCTATAGTAATCGGTGGTCTGTGATCCCCATAAAGGCTTTGCAAGTGATCTCTTGCCATTATTTTTTAAATGTTCACCTTCTAGGCTGCCACCTAAAGATCCCTGATGATGGAGATGGGGTTGGTGAAGGTGAGGTGTGAGCCAAAAGCTAGAAAGTGATGTTAAAATAATTAATTGGGAGGCCATTTCACTGAGGCGGCTCCAGTGCCATAGGGACTTGCCTAAGCAAAGCGAAACCCAACACAATATACACTGTAAAAGGAAACTTAAGCTTAACTATTAGTCAGAAACCACCAACCAACCTCTAACAGGAAATTTCCAGTGGAATGATCCAAAGAAGACTACTGCTTTACTTTAACCAATCAAATATTTTATTTGCCTTTGCTTCTGAGTTCACCCTATCAAAAAAAAAAAAGGCTTCCCTGAGGTGTCCTGAACTGCTTGTGGTCTGGAGTTGTCTGCTTCAAGCATTGCTATTTGCTCACTCTTTAATATTTTAATGTGCCTCAGTTTATTTTTCAATAGTAATTGTGAATTAAATATATATTATATCCCAGGCACTATGTTATACTTTTTATATATGATTTCATTTACTAGTCATAGCAACTTGATAACTTAGGTATAATTTTCCTCTTCTATAGGTCTAGGAGGCTATGGTTCTGAAGATATTAGAGGAGCTATAGTAAAATGTACCTGATAAAAGCATACATAGATTGTCTCCACCTTTGTTTTAATGCACTGGCCAGGACATCCAGTAAGATGTTGAATCTGTGTTTTATATCTCATTCAAAAAAATTAAAGCCGGGTGCAGTGGCTCATGCCTGTAATCCCAGAACTTTGGGAGGCCAAGGTGGGCGGATCACTTGAGGTTTGGAATTCAAGACCAGCCTGGCCAATGTGGTGAAACTCCATCTCTACTAAAGCTACAAAAATTAGCCGGGTGTGGTGGTGGGCATCTGTAATCCCCGCTACTTGGGAGGCTGAGGCAGGAGAATCACTTGAACCTGGGAGGCAAAGGTTGCAGTGAGCTGAGATTGTGCCACTGCACTCCAGCCAGGGTAACAAGAGTGAGATTCCATCTCAAAAAAAAGAATACTCCCCAAATTACTAATGAGTTAGTACATATAATAAGTGATAATTTTATACCACTGTTCAGGTCTTCCTCTTCATTCTCTTCCATTCCCCAACCCCTATTGCAACCCAGCACCCAATAAAATATGCATACTTAAGAATTTCTGTATATCACTTCAAAAGACAGAATGTAAAAGGAGATGAGATGAAGCTGATGAGTAATCACTGTCCAAGCTGGGGAGCAGGGAGACTGGTATGTTACACTAGTGAACTTGGTAATAGGGACCAATGGAAGGGCTTTTCTCAGTGGAGTGGTGTGATCTGACTTGTGTTTTAGATATATTACTCCAGCAGAAATGTAGGGGTAGGATTTTGGGGAGCCAAGACTGTTAACCAAGAAGACTGGTGTGAAGGCTTTTGTAATATCTACATTTGAACGGTGAGGCCTGCACTGGTAGAAGAGATGGAGATAGACAGATTTGAAAATGAGTCAACTATTATTGAGTGGGGAATACAGGAAGAGGAAAAAGTCAGCAGCATCTTTCAGATTTCTGGCTTGGATGACTAGGTGGATGATAGTGCCCCCAACTGAGGCAAAGAACACTTCTAGACTCACTAAATGGAGCAATGTTTTCAGCTTTCAAAGTTGGACATGAAGATTTGTCTTGTATAAAGTAGCTCTGTCCAAAAGAAATATAATGCAAGCCACATATATAATTTTAAGTTTTCTAGAAACATTAAAATAAATAAAAAGCTGGTGAAATTAATTTAAATATTTTATTCAACTCAATATATCGAAAATGTTATAATTTAAACTTGTAACCAATGGAAAAATTTTAATGGTGCATTTTTATGTTATTTTCAAATGAAATCTTTCAAATCTGGCATGTGCTTTTATACTTAACGGCATATCTCAGTATGCACTAGTTATGCGTCAAATGCTCAATAGACACATGTGCCTAGTGGCTGCCATGTTGGACAATACACCTGTAGCAGGAGAAAAATATTCTTTCTTCTTCTTCTTTTTATTTTTTTTAAGAGACAGGGACTGTATCACCCAGGCTGGAGTCCACTGGCACAATCATAGCTCACTGGAGCCTCAAACTCCTGGGCTCAAGACATCCTCTTGCCTTGCCCTCCCAAGTAGCTGCAACTACAGGCATGCACCACCAGGCTTGGCTGACTTTTTTTTTTACAGACAGGGTCTATGTTGCCCAGGCTAGTCTTGAACTGGCCTCAAGCAATCCTCCTGCCTTGGACTCCCACAGCGCTGGGATTACAGGCCCCTGTGCTCAGCCAAGAAAAGCATTCTTTTTCATAAAAGACCCATATAGCATCTGGAAATTGATGACTGCTTAATTAACTAAGATATGTATTCAAGTACAATAGCTCAGAAAGAAGCCATTCAACTTAACAATAGAATATATTTACAGGAGATGTAACGTCTGCTTTCAATTTTAACATGGAAGTTGTATGATCTCTGGTAAGTTAATTTTTTCTGCACCAGAGTGAATCTAAGGTCAGGATTTTTTTCACTGTTTACTTTTACTAACTCTAGGTCAGTTGAATTCACTACATTGTGCAGGTGCAGCAGCAGCAATTGTAGTGATGGTGGCAGTGGTGGTAATATGGTAGTGATTAAAATGTCAAACCTTATACAGCACTCACTGTGTGCCAAGCACTGTTTTAAATGCTTCAGATATATCAACCAGCCTAATTATCACAACAACTCAATGCAATAGATTCAATTATTATGCTCATTTCACAGGTCAAGAAACTGAAGTACAGAGAGGTTATCTAAACAACTAATAGAGCTAGTAGGCTGCAGTTTGGGGTTTTAAATACAGGTACTCTGGTTCTTCCATCTGTGCCCTTAACCAGTGAGCTATATTGTTCTCTTAAAAAGTAAAAAGAAAAAAAGGTATTATTTTCTTGTAAACATCACAAACTTCAATCTTTTTTCAAATGTGTGAAAATAATTTCAAAGCCACAGCTAGTAAGTTTTGGATCAACACACTGATTTTCTTGATTAGCACAGATAATGTGATATGTGCATATTCATCCTTAAAAACACTCAACTGTAAAAAAATAAATTGATTATTACTGCTTTCTCTTTTCTGTAGCAGTCTTGAAGCCAAGCTCTCTTTAAATTATGAAAAGCAACAAGGGCCAATAGGCAGAGTCCAGAAAGTACATATTTCTTCAATAAAGAGATAAATGTCCTCTCTAAGAGTGAAAACAAAACAAACAGCCCTTCAGAGCCTGTACAACCCACCTTCAGCACAGTACTGGCACAACTATGGGGAACTTCTATGATGACTTGTACAGGAGCAGTACACGGAGGAAGCCACATCCCCAGCCTAGGTACACAGGAGATTCAGAACCACTGTGAGATTGCACACTTGGAAAGATGATAGGGAATGGGAGCGTTAGAGGCATAAATAAATATAGCCCATTTAGTGTACTCATCAAAAAGAGAAGAATCCTGCAAGTGCTTCTTTACCAGACACCTGATTTTAATAACCAGTCAGAATACATGCAAAGAGGGATATTTAACTTGGATGTTTATGGAAGCATCAAAAGCATTTATTGAGGATGACTAAATCCACACTCTATAATAAGATCTCCATATGATTTAGTACATGGAAAATTAACTATAAAGGAGGCAGAGAATGTTTTATGCAGGTATCTGTTTCTTCCTCACTGAGGAACTGATGACAGTGCTTTATCCATTGTGATTCATTGCTGGCTCCAGCCACTTTTTCTGCTGCATGCCACACATTGCTGCCATAACTCAAAATCTGCTCTGTCCTGAGATGTCTGCTTCTTGGGTCAAAGTCTCTGGTACAAAATTAATCCGTTTCTTAAACATTTGCCCAAAGCCTACTCTGAGTCCTGAGCCTTGTCCGTCCAAGGGGAGGCTGTGTCAGTTTGTAGCTCTTTGAGTCTTTTCTATGAATGCTCCATGTGGACAGTTCCCCTATACTGTGGTTTCACTGGGGAATGGGTACTCTTCCACCACTTCATCTGGGTTCTCTCAGTATCTTGTTTTAAAATGTTTTGGAGAAAACCTTATCTTGACTGGTGTCTGTTCTGAAAACAGATGCCCTATTGCTGGGACATTTCTTGGGCAACACCAGTAAACACAAACCCTGCCCACCCCTGTAGCACATACAATACACACAAATACCTGGGATTGTGCCACTTCTGAAATCACGTGGGTTTTATTCGGTCAAAAAAAAAATTGGCACAATGAATCAAACCTCTGAGTCCTCCAGCTCACTTCTTAATTTTTTTTGAGTGGGATTGAATAATGGCTGATGACTCTTTTAATATATATTTTAACTGATAGAGTTCAATCTGTACCCCGTTAAAATTTGCATTTCTTGATTGATTTATCATCTTGATATTTCTTTTCATAAAGCCTCATTCTCCACTTAATTAGATTGCCCTTTTCCGGGCTTTCATCCCACTCTACTCTGTTTTTCTCCATTGGCATCACATTTCTGAAGTAGGACGTTAGCACCTCTGGCCCTAGCCTTCATCTACTCTCATTTTAGCCCCATAGGCCCAATTTATAAGCATGAAATGTATTTATTCATTAACATGTCAATACCAATTATATGCAAAATTTGTTAAGATAGAAACTTCTGGCTTCCATGGCCTCACCTTATAACACACTGCTAGATTTTATCATATTTTTAAATTTATCTTATTTTATGTATCTTATTCATCTTCATCTAATAGGTTTTACCTTTCTAATATAGTCACAAATCAGATGTATAAAAAGTATAGCTGTATTCATCTATCCTTGAACTCAACTTAGCTCTATGACTATCACTCAAAGATGCTCAGTCTCCTCCGATTTAAAGCAGGCTTTTTCAGGAACTCATTCAGTTTGCATTTAAGCTCATCAAAGTTCCAAGTTTCTATCATAGTTGTTCTCCCCTGTGGTGGCTTCTTGTCTTCTGCTCGATCTCCTGAGGTTGTACCTGGGCACAGGGTACATTATGTGACATTGCGAAGGATGATGCCGTCCTCCAGCCTTTGCTCATCTGCTTTAGCTTTGGTGGGGTTGGGGGGCTCTGTCCACACTGCCCCCACTGCTGGTGGAGCTACTTGTTCCCTCTATTAGCATAAGCAGTGCCCCTCAGGAACTCCAGCATTTCCCACTGCTCATTAGAGTCCCCACTAGGGATCTCCCTTGGCCTGCCTAGAACTACTCTTTGACTCCTGGCCTGGGCAATGAAATCCTGAGACCCTCAGCCACAAAGTCATTTCATCTTGGACAATAGTGATTCCTCAGAGAGTTTGTCATTCAGTTCTTGCTGGGGGCCCTGGGAAATTCTGGATCCCGTCTGTGCATTTATGAAGGATTCCAGGAGGTACAGGCCATCTTAGGGTCTCTGCAGGGCTGCCTCATCCCAGAGTTTCAGATGGGGATGGCACATAAGCTTCTCCAGCCTCAGGCCCTCAAACCTATTGCTCATATTACCCTAAAACCCAGGAAAGGGCAGATTTGACAGCTCCTCTTCCTCTAAGACAGACCCCCAAAGTATCCTTTACTCCTCTCTTTGCCATCTCTCCAAGACTTCCTCTGTGTGGCAGCAACAATGTCCTTCTCTTTACATCACTGTCTGGTTTTTTGTTTGTTTGTTTGTTTGTTTGTTTTTTTGAGACAGAGTCTTGCTCTGTCACCTAAGCTGGAGTGCAGTGGTGCGATCTCGACATCACTGTCTGAAGTCTTTCTCATGGTGGATAAAAAGCCTCCACATTCAGTCTTCTGAACTTTGCTTCTAGATGTTAATGGGAAGGTTTTTGGGGGGTTTTTTGTTTTGTTTTGTTTTTGCTTTTTTTTTTTTTGAGATGGGGTCTGGCTATGTTGCCCAGGTTGGCCTTGAACTACTGGGCTCAAAAGATCCTCCCACCTCAGCCTCCTGAGTATCTGGGACTACAAATGCCTACCATAGTGCCTGGCTTAATGGGAAGTTTTTAGAATTTAGAAAATCTCAAGTGCTGAGCTCTGGTTATTGAAAGCCCAATTTTCTTGACTAATGTTTCTGGAATGTTCTTCAAGAGCTTATCTCAGAAGTCAAAATCTGAATATCAAAGGTTTAGCCATTTCTCCATTCCACCTGTGACAACTCTACCAATTTCTACATCTGTAAATGTAAAATGTATCTACAGTCCTGTAGTTACTAGAAAATGAAACTACAGGACTGATACCTCACTATGGCTTTCTCAAAAAGTGTGAGGACTCAAAAGTTACAGGAGAGCAGTGCCAATGCGGCTCAAAACCAGAGAATGTGATACTGTGTAAATTATGCCCATGGATTTGTGCAGTGCAGCCTGGTTAGAATGACTTTGATGTCAGGAGTGTAAGGCTAAATTGGCCAGTTGTTGTAGTAATACAACTTCTGTTGGAGGGAGAGGACAATTCCTATTTCTGCTCTGTCACCTGCTAGCCATGAGACTACGTATATGTTTGGTCTTTACCTGATCCCTCCTTTTTGGGGCATCACTCTGAGAGCCTTTATACAGGTACTGCCCTCAGGCCATGTGGTTTGGATTGGGCAAACCCAGCCCTTCTGTCTCAGAGCTTATCACATGACCCAGACCTGGCCTGGCCTATGGCCTGGGTTCAGGAATGGGTATGAGACCCAAGCTAGGCCACTTCCCTGGGACCTGTGCCATATCTTCGTAACAAGAACTTTTTCTTTCTTTGTAAATACAGTGGATCCCTGGGGCTGCAGGTGGCCACCTTGTGACTACACAGCCTGTCTGATATATCTGGAAGCCAAGGGGAAATAAGGCTGAGATATTGGGGAGGCTCCTAAGAGCATTATTGGAGCCTCTGTTGTAAAGCATGTCTGAAGCAAATACCGCCGCCACCTCTTCTTTTGCTGCTTAAGCTAGTGTGAGTTGCATTCTCATTACTTGCAACCACAAGAATAATACCAATAGCTAGCACTTACGTGACACTTTTAGGTGCCACTGTATTGTTCTAAGCACCTGACTCATCTAGTCCTCACAACAGCCCTATGAGGTAGGTCCCATTTTTGCCATCCTCTTACCATCCTCTCCACTTTGCATAGGGGAAACAGAAGCCCAGAGATGTTAGCTTGCCCAAGGTCACAGACCTAAAAAGAGATATAGGTGGGATTCAATCCAGGTAGTCTGGCACCAGAGTCTAGGGACTTAACTACTCCAGGATGCCTCTTAATCCTCTAGACTAATACTGTGAACCTGGACAAGTAACTTAACATCTCTGAGCCTCCAATGTAAGGAGTAAATGATACAATACTTATCATGGTGGATCCTCAGTAAATAGTTATGATTGCAATATTTGTAATTATTTCACAACTTCATGCCATCAGAATTCCTTCTGAGTGGTGCTTGGTAGGTGGGAATAAATGAGTTTATGTTTACAAACAGCTTTGAGGATTTGGAATGAAAGTTGGATACTAAGAATTATGATAGTTTGTTCCCTAAAAACAAGTAACACTTTTGTTCCTTTATACAAAGAAATAATGAATCATAGTTTGGACCTGATGACTTGATTGTGTCTCTCTCTTTCACCATCATATGTAGGATTAAATGATCACTTGAGGCTTGGCTGTTTTTAAAAAATTCTCTAGAAGTGACTGAAAAGAGGCCTAAGATGATGAGATACTTGAGAAAGAATTATTACACCCTTTACCACAGTGCTTCAAATAATTTAAAATCTTTTGTTCTGAATTTATTTCAATGGCCAATGGTATAAAATGGTACATTTCCTAAATTATATGAATACCTGTTATCTACAGATCCCAAATCTGATCCAAATGAAATATAAATCAAAAGGTAATTTGGTAACAATTTACCTAGGCAACTTCAGACATTTAGAGTCTACTTCTTTCATAATTTTTTTTATTTCTGCACCTGCCCCATTCTTTTGAATCTATTATCTTCTACAGACACAGGACAAACTAGCTACTTCCCTCTCCTTTTCTGGTTTTCACCTCCAGGTCCCCTGGCAAAGAGGAATGTGCTCAATGCTGGGGCATTCCTGAGGAGAGTCATTTGGCTGCAGTCATTGAATGGAAAAACTACCGTAATTACTTCCCTAACTATAAAACTACAGTACTAGGGGGTGGGGAGGATACTATATGCAGCTCTCCACTCATTGATTGATTGATTGATTTACACGTTAAACATGAGTTTATACATTATACATTTCTTGAGAGCACATATGGCAGACACTATTATGGACTCTGGGGATACAAATGCAGTGAAATAACGTTACCAAGTTTATTCACATGCTTCCTTTTTGTATTTCCCAATATCATATTATTCCGACTCACTCAGAGGTTAAATTGCTTTAGTATGGATTCCCCAAAGGAAGGGATTACAAACAGACAAAAGTAGTCTATGATCTCTTGGCTAGCAGGTGCCAGAGCAGTGATCAGAATTGTCCTCTCCCTGCAACAGAAGTTTTATTACTACAGCAACTGTCTAATTTCACCTTACACTCCTGTCTTCAAAACCATTCCAACTGGCTACATTGCACAACTCCATGGGCACAATTTACACATCATCACATAATCAAGTTTTGAGGCCCATTGGCATGCTGTCCTATGATTTTTGAGTTCTCATACATTTTGAGAAAGCCACAGTAAGGTATCAGTCCTGTACTTCCATTTTCTAGTGTCAGTCCTATAGTTTCATTTTGTAGTAACTACAGTACTGTAGTTACATTTTACAGAGGTAGAAACAGAGGATTAAGTGGGAGAGGGCTCCTTCATTCATGAAGTGGTTATTTAAGCCTACTATGTAGCAGAAGCTATACTGAGTGTGCCTGTAGCCTGCTCAGACCCCACCCATAAATGCCTCATCTGGAATGCCGGTGCTGTGAGAGGAGATGTCCTCTTCAGGACCATGCCAATGTCCTGACCTGGTGACACTGAGACATTCAGGCTTTCCAATACTTTTTTGAGCCGAACGATAATCAGTAATAACTAGGTACATCCCTGAATAATGTTTCAACTGACAAACATCCATTTTCTGATTATCTACCTAATTCTGCCTAGTTTCAAAATATGACTTATGTTAACACAGTCATGACCTTTTCTGTAGAAATATTTATAGTCTTTGGAGTGTACTAAAAAATATTTACTGGCTGACTAATGGTGACTAGAATTTCTTGAATTCCCCTGGAATCTCCTCTAATAGGTATTGCTAACAAAGTAGAAGGTAAAATAACAATTTCATGTATGCATAGCATAATAAAAAGAACTTATGTTTGTTTAGCATTATGTACACAGCAGTTTTACAACTTATCCTTTTCAAATCGTGGCCAACAACTTTGTGTGATAGGTATTACCATCTCATTTTACAGATGAGAAAAATCAGGTCCCAGAGAGATTAAGTAACTGCTCACAGTCAAACATAGCACAACTCCTATATCTGTCTTGCTCCAAACCCTGCCTTTCACCATTTTAACCACCCCTTGTATAAGCTTACTTTCAAATTATACTTTTGACATCTTCAGATCCAGGTGACTCAGTTCAGGTCATGTATGTCTTCTTGAATGATGCAGTCAGCCACATTTGAGGCCTGAGTTAGCCGATGTGGATTTGAAGCTTCCTATTCTTATCACAAAAATCCCAGGTTTGTTTGATTTATCAACTTTGTCAGGCAGTTACCCCCTCCTTATTCAGGGCCATGTGGAGGCACAACTGCAAAATGGGCAGGTGCATTCTTTCCCTGTGCATCACTTCATCTCACCCTCTGCAAGAACCTCTTCCCTTTCCAGATCTTGGAAATCTTTACCATCTGTGTCCTGATTATGCCTTTTTTCAGTGCTTCCAGGTGAGCCCTGCCTCCCTGAGGCTTCACCAAATCCTGCTCTAGTAAATACTGTTAATGTGTTGGCTTCTATTCCTGCTACCTGAAATCTCCAAGGTATCAACTTAGGGACTTTCTCCCTCATGGTATGTGATCTTGGGGCCTGTCTTATCATTAACAGCAGGGAAGGCAGTCCCTGAAGACCACATCTCTTAAGACTCAGTGACTGCCAAGTGGAGGCTTAACCACAGCCAATCTGATGCAATTCTGGTACCCTGTTTCCTGAGAAGAGGGAAGCAAGGATAGAAGAAAAAGTTAAAATTTGTTAATTTTGTAAGAAGCACCCTGGCAAGATTGTGTTCTCATTCCTGCTCCAAGAGTTGTCTTTCAGTTTTGATCTTCAATCCTGTGCTGTTTCTCAGATCTTTGTAAAACATTGTTCTTTGTTTTGGTTAATCAGAATTGTTTCTTTGGTTTCCAATCCAAGAATGATCATAATAAACCTTCCCTCTTTGTTGGCAGACCTGCATACTGCATGTCCCAAAGCCTCTCACTGTCTTCTACTTCCTTCACTGTCTCCTACTGTGCTCACCCCATCACTTGCCAGGTCAGGTGGTCTGTCCCTCCCCAGGTGAACCAGAACAAAGCAGGCAGCTGATCTGTAATCACGAGCTAGTGACAGAGAGGGGATTGTCAGGGTCCTTTCCCGAGCTTCCCCTCCAAGACACCTGTGTAATTCTTTAAGCTAAACGTCTTTTCAATAGCTATTTAAATTCCATTTATCTCATCTTGGACTTTGTCTTAGGATTCAATTTGGGACTTAGCATGTGACCATTTATAGTTGGTTTTCTTCTGCCTCAGACTCTAGTGTACACTCTTCTCCCAAAAAGGTTGGGAGGCCTAGGAGATGTAGGTCAGAAGAGCTGAGTGAAGACCAGGTGGTGCAGAGCCCAGGAGGATGCCTAAAAGCATAAGCTGATTCTGGTGCTACCTTGTTTGACACCATCAGTGGATTCCCCATCTGAACTCTTGGATAAAGTTTAAACTCCTCACAAGGCATTCAGATGCACCAGGGCCTGGCCTCTGCCTGTCTCCAGCTTTGTCTCCAGGGTTTTCTCCCTTACACTTTACTCTCTAGCAAAGCTAAACTAAAAGGGTTTCCCTGTACATACTTCACTGTCTTTTTTTCCCTGTGCCTTGTTTCCATCTGTTACCTGCCTCTGGAATGCCCTTCCTTACATAGCCTCAGCCACACACACCTACTTGTGAGCTAGCCAAGTGTCATTCATCTTTTAAGAGCATCTCTAACATAACCTCCTGGGGAAGTGTGTTATTTGATGACCTCCTACACCAATCTCTTCCCCGCTTGCAGAGACCCAGTTAGTCTGTGCTTTCATGTTCCTATTCATCTTCATATTCTTGGTGCTTGGCATTGTAGGTATGAGTGATAATTGTAAGTTCTTGGGGTAGATGCGTGGGTGGATGGATAGATGGATGGATACATGGAAGAGTGAATGAATGAATGAATAAAGCCTTTATGTAATTGTAAAAACATGGTATTGCAGGAAATATTCCATATTGTAAGTACTTTTTGACTAAAACTTTATGCTATGGCTGGTCTGTTCCTTTCCTCTACCCTGCCTGGGTCTATTAGTAGTGATTCATTTCCAATCAATAATGATTCAATTTATCTGTAGAAGTCACTTAAGTAATTCAGTTATGTCTACCACATAAATAACACAAGTCTTGACCTGGCTGGCTGGCTCTCGTGGTGACATAATCTACTTAACCCAATTACCAAATTGATCAAAGATCCCAAAACAGTTAATGAAGAAAAATAAGCCCTGATTTCTCTTTAAAAATAGATACTAAGAAAGCAATAGGAAAATCAGAGTAGTCTAGAAATTCTGTGTCATCATGAGAGCACCCAGAAAATAAATTTAACTCAAGTAGTGCCAATACATTTTGAAAAATATTTCAGAGTAGCAGATCAAGATTTACCAACTGACTTGATGATGAAAGATTTACACACTACCTTTTAAAATATTTGTCTCATTATTTTCTCTTTATATAAAATAAATGCAACTTTGTATTCATTCCCTCTAATTTAAACCAGTCTTTCCAGAGGACTTGAGGGCACTGATAATGTATGTAAGATGAAGGGTTTTTTGTTTGTTTTGTTTGTTGGTCTCTTCTTTGAGACAGGGTCTTGCTCTATCTCCCTGGTTAGAGAGCAGTGGTGCGATCATGGCTCATTGCAGCCTCAACCTCCCAGGCTCAAGCAATCTCCCCACTTCAGCCTCCTGTGTGGCTGGGACTAAGGGTACACACCACCACACCAGCTAATTTTTAAATTTTTTGTAGAGATGGGGTCTCCATATGTTGCCCAGGCTGGTCTTAAACTCTTGGGCTCAAGCGATCCTCCTGTGTCTTGCCTCGCAAAGTGCTGGGATTATAAACGTGAGCCACCCCACCCTGCCAGGTGGAGTTCTGAAAGCAGAATTCGCATGTTCTCTTTGGTAGGTAAGAATTGTGCCTTCATTTCCTGCAAGATAGGGCCAGTGACTATGTTCCCTCAACCCTTCTTGCTAAGAGAATGTCAGTCAGCATCTGCAAGGACTCATGAGGCTGCAGCTGTTTTCCTGTTCTGGTATGAAATTATCCTAGCAGCAATTTTGCCAGATAAGCAGCCAAGGCCACAAGAAGCACTTTTCCTTTGTCCATGTTAAAGTTTTGCATAAATGTTTTGTTTTCTTGCCTTTCCTGATGGGTTTAAATGGAATATCTCCATATTTCGTAGTCCATGCAACTGGTGGCACTTGGGGGCCAGTGTTTGTGAGGCCTCCCCAGGTAGGTTTCATCACATAAATTGAATGTGACTTATCTCTCAGCAAAGGTTGTGAAAAACCTTTGGAATCCTGGGTCCAGATTCTTTACTCTTGAGGGTTGAACTCAAATCGTACTTCTGGAAGGGCTGAGACAGAGGACAGCTGACAAGGGAGAGTGAAAGACAGAGAAGGGAACCAACATCTGAACATCTAGCATATGCTTAGTACTGGGATAGGTGTCTTAAAGATGTGATCTCATTTTAACTTCCCATCAACTCTTTGAGGAGATATTACTGGTCTCTGTTTTTCAAATTAGGAAATGGAAAAAGAGAGAAATTAAGGTGACACAGCCAGTAAATAGTAAATCATAATCAAGCTCAAACTCAACTCTGTCTTACTCTCTTTTGTCTACCACTCTGCTTCCAGTTTATTTAGAAAGTGCAATCTTTGTGCACTTGTGATTACATATTTCACTATTCTCTAATGCCTTATTTATATGTATCCACTGACAAATTTACAAGGCAGAATGAAAAACTGAATTATCCTTCAACACATTGTAAGAGTAGTTGATGACAATAATTATACACACACACACATATATTAAGAAACAATAATTCTGCCTTAGTAATTTTGAACTACCTTAGTATAGTGCCTTAAGAATACATGTGACTCCCTTCCTTATTATTTTCATCATCATCATTACATGCTAGTGATTATTTACCCTCTAGTGTACTAAATAGGTTTATGTAAAGCTACCATAAAGAAACATAAATCAAATCCTACTTGTTTCTTTACATTTTACTAGAGGAATATATTTTGAATCTCATCAAACCTTTCATAAAAGAGAAATATAATAATTAAGGACCTAAATTCAGGAGCCAGATTTCCTGGGTTTGAATACTGGCTTTGCCACCTCCTAGCCTGCGTAGGACGTGGGTAGCCTTGGGAAGTTACTACAGCCAGTTTCTTCAACTGTAACATGGAGCTGCCAGCAGTGATACTTATCTCACCTCAAAGGCTGCTGTGAGCCTCTCATGAGTTGATGTTCTGATGTCTTAAACAGAACCAGGGACATGGTAAATGTTCAATACATGTAGGCTGTTTTATTTCTTTTGCATGTGAAAAAAACAGGTCTACAGTTCAGTGACTTTCTTGGGGTGTCATGTTGGTGGCAGAGTGGGTACTGACATCCAAGTCTCTCGATTCCCAGTTCAGTGCTGGGCACTGTATGACATCCAGAGTAGGACAGCACAGGAAACTGTAAGTTTCCCTCTATCTTTGCCCTTACTCCAAATAAACTGAAAATGCTGTCTACATGTCCACTCTCCAGTGTTGGGCAAGTTTCAAGCTTAGCTTCTCCAGGGCCACCATTTACTCCACTGCCTGGCCAGCTGTCACAGCCCTGTGCTGTCATCCCCTAGCACACTGGATTCCAGCATTGTTTGGAATGCCAAAAATGTTAACAGACTCTATCAAGTCTGAATTTTGAAATTCAGAAACTCTCAAATTTGAATCCTTTTTCATAACTCATTTGACCGCAAGACCTGTTCAGGCCTGAACTTTTTCAGTGACAAAACATCTGAACTGACATGAGGCTATTTATAATTTGTATTTGACCCTCATAGTGTGAGGGACACTGCCCCACATCCTGGGGCAGCGGGATACATATCAGTCAGGGTCTTGGCAGAAAGAGATGGGGCACTCAGCCCAGGTGAATAAAGAGAGTTTATTAAAGGGACTATTTATAAAGGCATGGCTGGAGCGAAGGAATCCTTAATAAGGGATGCGGCAGAACAGCAGAAGGAGTGAGTACCACATGCACCAGGAGCTGTCACCACCCCAGGATCAGGAGGGCCAGGTAGAGGTAGGAGTTACCTGAATTTGGAGAAAGCAGCATAGCAGAGGGTTGCAGTCAGGAGTGATAGGTAGAAGGATCTAACGTGCAGCAAAATAGCAAAGAAGCCTGGGAAGTCAGTACCTAACCTTACTCCCTCTCCCTCTAGATCTTCTGCTGGTGCCTCTCTTTAGTGAACCGTCCCTGAAGCCAGAGGCAAGGGAGTTCATAGATGCAGACCACACGGTGAGCCACCCAGGGTATCAAGCAGGGTAGTGAGGTTGGCAAGTGGATCTGGAGGCCCAATGGAAATAGCCTGCGTAGCATATTCTATAACGTCCAATATATGCATTCTACCATCTTTCTAAAAGCCAAAAACTCGAGAATGCTTAAAAGAGTTGTATTTTATTAAGTCAACAGCATATAGATATATTTGAAAAATATTATTACATACATGTCAGCTTTTTTTTTTTTTTGACAGAATCTTGCCCTGTTGCCAGGCTGGAGTGCAGTGACACCATCTCAGCTCACTGCAGCCTCTGCCTCCCGGGTTCAAGCGATTCTCCTGCCCCAGCCTCCCAAGTAGCTGGGACTACAGGTGCGCATCACCAGGCCCAGCTAATTTTTGTATTTTTAGTACAGATGGGGTTTCACCATGTTGGCCAGGATGGTCTCGATCTCTTGACCTCGTGATCTGCCCACCTTGGCCTCCCAAAGTGCTGGGATTACAGGCGTGAGCCACTGCGCCCAGCCACACGTCAACTTTTTTTTGGTTTGCAGTTTCAGTGCCATAGAGACTTATGAGTCATTTATAATAATGCTTTGGTATGGGGGCTCAGAAAACAATTTGGTATTGGGGCTCAGAAAACAAAATGAGGGTCTTGGGGTAGTCTCAAAGGCAAAAGTTTTGTTTTTTGTGTTTTTGTTTTTTTTTTTCCTGACCTTTTTGCTCCTAGTCTCCCAGTCTCATCTTCTAGCCATAGAAACTAGAATCTCTCTTTTTCAAGGTGGGTCATAGAAACCAGAACCTTTTTTTCCCCAAAGACGGCCATAAAACCTGAAAACATTACCCCACTTTTTCCTCCATTGTTCTGTGTAAAAATTGGCCATAAAGAAGTTATCTGACCTACTTGTTTGACTGCAGATTATAAGACCCCCATTCTAGAGAGAGTCCTGTCGCATACCCTGAAGGAAGAAATGCATGCTCAGAGAGGCCAAGAAGGATCAAGACAGACAGGCTTTGCTGGGTTTCTCCACTTAGTCTCTTAGCATTAGATAATATTCTTTTTGTCCAATCATATTTCTGCATGGCTCTCCATACTGTGTTGAAACTAAGCATAAGAATTGACAATTTCCCATATACTTTTGGGTCTTCATTCTGAAGGATCCTGTGTTTACACATTAAATACATTTTTATGCCTTTTCTCCAATTAATCTGATTTCTGTGAGTTAATTTTTCGGTGAAACTTCCGAGGGCAAAGAAGTTTCTCTTTGACCCTTACACTTGCCTACTCTGCAAGGTTGAAACTACTGCACTAAAGAGTATTATCTCGTTCATTGATTCACTCATTGATTCATATGTTCATTCTTTCAACAAATATTCCTTATTGAATGCCTGCTCTGCAAAACTCTACAGGCTCTGGGCTATAAAGAGAAAAATGACCCTAGCCCTTCCAGTAGCTTACAATTTAGTAAAAGACACTAATTTTTTGGAAAATAGTAATACAATCTTGAGTTAGCAAGTAGTTTTCATCTCAAAGCTATCTTGCTGGTTTGGGGTTCTATTTTGAGGTAGCTTTCATGGCCATATCTGGGCTCAGTGGAAAAAAATGCTAAGATCTGTTAGCAACATCTGATGTGGGCGCAGCCGTGGAGAATGCACACAGCACAGTGTTTGGCTGACTGTGCTTTAATTACATGGTCGAATGAAATTATTTATTACAATGAAAGTAAGAGCAATTTCCACAGAAGGGCAGAAGGAAGGTTGCTTTGAATTAGGAACACCTGAGAGGCTTTATAGTGGTATATATAGAGTGTTTCAGGATTTCCAGACAAGAAATAATAGGTAGGGGCAAAGACAAAGTAAGATCACAGGACAGGCTGGTGTAAGTGGGCCACAGGGCCTTTGGGGTGATGAAGTACTCGGTGATCAAAATAGATTAAGGAGAGGCCATACGAAGGAGTTTGGACTTCAATTTGCAGCAAGTGAGTTACAATCGAGGGCTTTTGAGAAGAGGATGTTCTGCATTTTAGGAAAATCATCCAAACAGCATTTTGAAGGGGGTGGGGCTTAAGAGGAAGCTGATGGAAAGTAATCTTTGTGAAGGAAGGATTGCAGCCACCTAGTCAGGAGATGGTGACGAGAAGGCAAAGACATTAGCAGTAGGAATTCAAAGAATGGTTGGCAGACATTTTGAGGAAGAAATGACAGATTTGATCATCGATTGGAGGGAGGAGTCCAAAGTGAAACCAGGGTGTCTACAATGTGAATTCACAAGAGGAGGAGGGCTCCGTAGCTGGCAGGATGGGGCGTTACTGCAACGCGGGGCATCTAGAGGCCGTGTTATGGTCAAAATGGTTACAAGAAAAGACCCTGCAGGTATTTCATATTGTGAGTCTGTAGTTTAGAAAAATAAAAGAAGAATGTTCCATGCGCAGAAAAAGTTCCACTACTATAATTCCTTATGGTAATTCTAAAATTCTGTAAGATAAAAATTACAAGCTTTTATGAGGTTTGGTGCCAAAACTTATTGGGTGATAAACCTAACCTGAACAAATGTGAGGCTATCTATAGACTTTATCCTACTCAAAGTCAATATTCATTTTTTTTTTGTTGCAGAAATAATACACTTAAATGTACAGTACTGTCCCAAATTTACTGGGCTGAGGGTTTTTATATTAAATGGTGCATGTATCAAATTATCATTTAAAAATAAAAAGTGGATATAATTTCTGAAATGTATCTGTTCCCAAGGTTTTAGATGAAGAATTGTGGATATATATATCAATACCTACAGTGGTTTTTTAACTTCACATTTTAAGAAGGTATTGTCTTAGTTTTATGCATTGGCATAAAGCACAGTAAATAAACAGATGCCTCTTTTTATCTGAAAATTTTGGAGAATAAAGCATTCTTTGTATGTGTCTTTTCCATACACTCATGCTTAGTAAGTTTCTTTGTCCATAAAATTGGGATAATAATACTACCTACCTCATAGAATTGTTTAAACAGCTAATGTACACCATCTAACACATAAGTATGTTAGCAAATTTAGTCATTATTATCTCACCCCTTTAATTAATAAAACATTTTTAAAAAGCATTTTGGATGAAAAACTTGTTTTCCCAACCTCTGAAAGTGCAATGAAAATAAATGTGTCCCTTCTTGTTGAATGTAAAGAGCAAAGAGTACCCCCATTTCTTGAAAACCTAATATGTACTTGTTGCTTTAATCCCACGAGATGAACGTTATTTTCCCCATTTCACAGATGCAGCAACAGAGATTCTGAGATGTTAAGTAGCATGATCAAGTTGCCCTCCAGTAAGGGATAGGTTAACTTGTCTTTCCACTTCGTCTAGCTCCTAGAGATGCACGGAAGAGACAGCAGATAAAACACATTGTCCGTGTGAGTAAAACATTCACGTGGGCCTCTTCCTAGGCATACTTCTGGTTACTTTTTAATCAGCTATAAGAATGTTGTTTTTCCATTTGTGCTATTAGTCCTATGTGGATAAGGACATACTTCAGACTCAAGATTTCTAATGATGCCCCTTTTTATCTACCTCGAACCAGTCCCTACATCGTCCCCCACCAACAGTAACTTCTGGAAATAACACCCATTTGGCTTATAATAATAAAGTCTAATTTTCAGACAAGCTGCAAACGGTATCTGTTAATGTGATCATGATTGGGAGGAGGAAAGGGATGTGAGAGTGAGGTAAGAGTCTGGTAGTGGCGCACTGAGGGTGTGGGAGGGAAGCGTTCCCTTGCTGTAAAAGGGGATTACCTGACCCAAAAGGAAATCAAGTTTATTGTAACTTGACTAAGTAAACAGCAATGTAATCCAGTTCTTCAATTTTTGATGTGGATGCTTTAAATGAGAGAGTGTCACATTTTCTCCTTTTCTTCCCTAGAGCACACATATCAAACCCGGCCTCTCTCCTCAGCCTGAGGTATGGTTTCTTAGTCTCACTCCTCGCAGCCAGGCAGGAAATGTTCCCAGCCACAGGATAAGCCTCCAGTTGGAAGAGGGCTGGGAGGGGGAGTGAGAAAAGGAAAAAAAAAGAAACAAAGAAAAACAAACTTTACTAGAGCCGCTAGCAGGAGCCCCAAAGGATCCCGGCCGGTTTCCAGTTTCCTAGAAGCGGGGATCACACCTCCCCGCGCACTCCCGACACATGCGCGCGCACGCACACACAGGCGCACACACACAGACACACAGGCGCGCGCACACAGGCACACACATGGACACACGGGCGCGCACACACAGGCACAAACACAGGCGCACACATAGGCGCACACACACACAGGCGTGCACACGTACACAGGCACACAAACAGGCACACACAGGTACACACGCACACACAGACAGGCACAGACGCACGCACACACACAGGCACACAAACAGGCACTCACACAGGAGCGCGCGCGCGCGCGCGCACACACACACACACACACGCACTATGCCCGCCCCCACTCCAGCCCGTGGGCGTGGTTCCCAGCGTCTGCGAATTCGCGCGCCCGGGGCGGGGCGGGCCTGCCCGGGGGCCCCTGACAGCCGCGGGAGAGAGCGGCTGGTCGCACCTCGGGCCGCGCCGCCCAGCTGCTGACAGCCTCCCGGCGCGCCGGTCCATGCTGGTCCCGGTCTTTGTTCTGGGGCCGGCGCCGAGACATGCGCGGCTGACGATGGAGGTGGAGGACTCGGGCGGCGTGGTGCTGACCGCCTACCACTCGTACGCGCGCGCCCAGCCCCCCAACGCCGAGTCGCGCTGCGCGCCCCGCGCCGCAGCCAGCCACCCGCTCAGCAGGTACCCGGAGCCGCTCCCACCAGGGCGGCGCAGTCGCGCTGGGCTTGGGGGGTTCGCCGTGCAGCTGCGCCTTGTGCCTGAGCGCACGACCGCCGTCACTGGATGTTGTTTCAAGTTTTGGTGGACTAGATGAGTGAGCCTGGGGTTCTTTGCATTGTCTTTGACTGGAGGTGGGAAACGCTCGAAGGCTCCACCAGCCTGGGCTGAAGTCGTTGGCTAGCAGAGATTAGCAAGCAGCAGGATTGCATTCTTGATACGATTTGAGGATAAGTCATGTGTATATATATATATATACCTCATTTCGGCCAAAGTTGCCTATAAAACATCGGGAAATTAAAAAATATTCCAAATGAAACACAAGCAGCACATGAAAAGAAAACAGTAAATGAATAACCCTAAATCCTCAGAATACTCCTTTTGAGAGCTTGTTCAGTAACTGCATGCCTGGTTTAAAATTTAGGTTGAGAAATTCTCTAAAAAGTACACCTCAATAGACTTTTAAAGACAATTTTATTTCTACATGTTAAAACCTTTCAATTGTATAAAGGCATTGGTGTCATTATTTGATTACTGCTAATGTCAACTCTATGCTGTCAATGCAATTATATTTCCTTTTGGTCAAAAGAAGTCTATAAGCATCTCATCCTGTACATTTCAGATTTAATCAAGGATCTATGTTAAATTACTCTATCAGTGATCATCCATTTGATGCAAGATCAAGGCCAATGAGACTTTCATTAACTGAAACAAAAACGTTTAAGTGGGTAGACAAAAGTATTATGATGAGTGAGATGGTTAGATATTTGATACATATTTGGGGGAAGTTTTATTTGTGTAAATGTGACTATCTGATCCACTGACGAGTGCTTTTCTTTACAAGGGGGCAGTTTGAGTGGTGTGTTTTCATCATGTTTATTTTTAATCATTTCTTTTATCTCATACTTTTAACTTTAGTTGTGCGATAATTACTTCTGTTTCCTAATTTAATTGATTGTGATTTTAATTGATTTCCTAATTAACAGATTGTGACTTTATTTCAAGGAATATCTTTTTGGCTAGTATCCATGAGAAGAACAAAGTACATTGGCAAGAGATCTATGTTGGGCTTGGCTAACAAAGAAAATGTTGTTTCTTTCAAAAACAGCAGGTTGAGTGAAATCTCATTTTTATATAAAGACAGTGGGAAAATCACATTTTTTTTCCAGCTTTAGGAGTTGTGCATATACTTTTAAAGGCTGCTCGAAGATATAAACTGGCATTTGTCTTTAGGGTATTTTCTTTTCTAAACATAATTATTGGCTGTAAGTACTCAGATTATGACTAACTAAATAAATATATATATGTGTGCGTGTGTGTGTGTGTGTGTGTGTTTTGATGAAAAGCATGGGCCAAGTTTGTCCATTTCTTAAACGGTTCTAGTGTAGCTGTCCTGTCTATAATTCCCAGCAGCTGTCTCAGAACGCCAGCCAGATTGTGCCATTTGGGCAATTTGAAACTACATCCTTTTCCAAAGCAAACTAGAAGCAGAAGTTCTATTAACTCAGCATGTGGTCTTGTGGAATGATAATACATGAGAGCAAGCGTTACGTGTCAGAGCTAGTATTTCACCTTAAGGTTGCCAATTAGATTCACGTTGTTCCAAGTTTGCATTTTTGGTGACTGCCCTGCACTCTGTCTATGGGAGCCTTGGTACCATTGTTCCTCTGCTGCAGAACCCCCTGGCCCCCTGCAACCCAATCACAAGAGAATAGCTTAATTCCTTGGTTCCCAGTAAAAAAGCAATCAAAAAGAGGTTCCTGTATTTACAAAGAGCCAGAGGACACCATTAATCATAAGTCTGATAACAGAAATAATCAGGCCCAAGTTATTAACCTTTGACTCACTAACTAATGATCAATACTTCCTTTCAAGCCAAGAAGCAAGATCATATTGTTCTACCTCTGAAGAAAGCACTCTCTCTTTCAAGAATACCCTTTCCTTTAAATTGCTTACACATTTGTAACCTATTTGTGGAGCAATGACCAGAATGGCCCTAGAAAGCGTGGACTTTTGTATCTGCGTTATTTTTTAGCTCTTGGTGGCATAGGTTCAATTCAAAGCAAACCATTCTTTTTTATTTTCCAGACCCCCACTACACCTGAGTTTATATGTTTTTAAGGTTTTTTTTTTTCTAGCCTTTTCCCAGTAAAATAGAATATAGTATCTTTCTATTTGGTCATTTTTTCCACTATTATATCCCTAGAGCAGTATCTGGTACATTGTAGTAGCCCAATAAATATTTGTTGAGTAAATTAATGAATTCCTGCCAAGATTACAAAATAGCCAAGATAAAATGGTGGGATTTTTAACTGCCAACCTCAACCTGTTTGCACCTCCATGGCCAGCAACGTGTTAGGCATTTGGGTTACAGAGATAAACGGGACATAGTCCCTGCCCCAAGAATGTGGCCCTTTACCTTTCAAACCAGCAAGACTTTGAGAAAAAAAGAGGAAATAAGTGACAATATTTCTACATCAAGAGGCTTCAGATGTAAATCTGGATTTTTAGCTAACCATTTAAAAAAAAAATTGAAGGACCCAGCAGCTCAGGCCTGCCCTGCTGCCTGCCATCCCTAGCTGAAGCTGAGCTGCTCCATCATGGGGGCTGCTGTGCTTGTTTGCCACACTCTCCCTGTTTCCCTTCAACATTGAGGCAGTTTCTTTTAGGGCTGCTCATTTTATTTTATTTTACTTATTTTATTTTGTTTTCGTAAAGTGAGTAGCCAGTGAAATGTACTTGTCAGTTCCTCAGGCTTGAGGTCAGATTGGCAGACCTTGACTCTACACCAATTACTACAATGTGGCCTTGGGCAATTTACTTCCGCTGCTTAGGATATTGACTAACGCAGAGGAAGCACCAGATATATTAGCTGTATCCCTACGGTTATCACTTTTAATCAGGTGTTGTTGCTGTAAAGAGGAGAGTCAAACTTTTGGTACTTGCATCACTATCAGAAGCGGACAAACAAAATAAGGTCAAGAAAGCCTTGTTTGTCAAGAAAAAAAAAGGGGGCCATTTAAAACTCAAATATCTGAGTTTTATAGCTCCAATCTTGCAACCGAAGAATCAAAGGGATCACTCATTCTTACCTCATTTTATAAAATAGTTAAAACTATGTATGGAGCATAATAAGTGAAACCACCTGAAGTCACATAAATGCACTGGCCTTTAGAGGGAGTTGTGGGTACCTAAAAGATTCTAGGTTGCGATATATTGACAGTAAGGAATCCTCAGATTTAAGTTCTTTTTTTAAAATCAGTATTCAGAATGTATAAATTAATATGTTTATTTTTAATATATAGATTATCCTTTGTCCATCTTGTCCTGTTCTGTTTTTGCTCTTTAAATTTGCATGGGGCAGTCTGCTGTGGCATTTAAAATACTGTTATACATATTTCCTTTTGAGCTTTTGGGATTCCTTCCCACACCCCCCGTTTCTTTAAGAGTTATTTCTTTTTTTATATATAATTTCTATCACCATATTTCTTGATTCTAATAGAGTGTGAGGATGGATAGACTTGCTTGTTAATTCTCATAATTAATTCTATTTTCTCATACTACTTTTATCTTTCAAAGTTTTCTTAGGAATTAATTTCAAGGACTCCACAAAGTCTATTTTGGCTATTACTTTTCAGTAGCATGGCATACTTGTAACATGAATTTTAATTTGTTTCTTTGGAGCTAAAAGGCAAGAAAACCATCAAGATACAACATCTTTCTGTCCCTAATAGGCATACAAACTTTTAAGTAGTTTAAAGCAAGAGCATAATTCTCTCAGAGGAAGTTTTAGCAAACATATTTCATTCTCACTTATTTTCCATTTTGGTCAACTGATTTGATATTACAACAACAACAAAAAAACATTCTCAGCTTGTGTTTCTGGACAGTTTAGACTTATTCCTAATGAGGAACACCAATTACCTTCTGTGTTTAGCACCTTTATGTGCTTAACAGTGGCAGGGAGTCCTAGTTGGTGTCTACAGTGCATTTCTAGATCATGGGGGATTCCAACCACTGCGAAATTTATTCATGCAGCAAAGAGACTCACAAGTCATAAGTATTTGTTGGGAGGAAGAGAACTAATTCTTTATTTCACAAAATTGTATATCCACATCCTATTGTAAAGGAAGAAAGAGAATAAACTAACTATAAATTATCAGTTCTGTTAAATGGTTGAAATTAGAATCATGATTTTTAGAGAGGCTAAGCTTCTATTCAGAATCCAGAGTGAGACTATTGACAAACATACAAAATAATTTCACTGATAAAATGAAACGTAGCTGAGGATAAAGCTAGATTTTGTTTTTCAAGGGTTTCCTGAGTATATACAAATAATGAAGTACAATGTTTTTTTTGTGAAGGTATAGTAGAAAATGGCCATGATTATTTCTGATATTTATCTAGTTATACCATAAACTTCCCGAGAGAGGACAAAAATAGAGGAGGGAAACAGCCAACTCTTCCTCGAAAACAAATATAGAAGCTAACCAAGGTTATCCTAGGAATTCTAATTCTACAGCAATGTTTAAACTTCTGTGAGGGGGCTATTGTTTCTTAACTATTCTTAATAATAAGATAATTTGATTAAAATGGAATGGATGATTAGAAAGTAAATATTTTATATTGAGGAAAAACTAAATTTAGCAACTTTTAGTGATAGATTTATTGGTACTTTCCTGGACTGAAATTAATTAATTAAGAAAACATTTACTTCCAGGTGCTAACTCTTACTAAGCATTTATGTAGGCCCGTATGAGCTTATGTACACATGCACAGGGACACCATATTCTGGGGGATACTAGGTATACTTTCTTGAGAGGATTCAAAAATAGTAATGGAAATAAGATTCTTAGTAGACAATAGGTATTTATAGGTCATTCTTTATGTTATGGTTGAAATCAGAGTTGGTGTCTCTGGTTTCTTTTTACAGTGGGATCCCTGCTGAGCGTAGATTCCTCCATATGCAGAGCTGTTGGAAAACATCTGGTACATTTCCTTTGATGGTATCATATGGCTAAATATTTGGCCAGTTGCTCTATCCATTTTTAAGCTGCTCACTTCTCCCTGATCATTAATCTCTAATGTATGCACAAAAGTTTAGGGAATTTAGAGTATTGTAGAATCGCCTTATGTAGATGAAGATGGTGACTAAAAAGTCATAACTTTTAACTTTCTATTTTGATGTAATTTTGGGCTTAAGAAACTTGCAAAAGTAGTCCAGAAAGTTTCTGCTTCTGCGTAACCTTTACCCAGATTCCCCAAATGTTAACATCTTGCAAAACCAGAATACCATTTGTGAAAACTAAACAAAGTAAAACTGGTACAATACTGTAAACTAAACTACGACCTATGTTTTGATTTCACCAGTTTTCCAATAAAATCGGAATTTTCCTGTTGTAGAATTGAATGTGGGACTCCACACTGAATTTTGTTGTATCTCCCGAGTCTCCTGCAATCTGACAGACTGTCCTTGTCTTTCATGACACTTTTTGAGAACTGGTTGGTGATTTATAGGAAGTCCTTCAAATTGGGTTGGTCTGATGTTTTCTCATGATTAAATTAAGGTTATGCTGTTTTTTTTTTTTTTTTTGAGCCAAGGTCTTGCACTGTCATCCAGGCTGGAGTGTAGTGGTCTGATTATGGCTCACTGTAGCCTCGACCTCCTGGACCTAAGCAATCCTCCCATCTCAGCCTCCTGAGTCGCTGAGGCTACAGGCACATGCCACCATGCCTGACTAATTTTTGTATTTTTTGTGGAGATGGAGTTTTGCCGTGTTGCCCAGGCTGGTCTCAAACTTCTGGGCTCAAGTGATCTGCCCACCTTGGCATCCCAAATTGCTGGGATTACAGATGTGAGCCTTCAGCCTGACCAAGCTTATGCATTTTCGATGAGAAATCTGTGGAAGTAATATTGGGTCCCTCTGAGGGCATCATACAGCGGGTATGCGACGTTGACATCTTACTAACGTTGGTGTTAGGTTTGATCTTCGGGATAAGGTGGTGTCTGCCAGATTTCTGTACTATAAAGTTACGATTTTCCTCTTTTTAATTAATAGCTACCTTTGGAGAGATACTTTGAGACTGTGGAAATATCCTTTTTCTCCTTAAACTTTTAGCATTTATCTGTGGATCTTGTCACTACAATTCACTAATGTGGTCTTCTAAAGGTGACTTTCTATTTCTCTCATTTCTTCTACATTTGACTCATTTTACATACTATGAAATAGACGTCTAGTAGTCTTGCTGATTTTGTTTTTATCTCATTAGCTTTTAAAAGGTCAGCCAAATATAAATAGTCATCAACAGTCATTTAATCTACTCTTTTTTTTTTTCAGTTTTGACACAAAGTATAAAAAATGTTTTAATTTTACCTGGTCTGACTTTATGAAAGCTCTAAAGATAGATTTTCTAATTTTTAAATTTCTGTGATTTTTTGGAAGCAAATGTTTATTAATAGGCTCAAAGGAAAAAAATCGGCTGGGTGCAGTGGCTCACACCTGTAATCCCAGCACTTTGGGAGGCCGAGGTGAGCGGATCACCTGAGGTCGGGAGTTCGAGACCAGCCTGACTAACATGGTGAAACCCCATTTCTACTTAAAAAAAAAAAATACAAAATTAGTCGAGCGTGATGGTGGGCGCCTGTAATCCCAGCTACTTGGGAGGCTGAGGCAGGAGAATCACTTGAACCCAGGAGGCGGAGGTTGTGGTGAGCCAAGATCATGCCATTGCACTCCAGCCTGGGCAACAAGAGTGAAACTCCATTTCAAAAAAAAAAACAAAAAACAGAAAGTTGCTAAATTAAATGCTGTGTTAAGAGAGTGTAGTTGTTCTTAAATCCCACTTTGCCTAGAGAGTATTACTGAAACTATCTTTTATTCTTTGAGAATTATCTTTGTACCTGATGGAAAACATTTTCCTCTTACCAGTGTTCCGGAGATGTTATCTGAACATCTGCAAATGTATTTTAACTAAAGTAAACATTCTAATTTGCATGTAATCAGAATTTTTTCTCATTCCATCCTCAAACTAAACAATTTTGTTTCTGAGGTAATTGCCATGTTCTTATTTCTCAACCATATGGTCTCTAGATGTCAGTTCTAGCCAAGAATAAAAGTAAAATGTTATATAGCAAAGCAGAAGAGGTAAATGGAATGTTTTTCAGAAGAAAATTTTGGAAATAAATTCTATCTGTTTAAGCAATACACTTTGCTTTGTTTTTAAGCCTCTTTGGATGAAAATAAAGTCAGGCATACCCTTAAATAGTGTTAGAAATTAACCTTTTCTTAATGACTGTTATCATTAAGACAGCATAACTGCATGTGTTTACTAAAGTAAAGGTACCTATTGAGATGTGTAAGTTTGCTTGCTTTACTAATAAATAGTCTATATTGGTATATTGTTTTATTTCCTAAAAATTGAAATTATTACTTATTTCTTCAGGCAGCTCTGAAAGTCTTTAGCAGTACTTTTATTTCTAATATTGTTACTTTTAACATGCTTTGTAATTTACTTTTGATTAGATAATCAGCTTGTTACAACTATGTAAAGGCAATGCTGTTTAAAGGACTAAAGTGTATACTCTTGTTGAAGAATTTGATAGCATTTATTTTGGTTTCTTTGAGAGTCCTTTTTAGCTTGTTTGCTTTTTGTCTCTTGCTGTGCTCTGATTATTGAGTTAGTGAGTTTTTCATAATGTATCATTCTTTATCATATGAAGTTTCATACATTATTTCTTTGTGATTACTCTAGGCTGTGCATCAAAACAAAATACTAAAGTGTACAAAAACTTCAAGTTGCATTAGTCTCTAAAGTGGGAAATAAAAAAAGTAGATTGTTTTTCTATATATGCGTCTTCTTAAATATCTGGGGTTTATGACACATTCTTTGAGTATCAAATGTGTTATGTCACTCTTCAATGAATGAATAATATAGATAAACTGTCCATTTGACAGGCAGTTAGTGCCATGTAATTCCAAGGGTGGGAGAACATATACTAAGTATCCCTTAGAAAACCAGCTGCCTGTGTCATGTTATTCTGAAAAGCTAATTAAATCTATGCATTCCTTTTCTGATCCCTTAGTTGAATAGATGATGACTGCATACAAACACACAATACAAAGGACAGGAAGGAGAAACTGGAAACCAAGGACAAAAGTAGTAGGTAGTGTTTCTTGAACTGTCAAACACTTGAGATTTATTTGTGCTATTTTAGCAATTATAAGTTTGGGTACTGATTATCTTTTATGTACCAAAGATAAATCTTTGTATCTTTGTTAAACTTTGTGGTTAGCCACAAATTTACTTATATACATTTATATATTTACTTATATACATTTATACTTTACTTATAATTTACTTATATACATTTACTTATACTTTATACATTTACTTACATAAAATTTACTTATATACATTTATAATGTACAGGGAAAAGAATCCCTTTGAAATTTCCTATTGAGTATTCATTTATGAAAATCAATTTAGAAAACACTGATCAATGCATTTGCCTTAAAAAGAAACCACTTATTAGTGTATTTACCTTTATACAAAGGCCCATCAATTATTTTAGGTTTTTGAAGATCAGTAGAGAAATCTGACAGTGGCTAGAAAAAATTCTCAACATCCTAAAATGACATTATAACCCATACTGTGATATTGGATTTATTTCTTTTCTCTCCACTTTTCCTCTCACCCTCACTACAACACAAAAATTTATGTAGTAGCCAAAGTTACATGTCAGTGGTTGGGAGTAAATCTATATTTAAGTGGCAAGAGATAAAAAGCAGAAGAGAGAGAGAGAGAATAAATAAACGCAGTCAAAGAAGTGAGGACTAAATTTCTCTGAAGGTTTCCTCGACAACTGTAGCCAGAAGGGTTCTGACCTACCGTAACAAGCTGCCATCTACCACCATAATGCTCATTTGGTAATCAGTCATGCCCTAATCATGCCCTGTGGTCCTGCGATGTTGATTCTTTAAAAATAAGTCCTAGCTTTAATCAGAGCTTACAAATGAGGCAAGCACTATACTAAAAGCTTGACATACATTACCCCAGTTATTCTTTAAAACTGTTTTGTGACACAGGAAGAAACTGAAGCACAGAGAAGTAACCCAAGATCACACAGCAAGGAGAGCCAAGATTCCAACCCGGTCTCCTCTAGAACTGGTGCTTTTAACCTGTTATTTAAATCTTGTAACATTATTAATATATTATGGATTTATTGTTTCTCTGCCTCAATTTGATTATTGAGAGCAGGGACAATACCGGTATAGTATTAGCAACCAGCAAGAGCAACTTCTGCATAGTAGAGGTTATAAATATTCAGTGTTGATTTAGTCTTACATTTTGCAAACATTTCTATTCTGTTTTAATGGAATAAGCATAGAAGTGGGTATGAATGGATATATGAAATTGATTTAAATATAATAATATATTTGAGAACTCTTGTTATCACTTGAAGGAAGTTCAATAATAGGATTTTTTTCATTTATATTCTTACCCTTCACATAGTCTGAAATATATTTCATATATATATTAAGAATATATATATAAACATATATTCTTACCCTTCACATGGTCTGAAATACTTATTTAAGACTATATTTAACAGTATTTAAAACTAGACAAAATGTTCTAGAGCAGACATTCAAATTGACTAAGCTTTCTCTCTCTCTCTCTCTCTCTCTCTCTTTCTTTCAGAAGGAGGGCAGGTTTTAATCCTTTAATCTTTAGGTTTATGTTCTTAGTAACTAGATCTTATAATTTTTCACTTTAGTTTTATTAATTGCTTTTTTAACAACTAAAATATATTTCTATAGTTAAAAACATTTTTTTGTTTCATTCCTTGCAGTATGATTTATACCATAAGAATTCTTTTTTTTTTTTTTTTGAGACGGAGTTTCACTCTCGTTGTCCAGGCTTGTGTGCAATGGTGCAATGTTGGCTCACCGCAACTTCCACCTCCCAGGTTCAAGCAATTCTCCTGCCTCAGCCTCCCAAGTAACTGGGATTATAGGCATGCGCCACCACACTCGGCTAATTTTGTATCTTTAGTGGAGACGGGGTTTCTCCATGTTGATCAGGCTGGTCTGGAACTCCTGACCTCAGGTGATCTACCTGCCTTGGCCTCCCAAAGTGCTGGGATTACAGGCATGAGCCACTGTGTCCGGCCTTACCGTAAGAATTCATAATGAACATTGAGAAACCACACTTCATGAGAATTAATGAATTCTTCCTCTATTCTCTCCCAATTTTCAGTCAAGTTTTCACCTTGTTTTGAGTTGAAAGCAACCAGGGGACCAAGTCAGGTCCTAGACTATGACATTGTAGAGATCAGTTCTGTTCTAAATCGTGCTCAAAAATTTAGGCTGTGGAAACTCAGACTCCTGAGCCATCCCTAGTCTCCTGTAAGCCTGAGTACAGCCCTTGTCCCTCAGTGACCTTGGAGCCATGGATGATGCCAACCTCAGATGAGCCTCAGACATTTCCATTTAGAAAACGAATCCTAGGCCCATCTTAGTCTGGACCTGAATCCTCTGCAGAGGTCAGAATCATAATGGCCCTCAGGCTCTGGGCCCTTGTGTTAATTTTTCAAGCTATTCATTTTAATAAACTTTAGTTCTTAGGACACCAGAACTATAGAGATAGGACAATCATTTTCATTATATGATAAATGGTAGTCTGGACTTTTCTGCTAACTGCCATGTTTTAGGAGTGTCTTCTCATTATTTTTAACCAGCTAAGGAGCTCAGAGTATGTTGCTAATGAGAACAAAGTTTCATGAAGACCAGTCATGAGTAAGGATAGCCAGGAACAATGTCTGTGCTACAACTGGAAAGCAAAGTATGGAAAAGTGTCTTGCCTAGAGCCTTACAGGGAATTACCAACCTGTCGATCCTGGTTTGATCACCTGCTTCCCATTACCACAGCGTTCACTCAGGCCCACAATGTGGGCTACTGGGTTCGGGGAAGCAGGAAGGCCAACAGCAAGGAAAACATGGAAGAGGGGAGAACTGGCTCCCTGACTGGGTATGGAGCTAGAGAAAAGGTGGTGTCGATTATGAGAATGGCATTTCCTTAGCTTCCTTTCAAACACTATTACAACCACCCTTGCACATTATCTTAGTGAGTGTAAGTTGGAGTCTTGAAAACATATTTGCTGTGACTTTTCATTAGCATCTTAAAAAAAAATTACTGACCTCAACAGAGTAAGCAATTAATGAGGGAAAGAGCTGACTGTAAGTTTCCACAGATTCTGTTTTGAAAAACAGAGGATGCCTGGCCCTGTGATTTTTAACATACCACAACTTAACTCCTCTCCCTCCTCATTTATAAGGCTCTGTGATTACAAGGTCGACTTGGCAACTGTTTTCATAAAATCTGAATTGTGCTGAGTTGCAGAAAGCTGCAGGCTAGAGGACTCCCACCTCTTCCAGCTTCTGGAGGCATGGAATTGGAAAAAGCAGGCCAGGCTCTGCATGTCTAAAGCTGTGTCATCCTTCATGAGGCAATGATCCCACACCAGCTAAAATAACATGAGTCATTGCTTATAAGAAGCCCAAGTGAAGCTGATTTCGATTATACCAATCCTAAACAAACATGATACTCCTCTTATCCAGATGATAAAAAAAGTTCTCATTGTGGGAGTTAAGAAAAAAAATAGCACCAATTCTCTTTAGAGTTCAAGGAAGTGCTTTGCCATTTAGCGGACTTTTGAAGTTTATCTTAAACAGGAATTCATCATTTAGCCAAATCTTACTCTAGGTTATTCTTGCTTTTGTCTCTTTTACTCCCCTACCCCCAACCCTGCCCACATCCAGTTTGGCTCATTAGTATTTTACTCTGGTTTGAAAGCTATTGAATCAAAATCCATAAAATCAAAACTGTAATCTTGTAGCTCTTTGCTTTTATTCTTTTCCAGGATCCCCCAATCGCTTTATTCCTCTAGAGTATAAAAGATGGTTTTAAAGTAGACCACAAAGAGCTGGAGAAATGGTTTAGAAGGGTAATGAAGTAGCTTAAGTAAAGCTGATGAAGTCCTCAGCTGGAATTGTGGGAATATGGATGGAAGGGACCGAAGGATTCCATGGGGAAAACAAGCAAATAAGTTGGTATAATTTGGTGATTAAATGCATGCTGAGAACTAGGAACACATGACTTGGTTTTCTTTTTTTCTTTTTTCTTTTTCTTTTTTTTTTTTTTGACAGAGTTTTTTGCTTTTGTTGCCCAGGCTGGAGTTCAGTGGTGTGATCTTGGCTCACTGCAACCTCAACTTCCTGGGTTCAAGCAATTCTCCTACCTCAGCCTCCTGAATAACTGGGATTGCAGGCACCCACCACCATGCCCGGCTAACTTTTTTTGTATTTTTAGTAGAGATGGGGTTTCATCATGTTGGCCAGGCTGGCCTCGAACTGCTGACCTCAGGTGATCCACCCACCTCGGCTTTCCAGCATGCAGGGATTACAGCCGTGAGCCATCGTGCCCGGCCATGACTTGGTTTTCTGTCTGGGAGTGTTAGGTATTGAATTTGGGAATTGTGGTGGATGAGCAGATTGTGGATGGGGAGACAATGAGTTTGACATGTGAAATTTCAACCTTTAGGTTCTTGTGGGATAATTAAGTGTATATGCTCAGCAGACAGGTGGCTATACAAGTTGGAAGCCTAGGAGGGAGATCAAGGCTGAAAGTTCTAAGCTATTTATTCATGGGAGACTTCAGCATTTGGGGGATGGTTAAAACTGGGCTTGGATGAGATCTGGCAGGAGACAGTAAAGTCTCTATAGAGACAGCAGTGGAACAAGGATGGAAACTTGAGTAATGCCAGCTAGGGAAGGACAGGGCTTGGGAGCCTGTGACGGAGACCAACAGGATGAGAGCATTCCAGAAGCAAAGGCAGCAGGCTCAGAATGATCAGACAGCCACATCAAAAGTAGCTAAATGAACAATATGGTAAAGAAAATCATCCACCAGATTAAGTAGTGTGGATATCAGTGATGGTCTTTGCTATTGTGGGTTTAATAGAGTTGTAGAGGTGGGAGCCACTTTGCTGCAGGTTGAAGAGTGATGATGAGATAAGAAAATACAGGCAGAAAGTAGATATGATTCCTTCTAAAAGCTTAGCTAGTGAGAAGGAAGAGAGAGAAGAGGGAGACCGACGAGGGGAGCATTAAAAAATGTACCCAAAAGAACTAAAATTCTGATCAAAGTCGAGAAAGAAATCTAGCATTTTTAAAATGCAGAACTTAAAAACCCATTTCTTTTCTTACTTAAAATCCTTTGATAATACGTTTTTGCTTATAGGATAAAGCTTTATTCTTAGCCTCAAAATAATATGGAAGCATTTCTAGAACAAGAATATTGTCTATTTTCTTCATTACTGGATCCTTAACTACCTTCCCCTCTCCCTCATCAGACGGCCTGGCACTTAGAAGAGTCTTAACAAATGGTTAACTGTGGAGGCTGAAATGTGGAAATGTGATTTCTCCTTTGTTGGAAACTACCAGGGAAGTCTTCCAAAATCTGAGCATCCCTTCCTTTACAAAGTCTTCCCTGAGAGAGAAAATACACTAAATTAACCTTTATTCATAGGATAGTATATACTATTGATAACATGCATAGAAATAAGAATAATAAAAAATCAAACTGGCAACAATTGTAAATAATCATAGCTTCATACATAAAACTGAGTGCAGCATGGATAGATAATTAATAGAAAGTAAATATATCCCCCAGTGTTTTAAAAGATTAAATTTTACTTGAGTCATTTCACTCATTAAAACAAGAAGAATTTAAGCTCTGACTCTTGAAATAAAAAGTGAAATTGAACAAATGTTTATTGAACCTCTCTATGCCATATGTGATATTGGATGCTGGGGCTACAAAAATGGTTAATAGCTGGTCCTTAAGTGAGAAATGTATTCATGATTAATTTCAGCTGCATCCAGAGTTCCACTCCTTGAGGACAGAAACTGTCTCTTATCTCTGTATCCTTAGCATTTTAGCCTACTGGCCCAGAATTGACACTCAGTATGTGAATGGTTCAATGAATGAATGATTGAAAAAAAAAGCATAAGATACTCTGGGAAAGCAGAGAAGATGTAACTAACGTTTAGGGCTCGGGTTGGTGAGAGAAGGGTTAACAAAAACTTCTTGGAGGAGTCGATAGCTCAATTAAATCTAAAGAGTGAGCATGAGTTAGTAGGGGGGATTTTAAGAGTTGGAAGAGTGTTTTTGGCCAAAGAACCAGCGTAAGGAAGAGGCGTTGCAGCATGTAACCACAGATGCTGGTATTGCTGATACCCTGAAATATGAGATGAGGGTGGGAGAGTAGAGACCATTTAATGTGCACTTTGAGTAAAATGATTAGGGTCAGACTGTACTCAGTGACATACCCAATTTCTTCATCTGGATTATGAGGGGCTCCATTAGTTGACCTCAAGGGTCTTTTCTCATGCTTAGATTCTATTTTTCCCTATTATTAAGTTGGAAGTGAGGGTAATGAGATAATCCTAGATTTTTAACTAAAACACATTTTTAGACCTGTGCTAATTTTATGATAACACCTTTCTCCCCTCTCATTGAACTGTACTTATTTAATTGATCTCTCAGGTACTTTTGCTGTCTGTACAGTAGCATGAAATTGTTACCTAATTTTAGTTCATTCAATTACTCAAAGTGGAGCTTGGTTTATTTCAACTAAGCTACCTAAGTCCAGATAATATATTAGTAAGATGCTTGTGTTTAAGGTTTTCTTTGAAAAATGTAGCCTGTCCAATAAGCTGAACTGATTTTTGTTTTTCAGATGATTGTGAATTGGCAACTTAATTAATAGGAATTTTAGGTAGTGTTTAAGAATGCTATGGCACTTTATTTTATTTATGTTTTTCAAAGTTAAAGAGAGTATTCACGAAAAACTTCTTTTTTGAAAGATAAATTTTATTAATATTTTATGTGCTAGATTTAATAATTTCATTTATACTTAATTTAATTATATTTAATTTAACTATGTTTATATTTCATTTAATTAAAATACTTTATACTCTTTTTGGCACAAAATTAGAAAAATTTAATAGAATTTAAATTAAAGTGGAGAGTTCCAAGAAACATGGGAGCATATTGTTGAATATTTTCCTTGTGTTTTTAATAATTCAATAAAACACACACACATACATTTTAAGAGGAAAAATCTATTTCACTTTTTTTCCTCATTTTCTGCTTTTGAGTGTCCTCTGACATGCTAGGCCCTAAAACTGATATCTGATGACATATTGCAAGAATGTGCCTGGGAAGAAAATGGGCTTAGAGGCTTGACAGGAATTTCCTTCCACCAAGGAACATTTCTTCACCTTTTTTTCTCTCTTCTTCACCTTTCTATCTTCACTTCATCTTCTTATCCATTACCATGGAGGGAAAATTATATAATGGTCATGAATCTAAAGACCTCCAGGATTTCTGAAGCCATACCCACAAACAAATAAAAATAAATGCTTTATTTAGTGATGTCAGTTTAAAAATCGAGGTATACTTCCTCTACAGTAAAGTGCACTGTTAAATATTCAGTTCCATGATTTTTGACCCATGTAACTACCATCCAAAACAAGATATATAACATCTCCCTCGCCCCAGACATTTTCTTCATGCACTTTGTTCCTTCAATTACTCCTTCCAGGCAACCCGTTTCTGACTTCTGTCACCACAGATTAGCATTGCCTGTTCGTGGAAGCCATCACAGCATGTATGATTTGTGTCTGGCTCCTTCGCTCATCATAATGGTTTCTGAGGTTCACACACATCATTTCATAGAAGCCTGAAAGTGCCAATAATGTGTACAGACCATTTAGTGGTTTTATCCTATTATTGTACCCAATTGTCATCCAGCTGTCTGGCAGCTGTTGGCTGTTGGGTTAAGAGGGGCTGGGCAAGGAAGCAGGTTTAGAGTAAAACCTATCACACTGTGAGAAAACCGAACTCAAGATTCTACTCCCAGGACACTGCATCTGGAGACTCATTTCTCCATTGTAGACCCAGCCAAGATTGGGATGTAAGCAAGTTTATTTTTGCGCCTGATCAATTTACTTTGGCTTCCTGGAGCCCTTCTATTTTCCCTGTAGTGATCCACGAAGGGATCATTTTGTTCTACCAAGGAACAGTCTTCTCAGCATTTAAGGTGTTTTACCTTCCCAAAGCATATATACATTTCTTTAAACCTCTAATAGTGAGACTCCAGGTCTCATTCAGAGAACGGAATGTTCTTTAGGCAGGAAGTCACACACCTCAGTGCACATAATTTAGACCAGGGGTTGGCACAGTTTTTCTGCGAAGGGTCAATATTTTAGGCTTTGCTGGTTGTATTTTCTCTGTGGGAACTCTACTGTTGTTATCGAGAAAGCAACCATAAACATTACATGAACCAATAGGGTTGATTGTGTTCTGATAAAACTTTATTTAGAGAAACAGGTAGTAGCCTGGATTTGGCCTGTGGGCCATAATAGTATCTGACTCCTGTTTTAGACAGCTTTCTACTCCGCCTACTCATGAGGCTTGTGTAGCAAGCCTATCCTAGCAAAATACAGAGAATTAGTTTTCCAGAATACAGAAAGCTGAAAGGAACCTGGGGTTGCACCTGTTACAATCTCTCATTTTTAAGTGAAAACACTGAGTCTCAGAGTAGTAACTTTTCAAGGTCACAAGGAATCAGTGAAGAGTCCAGACAATTCAGTCTTTAACAGATTCTGATGGATATGAGTCACATTACTTCAAATATAGTGTCATGTTGACATTTGGAGAAACTGTCTTAGCTCATGTGTTTTAAAGGAATAAAAGAGAAAGAGAAAGAGAGAGAAACGGATATAGGAATTCATGTGGTAGTGTTCTGAAAACTTAACCAGGGGTCAGCCAAGAAAGGATGAGAGTTATACATTTGGCAAGTAGATTGATTAATGAAACAAAAAACAGCACTGTATATTGAACACTTTGTCTAAGTCTGTTTTAAAATTATATATGTATGATGAATGAATAATAAATAATTTTAACTGAGAAAATAGAGACCTCTAGATTCTCTGATATTCAGTTCATTCATCCATTTATTTTCTTTTTTTTTTTTTTTTAGCAAACATTAATCAAATATCTTCTCTTGAAGCCACCATGAAAGAGCAAAGCTAATCAAGACAGAGTTCCTGTGCTTGAGGAGCTTATATTGGAGCCCAGGAGAACTGGGAACCATTTCTTGTTTAGTACTGTATCCTCTAAAGAGGAAACAGGGTTTGCTTCATGGAGGACATGATACTTGAGTTGGACATGTGGATATGGTGTGATGTGTGTATATTGGTCTATAGATGAAGGTAGACGGTAGGGAGAGGGAGTCAATAATTCAGTCAATAATTCAGGTTGGATGTATTTAGAGATTGGCAAGGGAAGTAGTGATAGTTTTTGTAGATATGTTTGGCAGGGTTTAATTTGTGGGATGGGATTGGCTCAACAGACCAGTTGTCAAAGAGATGTCAGTTGTTTCAGCCAAAGCAGTTAAAATAAGTTAATAAAAGTGCCTCACTTTGGGAGGGTGTCTTCAACTCTATAGATGCCATATAGTCTATTGAAGTAATTAAAATATTGAATTAAATATTAAAGCATTGATTTTGAAAGAATCAGACTCAAGCAAAAAATTCTTTTAGTGCTCTTGAAGAGTTCATGCTTCCCCACAGAAAAAATACCCAAATAACTGGTAGAAACTACTTTACACATTGGAAGTAGCTGATTTAATAGCTACTAATCATAAACATATGCTGGAATCATAGTGGTTCAGCCAGAGTGCCAGTATTCGGACTTCACATTTAGTAGAGACATACATAGCTCTTACCCCCAGTGACTCACACTTTCTGTGTTTACCTTGGCTTGTGGTTGGATGATCCAGCTGGGTATCCAGTGTTGTGCACCAAAGGCACATGGGGTAAGCAGAGGGGGAAGGCTTTAACTCGACACTAATGAAACACTGGCTTGCCTTAGGCATTTTAGTAATTATGTGAATGCAAAAATATTACTAATAACAGAGCATATTGTGGAGGCCATCTCAAACCTGGTCATCTGCATTCAAGCTCATGGCCACAGGTGCTGTGGAATGCACCGTTTGCTGTGAAAGTGGTGAAGGAGATCCAGTTAGAGATTTTCTGCCTTCCTGGAATGACACCACCCCTAGAATAGAAATCTCCACATTCCCAAACAAGATTCAACCTAAATCAACAAATATTCGGTTCAACGAACCAGTTACTGCATCAATACCTATTCCGGGAAACTTTTACATCCAGGGTATCTTTACATTTATAGATACCATGACTATATTGTATACCTGGAGAGAGCTCTCACAGTATTAAGAGTGTTTCTCTGGTACATAGAGATTAGCTTTGAACAAGTATAGGGCAAGTTCAGTATAAAAATAGCACATGGCTAAAATAGGGCCTGGCTCGAGTGACTGCTGTGTTGGAGGCTGCCATCTGTGTTGTCTCCTTGAATCAGGACACTTCTGGGCAGCATTGCCATGATGGGCAACTTCTGTGGCTTGGATGTTTCTGGCTGATGTGAGAAAGCTGATGGAGGAGAGGCTGGGAGGACTCTGGGCATACCAGAAAATACCATATGAATAGGATGTTTCTGTTTTCAGAAGTGAAAAATGTTGGCAATCAACATTTAACAAGGTCAGGGCCCAAGAAGGTACTGTCTTCTAGTCATTTCTCAAGGAAGACAGAGAGGAAACCAAAGTCTTTCAGTATTTCCCACATGTTTACTGGAAATTATACAAATTGTTGACTAATAGGAAAACAAGGGAAATTAATCCTTTTTTAAACCCTCACATCCACAGTTTGTGGCCCATTTCCTAAATGGGAGTTTGGTCTGTGTTTCTAGTGCCTTCCTTGCATTCCCCTGTGGCTGTGTGATCTGCACAGGAGACCGTCAGTCACTAGTCTTGTGTGTCAAGATGGAGGCAAAACATATTTGTTTATGTAAATGTTTATGCATGCAATATGTTTATGCATATTTGCTTATCCTCATTCTAAGGTTGGAGATAAAGCTTCTAGCACATCTCTGACCAATATAATCATAACAACATTAGACAAAAATGTTTGAGCTAAAAGTCAAAATCATAACATTAGACAAAAATGTTTGAGCTAAAAGTCAATCAGTGCAAACAAGTGATCTGATCTGTTTGTATGTTATCCATTCAGTAGGCCATAGTATACTAAAAATAGAAATTCAAGAAAGGCTAGCTAAAATTATAGGTAGCAAATTAATAGCATATCTTATAGGAAAGTTAGAAATGTAAAAGCCAGATATTACTCTCTCTCCTACAAATATTCCTTGGTAGTATTGTTTGACAAAATGCTGGACTGGAGAGATATTTTCCTTTACCCAGGGTTTTATAGTCTGCTTTGATTGCATATAACCTGTCCAGCAATCAGTTTATAGGACATTTGAGCCCCAAGGACCCATAGAAAACATCTAACCTTATTTTTCAAATGAAGAAGGTGAGATGTTAATCAACTCAAGTCTCCAATGTTCTAACATTTCTATACCATTTTTTTAAATGGGAAGATCTCATCATGCTTTTTCACATTGTATTCTTACCATTCCTTCCATATAATATGTGGCATTAGAGTATAGCATCACTCTATCCACAGAGCGAGAGATAGCTTATATGTATGCAAAAACAGATTTTTGGGGAATGCTTAGCATCCATAGATTCAGGATTGTACTCTTTCTCAGGCCTTGGTATAGATGACATATTTAGAGTAGTAATATAATCAGTCTGCCCTTTGAAAAGGAGTATTTTAATGAAAATGAGTGTTCTATTTTAAAATTAAAAATTAGAACATAATTAATTTTCACTGACAGGTTATTCTCAAATAGTAAAGTGTAGGTAGCTTCAAAAATATACCCTCAGTGTACATTTAAAGTTCAGTGAGGATTCCAAGAAGGAAAAAGGGGTATCTTCAAAATGGCATTTGTGATGATCTCCAACTCAGTTTTCTTTTCTGGTTCCTTCCTTCTGTCTATTGGACTTTTCCTTTTGGAGAAGGCAACTTAAACTCCCATGCCTTACTGGGTGCCTACTCTCACGTGTCTCTGGGTCTGTGTGCGTGGTATTAATTGCTAACATCTACTGAGTGCTTCCTATAAAGCAAGCACTATTCCAAATGCTTTACATGTATTAAAGCCCCTAGGGTTTACTCCTATGAGGTAGGTGTTTTTTTGCTTCTAATTTTACAGATTTAGAAACTGAGATACAGGGTAACTAATCGGCCCAAGTGAAGTATGGTAATGTCAGCCTAAAACCCAATGCTGCTGCTGTTGCTTTTTAAAAATTGTGGTAAAATATACATTCCACAATACAGCTCATGCCTCTTAGCCATCACACTCTGTTCCCTTTCTATACATCCTACTTCCTTTGCCTGAAGAGCCTCTTCCCCAATCTTCACCTGGTAAGTACTATAGTCCTTGGAGATTGGGTCATATGTTACTGTGTTAGTCTGTTTCCTGTTTCTATAAAAGAATGTCAAAGACTGGATACTGTATAAAGAAAATAAGTTTGTTTAGCTCATGATTCTAGAGGCTGGGAAGTCCAAGTGCTTGGTGCTGTGTATGGCCAGGGCCTTTGTGCTGTGTCACAAGATGGTGGAGGACATCACATGGTGAGAGGGAAAGAGTGTGCCAGCTCAGGTCTCTCTTCTTCTTATAAAGCCACAGTCCCATCGTGGAGGCCCACCCTGATTACCTTACCTAATCCTAATTACCCTTCTAAGGCTCTACCTCCAAATATCACCAACACATGAATTTGGGGATTAACTTTTCATCACATAAAATTTAAGGGACATATTTAAAACATAGCACTTGACATTATCTAGAAAGCCTTCCTTAGTACCTTTTCGTGTTTTCTTCCAATCTGGGTCTAGATTATTTCCTTTATGCTACCAGTAAAACCTGGGCCAGTTAGAGCCATAAATTTATTATTTCCAAAGGTAATTATGATGTTACTCCTCTGTAGCTGACCCCTACCCCTGCACTGGACTGCAGCCTCCCTGAAAGCAGAAGTCAGGGTTTATCTTTCTGATCTCAGTACCTAGCAACGTACCCTAGAAATATTTATGGAATAGAGAGAGGGAGGCAATGTATGATTTTTTTTAATTGAAAAACAAAATAACTGACTGCTTAAAATTTTTCAGAGAAGACAATTTTTTAAATTTTTCAATGAAACATAGAAAATGATACACCAAAGAAACACAGAGAAATGTTAATCTACGTCAGGTTCCACATAGCCAGCTCCTAATATTTTCCCTTTGTCAGATTTTTATCTCTTGTAAAGAAAAAAAAAAAATCCCAAGAGGTGAAAGAGAAAGGAAATGCTTTTGTTTTTCAACTGTGAAACTGGAGTTTCCATGACCTCATTGTGAGGCCATCGCTCTTCTTGGAGGTATTAATAATTTGTCTCTTGTTAAAGTGCAGCATCTTAATTTAGGGCTCAGTGACTTAGGATGATTTAGAAGGGATCAGAAAACATAATTTTAAAGACTGGAAAATGATGGCCATGAGGAATATACATGGAAATTGATATTATTGGAGCTGGAGTATAGAAAGGCAAAATTCTCTGTGCTAATTGCATCAACAAGAAGAAAATATTGTCCCACTTGTGGGCACATACAAACTGGTTCTCTACGGGGGTGTCCACCCCTAGAGTGAACTGCCAGCCCTGGCAACAGCAGTTGCTCCCTGCTAGCAGCGTCATAGATCACAAAATAAAATAGTGCTGTCTCTTTGTAATTGTGTAAGCCATAACATTTGCTGTATAATTTTCTTTTCTGATTTAACTTGATTTTCTGTCCTTGAAATTTCCTAGGGTTATAAACATAATTGGTGATTGCTAAGACAAGAAGCCAATTTTTCTATTATAAGAAATAGCAAAGTACCTTCCGTTTTTGAAGCCTTGCTTACAAAACTTAAAAAAAAAAATTCCAGGCATCTGGGAAATTCAAATTCATAAAATAATGTTTAATTAGAAAGTAAAGGAAGCTACACTTGTAGAACAGAGTAATTTGATTATATTTTAACTATTAAATAATTTTCAAGGTGGTCATTATTATATGCACTTAATTGACATTAGATTATATTAAGAATTTAATTTTAGCTCCCTTTACAAATTGGCCAATGCCCATTCACCCTTGGTAGACTAATAAGGTTTCTACTGAGCCGTGTTTTTTATTAATCCTCATTGCTACTCTCAGATAAAAGACACGAATAGGACCAATGGAATTCTTTCCACTATTGAGTTCTATAAACACAATTTCTGGAGCTGTTTCAACAGAATGTGAGCATTATTATAAATTATTGGGAACTCAGACCCAAATCAAAACAATGAAGCAAAACAGACCTTCCTGCCTGTTCTGATTGCATCACTGTCCTCACAAGTCAATAAACGTCTAGCGCTTCACTTTAAAATTTCTTACAAGCTTTTTCTTGGTTCTCTTTCTCTAACTTGGTCTCTCACAATCTTTTTGTGTCTAAATTTGAGATCATTTGTGTCTTCAGTGCAAACCTCATGGAGAATAACAAAGATTCCAGTCTCAGCAAAACCACGAAGTGCTAAATCCACCTCAGCCTCTGCATGAGAAAGACCATGTCTAAGGAATGCTGTGAATTGGGCTCTGGAAGCTTCTCAGGCTCAAAGTCAGTTCTTGCCTGGGAGTGCTGTGTGACACAGCAGGCTTTTCCTTCTCTCAGCTTAAGAGTATGGACCAGTGACAGTGAGGCCTTTTGTTCCGCTCAGCACTCTCTGACCACCCCTGGTCACAGTTCAGGAATGCAGAAGTTTGGGCTTCTAAGAAATTAAGCTAGTATCGTTGCACCAAGTCATGGGTTTATGTTTTTGCTTTATATGTTCATAAGCATTTTATTTGCTTTCATTTTTTACCCACTAATTGGCAATACTTTTTTTTTTCTGTTGTTGCTATAAATACTACGTAGGGGTTTTAATGAAGTATTAATAGACCCTCAAGCTTTTCCTAATAAATCAGAGGGTTTTGTATCTTACAGAAATGTTGCTTAGTTGAGTGATTCTGGGTCTAGACTAGATGTAATTTGCGAGGAGGGAGAGAATAAAGGGATTTGTAATATTTAGGGACCCAGTTTGAAATGGTACCAATGGATTTATTTTGTATTTTTTTAAGGGAAGAGTTGTTGAAAGAGACTATTAAATAATGTCTGCTTATTTTCAGGACAATATTGTAATTGCAAAAGCTTAAAGTAGGAAAATTAGTTTGAGATGAGAGCCACTGCTCTTGTCTAAAAAGAAATTTCTTCAAATTAGTCTTTAAATTTTTTTTGGATATTCCTATTTTATCGAATGCAAAGTGACAATAAGAACAGATACTGTGTTTTCTTGAGATCAAATTGAGATCAACTGTATTTTTTCTTCTTTGTCTGCTATCTGTGTGTGTGTGATTCACAGAGTTAATGCAATCTTATGATTTACTCTGTAGCATACAAGAAAGTTTCAGTTTATTCTATAAATGCAGACCACACTTTGAAGAACATAATATATATAACCTCACATAGTGTGAAATTTGAATTTGATGTTTAAAGATTATTCTTAATAAAGTGGGTATTTTCCAAATTAAATGAAAAGATAATATTTGGTGAAATTAGATTGAATTGGTTGAGGCATTTTATGTTTGCCACTGTTTTTAAAGTTTGAGTTCTGATGGTCTTCCAGAGGCGTAGCTACTGTATGTTCCGATTCTCTAGTAGCGTTTCATCTTCAAACACTTTACCCCTCGCATACCAATTTTTGTCTTAGTAAATATGGCCTCTGCCCATAAGAGACAGAAGAGGTTGCTGAAATTCTTAAAGGAATCTAATTGTAAAGCTGACACACAGAGCCATGCTAACTTTTTGTGACTAGGATTTGCTCAAATTCTGGTCTGCACTAGCACATTTCTTCTTCAGTATTACATCAATAGCTCTAAAATATATTATACAATTGATTTCTGCAATTATTTCATTTGTTCTTAAAGTCTACTTATCTCAAATATGACCATTTGCATGAAATAACAAGGTAGCAGGTAGGAAGAATACTGTTTAAAACATTATCGTAGAGTGGAATATATAATTTATTTTTGGCCATGTGACTCTGCAGCTGTAATTACTTTCCTTAAATCTTTAGTGATATTTACTTCTTTCTATTAAATGTGGTCTTCAGTCCTTATTGCAGTTTCTTCCAAACGGTACCACAAATCCAACAACTATTATGGCAAACCCATTAATGATATGTCATTATCATCATGAGATTAAACTGTATTTGGATAAGTAGAGCCATTTAATGTTGTTAAATCGTACTAGAAGAAGGGAATACAGCTCTATACTGGGTATCATAAGCAGGATAAATTTAAATACTAAGATTTTAAGAATCCATGCTGGCTAAGAAAGGGAGAGCATTGTCAAAATTCTCAAATCACGGAGTAGGATAGAGTTGGCAGTTGTCTCCCTGATACTAATTCACCGATGGCATGAAGTAGCTTTCCAGAACTAGTGACCAACTGTGCCCTCCAGCATCCATAATTTGGTGGACTGAGATAAGGGTAAAGTAATGAAACTTAATGCTTCAGGGCATATGTAAACTGTTCTTTTGCAGAGATAGGACAGGAATTTTCTCCATTCATTCTGCAGGTCAATTTCCCAAGGATCTTCATAAGTAATATTGTGAAATGAAGCCCTGGACCTGGGAACCTGAATTTGCCAGCTAAGTTTCCCAAGTAGACTATATGTCTGAGTGAATAAATGAATTTGATCCAAGGGTAAGGAGGTCAGGGGGTTTGTGTAAGGGGACTAAAAGAAAGTAAATTGGCGGGGAGTAGTGGGTCATGCTTATAATCCCAGCACTTTGGGAAGCCAAGGCAGGTGGATCACCTGAGGTCAGGAGTTCGAGACCAGCTTGGCCAACATGGTGAAACCTCGTCTCTACCAAAAATACAAAAAAATTAGCTAGGTGTGGTGGTACACCTAGCTACTGTAATCCCAGCTACTTGTCTGTAATCCCAGCTACTTGGGAAGCTGAGGCACAAGAATCACTTGAACCCAGGAGGCAGAGGCTGCAGTGAGCCGAGATCGCGCCACTGCACTCCAGCTTGGGTGACAGAGTGAGACTCTGTCTTAAAGCAAAAAAAGAAAGTAAATTTTTGGAAGAATTTTAATGTGATATGGAAAAAGCCTAGATCTCCTAAGGCAAGTGATGAGTCAAAGGCAATATGGGAAACATAACGTGAGAGAGTGAAGTTGAGTAGTGGCTCCTTTCCAAAAAGTGACAATGGAATCCTTAAGGATATAAATGCCATTAGGGTGGTTATAATAGACTAGAAGGCACTGAAGCAGGAGAGCCAGTGATTTGGCAAAAGGACTAGAGGGAAATGAAGTGTTTAAAGGCAGGAAGAGGCAGAAAAAGGAGAAACGGGGAAAAGCATTGTCAAGCTCATGATGGTCAGAACAATTGATTTTAGGATGAGGAAATGAAAGCATCAGAATTATTAAAACCATATGAAAACCAGTAATTATTTAAATTATTAAATTGACTTGTGCCAGTTGCACTGGTTGTGCCTAAGTAAGACAACTGTATATTTTATTATTCAAAATGAGACAATTTTGAGAGTGAACTTAACAATTATGCCTGGACAGCAGGTATAACCTGGGGTTTTCTGAGCAAACCAGAACATGTGGTCATCTTATGCCTGAGTCCAAATACCATAAAATGTAGTATTCTATGTTTTCTAATGAGTATCATTGCTGACCAGCATTTGAGCAATTTCTTTTATATCAATAAACACCAAAATATCAATTAAATCAATATATAGGTCTCAAATATTTTGGTTCATATATAGAATCACAAAAGAATCAGGGCATTTTGGTTATAAGTCACTGTTATTTCACTTTCAGTCTCATCAGTATTGAAATAATCAACTCCGTTAGCTTTGAAAGAAACAAATCTATGGGGAAGGGTAGGAGTCCTTGGAGCCAGACTGTTGGATTGGGATCCTGGCTCTTCTACTGACTGTGGGAACTTGGGCAGGTTATTTAGCCACAGTGGCTGTTTCCTCCCTGGGGATAGTAATAGTATTAATCTCACAGATTTATTGTGAGAATTAAAAACATTAAGTAAAGACCTTAGAATGATGACTGCAATATAGATCTATGGAAGAGCCAACTATTCTTTTATTATATTCTCAGGGCGCACTGTTCTTTTTTTGCACAGTCCTTTGAATGATCATTTCCTGTCCTCTTTCCCTTCCCTCTCTTCCTATTCCATCTCCATCCCTTTCAGGTGTAAAAATCCAAATTGAATAAGGAAAGTAACTCTCACAGAAATAACGTATCAGAAAATATCCTTTCTACTTCAGCTTATGTTAGAAGAATAAGATACCACATAGAAGGGGGATCTTCCAAACCTAATAAATGTGGAGGTTGATTTCTTAATATACAAATTATTGATCATGATGATTTAATCAAAACTGAAGGATTCATTTACATTGAAAAAATGTTTGTTATTTGGTGTATAGTCAGGGTTTTCTAGAAGGACAGAACGAATAGGATATATGTATATATGAAAGGGAGTTTATTAAGGAGAATTGACTCACACAATCACAAGGTGAAATACCATGAGGAGCAAGGAAGGCAGTAGTGGCTCAGTCCGAGCCCAAAATCTCAAAAGTAGGGAAGCCGACAGTGCAGCCTTCAGTCTTTGGCCAAAGTCTGAGAGCCACTGGTGTGAGTCCAAGAGTCCAAAAGCCAAAGAACTTGGAATCTAACGTTCAAGGGCAGGAAGCATCCAGCATGGGAGAAAGATGAAGACCACAAGACTCTGCAAGTCCACTGCTCCCACCTTCTTCTGCCTGCTTTATGCTAGCTGCGCTGGCAGTTGATTGGATGGTGCCCACCCACGTTGAGGGTGGGTCTGCCTCTTTCAGTCCACTGACTCAAATCTTAATCTCTTTTGGCAACACCCTCACAGACGCACCAGGAAAAATACTTTGCATCCTTCAATCCTATCAAGTTGACACTTAATATTAACCATCACACTTGGGTCTTGACAGTAAAGAGCATTACTTAAAAAATCAAGAAAATACTCTTTCTAACCGTTTGCAAAGAATATGACCTGCTTAATAGTTATCACAAATGGCAAACAGCAGTATTTTTTGGAAACATGGAAACTGGTTAGTGTAATAAGCCATTATTTCACATGGTGAAGTTTGGAAAACAGGAGAAAACCCTATTAGACATTCGCAGAGATATGTAGGAAAATAGGGGGCAGGGCAGTGTTTAGAGAAAGAAGGGAAACAAATGAAATAAAGCAAAAGAACCAAAATGTCTCTAGAAAGATGGGTCAGAGGCAGAGATAAATGAGAACAGAAGCTTGACCAGCTTTACATATTGAAAGGAACGTATCTGAAGTAGGAATTCTAGGAACATACCGACGATTAATACAAAGCCAGGATTTTACAGTCATTATGATGTTACTTTCTTAGAGAAATAAAATCCATACAGATTTGGTAAAAGGAGCATTTGAAGTCGTGGTCAATGTTCTAGCTTACCTATCCTATTGAATTAAGAATTAAGCAGTGACAAGTGTATATATGTTTCCAAAATTTTGTTATCTCTTTCTCCCTATGTCCTCCTCTCCATCATTGCAAAGTTAATGGGACGTGTGACATCAAAGACACAGAAACAGACCAAATATCCAGTGTTTTCAGCAACTTTGGTAAATTCTTTAAAAATCTGGTGGAGTCAAGGGTCTTTCCAGCATCCAGTAGAATAAAGCATTGAACACAGAGTTAGTTGTTCAAGGCACACAAGCAGGAGTATGGATCAAGCTCACACAGCACTGCCCCAGAAGATAAATGAGCTCTGCCCTTAGATTATCTGCCCAGTCAAAAGACAGCATGGTTTCCCTGAGACTTGGCCTCAGCATTCCTAAGCCGAGCTATAAATTTTTGGCTCTGAGAGCCATTTTCCAAGTACCACTAAGTCCTTTTTTGTGCTGTATTAAATAGCTATTTCCCAAGTTTATTGGTGAAAGGTTTGGGAAACAAACTGATGCCTGAGGAATTCTTTTGACCTGTGTCACTGCATGGAGTTGTAGGTTTGCTAGCAATATTATTTAGGATAATCCAAGTGAGAAATTCCTGTGGCAAACATACTATAATAAAACCATCAGATGAGCAATGGGTGAGGGGCCGGGGAACTTGTTAAAAGCCGTAAAGCATAACTAAGACTGTCCTTTTTTGCTTCGGTTTAGGGCAGAGATTCTGCTCTGGAGTCTGGTGCTTGCTTGTCTTTTTTTTTTTTGAAACAAAGTCGCTCAGGCGAGTGCGGTGGCATGATCTCGGCTCACTGAAACTTCTGCCTCCCGAGTTCAAATGATTCTCCAGCTGCAGCCTCCCGAGTAGCTGGGATTGCAAGCACGCACCACTAAGCCTGGCTAATTTTCGTAATTTTAGCAGAGATGGGGTGTCTCCATGTTAGCCAGGCTGGTCTCGAACTCCTGACCTCGGGTGATCCGCCCACCTCGGCTTCCCAAAGTGCTGGGATTACAGGCGTGAGCCACTTTGCCCAGCCACTTGCTTGTCTTTTAACATTGCACCAGAAAACCAGAAGGGAAAGGGTGAGAAATACAAATTGTCCAGTTTTCCTCCTAGCTGCTTGGTCTAGTTAAACATTTGTAGGTAGACAGACCTGAAAATAAGGTTTTATGGTATTTATGATTTTTTTCTCTATCTATTCACTTATTATCTCAGATAAATGAGAATTGTGGTCTTCAATTAGAGAAGATCAAAGGCAAATCAGGAAATAGTGATTTATTTATTGTAAGAGTCAGGAATGGCATAGTACTGCTTTAGATTTGTTGTGAAATAATGTGGAACTTGTTGCTCTATTAAACAGATTTTTATTAATGAGCTTTAAAAATCATACTTAATCACATATGACACAGTAAAATTAAATTTGAATAAAATCCTTGTTTAAAATCAATTTAAATTTAATACTTAGTATGTATGGAGTGGGCTTTTCCTTTTAGATGCTTACTGTGTTTTCTTATAGGCATTATTTCACCGTTGATACCTTACATATAGTTGGAAAGGAGGCAAATTCAGATATACTGGCAGCTGGGGATTTAGTTCTTAATCTCAAATCCTTTTAGACACAGTTACTCAAATTTCAGAATGTTTTATTAAAGAGTTGGTAGGAAAATTTGGGGAAAAAACTGGGCTTTTCAAAAAGTAAAGTGTAATCAAAAGGCAAGCCTAGAAATGAATAAGGAAATTCTGCTTTTCACTTAGAACATTCTATGATCAATAAACGCCTGTGTTTAGATGTAGTTTTTATTATTTCATATCTTTTCTGTAGCATGTAAAGTTACAGGGACTTACCTTCATTTTGGTGGTTCTTTAATTTGTTTTTAAGTGCTACTAATTTTATTCAGAGTTATGCTGCATAAAATATGGTTGGTTCGTTTTAAAATGTATATTTAGAGCTTAAGCCCTGCACCTAATAGGTTAAGAATTTAAAATACGCTGGATATGCTTATGGAACATCAGTATTAAATGAGTGAAGAAATTGAAATCTACAGCACATCTATTTGGAAATTAGAATAGCAAAAACAAAAGGTAAATAGTAGCTAAAATTGGAACACTTTCAGATTCCTATCTTATCTTGAAAAACTATGAAAGAATAACAGAGAAACTAGGCTCTTATGCCCAGCTGCAGAGTTCCCCTGCTAAAGAATAACGTGACTTTAAATTTCACCCCAAGTCTCCGCTTCCCACTGTGTTTAAAAACTGTGGTCACAGGTGGTTGATTCCTTTTTCAGAAGGCACTTCATTTAGATAGGTATCAGAACCTTGTTTGATTCAACAAGAAGGCTATGCTAATTGTTGGCTATTTTCTTGGAGAGGGACATCAAATTGTAATCAGGAATTTTAGGAGAAACTTGTGATCAAAACATTTGCAGCAGGAGTTCAAACAAAGAATTCAATGTGCTAAAATAATGAAGTGAATCTTCTCTGTCATGGAATTATATCCTAACTATGCCTGCCTATGTAAGTTCAAACACACACACACACACAAACTACATGTTTTGGAGAAGTGCAGCGAACAGATAGGTTTTTTCCGCTTTAGAAACATTGGGCCACTTTAAAAGTTTGGTGACAGTAAATTTGCAAATATGATTATTTTCATTTTCCAAGTAAAAAAATTGTAAGTTTCTGATGCTGTGAAGAAAAAGCAAAAGAAGTATAATTTGTAGGAGTACTCTCAAAGTCAAGATCCTCTTATCCTACAAACCAGACTACAATCCCCATCACACCAAGAAATTCTTAGGTCCAGGTAAGAAACAAACTCAGAATTCACCAAGTACATTGTAAAATTATACAGTAGAGTATAATGGACATACAGTAAAATAATGAAATTTAAATGCATGACTTCTGTGAAATTATTTTAAAAGAATTTTTAAACTAGCAGAAAAGTTTATTTTTACTGATGGTTCTGTTGTTTTTACAACACATTCAAAACACTTTCTACAGAAGCTTTCAGTTCCTTAGCAAGGTAAAAGATTTCTCACTAAGAAAATGGATTGCTTTGATAAAGCAATAATTAGCATTGATGTCAAATTTATTATTATCCAAAGCTTATCTCAATTTAGCTATTGCAATAGAGCTTTCCCTTTAAAACCTCCATCACCATTACTATTACTTTACATTCTGATCTTTAATTCATTGGAAGGGATTTGTTACAGTTAGTCTGGGTCAGTGACTCAATCTCTTCAAGAGGAGGAAACACAAAAATGGGCCTTGTACTTTCCTGGATTCATTTCATGTTACTGATTTTACCTGGGTGTAATTCAGAATACAAATGTAGAAGTTGTATATATCCATATCAGGGGTCCTTAGCATATGGGAAGATGAGATCGTGGTATTATACTTAGGTCTCTGTATACAACAAACTTTTTTATTTTTCCAAGTTAAATTCAGTCTTTAAAATGCACGTAAACATACACAAAACAGCATATATATTATACGATTCCCTTTATATATTGTACAAAATAAGCAACACTAATTGGGGGTATCAGAAGTAAGGTTAGTAGCATCTTAGAGATGGGGGTGGGGGTGAGGGCAGGGGCAGGTAGTGAGTGCAAGGAACATGGGGCGAGCTCCTGAGTTACTCTTCTTTTCTTGATTTCAGTGACATTTCATAGGTGTATTCTGTCTGTGGAAACTCATTAGGCAATCCACTTATGGTTTGTTCTGTTTTCTTCATGTATATTACATTAAAATGTTTTTAAAGGCATGTGCATTAGTAAACATGGAATTTTGGTTCCTCAGCTTGGGTCTTGGATATTCACCCAAATACAAGTTGGAAAGGCTGCTTATGTGCACACGTATCTCACAGATCTTGGAGTCTAGCCCACGGTGTTAAGTGAAGGAAACAGTATTGATGGAGGCAGGCATTGCCACTGCTGAACCCACAGCATGAATCTGGGCTCCTAGGCCCTAGGCTTGGACCATCAGCTGCCCAGCCATATTATAATCTGTTAACAGATGTGGATGAGGACCAAGGATCAGAATCAGGAAGGGCCAGTGGTCAGTGAGGGAATTGGGAAGTAAAGCCAACAAGCCAAGCATTGTTAATGATCGAATGACCTCCAAATATGTACCTTCAGCCCAGCCTCCTTCCTGAATAGTGGTTTTCAACTTGGGCTCTGCAATTCGGAAGACTCAATTCCTCTTTTAGCTTTGCCATTTTGTAGCTGTGAACCTTTGGCCAAGTTATGTTATCTCATTAAGCCTGAGCTTCCTTATTTGTAAGAAGATGTATGACAATATAGAGTTGTTGGCACACTCTGTGGTTATATAGGAAAGGTTTAAGAAGGGTAGATAGCAAGGGTAGTTGCTGTCAATAACCAGCGGTCTACAGGCAGTTCCACAGGTTTCTCAAGTCCAATTTTTACTTTGTCATCTCTGCTCACCATTATTTACCCATTTGCTGGTAGCATAGGGATCATTCTCCTTTTCTCCTTCCCTCTACCAATCACCCCATTGATTAGCTTTCCAGTGTGTGTCAGTTTATTACATCGCCATGGCATGACTCAAGCTGTCAGCCTTTCTGGCTTGTCTTACTTCAGATGCCTCCCAGGTGCACCTCCTGCTCCAAAGGTTTCTTATAATGCAGACAGTGATTTTTCTAAAATACAAGTTCAACCATGCCACACACACACACCCTACTTGAAATTCTATAATGGTTTTCATTTCCCTTAGGGTAACCTGAACTGCTTAATATTTTATACCACCTTATAAGGCTTTACATGGCCTGGTTTGCCACCACTTCCCTCTCTAGCTTCAAATTTTGCTGTTTCTCTTTTTCAGTCTATACTGCAAAAGGATGTAATTTCATTCAGTTTCCCCTTCAACATGCTACGCATCCTCTTTCAATTCACGCACGATATTCCTTCTGTTAGAAATAGTCTGCTGTGCCTCCCCCATTTTTATGAAATGAACTGTGTGCCCCCAGAATTTATATGTTGAAGTCTAATCCCCAGTACCTCAGAATGTGACTATATTTAGAGATAGGGCCTTTAAAGAGTTAATTAAGTGAAAATAGGGCCTAATCTAGTATCCCATACTGGTGTCCTTACATGAAGAGAAGATTAGGACAGAGGGAAGACTAAGTGAGAATGCAGGGAGAAGACAGCCATCTATGAGCCAAGGAGAGGGGCCTCAGGAGAAACCAACGCTGTCAGTACCTTGATCTTAGACTTTTAATTTCCAGAACTGTGAGAAAAAAAAAATCTTAAGCCATCCAGTGTGTGACGTTTTGTTATGGCAGCTCAAGCAGAGTAATATACGCACAATGAATTCACTTCCCTGCTTCAGGACTGAGCATAGAAATAATGTTTTCTGGGGTACTCTCTGGGCCAGGCCAGGTGCCCTCTGATTGGCATAACAACACCAAAACTATACTGACCATTCACCAGGCCTTGTATCATCCCATTTAATTTTCACAATAACTTTATGAGAGGGATGGTTGTTTGTTTGTTTGTTTGTTTGTTTTGAGATGGAGTCTTGCACTGTCTCCCAGGCTGGAGTGCAGTGGCGTGATCTCGGCTCACTGCAACTTCTGCCTCAAGCGATTCTCCTGCCTCAGCCTCCTGAGCAGCTGGGACTACAGGCATGCACCACCGTGCCTGCCTAATTTTGGTATTTTTAGTAAAGATGGGGTTTCACCACGTTGGCCAGGCTGGTCTCGAACTCCTGACCTCAAGTGATCCTCCCACCTCAGCTTCCCAAAGTGCTTGGATTACAAGTATGAGCCACCACTCCTGGCCACAAGAGATGATTTTATCATCCTAAATTTACCAATTAGAAAACTGGGGAAAAGAGGAGTTGCCAGACATGTACAGATGACCCAATCTTTTTCCTCAGTTCTTATTTTTCAAGGAAGAATATTCCTGCACACATTTTAGAGTTTGACTTCCAGACTAGCCTTGTTACTGTGTCATAGCAGTCATCCTACTTTACTGCAGACACTTGTTTAATTTTCTTCTCTGCTAGTCTCAAAACTCCGGGAGCACAAAGCCTACGTCTGGAATTTTTTTCACTGACCTATCAGCCAGTGTCCAGCACAGTGTGTGTCCCACAAATATGTGCTGGGTGCTCCCAGCTCCAGTGCTGAGACAAGTGAGCTGCCAGTAGTCTCGCCTGGCCCATAGATGGGGAAGGAGAACAGCAATGCTCTTTAGGTAGGGAGGATACAGGAGCCGAAGTGCAGCGGAGAGGGCTTAAGTGAGCACAGCGCTCTGAGCTTCTCCCTCTTCTCTCTCCACAGTTTTTGCAGTTCTCTTTATTTAGGTTTAGAAAAAGAAAATATTAAAGCAGAGAAATAATTATCAAGAATATGCTATATCCAATCTTTATTTGTACAATCTAGTTGGCTGTTTTCTTCTATCAAACTAAAGAAAAAAATAGCTTTCTTTAGAAATTTGAAATATGGATGATAAAATCTAATTTCACACACTTGAAGTTGTCCATGGAAGGAGTCCTCGTAGACATGAAAGAATGAGGTAATAATTTCAGTGAAATGAAGGGCAGTAGCTCAATTACTGAATTGCTTGGTATTAGAAAAAAGAACATGAATTGGTACCTTTTCTAGAATTTCACAGGCACTTCCTACAATCCAGGGTGCATGAATATTAGTGTATAAGCCCACGTCCAAAGAGATCAAAGGAAATATTAGCATATCAGCACTGTGACACTACCTGCCATTAGTCATTTTAGTAACTGTCTTGATGATCAGATTGAAAAACCATAGTGTATGTAGGGTTTGGCATTATCGAGGTTTCAGGCATCGCCTAGGGGTCTTGGAGCATATCCCCTGAGGAAGAGCAGGGACCACCCTATGTCTCAAGAGAGGCTTAAAGTGTTGTTAGAGTTCAGAGGAAGATGGCTCCTCCCTAGAATCAGGGAAGTCATCAGCCAGAGACTAAGTTGGCCCTGACATTGTTGTAATAACCCCTCTTCAGGAGCTGAAAGCCTGCCAGCCTCCCTGAGGCAGCAGTCAGTTCTCTGACTGATTGGATATGACCTGTGTGTTAGGCCAGTGAACGAGCCAAGAGAGATTCCATTTTTAAGCCTGCTTTAGAATTCAAATCAATCAAAACTCTTGTAAGGTTATTCTGCATCTTATCCCTATGATTGATCAATTCAAGCCTGAAAACAATGGCTGGACTTTCTGCATGTTATACTCTGACCTTGGTGCTAAAAAACGCTAATGTTAGAAATTACGGGCAGTTGCTGTCTGGCCATTTTATTTCATTACTTTACAACGCGCTTAACCAAAAAGGCCTGTACTATTGAGTTTAAACCAAATGACCAATACAATTGAGGTATTTATCTCCAACAGAGGACTTACACTGGAAAAAAAAAGACTCAACAATAATTATTGCTACAGGCTTTAGCAGTCAGACACAAGATGTTACAAGCTAATACTAGATTTGATTTGCTAATGTTTTGCTGAGGATTTCTGTGTCTATGTTTGTAAACGATGTTGGTCCATAGGTTTTTGTTCTGGTAATGTCTTTGTACAGATGGTTTTGGTATCATTATAATCCTGGCTTCTTACAATGAATTGAGAAGAGTTCCTTTTACCTCTTTTCTGTGCAAGTTTGGTTTCTTCCTTAATGTTTGATAGCATATTAGTGAAGCCATCTGGGCTTGGAGTTTTCTTTGTGGGAAGGTTTTAAATTATGAATTCAATTTCTTTAATAAATATGGGTCGATCTCATTTCTTCTTCTGTCAGTTCTAATAAATTATCTTTCAAGGCATTTGTCCATTTCATATAAGCTGTTGAATTTCTTGGCATGGAATTCTTCAAAATATTCCCTTATTTTCTGTTTGTGATCTGTAGGATTTTTAGGTACACGGCTCTTTTTTTCCTTTCCAACACTGCCTATTTTTGGCTCAAGCTGAGCTATAAATTTATTAATTTTACTTATCTTTTCCAAACTCTGCTTTTTAAAAATTTTTTTCTATTGTTTGCCTGCTTACAGTTTCATTGATTTTTGCTCATCTTAATTATTTATTTGCTTCTATTTACTTTTGACTTAATTTAATGCTCTTCTTTTAATAGCTTCCGTAAGATGGAAGCTTAGATAATTGATTTTGTATCTCTCTTCTATTTTAATATAACCATTTATTGCTATAAAATTCCCTCTGAGGATTGCTTTAGCTGCATCCCATATATATTGGTTTGTTGTCGTTTTCTTACTATTGAGTTCAAAATATTTTCTAATTTCTCTTGGGATTTCTTCTTTGACTTTTCAGGATATTTAAAAGTGTGTTGCTTAATTTCCAATCTTTGGGGATTTTCTGGGTATTAAAAAAATCAATTTCTAATTTAATTCCATTGTGGTCAAAGAACATACTTTGCATGAATTAAGTCCTTTAAAATTTCTTGAGACTTGTTTTATGGCTTGTCATATGATTTGTCTTGGGGATGTTCCCTGGGAACCTAAAAAGAATGTGTGGGATGAAAGTAGTCTATAAAGATCCATTAAGTGAATTTGGCTGAGGCTATTGTTTGTTTTCTTTATTTTTCCTGGTGTTCTGTCTACTTGTCCTATCCCTTACTGAGGGAAGAGTGTTGAAATCTCCAACTATAATTGTGCATGTGTCGCTCCTTTCAGTTCTGAAGGGTTTTTACTTCAAATATTTTGAAGCACTGTGTCTCAGGGCATACTCATTTAGGATTATTAGGTTTTCTTGATGAATTCAATAATTTATCATAAGTAAATATCCCTCTTTGTCTTTAGTCCTAGTTCTTTTTCTGAAGTTGTAATAGCCATAGAGTTGTGCTGCTGAGACCTCCTTTCCAAAGAGTGGAATACTTAGCCCACAGCCTCAGTTGCCACACTTCAGGACCTGCCAGTCTTCCTGTAGTGGCTCTGCTCTCCCCAGGATGCCACTGGCCCATGACTGAGCACAGCGTGGTACTAAACGGGGCTGATACAGCGCCAATGCCAGCTCCTCTGATGGGCAGTTTCTGCTGGGGGATCTCTGTAGGCCTGGCTGAGACTTTTGGGGACCCAAAAGTCCCAGACTCTTCCTACTCAAGTCTTTTTCCCCTTCTCTGATCATAGGTTTCAGATCTTCAGTCATGTTTGAAGGCTTTTCTATACCCAGTGTGGCTCCTGTTTACCTTAATCTTTCATGGCTGTTTCCCCGCAGTAAATCTCCTGAGCTTCTGATTCAGTATTGACAACTGCTTCATGCAGGACCCAAGCTGCCGCACAAATCTACCTGTCTGAATGATGTGGCCACCCCAACTTTCTTATGATTAACGCTTGCATGTCATATCTTGGTCCGTCCTTTACTTTTCCTGTGCCTGTGTCTTTCTGAAGTGTGAAGACAGCATATATGCTTGGGTTTGGTCTACTATCTTGCTATATGTTTACTATTTATCCCATCTGTTCTTTTCCCTTTTTCTCACTCATTTCCGGCCCTCGTTTATATTACCTGAGTTTTACTGGGGTTTTTTTAGTATTTTATTTTATCTCTACTCTTTTAGCTCTTTGTTCATTATTTTTCGTGATGGCTGCAGAGTTTACAACATGACACTTTATCTTATCACATTCCACCTTTGAGTAATACTATCATTTCCTGTGTAAGAATCTTATGATCTTTGCTTTCATTTTTTCTTCCTCTCCTTTTTGCTGCTATCATATATTTTATTTATTACATGTCATAAACCTTAAAATACATTATCATTTTTGTTTCATACAGTCAATTTTATTTTAAAGAAATCAAAATAAGAAAATAGTTTCTTTTATATGTAGCCATATATTTGCAATTCCCCACATTTTTATTCTTTTGTAGAGGTCCAAGTTTCCATCTGGTATTATTTTCTTTCTGCTTGAAAAACTTTATGTTCTAGTATTTTTTTTCTAGTGCAGATTAGCTGGCTCTGTGCTTTTGTTTGTCTAAAAAAGTATTTATCTAGTCTTCCTTTATGAAGGATAACTTCACTGGATATTGAATTTTAGGTTGATCATTTCTTTCTTTTAACACTTTAAAGATGTTGCTCTACTACTTTTAGCTTGTGTGGTTCCTGACAAGAAGTTTGCAGTTATTCTTATCTTTGTTCTTCTGTATGTAATATGTCTGTTTTTTGCTACTCTGCTGCTGTCAATATTTTCTCTTTATCTCTGTTTTTCAGCAATTACATCATTATATGCCTGTCTGTGGTTTTGTGTTATCTTTCTTCGAGTTCACTGAGTTTCTTGAATCTGTGATCTATAGTTTTCAACAAACTTGGAAAATTTTCAGCCACTATTTCTTTAAATCAGTTCCCCGTCCCAATCCCCATCCTAGCACTCCAGTACCACATATGTTGGACTACTCCATGTCATCCCATAGGTCACTCAGACTCTATTCAATGTTTCCAAACTTTTGTTCCCTGTGTGTTTCAGTTTGAGTATTTTCCATATTTTGTCTCCAAATTTATTGGTCTCTTGTTCTGCAGTTGATTAATGTGCTAATAATTCTATCTAGTATATTTTTCATTTCAGATATTTTGTTCATTTCCAGAAAGTTTTATTTTCTTATCTCCCATTTCTCTCCTCTTATTTTTCTTTTTAAGTCCTTAAATAGTTGAGCATATTTATGATTTCTCTTTTTATGTCCTTATGTGCTAATTCCGCCACCCTTGACTCTGTCATTTCTGAGTCTGTTTTTGAGCCTCATTTTCTTGCTTCTTTGCATATATGTAGTTTTTTAGTTAATGCTGGACTGTTATTTTGTTGTTGTTGTTCAGTGCAAGGTTTTATTGCCTTTCTTTTAAAGTTTTGTTAAGGGAGGTCTAGAGTAGACTTTACTTAGGCTGATTTAGTTTCACTAAAGTGAGAGACTTCTGGGGTTTTGAGTAAAACCCCAGGTTCTCAACAAAGACTTTCTATTCTGATTGGTCCAAAGTCAAATGCCTCCCAGCCCTTTAGGAGCTCTGGGAATTGATTAACTTATGGAAGATCCTTTTCTGGGGGGTCAGGGGCTGCTCTATGAAGTTGACGCTGCACATGAGTGACTTAATATTTAGCAACAAATGCAAGGAGACCCCCATATGGATTAATTGAGCTCTTTGTCTCTATAACTTCTTCCTGTCAGATACTTTTTCTTCCAAATTCCATCTGCCTTAGCCTCCCTGAACTCTGTTCCATGTCCCCTTAACTCAGTGAGACCCCAGTGTTCTTGGCTTCCCCTTGCTGTGCTGCTGGTCTGGGCGGTTCATCCGGGTGGAAAGCTGGGATGCCTGTAGGACTCACTCAGCATTCCCTTTCTCTCAGGCATCACATCTTCTGTTGTGCTTCCTCTTATCCAATGTCTATAAACAGTTTTTTATGTAGTTTATGCAGTTATCTAGTTGTTTATGGTGGCAAGGCTAATCTAATATCAGTTCATCCTTTATGGCCAGAAACAATTTCAGCTTTTATAAATATTCTGGGTGTTTCCTTCTAGACATTAAGGTAGCCTTTCAGACCCTCTTTAGATTTGAGAGAGAAGCAACTTTTTGGTAGGGTGAGAAGAGACTCCGGGGCCATTGATTGTGCCCTGGACTGACACAAGCTGATATTAGACACAGGACCATAGTTGGCATCCCAGATAGGAAGGGGGTCTGACAACTGGGAGATTGAGGGGTTGCTGTGGCTCCTGCTCCTCCCAGGTCCTGTTTCCCAATCATCTTTCACACATAAGGAATATAAGTCAGGGACAACCTGTACATCTAAACTATTCCAAGAAAGTAATTTCCTAACTGGGGCTCCATGTCTATCGTTTCATTTATGGATGTGAATTTTCTTTCTCCTTTGCATGTCCATGGCAATTTAAATAATTCTTTAATCTTTTTCTTTTGCATCAATGCTATTCATTTAGGACTTCCAAAAGCGAGGAACTCTGTTAAGGGATTTGCATTCATAAACTCATTTAATTTTCACTATGACCCAATGAGGTAGGTACTGGTATGATCTCTATTTTATTCACGAGGAAAGCGAGACTTGGAAAGATTAAGAAATTTGCTCAAGATCATGCACCTATGTTGTGCCAAAGCCAGGATTTGCACCCACGTCCTTTTCATTTCGTGCTCTACATTCCTGCTATTAGGTTATCTTTCTGTCTTATACTGCACACTACCTTTGTACTACAGCTATTTCTATGTCTATCTTCGTAGTTTATGAATTGATTGAGAATAGGAACCCTGTACTTACACATTTTGTGTCTTCACGGCATTTATCAGGGCCCTTGCCCACAGCAATTTGGAAAGAGAAAAGGGGGAGGAAATGTCTCCTTTATTATTTATTTTGGAAAACAAATACCCCTAAACTCTTAGAATTAACTTGCCATCAAAATATTTCCTTATCGAGAATATTTTCCTTTCAAGGTAACTTCGTCTTATTTATTTTATTCCTAACAAATCATAGTTACTGGAATCAGCTGGTAGGAAATTAGCTATCCTTCTATAAAACAACAGATGGCAGCAAGGAAAAATTCATTTTTGTTTTGTTGCAAAGTGTACATAAGCAGTAATTGCAGGCTTTGGGATAATGTGTTCTATGATATTTGTTCCTTTTAGTCATGGACATAAATGATCTTCTCTTACAAGACTGATTTTTGTGTTTTCTGTAGCATCAGATAAATATTTATTAAAATATGATATATGGGCTCAAATAAGGATAGAAATAGCACAAGACCCTGTAATCAGTAACTTGAAGTTATCCTTTCATTTGTGAACCAAATACTCAGTGCTGTCTTGATTAAATCTGTCAATAATCTGGGCAATAAAGCAATTCTACAGGAAAAAGCTGACCGGTGCATTGGCATCCCCAGGGTAGGATGTCAGAGCTTTTGGGTGCTTCCAAAGTGTTGTTACGTTAGATGAAGAAAAAAGACTTGACTCTTGGATGGCAGTTTCCACAATTCATCCCCACCTTCCCCTGGGATCAAACATGCTCGTCACAGGCAGCATTTAAGCCACATCTGATAACCTTCTATAGTTGAGCTCTCTTGCTCCACATAGACTGATATTTGTCAAGCCAGAGGCTACTTGTAAGGTGAGAAAGCCTGGCTGCTGGAAGCTGTTAAAAAATCGATATCAGACTTCTTTAGAATCTTTAATTATTCAATTAAAAAATGCCTCCAGCCCTTGGGCAGCTGAGTGAAGGGGAGAGGGAAGAGGTGTGGGAGGTGGGGGGTGGGGAGCCATATTGCCCCAGTGTTTGAAACCTTGAATTCAGAAAAACATAAAGAGAATGAAGACTTGTGAAAGTCAGTCAGTTTTGTTTTTATTTGACCATACTCTGTTCTTAGAGATTCTTTTTCATCAGCCCAAATCTGTAACCTTCAGGTTCAATAATTATGAAACTCTTCTCCATATTTTGGAACTAAAATGTCTTCATTCAGAGTGAGCAACTTTAAATCTTTTTTTGTTTTGTTTTATTTTTATTTTTATTTTTGAGACAGGGTTTTGCTCTGTCACCCAGCCTGGAGTGCAGTGGTATGATCATGGCTCACTGCAGCCTTGTTCTCCTGGGCTCAAGCAATCCTCCTGCCCCAGCCTCCTGGATAGCTGGGACTATGGGTGTGCACCACCACACCTGGCTAATTTTTAGATTTTTTTGTAGAGATGAGTGGGGTATCTCACTATGTTGTCCAGACTGGTCTCAAACTCTTGAGTTCAATTAAATCCCCCTGCCTCAGCCTCCTAAAGTGCTGGTATTACAGTTATAAGCCACTGTGCCTGGCCTAAATATTTATTTTCAATTATTAATGCTCACAAAAAGATCTGTAGTAAGATAGTTCTTGTCCTCTCTAAAATGTGGGAGCCAAGAGAGGGTAGAGAGGAAAAGAAGAGAGATGGGGAGAGGTTCGTATTTCACAAGCAAAGCAAGAGCGTTCCTTAGAAGTGAGAGGGAATTATGTTCCACATGATCTTTTGAGATTCAGGATCTTTCATCTCTTGGTAATTTTATAAAATGGACAAATAACCACTAAAGTCACTTCCTTCGTTACACATAATTAATGAACATTCATCAAGGAATTGATCTGTGGTCCTTAGTGACCTGAACTGGATTCAAGCAATAATGTGAAGGCCCAACACTAAATACCATATGTTGTTTCTGATCCTTGAGACTATCCTGTTGCCTAGTACGTTTTTATGTTAAACATTAGTAGTTGGATCTTAAAAACCACAAGAGAACACATGTCATTTTCCTTGTCTGGATAATGCTCTTTATGTAGTTAGATAAAAGGTTAGGACTGTTGTTCAACAGCATGTTAGGGTGACTAGCTGGAAGAGAGGAAACATACAAATGATAAAATTCAAAGTAGTAGATACCTCAGATACCCTGAGCTGATCATTACACATTCTATGCATGTAACAAAATATCACATATACCCCATAAATATGTAAAATATTATGTATCAATACAAAATCCTCTCAAATCCATAAAACCCCACAAAACCATTAATGAATCCCACTGCCACCAAGGTAGGACTTAAAGGACAATGGGGAGTTTTCATTTTTAAGGGAAACAAGCCCAAAAAAGGACTTTAGGTATACTCTAAACTAAGCTAAATTGTTTCAGTGAATTAATTCATACTAAATATTGTACCTAATAGTCACACTCCATGAATTTCATTTGTACATTAACCATCTTAATAGTATGTTTCAACTGGGTGCTCTAACAGAATGTAAGGTCATATTTATTACATTTGTTTCCAGGAGCTCCAACTTGTCTTAAAGTTTACTACATTGCATTTTCCCTGGGATGTTTCTCTATAGAAAAACGGTACAGACAGTTCCTGACTTAGGATGGTTCGACTTAGGATCTTTTTACTTTACAATAGTGCAAAAGTGACATGTGTTCTGTAGAGACCATACTTGGAGTACCCATTCAACCATTCTGTTTTTCACTTTCAGTACAGTATTCAATACATTATATGAGATATTCAACACTTTATTATAAAATAAGCTTTGTGTTAGAGGATTTAACGAACTATATGATAATGTAAGATAATGAGCACGTTTATGGTAGGCTAGGGTGAGCTGTGATGCTCTGTAGGTTGGGTTTATTCAATGCATTTTTGACTTATTTGACAGTATTTTCAATTTGTGATGGGTTTTATTTTTTTTTATTTTTTATTTTTTTTTGAGACGGAGTTTCGCTCTTGTTGCCCAGGCTGGAGTGCAATGGCACGGTCTCGGCTCACTGCAACATCTGCCTCCGCCTCCCGGGTCCAAGCAATTCTCCTGCCTCAGCCTCCCGAGTAGCTGGGATTATAGGCATGCATCACCACACTCAGCTAATTTTTGTATTATTAGTAGAGATGGGTTTTCACCATGTTGGCCAGGCTGGTCTCGAACTCCTGACCTCAGGTGATCCACCCGCCTCAGCCTCCTAAAGTGCTGGGATTGTGAAGGTTTTATCTGGACATAACTCCATCATAAGTCAAGAAGCACCTGTATTCATTCACTAATTAAATATGTATTTGTTTGAGTTTTACCTTGTGTAGAATGTTGTACTTTGTCTGAAATTACGCATTTATCCATTTATTCATTTAGCAGATATTTATTGTATGTTAATGTATGCCAGGAACAGTTCTTGGCACTGGAAATGTTAAATCAGCATAGCAAATGAAGTTTCTGTTCCACCTGTGACCTAGGTGCCAATGAGGAAGTCAGACAGTACACAAGCAACAGATGCATACATAATGTAATTTTGGAGAGAAGAGAAGAAATAAATTAGCTCCTTTTACTAATGTCTGATATTGTGTGACAGCAGCTGGGAAATCAGATAATGTGGTATAATGATAGCATGATCTTTTATAGAGGGCCAAGTATAGGGTCTTTTACAGTCATCTTATGCAGTTCTCATAATAGCTTTGCAAAGTGCGTATTATCAATGCCATTTATTCAGATGGAAAATCTGAGGCCCAAAGAGAATCTGTGAATTTCAGAAGGGCTCAAAGCTAGTAAATGGCAAAGTTTTTTCAACCAGACCCTTGCCTTCTGACCATAAGTTGCGTGGTTTCTCTCTGCATTGCTGCTTGGTATTTACTGAATTAATCATCCATGAATTCTTTCCTTTCTACATTTCAGGTTAAAAAAATCTTTCGGGAATAGGAAAACTTTTTGCAATCACAACAGTTATGGTTTTTGCTTTTGACTTTTGAATAAAGCTCCACATTTGTTAAGTGGAGAAAAGAAGGAAGGAAAAACTGTAAAAATTGTCCTCACACACTGCTTGGGTTTCTATTAATCTCAGCCTTCTTGAGGCTGATTACACTTTGCAGTCTTCCTTAGGAAATGGATGGAAGTTTGAGCTGAGACACAAACAGGAAGGCTCCAGGCAGCATTTGTCCCACAGGCACCACCTCCTTAAATAGCTTCTGTGCAGTGGAATTAGTTCTTCACTTAGAGAAGAAACTCCATTGCCCTTTGTTTCTGGCCCTGTGCGGCTGGAGGCGGCCAGCACTGTCCTGTCCTGGTTGAAGCAATTTTAATGTGTGTGGGGTGCTGAATGTGGGCTGGGGATGGCTTCCCTGCCTTTGGGTCATGGGGAGACACACTTGCAGAGGGGTTTTGTGGGTCTTCCTCAAGAATATCATCCCTGAAATTTTTAACCTGCTAAAAGGTAAGGTTCTAAGCACTTCTTAATAACTTCGGCCACAGACTTCTTTCTGCAGACTAGTTCTTTCTTTTATGTAAAAGAGAAAGGAAGGCGCAGATAGCTGTGATAGCTTTTTTAAAATCTATTTTTAGGGGCTTATAGTTTTATTATTAGTTTATAGATGCATCATATTGATAGTAAATTGCCATTTTTTAACCTCTCACAGCAGATTTTTGTCATGGTATGGATATGGATTTTTAAACCTCAAATATACAAGTTAAGTCCTATTAGTAATTTGAGAGGACTAGTTAAAATGTGTTCTTAATAGATGGTTAAAAATGAATTGCTTAGAAGTCTTTTGATTCCTATTTCTGTTTGTGTGCTGGAGCCTTTAAACTAACCCAATCTTTCCAGTTAATTACCTAATTTTAGAAAAATCTACTGAGGTAGATAGAGTTCATTAGCCAAGCAAGCTCTTCTATTCTTTAATGGAATTAATGCACATCTGTGGGCAGGCTTACCAAGCCTTTCCTCCTGCTGTCAGCGCTGGGACAGAGGGCACCCACCAGAAGTGGCTGTGTGTTGCCCTGGTCCTACACCTATGGTGGGGACCATAGGTGGGGAAGGAGTTCTACAGGAAAGAGGTTTGCTGGGGGATTTGTGTGACCTGCATCTGTCCATTTCTTCTGATCTTTCCGTGGCCTCTGTCTACCCCTCCCTTAAGCACCTTCTTAGAAATTAATTAGCACCTGTGTTAGTGTAGTCTCAAAGCCAAGGACCTAATTAGTCTGATCAATAGCACGCAGAGGCTCTTCTTCGGGAAACACAAATGTGTGCTCTTCCCAGAAAGGCTTCCATAATATCGATTAACCTCTTTTCATGTTTAATTTGTAAAGCATTGTCATACATACAGCTACCTTGTCAATGACTCTTTGTTTGTCTTCTATTTCATTTTTGTTCTTGTTCTTGTCCTTTGTGATGGGTTTGGTTGGAGAGGAGGAGCGTTAAGAGAGGTGGTCTTGCTGTTTATTTGAATTTCCTTTTTAAAATTAGATTGCAATCATCTGCATCAGAGCATTATGGATTCCTTTTCCTTGAGCAGTGTCATCTGTGTATTTACAAAGTGTGTTTATCGTTTCCTTATTGTTCTTAAGTGTTTTTACTAGAGCATTTTGTAATCAAAAAGTCAAGTCTTCTTTGACTCTATTGAACTTGCTTTTTAGATTGGTTTAGAGTGTGTTAAGGAAGCCTTCGATGAAATATTGCTTGTTTTCATAGTGTGTGGTGGAAGGGGTGAGAGTTTTTTGTTTGTTTGTTTTTAGTTTTACCTCCGATTTCAGGTGGTGTAAGCAAAACCGAGGGCAATGATAGGCCACGTGATGCTTCGGATGTGACATTCGCTGGATGTGTTCATTTGTGAAAGTAATAAAATTTTACACATGCTTTGGTGATGATTACTAAATAGGGAGACTTTCCTTAACTTTAAATCTCCTAAGTAATACTGAATTTGCATTATATTTAGAAATTGTTTCACATTCTATGGTTTCTTTTTGATAGCTCCCATGTATAATTACTGCTCCCCTCCCATGCTCACTTTGTACGTGTTGCCTGTCTTTTACAGACAAATTTTATGAGGCCCTTGTTAAACTCTGAGCCAAGGGATTAGTTGAAGATCAGCTGCACTAATTAAAGACAAGTTTAACAAGGTAGGGCTCATGTTTAGATTTGAAAATACAAACAAAGGACTTCATTTTTATGATCTTAAAGCCAAAGTGGGGAAAAAACATTGGGAAAATGAACAACACTTAGCCTACCCAAGCAAGTAGGAACTTTTACAGATAAAGGAACCCTGAAGACAATGGACACAGTAATACAAGGTTCTAAAGACGAGTTTCTGGCTGAAATTTTAGGAAAAAAATAACAATATAGCCCCTGAGATGAGCTAAAATAGCCCCTGAGATGAGCTAAAAGGAAATCAATGCCTTTCTATGATAAGTGGAATGACAAAGTAGAGTGAAGTAAGGATTTACTGGAAGGCCTCCTCCTGACTCCAGATGAGCCGAGTGCAGGAATGTGTTTTAATGCCTGTTTCAAACCCCAGCGGTGGTGTTTTGAATCAGTGCTGCTGACGTAAACACAGACTGAATGTGGATATTTTCCAAAAGTAGAGAATGAAAACAGTTCAGTCAAGATGTACAGTATTAATACAGTAAAGGCTTGCTGCAGCAGCTGGCCACCGGCTTGAGTATCACAGCCATTCAAGTCTCCCTGAAGGTGCGGTGCTGCTGGCGGTAAGACTGCTGGTCTCGAGCTCAAGTGATCTGCCTGCCTCTGCCTTGGCCTCCCAGAGTGCTGGGATTATAGGCATGAGCCACCATGCCCGGCCCAAAGTGTTTCTTTGACAATTTGCTGTATATGAAGTAGTGGATGTAAGTACACCTGATGAGGAGGAGGATTATAATAGGTAACACATCTTAGTTATGATGGTGACCTTTTTGAGACAAGGAGAAACGGGGTGTCAGAGTGGTACATAGGTTATTCTTTCAGTCGGTGGTAGATCGGAGATTCAATCCACACTGGTTCAGCTGCAAAGCCCTCTTTCTTAACCGCTATAATATCTTGTTCCCCTTGACTCCTATTCAGCAGCCCAACTTAAAGGATCCATGATTAGATCATTATGGATGAATGTTAGCATATACGATTGGAGGGGGGATAGCGGTGAGTTTGAAAAGGTAAGCTGAGGCAGGTTATGAAGAAATTTTTATACAACCTAACAAGTTTGGAACATCCTCCCAACAATTGGGGAACTTTTATCAAATGATTGTTAATAAGAGAATGACATATAAAATTTTTGTTTTGTCAACATGACTCTTGCAAGGGTATGTAAAGAATATTAAAATGGGAGGAGTTGGGAAACCAGTTAGGCGGTGCAATAACCTAGATATATTATAAACTTGAACACTGGGTGTACAGCAAAATAGAAAAAGATGTATTTGAGAGATATGTTTAAGGGAGACTCACCTGGATTTGTGAATCTATCTAATATAGAGGGAGTAGTAAAAAATGACAAGTGTGTAATGATGCCATTACTGAGACTGGGAAAAAGGATTACAGTTAGGAGGGGGGTGAGCTTTGGACAAGATGGGTTTCAAGTGAAGGAGAACATGCAGAACACAACTTGACATACTGAAGAGTCAGAGCTCAAGAGCAATTAGCCCAAAGATTTGCGAGGCTGGGCGTGGTGGCTCACACCTGCAATCCCAGCACTTTGGAGGGCAGAGGTGGGAAGTTCACTTGAGCTCAGGAGTTCAGGATCAGCCTGGGCAACATAGTGAGACCACATGTCTACGAAAAGTTTTTAAAAATTAGCAGGTCTTGGTGGCATTCGCCTGTAGTTCCAGTTGCTTGGAAAGCTGCGGTGGGAGAATCACTTGATATCAGGAGGTCAAGGCTGCAGTGATCTATGATTGCACCACTGCATTCCAGCCTGGGCAACAGAGCAAGACCCTGTCTCAATGAATGAATGAATGAATGAATGAGTGAATGAATGAATGAATGAATAAAACAGTTGTGAACCCTCAGCCTGTAAGTGAGAAGAATGGACAAGGTTGTGGGGAGAGGCTGGGGCTGCTTCAAGTAGAAAGATATTGACAGAGTATGAAGGAAAACACCCAAGAACACCATTGGTTTTGAAGGTCTGACCCTCCTTAGCATTTTTCCGATCTGGTGGCTACACTGGGGACTCTGATTGGACATAGGTATTTCCCAAGCCTTCATCAGTATGATTACCAGCCATCCTTTAGGGTGGTTCCCTTAGGCACTAGCAAAGCCATTAGCTCTTGGTTTTTTCCAATATTCTCAGAAGATTAACTCCAAACTTGGGAAAGTTTTGCCCTTTAGAAATCGACTAAGGATTGGTGTAGTCTGGAGATGTGTATAACTCATTCATAATCATTTGATTAGCTGTATCAACCTTTCTCTAGGATTTTTTCCATGAAGTTGGCATGTTGCATTTCTAGTTTTGAAATTAGTGCAGAGATGGATCCACATGAAATGACTGACAACTTCTTAATGAGCTGCAAGTTTCATGTAAAATGTCCTGGAAACTTTACTGGCAGCCTCCTATATCCTAAAAATGTATGAGTTTCTTCATTCTCTTGTGGTGCCCTCTTTCAGTAACAAGGAGAAGAAATTGGTCATGTTGTCCATTCATAAGCAGCTTTTTAGCAATGGTCACTGCATCAGAAACAATACTGCAAGTACCTTATGGGAAAATACCCAAGGCACAGGGTAGAGAGTCCTGGCTCTGAGGTCTGACAGCCTGAGTTGGAATCCTAGCTCTTCCTCTTAATCAGCAATGTGTCTTCAGACCAGTGGCAAACCCTCTTTAATCCTTCATTTCCTTATCTGTAAATAATACCTGTAGGATTTCTCGTGGAATTGCTGAGGATTTTCAACAGGTGTTTTACTTAATATTGGGCACTAGGGAGTGCTACGTGTGACTAACGAGCATTAGTGCATCTTGATTAGAGTTGATTTTGCTCTTTTATTCTCTTTTAAAGACCTTTTTGAGTGACTGTCTGGAAATGTTTTTATCTGACTTTCCTGAATACCTCAGTGGTACTGTGAATAGTAGAAGATCTGATATTAGGGAATATCGGGCTATCACAGCAGTTCATTCTATTGGATTTGGAAGACTATACTTTTTCAGGGTATTCCTCCCTTCATCTTACAGAATCACCACTTCACATCTGTAAGCAGAGCGCTGGCTAACTCTGTGGCTTAAGCAGAGGTCAGAACATCTGAAGTGATCTGCAGATATCCTGGTATGTTCATTTTCTTTGTTCTCCAGACCAGGTCACAAGAATGCTTGCCTGAGTCAGCATTGTAGTAGAAGTGTTTCCTTTAATGTCAATTACATAGACTCATGCAGAGCCTAGGCCTTTTCATAGGCCATTATACATATCCAACTTTGTTTGGGTCCAGATATTATTGAAGGGTGCACTGTGTACTGCATATGAAAATAATCCTGCATCATGTTATCTGGAAAATTACCCCAAATTGCAGTATTAAGATAGATATTGAAGCTCTGCAAAGTAAGCAGTGAAATCCTCCTCCATCTGCTGATTAGGGTTGTGGAATTTACCTGGTAGAGAAAGGAATAATAGGCTGTGCAAAATAGACATTATCAGGAACTGCATACATTTATCACATTTCCTTGGGCAGAACAAAATTGCAGGAGCCTTTATCATTGCATCTACTTGGTTTTCACAAGCTGAGCATGAACACTGTGTTTATATTAGAGGCTTTCCATTTTGATTTCATCAGAATTCTACAAAGTTTCAATATATAGTTTCCAAGGTACAGGTATACCCCGATCTCCTTAACAGCCATTGTATGACCACTATCTGCCCCAGTTCTAGGTTGGAGGTCACATTCAAGTGCTTGCCTGGCCTTATGGACAGCAGAAACATCTGCCTATTTTTGTATAGCATTTTAAACATCTTCCTCATTATCAGAGAAGCTGTGTTAGGTAATGGTACAAATCCATTTGTCAAGACTCATGCAGGCCTCTGCCAATTCTTTATTGCTTCAAAATTACACTGACCTACGTGCATCTTTCTAACAGGCTTCTGAAAGAAATTCAACCATCCTGCTACAAAAGTAAATCAAAGATAACTCGAAATGTCACTAACTTTGAACCTGAGAGTCCCTAGCTTACATAAGAATGATCCCTATGAACTAGAACAGTTAAGGGAACTTCATGGGAAATATGAGGCTTGCAGCAAGACGTTGGAAAGGAGAGGAGAGCAGAAGAGGTCCAGGTGCTTCCAGGCAGGGCTGTTGCTTGTTGGACATGAGCTGGACCTACAAGCCCACCCCAGCTTTCAACTGGAGTTCAGGGAAGCTCAGTGACAAGGCCAGATGGCTGCCCAGAATCAGCTGGTCATATGCAGAAGCGAGACCACTGAGCTGCTGCTTCTGGATAGAATTGGATCTTAACCAAGCATTCACATAAAGTCAGCCCTTGGTATCTACAGGTTCTGCATGGGCAGATTGAACCAACCTTGAATCAAAAATATTTGGGGAAAAAAAAACAATAAAAACTAACTACGACAATTAAAAATACAAATTAAAAAACCAATACAGTGTAACTCTTTACATAGGGTTTACATTGTGCTGGGTATTATACGTGATCTAGAGATGACTTAAAGTGTTGGGAGGATGTGCTTAAGTTATATGCAAACACTACGCCATTTTATGTAATGGACTTGAGCATCGGTGGAATTTGGTATTAGTTGTGGGGAGGGGTATGGAACCAATCCCCCTCAGATGCTGAGGGATGCCTGTATAACATTTAAGCAATGGAGGCTGAGAAAAAAAATCAGTCTCTTAGGCCAGGTGCGGTGGCTCATGCCTGTAATCCCAGCACTTTGGTAGGCCAAGGTGGGTGGATCACCTGAGGTCAGGAGTTCGAGACCAGCCTGCCCAAGATAGCAAAACCCCGTCTCTACTAAAAATACAAAAATTAGCCAGGCATGGTCGTGGCAGGCGCCTGTAATGCCAGCTACTCACGAGGCTGAGGCAGGAGAATCTCTTGAACCCGGGAGGTGGAGGTTGCAGTGAGCCGAGATCACGCCATTTGCACTCCAGCCTAGGCAACAAGAGCAAAACTCCGTCTCCAAAAAAAAAAAAAAAAATTCAATCAGTCTTGTAATGCCCATGAATTTCACAGTCACAGAATGTAATTTTCTTTATTTCTGGTAATAAAATTTATATTCTAACTCTGAGCCCCCACTTCTGACGGACAGCAGAAAAGCTCCATCTAGTCACAGCCACAGCCAGTCGACTTGATCCAATTTAGCACTTTCTAAGTTGCTTCTGGTTAAAATTCAGGAATATTCAGAATATTTCCCTTTGATTCCCCTCCTTTCCTTCTATTGCTGCTGGAAGCCATTGCATCTGGAGAGGCAGTCGGGACAGTCAGGGGGACCTGTGTTGGTGACTCAGCCTTCCTCTGCTGTCTGAGCTTTGACCCCAGGGGATTGGACACAGTGCTGCTGGGATGCAAGAGTGGATCTATGGGGTGGCTCCCACCTGGGTCTCTGATATGAGTTGAGCCTTCGTCCTGTTCCAGTTTCTGGAAGGAACTGTTCACTCTGCAGCCCCTGCCACGGGGATCCTTATCTCCAGCCAGGCACGTCTGTCAGGCTCTGAGAATCAATCAGTCTCTGTCTGCTTCCTTTTCTCTCTCAGCTAAAGTGGGCACCCCTCAGGCTGTGCAGGGAACTCCTGACCCCATCACTCCCCAGCGGGAGCGGGAGCTGCTGTCTCTGCCCATTCTTCTTGCCCTGGTGACATGGGATGTGTCTCTGAGGCTGCTTCCTTAATCACAAAAGAAGGGAAGCAGGAAGCAAGTGTCTTCCTAGATCCTCCCAAACTTCGTGGAGAAGCCTGTGAGGGCCCCAGCTCCCACCTGACACACTGTGGCATTGTTCTGGGGGTGGGACACCAAACACATGGCCTCTAATTGCTCATAATGATTTTTTCCTCTGCAAATTCTTTCCTTCTCCCTAGTTTGGATGGGGTGGTAAAAAAAACTTGTTTTGCCAGTTGATATCTCTTTTCAAAACTATTTTTGTCTCTCTTTTGAACTAGAGCCAAGATTCTGGAATCTGTTTGCTGTTTTTATTTTTCTTCCTGACAATTCTCCCTGGGGCAAGTGGTAAACTGGCCAGCCCATATCTCTTGGAATATGGGTTTAGGGATGGGGACAGGGCAGTGGAGAGAGGGGCACATCAGTCAACAAGCTATCATATTATCCTGGCAGAGAGCACCCAGATCTGATTCATCAGTCAAGGCCCAAGCCAATTTCTCACTTCCTGGAGATTCCAACTGGTTTTTTTTTTAGCTGCCTCCCCAGCCTTGGGAAGGTCTGCTGTGCTTAGCCACTGCAACTGATGAGGAGCAGAGCATGTCCTTGGTTTAGGGAGTGGGGGGTTGAGGGGGTGAGATAACCTTGTTTTCTAGGGTGAATGGGTAGAAGAGTGTTCACTGTTTTTTAGCACGTTGAAAATCCAAATATGAGGTTATTCTTTCCATCTTTTAATGTTATTCCTAACAGCCTCGATTAGAGTATTAATGAGGAATCCCTTGAAATATACATATATGTCACTATCTGTTATATATAATGTCAAGACATTAATTATTATTATTATTATTTTGAGATAGAGTCTCACTCTGTCACCCAGGCTGGAGTGCAGTGGCACGATCTCGGCTCACTGCAACCTCTGCCTCCTGCATTCAAGTGATTCTCATGCGTCAGCTTCCTGAGTAGCTAGGATTACAGGCACCTGCCATCACGCCCAGCTAATTTTTGTATTTTTTTTTTTTTTTTTTTTTTTTTTTTTTTTTTTTTAGTAGAGACGGGGTTTCACCATGTTGACCAGGCTGGTCTCAAACTCCTGACCTCAGGTGATCCACCCACCTCGGCCTCCCAAAGTGCTGGGATTACAGGCGTGAGCCACCACACCCAGCCAAGAGATTAATTATATATCATATTTTATATACAATTATATAATTGTATATAATGTGTGCCCATATGTATTTCTCTAACAAACTTCTGATTGGATCTTTTTAGGAGCTGGCTATTTGGTCTTGGTGCTTACTCTTTCTTATTTTCTTTGGGTCTACTTTCTTTCCCAAATCTTGGAAATCCATCAGTAACATTGTATCTGAATTCTAAAAAGGAGCAGGAGGGTTTTGGGCCATGTGCTCCTGAGACCAAAGTGAAAGCTGGTCTTCCCTTAACTGCCACAGCCAGCTCCAACCTGCTAGTCCTGTTTCTCCAAGAGAACCTGTTGAGGCCACTGTGTTCTTCACTTTCTGAGCTGGGCTTTTGATGGCTTCCCAGCACTTTGCCTCAGGCATTCATCTTGTTTTTCTTTTATCTTTAATGCTCCCCCTGCTTACCCACTTGGGGTTCTTTTCTTCCTGAAGATTACCTATAGAAATAAACAGACTCACTGCAGTTTTTTTTCCATGTCGCCCCCCTCGAGAAGTCCAGACTCTTTGTGTTTTAAGGGTATTTACTTTTTTTTTTTTTTTGAGATGGAGTTTCGCTCTTGTTACCAAGGCTGGAGTGCAATGGCGCGATCTCAGCTCACTGCAACCTCTGCCTCCCAGGTTCAAGCGATTTTCCTGCCTCAGCCTCCCAAGTAGCTGGGATTACAGGCATGTGCCACCAGGCCTGGCTAATTTTGTATTTTTAGTAGAGACGGGGTTTCTCCATGTTGGTCAGGCTGGTCTTGAACTCCTGACCTCAGGTGATCTGCCTGCCTCAGCCTCCCAAAGTGCTGGGATTACAGGCGTGAGCCACCATGACCGGCCTGGGTATTTACTTTTAACCACAGGACATAACACATTGCTGAATTAATCAGAAGTTCACTCTTACTCTCCTACACTTTGAGACGCTCTGCGGGGAGCTCATCCACAAGCCCCCCTTGCCCTCTAGTTCCCAGTTGGGTTTGGCCAATGGGAGGCACAAGAGGCAATCAGGGACTGGGAAGAAAGTGAGACTGGGATGTTTATTCCCCTTTCCCATCCCTAGGAAAACTGCGTTCCTCTATTCTGTACCCAAGACCACAGCTCTTTTCATGACCCTGGCCTACTGCTCCTGTTCCAGCTTTAAAGTTCTCTGGTTCTGGTAACCACTCCCTCCCTTTGGGCTTCCCGTCTAGGGCTGGTGATGCCTCATCCTCCTGGTTGCTGTTAAGTTCCTTAATTTTTTCTTCCCCTCATGCTGCTCACATTTTGCAAATAGCCAGGCAGACTCTTATTAAAACCTCCTCAGTTACTTCTTTGAGTTTACTATCTACTTTCTCCCGGGAGCCCAGTGAAATCCATGCAGTTGGAGATCCCGGGAGCCCAGTCAAATCCATGCAGTTGGAGATCCCTTCAGCATAGGTCTCTGGGCTGGCTTGCTCCTGGAGGTGTGTCTAAACTGTAGCCCAGCGGTATTTGTAACCCCTGGGAGCTTTGTTAGAAATGCAGAATGTTAGATTCTGCCCCAGACTTCTTGAATCAGAGTCTGCATTTTAACCAGACTCCCAAGTGATTTATATCCACCTAGAGATTAAGAAGCACTGCTTTAGGGAGCAAGTAGCCAGGAGCCTGGTTGGGTTTACGCGTTCTGAATGTAATCGCTTTCATTTCTGGGGAAAGCCCACAACTTTTCTTGCTTCTCCTGCCCTGTCTCCAACCACCTTCCTACCCTCCACTACAGAGCAAAGCTCACACTCCTCTTACCTCTTTCCTTATTTATTCCACAAAGTGTTACTGATTCCATTCTAAACTCCAGGCAAGGGGGCAGATGTTAGGGATACAAAGAATAAGGAAACATGTTACTGCCCTCTATTCAATTTAGTGAAGGGATGAAGACATGATCATAGTCAATTTCAGCGCAGTAGGAGGTACATAACAAAGATGGGAACAAAATGATGTGGAAACAAAGGCCAAAGTTATCCAAAGTTACTTTGCTTGATGAACTTAAAGTCCCTCTGTAAAATCCTTTGAAATGTGTTGTGTTTTCTAATTTTAGTCACGTGAAAATATTGAGTAAAGATATCTGATTATAATCCCCTGTCCTCAAGCTTTGTTCGAATGTTACATTTGACAAATAGCAGTATCTCTCCCAAGAACAGCTAGCAGTCCATGGAGTCAGAGCTGTTTGTACTGAGGCAGCTCCTGAGCAGCAAATGCCTGTGGACAACCAGGGTCTGAGGAAATTGAGGAGCTGATTTTTTTTTTCCAAAAGGAAATTCGTGGAGAAAACACCAAAAGATTCCCTCATAAGCTGTCTTTGGAATTAATTTCAGTGCTTGTTAAAACACCTAAATCCCTCTTTCAGAAGGATTCTCCAATAACTTCGTAATTAGGTTCTCTTCTTTTATCATCTGTAAGGAATACTCCCCATTTGAGTCCCTGCATAGTTCACATAAATGAAATAACACAGATTCCAGATTACCTCAGCAAGAGTAGTAGAACACTTTTTCATATCATTATAACTTTTAAAAAAGAAACAGTGGCTTAGGGCTTTGAATATTGATTTAACTGTTCATTCATTCAAGAGGACCAGGTGTGTCACTCAAAATTTAACTCTTTCCTCACTCCTTCCTGGCACTATAACTCAGTGGTAAAGATAGCTCCATCACTCTGGGTTCCTTCTTTCCACCTCCAATGCATCTTTCTACCTCCAACAAGTCCTTCTTTGGCCCAGGGGTCCCTTAGATCAGCACAGTTGCTTCCTCCTCTTTGCTTCCTTAGTTTGTAAGCACCTGGGACTTGGATTGGCATCTGTGCATACTTGCAGGAATTGATGCGTTGACTGTGGTCCTGGGCCCCTGGTATGTTGTAACCCTTATTGTATGATAAACGACTAAGCCAACCAGCAGGTTTGAGAATTCCAAGGAAGTGGGTGCAGTTGAGAAACTGAGAAAGGGATTACCGTGCCTGTGATGTATAAATGAGTTTCCATGTAGATATGAGCACTAGACTGAGATGGACATTTTCAGGCTTTACTTAGTTTTCCAGTGGCTAATACCATACGGTGATAGTGCATGAAATTAGTTGAGTTGGTCAATATCTGCATTTGAAAAAATGAAATAGAAAAGGAAATAGGTCAGAGTATATCACACATAATGAGACTGTTTCATGAAACTTTTGTTACATGTATGAGGTATGTGTGTGTACTGGGTAGAGATCTAAATTGTGTTTCTTCATATGGGTTGACATTAAACATTTTTTGGAAAACACTCCCTGAGGAGATGTCTGTTTGAAATTAGGAGAAGTTCTATTGGGAGGAACAATTGGGAGGGAGGTTTATGTCTTTAAATGGGAGAAGAAACGTCAGTTGAACAAAACAGTATTTTGACGTGGAGTGACCAGCGTAGTGATTTCCAGAGTTATTCATTTGTACAAGCTAAACTGCAACTAGACATTAGTCCTATTGGGTCATAAGCTTATATATTACACCTTTTTTATTTTTTCTATTTTATTTTTCCTTTTCTTTAGTTTTTAGTAAAGAATGTTTTGACAAATTATCCTGTCATATATACTTAAAGAAAAAATTAAGAGAATTTTCCTAACTATGCCAGTCCCAAAGGGATAGGTGTATACCCAGGTCAAGATAAGCTGGTGTCAATGAGGATAAAAATGTGAGAACCCAGTGGAGAAGAGCAGTCCTCAGGAAGGAAGAGTTGGGGCCCAGTTTCTCTCACCACTCTCTTCTCCCAGCATTCGGGCTCCATCATTGTGCCACTGTAACCTTCCAACCACACGCCCCCCAGCATGCCTTTTTGGGGTGCGCTGACCACTTCATTCTTTGAAACTATTATTCCAATGTCCTTGCTATTGATAGGTGAATCCCTGAAAGAATGATATAAGATTGTACCATTTAAAATTTGATGAAAAGATCAAAACAAATTATCCTCACAGCAAGAACTGCCATTCAAAGCTTTTAAAACTATTTGCTATGGCTATTGATATATAAATATTAATAATTATAAAGCTATTTGCTGTGGGGAAAAAAAAAATCCCTAAAATAGCAAATTTTCTTTTCAGAGCTCAGCTTCTTACCAGCAAAGTTTTTTATTTTCTAGGCTTTTCCCTTTGGCCTAAAAATATTGAAATGTTCTCATGTGATCATTCATTCACAATTGAAGTTGGGGCCGCGCGCGGTGGTTCATGCCTGTGATCCCAGCACTTTTGGGAGGCTGATGCCGACGGATCACCTGAGGTCAGGAGTTTGAGACCAGCCTGGCCAACATGGTGAAACCCCGTCTCTACTAAAAACACAAAAATTAGCCGGGCGTGGTGGTGGACGCATGTAATCCCAGCTACTGGGAAGGCTGAGGCAGGAGAATTGCTTGAACCTGGGAGGCGGAGGTTGCAGTGAGCTGAGATCGCGCCACTGCACTCCAACCTGGGCAACAAGAGCGAAACTCCATTTAAAAAAAAAAAAAAAAAAAAAAAGGATTGAAGTTGCCCTTGTAAATGTATTTTGAGGATAAGAAAAAAAAAAAACTAAAATAAGAATCAGCATCTCTTGAGTGAAGAAAGTTCTTTAAGCTACATTGTTATTATTTACTTTTCCTTTATACTAATAATATATCATTTGCTTTCATGTTTTAGGTAGAGATCATCAATGAGAATGGTTATTAAGATACTTATTTTTTTCCAGGGATGTAGTCTGTTAACTGGGGAAAACTTCTTTCATGTAGATTGGTGGTTTTCAACAATGGAAGAAACTTAAAAAAATTAGTTCTATCTAGGCCCTACCCCCGGAAATTCTGATCGTTTTTATCTAAGACAATATAGCATAATGCCTGTGGCACAGACATTAACACTTTACAAAGCTGTGATGTGCAGGCAAAGCAATGGCAGTCTGAATTTTAATCTGGTGGGTTGGCTTTCCATAGGTGTCCCCATGGGTGTTTTTTGTTTCACTTTTCAAAAACACAGTTTTAACCAATGTTATCATTCTCTATTAAAAGTGTTAGACACAACTCTCAAAGACAACTGTATTTAAATATACAGGCACAAGAGATTTCTTAATGTAAAAGTTTAATTCCAACTTTTTAAATAATCTAATTCCTATCCATCACAGTTGGATTGACAGTAGGATTACTCCAACTGTAATTTCCTCTTTAACTAATTTGAGTAGTTCTGCTTTGTTCCATGTATTCTGGCTCATTCTGCCTTTTGTCTAGTCAGAAAATACAGGTTGGCTTCAGTTTCTCCTGGCCTTGAGGCATCTGCATGTCTGTAGTTGATAAGGTCTGGATCTGTGTCCCTGCCCAAATCTCATGTTGAATTGTAATCTGCAGTGCTGGTGGTGGGGCCTGGTGAGGGGTGATTGGATTGTGGAGGTGGAGTTCTCATGAGCAGTTTAGCACCACCTACCCTTGTTACTGTATAGTGAGTGAGTTCTCGGGAGATCTGGTTGTTCAAAAGTGTGTAGCACCTCCCTCAGCCCCTTCCTCCTGCTCCGGCCAGGTGACGTGCTAGCTCCCCCTTTGCCTTTGGCCATGATTGTAAGTTTCCTGAGGCCTCCCCAGAAGCCGAGCAGATGCCAGCATCATGCTTCCTGTACAGCCTGTGCAACTGTGAGCAATTAAGCATCTTTTCTTTATGTAATAAATTACCCAGCCTCAGGCATTTCTTTGTTTTCTTTTTGTTTTTTTGTTTGTTTTTTTTTTGTTTTTGTTTTGAGATGAAGTCTTGCTCTGTCGCCCAGGCTGGAGTGCAGTAGAGTGATCTCGGCTCACTGCAAGCTCCACCTCCTGGGTTCACGCCATTCTCCTGCCTCAGCCTTCCGAGTAGCTTGGACTACAGGCACCCACCACCACACCCAGCTAATTTTTTTGTATTTTTTTTAGTAGAGACGGGGTTTTACCATGTTGGCCAGGATGGTCTTGATCTCCTGACCTCATGATCCACCTGCCTCGGCCTCACAAAGTGCTGGGATTACAGGTATGAGCCACCACGCCCGGCCAGGCATTTCTTTATAGCAATGCCAGGATGGTGTGCCAGACTGTATCAGAGACAAGTGATACAAAGATGACCAAGATACAGTACTTGCCCAGGAAGAAGAATTCCTGTGGCCACCTCTGTCTTATATCAAGAGATAAGTGTGAAACAGAGTATCCACAACAGTGTTTGGGAAGACAGTGTGAGTGGCTCCCAACTCTACCAACAAAGGCTTCAAAGGAGTAATGACATTTGAATTGAGTCTTAAAGGATAAATGTATTACTTGGCCTGACAACACAGAAGAAAAGGTCATTTTTGTCAAAGAAATCAACCTTGAAAAAATGCCGCAGTTCATGACTTGTACCAGTGAAGGTAGCAAGGTCTGTGTGTTGGTGATGAATTTGCAGGGGATCAGGCTGAAGAAACAAGACTTGGGAGAGAGGATGTGAGACCTTTTTATGACATGCATAGAGTTGGCACCTCAGCCTTTGCATGGTAGGGAGCTAGCTGAAGGCTACCTCCATGACAGATGTACACTTTGAAAAGACAGGCCGGGTGCGGTGGCTCACGTCTGTAATCCCAGCATTTTGGGAGGCTGAGGTGGGCAAATCACTTGAAGTCAGGAGTTAGAGATCAGCCTGGCCAACACAGTGAAACCTGGTCTCTACTAAAAAAAATAAAATAATTAGCCAGGCATGGTGGCGCACACCTGTAATCCCAACTATTCGGGAGGCTGAGGCAGAAGAATTGCTTGAACACGGGAGGCGGAAGTTGCAGTGAGCTGAGATGGCACCACCGCACTCCAGCCTGGGCGACAGATCAAGACTCCATCTCAAAATAAAGGAAGATACAGCTAATCTATATTTCTTTCACCAGAGATCACCACCACTAACAATTCATACTGGTCGTTTTTCCCTGAATGTTTTACCTATGTAGGAAAATTTTACATCCCAATTTTTAATTTAACACTATGAAAAGCATTTCTTTTTATAATAAAGACACTCTATTAGTATACTTTTGATGGCTTCAAAACTACTTTTGTATAGATGCAAAATTAAAATATCAAATTGTTTCTTTTGTTTGTTTGTTTTTTTGTTTTTTTTTTGAGACAGAGTCTCACTCTGTCGCCCAGGCTAAAGCACAGTGGCATGATCTCGGCTCACTGCAAGCTTTTCCTCCCAGGTTAAAGTGATTCTCATGCCGCAGCCTCCCGAGAAGCTGGGACTACAGGTGTGCACCACCACCCCCGGCTAATTTTTTGTATTTTTACAAAACACAAAGAGAGACGGGGTTTCACCATGTTGGGCAGGCTGGTCTCAAACTCCTGACCTCAGGTGATCCGCCTGCCTCAGCCTCCCAAAGTGCTGGGATTGCAGGCGTGGGCCACCGTGCCCTGCCTCAAATTGTTTCTTTAATGGTTGTTCCCAAATTTTCATAAATAACTTTTTACGTAACATTTTTGGGCATAAAGTTGTCTAAAATTATTTTCATAGGCTAGATACCTTAAGTACACTTAATGATTTAAATCATACTTAACATTAAGACTTTAATGTTGCTATATTGATATTTAGTAAAAGTACAAAACTTGTGCTTTAGAGTTTAGACATATTCAGGATATAAGATAGTTTTGTTGGATTTGGCGAACACTTGCCCTAGGAGAATAAAAAATGATGAATTAGTCCAAAATGTTCCAGTTTTCTAATTTGTCAGACTCGGTAAATGGTATCATCACCAACCAAGAAAAACAGAAGATACAGGGAGAGTAGATTTTGCAGAAAAGATAAGGAGTTCTGTTTGGGACTTGCTGCCTTTGATATACTGCACTGGGAGAAAATCCAAGTCGAACAGAGTGGACAAGTGAGAATGTGCTGTGGAATCAACAAGAGGGGTGGGGAGTCTACCTACCTAGATTTGAGAGCAGTTTGGCAAATAATTGTTAGTAAATGTCATAGAAATTCGTGGGAGAGAGAAGTTGATAAGAACAGAGGGGTAAAGGATGAAACAGAGGAAACACTGCCGCTTCTCAGGGTTGGGTACAAGAGAAGCCAGGGAAATAGACTAAGAAAGAGTGATCAGGGAAACCGGGAGACAGTGTTGTCACGGAAGCCTGGAGTGTGAGATTTTCCAGAAAAGAAGGAATGAAAGAATGAATGGTCTGTAGATCCATTACTCAGCACTATCAGACACATTGTCCCCTTTTGATATCCCATAATGAAATTTATAGATAATATAATCTACTTGTGCACAAAATTTTAGAAATTAATATAATGCCCCAACTATAATATAAAGTGTATTAGTCAGGGTTCTCTAGAGGGACAGAACTAATAGGATATATATATATAAAGGGGAGTTTATAAAGTATTAACTTACACTATTACAAGGTCCCACAATAGGCTGTCTGCAAGCTTGAGGAGCAGAGAGCCAGGCTGAGTCTCAACACTGAAGAACTTGGAGTCCGATGTTCGAGGGCAGGAAAAATCCAGCACAGGAGAAAGACGCAGGCTGGGAGGCTAGGCCAGTCTCTCCTTTCCATGTTCCTCTGCCTGCTTTATATTCACTGGCAGCTGATTGGATTGTGCCCACCAGATTAAGGGTGGATCTGCCTTCCCCAGCCCACTGACTCAAGTATTAATCTCTTTTGACAACACCCTCACAGACACACCCAGGATCAATATTTGTATCCTTCAATCCAATTAAGCTGACACTCAGAATTAACCATCACATAAAGGAAGAAGTAAAAGGAAAGTATATTTTATATAATAAGTATTTAAATATGTAAACATTGGGACATGACTAAAACTGACTGAACACATTGAAGGAGTCACTTGGTTGGTCTGATGTGCAGAATTACCATGCATGCTACAAATGGAGAGGGGTCTACATGAGCTGTATTGCTTGTGGTGCCGCAGATGACTTGAATTTCCAGAATGGTGAGTATTTGAACAAAACAAAGTATAGTTTTCCCTCAAATTACACTATGGTTGTATTGCTGTAAAGTTCCATGTATAAAAACATATTTTATGAGTCCTTATTGTATGATTCCATTTATTTAGAATTCTATAAAGTGCCAGTTTTTTTCTTTTTTTTTTAATTTGTGGGTTTTTTTTGTTTGTTTGTTTGTTTGTTTTTTGAGATGGAGTCTCACTCTGTCACCCAGGCTGGATTCTCCTGCCTCAGCCTCCTGAGTAGCTGAGATTACAGGCACCCACCACCATGCCCGGCTAATTTTTGTATTTTTAGTAGACGAGGTTTCACCATGTTGGCCAGGCTGGTCTCGAACTCCTGACTTCAGGTGCTCCACCTGCCTCGGCCTCCCAAAGTGCTGGGATTACAGATGTGAACCACTGTGCCTGGTTTAAAGTGCAAATTAATTTGTAGATTCAGAAAGCAAATCATGGTTACCTGGAGATGGACGTAGAGGAAGGGATAGAATTACAAATGGGTGTGAGAAGACTTTTGTAACTGATGGAGGTGTATGTGTCCTCGACTGTCATGATGGTTTCATGTGTGAATACAAACGTCAAAACTCATCAGGTCGTACATTTAATACATGTGCAGTTTATTGTTCATCAGTTATGCTCAATGAATTTTTTCAATAAATGTTTAATAAAGCTGAGCAAAAAAGTACATTGTATATCTATATTTAAAACTGCATTAACCTCTGATAGTTATAAACAGGTTTTTGTCCTGTGGTGAGTGTCCAGCAAGGATTTGAAAGTCCTGCATGACACAGGACAGTTCTTTCTTATGCAGTACTGTCCATGCATTTTAGGACTCTTGGCATTCCTGGCCCTGCCAATTAAATGCTAGTCCTTGCAACAATCAGAAAACGCTCCCACAGCATTCCAGAACACTTCCTATGGAGTGATACAGTGCAAGGGGGAAGCAAGTGTTCACAGCATCAAGTGCCCCTCCTTCATTCTTAGAGTTCTGGCTAAGCAAGAAATCGGGGAAAATAACATAATGGCGCAGTAATCGTGACCTCTGTGGAACTCTGTAGTTCTCCCTCCCGCCAGCTGATACAGTTGTTCCACTGTGACTACATAAATTGCTCCAATCCCTTTTTTCCTCAGAACTATAGGTTCTTAGGTTAACTCATTAGACATATGAATGTTGCTGTTCCTCTTAGCAATGGCTCTCATCTAGCCGGTTTCCAGCCTACTTACAAATGAAATCTGTTCCCTAAAGCTACTTCCAGTATGATGCTCACATTTGCCTCATTCAAAGTGTATTTCAAACATTAAGCAAAACATAATGAAAACCTTGAAAGAAACAACTTATTATTCTGCATGATTTGTTGTGGCTTTTATACTGATTATATTGGGTCCAAAAGTTTTCCACATTTCTGCCCAAAAGACTATTTTTCTTTAAGTCATGACTGGGGCAAGTGATTTGACATCTACAGCTGCTATTTCTTCATAATTAACACACTTACGAGACACAATAAATATGGAACCCTAAAATGCTGTACAATTGTAAGGTCCATCATTGCAATGGGCGGTAATTGACTACAGAAGGCCTTGGTATGTAACAATAGGTAAGGTCTTTTTATGCTCAAAATAAGGACAGATGAGGAACAGTGCTCCTCTAATAATTCTCTGACCTGTTGTTTTAAGGATTCAGGCCATGGACGCTGTTCTTATGTGTACCTCTATTTTGTTTCATGTTTATGTTCTTCTTCTGCATTCTGTCTTCCTACAGCCAAAGGGAATGGACGGCTTTGAGGTGGACAGAGATAGGGTGGAAGAAGAGAGTTAAATTTACGGCTCTAAGGTTATGCTCTAAGTGGAAGAAAACTAAAGAATTACAATTGATTTTCAGGAAACTATTTGAATGTCTTTCCCTATTCACCCTTTTCCCTCCACCTTCATACATATGTAAAGTCATAATGCGAATTATAAAGTGCTTCTTGGCAGTGACGTTTAAAAGATTGTTGGTTACTCTCTGTGTTCATCAGTAATAGATGTGTATTGGCTTCTAATATGCTGAGGACTTGATTTAGATTTGTCATTCATTCAGAGGGACCCGTGAAGGCTAAGGGTAGTCAAAAAGGATACTAGATGATTTACAATGTAAATAGAAAATATTCTACTCAGACTCATTTATCAATATGGAAGTGTCCGAGATTACTTGCTAGAGGCTCTGTTAGATCATTCATGAAATGGGTATGAAGAGGAGAGAGAGGTTATACTTTGTAAATTCTATATGTTAATAAAATGAGTGCTTTATTCATTTTCAGTCAGAAAAAAATAAAAATATTAGATAACAAACACCATTAAACTTTTTCCAGTTAAAAATAAACAATATTTCTCATTAAGAAAAAGTGTATGGCGTGCAGTTCTAGGCTTAAGGTGTTGCAAAATAGATGCACAGAAAATTGTGCTTAAAATAGCTGCCACATTTGTTCTGTTTTCTACCACATACCCCACTAAACATGATAAATTCTTCTTTCCCAACCTCTTTTGATCCTCCCCACAAATTAAGTTTCATAACAGACTACCACATTTTGTTCTAGTTCATATTCTTTTTTTCTGTCATAATACAACAAGTAAATTGTAGTGGCTTTGATTTATGTTTCTGCCTGACTTCAAAAACACTAGAGAAATTGTCCGTTCTAAAAATGGGCTCATGGATCTTGAGCATGTAGCAGGAAAATGGGGAGACAGTCCTGTGAATTGCAGAGGAACCTTGGAACTGCCCATCCTCACCAGGAGGAACTTGGGCCTCCCCTGGCAGGTAACAATGCGCATTACTGCTCTATCCCTCACAGGACACTGCCTTGCCTCCCTTGACTTGTGATTTTAAAAATTCCCAGTGGTTTTCAGTTTTTCTTATAAATTCTTTTAGATTTGCTTTTAGGGTCTAAACCATTTATTTCTGATCTTGCCTTTTGTTTGTTCAATAGATCTTGAGACTCTGAATTCTAAAATCACATGATCAATTTAATTTTTTTTATGTTTGGTCAGGGTCTTGCTCTGTTGTCCAGGCTGCAGTGCAGTGACACAGATCATAGCTCACTGCAGCCTCGACCTCCTGGGCTCAAGCAATCCTCTTACCTCAACCTCCAAAATAGCTGGGATGACAGGTACACGCCACCACTCCTGGCTAATTTTTAAATTTTTTATAGAGACAGGGTTTCACTGTGTTGCCCAGGCTGGTCTCGAACTCCTGGGCTCAAGTGCTCCACCCGCCTGGGCCTCCCAAAGTGCTGAGATTACAGGTATGAGCCACCATGCCTGGCCTAATTTTTTAATTGCAATTTTTCTTAGATGCATGAAGAAAAGTTACACAGATTTAAACGGAGTTTCTGGAGAAATCAACTGAAGCACTGAAGTTTTATTTTCACAGATTATCATTAGAATATTTTCCTGGGTATTCATTTTATTAAGACTAATTTTCTAAATCCAGGAGTGGATCTTAGAGCACTTTCTCTCTGAGGGAGTGGATCTTTACACAAAGATTCAGAGTATGAAAAGCAACGCGTTTTCATTGATTCTCCTATTCTTTCTGAAATCCAGCAAGGAAGAGAGCTGGAGGGGTCCCTGCGAGAAAGAAGAGTGCTCCAGGAGGGCACAGCCTGTGTTGATGGTGACGAGATGGGAGGATATTCTAATAGTCACCCTTCCTCGGGGAACAGTGTGTTCCCCTAGGCTGGGGAAGGGAGAGGATTTCTCTGTGTGTCCCAAGAAGGCACACAGCTGCAGCCTGGGCCTCACACACATTCTTTTGCTCTAGACCAGGGATTGGCAAACTTTTTCTGTAAAAGACCAAATGTAACTATTTTCTATTTTGCAGGCCATATGATCTCTGTTGTAACTACTAACTCTACACTGGCAGCTGGCGTGTAGCCATGGACTATGCATAAGCAAGTGAGAGGAGCTCTATGTCACTGTGGCTGTGTTTCCAGAAACACAGCCTATATGTTAGCCCGCAGCAGAAAGCCTGCAGCACTCCAGATTTGTCTGTGGGTTGTAGTTCACTGATCCCTGCTCTAGGTCACACTTGACATTCTCACTGGGCAAGCTGGGTGTAGCCCCTATGTGAATGGTCAAGTTCCCATTTGCAGAAAGAGTCACCAGATATTTAGAGGCTGGGCTTCCCTAAGTCCCTGTGTTAACCAGGATATGGCCTGGGACATCCCAAGGGAAGTTTTAAAACATACAGCCAGGTAACATGTAGATCCTTGCATTTCATGTGTAACATTGGAACCTAAATCAAACTACAGCATATGACAAAAGCCAGACCATCATATCTAAAGCCTACAGGCTTCTCCTGCCTTTGAGCAAAGTCTGGCCAATGGATGAATGAATGTGCCTAACAAAATGTAGAGCAACATACATGGGTGTTATTCCAAATATTTAATAACTCTTTAGAAGGCCCAGGAACGTACCAAGAGAAACAGGCCTTAGCGGTAGACAACCAGCCTGATTTCTGTACCAGTGAGCACTCGCTGAAAAGAAGTTGTCAATAAATGGTAGCAGAGTGCATGCACACACGCATTCATGTATTTATAAAAATATATACACATCTATACATGCATACATTTTTTTCAGAGCGTATTGAGACCACTTGAGCTTCTCAACATGCATTTCTACATTACAAATCTTCAGCTTCCCTCACCTGCCTCCCCCGAGCACCCCTGCTATACTCCCTGTCTTTCCCACACATCAACTTACCCATTTCTAAAAGCTTCCTGGCCTCTGTCTTCAAAGATGCCAACATCATCTTCATTCTGTAACAATAGCCGTTTTATTGAATACAATATTTTGTATTTGATGTGTAGGTCATTTTCTTCAGAAAAGGTACATTGTCATACAGGCTACGAGATTGGGTAACCAATAAACTGCAGTCATTCTGAAGTTAGTCTCGCTCTCTTTTCTTTCCTCTCTGAATTGTAGGTTCAGCTTTGTTGTTATTTTCCAAAAATACATTATTACAACATCCTATGGGTCTTATAAATAATGAGATTGGCAAGTGAACCTATTTGGCAAATTCCCATAAAACCTTTGGTGATTTAAAGGAGCAAGTTTCCCTATTAGTCGAAAATGAACTACTTGTTTTTCTTTCTCCTTTTTGTGTGTACACACATACACACACTTCTGTGGTTTTATATTTTATTCAAAAATAATTGAAAAATTTTAAATGATTCTTAAATTAAGAAATAACAAATGGAAAATTAGAAGCAAACCTTAGCCAGGTGTCTGGTAGGTGAAGGGGTCTGTAAACTGGGGATGGCAATTGAAATTAGGTTAGTCTAGACAAACTTCACAACCCACCAGAGGGAGAAATTTATATGTATATGACCAACAAATATTTATTGAAAGTAAATAGACTTTGGGGCTCTATTTGTTTCCTTCCTGTTCTTGTCATCCAGGTGTTATATAACGTTAACTTTCTGGAGTCAGGTGTATCCACTTATAAAATCTGCCCTGATTTGTGAAGAGGTGTGTTTTTTGTTTTTGTTGTTGTAGTTGTTTTTAATCAGTAACTCCCCACCTGAAGCAAGACTTCAGAAATGGAAAAAACTGGATCACTTTGTTGCTTTTGGAGTATTTTCTCTGTCACTTGGAGACTGGAAAAGACAAGATGGTTGCCAACTCAAGGATTTCCGCCTTCTGGAGGCCGCGTAGTCTGAGCATCTGTCTTCGCTTCAGAACATTGTCTGAGGCTAGAATTGTCCTGGCAGTTGTCTCTTGGACAGTACTTAAAACTTAAGGAGTCTGGATCTTCATGAAACTGTATATGATATTTCTCCCCCACCTCCCTCTTCCCGGTCTTCTGTTTCCTTTTGTCTTCTGTAATAGCAGAACTTTGTTATCTTTTTAGAACTGGCACTGCTTGGAACAGCTTTCTACAATTTGGAGGCCTATGAGAAGGGGAACTAGAGAACAGTGATTAACTTTAGATGATGTTTTTAGAAACGCTTTTTTTTTTTTTTTAAGTCGCAGTCTCACTCTGTCACCCAGGCTGGAGTGCAACAACGCGATCTCGCCTCACTGCAAACTCCGCCTCCCGGGTTCAAGTGATTCTCCTGCTTCAGCCTCCTGAATAGCTGTGGTTACAGTCACGCGCCACCACACCCGGCTAATTTTTGTATTTTTAGTAGAGACAGGGTTTCACCATGTTGGTCAGGCTGGTCTCGATCTCCTCACCTTGTGATCCGCCTGCCTCGGCTTCCCAAAGTGCTGGGATTACAGGCATGAGCCACTGTGCCCAGCCGAAACACAATTTTTTAAACACATTTTTAAAAACATTAAGTTTAAAGGAAAAGCATAAATTTGAAAAGATTTATTTTAATAAAATTCAGTTTTTTAGAACACTAATGATAAAAATAGGAAATAAAAAGGAAAAGACTCTTTTCATTAAATAGTGTGGAACAATTGGAGATTCATATGCAAAAAAACACCTCCATCTACATATAATCAGAGAAGGAAACTAATTATAAATTATTGGGGTTGTGTGTGTGTTTTGAGACGGAGTTTCTCTCTTGTCACCTGGTCTGCAGTGCAATGGCGCAATCTCTGCTCACTGCAACTTCCGCCTCCCAGGTTCAAGCAATTCTCCTGCCTCAGCCTCCCAAGTAGCTGGGATTACAAGCACCTGCCACCATGCCCGGCTAATTTTTGTATTTTTAGTAGAGACGGGGTTTTCCCATGTTGGCCAGGCTGGTCTCGAACTCCTGACCTCAGGTGATCTGCCCGCCTCGGCCTCCCAAAGTGCTGGAATTACAGGTGTGAGCCCGCCATGCCCAGCCTGTAAATTATTAAACCTATACAATGACTTTCTGAAATACGTTTCTTCAATATACAGCATTCACTTTAAAAAGCTCAATATTCTAGGTGAAGTAACTCAGGAATGGAAAACCAAATACTGTACGTTCTCACTGGGAGCTAAGCAACAAGGATGCAGAGACACCCACAGTGATATAATGGACTTCGGGGACTCAGAGGGAGGGTGAGGAATAAAAGACTACATATTGGGTACAGTGCACACTGCTCAGTTGACTAGTGCATTAACATCTCAGAATTCACCATTATAGAATTCAACCATGTAACCAAAAACCATTCGTACCACCAAAGTGATTTAAATAAAAAATAAAAGCATTTCCATATATACTTACAATTCTTCTGTGTTTATGCATTTAATATTTACTCATGTGAAGCATGCATCATGCTAGACCCTGTGACAGACTGAGGGATGTCAAAATTAATCTAATGTCATTTCTGATTCCAAGTAGTTTAAAATTTAATAATTGAGATGAATCATGTCTTCCAGCCAGTGAACTACAAGATGATAAGTGGTATGTGTTGGCAGAACCTTTTCATCTGGTAGGATCAGGGACAATATCCTAGAGGAAGTATTACTGACTTCAGTTCTTGGTTTATAACAATGCCTCATTTTTCCCTCAACAATGTGTTTACTTCTTTGGTGACTTGTCTTTTTAAATCTTTAGCGCATTAAAAAATACAATGGTTTCTGCTCAAGGAAATAAGAGCAGACACAAAAAAATGGAAAAACATTCCATGCTCTTAGATAGGAAGAATCAGTATTGTGAAAATGGCCATACTACCCAAAGTAATTTGTAGATTCAGTGCTATCTTCATCAAGCTACCATTGACTTTCTTCACAGAATTAGGAAAAACTACTTTAAATTTCATATGAAACCAAAAAAGAGCCCATATAGCCAAGACAATCCTAAGCAAAAAGAACAAAGCCGGAGGCATCACGCTACCTGACTTCAAACTATAAGGCTACAGTAACCAAAACAGCATGGTTCCGGTACTAAAACAGATATATAGACCAAAGGAACAGAACAGAGGTCTCAGAAATAACGCCGCATATCTACAACCATCTGATCTTTGACAAACCTGACAAAAACAAGCAATGAGGAAAGGATTCCCTGTTTAATAAATGGTGTTGGGAAAACTAGCCAGCCATATGCAGAAAACTGAAACTGGACCGCATCTTAACTCAAGATGGATTAAAGACTTAAACGTAAGACCTAAAACCATAAAAACCCTGGAAGAAAACCTAGGCAATGTCATTCAGGACATAGGCATGGGCAAAGACTTCATGACTAAAACACTAAAAGCAATGGCAACAGAAGCCAAAATTGACAATTGGGATCTAATTAAACTAAAGAGCTAATGCACAGCAAAAGAAACTATCATCAGAGTGAACAGGCACCCTACAGAATGGGAGAAAATTTTTGCAATCTATCCATCTGACAAAGGGATGATATCCAGAATCTACAAAGAACCTAAGGAAACTTACAAGAAAAAGAACAACCCCATCAAAAAATGGCTGAAGGATATGAACAGACACTTCCCAAAAGAAGACATTTATGTGGCCAACAAACATGAAAAAAAGCTCATCATCACTGGTCATTAGAGAAATGCAAACCAAAACCACAATGAGATACAATCTTATGCCAGTTAGAATGGCAATCATTAAAAAGTCAGGAAACAACCGATGCTGGAGAGGATGTGGAGAAATAGGAACACTTTTACACTGTTGGTGGGAGTGTAAATTAGTTCAACTATTGTGGAAGACAGTGTGGCAATTCCTCAAGGATCTAGAACCAGAAATACCATTTGACCTAGCAATCCCATTACTGGGTATATTCCCAAAGGATTATAAATCATTCTACTATAAAGACACATGCACACATATATTTATTGCAGCACTGTTCACAAAAGCAAAGACTTGGAACCAACCCAAATGCACATCAGTGATAGACTAGATAAAGAAAATGTGGCACATATACACCATGGAATACTATGCAGCCATAAAAAAGGATGAGTTCATGTCCTTTGCAGGGACATGGATGAAGCTGGAAACCATCATTCTCAGCAAACTAACACAAGAACAGAAAACCAAACACTGCATGTTCTCACTCACAAGTGGGAGTCGAACAATAAGAACACATGGACAGAGGGAGGGGAACATCACACACTGGGACCTGTCAGGGGATGGGGGACTAGGGGAGGGATAGCATTAGGAGAAATATCTAATGTAGATGAGGGGTTGATTGGTGCAGCAAACCACCATGGCACGTGTACACCTATGTAACAAACCTGCATGTTCTGCACATGCATCCCAGAACTTAAAGTATAATTTAAAAAATACAGTGGTTTGATTATTACTGAATTTTGAAAGTTCTTTATGTATTCTGGATACAAGTACTTTATCAGATATATGATTTGCCATTATTTTCTTGAAGTATGTGGCTTATCTTTTCATTCTTTTGTCAATGTCTTTTGAAGAGCAGAGGAATTGTAAGTCATGGATCGTGCTTGTTGTGTCCTATCTTTCAAATATACCTAAGCCAAGGTCACAAAGATTTTTATTTTCTTTTGTGTTTTCCTCTAGAAGTTTTAAAAGGTTTTAGATTTTACGTTTAGGTCTATGATCCATTTTGAGTTCATTTTTGTATATGGTGTGTGGTATGAAGTATGGATGGAAGGCCTTTAAATTTTTTTTGCATGTGAATTTCTAGTTGTTCCAGTACTATTTATTGAAAAGATGATCTTTTCCCTAGTTAGCTGCCTTTGCACCTTTGTTGAAAATTAATTAACAACATATGTGTTAGTGTATTTTTGGGCTCTATTCTGTTCTAATCTGAGTCTATTTGATGGCAGTACCACATTGCTTTCTTACTATAATTTTATAACAAGTCTTGAGACACATAATATAAGTGTGCTGACTTTCTTCTTTTTCACAGTAGTTTTGGCTATTTCAGGTTCTTTGCATTTTCATATGAGCTTTAGAAAGCTAATCAATTTATATGAAGAAAGCCTGCTAGGATTTTGGTAGGGATTTCATTTGAATCATTGAATATATTGATCAACTTGGGGAGAATTGACATCTTTTTTTTAATGTGACTTTTAAAATTTGCTATATAATATACATATTTTGGGAGTACCTAAGATAATTTAATACATTGATATAATTTGTAAAGATCAAGTCAGTCTAATTGAGATATCCATAACCTTAACTATTTGTCTTTTCTTTATTCCAGAAACATTCAAATTATTCCCTTCTTAGCTATATTGAGATGTATGATAAATTATTATAAATAGCCCACCGGTCACCTTACTGATCTATCAAACACTAGATCTTATTTCCTCTATCTAACTGTAAATTTGTACCCATTAATTAACCTCTCTTCATCCTCTACCCTTTTCAGCCTCTGGTAACTACCAGTCTACCCTTTATCTTAACGAGATTCATGGTTTAATTCCCACAAATGAGTGAAAACATGAGATATTTGTCTTTCTGTACTTGGCTTATTTCATTTAACATAATGACGTCCAGTTCCATCCATGTTGCTGCAAATGACCAGCTTTCTTTCTTTTTAATGGCTTAATAATATTCCATTGTGTAGGTATACCACATTTTCTTTATCCATTTATCCATCCATTGATGAGCATTTAGCTTGATTTCCCTATTTTGGCTATTGTGCTACAATAAACATGAAAGTATTACAATAAACATGAGAGTGCAAATATCCCTTTGATATGTTGATTTCCTTTTATATATGTGCAGTAGTGCAGTAGTGGAATTGCTGGATCATATGGATCATATGGTAGTTCTTTTTTTTTTTTTTTTTTTTTTTTTTTTGAGATGGAGTCTCACTCTGTTGCCCAGGCTGGAGTGCAGTGGCGAAATCTCAGCTCACTGCAACCTCTGCCTCCTGGATTCAATTAATTTTCCTGCTTCAGCCTTTTGAGTAGCTGGGATTACAGGTGCCTGCCACCACATCTGGCTAATTTTTGTATTTTTAATAGAGACGGGGTTTCACCACATTGGCCAGGCTGGTTTTGAACTCCTGACCTCAAGTGATCTTGCCCACCTTGGCCTCCCAAAATGCTAGAATTACAGGCTTTAGCCACCATGCCCAGCCTATTTTTTTTGTGTTTGTGTTTTGAGGAACTTCTATACACTTTTTCATAGTGACTGTACTAATTTACATAACATCTTAAAATACTAAATCTTCCAATCTTTGAACAAGTTATATCTCTTCATTAATTTAGGTGTTCTTTAATTTCTCAGCAATGTTTGCAGTGTTCAGTGTACAGATCTTGCACATCTTTTGTTAGAATATTTTATGCAATTGTAAATGGCATTGTTTTTAAAGTTTTCTGGTTGCTCACTGTTAATATATAGAAATACAATTATTGTTTTCTATATTACTCATGTATCATAACTTTGCAAAATTCATGTATTAATTTTAGTTTCTTTTAATGTATTCTATAAGATTTTCTAAATATAAATTTTTTATGATATCTACATATAGCTAGTTTATTTATTTCTTTCCAATCTGGATACCTTTTCTATCTTTTTCTTGCCTGATTGCATTGGTTAGAACTTTTAGTACAATGTTGAATAGAAGTGGTGAGAGCAATCATCCAGGTCTTATCTGTGACTTTAGGAAGAAAACATTTAGTCTTTCATATTAAATATGATATTACTGTTTTTCCTAGATTCCCTTTATAGGTTGAGGTAGTACCCTTCTATTCCTAATTTGCTAAGAATTTTTTTACAGGAAAGGATGCTGGATTTTGTCAAGTACTTTTTTCCCATATATTGCGATGATCATGTGGTTTTTATTTTTTCATCTGTTAATATGATGAATTCCATTGATTATTTTTCAAACGTTAAATCATCCTTGTAGTCGCAGGATGAACTCCATTTGGTTATGATGCATTATATTTTTTATATAGAGTAGATTGATTTGCTAAAATTTTGTTAATAATACTTGTGTCTGTGTATATAGGGGACATTAGCTGATGGCTTCCTTTTCATGTTATGTCTGTCTTGTTTTGGTATTTGGGTAATGCTGGCCTCATAGAATGAGTTAGTGAGTGTTCCCTCCCCTTCAATTTTCTGAAAGAGTTTTTGGAGAACTTCTTTTTAAGAAGAAAAATAATAAATTATCTTTTTCTTAAATGTTTGTAGGAATTCTCTGATGAAGCCATCTGGACCTGGAGTTTTCTTGATAGAAAAGTTTTTATTTTTATTTCTTATTTTTATTTTTATTTATTTATTTTTTTGAGACAGAGTCTCACTCTGTCGCCCAGGCTGGAGTGCAGTGGCGCGATCTTGGCTCACCGCAAGCCCCGCCTCCCGGGTTCACGCCATTCTCCTGCCTCAGCCTCCCGAGTAGCTGGGACTACAGGCGCCTCCCACCACGCCCAGCTAATTTTTTTGTATTTTTAGTAGAGATGGGGTTTCACCGTATTAGTCAGGATGATCTTGATTTCCTGACCTTGTGATCCACCTGCCTCGGCCTCCCAAAGTGCTGGGATTACAGGCGTGAGCCACCACAACCAGCCTCTTGGTAGAAAAGTTTTAAATTACAAGTTCAATTTATTTAATAGATAAAGGGCTATTCAGGTTATCTATTTCTTCTCAAGTGAGCTTTGGTAGATTGTGTTTTACAAGGAATTTATCTTTTACACTAAGTTGGTGAGCTTGTTGGCATAAAGTTATTTGTAATATTCCAGTATTTTTCATTTAATATCAGTAAAATTTGTAGTGATATCACCTCTCTCATTGCTGGTATTACCAATTTATGTCTTCTCTTTTTCCTGATCCATCTGGATAAAGGTTTATTAATTGTATTGATCTTTTCTAAAAACAAGCATTTGGTTTCATTTATTCTTTTTTTTTCTGTTTTCTGCTTCATTGTTTTTTGGTTCTGGTACTTGTTATTTCTAATTTTTTCTGCTTATTTTGGATTTAGTTTGCTATTTTTCTCTTTTAAGATCAAAGCTGAAGTCATTGCTTGGACATTATAGGTGTTTAATGTTACAAATTTCCCTCCAACCACTGCTTTAGCAATGTCCCACAAATTTTGTTATGGTACATTTTTAATACTTTTACACTTTCTGGTTTCATTTTTATTTCTCTTTTGATCCATTGGGTAATTAGAAGTATGTTATTTTGTTTCAAAATATTCCAGGATTTTCCAGATATCTTTCCATTATAGATTTGTAATTTAATTTGATTGTAGTCAAAGAACATATTTCAATGATTTGGATCCTTTTAAATTTATTGACACTTTTTGTGTAGACTAAATAGTATCTATATTGGTAAATGTTCTATGTGTACTTGAAAACGTGTATTCTGCTATTAATGGGTGAAATGTTTTATAAATGTCAAATAAGTTGTCTTTTATATACTTACTTATTTAGTATCTACCTGTTCTATAGATTATTGAAAGAGGGTTTTTTAGAAAAAGTTACTTATTATTTATATTTTTAGAGACATGGCCTTGCTATGTTGCCCAGGCTGGCCTTGAACCTCTGGGCTAACACTGTCTTCCTGCCTCAGTCTCCTGAATAGCCAGAACTACAGGTACATCAGGCACATGCCACCATGCCCAGCTGAAAGAGGGGTTTTGAAATCTTTTACTGTAATTTTGGTTTTTGTCTATTTTTCCTGGCTGTTCTCTGAGTTTTTGCTGTATTTGTTTTGAAGCTCTTGTTAATATGTAAAGTTTGAAGATTGTTATTTCGTCTTCATTGATCTTACTGATTATTATAAAATGATTTGCTTAATCTCCAGAAGTCTTTTTGCTCTATAATAAAATTTTTCCTCTATTAATATAGCCACTACAACTTTCATTTGATTTGTTTTAGCATGGCATGGTTTTTTTATCCTTTAATTGTAAGCTATTTATGTCCAGCATACTGTTCTGTATTGCTTTTTAATCTGGTCTGATAACCTTTGCCTTTTTTTTTTTTTTTTTTTTTTTGAAACGGAATTTCACTCTTGTTGCCCAGGCTGGAGTGCAATGGCACGATCTCAGCTCACTGCAACCTCTGCCTCCCGGGTTCAAACGATTCTCCTTCCTCAGCCTCCTGAGTAGCTGAGATTACAGGTGCCTGCCACCACGCCCGGCTAATTTTTGTATTTTTAGTAGAGACGGGGTTTCACCATGTTGGCCAGGCTGGTCTCGAACTCCTGACCTCAGGTGATCCACCCACCTCAGCCTCCTAAGTGCTGGGATTACTGGCATGAGCCACCATGCCTGGCTACCTTTTCTTTTTAATTGAGAGGTTTACACCATTTATACTTTAATGTAATTATTGATGTGGTTGCATTTAAATATTATTTTTATTTGCTTTATATTTTTCCTTTTTTTAAAATTTTTTGGAGACAGAGTCTCACTCTGTCGCCAGGCTGGAGTGCAGTGGCAAGATCTTGACTCACTGCAACTTCCGCCTCCCGGGTTCAAGCAGTTCTCCTGCCTCAGCCTCCCAAGTAGCTGGGACTACAGGCACACGCCACCAGGACTGGCTAATTGTTTTGTTTTTTTGTATTTTAGTTGAGGCGGAGTTTCACCATGTTGCCCAGGCTGGTGTCAAACTCCTGAGCTCAGGCAGTCCGCCTGCCTCAGCCTCCCAAAGTGCTGGGATTACAGGTGTGAGCCACCGTGCCTGACTATTTTTCCTTTTTTCATTCTTCTTTTTCTTCTTTTTTGGCTTCTTTTGGTTTAATTGACAATTATTTGCTTAACATCTCTTTGTTGTGTTATTTTAGTGATTCCTTTAAGCTATGTATTATAATCTTTATCAGTTTACCTTGAAGTAAATTGTCTGAGGTTAAAAATAAACTGAGTAGATTAATGGCATAGTAGACATAGCACAAGAAAAAGATTAGTGAATTTGTAGGCAAAAGCAGTAGAAACTTTCCAAAATAAAACAGAAAAAAAGATTGAAATATATATATATGCAAAGAGAATAGTGATATAGTCAAATATGACTATATTTTTATTTGTTATATATATATATGACAAAAATTTTATAACAGTCCACTTCTGTATCTCCTTCTCCCTTGCAGGCCTTTCTGCTATTGTCATGCATTTTTATTATTTTTGTTTTAAACAATCAATTTTAAGGACATTTAAGTAATCGGAAAATAATTTTATATTTAACCTTGAACTTACTGTTCCTTATGCTCTTCATTCTCATTATAGATTCATATTTCCATTTGGTATCATTTTCCTTCTGCTTGAAGGATTTCCTGTAACATTTCTTATGGGGAAGATCTGCTGCTGCTGAATCTTTCATCATTTTTATGTCTGAAAAAAACCTTATTTCTCTTTTATTTTCAAAGGATATTTTCATTGGGTTGATAGTTTTTCTTCAAGTACTTAAAAGATGTTGTTATGCTATCTTTCAGATTGTATTGTTTCTGACAAAAACATCTGCTGGCGTCCTTTTCTTTATTCCTCTGTACATACAGGCTTTTTTGTTTGTTTTCCTCTAATTGATTTTACGATTTTTTCTTTATTGCTAATTCAAATAAGTTGATTACGGTGCACCATGGTGTTGTTTTCTTCATATTTCTTATCCTTTGAGTTTATTGAACTCCTTGAATCTGTGGTTTTTGTGTTTTCATCATTCTGTTAGGGTGTTTAGAAAATTTTCTTTGTGTTTTCTTAAGATGTCAGTATTTTCGCTGGCTTCTTAAACATGCAGAATAAAGTTGTAATAACTGTTTTCATGTCCTTGTCTACTAATTCTGTCACCTGTCATTACAAGGTTCATTTGTAGTGATTGCATTTTCTCCTCATTATGGGTCATATTCTCTTGCTTATTTGCAAGCCTCGTCATTTTTTATTGGAATTTGCAGTGTGGATTTTTTTTTATTAGGGGCTGGATACTTTTATAGTTCTATAAATATTTTTGAGCTTTGTTCTGGCACTTGAAAACTATTTGATCCTTTCATATCTTACTTTTAAGATTTGTCAGGTAAGACCAGAGCATTTAGTCTAAGAAAAAGCTTTTCCCCACTCTAGAGGCAAAACTCTTCTGAATACTCTATCCATGGTCTTATAAATTATGAACTTTTCCACTTAAGCTGCTGAGAACACAAACTATTCCTGACCCTCGGTGATTACTGGGATCCTGTTATCTGATTCTTCCAGTGATTTTCCCTGACTGAGGGTAGTTTCCATATATGAATTTGCTGATTCTATTCAGCTGAAGGCTTGACGGGGCTCCTCTGAGGAGCTCCAGAGTTCTCTGTCTTTGGAGATCTCTCTTCACCAGTATCCTGTTATGTGAGCTCCAGGGCTTCCTTGATTCCCAGCTCCATTTCCTAAACTCAGACCCTCAGGCTCAGCTGGGTTCCCTGCTTCTGCCCCATGGCCTGGAAGCTCTCCCTAAGCAATAAACTGGGGCTATTGTAGGGCTCAACTTGTTTATTCCCTGTTCCTCCAGGATCACTGTTTTCAGCTTCCTGACATTCAATATCTTGAGAATCGTTTCATATATTTTGTGTATGTATGTGTGTGTGTTTTTCATTTCAAGTGGGAAGTGAGTCTGGTTCCTGTTACTCCATCTCGGCTGGAAGCTGACACATTTATGAGGCCATCTGATATCCTCCTATTGGTCACAGGGGCTCTGTTTATTTATTTTTTCACTCTTTTTTCTCTGTGTGTTTCTGTTTATTCACCAGTATCTAATGTATTGTTAATTCTACTCATTGGAGGTATTATTTCACATATTGTATTTTTTATGTATAGACATTTCATCATTTATGTCTTCTTTTTCCTTATTCATGTTGTATTTTAAAGCTTTAAAGGTTTTGAGTATTTTTATTATAGCTGTTTTAACATTTTTTCTGCTAACTCCATCATCTCTGTGTCTTTCTATTGAGATTTTTCTTCTCATTATTTGTTCCTTTTTCTTTCTTTTTCATTTATTAAGTAATTTTCATTGGATTTTGGAAGTTGTCAATTTCAAGTGGTCAAGTCCTAGATTTTGTTGTATTTCCTTAAAGAGTGTACAGCTGTATTTTGGCAGCTAGTTCAGTTTCTTGTGGATATTTTTTCGGGGGTTACATTCTAGAGCAGCCTCTAGCTAGAGCAAATTTAGCCTTCTTAGTAAGGCATGAGACTTCTAAGGTTTCCATTGTATATCTTGTGTATTTGACCATGTCTCTTTACTCTGGCAAGTGTGAAGTCTTACTCTGTCATGGTTTAAAGCATAAGTCCACTTGATATATATATTTTTAGTATACACACCAGTGTACATACATTTTCCTAGCTCTGTATGAGCAGTGGGAACTTTTGGATTATAGCTCCGTGGTTCTTTGTGTAGAAGTTAATTTTTGCCTGATCTTGAGAAGGTTCAACTCATGCAGCCCTGATGGGCATTCAGCCAGAGTCAAGGGGACCCCCATGCCAATTCCTAAAGCAATATCTCTTCATTGATTTTATTTTTTCTGGTGCTCTGACCAGAAGATTCTAGCCAACTCGCCTTCCTGAGCTTTGATCTCTGCTTCTTCACCTCAGTGAGACTACTGGGCTCTGTGCAGGAACTCCTTCCATGTGCTCTATTTTGGAAATTCCTCTAAGTAGAAAGCTACATTGATTAGAAGGCTAATTTAATTTGTTTTCTTTCTCCCTGGCATCATAGTCCTGTTTTGCCTCTTGTCAAATCTTAAAATGGTTGCCTCCTCTATTTGTCCAGTTTCTAGTTGTTTATAGTGGGAGAGTAATTTTTATCCCCATTGCTGTCATAGTTGGAAATGGAAATTCACTTTATATATTTTTAACCTACGTACCTGCACAAATGACCATATAAAGTATTTGTTTTGGCTCCATTTGCCCTTACTAGAATGAAACCATAATGAGGGTGTATTAGTTCATTCTCACATTGCTATAAAGACATACCTGAGACTGGGTAATTTATAAAGGAAAGAAGTTTAACCAGCCCATGGTTCTGTGGGTTGTACAGGCTTCTGCTTCTGGGGAGGCCTCATGAAACTTACAATCAGGGCAGAAGGTGAAGGGGAAGCAGGCACATATTTACATGGCCAGCAGGAGAGAGAGAAAGAGAAAACAAGCAAGCAAAGGGGGAGGTGCTACATACTTTTACAACAACCAGATCTTATTAGAACTCTATCATGAAACATCGCTAGGGAGACTAAACTATTAGGGGTGCTAAACCATTAGAAACCACCCCCATGATCCAATCACCTCTCACCAGGCCGCACCTCCAACATTGGGGATTACAATCCAACATGAGATTTGAGTGGGGACACAGAGCCGAACCATATCAAAGGGCTAGGCCTTTTTGTTCATTGCTAGATTTGCAGTACCTAGAATGGTGTCTGGCATCTTGAATCTTGTACCTAGTATTTTTAGGTACTCAATAAACAGTTGTTAAACTAATCATTGTCACTATATTATAGTCAGTAAATTTCTTCAGAAATAAATTTTTAGTCTTCTCTTTGCATGTGTTTCCTAATTCACCTTCACCTCTGAATTAATGGATACTTTGGAGAAATTTAGTTTTTTCCTTTTTGCTATCAAGCCAAAATTTCAGCTGATTGTTGAGAAAGTTCGATATAAGTTTCTGCCTTTATCTCTGTATGAATTCCAAAGCATCTACCTACAAATTATTTTTATATTTTTTATGAGATACCAGTAAGTGTATTGATAGAAGTATGCTCAGAATTGCATCAGCCCATGTATAAAGGAATGAAGGATGGGTTTGAGAAGTTCTTGCCTTCAGGAGAGGGCACCTAAAATGAATCTTACATTAAGTCAGATAGCAGTGGAAGGAAAGATTCCAAGCCCAGGGAAAGCATGAACAAAGGCACCCAGTCATCAGTCTGTAGGATGTATGGTTGAGTAACTACATCCCATTGTCTTGAGCAGTTTCATTGCAACATCCAGATAGAGATGTTCAGTGGGCTTTTTTTTTTCCTTTTGTAGACACAGGGTTTCACCATGTTGCCCAGGCTGGTCTCAAACTCTGGGATTCAAGCAATCAGCCCCCCTTGACCTTCCAATAATCCCAATCCCTGTATTGGGATTATAGGCATGGGCCCAGCCCAGTGGGTTGTTAGATGTGAGTCTGAGGGAGTAGTTAAGGATGGGGTTAAGGACTGGAAATGTATCATCGTATAGGTTAAAGCTAAACTCTAAGGTAGGAAAAGCTTTGGGGAGAGGGTGTTATATAGAGTATGAAGAGCTGTGTGCTAGAGGTGGAACTTTGTGAGGTGCCAGTAGATAAAGAAAGAGCATTCAGAAAGTAGACAGAGGAGCCTATTCAGAGAGTTTTAGAGAATCAGGAGAGAGTGTTCATTCTGCTAGGAGACAGATCTGTGTTTCTCAAAGTCTGTCTAACAAATAAGTGGCACTAGCATTACATAGTGGTCATGGGGGTGGGGTGCTAATAAAAATACATAGATTTGGGCCTCTCCCCAAATCTTCTGAATTGAAATTTCTGTGTGATTAGGGCCCAAACATCTGTGTTTTATAAAGTTCTGTAAGAAATTTTTAGCAAAATGAATACTCCTAGCCACTGCACCAGTTTCAAGAAGGAGGGCCTATCAGCTGAGTCAAATATTACAGAGTTCTAGTCCAATTGATTGTAAAAGTATCTACAGTATGTGGCCATTTGAAGGATATTCCTGGATTCTTAATCTTGCTGCTGCAACTGGGGTCACCCTTGCCAACTTTCTACAAACTTACTGATGTGTTAATATAATGTTCATTGACTAAATGAATAAAACATCTAAAATCATTGATATGAACATTATTAATAACTAATTTGGTAGACTGGAGAGAAGAAAAGGCTGAAGAAGGACAAGAATCTTCATTGAACCAGCATTGAATTTGCCGATTGTCATGCATTCACCTACCAAAGTGGGAAATAGACCTAGCCACTCTTCCTTTTCAAAGTCTGTTCACTTCTTTCAGTAAACATTTTTGAGGGTTTGCTATGTACAGGTTACCTATTATATGTCTATTAAGTACATTCAAACATATTTCTAAGTACAGTAGACCTTAACTAGTCGTGTTCACTGTGTTCAGAAGTGCAGAGGGCTGTGGGAGGGCTCTAGAAACTTTCGCTTACCTTCCTTCTAGAGTTTTTAACATTACACGTCTATTTTTTTTTCTACTACAATGTATTTAGTTTCGTGCCTCCTTTAGAGAAATACATAGTGCTGTTTTTTCTTTTTTTTAATTCTTCCTGGGATAATAAAACCAGAAAATCTTTTGTAAAAGCATATTTCTCAAAAGGTTACTCAAATAGCCATATGTAATATTCACAATCTTTCCCATTAATTATTAATTTTTGTCAATGAATTAATATCAATCCACATTTACCATTCAATTAATAAAACTTTTTTTCTCAACTATATGATTCCAAAAGTTTGGCTGGAGACAGACATTTTTCGAGAAGAATTCTATAATGGAAATAAATGGGAAACTGTGAGTCACTGAGCAGAATTCAGGGTCAATGAATACTTTTGCAGGTTGTTTTCTGACTAAGAATGCAGCCTTGCTCCAATAGCCAAACCATATTTTCCCACAGAGGCTAGTCTTTATTTAATTCATACAGAGGAGCTGTTTGGACTAGTGGGAGCCTTGGTAGAATTTTGTTTTACACCTCTACTGAAATATAGATATTCTGGTAAGCAGAATATGGGTAATTTTTGTTTTAAAGAGGGAGCTTTAGAATGGAAAATGGAAGCAAAATTAAAACCCTTTTCCAATATATCACTTGGCTAGCCATCAAAATCAAAATATTACTAGGCAGCTTCTTGTTTTAAATAATTAGAAGTAAATAAGTGAAATGCAAGATCTTATTTCTCTGTGTTTTTAAAAATTGAATGAAAGCTCAACAGATTTGCTCACAAAAGAGTCTATTCAAGGAATGGCTATCATGATGAATGCTGGCCAGTGGTAGAGTAAGGCAGTAACATTACTGGAAAATGAGCGGACAGGAAGGCTTAGGAGGGAAACCTTCCTGATTTGGGTTATTCCTCTTAGAAAGAGCTTCACCTGACTAAGATGACAGAAAATAAATTACTCTCCATCCCCATGGCATCAGCTATTGATCAGAGACATATAGCTTTTCGTCTGCTGTCAGGGATTAGATGCTGAGCTCCTTAAAGCCATTCACCTCGACTGTGGAAGAGCTTCAGAGATACTGATGACAAGAACCCCACAGTGTGAAGTGTCAGCCACTATCAAATTATTTATTTGATTCTCCTTTGACAGAACTTACAGCTCTTGTCTTTCTAACGTTCATGTTGACCATTGGCATTCAGATTACTGATCTGTGCCTTTCTTTGTCATGCAGTGAGAGGGATTTTGAGGGTCCTAATTATGACTGTTGTTTTCATGGCATTTTTAAACAGCATGAAGTGCTCTGACTGCTGGCTTTGCAGTTTTCTCAAGGAATTCATCTGATGATGAACAGTGTTTTCAGTAAACTGGAGAGGGTGAGGTAGAGAACTAATGTCAAATGCTTTCAGTTGGGTGGACGATGATTATTGTCGATGTGAATAATAAGAATGTGGATTTAGAATTTATCATATTTTAACTTGGCTATGATACTTTGGAAATGTCTCTACCTACCACAGGGAAAGCTGAGTAAAATGGAAGTCTTAGCTTCTTCTTTCTTGAATGATTTTAAAATAGAAGACACGAATTATTGATGCCATTTCAAGAAACTCCATGCATTCTAATAGGTTAACCTATGGGTAAACTTAAAATGTCATTCATGTTTAATAGTGAATAGTGCTGATACACTCCTTTTAGATCAAATATACAGCAGTTGCTTTTTAATGTGTAGTTCTCTCTCTATATATAACTTACATAGCCAGTGTATTTGGTCTGCTACACCTGCCAATTTTATTGGTTCACTTTCAGATTTTTAGAGAGCTTTACATACATTTTTAAACATCCATATATTTTATGATAATTATGCACATAGCTCTCTTTGATCTTTAATAAAACTTTTGGCTGGGGATATATTTCTCAGCATATTTTATAGTAAAAATATACTCAATTTGATAACTTATTTTGTCATATGCTTTTCAGAAATACATTAAGGGGACAAAAAGGATAATCTCTACTATAAAAGTGTGAAGCCTTATATTTTTTAAGTTAGTGAAGAATATAAAGTATAAATAGGCAGGAGACGGGTGATGGGGGAAAGAGCATGGAATTAGGCACCAGGAGACCAAATTTGTAGTTCCATTTCTCAATAATTAGCTGTGTCATTTTGGACAACTTACTGCCCCTCTGAGATTCATTTTTCGTATCTATAAAATGTGGTGATTTATTCAGGCATTTCTGAAATTCCGTCTCAATCAGAGGATCTCCCTCTCAAACAGAGGATCTCCAATCCTGGGATCCTCTGTTTCATTGGAAACCCTAGTTATGGCTTTCCAATTCAAAGCTGTTTATGTGGAACTTAGGAAGCAGCCTTCTCAAAGTCAGCCAATCACAACTGATGGAGCACAGAATGGTTATTCTCCAGGGGACCCTACAGAGTTAAAACTGTCATGGAGTGACTCTAAGTGTGGAAAAAGCATATTGTGAAAGAAGAAGAATAAGGAAGGTTGATACGCCTTCATTCAAATGGCCAACTCACCCCTCATAGAATTTAATAAGTTTGTACTTGTGTTTCACTGTGGACTTTGTACGGAATAGTTTGAAGCTGAGCTGAAGTGAGGGCCCATGAGGAGGAAAGCCAGTCCCACTCAGGGAAAGCCTGTGAAGCTGGACCAAGCTCTGTAAAGCCCATCCACCTGAGAAAGCCCACATGGGACACCAAGCAGGTAGAGAGATTGCCGGATAATACCCTTGACCTTGTGATTCTGTTCTGCTATTATTGAATTTTTGGAGCTGAAGCGAGAAAACAGACAAAGGAAACTGAAAAGCAATACGAGGATACAATCAAGCAGAATTTATACATTTCCTGACTGAAGGTTAATGACTAGGTAATAATGGCAATAAATGGAGACCAGAGATTTAGAAGAAACAGGGGCTAAATGGCTGCATTCCAGCAAATACATCACAGCATCAGAGAGGCAGGAGGGAGCTAGAAAGTCAAGGTAAATTCTTAGATGATGCTGGAATGGGGGGCTCACTTTTAATTGCTTTGAAAGCCATACATAGTAGTGCTAGCTGTAGCAGGCCCCTCAAAACTACATAATCAAAATATATACTGCAATTTGGCATTAAGCAATAGAGAGAATATGTACTTACTTTTGATATAAAAAGACAATTTTTAAAAAGATGTTTATCCAGATTACTTGGTGAAGTGTAAATTCAGAAGCACAAAACCTAGAGTTCACCAAGACTCTTAGAGTGACATGTTGCTGAATGGACAGTGGGTAGAATGTTAGTAAAGAGCCAGAAAAAGCTTCTTTTTGCTCATATTCTCTTTCATAGATTCCTTCCTGAGTAGCCCCTAATTGGATAAAAAATATGAGCCCCTGAGCAATGATTAGGTGGCACCAAACTAGTTCTCTACTCATAACCTCAATTTATCTTTGGGGATAATGTGTTAAGAGTCACTTGTGGGATTGACTGAGCGTTACCAAAATCAATATATATGTCAAGCTTATAAATTGCATATTAGTTTTAACACAGACATAACATAAAACGTTCACATTTAGTGATTTACTTTGCCTGCAAAGCAGACATTTTAGCCTGTCATTACGTGGATGATTATTAGCCGAACAGGGAGCAAGATCATTTCCTACCTCTGACTGTTAGCCTTTGCTAAAAGCAACCAGTAACCTTTCATAGAAGTGTCTTTAAATCTTTCTCAACCCATGCCCCTTTGGGAAAATTTTTGCCTTTCCTTAAGAATATTTGAAATCTCAAAGCACTTTTAATTATCAAAATTAAAAAAAATAAAAGCAGGGGTAATTCTCATACATTTTTAAATTGAGATACAATTCATATAACATAAAATCTACTCCTTTAAAGTGTACAGTTCAGTGGTTTTTAGTGTATTCACAAAGTTGGGATATCGCCACTGATTAATATTAGAACATAGATATTATCACCTATTAGCAGTCACTCTCCATCTCTCCCTCCCTCAGACAAAGATGGGGAAATTTAAGAAACAGATTATATTTCAGTTTGTCATATATAAAGCACACACATACACACACACATATATAATTTATGTACAGGCATACCTCAATATATTGTGGGTTTGGTTTTAGACCTCTGCAATAAAGCTAATGTCACAATAAAGTACATCACGTGAATTTTTGGTTTGAAGTTGTTCATTCTTCCATTGCCACCGTTCCCATTACTTGCATAGTGCTGTACTCAGAGGTTATCCATAAATGCCTACCAACTTAATTACTGATGTGTCATTGTTTTTTTTTTTTTAAAGAAAGAATCCAACCCTCCATATTCCCTGCTGCATAAGTAAAGATTTGTTTGCTGTTTTAAGCCTTCCCAATCTACAAACACATTTTTCTGTATTCTTTGCTGCCAACAGAGAGGTTCAGGCAGATCTATTTACCTGTTCATGAAAGCTTTGTTCGCTTTCTTCTTTTCCTCTAAGAGGGATGAGGCCAGCCAGGCAAGTAACAGAGAAAACTGATGAGATGGCAGGAAGATAGAAGAAGAGAGTTGGGAGCCTGAGAATGAAGGCAGAAACCCCTTCTGTGTTCTTGGTCCTGTTAGTCTGAAACTATGGCTTCTTTTTATCATTATTGCCTTTCAAGTGCTTTTTGCAGGACATCCAAGTTGAGTTGTTTATAAACATGTTAGAATCCAAAGATTACTGAGAAGCCAGAGCATAAGAAACAAGGGATTTGTCCTCTTGCTCTATCTGAACGGCCTTCTGAGGAAGCTAAAAGGGCAGACAGCTGTGGAACTGGACTGTGCCAGGGTCTATTCCAGAGAGTCAGTGGTTTCTTTTGAAAGAGTCCTGCTACAGGCTCACTGCAATCAGTATCCACGGGAATTTCTCTAGATGTCCACACTGTGCTGCCACCAGCATCATTCAACGGCAGTGACAAATAATGGAGAACTCAAGTCTTCCTCTTCTCTAGTAGAGGGAAGGCGAAATCTTTGGTTTTGGTATATTCTTCCCAAAACTCATGGAATCTGTTCAGTTTGAGAGCAACGTGAAGATATTCCCTGTACATGTAGGTGGGGATGTTTTCAGCAGGAAGTTTAACTCCGTAATGTACTGATCAAAGCCAGACCAAGACATGGGGTTAGGCTAATAATTTGGTAGCCCTTACAATTGAGAATCATTCTGTGAAGGCCAGGTGTGGTGGCTCACACCTGTAATCCCAGCACTTTGGGAGGCCAAGGCAGGAGAGTCGCTTGAGCTCAGGAGTTCAAGATTAGTCTGGGTAACATAACAAGACCTCATCTGTACTAAAAACAAAAAAAAATTAGCCAGGTGTGGTGGTGCACACCTGTAGTCCCAGCTACTTGGGAGGCTGAGGCAGGAGGATCTCTTGAGTCTGGGAGATTGAGGCTGCAAGTAGCTATGATTGCACCACTGCACTCCAGCCTGGGTGGCAGAGACCCTGTCTTAAAAAAAAAAAAAAAGTCAGGAGTTCAAGACCAGCCTGGCCAACATGGTGAAACCCCGTCTCTACTAAAAAAACAAAAATTAGCTGGGCATGGTGGTGCATGCCTATAATCCCAGCTACTCAGCAGGCTGAGGCAGGAGAATTGCTTGAACTGGGACCCAGAGACGGAGGTTTCAGTGAGCTGAGATCATGCCACTGCACTCCAGCCTGAGCTACAGAGCAAGACTCCATTCCAAAAACAAACAAACAAAAAAAAAACAAAACAAAACAAGAAGAGAGAATTGTTAGATGCCACCCACCTTCCTTACGAGGCAGGTTGTGTTGACTATAAATTGTTACTTGAATATTCCCCTTAGTGGGATACAGAGGGTGTCTCATCTCACTCTGCCCCAAATGACTTATTAGAACATTCCTTCCCATTATCAGTTAGGAATGATTTTGGCTGCAAATAACAAACACAACAAAGATGAGAGTAGGTTTTAAAAATAGGCATTTATTTTTCTCACATTTCTGGAAGTCCAGAGATAGGCAGCATCTGGTGTTATTTCTAAAACTCAGTAATATCAAGGCCAATTGCTACAATTTCTTGGCTTTTCTCTCATAATGGGCAAGGTGGCTGCTGCAGCACCAGTCATCTTGTCCACATTCCAAGGAGGGAGAATGGGAAAGAGAAAGGGATGGCACCTATATCAGGAAAACAAAGGATTTCACTGCAACCCTGGAGAAGACTTTTACTTATGTGACTTTGGCCAGAATTGTGTCAGATAGCCACTTCTGGGCCAAGGGAGTTGGGACAACAGGGTTGGGAATAGACTTGGGTCAGAGAGCAATTCTGATAAATACAGTTTTATTTATCTCATGATATCTCTAGGGACATTTTTATGTACTTGTTATATTTTAGCACCCATGATAGCCACACCCTAAATCTAGCTCTGGACATGCTATCAAATTAATTAAATTGTAGCAATCACTAACACACGGGTTGACTATGTGCCAGGCATTTTACATGTATTCACTCCTCGTAACAGCCCCTCGAAGTGCATGTGATTAATATCCCCATTTTACTGTTTAGGAAATGGAGTCACAGAGGTCCAGTAGTTTGTTCAAGATTGTAGAGCTGTAGCCCGCATTCAAACCTGTGCTAGCTGGCTTCAGAGTTTTTGTCTAAATCACCACACTATATCACTTCTCTGCTATAAAAATATTTACAGCTATAAGCAGTTACACAAATACCTGAGGGGGCTTTTGAAATTAAGAACAATTACAGGAGGGAGAGCATTTGGACCAGACGGGGAAAGGTTGAATTCCTGTCCTGGCTCCACTGACGCTAGTCATTCATTCAGCAAGTATTTCTGCGTTGTTTTCCTTTGCCACACACTGTGTTAATAAGACAAACATGGTTCCTCTATATTCTAGTGGGGAAAATAGACCCCCCCAAAACAAAGTAAGCAAATGAGTGCATGAAGTGTTTATTATTGATGAATGAGAAGCAGGGAACCCCGAGAGCTGAGACAGCGAATAACTGGAGGAATGCTACATTAGAGTGGCCTGGAAAGGGATCCCCCAAGAGGTGGCATTTACATTGCAAGCTGAATGATGAGAGGCATCTTGCTGCAGAAATTGCTTGGGGAGAAAGAAGGTTGCAGGAAGAAAGAGCAGAAAGAGTAAATTTCCTAAGGGAAGAAAGAACTTGGCTTTTTAGAGAAACTGAGGAAAGATTAGCATGCCCAGTGCTAATGCCGTGGGAGAGTGATGTAAGGTAAGACTAGCAAAGAAGTTTTGAGGACAGAAGGTGCTGAACCTTGAAGTCACAGAACAGAATTCACATTTACTTATAACTGCAAGGGGAAGCTACGTGTCCCCACTTTGCTCCCAGTAACTCTCTCCATTGCTGTGCAATGAGACGTACAATACTGGCTTTGGCTACTTCGTGGGGTGCATATAAGGATCAAATGATGTAATGCGTATGACAGTAACTCGTTATGTATAAACCTCTCCATAAAATAACAGATAATAAAGGCCCATAGAGTATTTCATAGTAAGAAGTATGTCTTTTAAAAATATTTTTTTGGAATATACTTAACAACTAAACTTGTGGTTACACAGAGCAAGCTGTGCATAAACAAATGCAACTTTTTAAAAATATCTGTTATGTTTACAATGTTTTGTGGGAGTTCTGCTACCAGTTAGGATGTAGACTAGTTTGTGACAGACTACCGTTCCCACTGTAGCAGCTAGAAAAAAAAAGGAATAAATATAAAAATCTATATTTTAAAAACTATGTTGGAGAGCTGTGGATACAAAGAAGTCTGAAGGAGCCAAGTTCCAGGGAAGAAGAACTCTTGTGACATAAGCAGAGCCAAGTGGTCATTACCTCCCTGGGCATGTCTGCTCCCTGAGTTTCTGCAGTTCTGGGCCAAAGGTCATACCTGTCTAGGTGGAGGGACTCTACCGGGATGAGGAGACACCAGTGGAGCTGTTAATGGCTGCCTGCACTAGCACAAGAGATTGGAATTTGTAGAAGCTCCAAATGCAGAGCTAGTTCTCCCCACTCAACAACTCTGCCCCTTGGGATTTTTGCTGGGAGCCCTGGCAATACAGGATTCCAGCAACACAGGGGACCAGGCTGTAAAGCAGAGAGAGATCTCTGTAGTCCCATGGTGTTTATCTCAAAACGCTTTTAGCAGGAGGGACCTATAGTACACACAGGACAGATCTCCCCCTTGAAGCATTTGAAACCAGAGATAAATGAAAACTAATGTAAATTGCAACCCAGCCCAGACCCAGCTCAACTCCTGATTGGATTGACATGCTCTGCCTCTCACTCTATCTACCAAATAGAGGAAAAGCCTTGCCCTTTCTGGGGGAAACCTTTATTTACTCCAGTTTTCTAGAGTTCTTTTAAAAAACAACATCTGCCATCTAATAAAAAGTTATGAAATATGTGAAGAAAAAGGAAAATGTGACCTATAAGCAACTGGTCGTTTTTATATCAATATTTAATCAGACATATTAACAGCATAGATACTGATGTTAAGAGATAAGATCTTTCCAATAACAATTATAATATGTTATAGAAATTAGAGGATAGATGGGCAAAAATTGATCAAAATATAGATAATGTCAACAGAGAAACTGAATCTCTAAAAAGAACTAATTGGATATTCTTGATATGAAAAAAATACAATATTGGAAGTGAAGTATTCATTGGAAGACTAAGCTGACTGAACACAGTAGAAGTGAGGAAAAATGAAGACAGTGAAATAGAAATGTTTTAACTGAAGCAGAGAGAGAGTTGGGGGAGGGAAGCAAAGCAGATTATGAAGAACATTTGGGGCAACATCAAACAGCCTGACAGTCATGTTATTGGAGTTCCAGGAGAGGAGAGAGGAAAAGTGACAGAAGAAATATTGGAAGAGAAAATGGATGTGGATATATTCCAAAATTGATGAAAGACATTAGCCCACAGATTGAAGCTCAGTAAACCTCAATCAGAATTGAGAACTACACTCAAATTGCTGAAAGCAAAAGATAAAGATAAAATCTATTATGAGCAGATAGAACAGATACTATATTTAAAAGAACATCAAAGAATTGTAACTGACTCTCATCAGAATCAATAGACTCAACAAGACAATGGAATGACTTCTTTAAAAGGATTTAAACAAAAACTGTCAGCCTAGAGTTCTATGCCCAGTAAAAAATATTTGTCAAAAATGGAAATAAATTAAAAACATATTCAGAAATAAAGCTGAGGGAATTTGTTGTCAGCAGATCCACAGTACAAGAAATGCTAAGGAATGCGAGAGAAATGCTCAAGGAAGTTCTCAAAAATGAAGAGAAAGGATCTGTTGTGGAAACACAGATATGTAGGGAGGAATGAAAAACTCTAGAAAAGATAAATTTAAAAGACCATGTATTTAGTTTTTCAAAAAACTTACTATTTTAAAGCAACAACAATAATAACTATTGGGGGATGTAAACATCTGAGGGAGCAACATAGATGACAACAGTAATATAAAGGGTAGAGGGAGAATTATATTCTGTAAGATATTTACACTGTTGTGAAGTTATAAAATACTAATTCCATGTGAATAGTAATAAAGATCTCTGGTATCTACTAAAATATAGTATAAGTTATGGCTAAAAAGACAATGGAAGAAAAAATAGAATAATAAAATCTTTTCTTAATGCCACTTTGAATTTATGATAATTATCGTACACTTGAAATTTAATTTTAAACCTTGTGGTGTTTTTCCAACAAAAGTTTCTGTGTAACACAATTGCATTCAATTTGTCATGTAATATTTTCCTGGTATTGTTTGGAAATAAAAAGGCAAAAACAGCTGATGAAGCCTAAACTCCATTTTCTCCTAATATGGTGAGGTATGAAGCTGCCCATTAAGGCTCATCAAACTGTTGGATGGGCCTGAGGGTCAAAATTACGTAATGTTTCAAGAGTGGAAATTCATGGTTCCTTCTCCACCCTGGGGTGAAGGAAAAACATTTGTATCTCTAACCAAAAATGTGAGAGCTCTTCCAAGTGCTCTTATCCCCAAAAATGCTGTCTGACTTCTTTGCCAAAAAAAAGCTGATCATTGTGATTAAAGGATTCTTTGGGTGGACTGTTTCAGAAGGAACCAGTGTGTTACTTAGCTGCTCATGACCAATAATATTTCACATCTGTCCTCCCTGTCCCCAGCAGAGTTTTATGAGGGTCTCTTCCCTGAGATTCCATTAGTAGACCCTTCGCATGAATAAGAAACTATGTACCATAATTGAAATATCATCATTAGCCCTAAATGTATCTTCCCCTTGTCTTCTGTGATTTACCTATTATTTCACAAATTTCATACTTCTTCAAATATTTTCAGTGTTTGGATATATCTGCTTGTTTGTCTAATTTCTAAGATCTGTGATAATATCCAGGTGCAGCCATTGAGGTGGTATTACCGTATTGGCTTGAAAAAAAGTGTCTGCATGTTTTTGAGTCAGGAAAACAAAGCAGTTTATAGAACAATATTGGTATGGTACAGATGGGAGGAAAAGACCTTCCATTTTTGCTTTATACAATTGTATATTAGACGTAAACACTTATACTGCATTATAATTTTTTAAATATGGTCCATGTTTACTATTAAGACTGTCTTTTTTTAATAAGTCAAGCATATTTATTTTTTGAAGGAATTAGCCGAAAAAACCTAGAACTAAGAAAAGTCTTAGATATCCATATACTTTTTCTGAGTCTGGTACATGGAGGGCAGGAGGCTGTGTGAGCAGTGGTAACTGATTTCAGTTTTAAAAGAAGTAGGTGTTTATATACTAGTACTCTATGAGTTTGTGGGTGTTTTTCAGTATTAGTCTTATTGCAAAAGGAAAAAGTCTTCAAAGCCTACAAATAATAAAATTAATAATAGCTGTCTTACTATCTTGTCAATTTCATAGGTATTTCAACTGCTAGAATGTGTCTGACTTGTTGAACTATAAAGAATTCAGCGAGAATTATCACCCGGTTATCAGACAAAACTAGCTAAAATTCTTATCACACAACACATAAAAAATAAAAGTAGATATTTTATATTTTCCTGAAATGTTTTGGTTTAAAAAATAAATTGGCTATCTTGGTGTCAGTTAATGTTCAAAAATAGAACTAGAGTCAGATACTACGAAAAGATCAATGATAAAATTCCAGAAATCTCTACTAAATTTAGATGCGATTTAGAAATCCAGGAGGATTCCTAGATGTGTACAGCATATGAGCAAATGGAAATTTTTTGGTGTTATTATGGAAACATTATTTTGCCTCTATGTACTCTCATGAATTCAGTGTGCTTTACATTAGCCATGGCTAAATTTGATAACAATCCGCTGCTGCTCAGCATGTCAACATGTAATTGTCCTAAGTCGTCATAAAACCCACAGTGGACGTTATTGTGCCATTGGTCTAGTTACCTCTTTCCACCTGGGAGCTCTTGTTTGAGTGAAACAGCTCAGACCATATATTGCTTAAGAGTTAGTCTTGGTCTTTTTGTCCAATTCCACCTGAACCCAAAGACAAGAAGGCAAGCTTGGAGAAGATTCTTTGAAAGGAGTTGCAAACCCATACCAACACGAACTCCTCATTCCTCCCTGCCCCATCCCACTCCTATCCTCTGGAAGTAGCCATTCTGCTTTCTGTCTATGAATTTGACTACTCAGCACCACAAGTAAATGGAATAATCTAGTATTCGTCTTTTTGTGAGTGGCTTTTTCACTTAGCACAATGTCCTCAGGTTTCATCCATGTTGTTTCTTGTGTCTGAATTTCCTTCCTTTATACCACATTTTGCTTGTCCATTCATCTGCTGATAGCACTTGGGTTGCTTCTAACTTTTGGCTATTGTGAATGGTCAATAGCCAAAAGCTATTAAGTGGATGCTATTAGCATGGATGGACAAATATTACTTTGAGTCCCTGCTCTCAATTCTTTTGAGTATATACCCAGAAGTGGAATTGCTGGGTCTTATGGTGGCTCTTAATTTTTTTTTTTTTTTTTTTGGCTTTAAGAACATTTTATTTAGGGACATATTTAAACCTCTTAAGCCTGTAACATATTTTCTAGTATTACCTACAATCAAAATTATATTTTTAAGCAAAACTGACTTGTTAGGAAAGCAAATTATTTTCCTTCTTTTATTTTTTTTGAAACAGTCTTGCTCTGTTGCCCAGGCTGGAGTGCAAGTGGCATGATCTCAGCTCACTGAAACTTCTGCCTTCCAGGTCAAGTGATTCTCCCATCTCAGCCTCCCAAATAGCTGGGATTACAGATGCATGTATGGTGGCTCTATTTTTAATTTTTTGAGGAACTTCCATACTGTTTTCCATAGAAAGCTGCCCCATTTTACATTCCTGCCAACAGTGCACAAGGGTTGCAGTTTCTCTACCTGTTCACCAACGCTTGTGATTATCTGTTTTTTGTTTGTTTAATAATAACCACCTAATGGTTGTGAGCAGCAACTCTTATGTCCTTCTCTGCCATCACCATAGATAGGTTACAGAAACAAACTTTTACTGTGCATATTTTGACTAGTATAAGTAACTTTGTATTTTATGAGTGTGTGAAAATGATTAAAAACATATTCATGTTAATTCCTATACGGCCACAGAGTCATTATAAAGTACAGAGAATTTTTTAGCCAGGTGTGGTGGCTCACACCTGTAATCCCAGCACTTTGGGAGGCTGAGGCAGGTGGATCACAAGGTCAGCAGTTCAAGACCAGCCTGACCAACGTGGTGAAACCCCGTCTCTACTAAAAATATAAAAATTAGCTGGGCGTGGTGGCGGGCACCTGTAATCCCAGCTACTCGGGAGGCAAAAGCAGGAGAATCGCTTGAACCCAGGAGGTGGAGGTTGCAGTGAGCCGAGATCGCGCCACCATACTCCAGCCTGGGCAACAGAGCAAGACTCTTACTCAAAAAATCATTTTAAAAAATTAAAAAATAAATAAAGTATAGAGAATTTTTTTAAAAGGGCCACCACTGAGTGGAGATTATTCCCTCAAACCTATCTCAACCATGGTTACTCCACTTCTCCATTTGATTTAAACTTAATTAATTAAACTTAATTAAATTTAATTTTGTGGCTTTATAACATAAAAATATAACCCGTTTTTATTCATAGATATTATTCTTTCCTCAGAAAATCCATTCCTCGCTGCCGAAGAATTAACAGGATGCTCTCCAATGAATCCCTCCATCCTCCTGCCTTCAGCCGTTCCAACTCAGAAGCCTCCGTAGACAGCGCCTCCATGGAGGATTTCTGGCGGGAAATAGAAAGTATTAAAGACAGCAGCATGGGAGGGCAAGAAGAGCCACCGCCAGCTGAGGTCACACCTGTGGATGGTAAGTTGCTGGATTTGTCTTCCTATGTGCTGACTGGCTTTCTTTCTCTGCCCTCTGTTACTCTGTTCATAGGCAGAAATCATCCCACCAATAGTTTAACCAATGAATCAGTAGAATCTGGCATATTGATGATCTACTCCCACTGATTGATTTATATCTACTGTACTGGCTCAGGGTGGCTTTTATCCCAGGTGACATGACCCAAGGAGGGCTGGACCTCAACAAAAATACAAATTGATGCCTTATATACTGCTACTTAGGGATGCTGTGCCTGTCTATTGGTTTGATTCATTACCATCAAGGAGATTGAGTATTCTAATTCTGACAGCTTTTACATTTGTCTACTCATTTGTTATTATTAATTAGAGTAATTAATACTTGACTATTAATTACTATTAACTAGAGAGAGAGAAATTTTAGCAGTATAATTGTGAAGAAGAAAAATTTGACCTTAAAGCATTTACTCATATTACTATATTAGATTGTCTTGTATTCCACCAAATAAAAGCCATGTTGTTGTTTTTTCCAACTTTTATTTTAGATATACAAGGGGTACATGTGCAGGTTTCTTACATGGGTATATTGCCCTCAGGTAGTGAGCATAGTACCCAGTAGGTAGTTTTTGACCCATTCCTCTTTCCCTACCTCCCCCCTCTAGTAGTCTGCAGTGTCTATTGTGCCCATGTTTATGTTTGTGGGTGCTTAGTGTTTAGTGCCCGCTTACAAGTGAGAACATGCAGTATTTGGTTTTCCCTTCCTGTGTTAATTTGTTTAGGATTATGGCCACCAGCTCCATTCTCATTGCTGCAAAGGACATGATTTCACTCTTTTTTATGGCTGCATAGTATCCCATCTTGTATATGTATCACATTTTCTTTATCCAGTCCTCCAATCATGGGTAGCTAGGTTGATTCCATATCTTTGCAATTGTGAATAGCTTGGCGATGAACATACAAGTGCATGTGTCTTTTTAGTATAATAATCTATTTTGCTTTGGGTTTATACCCAGTAATGGGATTGCTGGGTCAAATGGTAGCTCTATTTTAAGTTCTTTGAGAAATCTCCAAGCTGCTTTCCACAGTGGCTGAACTAATTTACACTCCCACCAACAACAGTACTTAAGCATTCTCTTTTGTCTGCAGCATTGCCAGTGTTTTTTTTTTTTTTTCTGTTTGTTTTTTTGACTGTTTTGATAGTAGCCATTCTGACTGGTGTGAGATGATATCTCAGTTTGGTTTTGATTTGCATTTCTCTGATAATTAGTGATGATGAGCATTTTTTCATGTATTTGTTGTCTGTTTGTATGTCTTCTTTTGAAAAGCATATGTTCATATCCTTTGCCCATTTTTTAATGGAGTTATTTGCTTTTCGCTTGTTGATTTGTTTAAACTCCTTATAGATTCTGGATATTAGACCTCTGTCAGATGCATAGTTTGTGAATATTTTCTCCCATACTCTTGGTTGTCTGTTTACTCTGTTAATGGTTTCTTTTGCTGTGTAGAAGCTCTTTAGTTTTTTTTTTTTAATTAAAATAGAGTTTATATCATTGAAGCTTATATAATTTAATTTTTAATAATGGCTGAGTTTAACAACTGGCTTGCAAAATTCCTGAGCATTTAATAATCATCTCCCACGAGCGCGTATGAGCCTGCCCCAGCACACTCTGGGTGCCACTCAAAGGAAGCCCTTCTGCTTCCACTGGGGCAAAGGATTTTGAGCTTTTTTTTTTTTTTTTTTTTTTTATTGATCATTCTTGGGTGTTTCTCACAGAGGGGGATTTGGCCGGGTCATAGGACAATAGTGGAGGGAAGGTCAGCAGATAAACAAGTGAACAAAGGTCTCTGGTTTTCCTAGGCAGAGGACCCTGCGGCCTTCCGCAGTGTTTGTGTCCCTGGGTACTTGAGATTAGGGAGTGGTGATGACTCTCAACGAGCACTCTGCCTTCAAGCATCTGTTTAACAAAGCACATCTTGCACCACCCTTAATCCATTTAACCATGAGTGGACACAACACATGTTTCAGAGAGCACAGGGTTGGGGGTAAGGTCACAGATCAACAGGATCCCAAGGCAGAAGAATTTATCTTAGTACAGAACAAAATGAAAAGTCTCCCGTGTCTACCTCTTTCTACACAGACACGGCAACCATCCGATTTCTCAGTCTCTTCCCCACCTTTCCCCGCTTTCTATTCCACAAAACCGCCATTGTCATCATGGCCTGTTCTCAATGAGCTGTTGAGTACACCTCCCAGACAGGGTGGTGGCCGGGCAGAGGGGCTCCTCACTTCCCAGTAGGGGCGGCCGGGCTGAGGCGCCCCTCACCTCCCGGACGGGGCGGCTGGCCGGGCGGGGGGCTGAACCCTCCACCTCCCTCCCGGACGGGGCGGCTGGCTGGGCGGAGGGTTGACCCCCCCACCTCCCTCCGAGATGGGGCGGCTGGCCGGGAGGGGGGTTGACCCCCCCACCTCCCTCCCGGACGGGGCGGCTGGCCGGGCAGAGGGGCTCCTCACTTCCCAGTAGGGGCGGCCGGGCAGAGGCGCCCCTCACCTCCCGGACGGGGCGGCTGACCGGGCGGGGGGCTGACCCCCCCACCTCCCTCCCGGACGGGGCGACTGGCTGGGTGGGGGGCTGACCCCCACCTCCCTCCGAGACGGGGCGGCTGGCCGGCAGGGGGGCTGACCCCCCCCCCACCTCCCTCCTGGATGGGGCGGCTGGCTGGGCGGAGACGCTTCTCACTTCCCAGACGGTGTGGTTGCCGGGTGGAGGGGCTCCTCATTTCTCAGATGGGGCGGTTGCCAGGCGGAGGGTCTCCTCACTTCTCAGACGGGGCGGCCGGGCAGAGACGCTCCTCACTTCCTAGATGGGGTCGCGGCCGGACAGAGGCACTCCCCACATCTCAGACGATGGGCGGCCGGGAAGAGGCGCTCCTCACTTCCTAGATGGGATGGCGGCCGGGCAGAGACGCTCCTCACTTCCCAGACGGGGTGGCGGCCGGGCAGAGGCTGCAATCTCGGCACTTTGGGAGGCCAAGGCAGGCTGCTGGGAGGTGGAGGTTGTAGCGAGCCGAGATCACGCCACTGCACTCCAGCCTGGGCACCATTGAGCACTGAGTTAACGAGACTCCGTCTGCAATCCCGGCACCTTGGGAGGCCGAGGCTGGCAGATCACTCGCGGTTAGGAGCTGGAGACCAGCCCGGCCAACACAGTGAAACCCCGTCTCCACCAAAAAAATACGAAAACCAGTCAGGCGTGGCGGCACGCGCCTGCAATCGCAGGCACTCGGCAGGCCCAGGCAGGAGAATCAGGCAGGGAGGTTGCAGTGAGCCGAGATGGCAGCAGTACAGTCCAGCTTCGGCTCGGCATCAGAGGGAGACCGTGGAAAGAGAGGGAGAGGGAGACCGTGGGGAGAGGGAGAGACAGAGGAGGAGAGAGGAGAGAGGAGAGAGGAGAGAGCTCTTTAGTTTAATCAGGTCCCACTTGTCAATTTTTGTTTTTATAGAAATTGCCTTTGGGAACTTGGCCAAAAATTATGCCAAGACTGATGTCAGGAAGGATATTTCCTACATTTTCTTCTAGCATTTTTATAGTTTGAGGTCTTACATTTAAATCTTTAATCCATCTTGAGTTAATTTTTGTATGTGGTGAAAGGTAAGGGTCTAGTTTCATTCTTCTGCATATGGCTGGCCAGTTATCCCAGCACCATTTATTGAATAGGGAGTCTTTTACCCATTGCTTGTGAAACTAAACAGAAGATGGAAGAGTGGGGAATAAGCACCAATAAACAGTGTAATTGTCCTTAGTTCTCAAAAAGAGCAAAACTACTCATAGTGGATTAAAAGCATAGGTCAGTCATCTCTTCCAGGCCCTGTCTGTCAACAAGCAAATATGTAAGACATCCAAAAAAGACTAAAGGTAGTTTAGTAAGTATACACCTAAGAGTGTTTCCATTAGCCAGTGATTAACTTCAAGACAGTGGGCAGGATAAACTGAAACTTTAGAAAGTATTTTCATTCTTCATTCCCATTTCTGAGTCTCTTTCTCAGGACTAAGAAATCATTAAGATGTACCACAATTAACATACATCTGATATTATTTGAAATAAAACGCCCCACCACACATGTAACGAGAATCCATTCAAGGGAACCATCCTCCATCAGTGAAATGTATTCTTACTCCTATTACTTGCTTGCTTAGATTTTGCCTTTTCAGATCCAGAAAGACAGGAAGACACATAAAGGAAAATCCCTATCATCCCTTACCCCCTTTTTCTTACTATCTATCTATCCAGCTAGCTAGCTATTCATATTAAACACCACAAGTTCACAATAACCTCCAATTTCAGTCCAGCTCCACAGGGCTTGTTGCTGTCTTCCCTTTTTCTGTGTTTGTAACTCTCTTCTCCAATAGTGATAAACCTGGCTCCCACTCTGTACTTTATATTTACTCATTTGCTCAAACCTAGAATACACAGGAAATATTTTCAGGTTTGCTAACCTAACTGCTACAAAAGCAGACCTACTAATTACAGTTTGTTATTTATTTGCAGATTTTTTTTCCTTGAAGCATTTGCACAGATCTTAAACATACAATTCAATGAGCTTTGACAAACGCATGCACTCTTATAATCTCACACTGATCAAGATAGATAACATTTCAGTCAACCCAGAAAATTTCCTCATGCTTTTTCCCAGTCTCATGCCTCCCAATGACTTGCCAACCCTGGCCAGAGACAACCATGGCTCCCATGTTTTTGCATCATTAATTATTTTGGGGTTCGGCTTCTTTCACTGAGCATAGTTTTGAGATTCTAGTGGGATATCAATCGTTTATTTCTTTTTACTATTAAGTAGTTTGTTTCAGTTTACTAGGGCTGCTGTAACAAAGTACCACAAAACTAGTGGCTTAAAACAGCAGGACTAGCAGCCCAGCATTAAGGTGTCAAGCTGGGCCATGCTCTCCTGGAACCTTCTAGGGGAGAATGCGTTCCATGTCTGTCTCTTACCTTCTGGTGTTGCTGGCAATCCTTGGTGTTCCTTGGCTGTTGACACCACATTGTGCCATTTTCTGTCTCCATAGTCCATAGCATTCTCCCTATTTTTGTCTGTGTTTCTTCTCTTCTTCTTATAAAGATACCAGTTATGTTGGATTAAGGGCCCACCCTACTCCAGTATGACCTCATCTCAATTTTTTTCACTTCATTTATCATTTATTTGTGTTAGGAACATTCCAATTCCACTCTATTAGTTATTATAAAATATGCCATAGATTATTGTTAACTATAGTCACCGTACTGTGCTACCAAATTCTGGATTTTATTCACTCTTTCTTTTTTTTTCTTTACAATGTTATAATGTGAATGCTATTCTTTTTTTATTATTATTATACTTTAAGTTCTGGGGTACACGTGCAGAACGTGCAATTTTGTTACACAGATATACACGTGCCATGGTGTTTTGCTGCACCCATCGACCCTTCACCTACATTTCTCCTAAGACTATCCCTCCCTTAGCCCCCCAGCCCCTGACAGGCCCTGGTGTGTGATGTTCCCCTCCCTGTGTCCATGTATTCTCATTGTTCAACTCCCACTTATGAGTGAGAACATGTGACGTTTGGTTTTCTGTTCTTGTGTTAGTTTGCTGAGAAAAATGGTTTCCAACTTCATCCATGTCCCTGCAAAGGACATGAACTCATCCTTTTATGGCTGCATAGTATTCCAGCCTCATCTCAATTTACATCTTAATTGTGTCTGCAAAAGCTTTGTTTCCAAATAAGGTTATATTCATAGATACCAGGATTTAAGACTTCAACATACGTTTTTGGGGAACATAACTCAACCCATAACAGTAATATTCCATTTTATGAATATGCCACAATTTGTTTATCCATCTACTTTTAATTTGAGCCTTGTTTACAATTTTGCTTACAATGAATAATGCTGTTATGAGCAATCTTGTGAAAGTCTTTTTGTATAGATATGTTTTTATTTCTCTTGGATGTATGTATTTTTCATAGAATGTTTAACTACATAAGAAACTGTGAAACTGCCAGCATTTTTCCAAGTAGTTGTACTATTTTACACTCCTTCCAGCAGTGTATGACAGACAGTTCCATTTCCACATCATTGCAACACTTGATGCTTTCAGTCTCCATCATATGAGTGATTCTAGTGGATATGTGGGGTATCTCATTATGGTTGTAATTACATTTCGCTGATGACTAATGATGTTGAACTTTTTTCTTGTGCTTATTGTCTTTTCATGCATCTTGCTTTGTGAAAACTCTTGACTATTTTTTAAAACTTTTTATTACTGACTTTTTATTAAAACTTTTTATTACTGTATATTCTTGATACAAGTCCTTTGTCAGATATATGTATTGCAGATATTTTCTCACTGCTTGTGACTTGTCCATTCATATTCTTAATGAGATCTTTTAATTGGGTTTGCCTCTGTCTTTTCTGTTGTTTGTTGCTGGCATATAGAAATACAGTTCATTTTTGTATCTTGATGTTTTTTTTTTTTTTTTCTTTTTTTTTTTTTATTATACTCTAAGTTTTAGGGTACATGTGCACATTGTGCAGGTTAGTTACATATGTATACATGTGCCATGCTGGTTGTATCTTGATGTTATATACTATTAGCTTCCTAAAATGATTTTCTAGTGGTTGTCTACTAGATTTCTTAGGATTATCTACATAAGCAAACAGGTCATCTATGAATAGAGACAGTTTTCCTTTCTGATATTTTGTGCTTTTATTTTTTATCTTGCCTTATTGTACTGGCTAGGGCCTCTAGTACAAGTTAAATAGAAGTGGTGACAGCACTTACATATCCTTGTCATGTTCCCAGTTTTACAGGGAACGGGTTCAGTACTCACCATTAAACATGATGGTAATTGTAAACTTTCTGTAAATGCTGTTTACCAGATGTCTTTCTATTACTAGTTTTTCTGGCAGTAATGTGAATGGGTGTTGAATTATATAATGTGCTTTTCTAGTATGTTGGTTCTTTGAAAACAAATTAGTAAAATCTACATCTCCTTTTGTTTATGTTTTTGTGTTTAATTTGCTTTTTTCCTGGGTTCTTAAGATGGAAACCTAGACCATTAATTTTAAATCTTTCATCTTTTTGAATATGTACAGTTCTTTATAAGCATTGCTATCACTCCATCCCACAAATTTTGATATATCTTCATTATTATTCAGTTTTAAATGTTTTCTCAATTTCTTTGTGTATTTTTTAATTTACAAATTTTTGGGTTTTTTTCTAGACATGTTGTTATTGATTTCTAAGTAAATTGTGTTATGTAACATAGTTTATATGTTTCAGTTTTGAAATTTAGACTTATTTTATGGCTCAGAATATTGTCTGTCTTGGTCAAGGTTCCATGTGCACTTAAAAAGAATGTGTTTTACTTGTTGGTTAGTGTGGTGTTCTGTAAATGCTCATTAGATTAAGGTGGTGGTAACTTTAATCACATTTATTATGTTCTTACTAATCTTTGATTGATTTAACAAGTACTGAGAGAAGTTGTTAAAATCTCTAACTTTTATTGTGTATTTGTCTATTTTTTCCTTTTGTTCTGTCAGTTTTTGTTGCTTATAATTTGAAACTATGTTATTGGGTGCATATACATTTATGATTGTTACTCCTTGTTGAATTGACTCATTTTATCATTATAAATGAGCTTCCTCAATACTCTTAGTAATATTCCCTGTCTTGAAGTCTGCTTCGTCTAATAATATATAGTCATTCTGGCTTTCTTAGGGTTATAGGGTTATTGTTTGCAAGATATATCTTATTTCATCCATTTACTCTTTACCTATCTGTCTGTGTTTTTCTTCACAATTTCTTCATAGTTTCTATGCTTACATTTCAGCTATATTGCTTTAATTGGTGGTGTTGCTGTTCAGGCATTTTAATATTCATCCATAACTTATCATAGTCTACTTAGATAAATACTATGCTTCATTCACTATATCAAATATAAGAATCTTGCAGCAGTAGAATTTCATTCTTCTTCATGCCCAGTGGTTTATACTATTGTTTTATGTATAACATCTGCATATGTTGTACATACATCAATGCAATGTTGTCATTTTTGCTTTAAGTTGTCATATGTACTTATATTCTTTTAATTTTGAAATAATTCCAAACATATAGGGAAGTCACAAGTACAGTTTTAAAGACAGTTTCAGGGACCATTTGAGAGTAACTTGCCATCCTGATGCTCTATCACTCCCAAGTACTTTAGGTATTATATGTATATATACATACACACTTATATAGAGAGAAAGCCATTCGCTGTATAATCACAACATACTATTAAAATTAATAATTATTTTTATTATATTACTATCATCCAGTCCTCAGACTGCTATCGTTTCTAGATTACCTTTTATGACAAAAAAAGAAACCCTCCAGTTTAGAATCACTTGTTATATTTAATTGAAAAACGTGTTTCTCTTTCTTCTCTCTCTCTCTTTCTCTCTCTCTCTCCCCTTTACAGTCTGGAACAGTTTCTTAGCCTTTCTTTGAATTTTATGACCTTGACACTTGAAAATTGCAGGTAATTTTATAGATGCTCCTCTACATCAGACAAGTTGGGTTTGTCTGATGTTTCCCAATGACTTAGACTCAGGTTATACATCTTTGGCAAGTTGTGATGTTGTGTTCTTCTCATGGCATCCTGTCAGGTGGCTCATAATTTTAATTTGTTCTGTCACTGATGATGTCCACTTCAATCACTTACTTAAGGTGATATATACATGCAAGGTTTCTCCAGTGTGAACTTAGTCATTTCATTTTTGTAATTACTGTTATCTTGGGAGGTACCTTCAAACTGTATAAACATCCCACTCTACACCAAGTTATTTCTTTATATCAGAATGGACTCCTGGTTTATTTAGTGGGTTTATCTTTTACTGTCATTTATTTTGATGTTCAGATTGCCCCACATTTTATCTGGGAGTCAGTTAGGGAATATATATGGAGACTCTAAGCATCCCATTTAAAAACAACTGCTGAAAGCTGTTTTTAACTAACCAAGATTACAGATGTTGCATAGAGCAGGGCAAGCAGTGGAGGTTATGAGTCCAGTCAAGTTAACTGTGGGAACTAAAATGAACTCCCTTTAGAGCAGGATAAGGAATACAGCCTCTCTAATAGAGCACTCTGGAAGGTGTTGGTGTTAGAGTGATTAAAAAAAAAGCAGAATTTTTTTTCTCTCAAGGAGATGATAATCTAGTAGAAGAGAAAGTAATTAATGAAATAATATAAATATATTTGGAGGAGAAAATTACTTGAAGGAAGAAGAAACAGCAGTGTTAGGATTGATAGCAATAGGACATGACCTTATCTTGATGAGTTCAGGGAAAAAGAGGCTTTCCTGAGAAAAAGATGTAGAAACTGAGATCTGAAAGATGGGTGGCCAGTAATTATGAGGTCAAGTAGAAGGACTGACATGTCCAAAGACCTTGTGACAAAATAGAATGTTGAGTTTTTGAGGAATCCAAAGTAGGCCAGTATTGCCAGAGAACAGGAGAGGAGGAGAGTATGGTATAAGCATGTCCAGAAATGTAAGCCGTTTCACACTGTAGAATTATTTTTGTTTTCATTTGAAAGGGCTCATTTAGTTATAATATGGATAATAGATTAGAAGGGGATCAAGAATGGCATAGGAGGAACTGTTGCGAGTCTATCACAGCAATCCACAAGAGAGAGGATGTAGCTCTGACCAGGGTCACGGCAGAAGAGATAAAGGAAGGTGGACCTTTTGAGTAGTAATAACGAGGCAATATGAAAAGGCCTTGGGGGTGTGTTGGAGTTGATGTGTGAAAGAGAGGGAGATGTCAAGAATGCCTCCTGGTTATTCTCTTGCCTAATTACATTGGATGGTGGGTTTCGTGTGTTGAAATACGGAATCCTGAAAGAGGCCTAGAATTGGGAGTGAGAAATACGAGTTCAGGTTTGAACACAGTGAATATGACATATGAATGACAGAGCCAAGTGGATATTGAATAGGCAGTCAGATATATGGAACTGAAATTCAAAGGAGTTCTCTGTGTTGAAGTTATGTATTTGACAACTAGAGTGAGCAGCCAACAGGAGTAATACTGGTATCTGCCCTGAACATTTCTTACCTATGGAAAACATACATCCTACTTAGGCTGCAGTTTAAGGACTTAGACCATCCTCACCTCTGATTTATGTCAACTCCAGTCCTACCAAGTACTCTTTCCTCCCACTCTTTCATTACTCCTTACATAGGTGGAGGGGAAAAACAACTTTTTAAAATTTTAATATTAACATATTAAATATTAAATTGTAAATTTTGTCTTCAGAAATTAAAAGCTTATCTATAGCTTAAGGAAGAGCTCCATGTCATAACTCTTAACTTAAAGGGCTTACTACTTAGATTACGGCTGCCAATCATCAATTCACTTTTCATTTTTTTCTTAAAGGGACAGCTTACAAAGCAAATGAACAATTAAGATAGCAAATTAAATATTTGCCTAGCTAAGAAACTGGGCCTGTAATACACATCAAAGGCTTTGTTTATACACCAGTGATGCAATAATGTAAGCAGAATCCAGTACTAGACTAATGCTTTGGCATGCTGTTTACAAATTAGTCTAATCTGCTCTTTAAACAACCCTCACTTGGGTAATGCCTCCTTAGCATAGTTCCCAGAAACATATGTGTAGTAGATTTTCTGTTACAGGACACTGTTATTCTGATTTCCTTATATTTCTATATATTGAGGAATTTTAGGTTTTTGAATTTTCTTCTGAAAAAAAGAGATTAACATTCAGAATAAGGAGAAAGGTGGGAGAATGAACATCAATTGAATACCGACTTTCTTCCAGATTCTTTGCTACCTGTCATAAATACATTGATTTAAAAAAAAATCCTCATAGGCACCTAATCCTTTTGTTATTATTACTCTCACTGTTGTATTTTTCTCTAATTTGGTCTTGAGGTCTCTCTCGGGTGAGCAGCTATAAACTAACCCTGCTCTGATGGAGCTACAGGGGATTTGGTCACTGATGTTTGCCTTTCACAGGATACCTCTTTATCCTGGTGGGTGGCCTAAAACCTTCATGTTCAACCCATGACTGGGTGTCCCTCTTACAGGAAACTCGTTTGTACTGGCAGATGCTATAAGAAGAGAGCCCTGACTGGAAATAAGCTAGGTTCAGGTGTGTTGGCCAGGTGAGACACAGAGGAGGCAACTCAGCAAAACACATGAAATAAGAGAAAGAACAGATCCCAGGGAGAAGATGGCAGCTCGTCTCTCAGGGCCAATGGGAAGGGGCAGCCATCCGGGACACTTGCAATCAACAAGCAGGCAGGGAACAGGAAAGAGTGAGAGTGAGTGAGGGACCTGGGGACCAGAGCCTCAATTAGGATCCAAGCATTACCCAAGCAGGTTTCCCACCAGGAGTCCTAATTGGTGGGTTTAGAGCAAGCAGGGAGTCGCTCTGTGACTGAGATGTGGTCACTGCACCTTATCTGTGCAGTTCATGTAGTGGGTGTGGGTTGGTGGGATGAGTCAGGCAGGTTGTATCCAGCTGTCTCATAGGAAGTCACCACCAAGAGGTGATTGTATAAGGCAGATACCTGGATCTGCTATATGGAGGAATTGGGAGGAGTTGGACACCTGGAAACCACATCAAGAGTGACTAAGCCCTGCTTCTGGTATGAGAAAGTTAAGCCCATATTCAAAAGGGATGCCAAGACAACATAAAACTATAGAGGTTCACTATACTTATTTTGCTGAGAGGACACTGAGGCCTCGAGATATCGTTAAGACTTAGGAATCAGGCAGCTGGTGAATGGTGGCCCTGGCATTTGAACCTCCATGTGAGTGATTGAAAAACCAATTTGTATTCCATTAAGTAATGGGTTTTTTCTATTATAGTTTTACTTTAAATATTCATGTTTTATCACTTTTTGAAATTAGTAGGACAGATATGGCTCATGTTTAACTCTCTAGCAGGAAAATTTACCTTACCAAGTCTGCCAATTACCTTACTCTATTAGAAAATACTTTAAAATTTGACTTATTTTAAAAATACAGTGCAGACTTTCATTCATTCTTGTAGTTCTTTCCCATAATTACTGTAGAAAAAAAATACAAATATTATTTACCAATACTTCTTGTCTGATATTCACATGGCATCCAATCATACAGAAAATATTCTAACCCTCTCTTGGTAATGTTCTTTCACAGAAGGAGAACTTGAAGCAGAATGGCTGCAAGATGTGGGTTTATCAACTCTGATCTCAGGTGATGAAGAGGAAGATGGCAAAGCCTTGCTCTCCACATTGACTCGAACCCAAGCAGCTGCCGTGCAAAAGAGATACCATACCTATACCCAAACCATGAGGAAAAAGGATAAGCAATCTATCAGGGATGTCAGAGACATTTTTGGAGTCAGTGAATCTCCTGTAAGTAATGGCTCAAACATGGCTCAAAAGGCGCCTAGTTTGACTGGGGATGGGGTAGGGTGGGGCTGGGGTGGAAAAAATATCAGAAATGTCTGCTTGGGTGGTTCCATTCTAACTTTTTGAGAAAACTAAAGCAGACAGCACAGTGCAAATTTTTACAAGTTTGAACTTAAGTGATCATTTCTTATCTCCTGTACTGCAATCTCCCTCAATACTAAACTTATTCCCTTTGTTGAAATCAGAGAGTGACTTCTTTGGCAGTGGAACAAGTCTTTGTGGGTAGGATCCGGGGACCCTTTACTTAAATTTAAGCACTGAATGGAAACTCTGTGGTCGGGCAAAGGAGTCCTAGGGAAGTAAGCAAGACCAGGTGGTTTGGTTGAATGGGGGGTGGGGATGAGAGATTGGGTAGGGTAGCCTTTATGTTCAGATAAATTAAAATGGTCAAAAAATGGAAGATACCAGCATTAATTAAGTGGGCAAGAGAATGATTCAGAAAAGCATAAGGGAAACATCCCATGTTTTATGATAAACGGCTGGTTGAAGTTCTAGCTTACCCTTAGCAATTTCATGTCCACAATTTTACATCTAAGGCTATTACTCATGTTTTCCTATGTCTACATTTGTTTTACTGCTAGCTCTGTCTTATAGCTTACTTGTTCATTTATTCATTGCACAATTGCAATGTTACATTACAATAATTGCATCACAGATGCGACAGATGCATTATCTGCGCAAGATCCTAGGTTAGGTTCTATGCAGATGGGATTCTTGAAACATTTGGGATAACTAGTATATAGAAAAAAGGAAATTTGATGGTCAGCTGCAATTAGAGATAAGTTACCTGGGCAAGCTAGTTAATCATTCTGATTTAGGTTTCTTGTCTGATTAATTATAGTATCAATAATGGCATACATTAAAACTTCAGGGGTATTGAGTAGAAATCATGGTTGAAGACAGTCTCCAATTTGAATTACTTAAGGTTGTCTGTAAGTCATATCTTCTTTTAGTTAAAGTAGTCACATTGGGTAGTTGCCAAGGCGGCTCATATAGGCCCAGTTAACCTTTGCATTTGTGCTAACAGTGTCCTAGAATAGCACTGTCCTTTAGAACTTTCTATAGTGATGGAAATAGTCTACTTCTGTCCAGTATGGTAGCTCCAGATACATATGACTACCAACACTTTAAATGTGGCTAGTGTGAGAAGTTGAATTTTTAATTTTTCTTAATCTTAATAGATTTAAATATGAACAGTCACATGTAGCTTGTAGCTTATGTATTGAATAACATAGTTCTAGAATCTTCTGCCATATATAATGATATAACTTATGGTAAGTGCATTTTGAGTTCTGAGCTATTTGGACTTTCAACCTAGTGTAAACCTGTGTCTTTCTGGATGGTGGGATTGTCTACAGCTGTAACTGAGTAAAGGTGACTTCCACAATGTGAGGCAAGGACATTAGCTACAGGTGTCCTGACCAAGATGCCTACTGTAGTAAAAGGTTGCCTTGCTGGTTTAAATTCTTTGGGCCTGACATTTTTGTATTTTTCATCTGACCATCCGTATCAGATGTTCTTATTCAGACATCACCCAGCAGCATCATGGTTTATGATCAGCAACTGTGGTCCTTATGTCTAGTGGCACTTAGAGTTCTTTATGCTATGATACTGCAGCAGTACCAAGGGATGATTTTATGGGAAATTGGGATAGACTCCACAACAACAACCAAATAAATGAAGGACAAGTAACGTGTCTTGTGGGTTTTGAAAAGGCTATTATACTTCTTAACAATCTTTTTGAAAGTCTTCAGGGACTTTCTACTTGAGAAGCAGTACTCAAATGCTTTGTTTTAGTTAGATTCACATTAACCAGCATAATTTTTTTTTTTTTTTTTTTGAGACAGCGTCTCGCTCTGTCGCCCAGGCTGGAGTGCAGTGGCGCAATCTCGGCTCACTGCAAGCTCCGCCTCCCGGGTTCACGCCATTCTCCCCCCTCAGCCTCCCGAGTAACTGGGACTATAGGCGCCAGCCACCACGCCTGGCTAATTTTGTTTTTCTATTTGTAGTAGAGACAGGGTTTCACCCTGTTAGCCAGGATGGTCTCGATTTCCTGACCTCGTGATCCGCCTGCCTCGGCCTCCCAAAGTGCTGGGATTACAGGCGTGAGCCACTGCGCCCGGCCATAATTTTTTTAGATTAAGAGTTAGTGCAAGTTTCTAAGTCAGCCTCCCCCTTCACTTGCATTTTATTTGGTGTTTGAAGAAAGGAAAGAGGAAAGCAAATATGAATTGTACTATTTGTACTAAATCTTCGAGATTTATTGACAAATTTGTTTCAGGGTGGTATATTAGAAAAAGGAAAACTTTGTTTCCTAGGCTGAAGGTCTAATTGATTAATACCTTTGACTTATGATGATCATTCCTGTTCATTTGACTTATGATGTGCATTTGACTTGTCATGATCATTCATGTTCATTCGAAATTCATCTTTCTAATGGATTTTCTTTCAAAATAAATGAAGAGCAACTCTCCTTCTTTCCACTTTTAAGCATTCAGATATGGCAAGCTCAGATGTTCTGCTGGGTTCTAGCTGGAGCACTGGGATACCCTTCTGTTCTGGTGGCTTCTTTCTTCCTTTCTTGTATCCCCCGAAGTGGATCCCAAAGATACACAGTACCTAGTAGACTCCAGCTGGTGGGAGACTAGAAAAACTGCAAGTGGGTGATTTGCTATTACTGTAAATAAAAGGAGGGCCTGAGCCTGGGAATTCTTCTGAAAACAAAAATTCCCTGGGTTATTTTTCAGTTGTGTCCGGGATCATCTTGAGAGGGTCCTAAAATCTTTGCATCCATGCTGCCTTTCTCACTTCTATTTCCAGATGCTTCAGACTTTGAATTTTGCTTTTCTCTAGGAAACTGCATTTCTAGGCTTTTCCCAAATCCTCCATTTACTCAGTGCATTACTAGAGAATGCATAACTGTTCTCTTCAGATTTCCTAAGACTTTGGACTTCTAGTAATGTAAAAACAGCAAGGTAAAGGGTATTTTTTGTGCACCTTCTTCTTTCATTTAGACCACGAAGGGAAAGATATAGTGCTCAGTTCCTCAAAATGAAATTTCTTTTGCTTCACTGAGACAGGCAAATGGAATAAACTGGTGTCTAACTCCTGGAAAGACCAAAAGAGGGCCTAACAGGGTGCATTTGTGGTGAGGAGTGAGGAATGGCCCAGGGTTCTTCCTTCCGTCTGCCTTCCTCTCTTTCCTCCCAGTCCTGCTGCTGAAGTCTCAGTTCTAGAGAGAATTGAGAATGGGGACTAAGGAAGTGGGTGGGCACAGGAGAAAGAAAGACCATGTATTCTAGGGAGTTAAAAGGGCTTGTGCTGTCTTGGAAAATAGCGCAGTCAGTGAAATGAAATCAGTGTAAGTTTGGCATTGTATAAGCTGCTTAGAAAATTCAGATTGTTCCTTGTCAGAGATGTAAAAAGCTATATAAACCTCACTTTTGAAAAAATATTTACAATATATAAGGCCTAAGAAACATCTTCACAGATGTTGTTTCCTAAAAAATTCGGCATCTGTTTTTGCAAGAAATTTGGAAGCTTCTAGAGAATGTACCTGAACTTTTTCAGTTTTCTATTTGAATTTGACAACATAAACACCAATTCCTCTGTTCCTCCTCCTGTCCTGTGTCTCTGGGGTCCTTCTCTTCTCTCTCTCTCTCCTCTCTCACTGTCTCTCTCCTCTTTCTCTCTCTCCTCTCTCTCTCTCCTCTCTCTCTCTCTCTCTCTCTCCTCTCCTCTCTCTCTCTCTCCCCCCAACCCGCCCCCACCAATTGTGTGTCTCCCTCCCTATCCCTTGGTCTCCCTCCCTATTCCTTCTTATTCTTTCTTTGGCATCATTTACCTACATTAATTGAATAATTACCTAAGATTTTCCATTTCACTTTCTTAGTGAAGTCTTATAATCAGTTTCATAAGGAGATTTTGCATTAATCTTAGATGTATAAATTTGACCCAATATACTTATCTAGTAAGGATATAAGTAAGATAGATAAGTATAAGATACTTATATCTTTATATTGTATAAAATACTTATAAAGATATAAGTATTTATCTTATATTTATCTATAAATTCAGTAATTTAGAAAATAGATATGTAGATTATGCTGGTTCTTCTCTTAATTTTTTTTTGCACATAGAATCCCATGCTCAAAATCACTTGACTTCAGAGTTTGTAAGATATGGGTCCATTATCTTTTCTTATGTACCATTGCTGTGGGGAAGTACAATGTCTGCATCAATCCTGTTCCTTTACATAACAGATGGGGAAGCTTTTGAATTTTATTTTTATTGCTGGAAACTTGAAATTTCACCAACTTTATCTTTTTAAAAAATTCATCCTGGTCAGTACTAAGCGAGCCCTTGCAATCTGAGAACTAGTTCATTTTTCAGGTTCTACATATTTTCTTGTAGCATTTAAAACAAGTATTTGTTTGTTCACTTTATTTTCTCAATTATCTCCTTCTGAAACTCCTGTTAGATGATTGTTGCACTGTTTGGATTGAACCTCTGTGTCTCTTAAATGTTCTTATATTTTCCAAGCTTATTTTGGCCATGGCTGTTTTAACATTTATGCCTTCATTCTTTAAAAATTTGGCCAGGCATGATGGCTGACACCTGTAATCCCAGCACTTTGGGAGGTCAAGGCAAGAGGATGGCTTGAACTCAGGAGTTTGAGACCAGCCTGGGCAGCATAGCGAGACCATGTCTCTACAAAAAAAATTTTTTTAAATTAGCCAGTTGCGGTGGCACGTACCTGCTGTCCCATGCCTGTTGTTTCAGCTACTCAGGAGGCTGAGGTGGAAGAGTCACTTGAGCCTGGCAGGTCAAGGCTGCAGTGAGCCATGACTGGGCCACTTAACTCCAGCCTGGAAGACAGAATGATAGATCCTGTCTCAAAAAGAAAAAAAATTTAATGGTCATATTGCTAATTTACTGAAGTCCCTCCCCTTGCCCTGACTTCCCTGTCATTATAGCTAGCATCTGTTGTTGTTTCTTGACTGCAGTAGCCTCTCAGCACTCTGAAGGTAATAACTAAATTAAACCTTAAATTTCAAGTTCTCTTCTTTTCCTTGAATTTTCTGCTCCCTTCAGAGTCATGTGTTTATTTTAGCATCGTTGTTTTTCTCTTCCATTGTCGTTGCTCTGTTGACTTTGATCCTTGGGTGTTGATTTATGTTAATTAAGAAATGACTAGATTGACAGATTGATTAGTATGGTAATGGGAGTTGTATGGTCCTCTTTTCTCCCAGAACTCTCCTGTGAATAGGAGTCTGGGCCTTTTTGAATGGTGAAGTGTGTTTACTGTCATCCTCCACTTAAGACACATACATACGGGATTATGACACCTCTGAATCAAAATATCCCATATACCCCATAAATATATATACCTACCATGTACCCACAAAAATTAGAAATTAAAAAATAACATTTGACATGTGCCCATTTTATGTTTGTATGAGTCATATTTTTAAGTTTAAAAATTCCATGTTGATAATATAAAAATTAAAAAAATGTAAAATATTTTTTAAAAGACATGTACATATGGTATCAATGCCAAAGTCATGGGAGTCCTGAAGAACTGTAATTTATTTCCTTTTCAAGCAAACTGAACTTCTCTTTTTATACACTATTCCACAAAGAATAGTGTCTATTAATGTGCCTGGCATTTAGTAGGCGCTCAGCATGGGTTGATAAATTGCTATATTTCCTTTTAGAAGGCTCCAAGTGAAATGCAATTCAGCCTTCTGCCTACAACACCCTCACTGGGACAGCCGCCACTGCCACCGAGGCAGGTGTCACTCATCACCGAGAGTTAACTACTGCCGCTCTTCAGTGTCTGGAAGGGAAGGGTCTGCCTGGCCTCTTTGTTCTGAAAAATATTTTCCAGTTACTTTGGTTCTTCTGAGTGGGGTGCCTCCCTGATCCTTTTATTTTGGTTCTGGAAATGGGCTTTTTCTGGATCAGCCTTTACTTTCTACGCATTTTTCTCTTGTGCCTTTTTACAGGCTGAGGTTTTCCTCTACCCCTATCAAACCATTCCTGCCTGATTTTTATCTGCCAGGAACTTCCAACAATTTCTGTTCTGTTAATGGAAATGTTCAGTGGTCTTTAGAACTGCACGTTTAAAAAGACATCTCTTTTGACACTTGGAGTAATTTGCAGGGACAGGAGAAGGTAGCCTGTGCATTTTGCTATCTTGATTGAATTTTCTTGTGCTGATTTTTCAGTAGTACTTATTCCTTTCAGAAAATAAATGTGTTTTTTCTTACAATGAAAGTAATACATAATTGTTATTGGAAACTTAGAAAATATGGACAGGCAAGGTGAAGAATGACAATTTCTATGGGTTCAAAGAAATGTTATGATTTCACTAAATATCTAATACATTTAGTTTTTCAATGGAGTTTTTATAATAAAGGAATAGACATTTAACCTTTGTTTTAGTTGTATATTAAATCAAAAATGTTAAATCAGTCTCCGGATACATCACGCATGGTTTACAGTCCTGTTCAGCGTGAGCAGAATTCCAGTACCCAAATACATTTTCCAACATTCATAAGATCTGAATTAAATGTTCCTTTCAGTGACACATTTAACTGGGCAAAATAGTCGATTTAATTTATCTCCAGCTTCATAATTGATAAGCAACTAGCTAAAAGTGGAATTGATGTACAACTGACTATATAAATATATAGTATGCTGTAAAAATGATTATATAACATATATATACATTTGGCTGCACATAACAGAAAACACAAGAAATAATGTGTTATACAAATATGAGTTTGTTTTTCTCTCTGAAGAAGACGATGTAGGTGGTGTTATTCCCTACCATGAATCCAGTTTCTTTTTGTCTTTCTTTTTGGCTTTCATAAAAACAATCAGGACACTTAAGGAAGACAACAGACTGGATTTGGGGTGCACAGTTGATAGTGTCTTCCACAGAGAATAGTGTCTATTAATGTGCCTGGCATTTAGTAGGTGCTCAGTATGGGTTGATAAATTGCTAAATGCAATGACGAGTGCATAGGTAATCATAGCTATGGTTATCTCCACAAATCTGTATGAATGTACACATATTATACATAACAAGTGATTTATTGCACAATTAAATTTCGGAAACATAAATAAAATGCACTTTCATTTTTTTCAATAGCCAGATGATTTTTTGTATCCCAACTCCTCTTTTGGATGTGACTCTGGATAAAGAGGAGGTATTATCAATTCCCTGTAGAAACGGTCAACTGGTAAGTTAAGGCAAGGGAAACTGAGTGTAAGGAGGTTAGAAAAAAAAATTATTTCAAGACAGTTAGAAAAACTAATGAAAAAATGCCCACTTATATGGAAACAGTGAAGAAAAAAGGAGACTCTTAAACTCAGGAATAAATAAATAGTTAAATTCACAAATAATTATATGCCCTACCTTTAATAACAAAAATAACAACACCCACGGCAATAGCTGCAGCCAGAAGTCAAAGTGTGGGGGAAGATGTCAGATCAATTTTGTTCTCTTGGATGAGCTTATAATGGAAAATCTTGAGCTACCCTCCATGTATCCTTTAGTATTAATTTAATTCCCACCATAAGAAATATTTTGACATTTCAGTTATTTTCTTTTCATTTTGAGACTGGGTCTTGCTGTCACCCAGGCTGCAGTGCAGTTGCACAGTCGTAGCTCGCTGTAACCTGGAACTCCTGGGCTCAATCAGTCCTCCCACCTCAGCCACCCTGGTAGCTGGGACTACAACTGCACATTGCCATGCCCAGCTAATTTTTAAATTTTTTATAGAGATGAGGTCTCATTATGTTGCCCAGGCTGGTCTCAGACTCCTAGCCTCTTCCTTCCTAAAGTGCTGGGATTACAGACATGAGCCACCATGCCCAGATCAGTTATTTTATAAAGGTAAATATCTTTCTTTGTTGGAATTAGAATTGCATTTTTTTCTTCAGCTTTTATTTTAAGTTCTGGGGTACATGTGCAGGATGTGCAGGTTTGTTACCTAGGTAAACATGTGCCATGGTGTTTTGCTGCACAGATCAACCCATCACATTGGTATTAAGCTCTGCATCCATTAGCTGTTCTTACTGATGCTCTCCCTCCCCCGATCCTGGACAGGCCCCACTGTGTGCTGTTTCCCACCATATGTCCATAATGTGTTCTCATCATTCAGCTCCCACTTATAAGTGAGAACATGCAGTGTTTGGTTTTCTGTTCCTGTGTTAGTTTGCTGAGGATGATGGCTTCCAGCTCCATCCATGTCCCTGCAAAGGACATGACCTCATTCCTTTTTATGGCTGCATAGTATTCCATGGTATATATGTACCACTCTAAATGTAAATATCATGGGAAGCAGCACTATGTCATCTTAAATGTGTAGTGATAAGTGGGAAAAAGTACACTATCTAGCACAGGAAGTGAACACATTACATCAGAGCCCATCTTGTCCATTTTAGTACAGAGTTTCAAAGAATGCTAATCTGAGTTCATGACTGCCAATGAATCTGTCTCAGTAGAAGGCTTTATTTCTATGAGATGAATCCCATGCATGATCTATACCATGTGTCATGAAGCTTGGGTCCACCTTTTGAAATGGTGCATCGTGAATAGGAGCGATAGAAGGACGGGGGTTTGCTGACACCTGCCTCCACCTGGATTCATGGTGGCAGACCATTTACAGTGAGAAACTTTCCTCTGTTATACTTCAGTATGTTTCCTTCTCTTTAACTTTAGTTTTTTTCCTTCCTGTTAAGGGAAGAAGGATTCTTTGCTGTTCCAAGAATAATTCCTTTTCCCACCCTTGATGTGATGAAGATGGCGATGATGATGATGATGGTGTTTTGTTTCTGTACAGTTTCTTTTTATGTTACATAGATTTCATGTGGGGCACTCTATCTGGAAGCAGGTTCTTGGTCTCTCCTAAGAGTCTGCTGAGTGGTTTGGATGTGGCCAGTTTGTGTTCTGGCCGCTCTTCTGTTGCCTGAAGGTAGACCGAGGTCTGGACGTGGAGTGTAGTCAGTGGGTGCTGTGAGCAATCCTGTTTTGCAGATTTTGTCTCTATTTTTTTTTCTAATTCAATCCTTTTTCTAATTTTATTATATTTTTCCGAAGTGTGCTAACACCTTCCAGTCATACCTTCCTTCCCACCAGGACACTTGGCCCGAGGTGTTTGCCCCTCTCTGCTGTCCCCATTCCCCTTACTGCAGCCAGCGTCTCACCCCTCAGCCAGAAGAGGGCAAGTCAGAGCAGACACTGAAGCCTTTCCAAAAAATGGGTTTCTGTGAGCCTTATGTCCCACCTGGCTCTGCCTTCTATTTTGGTTGTCTTCTCTTTACCCCGTTGGTGAGGGAAAGCTCTCCACCCTTGGATTATGAGAGTGGCTGAACACACAGCACCCAACACTGGTCACATGAAATCGACAGCAGTTTATTAGTCACGTTTCCTCACAGCTTGGGAGAGGAGGACACCGCATGCCACACAGGGCCACATGTAGGCTGCTCTTGGGAACAGGGTGAGCAAGTGGGGTCTGCAGGCTTTGTAGCATCAAGAGGGAAGGCTGTTCCCTGGCTCCCACAGGAGGAGGTGATTGGCTTTTGAGTGATTCCATAGGCTGGCAGGGAACTGAAATACTACTCAGAGATACACAAGAACTGTCCTCTGGATAAGGAGGGTTGTTTGGCTGGGGGACCTTCTCTGCAGGAGTACGGCAGGGAGAACCTGCTATTAGGCCACCTGATTTCACCAGATTTCCAGGCAGCTTATCTTATGGAGCCCTAATTTCAATCTCACACCATACGCACACCCCCACCCCTAACAAGGGACTCTCATTATTCTGGGCTTATTTTATTTATTTTCTCTTGTACCTTTTTATCCTTACGTTCCATATTTTGCCTTCTTCCAAACTAGAGGAAAAATATATGGTGAGTTTTCACAGAACTTCTTCTCTCTCAGTATATTAGAGAGGGACTTCTATTTTAGACTGGTATGTTGCATCCTCTGTGAGTAGATTTTTAAATTGGACTGCAGATGTTGCATCAGGCAAGCAGAGGCCAATAAGGTCTGAAAAATATGTTTCTTACCTTTTTCGAATCTAACCATACGAAGCAGAAGATAACAATGTAGATAATCACGAAAGGATGAGAGAGAGAGAGAGTGGGGGTGTGTGTGTGTGTGTGTGTGTAGGTTAGACAAGTGGTAATCTTCAAACACTTATATATGGTATTGTAAAATATATTAGCTTAAATATCAAAAATACATAATCTGGTTTGCCCATGGGTGAGGGATTCCCGAGACCATGCCCAGGTTCAGTGGTTTAGAAGGACTCACAGGATGCAGCAAATAGTCCTACCCATGGCTGGAATTGTTACTGCAAAGGGATACAGAGCAAAATCTGCAAAGGGAAAGGTGCATGGAGCGAAGTCCAGGGAATCTACGCAAGCTTCCGAGAGTCCTCTCTCTGGGAGGTAATGTAGGACAAGATTAATTCCTCCAGCAACAAACTGTTTCTACCAGGAAAGTTCATTTAAGCCAAGGAGCCCCAGGTTTTTATTGGGGGTTGATCATGTAGGCACCCTCTACCTAGTATGCCACAAAATTCCAGACTCCCAGAAGGAACGCAGGTGTTCAGTATAAGTCATATTGTTTGCACAAAGAGTTTAGGATCCATGAGCCAGTCATAACATTGAGGAAATAGTGGGAACCTCCTGAAACTCAGATTCTCAGTTGCCAGCCCAGGGGCCTGCCTTGCAAAACAGGCCTTCCTGGGGAGAGTATGTCAGCCCTGCTATGGTACTCTTTTCTGCAGAGCTCTCAATATAATATATTTCTAGGTGTATGGGGAGTAAAACTTCCCTCATTTTGCCTTTATCTTCTCTTCTTCCCTTAAAAAGTGATGATCAGGGTCAGGTTTATAGGGTAATCACCATGAAACAATTGTAGGTATTTAGTGAACACTCACTAAGTGCCTAGCACTCTGGACAACAGCAGTAAAGTAAGGAGACATGGCCCCTGCATACAGGATTTTTATATATTAGCTTAAAAGTGAATTTAAAATGCAAACAAAAGCAATGGTGATGGTTAGAAGGTGAAACATGGTAATTCACAGTTATCAGGTAAGGTAACAGTTGGCCTTTGAGTGGAATGTTTATGAAATGATTTTACATCGGCCAAAGGGGAACATTAACTCATCTTGCGTTTGTCTCCCCTTGGCTGCCACCCACCCCAAACCAGCTAAGCTATGCCAACCCATTGGCTGTCACTTTGGGGTAAGTAAAGCAGTTCTGTCTTGAGCTCCATGTGAAAGAGTGAATAATCAAAGTACCAGAAGGATCTCAGGCATCCTCAGGACATGCAAACAGAAGCATAATCACAGCAAGTCTCCTCTGTCCCTTCTGTTTCCCAGTCTCCCCATGGGCAAAATATTCTCTCACTTGGCTTTCACTATGCCTTTCATTTCAAATCATTGAAGGTCATACCACCTTTTAAAGGCTGATCAGGGCCAGGTGTGGCAGCTTACACCTGTAATTCTAGCACTTTTGGAGGCCAAGGCAGGAGGATCTCTTGAGCCCAGGAGTTTGAAACCAGCCTGGGTGAAAAAGCGAGAACCTGTCTCTAGAAAAAAAAAAAAATTAAAAAAATTAGCCAGATGCAATGGCATGTTCCTGTAGTCCCAGCTATTTGGGAGGCTGACACGGGAGGATCCCTTGAGCCCAGGTGTTCAAGGTTGCAGTGAGCTGTGATCTCACTGTTAAACTCCAGACTGGGTGACAAGACCTTGTCTCAAAAAAAAAAAAAAAAAAAAAAAGTTAACCGGGGTAAGCGTGGTGCCAAACACATGAAGAAACTTCTCACTGAGATAGAAGAGAACACTGAAGTTATTCTAGCCATACCTGTGAGCTGCTGGGCAGTTTATGGAATGAGGTGGCAGGCACTGTCCTGTCCTGCAGAAGGATGATGAAGGAGAGTATAATGAAATGACTACGTAGAACAGTAAAAATACCAACTTACATAATCACATATATTACAGAATGTTACATCTTCTTAGCAGATTGTGCCTTTTACTCTTTGAGCAAATCTGGCAAGAAATGTCTCTGGATACTAAATTTTTATAATCCAAAAAACTTAAATCCTAAATTGGTGAGTATCAAGATGCTAGGCCCTAAATCGGTTTCCTACAGTAATGTATAGCTATTGGCCCATCTGCTTTTTCATACTGTGTTATTGTTGAGAAGTCTGATGCCTCCCTAAAACTTATTCCTTTATTTATATCCTGCTTTCATTTTTATATTTCTGGAAACCTTGTAGGTGTATTTTTATTGTTGGAGAACTGAATATCATTAGGATATGAAATCTTTTTTTTTCCATCATCATCAGCACTCAGCTTTTTGTTTCTGATAACTCTTGCTTTCCTTTGAATTCTGAACAGTCTCTTCCAAGTATTTCTGTAATTATTTCTTTCTCTCCACTTTTTCTATTCTTCCTTTCACTGCTTGGATTAAACTCACATATCTTAAATTGTCACTTATTTTCCGTATATTTTTTCTATTTGTATGCTAGTAGATTTTGCCTGCATTATTCTTGTAGAGACTTAATTTTAATGTTTATCATGCGTAATTATAACTTGGCCCCTGTTGCATTTATAATTCAACAATCATACTGTTAATTCACAAGAATGCCTCTTTTTTCACTGATTTCCCCTTTATTGTTATACTTAGTTCCTGACTTCTTGTTACAACCGCCTCTCAGATCTCTCTAAAATTATTAAATAATTATAAATGTTCTTCTCTTTCCTCAATTATCTGCTTTTTGTAGAATGTTTATCACTGTACTTCTTTTTCATGATGTTGGTTTTCTCTTGATACTGGTTTACAAACCATTGCAAAATACAATCACAAAGTCTGGCTTTAAAATAGCATGGTTTTGTCAGTTAGATCAGACTTAGACAATTAGAGGTTTACTTTTCTTACAAAACAAGAGGCTTAAGGAGAAAGGCAAAGGCTGGTATGGCTGCCCTGGCAGTGATCTATCAATTTTTTCTTCTTTCCATTCTGCCACCCTTAGTGTATGGGCCAATTGTTAATACCTACAGGATGTCTGGACATCACATGCACCATGTCCATGCTTCTGAAAGACGCTGACTTCATCCACTTTCACAAGAAAACATTAGCTTTCCCAGACACTCCACCAAGTAGAATTACATTCATATCTTACTGGATGGAACCATCACATGATCACACTCAGTCTTTTTAGTTAGAACATACCATCTTGGAGCAAAATCATGATATTCATAAGTTAGGAAAGAAAAGAAAGTGGGTTTTGGCAGGAAGCTAGCAGAGTTTGCTTCTGAGACGAATTCTGTTACAGTACATGGCATTTATGAGGATCAATGTAATTATGAATGAATTGGTAAGTGCTGTTATCAATGCCCAGGTAGTCATTAATTGTATATATCTCCAGGCAGCTGTACATATATATAAAAACTCTAGTGTAATGCATGTGTGAATACGCAGTCATATTTGGAAAGATATGCCTGGATAAACGTGGCTTTCATTTCTTCCGTTAGCCTCGTGATACCTGTGGCAACCACACTAATCAGCTGGATGGCACCAAGGAAGAAAGAGAGCTTCCAAGAGTTATCAAGACAAGTGGTTCCATGGTAAGTTATAGTTGTGGGGGGATGGTGGTAGGCATGAAATAAGCCATTTCTTCAAGATGGTTGAGCAAAACTTGAAAAAAGTGCAACATAATTAAGATGGCTGGACAACCACAGATTTCAACACACTTATCTACCTTAGGTGATTTTTAAGGAAAATATTCAGCAGTAAATGAGCTCAAGTTGAGTAGTTAAGCTCGTGAAAATGTGCTCAGCATTATTAATGATTATGGAAATGCGAAGAAAGCCACAATAAGATATTTCTAGATACCCTATAGAATGGCTAAACTTAAAAAGACTGACAATACCAAGCAGTGCCAAAGATTCAGAGCAATTAGAACTTTCATATATTGTTGTTAAGAATGTAAAATGTTTTATCCACTTGGCAGCATCTTAAAATATTAAGGATATACCTACTATAAGACCCAACCGTTCTACTCATAAGTAATATATATACACACAGACACTTATCCACAATGTTTATAGCAGCTTTATTTGTAATAGCCCCCAAACTGAAAATATCCAGATGGCCATTTGCAGGTAAATGGATAAAAAAAATTGTGGTATATCCACAAAATGGAATATTACTCAGCAATAAAAAGCAACAAACTGTTGATACGCACAACACAGATGGATCTCAAAATAATTATACTGTGTGAAAGAAGCCAGACCCAAAAATATTTGATTCACACAAAATGATAGAAAATGTAAACTAACCTATAGTGGGGGAAAGATAATCATTGATTGGCTCCTGGGGACAGGAGGGAGGGTGAGGAGGGGAGAGAACGAGAGATTCAAAGGAGGCATGAGTCCATTTTGGGGGGTGCTTGTTTTGTTCATTATCTTGACTGTGGTGATGGTTTCATAGGTCTATATAGTTGTTAAAACTCATCAAATTGTATGTTACTTATACTTTATGTACAGTTAATTGCATATATGGTATATCTCAATAATCCTGTTTTTAAAAGTCCATTGAACGTCTTATAATCTCATTAATAGACAACATATTTATTTTTCACTAAGCTACTTACAATAAACAGTCTATTTGTGTGTTACATATGAATGACCTTTGACTCTAATCACACACACCACTAAACCCAAGCACTTACAAAATGTTTACAGTCCAATCTACAGTAATCAGAAACCTACCTTACAAATCAATTCCTATATAGATAAAAGAAGACTTCTTCCTTATGTGCAGTCAACATAAATGAAATAATCTGTCAAGGTGTTGGTTTATTGAAAATGTAAAATAATCCTTCTAGTTTATTTTCAGTGTCTTAAATGATAACCAAATAGCTATACTTGCTTGCTATTGATTCATAATTTACTGCAAAATACAATCATACCATTAGTTAAAAATTATCAGTTATATCTGTTTGCTTCATATAAAAGAAAATCTAAGGAACTTAATTTTAAGCAAGTAGTGTTTTCTTTTTTAAATCACAAAACTAAGAAATTAATGGGGAGTTTACCAAGGCTTGTACAACTGCAAAACAATGTACTAATAGCCTTAGCATGGACTAACAACTTTTTCCTTTCGTGTTGCCGCCTTAGCACGTGGACCTAATCCTTATTCTTACAGGATGGCTAGGAGGCTCCGATACCTTCTTCATACCCGTTAGTGTCACTAAACCAAACTGGGTCGGTTTGCCCATGCAAAATGGAAAGAACACTGAAGCACCAAGTTTTGCAGCAAGAAAGGTTTATTTCAACTCAAATGGCAAGGAGACAGGAGGAAATGCTCAAATCTGTCTCACTGAGCTGGGGCTTGGAGCAAGTTTTATAGTCAGAGGGTAATGAGGTGTGATCTGATTGGATCTTGCAATAAGGTGATGCCAGGAGGCCTGCTCTGACTGGATCCTGCCATGGGGTGATGCCAGGGCTCAATCTGATTAGATCCTAGATCCTGCCATATGGTGTCTGCCTCTTACTTCAGTCCCTGTTCCTCATTCTGAGCACTTAGGTTCCACCCATGGTTGCATGCCTGGTTCATCTGGCATGCTCAGGTTGTGTGACCTTCAACCTGGGGGTCCATGGTGTAAACCAAAAATAAAATTCTAAGGCCTTCAACTATCTGAATGGACCCCTTCTCTTCGCCAAGGGTATTCCAGAGCTATCTGAAAATCTCATTCAGGCCACGATGGAAGAGGGGGTTGGACATGCCTCATTATACCCTCTAGCATTAACATCAACACAGACCTTAAGTCTGATAAACATTTATGGTCTATTCTCTCTAAAGCCTGCTACTTGGAGGCTTCATCTGCATGATAAAACCTAGGTCTCCACAGCCCCTATCATAACTCAGACATTCCTTTCTACTAATAATAACTCAACCAATTGCCAATCAATTTTTTTTTTTTTTGGAGACAGAGTTTCACTCTTGTTGTCCAAGCTGGAGTGCAATGACGTGATCTCGGCTAACTGCAACCTCCGCCTCCTGAGTTCAAGTGATTCTCCTGCCTCAGCCTCCCAAGTAGCTGGGATTACAGGCATGCACCACCATACCCGGCTAATTTTTTTGTATTTTTAGTAGAGACAGGGTTTCACCATGTTGGTCAGGCTGGGCTCAAACTCCTGACCTTAGGTGATCCACCCTCCTCGGCCTCCCAAAGTCCTGGGATTACAGGCATAAGCCACTGTGCCCAGCCCATTCAGAAAATTTTTAAATCTACCCATGACCTGGAAGCCCTACTTCAAGTTGTTCCACCTTTCCAGATCGAACCAATGTAAATCTTACATGTACTGACTGATGTATTATGTCTCCCTAAAATGTATAAAAGTAGGCTGTACTCTGACCACCGTGGGCACATGTTGTCAGGACACCCTGAGACGGTGTCATGGGCACATCCCTAACCTTGGCAAAATAAACTTTCTAAATTGACTGAGACCTTTCTCAGTTATTTTGGGTTCACAATGGCAACTAAAAAACAGCTCACCACTTAGTTACATGAAAGTTGAACCAGATTGGTCTCGGGGGGGTTATATTAGGAACATATGACAACTGACTGTCCATTTTTAACAGGAAACCTTCGATCTCCTGGAAAACTTATATAGTAGAATTTCTCTCTCTCTCTCTTTTTTGACAAACTGTTACACCCTTAGCGTGACCGTATGTTTTTTCTATTCTTATTTTAGTTGCCTGGACCTCATTCCTTTATAAATAAACTTCTCTAGGTTTTTGTGTTTGTTCTCTCTGCAACTTTTTAAATTTTATAAGTTTTGAATTTATTTTGAACTTATTGCTGGAATTCTTAACTTTCACAAAGATCTTCTTTTTATCTTTTTCATCCTGGTCAGCACGTAGTGGGTCTTTTCTGTCTAAGAATAATTTTCTTTCTTCAGTTGCTGGATATTTTCTTCTATTATGTCTTAAATTCTTTTTCTCCCCATTCCCACCTTTCAAGAGCACATATTGGATGCTTTGCTTCAATTGAATAGCTCCTAAATTTTATTGAAGGCAGGCCCCTCTGGAGCTGCCTCTGTGAAGACGCCGGCTACAGCAAGGGAGGTGCAGCCAGGGTTGTGCCTTCCATGGGGCCAGCAGGAGCCAGGAACAGGTGGGAGCCCTGCCCCCTGCTGAGTTGGCAGGGTGGGAGTCCTGTGCTCCCAGGCACAGCTGCAGCTGCCCACCTGCAGCTGCCCACCTGCAGCTCTGGACCCGGGCATCTCTGTACTCTTGGTGGCCTGGGAAACCCCTCCTCCCATAGGCTTGGAAGTGCCTGCTCATGCTCCCTGGCCTCTCCCCGCTCCTGGCTCCCACTCCAGTGTGGAGCAAAGTTGTGGCCCAGCCCGGGCGCTGTTGCAACCCCCCACGGTGTGCACATGCTCAGGGTGGTGCTTACATTCCAGTCCCCTGCCCCCTTGGCCCCCCTCAGAACTTTGGGCACCAACCAGCATGGGAGGGAGGCCGAGGTGGGTGCTGAGGGCAGCTCGGCACAGGCCTGCAGGTGCCCCTCAGCAGGAACAGCCTGGGCACTGCGGATGGCATGTTGAAGGTGGGAGGCAGACAGGTTGCTGGGCAGAAAGGGGCAGGTACCTGGTGAAACCTCACCTTCAAGCCAGGAACAGCCTGAAGCCTGGAGGATGGGCTGCCAGTTCTGGGTGAAGTCTGCTGACCAGAGTGAGGACTCCATTGATGACCATTCAGTCAATTGGATGGTGCTTTTTCCAGGCCCGCCCATGGCCGCTCATGGACCAATCAGCATGCACTTCCTCCCTTCTGAGCCCATAAAAACCCCTGGATTCAGCCAGTCACACAGACATCAGGGACTACCAATTGTGGGAAAGGGCTACCCATTTCAGGTCTCTTCAGGATGACCTGTTTGCCGAAAGGAGCTACCCACCAGGGGTCTCCTAAGAGCTGTTCTGTCACTCAGTGAAGCTCCTCTCTGTCTTGCTCACCCTCCCATTGTCCGTGTACCTCATTTTTCCTGGACCTGGGACTAGAACTTTGGACCCGCCAAATGGTGGGACTGAAAGAGCTGTAACATAAACAGGGCTGAAACACGCTTCCCACTTGCCACATTGTGGGCAACTAGAAGGAGAGAAGAGCTGTGTCCCTTTGGGGAGCCCAGACCTAGGGGCTCTCTGAGCCAGGGCTGTGACACCCTCTTTGGAGCTCTGCAGTTCCGGGGATCTCCAGGCTTCTAGGCACCACCGCATTCCCTGGTGCCCACAGTGGAAGCCACCTGTGGTACACCTGGTCCAGCCGTAGCCTTGTACAGAGCCAGTGCCTGTACTGGCACTTGGAGCTGCCTGCCCCACTGCAGCTGACGTGCCTGGCTCTGTGCTGTGGCTGGACCCTGCGCTTGCTCACACACCCCTTGCCACTCCGCACCTAGCTTGCCCTTGGCAGGCGTGGGATCTGGGCCAGTAGCACAAGCCGAGTGCAGCCTGCTGGGCCAAGTGGGCGGAATGAACCCAGTGGGCGGAATGAACCCAGTGGGCCCGAGCAAAACTCAGACAAAGGCACCACCTGTCAAAGAGGCTTCCGGCTAGAAAAGCGACACCCTAAGGATTCTGTGAAATTAGCTCATATTAGTCTGTTTGCTCTGTTTTCTAGTTTTCTTCAACTTTATGCTCCAGATTTGAACATTTTTTCTTGGTCATTATTGTATTTTTATTTAGCTTGTCTCACTCTTTTTATAATTTTTGGCAAACAAATTATTTCCCAAAGCAGTTTTTTAATCTCTAATATACCCATTATTATAGCAATATAATCTCAATTCAAAGCAGCAATGGCCCTTTTCAGTTTCTCAGAAGGTAAGAATTACATTTTTTTAGGGAATCAAATAATTTTTATGTTTTCTTAAATTGAAGTATAACTTACAAACTGTAAGTGTCTACATTTTAGATGTATAATTCAATAATTTGGGTTGTGTTTTTGTTTTTTTGTGTTTTAGAGACAGGGTCTCACTCTGTTGTCCAGCCTGGAGAGCACTGGCACAATCATAGCTCACTGCAGCCTCAAACTCCTGGGCTCCAATGATCCTCCCTCCTCAGCCTCTCAAGTAGCTGGGACTACAGGTGTGCATCACCACACCCAGCTTCAGTTAATTTTAACAAACGTTATCACCCATGTAATTACAGTTAATCAAAATATAGAACATCTCCATCACCCAGAAATTTTTCCTGGGCCCTGTCAGTCAGCAGGCCCCCCATCCTGGAGAAGCAAGCCCAGCCGTGATTTCTAACACCTTAGCTTGGTTTCCCATTTCATATAAGTCTAATTATAGTATGTTCTTTTATGTCTGGCTTCTTTAATTTATAATAATTTTGAGATTCATCCATTTGTTGTATGTTTTAAAAATTTAGTCCATTACTAAATAATATTGCATTGTATAAATATACCACTATTGATGTTCACCTGATGATGGACATTTGGATTGTTTACAGTTTGGAGTTATTACAAATAATGCTGCCCAGAACATTTATGAGTACAAATGTAGAATAAAGTATATAAATTGTCATTTCCCTTAGGTAAAGATGCTACATAATTCAGATTGTGAGCAAACACAGCCACATCTCCCCATCACCCATAGCTGTTAAACTTAGTAAGGAATAATTTAATAGGTAAATCTAAAATAACTAAATTCTATCATTAAAAAAGATCTGCAGGCAGAAACAACAACAAAAAATCATTTTCTGTTGCATATCCTGTGTGGAGGATGTTGTCAACGAAAGCTGGGTCTTCATGGGCTCACACAGAAAAAATAACAGACTCCTGTATAAATATTTTTTTCAGTATCAACATAGATATAAACGTTTAGTTTTTTCCAGTGATTTTGGAAATGTAAACATCGCGTGTGGAGAACGCGTTAGCTTTTGGAATGTGTGGCAATCTGTGATGCGCACAGTGAAGTGAGTACCATGTGGTCAGGGAACTGCACGCCTCCCGCTGGGTGGCAGCGAGTGTTTTCAGGTTTTAGGTTGTGCCTCCAGTGGAGGGAGAGCTTCTGACCATGACTATCAATCTGAGGTGTTTCATCTTGTCCTCCTCCCCAGCCCCTCCCCCAGTCCCGTCTATCAGAATCTTTTACAGCAGGAGGATGATAGGATTCACCCTACGCCTTCACCTAAGGACACAGTGTGTGAAAGGTGTTCTGCAAGGCAGAAGCTGTCGGTACATTGCAGATAGAAGGAATTACAGCTCACCGGGCCTCTAAAGTTTTCTGCAGAGGCATAGAGCTGGACTTTATTGATTTTCCGATTGTATAGGAAATTATTGTATGTTTCCTTTGCAGTTGAGTAGATCTATTTTCCAGAAAGGCCAAAATTGTTGATTGTGTGTTTGTGTGAGTAGGGGGTGCTTAATAATGTGTGTAAAGGGGATAGGTTGGTTAGGATGCAGGCTCCTCAAATGCAAAACCAAACTAATGAGGGAGATAAAAGCTGATTTCATTTCTTGTTCTCCCCTCCATGTCTTTTGTTGTGGCATCTGGAGTTCCTTCTCTCTTAGACTTCTGTACTCAAACTAGGAATTCATTCATCCCCAAGGCAACAATTTCATTTAATTTAGATCGCTTTTTTTTTGGTGTTTTTTCCTTGGGTTATATTTAGTTGCTGTCTACATATTTACGGCAAGAGAGGTCTGCCTGGCTCCTATTTTTCTAAACATGTCTTAATTATTTGTCTGCGGCCCTTTCTTATTCTTTGTTCATTCTACATTATTTGTTTTTCTCTTCCCTTCCTAGAAATTTTATTTTATGTTACATTTAGGAAGAGATTTTTATCTTATCAAACCAATCCCATTTGCTTTACACCTACAAATTTCTCATTTGGCCTGCTATGGAATTCTTCGTTGGTTTCCAGTGCTATTCAAAACCTTTTCTTCTAAGAAATATATATTTTTCTGCCATTTGTAGTTATTTGGGTGGCAGGGGAGGTAGATTGTCAGTTCACCATCTTGACTTAAATTTCTTTCTTTTTTTTTTTGAGACAGAGTTTTGCTCTTGTCGCCCAGTTTGGAGCGCAATGGCACAATCTTGGCTCACTGCAACCTCTGCCTCCCAGGTTCAAGCAATTCTCCTGCCTCAGCTTCCCAACAGGCATGCACCACCACACCCGGCTAATTTTTGTATTTTCAGTAGAGATGGGGTTTCCCTATGTTGGCCAGGCTGGTCTGGAACTCCTGACCTCAGGTGATTCTCCTGCCTCCCAAAGTGCTGGGATTACAGGCGTGAGCCACCATGCCCAGCTGACTTAAATTTCTTGTACTAGTTCTTGTTTCTTATTTGTTTCTTTAAAAAAAAAAAAAGATCTTTGTTCATTTTGTAAAATAATGTATAGTATCTCTAGAAAATTGAGAAAATATAGTCAAGCAAAATACATTCAATCAAATGCATTAAATTTTGCAATAAGTTTCCTTGCTAAAGAAAATAATATTCACATCTTAATTTCAGTGGCACCATACTACACTGCAACAAAAATCTCTTAGTTTCAGCTTTATTAAAACAACAACAACAACAACAAAAAACAAAATTTGGTACTATTGCTACTAAATTCTATTCACTACAAAAAACAGTCATAGAATCTGCTAAAAAAAAATTATGACATTAGTCCAGTTAAGTTTGTGTTTGGATACATGTAATCAAAAAGTTGGAGTTGTTTTGCTTCACATGGAGACCCCTTCAGATGGGTGGCCCATGTCTGATAGGCCAGCCGCATGGACACAGCCAGGCTTGCTCTTCTGTCCCTGACTTCTTCTTGGTGCCCATTGTCCTCATTTGTACAACATGCCTGGCAGCTCCAGGCTGTCGTCTGTGGTCCTGTCATGAGCATGTATCAAATGAACCTATATTTTTTTCTTAATAAATACACTTGGTAAAGTTTCACTTACACCTTGTCGGCCACGTGACCCCTCTTAACCGCAAATGAGCCTGGAAATCAGGTTTTTTGATTTACCCCAATTCCCTGGAACAAAACCAAGATACTGTTAAGGCAAATGGAGTTTGTGGCAGGCACATCAGTGTCTGCCACAGAGGCCAGTGTCCTTAGAGGGCTGGGCACCTACGTGGCACATAATAGTGCTGCACTACCAGTTGGATGCAATTGTCCATGCACAGGCAGTCATAATTGCATATATTGCCACACATATCTCAGTATGAACACAGAGCAGAATACACAAACACATTAGAAAGTATTTGCCTGAATAAGAATGGTACTTTTATTTCTCCATTTAGCCAGATGATGCTTCTCTCAACAGTACTACCCTGTCTGACGCATCCCAGGATAAAGAAGGGAGTTTTGCGGTTCCCAGGAGTGACTCTGTGGTAAGTCATCCATGTCAGCACAGTTACATGTCAAGGTACAGTTGCAAGTCAAAGCAACTAATGTAGGAAGGTAAGAAGAAGCAATTCTTTAAAACATTAAAAAATACTTGAGCTAAGATTGCAAGGAAACCACAGCTGCTGGTAGAACTACTAACTTTGTAAAAATTAGGAAGAAAGAGGCTCAAAATAAATGAGGACTCCATGGATTCATGTCACTGCAGCCAGAAATCAAAGGATGTTTTTTATGTGTATCAATTTGGAGGAATTTGTTAACTTTGGTCTTCTCAGCTGAGCTCACTCAGAAAAATCCCAGAGGTTTGATGACGTGGCTTAACTACCGTCTTAACCCAGAAGTTCCTTTTACCCACAGGATAAATTCAAAACCTTCATCTTGATGTTGAAGGCTCTCCACTATGCCTTAGTTCTCAGGACTCACTCATGCAAACTCTTTACCTTCAGATGAATTCATTCACTTGGTCTTAAGTAACAGAACTTGTACTTTTGTTTTGTCAAAAATTTTTGTCATTCCCCCTCCCGTCACCCCCACTGCGAATCCCCATTCATTGTCTCTGAGCAGGAGCTCTGCAGGGAGGATATGATAGACCCTCCACAGAAGACAGTGAGAGACCCCATCAGATGAGGCAATTGTTTTCCAGTGGCTGGTTGATGGAAGGCAGCAGTTAGCACAACAGCCACTCAGATGGAGGTGGCACATTCAAAGGTTCTGCTGGGGCAGTTTTTCCTCAACCCCTGTCCATTTCGAGAAACAAGGAGCTGATGACATTTACATGCATGACACATTCCTAGGAAATCCCTGTTGTTTAGGGAGATAATGCTGTTAGCCCCACATAAATTAACTTTGCTGTTGTGTTTTTAGATTTTTGTTTATGGTATTGTTTTGTTGCACAGTGATCATGTAAGAGGAATAAAATAATATGAGTGACTTTTATCATTGATTAACTTACTAATAACTCTGTAGGTTATGGCATAAATAGGCTGAGGGTTACCCACAATATCTGACCCACTGACTGTAAATCAGCTCTTACTTTCCCATTCAAGACCAGGCATTGGGATGCAAATGAGTGAGAGTGTCTCTGCTTTAGACGTCATCTCAAATTCATCTCACTTATTAATGAAAACAAAGTCAGTCATTCACAAAGTCTGGTAACTGTTCGAATAAGGAGTGACCTGCAGTAGATCTTACACAGTTGTGCTATTCCCTTGTGACTGGGGACTCGTGCCCTGAGGACTTGCCCAGGATCCTTTATCTTCCACCACAGCTTGTGGCACCCATGTGCCCAACAGTCACCCCTGCATGGCAGCCTCAACTCTGCCTCCCTCCTCCCCTCTTCATGCGCATCTCTGAGACCTGTGAATTTCATCATGTGAATGGTTGTAAAATCTTTCTGCTCCCCTCCTGTCTTACAGTCTCTCAGTACAGAAACTCATTGTTATCTTCTGTACTGCTGAAGTAGCCTCCTAAGTGATCTCCAGACTTTAGCTTTATTCCCTTCAAATTCATCCCTCCCAGAGCCTCAAGTCATTGATTTAAAATACAAGTCTCGCTTACAGCCTGCGGTGGTTCTCCAACTTTCTAGTTAACCTGGAAGCTCCTGACATGGTCAGACCCCTTGTCGGCCTCTGTAGCTGGCTTTAACACCCCCAGCATTTTGTACAAGCAGCAGCACAGGACTGCGTGTGGTTCCATGCACACACCACCAGAACTTGGAGGAGGATGATTGTATGATTGAGTTGCCAAAGGAGAGGATGGTAGGCATGCCTTCCTTTCTAGGTGTTTCCATGGCAGCTCCATGGCCACAATTTTATTTCTGGTAAGACTGCTGGTCATATTTTTCTATTTCTTTATTCTTAGCTGCGAATTTCTTCGCATCGTTGGTTCATTCAGTCATTCATTCAGCAAATTCTTACTGAGCACATATTGTCTACAAATAGGCTTTTTGCAAGTTTGAGGGTATAAGAGAAAGAAAAGGGTCTTGTGTGGCAGTTATAGAGCTGTCCAGGGTAAGTTAATCACCCAGATTTTATTTTTATTTTCATTTTGTTTTTTTCTGAAGGCAGGTTGAATGCCAGTAATGACATAAATAAAAGTTTCAGCAGTATTGGGTCTAAAAAATATCTCACTGGCACTGGCCTTCGACTTGACTTACCTTGGATTGTTTGTTACTCAGAGTATCTTTTAGAAAAGGTAAACAAAATGATTATTTGCTAGAGTGGCTCACTGATGCCAAGTTATTGCTTTGGTAACTACATTTTGGGCCCTGTGCTTCTTGGTTATAAGGAACCACAGGGACCCCAGTTTGATTTCCCAGTCTCTTCTAGAAGGAGGGATATCCGGTAATCAAATGAAGCAGGGGCCAGGGCTTCAGGGGTCCTGTCTGTGACACCTGTAAAAATAAACCTCTCCTGCCAGGCTAAATTCCCGGGGCCAACTTACTGTCACCCCCAAGACTTCAGGGGGCCCCGACAACTTGCCCTACTGGAATTTATGTTGTAAAATGGTAAAAGAAGGTAACCTAAATTATCTTTTCCATAAGATAGCCATGACCTAACCCATATCTTTCCCCCAGTCTTTAATCATTTCTTCATGTTTGAAATGCCAACTTTATGAGAAGTAAATCCACCAGGTTTGCAGATGTCTGTCTCTATGGTTTGTTTTAGAAATCTGTTAGGGTAAGTTCCCCTTCATCAAAGTCTGCATTAAAATTTCCTTTGGCCCTTCTTAGAAATTTTTTCTTCCAGATGAACATAGAAAAAGGCTATGACTACCTCATAAAAAATCTTGTTATGACTTTATTAAGAATTTCATTGAATTTAAAGATTAATATTGGAGAGAGAATCCACATCTCAAAACATTGAGTCTTCCCATTGAGGAATAATAATTGTGTCTTTCCATTTATGTGTGTCTTCTATCCTTCAGTGAGGTTTTATAATTTATTCCTTTAAGTCTTACACGCATTTTCACACATACTAGTTTGCATTGGTATTTAAACCGTAAGATTTTTAATGATATTTTCTAGCTTGTTTTGCAGATATATAAGGAAAGTAGGTTTTTTTGTTTCTTATAAGTGTCTCCTTTAGCTTCCTTCCTGAAGCTTTTCTGCTGCTAAAAATTTTTCATTTAATTTTATGATTTTTCTCAGAAATCATCTGCATATATGGAAAATTTTATTGACTCAGTATGTAAAATAATTATTTATCTCATTGTTTTCCCTTAGAGGACTGACCACAATCACTTATAACATTGATTAATAATTATGAGGATCCTTTGATAAGTTCTTGATTTTTCTTATGAATTCTTCTAATGTTTCATCATTAAGGAGAGTATTTATTCTAAGATTCTGAGCTTTATAATTGTTTTAATCAGGAATGGAGTTTAAATTATATCAAATGATTTTCCAACATCTGTTAAGATGAATGTAATGTTTTCCTTCTTTAATCAATTACTTTAGGAAGTTACATTGATAGGTTTTTCTTATATTGAACTATAACACAATAAATTGGGTTCATCCAAGAAATAAAATAAAATTGGATGAACCCAATTTATTGTGTTATGTTATTCTTTTATTAAACTGTAGAATTTGATTCACTACTATTTTAGTATTTTAACCTGTATTCTAGTAAACAGGATTAGTCTACACATACAATTTATTAAAATTTGTTTAGCAGGGTTATGCTAACCTTTGTACAAATATGTTGAAAACTCTGGGTTCTTTTCTGTACCTTGGAGCCATTTATCGAACTATGATATAAACATATAATATATAAATCTACACATATTTATAATTTGTATATATTTTTGATATATTTAATAATTTGTTTATGAAACCTCCAAAGCCTGATATCATTGTAGGCATAAAGCTTTGTTTAATTTTTTTTTTTTTTTGACGGAGTTTTGCTATTGTCTCCCAGGCTGGAGTGCAATGGCGCGATCTCGGCTCACTGCAACCTCCACTTCCTGGGTTCAAGCGATTGTCCTTCCTCAGCCTCCTGAGTAGCTGGGATTACAGATGCCCGCCACCACACCCAGCTAATTTTTTTGTATTTTTAGTAGAGACAGGGTTTCACCATGTTGGTCAGACTGGTCTTGAACTCCTGACCTCAGGTGGCGTGAGCCACCACGCCTGGCTTGTTTATTTTTATTTTTATTTTATTTTATTTTATTTTTGAGACGGAGTCTTGCTCTGTCACCCAGGCTGGAGTGCAGTGGTGCGATCTTGGCTCACTGAAACCTCTGCCTCCCGGATTCAAGCCATTCTCCTGCCTCTGCCTCCCCAGTAGCTGGGACTACAAGCGCACACCACCATGCCTGGCTAATTTTTGTATTTTTAGTAGAGACTGGGTTTCACCATATTAGCCAGGCTAGTCTCAAACTCCTGACCTCGTGATCCACCTGCCTCGGCCTCCCAAAGTGCTGGGATTACAGGCATGAGCCACCACACTGGGCCTGTTTAATTTTTTAATGGATGTAATTTAAGGGTTAGATTATTTTCTATCCCAATTTGTATGAATTTTGGTAATGTGTATTTGCTTTATCAAGATATACAGTTTATTTCAAATTACAAGGTATGTTGTTATAAATTTATTGTGTGTGTACACATATACATGCATACACATACACAAATGTTTATTTACATTATAATTTTAAATTATCTGTGATGGTAAATATTACTCATTTTTGTTTCTAAAATGTGTGCGTTATATCTTAATCAGACTCTAAATAGTTGCCCGTATCAGCAATATATTTTAAATTAATAAACTTTATTATTATTTATTTATTTATTTTTGAGAGAAAGTCTTGCTTTGTCACCGAGGCTGGAGTGCAATGGCATGATCATGGCTCACTGCAGCCTTGAATGACTGGGTTCAAGCTGTTGGCCTATTTCTGCTTCCCCAGTAACTGGGATTATACGTGTGCACCACCATGCCCAGCTAAATTTTTTTTTTTAAGTAGAGATGAGGTCTTGCTATATTGCCCAGGCAGAACTTTATTTTTTAGAGCAGTTTCAGGTTCGCAGCAAAATTGAGTGGAAAAGTACAGCGATTTCCCATATCCCCCCATTCCTATGCATGCCTAATCTTTCCAGCAGCAATATTTTTAAAGAGATAACTAACTTTATTTAATTGTGCCTATTTTTTCCTATTGCAATAATTTATTCAAATCTTATTTTTTTACATTCTTTCTTGGCTCTACTTGGATAATTTTTTCTCATCTCTTAGAGTATGAAGATATTTCCCTTAATTTTAGTCATTTGCATTAAAGTTAAGAATCTCTGAATAAAACTTTGGCTATTCTCATGGATATTTGGTATTTAATGTTCTCATTGTCTTAATATTTAGGTATTTAGGTTATAATTTCAGATGTGAACAATGTTTTAATTCAAGACATCATCAGAATACCTTTAAATTCATGTTGAATAGATTTTGCAAGTGTTATATCTTCTGCTGTAAAATGCATTGCATATTTGTCAGTGAATGTGGCTTCCTTAAGTTGGTCTCTGGGGACTCTGGCACAGTGTTTTTTGCAAGTTGTGGATTTGTCCATTCTGATCTTGGTTGCAGAACAAGAAGATGAGGAGCCTTACTGTCTTGGTTTAATCAAGCACAGGTGGCTTTAGTACATGGAGTCATATAGCACAGAAACTCAAACCATGGGCAAAAACCAAACAGCCAGTCAGAGAGATCATAAACATGTTTTGAGTCAGTGAAATTTTAAGTAGTGAACAGAGCATTGAAAATGTTTCGTATGGTCTTTATTGAATATGGAGGACATACCAGATAACTTTAGTCAAAGTCTAGGAGAAAACTATAGCAGATAGTACCAGGCTCCTACAATTTAAAATTTAACATAATAACCCCTCATACTCTACTTTCCAATCCTAGCTTGGTGTAACTAGGGCAGCAGAGCAACTTTCAGCAGAGGGAAAACACCCGTTGTGATTCTGTCACTTCCCTTAGCAGTGAAAGCCCTGGTGAGAAACACATGTGGTTGATCACATTAGGGAAACGGTGGGCTCAGTTATGAACAAGCTGGGGAAGGTTGCTTTAAATGGGGGTGGTCTTTATATTTAAAATACATTAAAATCACTAGTACAAATCAAAAACGATGCTAGTCGTAATATAATCCTTAATGAGGAACGGATGTTTTAAAATGATATATGTCAAGCATCTAGCCTTCCTGCTCAACCTACATCCCAACTCAGGTAACGTTTATTGGCTGCCACTGTTCCTTCATCTCCACCATGAATCATTCTTCTGCTGTAACACAAAGATGTGCATTTGTTTGTCTTGCTCTGTTTTGTTTCTAACCTTTAGGATTCTAAGTCTCAACTCTTTGACGTGGCTTTCAAAACCTTCCATAATTTGCACTGACTCTCCTGATTAATTTATTTCTTATGTTTTTCTAATACCATGACTTGACTCCTGGTACCCCAGTCTCTTCATGATCCCTGGTGCTGAAATGCTTCAGATATTTCCATGCCTGAAATTTCTGCTTCCATCTCCATCTGGCCTGAATGCTTCTGCATGTCTCCTCTTGCCTTTGGAAGTCCTTTTCATTATTCCTTAAGTTCCAGCTCAAGTCCAACCACCTCATCAGTGGAAACCTTCTGGGCAGCACCTCTTCCCTCTCAATCGCTCTCCAATAACACTTGCAGTTGGTATTACAGAAATTAGTTCTTAACAGTGGCTTCATTTTCGTAATGCTTTGTAAGTGTTATTCTGTTCTTCTCATTGTAAGTAGCTCAAGAGCAGGGATTATGACTCAAATTTCTGCTTCCCCCAAGAAAGTCCCATAATTATTTACATTACAAAGAGCAGGCACTCATTCAGTACAATTAACTGGCTAGGGGCCAGTAAAACTGTCAGAGAAAATTAAGATAATGACACTCAGTAGGTTTAAGTATCCCAAACCATCAGTTTCAAGCCCTAAATAAATAAAAAAGTCTTATCAATTTTCAAAAGAGTCTTCTCTCCCATAGGTAAGTTATTTCAAAGTCTGACAAAGCATTTCTTTGTTGGAAAACTTAAGGAAAGGGAAAAGTTGTCCACATCTCTTTAAGGATTTGAGTGTCTGGGTAATCTTTATTCCGTATTGTTACTTGTAGAGCCACCAAACATTGGCCAGACAATGAACCTACATGACCCTAGACCTTTTTTCGGTTTGTCATTCTTCCACCAATTACAGTAATTGGGCATCTATGTTTTAATAATTGGACATCTATTCATACACCATTTACACAATTATAATTGTATCAACTGTTTTGAAATAAAATAGGAATAAAAGGAGATCATGAGGCTCAGAATTCAAGACCCCTTTGCGCAACTTGTAGTACATGATAAAAGACCTTTCATGAAGCAGGTGTTCAGTTATTGCTAAAGAAATATGAGAATAAAAAAAGAAATCAGGCTCTGGGGGAAAACATTTTATGTGTGAATAGCATATAAAAGATTCTTGATGGAGTAGCAGATTTCACTATCACACATATTCACAGAGAACTCCCACATTAAAATTTATAAGATTTGCATGTAAATTGTTTTGATAGGATTTGTGTGTAAATTTTTACTGATACCCATCCAGACCTAGGCAGGAGTTTGCTTCACAGGCCTTTACCAGGATAGGTACTCAACTTCTGATAATACTGAAGGGGAGTTCAGTGCTCTGGCAGGATTTCAATTTAAAAAATACCAAATTAATTAAGAGGGGAAATTGAATTAGAAAAGATACCTAATATTTTGTTAGTTACTATCACTCTGTGTTTTGCTGTGAGGGAATTAATATGTTAATGTTATATTAACAATATAATTAATATAAGTAAGACAAAAATGCATGAAGATTAATTAACAAATGATATTATAATTATCGAATTATATGACATCAGGCATCATAATTTCTACATCTTAGCAAAGGTATAAGCAGCAATATCAAATTATGTGATGTCAGGAATCATAATCTCTACATCTTAGCAAAGGTATAAGCAGCAAATATTTAAGAGCTAGGAAAGCACAGTTATATGGACCTTACATTGTTCCCTTTTGTGAAACATGTGTAAGCTGCACACATCCAAACTGAATGCAGAAACAGGAAATCAGATGCCGGTCCTTTATGAAATCAAGAATGGCTTTTTTTATGTGAAAATAACTCTTGTATACTGCAGAACATAAGTCAGGCTGAAATGTGAGGTGGACTGTATTTATGGTAAAATGTTTTGTGTTCATCTTCCTTTGCTTGGCAGGCTATACTTGAGACCATTCCAGTTCTACCAGTTCATTCCAATGGATCACCGGAGCCTGGACAGCCAGTTCAGAATGCGATAAGTGGTGAGCGGCATGCCTCCTGTTGAACTTCAGCTGTGTCTTCTCGCTTTTGTTCTGGCACTCAATACAGTTAGCAGTGAATTTCTAAAAGCGAAGTATAAGTGTGCTTTTCTCCCTGTTGTGATTCTGTCACTTCCATCGCTCACTCCTTCCACCCAACTCCAAACACCCCATTCTGTCACACAAGACAAAATTAATAGAGCCAGATTGGAAGCAGAATCTTTTCCTCCTTCACGACCACCTCATCATTTAGAAACTCCTCACATGGCTAGTGTCTTTGCTTTAAAGGCTGTTTCCCAAGTGATGTGGTCTGCCAGGAGTAGGCCACTTCTGAGGATCCCTACTCACTGCTCAGGCACACGCAGCACCAGAGCAGCTTGCCCCCTGACAAGGCTGCTGGGGAGGCTTTTATCTGCGCCTCTTCCGCTTGAGAGGTGGGCTCCCTAGATGGGCTAGGTATGGAATCTCAGATCCTCCTTGTAGGAAATAGGCCCCTTTTGGCCATATTTTTGTGATTTCTCAGTTTTTCCCAAAATACATGCATTCTTTTTGTAAATAATGGATCCTGTGCTTTTTTCAGCATTGGCTTCAAAAATAAAGGTGCTGAGGTGATGAAAATGTTCTAAAATTGATCATGGTGATGGTTGTACCACTCTGTTAATAAGCTAAGAACCACTGGCAGGTACACTTTAAATGGGTGAATCGAATGGCATGTGAAGTGTATCTCAATAAAGCTGATAAGAAAAAATAAAAATAAAAAAGAAGGGACTTGCCAGACATTAGTATTCTACATCATTCTATTTGTTGCCATACTGTGACTTAGTTGCAATCATGCCACTAAAAACCAGCCTTCTACGTGGAATTGTCCTGTGGTTTGGAGCATTGGCCTGTTTAATTGCTGCTCTCCAAAGAGGCTCTTTATAGATCCATAGGTAGTTAGAGTTCTATTTGTTTATCTTCCTCTGTTTTGAATGCAAGCCCCTGTATAACAAGGGAGCATCATAGCTCTCCTTTTGCCATTCTTTTTTTTTTTTTTTTTTTTTTTTGAGATGGAGTTTCGCTCTTGTCACTCAGGCTGGAGTGCAGTAGCACGATCTCAGCTCACTGCAGCCTCTGCCTCTTGAGTTCAAGTGATTCTCCTGACTCAGCCTCTTGAGTAGCTGGAATTACAGGTGCCTGCCACCACACCCAGCTAATTTTTGTATTTTTAGTAGAGACGGCGTTTCTCTATGTTGGCCAGGCTGGTCTCAAACTCCTGACCTCAGGTGATCTGCCCACCTCAGCCTCCCAAAGTGCTGGGATTATAGGCATGAGCCACTGTGCCTGGCGTCCCTTTGCTATTTTCTAAGTTCTCGCTGCACTCATTTATTATTGTGTTTTTAATTAGCATCACTATTCAGAATTTTTATATCTGTTGACTTACAAATTTCTCCACCTAATTTTAATGTAAAATTAACTAAGTTTTCTTTAATTCTGCCTTTTGTTCCTTTTGTTATACTTGGTAGTCCCCTAGTCAGTGCCTACAGCAGAGGGCAAAAGAGAATGAGTTCTTTTTATAATAAAATAATTATTCACTTTGCATATGAACAGTTTTGCCAGGCAATGAAACCAGATGACAAGCTGAAATCTGAATCCGAAATCAGGTTAGGATCGCTCAAATGATTTATGGATTCACTTGTTTTTGCTCAGTGACTCTTTTGTCTTAACTTTCAAATTAGCTTGAGAAAAACATTTTTAAGGGGTACTACATATAACCCATTCAGCTTTTTCTCAATGTATGTCATACAAGATCAGGTAACCAATATTAAATAACAGAAATTCCGATTAATTCACCTGAACAAATTTAGCCATGAAATACAAATGGAATTTGAACAAACCTTAAGAGGCAGATATTCCACAGGTGAGGGAAGAAACAACAGGAGTCAAAGCAGAGAGGAATTCTAGCAGTTTCCAGCCTTTCTTCCTCTGCTTTAAGCTTCTGCTTACCCGTAACAGTGACATTGGGTCTAGATGAGCTTAATTTTAATATCATAAGAATATATAGAAATACCCTATTTTGGACTTTCTTTTAATAATCCTCAGCAACTTTCATGAGACATACAAATCTAAAATTTTAAAAATCAGAGTAAATAGTTTGTTTGGGCAATGATGATAAAAATGTGTCCATATGGAGGTCTGTGATGCGACACTGTTGTTTAACTGAACTCCTCGGGGTGAGTCTGCTGCTTTTCCTCGCATATAAACACTGTAACGTGCTTGTGGATTCACTTGTAAATATTTTGAATTTGTTTTATAGCAAATAGTATTGATTGATTAAATAGCATATTAAATAGTCTGTATTCTTTGTTTTGTCTTTAGATGATGATTTTCTGGAAAAGAACATTCCACCAGAGGCTGAAGAGCTGTCATTTGAAGTGTCTTATTCAGAAATGGTTACGGAGGCTCTAAAAAGAAATAAACTTAAGAAATCAGAGATTAAGAAAGAAGACTATGTTTTAACTGTAAGCAAAACCTTTCATGATTATTCCAGGAACTTCCTGTGACTTCATAGGACAAAACTAAGATTTCTTTTTCTTTTTTTTTTTTGAGACGGAGTCTCGCTCTATTGCCCCAGGCTGGAGTGCAGTGGCGCGATCTCGGCTCACTGCAAGCTCTGCCTCCCGGGTTCACGCCATTCTCCTGCCTCAGCCTCCCGAGTAGCTGGGACTACAGGCACCTGCCAACTTGCCCGGCTAATTTTTTGTATTTTTGGTAGAGATGGGGTTTCACCATGTTAGCCAGGATGGTCTCGATCTCCTGACCTCACGATCTGCCTGCCTCGGCCTCTCAAAGTGCTGGGATTACAGGTGTGAGCCGCCGTGCATGGCCAAGATTTCTTTTTTTAAATATCTGTGTGTGTGCACGGGGATTTCAGCGGCCAGGCATCACACTGCTCACACTACCATTGGGGGTGTTATGTGGGCACCACTTGTTGTGCAGTGCACAGCCTGCCTGGCTGTACCTGTGTGGAGGAAAAGTTGTGAGGCTGTAGGCTTGAATACTGTTTTACAAATGAAATAGGATTCTACCTGCCTGGCTTGTGAGCTTTCTTGCACTTTATATTCTTACTTTTCTCATACATCAATGCAGACCCTACCTTTACACACTTGTGCCTCTATAAGCCACATATCAGAAGAGGGGACTGCAAAAAGTCACAGTCATGAGAGGAAGTGAGAGCTCATGGAACAGACAATAAAAACACATCAAAACCAATTCAAGAACTTCTATTAGTACATGATGGGCAAAGAGAGCTATATACTTTGTTACCCCCAAAGTCTCATTATTTATATCCAGAATGTTATATCCAGGAGGCCTAATAGAGAACGATGTAACATTGGTCTGTTTGCCATTCAACCAATGCATGTGTGAAAAGTTTATCTTGTGGAGTCCTGAATACTCTGTGCTGATTACGGTTGGATGCTTGATGAGCAGGGCCCAGGCAGTTTCAGAGCTAAAAAACTGAGTCATGCAGAAACAGACTTTTTGTACCAGGTGACTTGGACCGTTCCCAAACAACCATCCCATGACAGAGGACAGGAAGAGGAAAGGAAGAACTCTAGGACTCACGGAGTGCCTTCTACGGGCCTGACACTATACTAGATATTCTATTAATAATGTAAGGTGGACCCTAGTGATTACGTCCATTTTACAGCTGAGGAAACTGAGGCCCAGAGAGGCTAAGTAACATGTCCAAAGTCTGCAGCTAGTGGGAAGCAGAAATAGGATTTGAAACTAAGTGTGTCCAACTTCAAAACCCTTCCTGGTCCCTAAGCAGTCTGCAGGTTAGAGGGCAACATGTGGTGGTCGAGGGAAAAGAGAGAAGCCTGCAGGACTCTGGTTTCAGGGGGAGCCCCTCCTTATCTTAAAGAGAGGCATGCAAGAGAGGATGCTGGCCCCTGCATCTCCTCATCGAAGCCAGCTCCTTCTGAGGTTTGGCTCTTCCCATGAAGAACTTTGCATAGGATTTAGCACATAGTAGTTGGTCAATAAGCGATTGCAGTTTTTGTTTATATTGTTGTTATGTGTTACTATTATATGAGGACTTAGCCTCAGAAAGAAGGTAAACTAGCTAAGCATTTAATAGCACAAGGCATGCCCCAAGCCACATCCTATATTTTGTTTCATTTTTAAATTCTTGAGGTTCCAAGGAGCAATTATTGAATGAATAAAAGAATGAATGAATGGGCAGATACTTTGACTACCCCAAGGAAGCTCCAGTTTAGGAAACTCCTATGGAAAATGTGAACTTAAAGCTTTATAATTTAAATTTAAGTGTTTATAATTTAATCTATGGGGTTTTTTTTGTTTTACTTCAGCATTTTTTTTCAATACCACTCTTTCTGAGGGCAAAGTGAACCTGTGGATATTATATAAGAATAATCTTTTGCTTCTAAAAGGTCTTGCTGCTGAAATTCTTCACAATATTTCTGGATTGTTGAAGGATTTGCTGCTGTTGTTGTTTTAGTGTCTTTTGTTTCTTGTGTGAAAATAGAGAATATGTCAGTATCGTTGTCTTCAAAATCATAGTAGGATTGTTTGCACTTTCTCTGTATTTGCTTTTTTAAGAATTTGGAATCATTTAAATTTAATTTTTATGGTAGAATAACTGTTGTCTCAGCAAGCATATATAATCAGTTTAAACTGGGAGATTACTAAAAGTCTCTTAAAGTGTGCAGTATGGGATAGATAAACCTTGATTTAAAGATTGACTGCCCAAGAAGGAAAAAAAAAACATATGTTTAGAGCTCTCCTGGGATATACCTAGGTGTGTTTCCTGTTATGTGTGTGTCACATTTATTCCAATTAAGGGCCATGGTGTGTGCATTCCATGTGGTGCCTGACATGTATGTTGTTTGACAATATTGGGTGTTCCTTATAAAGAAGGCAGTTTCCACAGTTGCAATGGCAATGTTATCATATACTTTAGACTGCTGTTTTGCTTCTAATTAGCATAGCAGTGATCTGCACATTGTTCTAAACCACATATTCATATTTCTAGGATGCAGCATGCTCCTTAGAGATGTTTTCCAAAGAACACGTTCTACTGCATAGATTTAGAGTGTCCAGGTGGCATTTGAGTGAACGCATAATAATTTTCCTTTGCCATAAAAAATAAATACCTTCACTGTGTGTTTTAGAAATTTAATGTTCAGAAAACCAGATTTGGCTTAACTGAAGCAGGAGATCTGTCTGCTGAAGACATGAAGAAAATCCGCCATCTCTCTCTGATTGAATTGACTGCCTTTTTTGATGCCTTTGGAATTCAACTGAAAAGGAACAAAACAGAGAAAGTAAAAGGACGAGGTAACTAAGAAGACTGATTGCTTCTGGCTTTAACACTTTGACACAGTGGAATAAGATAATGCTTTTCTAATTCTTTTTTTTTTTCCCCCTTTACTGTCTCACAATGAAGACAATGGGATTTTTGGAGTTCCACTTACAGTCCTCCTGGACGGTGACCGAAAGAAAGACCCTGGAGTGAAAGTTCCCCTGGTATTACAAAAAGTGAGTAGCAGGCAAATGAAAGGGGAATTCACAGAGCCTCATGCTTATGATTTGGCACTTTGTAAACCCACAAATGAATTTTCTTTTATATTTAAAGACACTATCGCCCTATTAGGACTCAGGCCCCTGGTGATTTTCAGCTTTATTCCATGCACCGCATAACGGCCCATGGCGCCTGGGCCAGTTGGCCTTGCTGCATTCTTTTGGAGCCTGTTACATTTTGTTTGCCTATAACACATCAGGTGACAGACACAGATGGTCTGACCCAGGGCACGAACAGTTGCATTTTTTTCCAATATTTTTTCAAATGTTATTTGCGCATATGAATGTGTTTGTGTGTGCATTTGATTATTCTATCTAGATAAAGATGACCATTAATTATTACCAATGCATATATAAATCATACAAATATTTGCTGAGATATAGCATAGGCTGGGTTTTAAAAATGTGTATATGTGTAATCATTTTATCAATTTTCCAAACCAAGTTTAATAAAATCTAAAAACCAGCATGTTCCAGTCATTTTCCGGTGTGTCTGGGCAGATAGGATACATTTAGACAAAAAGAATAATTTTGGTGGAAGGAGGTTTCGAAAATGATATTATCTGAACTATAAAATGCTAATATCTCTGTGACTATTGTTGCTGAATACCTGATTTGCTTTTAAGTCATGTTGTTTTATAGCCAGCAATTTATACTGGTTTTTACCTAAGTGTGCATTTATTCAACAGTGACATCCAGTGGCACAATTAAAATTCCTAGTCCTTAACACAAATTTTGTGGAATTTTAAATTGAGTTTTTAAATGATATTTTAAAATATTGTCTAAGGAAACATATACTTACCTGACACTGATAATCATACATCACTTGTTTAGCTTCCTATATTTTGCTACCAGTGCCTCAAATTGAGATACTTCTCAAGTCAGGTGACTGATTGGCTGGAGATAGGAGCCAGGAAGATGGCACCGAGATGGCCAGAGGATACAAGCAACACCTTTGTACACACGGGCCCTCTGTGGGTGACTTCCCTAGGCAGGGCTGTGCCAGTGCTGTTTATGTAATACCACGTCTAGTCAGCACAGAGCAGCCCAAAGAGGCTGGTGTTACCACTGCCCTTTTACTGATGAGGCAACTGAGGGATAGAAGAGTGAGAAAACTTAGCCAAGACACACAGTCAGCAAGAGGTGGAGTGGGAAAAGGAGCAGTAGCAAAATCCAGAGTCCATGGTGACGCTGAGATTTTCTTTCCTTCATTGAGTTGAAACCAGCATTGTCTTTGTCCTGTATGTAAAGGACAGAGTTTAAAATATCAAAATCAAAGACGATTCAGCACATGAGTTTATAGTACTGTGTAGGTACAAAAATCTAGCGTAGAACTTAGCAAATAGAAAGTACTCAATAAATGCTAGTTAAACTAAATATGGATTTATATCATATTGGCAACATGTTAGCTGTTATTACTACTGGATGTTAAGTGTTCCTCGCTACGACACCTCAAGATAGTACTCTCCCACTCCTACAAGAGAGGCTTTTCTTACAGACATGTTTCTTCTTCCTAAATGTCTGTTTGCCTCCATACCTAGAAGAATTACCTTAGTTCCAGGTACCATCCACCATCATTTCTTGAAAGGAAAATAGCAGAGAAGCTGGATCCCCTTCTTACTGGGTGAACTTGGCCAAGTTATTATCCTTTCCAGAGAAGCACTGTGAGGTGCTTTATTACAGTGAATCGAACTGTTCTCCTTAGTCTCCTTAGCAGTAGAATAGGGTTATTGTGAGGATTAGATGAGTTAATGCAGGTAAAGGACTGAGAATAGGAACTTACACATAATCAATGCACAATAAATGGTAGTGTTTATTACTTTTTTAACACCTATCACCATCCTGAGAACTCACGAAAGCTATTAATCTTTACCCCGTCTAAACTCCTTGATCAGACATCTAGAATTCCTATAGTTTCTTAGTCAGAGTGATTGCAACCAATGACAGTAGATTTAGAATCTCTTGTTACTGATCAGTCTGCAGAAAGAGTTATAGTAATCAGATCTTAAAAATGGTTAAGAGGCATGTATAATTTTAGAGTGGTTAAGAGCACGAACTTGAGTCAGTGCCGTTACTTACGAGGTTGATCTTGGGAAAGTTGTATAACTGCTATAAATCTCTACTTTCTCATTTGCATGTCGGAGGATAACGTTGACGTCATAGGATGGTTATGAACATTTAACACAGCATTCAAGTGCCAGGCAAATATATATATGCTTGGTAACTTATTGATTCATGTCATCATTGTTACTGTTTCATATGTTTATGATCATATAGAGGTACTTATTCTGGTAATATATCATTGCTTTCTAGTTTTTTGAGAAAGTTGAGGAATCAGGTCTGGAATCTGAAGGAATTTTTCGACTTTCAGGATGTACTGCTAAAGTCAAGGTACCGAACATTTTGTCTCTTCCTAGGTAGAGTTCTAAGCTAGCTAGACCCAGTTCACACAAGCATCGGGGATCCAGATATTTGTTGTTGTTTATTAGATATTATCACTTGGTCCTTCCTAGTATTCCTTGGTACCTGTGGTAAAATGTTTGTTCCAGAGTTTTTTCATGATCCAGAATTTTAAAAATCAAAACGGAAACATTAAAAAACCAAAAACAACAATGAAATAGCACATCAATTCACCATCAAAAACTGCTGCTTGCCTTTAGTTTGGAAAAAATGAAATAGCACATCAATTCACCATCAAAAACTGCTGCTTGCCTTTAGTTTGTAAAAGTTGAAACGTCTCACTGCTGTTTTGGAGGTTAAACACCTTAGTTTGTTGTGCTCCTCTCAGCCGTGGAATTCACTAAGCCAATGTTATATGAGTCTTTATTTCCATCATTCGTTGGTTTAAACATTCTTTGGCTCTCCCTTTAGTGAAAGCTCTTACAGGAATTTGTAGCAATGGCTATAACCACTAGAATACTCACTCAGCAGTTCCAAAACCCAGTTCCACTTACAGTAATGTTAACATCCACATCTAAAACCAGCTGTTCAGTGTGAATCTTATTCTTTTGCTTTCTTACTTCCATGAGGTGGCAAACTCTACAGTACAATAAAGCAAAGAACTGTTAGAAAAGAAAAGCTTTTCTCATAAAAATCCAGCAAAACATCCCACTGTGTCTGCGGGTAGGCATACACCATGGAGAGCTCATTCCTGTGGTTGGATCACTCCCTGTCTTGCAGATGTGAAAACCTGAGCAGTTTTAAAAGCTGGATCCCTGAGCAAACAGTCTCAGGGGCAGGGGAAAACCAATGTGGTAATGTTTATCAAAAAGACATTTGTAGAGGCAAAACAGCATCTCTTCATTAATTCATTTTGGTACATGCTTTGGGAAATTCTATTTGTATCAGTATCAGAGTTTTTATATAGAAGTGTGACGAGAGGTTTTTCTAAGTGGAAACTGAGAATAGATAGGCTGCGTCTATTGGATCCTCCAGAAAGCAGATGCTGAGATGGGTGAGGAGCGGAGGAGAGTCACGGCGGTTCTGCTTCTGCAGGATGAAAGGGGCAGGAACCAGGATTGGCTGGGGTGAGGCTCTAACCACGGTGCAGGTCAGACAATTCCTAACCATGGAGGAGCCGTGTGCTGGGCAGAATGGGCAAGGCCCTGGTACCCATGCCTCACCCCGTCGTGGGCTGGGGCTTCCTGCAGAAAATATGGCTGAGCCACATCCAGAAGGGGCCCACAGCTGGGAGAGTCGGCTACCTGGGCTTTTGCACGTGAGGGCAAGGTCTTCCGTGAAGCGAGGTCGGAGCAGGGCACCAGGGCATCAGGGCTCCGGGCATGTTGAGGGGTTACGGCTTCCCTGAGAGTGGAGTTGGCTGAATGCTGGCACAAGTTCTTGTGGAAGGCAGGGAAATGCCCAACGGCTCCTTAAGGTTTATGCTTTCTAGGGTGCATCTGCTTTCTGTCTCCGTTTCTCGTGTGTTTCGTTCTTACATACTCTTCTAAAAAAATGTATCCTACAAGTAAGGATGAAAACCATTACTTATTTTGGTTAAATCTTTGGTTATATCTGCAGAGTCAGAGAACCAAAATGAAAGAAAGAAATTTCCTAAACAGAAACAGATTCCATCTCTTGAAACCTCTGTCCATAATTGGGAAACTGTATTTGCACATATTCTTACTGGTTCCTCTGTGTGTGTGTGTGTGTATGTGCATGTGTGTGTGTGTATGTATGTGCCTGTGTACACATGCATGCATGGGTGTATAACATGCATAATGCATATGATTTAAATGTCCTGTTTCTAAATCACCGAAAGGAGAAAACATTACAGAGCATTGTCCAACAATGATAGACTGGATTAAGAAAATGTGGCACATATACACCATGGAATACTATGCAGCCATAAAAAATGATGAGTTCATGTCCTTTGTAGGGACATGGATGAAATTGGAAATCATCATTCTCAGCAAACTATCGCAAGGACAAAAAACCAAACACCGCATGTTCTCACTCATAGATGGAAATTGAACAATGAGAACACATGGACACAGGAAGGGGAACATCACACTCTGGGGACTGTTGTGGGGTGGGGGGAGGGGGGAGGGATAGCATTGGGAGATATACCTAATGCTAGATGATGAGTTAGTGGGTGCAGCACACCAGCATGGCACATGTATACATATGTAACTAACCTGCACATTGTGCACATGTACCCTAAAACTTAAAGTATAATAAAAAAAAAATTACAGGGCATTTCTTATGTGCACAAAGTTTAACGTCATAGCAGCAGCTACCTTTCTTTGGCTAATCTTCCACTGAAAAATGCTTCTCAAAGGCTAATCGTTCCTTCAGAAAGTTATTATAGGCACATGCATTCCTGAACCACATACAGGTCAGTCTTTTTTCTCCCCTACCCAGTTTTATGTAGTTTCAGCCTAATTTATTCCATCACTTATTAGTGGAAAATGTAATCCAGATGTTTTCATGGTTTGAGCCCTAGGAAGGCCAATGTGAAAGAAATCTGGGCAAGTGAACAGAAACCGGGAAACACTGCCGTTAGAAAGACATTGAAACGTGATGCATTAAAGGGTTCTTTATTCCTCTCCTTTATTCAAACTTTTTATTTAAACTACCTCCTTTTTTGTAATTCATCCACTAAACTACTAAAAACTCCATTATAATTATCCTCGGATTGAACCAAGTCGATGATACCAGCCCTGTGGTCCGCTAGTGTATCATTACTGTGAACGGTCTGGCCTGGCTTTGTGCTTTAATTGCTTGGGGAGGCTGACAGGGGAGCAGCCCTGGGAGGAAGCTGCTGGTTTTAGCCAAACAGGGAACACGCAGCTGTGGAGCCAAGTCCCAGACTTGAGGCCTCAGCTCATTTGGAACCAATTTAATGCTTTGGTTGGTGTTTGCAATGATTTTCTTTTCAAAAATGACAGAAATTTGAGCCAAACACCGGGGAATATATTTTATGGAAAGAGGCAGACTGTTTGACATGCGAGATTTTCTTTTTTGACTAGTTTGAATCATTCCAAGGCTGTTCTAAATGTTTTATAATTACCTCACCTGGCTTATTTAGGCTGGTCATTTGCATTTGTATAAAACTACCTCCAAAATAGAGGCACATTGCATTTTTGCTGAAGGGAGATTTAATGACAAGACTTCTCATCCTTGCCTAGTCAGGGGTCAGAAAAACAGGGCTTCTGAACCTCTAAGTGCTCCCCATCTTTGGCAAGGTAAACTCATACCCGGCTGACATGGTTTCACATTGGGGCCACCACAGAAATGTCAGCTCTGTTCAGAACCAAAAAAAGACATTATTTCTCTCAGTGTTGCTTTATACTAGCCATCCAGACAGTATGACGCGGTATTATTCCCTAAACAGTCACGCCGCATACGCGTGGGATTCCCATAGTAATGACACTGCAGGTTAGAATAGACCTGAGAGTGGGGGAGGGGCGAGCAGCCAGTGCGGTGTTTATTGAGAGCTGTCAGCATGGCAGGCCCTGCCCTGTGAGCTCTACATGATATTATTTGTTTTGATCTTGGGAATGTCGTTTTAATATTCCATTGTACATTGAGAAGCTTGAAGCACAGACCATAACCTAGTCAGTTGCTGAGTTCGGATAAAAGCCTAAAGGATCTGGTTGTAGCACCTGCCCTTGACCCTGGTGCCCTGTTGCCCCTTAGGTGACTGGGAACTACTCACAGGTTAGGACGGCCACATTTGTGATTCAGATAGATTCCTTTGCAGAGGTATGTGGAAAATGAATTTGAATTCTTCTCCTCTCGCTGGTGCTTCCTGTGCACTTGGAAAACAATGTCCCCTTTGCTTTACTGCAGTGGTACCAGGCGACTGATGGGAAATGCTTACTCCTCCTCCTGTGTTTTTCCTGTTAACAACACTGCCACCTGCCCATTACAAATCAGATGGAAATCGTCTTGGAAAATCATCTCGGATGATTATTTCTCCCTTTGAGTCTCATATTCAATCCATCACTGATTCTTGAGAATTTTCCCTCCTGGGCATTTCTTCAATGCCTCCTCTCCTTTCTATCCTACAACTGTTTATCCAGATTAGTCCTTAGTTATCCCTCCCTGGAAGTGGTGCTGTGGCTTCATAACTGGGTTCTTTGCCTGTCACTCGCTTCCACCCACCCGACCTATGCCAAGCTCCACGCTCCCCCAAATCATTTTTCCATCTGGCTGTCAGAAAAGACAAATCTACCCTTGCCATTCCCGTGCTTAGAGATGTTCCAGGCTGCCTCATTGCCTACAGCGTGAAGGCTAGTCCCCTTAGCACTGGCGCTCGCTGCTCTCCAGCCTTGTTCCTTGCCCTAGATGCGCCAGCAAGGCTGAATGAACTGGAGTTCCCCAGACACACTGGATCTGCTGGCATTTGTATCACTGCTTGAGCAGGATCCCCTTCTATTTCCTATTCCCTGTAATCCTCAAGACTTGCCCCTAGCAGAGTTTGACTCCTCTCTTTCCTGGCTGCATAGCACCAATACATGACTTTTCTTATAGCATGTGCACTCTAAATGAGTCGTATCAGCTCATGAAATAGTCCCACCCACTAGATTACAGGACACCGAAAGGCAAAGAATGGATCTCATGCATCCTCTTTTCAGAGCCCACTCTATCTCTTTCATTTTAGGGAGAACTTTATATTTATGCTTAAGGTTTTGTAAAGTGTATTTATCACCAGAGGGTTTCTTGATTAGCCAAAGTATTCCTATAAGATTGAAAGCTTCTCCAGGGCAAGATGGAAATCTCCTTTTGATCTTATCAGTAGAGGTTAGAGGGTGCATCAGAATCATGCGTATCTCTGCAAGAAACTTGTGCTGCCAGGGACCTCCAGTTTTCAGGCTCTGGGAGCCAAGAGAGTGATTATGTCTGGCTGGTTAATGAGCTAATCCTTATTAGGAAAAGGTCAGATGTGCACACTGACTCTGGCTGTGCGTGCTCAAGGCCAGAAGAATTAGGCTTCTCATGAGAATAAAGCAGAGGTCTTAAAGAAACAGAGCTTTTAGAGTTCCCTTTCTAAGTATCTTTTCTGGAGCAGTTAGTGTCAGCTGGGAGACTGACTATAACTGCTGGCATTATAGGTAAACCTTGTAGTTCAAAGGAGCAGTGAAAAATGAGTTTGCCTTTGAAAAGAAACATGAAGCCTGAGTGGCATTGATAATCAGATGAATTCATAATGTAAAATTTGTTAGCCAAGTAGAACTTACGGAGGCTTAGAGGTTTTTTTAAAAGTATTTGCACAGTGTTCCAAACCTTACAAAGGATTGGGCAAGCATGCAAACATGTGGAAGGCATGTGTCTGTCTTGGAATAAAACTTCGCTGTCACTGCTCCAGGAAGATGTCATAGGTTTGCATGTTGCAGCGAGGTCAGAGTTACTTTATTGGGATATTTCTCATTCTGTTTGTGAACTGGCTGAGAGGCAAACCTTCTTGATCTAATTTAGAAATAGAAGAGAGGATGGCAGAAGGGATTATGAAAAGAGGGGGAACGGAGACTTTGTCAGAATCTAACAGTGTATTTATCATGTGGGAATAGTGGTATTCTGCCAAAACCACAGAAATGAAACTGTGATCAGAGTAGAGAACTTCTATATTTGTGTAGAATTAGAAAATTATTTCAAGATCAACATTATTTTTTAAATATTTTAGAAAATTGTTTTTAAAAATTCATCCTCACATAGCTATTTGCCTTAATCATGTTGAAAAAAAATTACTCTTGGTAGACATTACCTTACCAGTCTGTTTACAAAAACAGTTTATATAAGAACAGTTTTCGAAGGGGAAAATGGGGTCAGGTGGTAAAAGTGCATTGAATACTGACTGTTTTCCTTGATTTACAGCAATACCGTGAAGAACTTGATGCCAAGTTTAATGCTGATAAATTTAAATGGGACAAAATGTGCCATAGAGAAGCTGCAGTAATGTTGAAAGCGTTTTTCAGAGAACTACCCACCTCTCTCTTCCCTGTGGAATATATACCTGCCTTCATCAGTCTAATGGAAAGTAGGTGGAAGACGTTATATGTGAATACGCTAAGATATAAGGTCAATAAAGTGAGAGCAGAAGAGAGATGCTGAATCAAATGTGCTCATGTATAGATTTGCTGTGTCCTGACAGTGCTTGGTGGAATATTAAGTTTGATGGCAAACAGTCACCTACTTACATACTTATATACTTAAGCCTGGTTTAGGGTTTTATAATCATTAAAAGGCAGAGGGGTTTGCAGAAAGACCAGGCTCTTGAGATTTGGATTCCTGTGCAACCATCTGTTAGCCATGCAATCAAACCTTCTGAGCCTCAGTTACTACATCTGTAAATTACAGATAATAATTACCTGTCAGGGTTGCCGTGGATATTGAATGAAGTCATTTAGAATAGAGCCTGGTGTGTGATAATGCATCAAAAAATACGACATCACTGCCTTTCTTAAATCTGAGGTCCTAGGTCTGATGATGCAGCATGCAATAAATACTTCACAGAAGATAATATGTCTCTGAAAATTACAAAGTCACATCATGTTTCTGAAAGTTACAAAGTCATATAGATTAGGCCTTTAAGTGAAGTATGTGGGCAAAAGCACAAAAATTATAAAGTGTGTGTTGTAATTGACAAGGAATCATTTGGCATGGTTTGAGCATAAAGGTTGAATATTGTGGAGGATGTAACAAGAGAAAAGTTTGGAAAAGTAGAATGGGGGTACATAGTGGGGGCTTTAACTGTTAACCTGGGGAGTTCAGGCATTGCAAATCTAAATATGTATGAGCATGCTAAGTAAATGTTGATTCTACATGGACCAAAAAGGTCTGTGTCCAAACTGAGAGGACACACCCCATCTAGAGACATTGACCACTGCTTGGTTCTCCGTAATGGTTGCTGTGCCAGACTGAGAGCCAAATCCAGGCTTTAATGCGAAAACTCTCAATTTGAGAGTGTCAGGCACTAATTTTTTTTTTTTTTTTTGAGACAGAGTGTCGCACTGTTGCCCAGGCTGGAGTTCAGTGATGCGATCTTGGCTCACAGCAACCTCCACCCCCGGGATTCAAGCGATTCTCCTGCCTCAGCCTCCTGAGTAGCTGGGATTACAGGTGTGCGCCACCACACCTGTCTGATTTTTGTATTTTTAGTAGAGACGGGGTTTCGCCATGTTGGCCAGGCTGGTCTCAAACTCCTAGCCTCAAGTGATCTCCCTGCCTCACCCTCCAAATTGCTGGGATTACAGGCGTGAGCCACCACACCTGGCCCAGCCACTAATTTAAATTTTAAAATGTTGTGTGAACTTAACAGGTGATGTCTGTATCTGCCATTGTACAACCTTCTCAGGTTGGCCAGAACTACAATTTCATAAAAATTACAATGAAAGAAAATAATAGATCCTAAGTTGTATGGCAAAATTTGTCCTAAAAATTATGTAGGTTCTAAATCTTTGAATGTTTTAACTAAACCAGATTCATAAAATAATCTTTTGTGTCTTGAAAGAAGAGAATATTGTAGGCAAGGCAGTCATTTTCTAAGCTTTAATTCACATGCTGTCCGTGACCAGTATCTATTTTCTTTGTAAGCTTACTGGGTTTTTTTAATGAGAAAAACTTGCTGAAAAAGAGAGAAGAGCTACTAATTTCCTTCATTCATTTTTGTTTCAGACATTGTATTTTTTCAGTTCTAGAATTTTCAGTTGGTGCTTTTAAAATACTTTCTGTTTTTCTGTTGAGGTGACCTATCTTTTCATTCATTATAATCATATTTTCCTTCACATCATTGAGCACAGGTACAATAGCTGCTTCAAAATCCTTGTTGGCGGCCAGGCGTGGGGGCTCACGCCTGTAATCCCAGCACTTTGGGAGGCTGAGGTGGGCAGATCACGAGTTCAGGAGATCGAGACTATCCTGGCTAACAAGGTGAAACCCCGTCTCTACTAAAAATACAAAAAATTGGCCAGGCGTGGTGGCGGGCACCTGTAGACCCAACTACTCTGGATGCTGAGGCAGGAGAATGGTGTCAACCCAGGCGGTGGAGCTTATAGTGAGCCGAGATCGTGCCACTGCACTCCAGCCTGGGCGACAGAGCAAGACTCTGTCTCAAAAAAGAAAAAAAAGTCCTTGTTGGCAGTTCTAACACCTGGGTTATCTCAGGGTTGGTCTCTGTCTTCTTTGAGAATGGGTTACACTTTCCTTGTTACTTTGTATGTCAAGTAAATTTAAAGCTTATTCTGAACATTATGAATATAGTCTTTGGAGACTATGGATTCTGAAGTATTTCTCCAAAGAATGTTGTTTGGTTTCTTTTACTATTGTTGCTCTTTTAAGCCGGCAGTTTGCTTGACTGGACTCAAATTGCCAGTGGTCTTTTGGGCAGGAGCTCAACTGTGTGTTCAGTTGTTCAATCCTTCGCCGTGTTACCCCACACACGCATGGTTTGTGGGTCAGCCAGAGATTTGGGTGAAGTTTATACCAGAATTAGGACCTTCCATCTCTGGATCACTCATTTGTTTTTGTTTTTTGGTAGTTTGAATTATGCAAGGAGGATTCAAACCTCTAATTCCAGATCTGTTCAGAGAATCATATTTAAGAAGGGTATATGAATATATTAATTTTCATCCTCCAAAATATTCAATCCTTGTGTTCAAACCATGCCAAATGATTCCCTGACTGTCAGTTACAAAACATACTTTATAGTTTTTGTGCTTTTACCCAAATACTTCACTAAAGACCTAATCGGTATGACTTCGTAATTTTCAGAAACACTGTGTGACGTTGTAATTTTCAGAGACCAATTATCTTCTGTGTAGCATTTACTGCATGCTGTATCATCATTACTGCCTATCTGACTACAGCCAGTACATTTCACTGAAGGGAGAGGTTCTGAGAAATATCCTGAAAGGGTTCACAAAGAGTCCACATTCCTTCGTATGACTTTGAAAGTGAAAAATACTATATTGCAGGTGGTTGATTTGATACCAGCGAACCCTGCAGGAAACCCAGAGTTCTGGCCTGCTACCAGCAGGAAATAATGGCCTTTTTGCCACCTAAGTAAGCTCTAGTTGTAACAAGATTCTCTGAAGGGGAGGATTGTGAACAAGCGCGTGTGTGTGTGTGTTTAAGCTGTCCCTCTCAATACCCTCAAATGGAGCTCAGAGAACACAGAGCCTTTTCCACTAATGTCGTTACTTTCTCTTTTCAAACTTGGCCCCAAACTTGACCGTAAAATTAAAGGACTAGTATCATCATCAATCAAGCCTCAGATGCTTTCATTACATGCTTAATAACTTTCTGGGGAAATAATGACCTCAGGAAAGAGAATACTTGTGACGGGGATGTATTAAATGAATTAACTACAAAACTATTAATCACAAAACAGCGTTGGGCCAGGTTTCCTAAGTAAAATGAAAATGGATTATTTGCCAAATTAAACTTAACTTAAAAGAGCTTCTTAATTTCTCTGAAGTTAATGGAAACACAGTGGTCCCAAGCCTACATCTGCATCTCTTGTTTTTTTCTTCCCCAGAGTTGTTTTTTTTTTTTTTTAATTGCGTTGGAAGATTAGAGACAGTCCTCAGCCTGCAGTTTATGCACTAACATTATGTCTTGTCTGCCCCTAAATGCTTTGCACTGAGACTTGCTCTTAAAGTTTCTATTATTCAGGCAAGCTCACAGCAATGTGTATTTGCTCTTTTCAGTAACATCCTGGACCTGCGTCATTATAAATTTGATACAAGTTATCCACAAATCTACACATGGATTTTTCTTCAACAATATGATCCTCCCTCTCTCCCCATATTGCTTGGTTGTATACACTTGTCATCTACTCCTGAACTCTAGCACGCACAGCTCCAGTAACCTACTAGCTTGTCACAAGTGTTTCCACTGCTATACAGCTCAGTTAACTTCACCAGCAGCTGACTGCCTTCCAGCCATTGAATAGAAATAGATTTTCCTTCAACTTGAGAACTCCCCAGAGATTCCAGAACATAATGCTTTCCTCCAAGAACTCCCCACCAAGACACCATTTTGAAGAAAATACAGAGGGACAAAGGAAAGCCTAGATTCTCTGGTGTATTCTAAATTTTCAGCACAGCTGGTCGTGGATTATCCAGCTGTGGATGGAATCCCTGAGTATAAATGCCAACCCTCTGGCGCCATCTTGTGTCATTACTGAGGAAGAAAATACTCAACAATCTCCAAAGATCCAACTACAGTCATCACCTTCCCTAAGTGTCCATGGAAGATCTAGAATAAGTGTCATAGATCATAAAAGTAAGAGCAAATATGTAGAAAGATAACTATGTACAGGTACTGATTTAAACACTCTACATGTATTAACTCATTTAATCCTCATAACAGCCTGTGAGGTAGATACAATGACTATTCCTATTTTACAGATAATAAAGTAGATGCAACAGGGATTAAATAACCTGCCCCAGGTCACACAGCGACTAAATAGTAGTCCAGGTTTGAAACCTGGTTCTAAATCTGTGTTCCTAATACTTATACTTTTCTGCCTCATTATATGGAAGCAAGGTTTATTTTCTCTTGTATTGAGTGAGCTTCACTTCTATTTATAGTATTAAAGGAAGGGAAGGTCTGCGAAAGTACTTTGAAAGGGAAGTGCTATCCAAATCCAGAATTATTCTGAGGATCTCGTTGGCCACCTGCCTCAACAATGGCATCATGGGATGGGAAAAGGGAGTTGATGGACAGAGGCTCCTGTCCAAGTGAACAAATTTACATTGCTGGGCACAAAACCTGAGTCTTTACCACCAAAAGCTGTCAGGAGCCCTCCTGTGCCACCAGATGCTAGCAAGAAATGCTGTCAGGATGCATCAGGGCTATTTAAAATGTATGACTATTTCTGTTTTCTTGTTAGGAGGGCCTCACGTCAAAGTACAGTTTCAAGCCTTACACCTCATGGTCATGGCGCTGCCTGATGCCAACAGAGATGCAGCTCAGGTACGTCGTGTCCACCTCACAGCTTGTCCTGGGGCTCTTATTGCTCAGAGGACATGGCTCATATAGGAAAATGAAAGTGGAGATGACAGCTCACTGAGCCACCTGAGCATGCTGCAAACACACGGCCTTTCTGTGCTCCCACTGCCCTTCTCCTGAGGAAGACAAGAAAGAGTGGAGATCTTGGTATCTTGTTTTTTTTTTTTTTTTGAGAGACAGAGTTTTGCTTTGTCACCCAGGCTGGAGTGCAGTGGCACGATCACAACTCACTGCAGCGTTGACTTCCCAGGGCCAGGTGATTCTCCCATCTCAGCCTTCCAAGTAGCTGGGACTACAGGTATGTGCCACCACACCCAGCTCATTTTTTGCAGAGGCAGGGTTTTGCCATGTTGCTCAGGCTGGTCTCCAACTCCAGGGCTCAAGTGATCCTCCTGCCGCAGCCTCCCAAAGTGCTGGGATTACAAGTGTGAGCCACCACGCCCGGGCGGTATGTTCTTAAACATTTAAGTTTCATTCACTCCATTCATCCCAGAGATGTTGACTGTCTATCCTGTGTCAGGCATTGGGCAAGGTGTTAGGAGTAGAAGAGGCAAAAATGAAGGCTTAAATAGAACAATGTCATAAGTCAATAAGACCATTATGTAACTTGTAAAATAGATTCTATAATTGCTGGTCCTCAACTACTCACATTAGTCTGGTGTACTGAAGTGGAAAGAAAACTCTGATGAGCGTCCTCAGGGAGGAATTTGAAATCACTGGTTTAAATTTCTAGCATGTTCACGTTTTTAAATTTGTGAAAATAATTCAATTTAAATAGTTCTAGAATTTCAGAATTTTAGAGATCATCTGATAGAATTTGGTCATTTTACATATTAGGAAAATGAAGCAGAAAAGTGGTTTCTCCACTGATATATAGTAGAACATTTGATAGAATCATATTCTATAGTTTCATCCCCAATTTTTCTCTCTTTATTTCACATTCATTCTTTGCTGTATGTTGGTAAAAATCAAAGTTTCTCTTGCTCTCTGGATAATCATTCTATATACAATAGGAAATTTGTTTTAAGTACAACAGGTATTTGGAATCTTTGAAATGAAATTGAGATAAGGATGAGTTGAAAAGAGATGGTAATTTTGAGGCCAGTAAACATAATGCTGAAAACAAAGATGGTTCTTAGTGCTGCCTCTTATCAGACATTTCAGTGTGGTAAGGACCTTCCTCCTACACAGCGAAAATATCTATGTCAATTATAATATATGTCGGTCATATTAGATGTATCCTTGAGGCAAGGACAGAGATCAGCTATGACATAAAAATGTCCTTTTCTAATATAATTCAATAATTTTTCAAAAACTGAAAATTTATTAGCTTGTTTTTTCGCTTTGTCTACAGAGTGTTCTTTTATCAAAAAAAAATTCATCTGTTATCAAATATCTGAGTCAAAATGTCATCTACCCTTTCATACAACTGAGGATGCAGCAATTATCAAATAATTCAATACATTTCTAACAAAAGGTCCCCCCAGAACATCACGGGACTGGTGAGGATGTTACACACATGCACTGTCTCTCTCTCTCTCTCTGTCTCTCTAATTTTTTATTCTAAATTGTGACTGGAGCTAGGATTGCAGCTGGTGTGGGTTAGAGGTCAAGAACTCTAGCTGAAGAATTGGTTCCCTTCGTTCAGATCCTGGCTCTGCCACTTAAGCTGAACAAAGCTGCTCAGCCGCACTCCACCTCGGTCTCTTCATCTGTAAAATAATAATAGTACCTACCTCACAGGGTTTGGAATAATGATGAGTGAATATATATAAAGTACTAAGAGTAACGCCTGGCTCACAGCAAACCCTCAAATGAATGTTAACTATTATTACTATTTAGTGCTGTTTTTCTCATTGCAAATACTGTACAGTGGAATTCAAACTTGGAAAACCAAAGAGCACTTCTTTTGGGGATTTCAGTCGTCTTGGTGAATTTAGTATTTATACTTTGATAGCACAGCAAACTTATATTAAGCTTTCTCAATTCTTTATTTTTTTTAATGCTTAGAAGACCTGCACACAAACATTTGCTTTTGGCCAGCTGTCAATTTCAAAGTTGAAAAGCAATAGAAAAATAGCACCCAAAAATTCAATTTTTTTATTGTTTAGTTGAGTTTACATTTGGGCTGAGGAATGAGATACTTATGTTGTTTAAATGAATTTTCCTTTCCCTAGGAAATTGTAAATAGTTTTCAACAGCAATGCTTTAAGTTAAGGGTATTTTTCAGAATTACTTTTCTTCCTTCACAGCAAAACAACCTTTCGTGTTTATTGAACTGCAGCATTTTCTCTTCCCAGTTTATATTTAATTTTAACATTTGTCAGACTCTTTTAGGATAAAAGAAAAGAAAATGCAAACCACATTTATAGAAACTGCAATATAATAAAATCCATTAAAATGGCTACTTTCATGAAGCAGACAGTTGAATATACTGCTCACATTTCTTCTCAGTACTTTTAACCAGTTAGAGGGGAAACATGGTACGTTTAACCATTCTATACTTCTGACAGTTCTCTGGCAGCAGAGTGAATGGGAATAGAATGAATGATAGCAATCAGGGGCACTTTTGACAGTGTACAATTGTATGACACAATGCTGTTTCTTCTTAGGCCCTCATGACATTCTTCAATAAAGTGATTGCCAATGAATCAAAAAACCGAATGAGTCTGTGGAACATTTCTACAGTGATGGCACCAAACCTTTTCTTCAGTAGAAGCAAACACTCTGATTATGAAGAATTACTGTTAGCAAACACTGCGGCCCACATCATCCGCCTAATGCTTAAGTACCAGAAGATTTTGTGGAAGGTGAGTGACATAGTGATGACAGGTCCCCCTCAGAAGTCCATGTCCCCAGGAAACATAAAGCCTCCATGATTGGGCAACTCCCTTGGTCATAGGGAAGAAATATGAGAAGATAACCCCAGGTGGCTGTGACAGCCTTACACCTTCTGGAAGGGCTGCTCTTCAACACAGTTTCCCTTTGAAACAGGGATCCACATAATTTTTTCTAAACTTTATAAGGACAATGCCACCATTCCTGGCTCCAGGATACCGAGTGACTGGGAGGAGTTGCCATGCCTGAAGACAATCTGCTAGGGAGTTTGAATTCAAGTGTTTTCCATCCAGTCCAAGCTATTTTTCTTCTCCAGGTTCCATCTTTCTTAATCACTCAAGTAAGAAGAATGAATGAAGCCACGATGCTATTGAAGAAGCAGCTCCCAAGTGTCAGGAAGCTGCTCAGGAGGAAGACCCTCGAGCGGGAGGTAAGACAGCAAATGAGGCATGGCGATTGTCCACTGCCTAGATTTGTACTCCTCAAAGGGGGGCACAAAGTAGCTTGTCATTTAGAACCAAGCATTTTATATTCTCAAGGATCAGGGAGTGTTGTAACTATAAACATCATGGAAAGTGGGTCCATAACAGAGTACCGTGGCCTTTGCATCTTGTTGAGAGTTATGTGCTTTTTGGTTAAAGTTCTTGAAATATCTCAGTCAGGAAGATTGTTTGATATCCCACCAGAAAGGCTAAAATGGTTCTCGCAAAAGCTGAAAGTCAACATTTTAGTCCCTGTCAACTTGATTTAAGGGCAATCCAGTATCCAAATGTCTAATACTTGGGAAAAGAGATTTCTTCATTGATTGGTTAGTAAAGGAATAGCTAATCCTTAAATTATTTTGTGTAACTTCATTGCATTCCAAGGAATTCAGAGTTTTGTTTTAACACAGTTATTTGTGTGGAGGCACATAATGCCAACAAGTTTTAGAAGAATTAACTTTACTGCTTTTATCTAACTTGAGGATGATCACAAGTGCCAGACATTGCATTCAACCTTGAGGAGGATGTGGAGATACTTGAAATTTACTTTGCCCTCAAAGGAACTTACACCTAATGTGGGAGACAAATGTATATGAGAGCCCCAGGGGCCCAGTAGGGAAGCACCAGGCCAGCTGTGCCAGGGCCATGCAGAGGACAAGGAATGTGCTCTAGCGTGGGAGACTGTGGATGGCTTCATTGAGGATGCAACATTGGAGCTACATTTTTTTTTTTTTGAGACAGAGTCTTACTCCTCTGCCTCCTGAGTTCAAGTGATTCTCCTGCCTCAGCCTCCCAAGTAGCTGGGACTACAGGCATGCGCCACCATGCCTGCCTAATTTTTGTATTTTTAGTAGAGACAGGGTATTTTTAGTAGAGTAGGGTTTCACCATGTTGGCCAGGCTGATCTTGAACTCCTAACCTCAGATGATCCGCCTGACTCAGCCTCCCGAAGTGCTGAGATTACAGGCATGAGCCACTGTGTCCTTCCTGGAGCTACATTTCTTTTTATAGAGTTGGAGTCTTGCTCTGTCACCCAGGCTGGAGTGCAGTGGCATGATCATAGCTCACTGCAACCTCGAACTCCTGGGCTCAAGTGATCCTCCTGCCTGAGCCTCTCCAGTAGCTAGGACTACAGATGCATACCACCATACCTGGCTAACTTTTTAAAAAAAATTTTGTAGAGATGGGGGTCTTGCTGTATTGCCCAGGCTGGTCTTGAACTCGTGGCCTCAAGCGACCCTTCCACTTCGGCCTCCCAAAGTGCTGGGATTACAGATGTGAGCCACTGTGCCTGGTTGGAGTTGTATCTTGAAGGATGGATACCACTGTGAAAGGAGGAAGAGTGAAAGTCCAGGGAAAAGGACAGTAAATGCCAAGGCAGTGAGGCAGGAGGGAGTGTTGTTGATTTATCATAATCATGATGAAAGACTGTATTCTCTGACTCATGATAGGCAAAGTGACTTCATATCAAGTAGAACCAATACTTTTATTTAGAAATGAAATTTTAAAAAATTTGTTTTAATTGAGAAAAAATCACATAATATAAAATTCACTATTTTAAGCTTTGAAATTATACCAATTCAGTGTGTTTGAGTATATTCACGATGTCCTGCAACCATCTCGGCTCACTGCAAGCTTCACTTGCCAGGTTCAAGTGATTCTCCTGCCTCAGCCTCCCAGGTAGCTGGGATTACAGGTGCCTGCCATCATGCCTGGCTAATTTTTTAAATATTTTTAGTAGAGACAGGGTTTCACCATGTTGGCCAGGCTGGTTTCGAACTCCTGACCTCAGGTGATCCGCCCGCCTCTGCCTCCCAAAGTGCTGGGATGACAGGAGTGAACCACCACACCCAGCCTGAAGACTTTTTCTGATAAGTCCAATGTCTGGACTTCCTTAGTTTCTTTAGAAACTGTTGCTTTTTCTCCTTGTGTAGGAGCAATATTTCCTTGACTTTTTTTTACCTAACAGCTATTTGTTGAAGACTGGACATTTTGAGTATTATAATGTAGCAACTTTGGAAATCAGATTCTTCTCCCTCCTCAGGGTTTGTTGCTTCTGCTCTTGTACCTATTGTTTGTTTGCTTCATGACTTTTCTCCTGAACTGATTTTGTAAAGTCTGTATTCTTTGTTTTGTGTGACTATGGAAGTCTGTGATCCATTAGGTTAATGATAACTAATGATTAGACAGAGATTCTCTTAAATGTCTGGAACTGAAAAACCTCCCAGTCTTTGCAGATGAGCAGTGTGTGTGCTGGGGCACACCTTTAGCACTCAGCCAAGCAGTTTCTAATTCTGCCTGAGTCCTCACTTCCTGCTTGCACAGAACCTGAGGATCAGCCAGAAGTTTATGTTTTCAGCTGTTTCTCAATCATATGGCCTTTATATTCTCAAGAATATGTTAAGGCTTTTTACAGCCTTTATTTTCCAAAGCATCTCAGTCTCCAGCCTTGCCTCCCAAGCTTTTTAGTTATCTCTTGTTTTCCTCAATTTCTTCTGATCCACTGCATCAGGCAGCTGTGACAAAAACACTTGCCTGTAAACGTTTTTGACATTACACCCCTCTAGCACCCATCAAGTTCCAAGTTAGGCAAGGTAAAGGCAAGCCTTTTGAGCCAGTCTTTGAGGGAGCCACCAGACAGATGAGAACAAATCATTAGACTTCTTGAGTGAGGTCCATTCTGCTCCCTGCCAGTACCCATGCCAGAAATGCAGGCTGTTATTTTCAAGGCTATCACTGAACTGGAGAGCAGGGATGGAAAAGCATAAGTAAAAATGACACACAGCTCTTCCTCTTACTTAAGCACTCCCCTAGTTGAAGCCTTTGGATTTGTATCCAGAATTCTAAGAGTCAATACTGACAGTTTTTGCCAGTTCATCCATTGCTTTTATGGAGGGGCAGCCATTTTCACTCTGGAAAACCATAACAGTATAATTAAATGTGTGGAACAGAGGTCAGGTCAGGCCTTGTCAGTTACTACCCATATGAGCCTGGACAAACTACATTCTTTTTTTGAGCCTCAATGTTCTCATCTTATAAATTGGGAGGGAGGGCAGATAATGATCTATCTGTTTCATAGAGCTGTCATTAGGATGGACTCACGGTGTGTGTGTGTGTAAACTGTACATTGCTATATCAATGTCACTTTAATGTTTTATTGTAAATAGAACCAAGATATGGTATTTATAAAGGTTATAAATACCATAAAAGCAAACACTTAAAGACAAAGAAATAGTTTTTCTTTCGTACTATTGTACTATATTGCTTTTTGGTTTTTTTTTTTTTTTTTGAGATAGAGTCTTGCTCTGTCACCCAGGCTGGAGTGCAGTGGCGCGATCTCGGCTCGCTGCAACCTCCACATCCTGGGTTCAAGTGATTCTTCTGCCTCAGCCTCCCGAGTAGTTGGGACTACAGATACGTGCCACCACGCTCGGCTAATTTTTTTGTATTTTTAGTAAAGACGGGGTTTCACCGTGTTAGCCAGGATGGTCTAGATCTCCCGATCTCATGATCTCCCTACCTTGGCCTCCCAAAGTGCTAGGATTACAGGCATGAGCCACCATGCCCAGCCACTATATTGTGTTTTTATTTTTTAATTTTGATTGGAATAGACAGTTCATTAACAAGTTATAAATTTAGAAGTCAGGAAAGACCATAGAATAAAAATCAGCCACTTCTGACTTCCCCTCCTGGAGACAAATAGTATCACCAACGGCAGGGTGTGTGTACAGGAACATGCAGGTGTATAAACCTTCTGAGATGCTCTATCTGCTTACCAGCAAATATCAGTGTATGTTCTTTCCCCTTTAACATGAATGTAGCATACAGGAAACACTGTCCTGCATCCTGCTTTACTGACTTAACAAATCATGGGGATTATTTTATATCAGTCCACAAAGCCAGCACCTTTGCTTCTCTGCTTCTTTTGCGTGCTATTCCATAGACACACAATAAGTTATTTCAGCAGTCTCATATTGGTGAACAGTGTGTGTCTGATCTTTTGCTGTTACAATCTGTGTGTCAGCAAACAAACATCTATATACATCATTGTTCACAAATGAAGTATATTTATAGGATAAATGCATAGATGTGGAGCTGTTGGATTAAAGTGCATATACATTTTATAATTTTATAAATATTGCCAAAATGTTCTCCATAAAGATTGTACCAGTTTACACTTCCAAAAGCAACATATGCTTGTTTTCTCAACATTACTCCTAAAGACTGTGTTTCTTTTAGACTGCAAGCCCCAAGACTTCAAAGGTACTGCAAAAATCACCCTCGGCAAGACGAATGGTAAGAAAAATAATTTCTTTTCCCTTCCATTAACTCCCTATATAGTCTTCTCTGGCGACATCCACCACATTTATGTATAATGTTGGTCATGAACTATCCTTCAAACTTGACATTTTCAATGTGGCACATAAAGGAATGGTAGAGGGACCTGACTAGCTGATGATTCAGAATGTGTGCCTGGGCCTCCTATACACAGCTACAATGCTGTGGAAAGTTATAGGAGGAATAAGATTATTGCAGTCATCGGTAAGTAATGTCAGAGTGTGCAACGTATTGTATACGGAGAGGCTTCTGGGGAGCTGGATGAAATAAGACATAGACGATCAAAGGTGAACTTTAGGAGTACAGTCTTGGCTGCAATGAGCCTGGGACTTGGCTCCCACCCAGATCCAAATCCCTCGGTATCTTTTCCTGAACTCCTGCTCTCATGGTCCTTGCTGGTAATGTTAGGAGAATACTGTAAGAACTGACTCTGTTCTAAAATATTTTGTGTTAGTTCCCTAGGGCTGCCCTAACAAGGTACCACAAATGAGCTGGCATAAAACAATAGACATTTATGATTCTTTCACAGTTCTTGAGGCTGAAAGTCCAAAATCAGGGTGTCAGCAAGCTTGGCGCCTTCTGAATGCTGTGAGAGAAGCACCTGCTTCTTGCCCCTCTCCTCACTTTTGGCGATGCCAGTAATCCTCGGCATTCCTCAGCTGGTCTCAGCCTCCATCTTCACATGGTGTTCTTTCTTGTGTCTCCATGTCTCTTCTCCTCTTACAAGGATGCAAGTCACTTGGATTAAGGGCACTCCCTACTGCAGTTTAAACCTCATATGTAATGGCCTCATCTTAACTAATTACATCTGCAATGACCTATTTCCAAATAAGGTCACGTTTCGAGGTATTGGGGGGTTAGGGCTTCATTTTGTCTTTTGGGGAGACACAGTTCAAACCATAACATATTTATTCTAGGATATCAATAGAACATTGATAGAATGTGACTCTAGGGAGTCCATTTATATAAATCGTGTACATCACCATCCTTTGAGAAGGTACAGATTTAAAACAATTAAGAAACACTATCTTTCCCACAGCCACCTACACTGCCCTGCAGTGTTTTCAGCACACTTTGAGAGGTCCCGTTTCAAGTGCCCATGTGGAATTGAATTTGGACCAGCCATTCATGGCTGCTAACTAAAGAAATAGGGTATTGGAGAAGCCATATTTTCTAACTGACTCTTAAAATTTTCAAAAGGTTGGTCTTCTTAAAATATATTGAAGTACAGAATTATGCTTAAAGCAGGTTCAGTTAGGAATTTGTTCAAGAAATGCATAAATAGAAACATTTGATTTTTGTCATAACCCAGTTTTTCCCCCTTAAGATTTTAAGTCATTATAGCAAGACCTGACCATGTGCAGTGAAAGTAAAAACCCAGGTTAAGTTTAGTCATGAGTGAGTCTCCAGCTGAGAAAGAAAGTAATGTTCCATTCTGGTTAATGTTGATCATAGTGATGTGTTTTCCTAATTCAGAGTAGCACTGATTTTCATATCTCTTAAGTGCATCATTGAGCCGATATTCATCCTAGTTTGACAGACTGTACTGAATTTCTCCTCCTTGGCAGTCTGACGTGCCGGAAGGAGTCATACGGGTCCATGCTCCACTTCTCTCCAAGGTGTCCATGGCCATTCAACTCAACAATCAAACCAAAGCCAAAGACATATTGGCAAAATTTCAATATGAAAACAGGTGAGTCAATGTGAATGAAGGTCTCTGCACAAGAAGGAAAAACCTTTATCAGATGAATAACTTTCTAGGCATTTACAAATTTGACCTTTTGTAAAATATAGAACCTGTTGCTTTAGGGAGTTTACCAGTGGATTACGAGAATAAAAAGAGAATGAAGTTAGTAGATATATGATTGCTAACAACAAAAGTTGTTTTTCAAAGGAATTTCTAGAAATGGGATTCTTAATAGGTATTGTCTATCTTCGTAGCTTCATTTATTCAGTGAGTTTTACCTTTTATTTTATTTTATTTTATTTATTTTTTGAGATGGAGTTTCGCTCTTTTTGCCCAGGCTGGAGTGCAATCGCGCAATCTTGGCTCACTGCACCCTCCGCCTCCTGGGTTCAAGTGATTCTCCTGCCTCAGCCTCCTGGGTAGCTGGGATTACAGGCACGCACCACATGCCTGGCTAATATTTTTGTACTTTTAGTAGAGACGAGGTTTCACCATGTTGGCCAGCCTGGTCTGAAACTCCTGACCTCAGGTGATCCGCCCACCTTGGCCTCCCAAAGTGCTGGGATTACAGGCATGAGCCACTGAGCCCAGCCGAGTTTTACCTTTTATTCGAATGAAAATATAGCAAGTTAGTTTTGTAGATATCTTGATAGTCCTTCAGGAATAACATTTTCCTAGGCTTGCATTGACTTTAACATGCCTGTATCAGATAGACATTATGTAGTTAAGTGGATACCATAGCTGTTACTTTCCTTTAAACATACTAATAATAATTCTTAGAATCAGAATGATACTTACAAAAATTATTTTTGCAAATCTGCCATGATCACCTTAAAGGGGCGCAGATCATGACAATTTTTGTCTGGACATGCTTACTAAAGAATAAACATTTGTCTTCTTGTTTATAAAGGATGAGAAGCACTCATTTATCCATTGTAGAGCATGTATGATTTGCTGTCTCTAGTGAGACTGATGGATGGCCTTAAAATGAAGCATTCCAATCATGTTGAAAAGAAGTAGCCTTGTTGAGCAAAAAAGCCAACTGTAAAAGTTAACATATTGCATGATTCCACTTATATAACATTTTTTAAATTAAATTTTATTGATGGAGACTAGATTAGTTGCCAGAGGTTGGGAGGGATGATTTGGAAGGGAGATGGTTTTGGTCACTAAAGGCCAACATGAAGGACCCTTATGGTGTTGGAACTTGTGGTGCTGGGATCTTGACTGTGGTGATGGATAACTGACCCTCTATAAAATTCTACTGAAATTAATACACACACACACAAATGAGTATAAGTAAAACTTGGAAATCTGAATAAGATAGGTAGGTTGTATCAATATCAGTATCCTGATTGTGACATTATGCTGTAGTTCTGTGAATTGTTACCATTGTGGAAAATGGCAGAATACAAAGAATCTCTCTGTATTATGTCTTAAAACCACATGTGAATCTACAATTATCTCAATAAAAATTTAATTTAAAAGAAAAGTAGCCAGTAAAAGTCATCTATGGTGTGAGGTAAGGACGGTAGTGTTTCTACCATCAGGAGAAAAACTTGAGAGATGGGTGCACCAAAATCTCAGAAATTACCACTAAAGGGTGTAGTGGAAGGTAGGGGGTGGAGGAAGGCATAGTGACCAGGAAGGCATGCTGATGGCCTCAAACGTTTTTTTTCTCCTTTTGGTATTAGATTATATGATGTGTTCACTTTGTGAAAATTCATCAAGTTGTATACTTCTGACTTGTACATTTTATATATAATATATACACATATACACACACACATTAACCCGTTTTCCACTTGCTCCAAGAATACTGCACTGGCAGCGAGCTGCACTTTCCTTCCTAAATGGAAAATGGGTTAAAAAAGAAAGAGAAGAGTCGACAGAGACCAACAGGAGCCCCAAACATGTATTCCTCTTCACTATTGGCCTGGACATCTCCACATAGGCAGTCATATAGAGACTTGAAATATCATTCAAGGGATTTGGGTATCCAGTAGACTTTTAGTTACATATACTACAAAACTGACTTTGTACTCTCAAGTAGACCTTTCGTAGAAAGAAAATGTTTCTAATAAAAATGTATTAGAACTAATGACTGCAGAGAGACTCAAATCTTTTATAACAACTTGTTCAAAAAATCTTAGTAACTCAGGAATGGAAAACCAAACATCATATGTTCTCACTCGTAAGTGGGAGCTAAGCTGTGAGGATGTAAAGGCCTAAGAATGACACCATGGACTTTGGGGAGTCAGGGGCAAAAGGGGGAAGAGGGTGAGGGATAAAAGACTATAAATTGGGTTCAGTGTATACTGCTTGGGAGATGGGTACACCAAAATCTCAGAAATTACCACTACATAATTTACTCATGTAACCAAATACCTGTTCCCAAAAAACCTATGGAAAGAAAAAACTTTTAAAATAATAATAATTACAAAAAAATCTTGCCCTATCCATTCTCTTTACTTGTTAGAACTATGGCCTATTTCAGTTTAAGTGTTGTAAACTGGCCCCAATTTTGCATCTTTCACTAGAGGCTTATTTCTGACTGCCTACTCAGACCCCCGTGTGTTTAAGTTAAAAAAGGAGGGAGAAGCCCCATTCCTTCCAGGTACTCTCCCTTACAACTAGAAAACCCTGGATAGTAACACAACAGAAAGCAGAGAAAGACTCTGAAAGGTGGAAAGAAGAGGCCTTGAGAAATGACACGGTGGTGAGTTCTGGGAGTTTCCTTATCACCTCCCACGTATCCCAGACAGAGCACTGCGGAAACTTCCAACCTGCAACTGACAACAGGCACAGATGAAAAAGAGCTCTAAGGAAAGCCTAGCCAAAGGATTAGGTAAAGAGGTGGCCTAACCACAGAAAACCTTTCTGGCAATATCTGCCCTACTCCAGCCAAACACCAATAGAAAAAACACGCCACCACCCCATGGTTTCGGTGGATCCAAGCAGGGAATGGATCTGCCATCCACCACCTGCCACCTAACACAACCAAGTGGGTGGTCTGATTCCAAACCAGGGTCATGTCTGCAGGGTCCTGCAGTGAGCTAAGTTTTCACCTTCACCCAGCAGCAATGAAACACAGCAGCAGTGAGGCAGTGCAAGGCAGGCCATTTAGCACAAATGTCAGTAAGGCCCTGAGGGAGCTGAGCCTCTTCCCCCAACCACATGAGCAAAACTGAACAAGGCAGGCCAAAGCAGAGGTTCCCTGGTGCCCTTACTAGTACCAGTAAGCCCCAGTGGGGAGCTGAGCCTCCACCTGACACCTGGTGGAAAGGGTTAGGATGTGGGAACAATTGACACTCTGCTTCCTCCCCTCCTCTTTTCTGGTGTCAGTGGGGCCCAGTGAGGAGCTGAGCTTCACCTGCAGCCTGCAGCAACAAGGAAGTGTTAGCTTCTGTTTTCCCCCACCCTGGTGGCAGCAGAGCCCAGGAGGGAGCTGATCTTACACTCCCAATTGGAGACAATGAGGCAGAGCCAGTTGGTGTCCTGCTTTCAAAGGGCCCAGCAAGAAGCTGAACATACTTGCCCACCCAGACCTTATGCTAAACCTCATCAGGAAGACTACATGCCAAAAAATGAAAATTAAATAAGCCCCAGAGTCTCAACATATCATATCCAAAATGTTCACAATACAACCCAAAATCACTCATAAAAGCAAAATCACATGAATGAGAAAAAACAAACCACGAAGTCAACACTAAACTAAATCAAATTTTAGAATTTTCTGACAAGAATTTTATAGCAACTATCACAAAAAGTACCTCCACAAGCAATTGTGAATTCTCCTGAAACAAATGAAAAAGTAGAAAATATCAGCAAAGAAATAGATGTTCTTTAAAAATACAACAAATGGAAATTTACAGAACTGAAAAATGCAAAAACTGAAGTAAAAAACTTGCTGAATGGGCTCAGTAGTAGGGTGAAGATAACAGCGGATAGAATTAGCAAACTTGAGGACATGTCAATAGAGTTTATCGATTATGAACAACAGAGAGGAAATAAACCGGAAAAAAAAAATGAACACAGCCTCAGGGACCTACGGGAGTCTAACAAGTGAGCTAAATATCATACAATCAGCGTCCCAAAAGGAAAGGAAATACAGAGTGAGACTGAAAGAATATTTGAATGAATAATAATGAAATACACCCCCAATTAGGAAAAGGCATCAAACTACATCTTCAAGAAACAGTGAACCCAAATGGGATAAACCAAATCTAAACCAAAATAGTATGATTAAACTTGTAAAAATTAAAGACAAAAATCTTTGAAATATCCAGAGAGAAATGAGGACACCAATTCAAATAATAGCAGATTTCTCTTCGGAAGCCATGAAGGCTGGAAGGAAGTGGCATAACATTTGTCAAGTACTTAAAGGAAAGAACTGTCAACTGTGAATTCTATATTCAGCAAAAATGTCCTTCTGGAAATGAGGGGGAAATAAACATTCTCAGATGAAGGAAAACTAAGAGATTTGTTGCTAAGAAACTGACCCATAAAGGATGACTGAAGGAAGTTCTTAAACAGAAAGGAAATTATAACAAGGCTTAGAACATCAAAAAGGAGAGGAGAACATCAGAATGGGTACAAACAGGGCTATAAACTATCCTACTTCTCATGCATTTTTTAAATCACATTTGATGAGAGAAGCAAAAATTACATCATCTGATACATTGCTCAGTGTATGTAGAGGACACACTTAAGACAATTACATTTTAAAATGGTGGTGCACCCCCACTCCCTAAGTGGTCTATGCAGAGTGACTTCCTTCCAAAAAATAGTGTGTAAAAAGGGAAAAAGCAACTGTACAGCCAAGAAATCTGACCTCAGTTAGGTGATCGGGTTAATATTAACAGTGATGAGTCATGTTGATAGTATGTTGATAGTATCAAGGTACACCCTTGATATGATAAAAAAAAAAAAAAAAACAGCCCTTTATCTCTGTGGTCTTCCTGCCAAGAACACATAATTCCAATCTAAACATGAGAAAAATATTAGAAAAATCCCAATTGAGGAACACTCTACAAAGTGTCTGAGCAGTACTCCTTGAAACCGTTCAGGTCATCAAAACTAAGGCAACTATGATAAATTATCAGAGCAGTCTAAGGAGACCTGACTACTATATTAGTTTCCCAGTGCTGCCATAACAGATTACCACAAATTGGGTAGCTTAAAAGGTGGAAATGTATTCTCTCATAATTCAGGAGTCCAGAAGTCTGAAATAAAGATGTCAGCAGGGTTGATTCCTTCTAAAAGCTCAGCAGGAGAAACTCTGCCATGCCTCCCGCATAACTTTTGGTGGTTGCCAGCAATCTTGGCATTCCATGGCTTGAGACACATCATTTCAATCTCTTCTCCCATCTTCACATCATCTTTACTCATTTTAGGTGCTCCCTAAATCCAGGATGATTTAATCTCACAATCTTTAATTACATCTGCAAATACCCTATTTCCAAATAAGGTCAAATTATGAACTTCAGGGTGGGCATGAATTTTGGGGGACACTGTTCAGCACCGTGCAATTACTAAATGTAATGTGAAATTCTGGATAGGATCCTTGAACAGAAAATGAACATTAGGTTAAAATGAAGATAATCTGAATAAAGTATGGACTTTAGTTAATAATAATGTATCAATATTGGTTCATTAATTGTAACAAATGTACTATATTAATATTAGATATTTATAATGGGGGAATGGTGTAGGGCATATGGGATCTGCCTATACCATTGTCATAGTTTTTCTGTAAATCTAAAAGAGTTCTAAAATTAAATATTTATTTTAAAATTGTTTCTAGGATCCTACCAGTTTTTTTAAAACCACCACTTTTCAATGCTAGAATAATTTCAGAGTAAAATAGGTAAAATTTAGTTATGCTAGAATATCAGGATTATCTTTCTATTTTAAAAATGAAATCTATGCATACATCAGTGGTCCTCCTTTAACTTATGTGATTTTGAATTCAAAGAACTGATAATAAATAGAACTATTACACTCATTTGAATGGCTATCTTAAAAAATAAATAAATAAAAATAACAAGTGCTGGCGAAGATGAGAAGAAATCTTGTGCACCACTGGTGGGAAGTGGGAATGTAAAATGCTACAGCCACTGTAGAAAACAGTATGGTAATTCCTCAAAACATTACAAATAGAGTTACCATATGATCCAACAATTCCACCTGTGGGTACGTGGCCAAAAAATTGAAAGCAGGGGCTCATGGAGACATTTTACTCTCATGTTCACAGCATTATTCACAATAGTTAAAACATGGAAGCATCCCAAGTATTCATCAACAGATGAACGGATAAGCAAAATATGGTATATACATATAATGAAATATGATTCAGCCATAAAAAGGAAAGAAATTCTGACATATGCTACAACATGGATGACTCAAGAACATTATGCTGATGAAATAAGCCAGTCACAAAAGGATAAACACTATGTGACGCCACTTAAGTTATGGTCAGAATCATAGAGACAGAATAGAATGGTGGTTGCTGGGCCAAAGAGGAAGGGGAAAATGGGGAATTATTGTTTAATAGGCGTACAGTTTCAGTTTTACAGATAAAAAGAGTTCTGAAAACAGATGCTGGTTATGCTTGTACAACATTATGAATATATTTAATACCACTAAACTATACACTTAAAAATTGCTAATGTGATACATTTCGTTATATGTATTTTACCATGATAGAAATATAAAAATTTTTAAAGGAATAAATACAATTAATGTTTTAAGTGTGAGGATAAAGAGAACTAATGAAAGTACACATCATTTATTAGTAAAACATCAATACCAGTAAACTGCAATAAGTTACACATGTACTGTAATATCCAGAGAAACCACAAACAAAGCCATACAAAGCAATATACTCAAAAATTCTGTAAATAAAACAAGATAGAATCCAGAAAGATAGGCTGGGCACGATGACTCATGCCTGTAATTCCAGCACTTTGGGAGGCCGAGGCGGGTGGATCATGAGGTCAGGAGTTCGAGATCAGTCTGGCCAACATGGTGAAATGCCGTCTCTACTAAAAATACAAAAATTAGCTGAGCGTGGTGGTGGGCGCCTGTAATCCCAGCTACTCGGAGGCTGAGGCAGAGAACTGCTTGAACCCGGGAGGCGGAGGTTGCAGTGAGCCGAGATCACGCCACTGCACTCCAGTCTGGGTGACAGCAAGACTCCATCTCAAAAAAAAAAAAAAAAAAAGAATCCAGAAAGATAGACCAAATCCTGGGCCATAAAACAAACCTCAACAAATTTAAAATAATTGAAATCATACAAAGCATCTTCTCTGACTATAAAGGTATCAGAAACTAGATATCAGTAACAGAAGGAGAACATGAAAACCTCTAAACACTTTAAAACTAAACCAGATACTTCTAGATAATCTGCAGGTCAAATAGGAAGTCTTAAGCAAAATAAAAAAAATACCTAGAATGAAAGTAAAACTGTAACATATAAAATTATGTGATGGCTGGACACAGTGGCTCACGCCTGTAATCCTAGCACTTTGGGAGACCGAGGCAGGCGGAATACCTGAGGTCAGAAGTTCGAGAGCAGCCTGGCCAACATGGCGAACCCTCATCTCTAGTAAAAATATAAAAATTAGCTGGGCGTGGTGGCGGGCACCTGTAATCTTAGCTACTCAGGTGGCTGAGGCAGGAGAATCGCTTGAACCTGGGAGGCAGAGGTTGCAGTGAGCCGAAACCACACCACTGCACTCCAGCCTGGGTGACAGAGTGAGACTCCGTCTCAAAAATGAATAAATAAATAAAATTTAAAAAATAAAATTATGTGGGATGCAGCTAAAGCTGTGCTGAGAGAAGAATTTATAGCAGTAAATGCTTATGATAGAAATGAAAGATCTCAAATCAACTGTCCAAGTTCCTACCTCTAAAAACTACAAAAATAAGAGCAAAATATACCCGAAGGAACAAATAAATAAAGATAAGCAGAAATAAGTGAAATTAAAAACAGGAAAACGAGAAAGATCAGTGAAACAAAAAGTTGGTTCTTTTAAAAAACAATAAAATTGATAAACTCCTAGAAAGACTAACAAAGATAAAAGGATGACACAAATCAAGAATATCAAAAACAGGATGGGATATCACTAATATAGTACTTCCATTAAAGGGATAAAAAGGATTACTGTAACAACTTTATAGCTAATAAATTCAAAAACTTAGAATGGACCAATTCCTCAAAAGCCACTAATTACCAAAATACAACCAAAATGAAATTGACTAGCTGAATAGTGCTATAGCCATTAAAGAAATTGAATCTATAATATTAAAGTTTTTAAAACCTCTCCAAGCCCAGATGGTTTCACTGGAGAATTCTAGCAAACATTTAAAGAATTAACACTAATCTAGAACAGTCTTTTCTAGAAAATAGAAGAAGGAGGAATGCTCCCTAACTCATTTTATGAAGCTTGTATTAATACCCTGATACCAAAAAAAAGCCATAAAAAAAAACAAACAAAAGCCCTACAGACCAGTATCTCTCATAAATTTAGAATTTAAAAATTATCAGCAAAATAGCTAATCTAACCCAGCATTTATTAAAAGAATCGTACACCATAAACCAACTGGGATTTTTTTTCAGGCATGCAAGGTTGATTTAACATTAAAAAATCAATCAATGTAATTAGCCATATCAACAGGAGAAACCATAGAGTCATTTCAATTGATACAGAAAAAAGCCTTTGACAAAATCCAACACCGAGTCATGATAAAAACTCTCAGAAAACTAGGAAAAGAGGAGAACTTAACTTGATAAAGATTATCTACAAAACCTACAGCTAACATCATCCTTAACAACGAAGGATTGAATGCTTTCCCTCTAAGAGCACGAATAAGAATGCCCACATTCATCAATCTCATTCAACATACTACTGGAATATTAAGTCACTGTAGTAAGGGAAAGAAAAGAAATGGGAGGCATACAAGTTATAAAGGAAGGAATAAAAGTCTATTTGCAGATGACCTAATTATCTACATATAAAATTTCACAAAATAAAAATTTAAAAAGACCTAGAAGTAATAAGTCAGTTCAGTAAGATCACAGGATACAAGATTAACACACAAAAATCAATCACATTGGAACATGTGGAAACCAAATTTAAAACCAAAAGTAAAAACACAATACCCTTTACAGTCACTCTAAAAATAAATACTTAAGTATAAACTTAAGTAAACCTTTACAGGATCTGTACACTGAAAATTACAAAATGCTGGTGAAAGAAATTAAAGAAGACCTAAAGAAATGGAGAAACATATCATTTTCATGGATTGGAAGATAACACAGTAAAGATATCAATTCTCCCCAAATTGATCTATGAGTTTAATGCAATTCCTGTCAAAATTCCAGCATGATACTTTGTAAACATGCACAAGCTTATTCTACAAATATATATGGAAAAGCACAGGCCCTAGAATAACTAAAATATATTGAAAAAGAAAAATAAAGTAGGAGGAATCACTTTACTAGATATTAAGGCTGATTATATAAAAGGTAGAATAATCAAGATAGTATGATATTGGTGGAAGGATAGATACTTAGATCAATGGAATAGAATACAGAACCCAGAAATTGACCTACACAAATAGGCCCATCTGATTTTTAAAAGATTTTTATTGTAAACTATACATAACATAAAAGTATGTTTTAACCATTTCAAAGGGACAGTTCAATAGCACTAAATACATTCACATTGTTGTGCAACCATCACCGTCATTCATACCCAAAATCTTTTTCTCATCCCACACTGAGACTCTATACCCATTCTCCCTGCCTTTAGCCACTGGCAACCATTCTTCTCCTTTCTGTCTCTCTGAATTTGACTATTCCAGCAACTGATTTTGAGAAAACTACAAAAGCAATTTGATGGAGGAAGCCTTTTCAGTAAATGGTGTTGTAGCAATGGACATCCATAGGCAAAAAATAAATAAATAAACCTCGATCTAAACCTCACACCTATTCAAAAATTAACTCGAAATGGATCACAGACTTAAGTGTGTAGTGTAAAACTATAAAACCCTTAGAAAATAATGTAGGAGAAAACATTTATGATCTAAAACTAAAGAGTTCTTAGAGCTTGACATAAAAAATGTGACCCATAAGAAATAAAATTGATAAATTGACCTCACCAAAATGGAAAACTTATACTCTAAAAGACCATGTGAATAGGATGAAAAGACAAACTAAGGACTGGGATGAAATATTTGCAAAACCACATATCCAACAAAGGACTAGTATCTAGAATATATAAATAAAACACTCAAAGTTCAACAGTTAAAAAAACCAAACAATCCAATTTGAAAGTGGGCAAAAGACATGAACAGACACTTTACTAAGGAGATACAGATTACTTTTCACCAAAGAGATAAACAAATGGCAAATATGCCCATGAAAAGATGTTCAACATCGTTGGCCATTATGGAAATGGAAATTAAAACCACAATTGCATATTACTACACACCTGTGAGAATGGCTAAAATAAAAAATAGTGACAACACCAAATACAGGCAAAGATACAGAGAAACGGGATCACTCATTCATTTCTGGTGGGAATGTCAATAGTGCAGTCACTCCATAAAATAGTTTGGCAGTTTCTTAAAAAACTAAATCTCCAACTGCCGTATGACCCAGCACTGACACTCCTGGGCATTTATCCCAAAGAAATGAAGACCATGTTCACACACAAACCTGTTCACAAATGCTGATAGCAGCTTTATTTGTACAGTCAAAAACTGGAAAAAAAAAAAAAAAGCCTAGGTGTCCTTCAACAGGTGAGTGACTACAGAAACTGGCCCATCTATACCATGGAATACTACTCAGCAATAAAAATGCAGCAACTTGGGTAGATCTCTAGGGATTTATGCCAAGTGGGGAAAAAAAGGCAATACAAAAATGTTTCATACTGTGTGTTTCCATTTGTTTAACCTTTGTGAATTGACCAACTTACAGAAATGTAGAATAGGGAAGTGCTGCTGGGGGTGAGGGATGGAGATAGGGTAGGATGGGGAGAAGGAGTGAATGTGGCTATAAAGAGGCAACAGGGGGTGCCTTGTGGGGCTGGAAATGTTCTGCATCTTCCCTGAATGGGTGTCAACATTCTGGTCATGATACTGCACTAGAGTTTTGTGAGATGTTACTATTGAGAGAAATCGGTGTAGGGTGCACAGGATGCACCTGTATTACTTCTTAAAACTACGTGTGAATCTACAGCACCTCAAATGAAAGTTCAATTAAACAAAAAACAACAACAAAAAAAGAGGGCACACTTGCATCTTCCTCACAGTGGAGAGGCCAGGACAATCATTTGAAGTAACCAAGCTGAAAGTCACTCCTTGATGGGGATGGAGGTCAGCGATGGTCATTCAGACTCTTCTAACCCAGCATTCTAGTCTAGGGTGGAAAAATTAAATTGAGCGATAGTTTCCTGTGACTTGCTTTTATTTTATTTTATAGTTTATTTTATTTTGTTTTATTTTATTTTATTTTATTTTATTTTCGAGATGGAGTTTCACTCTGTCGCCCAGGCTGGAGTGCAATGGCACGATCTCCACCCACTGCAACCTCCTCTTCCCGGGTTCAAGCAATTCTCCTGCCTCGGCCTCCTGGGTAGCTGGAACTACAGGCACATGCCACCACGCCCGGCTGATTTTTTGTATTTTTAGTAGAGATGGGATTTTGCCATGTTACCCAGGCTGGTCTCAAACTCCTGACCTCAGATGATCCACCCGCCTCAACCTCCCAAAATGCTAGAATTACAGGCATGAGCCACCGTGTCCGGCCGTGACTTGCTTTTATTATGGGGCAGAGACTTGCAATGAAGTCAGCCTTAGACACCTTGCAAAGCTTGAGGCAAACTGAGAAATGTGACATGGGCTGATAATTCCATTCAATTTTTTGGCAAATGCAGAAATAAAACCTGACTTCTTTTGGATTGAGAGTAATATGGCCAATGACAAGGCAGTACTAAACACGCAGCTGCTCCGTGTCCAGCCTTGATGTGTCAGTAACAGTAACTAACCTGAAATGGAGCAGGCAGCTGTGGCCTGAATGGGCTCTATGTAGTGGAGCACTGCGGCTGCCCATCCTGGTGGGAGCAGTCCCGTCCTCCCTGGGCCTCAGCTTCTTGTCTGTGTCAGACGGAAAAACAATTATTTTTATCATAACTTCAGTCATGATACAGTTTTGTGGGACACATTTCGTCAAGGCAGAATGAATTGTTTGTTGCCTGGTTATTTAACATGCATTTTTACCTCAGATCAGGAAAAAGTACTAAAATTATATTATTTTCTCATTTTTTTCAGTCATGGTTCATCAGAATGTATTAAGATTCAGAACCAAAGGTTATATGAAATTGGAGGAAATATAGGTAAGCATACTGTAATAATTTCTACTGCTAAATTCTCTGATTACTCTAAAAGAAATATGTTGCTATAATCATAAAGGTATGTTTTATGAATTTCTCAGATAAAAACTAAAAATCAGTAGGTTTCTGATATTTTTATCTCATGTGGGAACAGTTGCACAGCTTTTCTAAAATGTTTTCAAAATTTAAATGAGAATATTTTAATGTTGATATGGAGTAGGCTTGGGTCTTTTCTTTTCTTTTCTTTTCTTTGCTTTTCTTTTCTTTTCTTTTCTTTTCTTTTTTTTTTGAGACAGAATCTTGCTCTGTTGCCCAGGTTGGAGTGCAGTGGAGTGATCTTGGCTCACTGCAACCTCCGCCTCCCGGGTTCAAGTGATTCTCCTGCCTCAGCCTCCCTAGTAGCTGGGATTGCAGATGCCCGCCACCACGCCCAGACAATTTTTATATTTTTAGTAGAGACGGGGTTTCACCATGTTGGCCAGGCTGGTCTCGAACTCCTGACCTCAAGTGATCCACCCGCCTCGGCCTCCCAAGGTGCTGGGATTACAGGTGTGAGCCACTGCGCCTGGCTGGCTTCGGTCTTTTCAGTGTGATTTGAAGTTGGAAAGTCTCTCTGGAGACTCTGCAAAACAAAGAGAATACTGTAAGAACTTTCAGAAGCATGACACCATTTTGATTAACTTCCCTATTTTAACTCTCCTCCCAAATTCATTCTTTCTATTTCCCTGGGGGAGCAGGGGAGGAATCAGCAAAACTTCCCCGCTTGGTCTGTGAATATCCTCACAGCCCCATGGGTGCTCCGTGCTCCCACTGAGGGCAGTGCCTCCTCTCACCAGCACCCTCCACTCTCCCACACCATCAGCCTTTCCCTCCCAACTGTAGCATTTCCATCTGCATTTTAAAAATTGGCAATTTCCCTCACCTTTATAAAATTATTTCTTCACCCCCCTTTAAGTCTACTCCCATTTCTCTGTTCCACCTTACAGCAAAAGCTTCTTGAATCAGTGTCTACGCTCCAATTTCTTCCTCCTTGTTATCTCTTGAAGCCACTCCAGGCACACTCTGCCCCTCAGCACTTCACCAGAATCACCCTCTTGTCATGGTCACCAGACAACTCGTCTGTTTTTAGAACTGCCTGAGTTGATCTTTCCCTCCTTTGAAGAACACTTTCTTCACCTGACTTCAAGGATGCCCTAAGCTTCTGACTGTCTTCCCACTTTTCCTAGCTGCGCTGCTGGAGACCCTGTGCCCCTTATTTCTTGTCCTCTCAGCCTTTCAAGGTTGGAGAACGGTAGGGTTCAGTCCTCGGAACTCTCCTGTATTTGCACTTGCCTTCCTTGGCGAGCTCAATCCATCTCACTGCTTTAAATACACCTGTATGTGGATGCCACTGAGATTTCTATCCCACGGGTCCCTTTAAACACTAAACCTGTAAATCCAATCACCTGACAGGGTTGGATCTGGGGCCTCTGCATTTGCTCTGACTTTTCCCCAGGATGCCCTCCCCCCAGACAGCCTCACTTCTCAGTCCCTGGTCTCTGCCAGGTCTTTGCGGATAAATCAGCCTCTCAGCGAGACCCTCCTTCCTCGCACCCTCCCGAACATGCCTTCCATGCTTGGTCTTTCTCTCATGTTCTTATCACCAGTGGACTTACTTGATATCATGTTTGTTTGTTAGTTGCCTTGTGCTGCTCTTAGACATGGCTGTAAACCCAGCCCCTAGAATAGTGCCTGGCGCATTATTAATATGTGGTAAGTGAATGAATCAAGCAACCTAGCACTCACACAGCTCTTGGTAGTTTTGTTTTTTTGTTTTGTTTTGTTTGCTTTGTTTTTTTTTTGAGACGGAGTCTCGCTCTGTCGCCCAGGCTGGAGTGCAGTGGCGCGATCTCGGCTCACTGCAAGCTCCGCCTCCCGGGTTCACGCCATTCTCCTGCCTCAGCCTCCGGAGTAGCTGGGATTACAGGCGCCCATCACCACGCCCGGCTAATTTTGCTAGAGATGGGGTTTCACTGAGTTTGCCAGGATGGTCCCGATCTCCTGACCTTGTGATCCGCCCACCTCGGCCTCCCAAAGTGCTGGGATTACAGGCGTGAGCCACCGCGCTCGGCCAGCTCTTGGTAGTTTTGTTTGAGACTTCAGCATACATTTCAAGCACACTGCACGTAAAGACTTTCGAATACGTTTGCCCCAGGAAATGATCTTTTAGTTGTTACCATTTTGGGATTTCCTGCCCATGGGCTTTACGTCCATAGTAAAGAAACAAAATGACCATTCCTAAAATGAACTTGACTTGAATCTTCTCTAGCTCTGGTCAAGTACCTATCTATAAAACCACTGGAGGACATGTATTAGCATATAAATGATGAGTTTATATGCTAATATACCTGAAACAAGTTCTTGCCATATTTTTCTTTTCTTTTCTTTTCTTTGAGACGGGATCTCACTCTGTCACCCAGGCTGGAGTGCAATGGTGCGATCTTGGCTCACTGCAACCTCAGCCTCCCAGGTTCAAGTGATTCTCCTGCCTCAGCCTCCCCAGTAGCTGGAATTACAGGCGCCTACCACCACACCTGGCTAATTTTTGTATTTTTAGTAGACATGGGGTTTCACCATGTTGTCCAGGCTGGTCTCAAACTCCTAACCTCAAGTGATCCACCTGCCTCAGCCTCCCAAAGTGCTGGAATTACAGGTGTGAGCCACTGCGCCCAGCCCTTGCCATAATTTTCTAATTGATGCCATGAAGCAAGGGAACAATTTGCCTGTGATGGTATGTCTGCTTTCTTCCAAAATTTCACATGAGATTTGTTTGATATACCCATACTTCACAGTCTTAAAGAAAGAAAAAAAAAAGAAAGGAGAGAGGGAGAAGAGGGAAGAAGAGTTTGTTAAGAAACCTTAACATATGTCTACTTACTTTGGCCAAGAAAACTATATTAACCTTATTTGAACCTCACAAACACACACAGACACATATGTGTGCGCACGCACACACACACAAATGTACACTAATTCTCTGATCTTTCTCTTTCTTTTAGGAGAGCATTGCTTGGATCCAGATGCTTATATATTGGATGTATATCGTATAAATCCTCAAGCAGAATGGGTGATTAAACCCCAACAAAGTTCTTAAAATATCCTCGAGAGAGCTGCTATCATGTATTATATGCCAAAAAGATCCTACATTTTGGTAGGGAAAAAACAACACTGTGTTTGACGTATTTGTTCCTACAGCATTCTCAGTATTTCTGGCCCTCAGCAGTGGGCATTGTAAGCATGAACTATGGAAGAGGCGCCGGTTCACCAATTCAACTGAAGCTTTCTCATGACTTTTTTTTTTATAAAAGTAAAGGAAAGATGATGTGGTCCTTCCAGAAGAAAGACCAATCTAGAATATGGAACTCTAATCACTTCTAGTATTTCAACTTCCTAGCAGAAATGAACTTGGCCCTAGACCTAGGGATAAGCAATGTTCTTTATGTAGCCAATGCTACGAAACAAAAGAGGTGAAAGAGACCCTTTTTTATACTTAATGTACATATATTGACTTTTTGAGCAAGAATGCCAGAAATAGCCTTCATTTCTACCCTGCAAAATAATCCAGATCTGCTTTCTAAAATGAATCAGTTTCTAAAGTGAAACATGCAATATTTATGCTCTGACTGACTCCTGAATTGGAAGAGGAAGAACTTCTGTTTACAGAAAACTGTATTGTTATATATGTCAGGCTGTGTATTGTGACTATCAGCATTCTGGTGCAAATGAACTTTTCTCCATCATCGACTGTGGAAAATTGATACTTTTAAAGCATATTCTTCTATGAGCACAGGTCCTCCTAGTGAAGCTTAGTTTGACAAAGGGTGTCATATGCTTTCCTAACCTGATTTGTAGTTAACATTCACAGAGCCTACATTTTCTCATTACGGTTATGATGCTCAGTATCTTTCCAAGTGCCAGGCACGGGCTTCCTTTTCTGATCAAACATACCATTTTTTATATTTCACAACTATAGACAGTCACTTCTGCAGTCCCAATTTAAAAATGCAGAACTGCTTTATCCAAGAATGCTGAAAAATACTGTTCTATCCAGGTTTCCTAAACTATAAAAGCAGATTTTGCTTTTGTTTGTTAATCATAGGCATGGCCGAGCATTGTGGATTAGCCTGAGGCTTAAAATCAGATGCATGTCTGGTAAGATGACCACTGTCTCACTATCAAGAGCCTGCAGAGCCATTTTCCAGACCTGTGATTGCCCAGAACACATAGTCCCCACGTTTCTAATTTGGAGCAAATCTAAAAGGTGCTGAGGGATTGGACAGCTCTGACTTTCCTCGAGACTATGGATATAGTCCTTCTCAGATTAGCTGGAAATGGGGACAGAGTTCTCATTTATCCCAGATATATACATTGGCTTTTTTGGAATCTATAGATTGAGATTTTGATGAATTTATATTGGTTTTAATGAGACCCAAATGACTCTCTCTTAACAATTCAAGCAGTAGACAAAGTTGCTCACAAATACAGAAAACATCTTTTTGTCTACTTCGCAAGTCTCAAAACGTGATAATATTTAAGCCCATTTGTAGAAGAAATCTTGTATATACTATTATTACACCTTGATATCTATACAAAACATCACTTGTATTAAAATATATAGATAACTTTCTGGCATTTAGAATTTTGTTCCATTCATTTAATTTGTTCATCTGAGAATTTTTTTTTTTGCCTGAAAACCCATTAAAAGAAAACGTGCCTTCTGTATAAGTTTATGTTTATTCCTACATTTTATTCATTTTTAATGTATGGGTAATTGGTGGCACATGACTTTACATAATGACTTTCTAGACTCTGAAAAAAATGCTTTTATCATTTTTGCAATTCAGACAAGGGTAAACATTTTACTTTATGTAATTGCCACATCCCAAGATGTAAAACGGCAGTAATTTATGACCACGTATGGAAGAAATTCTTCAAATAGCTACCTTACATTTCTGCGTATATATGAAAACTGAATGATATTTCTCAGTGTATTTCCTTGCATTTGAATGGTTCAATTCTGTTGTGTTTATGTAGAAAATTCACAAATCTGTTCATTTAATTTTTTAATTTGAGAATTTTTATTTCTTTTGACTGAAAACACATTAGAACCTATGAGTAAATTCTGAAGGTTTTAAGATTTACTTCAGCTTGTCACCAGTTTCAAATAAATCCCTAATAGGTAACAAGTAAAATACAAATTCTTGTCTACTTTCATGTGGTTTTAAATGGCAGGGACTTCGCTGAGTCAGTAAGTATAATCACTCTAGTTTATTCAAGGATGTGTGGCAACTTTCAACTTCCATACGTATATATGTATGTATGGAAGGCCATGTCAATACTAGTATCATTGGATATAACTTTGATTCTTAATCAGAGGGCAAATTCATTAGAGAAGAATTTTTAGTAGATACACAGACTAATATTTGTGTGGAGGTTCTTTTGACCAATTTTATTCCTAAGAATAAACAAACCCCTACAGTTAAAATGCAAAGATGCCTGTCATCTAAGTATTGAAAGAATTTTTGCCTTATCAAGAGTTGTTTTTTAAAAATTTAATAAATTCATAAAAAAGACTCATATCTTTGCAAACAAAAGAAGGGCAGATACTGGGCTTCTACATGCTATCCTTAAGAGCTTCTCCCCCTCACCCATTCCTAGTGCTCTTGGTATACACTTGGGAAAATAATGTCCTCCAGGAGAAAGTGTTAGAGGGAACTAACATTTTAGGAATGCTTATTCAGAAAAAAATCCTAGAGTTGATTCATTGTTTTCCTCCATCCTGCAAAAGAAGATCCCTTTGTTAAGCAGCTCACTTGGAAATATGATTCTTGGAGTCAATGATCTCTAAACAAACTGGATTATCAACTATTTACAACGTCTATACAGTATAAACTACCTCACTTGCCTTTCTTGGGAAAAAAAAAATGAATGGACTTTAACAATTGTTGTTACAAACTGTGCCTGAATCTTATTATTTAAATCACTTCAGTTAGCTTTCAGTGTATGTTTAATAATATACATTTAATGATGAAAAATATTTTCAGCAAAGCTTTAAAACCAGAAATACTGTGTAACTGTGATCTATGTGGTATACTCTGAGAGAATTCTGTGTCCTGCTCATTGTCTTGAGTTTCTAACCATGTGCAGATGCAAGCGTTCAGGAGTAGGAATTAATGTCCATCTTTTCTTTCAGGCATTTTCATCTGCTGTCCACGTATTTCACTTGACTGAAAGCTCATATGAGTTAAAATGTCCCTTCTTCCTAGCGAGCATATTTCAACTGTTCTTCATAAATGTTTATGTGCCTTAAAAGACTTTATGTTAAAGGATTAAATAGTTTCTCTGACAGGCAGTTTTTAACTGTTTTCCACAAATAAAAATAATATGTCATGGGATTAAAATGTTTGTTTTCAAGCATTTTTAACAGTTTTACACACTTACATACACCTTAATTAAAAATTTTTTTCTGTCAGACATTTACCAACTATTTTCTAAAACTAATTTGACAAATCATGACACTAGAAAACGCCAATGTTTTATGTCTTTGCCCATCTCAAAAGCTAATATTGATTCTTCTGTTCCATCAGCTTTCATTGTTAAGTAGAATATGTATGTTGCATTTTATCCATAAGAAATAAAGAGAAAAAAACTAAAAACATTGTATGAGAATTCTTCTACTTCACTATTCCAAGGGCACAGTGATGCTAGGGATGATTTTGCCTTAAGGAAATATTTGGCAATACCTGGAAACCGATGTTGTTTCCAAATGTTCTTGTTTTTGAAGAGTAACTTATCAGTTTTTCAGCACCGGGGCGTGAGAGGATGCTGCCAGCCTCTGATGGGTGAGAAGCCAGGGATGCTGCTGATCCCGCTCCAGTGCACAGGACAGCCCTGCAACATAGAATTATCCAGCCTGGGCCTGGCGCGGTGGCTCACACCTGTAATCCAGCACTTAGGGAGGGCGAGGTGGGCAGATCACCTGAGGTCAGGAGTTTGAGACCAGCCTGGCCAACATGGTGAAACCTCATCTATAGTAAAAATACAAAAATTAGCCAGGCACAGTGGCATTTGCCTGTAATCCCAGCTACTTGGGAGGCTGAGGCAGGAGAATCACTTGAACCCAGGAGGCGGAGGTTGCAGTGTGCCAAGGTGGCACCACTGTACTCTAGCCTGGAAGAAAGAGCAAGACTCTGTCAAAAAAAAAAAAAAAGAAGAATTATTCAGTAGTGCCAAGATTGAATAAACGTGCCCTGAGATAACAAATAAGGTAAGAGTGTCTGTTTTTCCTATTTTTATTTAACACTGTACAGGAGATCCTATCTAGCGCTGTAAGTCAAGAAAAAGAAAAGGCAAAAAGTGTTGAAAGGAAGAAGTATGAAACTGTTTAATTTGCAGATGATATGACTATATGATTATGTAAAGAAAGCCATAAGTAATCAATAGTTACAATTACTAGAAGTAATAAGTACATTTAGCAGCTTCACAAGGCACAAGGTCAATCACAAAAATCAGTTGTGTTCCATGTATTAGCTATAAAGACAGCTGGGAAAGAAAATTATAAAAGCAATACCACTTACAATAGCATCAACAAATATAAAATATAGAAAAATAAATTTAGAGCAAGATAAGCAGGGCCTAATTACTGAAAACTACAAACATTGCCAAGGGAAATTAAATATGAACTCAGTAAATGGAAGGATAGTCCACGTTCCTGTATTGCAATATTCAATGTTGTTAAGGCATGCATTCTCCCCCAAATGGACCTGTAGACACAACGAAATCCAAATCAGAATTCCAGGAGTCTTTTTTTGTTGTAGAAATTGAGAAGCTGATTTTAAAATGCATACGGAAATTCAAAGGACTTAGAATAATCAAAGAGTCTTGAGAAAGTACGATAAATTTGAAGGACTTATATTACTTGTTTCCAGACTTATTACAAAGCTACAGTTATCAGTACAGTGTGGTATTGGTGTAAGGATAAGCAGAAGGATCACTGGAACAGACTAGAGTTAAGAAATAGACGCATACATACATAGTTGATTTTTCACAAACTGCCAAGGCAATTCAGTGGGGAATGGAAATTCTCTTTAAAATACAGTGCTGTGATTCCCGGGTGTGATGATTAACTTTAGGTGTCAGGTTGACTGGACTGAGGAATGCCTAGTTGCCTGGTGATGCACTGTCTCTGGGTATTTCTGTTAGGCTGTTTCTAGAGGAGACTCGCCTGTGAGTCAGTGAACTGAGAGAAGCCCCACCCTCAATATGGGTGGGCACAATTCAATGGGCTGGAGGTTTGGCTGGGACAAACAGGTGGAAGAAAGGGGAATTCTCTGCTGTCTCCTCTCTGTTCTCTCTCTCCCTTCCAGAGACAGATGCCTTTTTTCCTTCTGCCCTACCAGACTCCAGGTTCTTCAGGTTTGGACTCTGTGACTTGCACCACAAGACTCCCGAGGGGCTCTCAGACTTTAGGTCTCAGACTTGGGGCTGCTTCCAGAATGAGCCGAGCTATGGGTTTCTCTGGTCTTCAGCTTGCAGATTCCCCTATGGTGGGAATTTTCCACCTCTCGTTGATTTTGGGAGCCAATTCCCCTGAATAAATCCCTTCCCATATATATGATTGGTTCTCTCTGGAGTACTCTGACTAATACACCGGGACATCCCTTTGGGAAAAAAAAAAACCATGATGAACCTGGACTTCTATTTCACAAAAGTACAATATATGCAAGTTAGATCACAGGCTTTAATGTGAAAGCTAAAAGTATAGTCTTCCAGAAGAAGACTGGGGAGGTTATCTTTATGACTTTGAAGTAAGTAATATTCCTCAGACAACGTTGCAAGACATCTTCTCAATTCCAAAGTTCTCTTCAAAATATTATTTCTTTGACAACAACACATGCAAACAGATGGAAGAGAATCAGGAGTTGGGGCAACGCAGGGCCCTTGGATATGTCATTTATCTCTGCCACCATAAATCATACTTTCTCTCAATACCTACAGACGGGGGTAAGCAGTGAGGAGAATTGGTAGGGGTATGATTTTGAAAGATTTTACCGTATGTGTACTCTTACAATGTGTTTATGAACTTGTACCTAATGATAATTCATTCTGAGCTTTGCTCTTCCATCTCGTAACATTTTTATCACTGTGCAGGTGCAAGCCTGTGCTACAGTGTAGACTCCACCACCCCAGGGCACCAATCCAATCACATAACAATCTGCATGTATAAGTACCAAAATCGGTACTACCATACCCATCAGTAATAGTCCGCCAATTCTCCAATCTAAAAATCTATTGCCTAACAGGGTTGTGGAAGCTATTTTCTGCTTCCATAAATCTTTCAATGCTGCAACTTTTTGTTTTCGAACAGTAACAGTTCGGTTTCAACAACAGCTATTTTGCAAATGGTTACCAACATGATCCAGTTCTAACAAGTAATCCACAGTTATTCTGTTGTCAATTACATGATCAGTTACAGTATTTCTAACCCTACAACTCTTGACTCAGTAATGAAATCATTCATGAAGTATGATTTAGTGATGCAGATGATAAGCACAAAATATGCTGCGCATAAACAGTTAGCATCCCTCTACATTAATTTGACAAGTTAACGTCACCCCACGCCATTTTGCCAACGGTTGTAAGCAAAAGGATTCATAAATGATAAAGAATCCCGGGATGCTATTCTTAGCCACCTCTATTTGAAGAAGAATATGAATTTACAAGTCTGGAGAGTTTCCTTGGTCACAACACCAAATAGCAGTCACTTGTTCATCTTTTGAACACGCTGTGATGTCATGCAGAGATTTCAAAGTGCACTTCCGGGAGTAAGGCAGGGCCAAGCACAGTTGTTGTCCTCAGCAGTTTACAGAGGGATGAGTCTGGGGAGTTAATCTCGGTGGTCTTTCTGTGCCTACCGGAGCTAGAACCAGAACTCTATGTCAATACATTGCGCTACCCAACCAGTTGAGGAGAAGTCTTTTCTGTTTCAGGACAGAAAGGTTACAAAGACCATAGTTTGAAAAGATACATCCTAAGATCGGCCATTCTTTTCCTAAAAGCAATGCTCTCAAGCAAACATTTCATGTCACCAGGTTCCCAGGGGAAAGGAGGTAGACAGCCTGCAGTTAGATTTTCACAGAGATAGAGAAAAGATTATGTTAACCTTTTATGCAGTCCTTCCACCATGTGATGTAGGTTCAATCCACTTAACATACAAATATGCAAAGTGATATATATATGAGAACCAGCATTTGACTTTTTCTATGGGACAGTAATCTCCCTTTCACCTCTTGACCAATCCAATTACTTAATGTCCAAGTAATCTTAATACGACTCCAATATTTTTATCCTGGGAATTATGGGCGTAGTTACATCAAATAACAGCATGACAATGTTTAACATATCAAATTATAGTACAGCTAATTTTTTTGGTTTTCAAGCCATGTTTCATTTTTATTTTAAAAAATAAATCTGGTGGTGTATATTTAAGGTGTTCAACACGATATTATGTATCTAGTGAAATGGTTACTAGAGTACAACAGATTAATATATCCATCATCTCACATAGTTACCCGTTTTTCCATTTTTCCGTTTTTCCGCCTTGTGGCAAGAGCAGCTATGATCTACTGATTTTGCAAAAATCCTTAACACAACACACTATAGAAACGACAGTCCCGATGTTGTTCATTAGATCTTTTGATTTGTTCCTCCTACATACTTGCTACTCTGTATCCTTTGACCTAAAAGGGGACGCGTGCTAACCTGGAGACAGCATAATTATTGCTCAGTTTAGCAAGTATTCCCTTTTAAACATTCCAATTTAGCACGTTTCAAACTGGATTTTTAAATCTTTATGCCCAAATCCGTTCCACCCACATTAAAAAAAAAAAAAATCTCAGTTAACAGTGGCTTTTTCAGTTTCTCAAGTCAGAAATCTTGGAGTCCCCTTGACGACTTTCTTCTTGTCACATCCCACACCAGCCCCTTAGCAAGTGCGGGGTGACCCAGTTCAAGGCACTGTCATGAACACAGGATGACCAGGTTCTTCTGGCTTGCACTTGCAAACCTTTAGACGATCACTTTTTGCCTCTTAAACAGCTTTCTTACTATATATTCTGCTTTCCCGGTATTCGTCGCTAGACGGCAGCAGAGGATTTTGATTGGATTCCAAACTGGTTGGTTAAAGCAGCCTGAGCAGCTCAGAGGGAGGTTGTGGTTGTGTGTTGTGGTGCTGGTGTGTGGTTGTGGTTGTGGTGTTGTGTGGTTGTGGTTATGTGTGGTTGTGTGTGGTTCTGGTGTGTGGTGGTGGTGTGTGGTTGTGTGTGGTTGTGGCAGTGTGGGGTTGGTGGTGTGTGGTTGTGGAGGTGTGTGGTGTGGTTGTGGTAGTGTGTGGTGGTGGTGGCGTGTGGTTGTGGCGGTGTGTGGTTGTGTCGTCCTTGCTGTTGCCTTACTTGTCTTGGAACTCTTCAGCAGGCAGAGGAGAGAGAGGTTCTTCAGACCGTCCTCATACCTGGGGACTAGTGGGTGGCTGTGCGGCCGGAGGCTTTAAAGCTTTGTCTTGCATCCGCGGGCCACGCTGGAGGTCGGGCGCCCGCAACCCTGCGCCAGGCCGTCCTGGGCTTGCCGACGCTCGGCCCCTGCAGCTCCATCCGCCCGCGGGCTGCCTTTGCTTTGCCTCCCTGTGTGGCTGGGAACCAGCGGGGCGGGTGCCATCGTCCGGCCTCACCCCCTACCCTGGGTCCTGCACGTGGGCACTGCGGGCTTCTGGGCCACCTCCGCCCTTGCAGCGCAGAGGGCCCCGTGGTCTTCGTCAGCGCTCAGTCAAGGTGAGTAGGGCAGGCAGTCTTTTCTTGAGTCTCTTCGTTTCTGACACCTGTAAACAAAGGTGAACCCTAAAGAGCCACTCCTTCAAGAGGCACCCAGATGGCCAGCTGGGCCTACATTTTGAATAGAGCCACGCAGCCATCTGCAGTTGACTAGAGGTCACCCTGAGTCCCCAGACCACCCGCACTTCTGCTGTACTTTGCCACACGCTGCGCTCACCTGAACCAGCCAAGGAGATCTCAGCTGTATCAACCAATCAACCAGAGCTCAGCTGTATTGACCAATCACAACTAGGCAAGTTTGAATCTTTTATTTGCATAAATGAACATGATTGGGCACCTGGGCAGGCACTGTCACTATAAAACCAGAGCCCTCCCTTTGTACTTTGGAATGTACCTTCCTTTAAGGCTGTATCTCCCAGGTTTGCAAACTGTTCACTGGAATAAGCCTCTTTCCTCCAAATTCCTTTTCAAACGACTTTTGTTCACAAACCCCGCACAAACAGCTTCATCCCATAGGGTTAATTTACTTCCCTGGATATAGCTCCTGACTTTGGCACAGAATGGCCCTGAATGATAACTAAGCCCATGCACCCCATGCACTATCTCTATCCTTTCTCTTTCTTGGCGGATCCAAATGCTAGGTTTGGAAGAGTAATGGCAATTGTCATCCTATGGTAATATTTCCTGCCCTGTTACTGGTATTTTTTCTGTTCCATAGCTAAGAAAGCTGTCATTCCTAGTTAATTGATGGCTTCAAGGGCATATTTAGGAGGTTATCTATTCCTACCTTCTTGACTAGGAAATGCCTGCTGTCCCCTTCTGGCCATCCTGGAAGGTTCTGGCCCTGAGCTGGGTTGCAATCTCTTCCACTAGATCAACTTGGAACCCTGCTGGCATTATCTCAGTTCCAAAGACATCTACAAAATGTTGTTTGACAGCAAAGCACACAGCAGATGGAAAAGAATCAGGAGCTCCAGGGAAGCTGGAGGCTCTATTAGACACATTTCTCTCTTCTTCCCAGCAGTAAATTACACCTTCTCTGACCAGAAAGAAGTTGGAAAGGGATACATGGGAGGGGACACCTTTGAAAAATTTATCTGAATTTTGCCAACTAACAATCACTTGCATAGTCTTCCAGGCAATGACATCTTATTTATGACCTTTTATGTTATATAACACATACAGCTCATTTTCGGTAGTTGCTCTGCATTTGCATAACATTTCTATCACTGCATAGCAGTGAGCTTTGCTATAGTCCTGAGCTCCATTTCCTTAGACATTGGAAACAGGCTTCTCTACCACACAGTTCTGTGTCACTACAATAGGACCACAAAAACCTTAGCCATAGAAGGAAATCATTGATAAATTGGATCCATACAATTTAATATTTTTGCTCAGTCAATAAACTGTTAAAGGAAAGCTATAGATTAGGTGAAGAATGTGTGTGTTTGTGTGTGTGTGTGTGTATAATTCACAGAATATGTAAAGAACTCTAACAAATCACTGATTTTAAAAAGATAATTTTTTAATGGACAAAAGACTTGAACACTTCACAAAAGTATAGAAATAGACAACATGCATAAAAAGATACTCAACATCATCAGTCATCAGAGAAATGCAAATTAAACCACCAGGTGATAGCACTATGCAACCACAAGAATACTCAACATTGGCTGGGCACGGTGGCTCATGCCTGTAATCCCAGCACTTTGGGAGGCTGAGGCAGGTGCATCACAAGGTCAGGAGATCAAGACCATCTTGGCTAACATGGTGAAACCTCGTCTCTACTAAAAACACAAAAAATTAGCTGGGCGTGGTGGTGGGTGCCTGTAGTCCCAGCTACTTGGGAGGCCGAGGCAGGAGAATCACTTCAATCCGGGAGGCAGAGGTTGCAGTGAGCCGAGATTGCACCACTGCACTCCAGCCTGGGTGACAGAGCGAGACTCGGTCTCCAGAAAAAAAAAAAAAAAAAAAAAAACCATGCTCAACATTAAAAAGAGACATAATACCAAGTGTTGGCAAGGAATACAACAACTGGCGTTCTCATACATTGCTGTTGGGAGTATAAAGTAGCAGAACTACTTTGGAAAACTGGCAATATAGTATAAACATAACCATGTACCTACCCTATAACCTAGAAATCAACTCCTAAGATATTACCCAAGAGAAATTAAAACACATCCACACAAATACTTGTGCAAGAATGTCCACTGAAGTTTTATTCATAACACACAAAACTTGGAAAAGGGTTAAATACACTTGGTTAATTCATATAACGGAGTACTACTCAACAATAAAATAAAATGAATTTAGAGCACATGCAACAATATGAATTTCAAAAACATGTTGCATGCAAAAAGTCAAACATGAGTCCATACTGACAAAGGTTTTCTTTGACCTAACTCCAGTGAGGCCCTCTAAGCCCTCAAAGCTTAAACTTTAGACTGTCCTTGGTTCATTTAGGTGAGTTACAATCTTGTTGGGTCAGTTTATCGAAAATCCCCCACCATTGTTATCTGATCAAATTCCACACCCCCCACTCTTCATATCTTCCCATACTGGCCTGCCTTGAGCAAAGATCCTGTTGAGCTCCTCTAACAAAAACCTCCCTAGCTTTGATGTTTCCTCTTAGTAACTTTCCATCCACTGAGCCCCACCCTGCTCCTTGGCTAGAAACCCCCAGTTGTCCTTGTTGTGTTCAGAGTGGAGCCAAACCTTTCTTCCCTACTGCAAAACCCCATTATGGAGGTCCCCCATGTTAAAATCTGCCTTATCATCTTTAATGAGTGTCATGAATAATTTTTCTTTAACAATGCATGATTCCACTTACATGAAATTCAACAGCAGGAAAAACTAATCTATGGAGATATACATTAGAAAAGTGGGTCGCTTGGAGCAGGGGCCGACTGGAAATGGGCATGGGGTAATTCCCCTGGGCTCTCCATGATCAGGCCCAACCTACTTTGTCCTTTTTCCTCTCCCATTGCTGCACAGCAGGGTCCCTCTGCTTCAGTCAAGAGGTTAGATCTGCCATGCCTTCACCACCCACCCATCCCCACAGTCTCATCCCCACAGTGACAGCACTTTGTGAACTGGGCTGCTCTACCACAAAGGCTGCCAGCACACATTCTGCAGAGCCTGGTTACAGATGGCATCTTAACAGATGCCCATATCATTCACTCCATCCCACTGTACAAGTTAGCCCTTCATTTTGTAGTGTTTTAAGGTTAAAAACACATATGCCTCTTGATCCTTGCAATTTTAATAAAGCACTCTCTCCATTTTCACCTCAACATCCAGTCCAGGTGAAAGGTAACAATTGATAAATATCTGTTGATGAATGTTCAACATTTAATCATGTATCACTCCTAAATAGCATGAATCATGTTAAGACAGCTGCATGGACAGACCAAATGGGAAAGGAATGCCTTATTGTAGAAGGCCTATTTGTTGGACCCTATTCTCCAGGTCCAAGAAGTCTTTGTCTTTGACACAAAATGAAGTTACTCCTGGCCCACTTGTGGTACTTCTATGGACTTATTCAAGGGGTTGACAAACTTTAGAAAGGCCTAAAGAAATTGTAATTGAATACAACTTCCTTCTTTCATTGTTCTGCTCCTTCTGAAATGTAGGGGACTGCCACTCACTAGCATCCTTTGTCCGGAACACATTCCCACTCCGGGAACTTAAGAGGAAACAGCCGGCCTGCATGCAATGTCAGGGTAAATTGAGAACATCACTGTCTTAGTCCATATGTGTTGCTCTAAAGGAATACCTGAGGCTGGGTAATTTATAAAAATAGGTTTATTTGACTCGTGGTTCTGCTGGCAACAGCATCTACTTCTGGTGAGGGCTTCCAGGAGTTTCCACTCATGGCAGAAGGGGAGCCAGTGTGTGCAGACATTACATGATGAGACAGGAAGCAAGAGAGACAGAGGGGAGATGCCAGGCTCTCTTTAATAACCAGCTCTGGAGGGAACTGATTATGTGAGAACTCACTCATTGCCATGAGAACAGCACCAAGCCGTTCATGAGTGATCCACCCCCATGACCCAAACACCTTCCACCAGGCCCCACCTCCAACACTGGGGACTAAATTTCAACATGAGGTTTGGAGGGTCAAATATTCAAACTATAGCATCAGCCAAAATTATAGCTGCAGGGAAATTAGAAGAAAAACTGGCAAGATGAAGAAAGATTTAGTGGAATATAACACATTAGAGAATAAAAAGGGGAGTCTATAGGGTGCAATTATAGTTGATTGTATGTTTTTGCATAATTGGTTTGTTCAATTAACTGTTATGGGAATTTTACTGAGGATTTTAACATCTGAATACAATAGTTGAAAGTGTTCTCTAAGTGTCTAACAATTTCCTTACCTTGTTTGGGAGTCAGGATTATAACAGCCTTGATAAATGTGTAGGGAAGCTTTCTTCTTGCCTTTCGGGAAAAAGCGCATTAAGTATTTGAGGGGTTGAAGGGAGGGGCTCCAAAGGGCATGGGGAAATTTTCAGGGGTAATGGGTATATTCCTTATCTTCAGTGTGCTGATGGTTGCAGGGGTATATACAAATGCCCAAACGCATAAATTGTACACTTTAAATATTCAAGTTTATTGTATGTCAATTATACTTCAATAAAGCTTTTTTTTTTTTTAAACCCTCACAATTTAGTTCTGGGCTCTGTGCTTGGGCTCTTGAAATTCGGTGGCAGTGGCCTGAATCCCCATGCCCACTGTGACAGAGCAGGAGCACCATCCTCTCGGACAAACACCGCCACTTTAAGTGCCAGCTCCCTTTCCAGCCTCATGCATTTCAAGAAAATCACTTCTCTTCTAACAACAAGCAGACAGAAAGAGCAGACAGTAAAACATAGATGAGACAGCTCAGGCACAGAGGGAGGTGGGGGGAAAGTCTCTTGGGTAATTGCCAAACTTCACCCTCATACATTGGGCCCCAGTATAACAGTGGGCCTTAATAAGCACATTCTTTCCCTTCAGGTGCACTAAGATAGGGAAGCTAAAAGCAGACCTGGGGGTATGCCTGCAGCTGCAGGAAGATGTATGGAAACAGACACACAACTCCCTCCCAGATAAGCACACCTAAAGAGACACAGAAGCAGTCCAAGCCTCTGATAAACTCTCCCACCCTGAATCCTTAAAAACTCTTAGTCTGTAAGAGAGCATGCCTCTGATCTAACTCAGCCAGAAGCCACTCTTGGGTTTGTTTTCTTTAAAATAAACCTGTCCTCGACCATCAAGCCATTGTGTTTCTTTCCTCTTTCTTTAATTCTTACACACTGGAGCCTAGGGAAAGGATCATTCTCTGCCCACTTCCATTACCTGAGAAAAGAACGCCAGAAAAAGAAGCCATGGGGAAAACATTAAGATTTGTAGCCAGGCATGGCAGCTGATGCCTGTAATGCCAGCACTTAGGGGGGTTGAGGTAGAGGATTGTTTGAGGCCAGGAGTTTGAGACCAGCCTGGGCAACATAGTGAGACCCTGTCTCTACAAAAAAAGTTTTTAAATAAATTATCTGGGCCTGGGGGCAAGTACCTGTAGTCCCAGCTGCTTAGGAGGCGGAGACGGGAAGATCCCTCGAGCTCAGTACAGCTCAGGCTGTAGTGAGCTATGATGGCACCACTGCATTCCAGACTGGGTGACAGAGCAAGACCCTGTCTCAAAAAAAAAAAAAAAAAGATTTGTAGACTTTTGTAGACTGTCAAGAGGGACATCAAAAATGTCTCCTGTGAGGCCGGGCATGGTAGCTTACATCTGTAATCCCAAGCACTTTGAGAAGCCACCGCGGGAGGATTACTTGAGCCCAGGAGTTCGAGATCAGCCTAGGCAAGATAGACTTTGTCTCTACAAATAAAAATAATTAGCCAGGCATGGTGGTGCAGGCCTGTGGCCCCAGCTCCTCAGGGGACTGAGGCAGGAGGATTGCTTGAGCAGTCCTCAGGCAGTGGAGGCACCAGTGACCTGTGGTAACAACACTGCACTCCAGCCTGGGCGACAGAGTGAGACCCTGTCTCAAAAGAAAATAAATAAAACAGAATGTCTCCTGTGTAAAATGACAACTTCCAGTAGAACAATTATAGGAAAGATACAGGATCTTTCTGTTCTTTCCACAGTATCTCAGATTTCAGACCGCCCAAGATTCCTCTAGCTAATGACTTCACAGTTGGTAACAGCGAGTTAACTTCACAATGTTTCTTCAGCATCTATTATGACAGTTCTTGGAACTATACGTGCCAGATTACAGTTCACACCTGGTGGTAGTGACAATGGAAATGCCTTTAGGAGGCTTGCAGATCCCTTGGACCCAGAAAATACAACTTTTTGAGACATATGGGAGAAAAAAGAGGTTTTTACATCAGCTTTCCCTGGGGTTCCACGAACACTAAATGAATCTGAAGACACACCTTCAACATTCTTTAAGAAGGAACCATGGAAGCCAACCTTGTATTGTTTAAAGAGAGAATGAAACTTGAAGCAACAGACAGGAAGAACCCTTATCTGATCTGCTCCGCAACTATTGGAAACATTGAAGGAGACAGTTTACACTACAGTGGATGGGAGTGGTGGCTTAGGCCTATAATGCTAGTGCTTTGGAAGGCAGAGTGGGGAGAATTGCTTGAGGGAGAGTTCAAGGTTGCAGGGAGCTGTGATCCAGCCTCAGCAACAGAGTGAGATCCTGTCTGTAAAAAAAGAAAAGAAAAAAAAGTTTACATTACATTTGGAGACTAGAGAGGAGCTTTTGAATATTGCTATGATTCTTCAGATAGTCTCCTAATTGGGTAGGTTGTATCGCTTGACAAATGTCTTACAACCATCAGAAAATAATGCTCCCATTACAATAAGTAGAGCGAAAGCACAATCTTCTCCTTCCCGTGTGGCTCAGCATTCAATGCAGGCGAGAAAACTCGCCCAGTAACTTGGGTCAAGAAATCAGGTTGGGATAAACCACCTGCATAACTTTCCTCCCCACGAAGGAAAGGTTTCTTAAAAATGATTCCCTGACAAAGGTCAGCATTCGTAATTAAAAGAGGCCCAAAATGAGAGAAAAAGGAAAAATTGTCTTCCTGTTTTGTGTTCTCCTCCATCTCTACTTATGTAGTTGCTAGAAAGAGACCTTGGCCTTCCACTAGATCAGGGATGACGTTGCCGAGACCATGACTGCAGCAATGTCTGCAGTCTGTTTCTTTGCAGACAAACAGGGGACTCCATACTCACCTGCTTCAGAAGAGAGCCCAGCAGCTGCCCACCTCCCGCTGGCCCCGTGGGTATGCAGCTCGGTGGACCATGCAGACCTATGTGGATTGTGCCTTCCGAGCTGTGATAGAAGAGTTAAAAATAAATTATTTAGGCAGACAGAATAAGGAAGTCCTTGGTAAGGTTTTCCTTTTAATGAAAAGCATTAAAAGGAATGCCCCAAATCATTTTCTTTTCTAACAAAGAACAACCTGTAAAATCAAGCTGCAGGCACAGACAAGCAAGCTGGAAGCTTGCATAGGCTAATACTGGTGGTTGTGCCAACAGAGAAAGGTTACCTGGGAATAGACACGTTCAAAACGGTGGCTCCATCTTCTCCTGTCTTTGCCACCCGCGTGTATAGTAAGGAGCAGACAAGATGGTACTGGCCAAGTAGAAAGCCCATTTGTTTAATAAGATTAGGGTGGGACGACCAGCCTTCCCCGAGCGCTATGTAAACGTCACACCTGATCAGACCAATCTGTGGGCCCTGTGTAAATCAGACGCCGCCTCCTCAAGCCTGCCTATCAAGTCTGCTGTGGTCCACCTCAGGCCGGCTTTTTCCCTTTTGGATGCCTCTCTCTAGAAAGAGAGAGAAAGCTGCTCTCCTCTCTCCTTTCTTCAGCCTATTAAAATTTCCGCTCCTCAACCCACTCACATGTGTCCATGTCTTTAATCTTCTTGGTGCAAGATGGTGAACCCCAGGTATTTACCTCAGACAGTGATGCTGCTTCAGCTGGACGGCTCTTGAATGCCTCCATAGAGGAGACGTGGTCGCTGCCTCCTCTGGTGGGGAAAAACATTCTACCTCCCTTCGGTGGTTAACACCTCCTCAAAATAAAAATGGTAAAAGCCAATCAGCAGAGGCAGACATACTGATGCTCTCAGAACCCTCCATCATATGCCACTCCTCTCTCACCTAAGGATCCCACAGAGGTATATGTACCACAGGCAGAAATATTGTCTTATGACGACAGACATGCCAGAAGAGCAGAGGCTTTCAGAAAGCCACCAATTCAGCAAACTAACTCTCCGAGCATGGACTGGGGAAATTCCTCAGCTCTCTTAACTATAGGAATTATTTTCAGCCTGTGTCAGCTATGCTGAGCTCATCCCCAGTTCTGAATAAACTATCACTGATTTCTACCAAGGACAATTATAAGAAGTCAGTAAAATCCACATGCAGAGGAGATGGACACCCAACTCAACAAGTGAATGTGACTACCCAGAGGGAGAGCCCTGTAGAGTCCCCGCCCAGCGTGCCCACCCAGGGTTTCCACCCAGTGTCCCCGCCCAGGTCCTCAACCAGGTCCCCGCCCAGCGTCCCCGCCCAGCCTCCCGGGGTCTACACCAGGCCACCTGCGCTCGCTGGTTGACAGCACAGCCCCTTCCGGCTAGCTTGACGGCCTCCGCCCGATCCACCCTGCGTGAATACAATTATTTCCCTCTGCCTTCCACTCGGAGAGAGCGGCCAGGATGCCAACTGGCTTCACTGGAAACACCCCGGCCCCCCAGCCCTCCTGGGGCATCTCTAGGTGACACCCCACAAGGCCTGAGGCCTCTACGCCTTCTCTCCCATCCGCAGTGACCCTGCCTCGCACCTGCCACGTGGGTCCAGCCACACTGTCCCGGCAGACGCTCTCACCTTAGCCTCGGGCTGGACTTACTGCTTCCAAAAGCGCTGGGCACAGCCTTATATGACTGACCCCGCCCCCGAGTCCCAGGCCGCCCCATGCAACCGCCCAACCGCCCAACCGCCACTCCAAAGGTCACCAACCACTGCTCCAGGCCACGGGCTGCCTCTCCCCACGGCTCTAGGGCCCTTCCCCTCCACCGCAGGCTGACCCCGCCCACCTCACCAACAGACACGCCAACTGCGTCTGGCCCCGCCCCCGCCGTTCTCTCTTCCGGCTCCACGGCCCCACCCCTTCGCAGCGGGTCTACTCTGCCCGCCCCAAGAACCACCACTTCCACAGCCAGGCACCCCAGCTCGGGCTGAGGTCTTCTTTGGCTCCTGGCAGCTGTTACCCCTGCAGCCATGTGTACCAGATGTCTGCTGTGTTTTGTCCCCCACATATAGTTTTGATACATTTTTAAAACTTAATCTATATCTCACTTACTCCACTCCCTGTGAGGGTGGGCAAATGCCTGTTCAGCTTAGGATCGGATCCTTAGCACCTGATACAGGGGCTGGTGCTCTATACCCACACCTGCTCTGCCGGCTGCACAGGATCATCATGGCAAAATGAGATGGTCTATGTAAGAGCACTTGTGAAAATTCTAGAACTCTTTCTATACCCCTGAAACTCCAGAAACGTAAAGAATTATTTTCATTATTATTGCTTTTCAGTACATTGATCTGGGCCCCACATTTCCAGCTTATGGTTTGGTTACAGCTCTGCATGACCCAAATGGAAAGATAAAAATGCTCTCCTTTGCTCATCTCCGTTTTAAACATGATTTCTTCTTAAAGGTGCTTAAAGGAATTTCATATGCAGTCAGTCCTTTTATCATCTATCTCTAATGTTTTACCTGGATTTTTTATTGGCTGTCATACAGTAATGACAAGAAAATCCATTTGTGGATTGGAATCTTTAGGTATGAAATGTGCCATGCTTGCCTGGTTGAAACAATGTAGGACCGTCAAGCGAGGGCTGGAGGTTTGTTTGCACTGGTGTGGAAGAGGAAGAGGAGAAAGAAAAAAGGAAAACATAGGGTCACTTTAGGCCAACTGCTCAGAAGATGAGAGAAACTGGACCCAGTGGCACTTAGGCTGAGACCTGGCTGGGTAAAAACAGGTGGCAATGTTTTTCTAACAAAAACATCAGGACTCGTAAATAAGTACAAAGAAACTTTTGTGGGTAGTGGTACTAAATATTTCCAATTGGAATTGCTGAATAAGATGCAATATTTATGGTTGCTATAGTATAGGAATGATGACTGATTATGTGTTTTGGATGTTTGTCCTTTCCAAATCTCAAGCTGAAATGCGATTCCCAGTGTTGGAGGTGGGGCCTGGTGGGAGGTGATGGGATCATGGGGGTGGATCCCTCATGAATGGTTTCTCACCCCCCCCTTGGTGATGAGTTCTCGCTCAGTTCATTCTTGGTTGAGATCTGGTTGTTTGAAAGAGTTGGACATCCGCCTTCTCTATCTCTCTTTCTCCCATTCTCTCCACGTGATGTGCCTGCCCCCCGCACCGCCACAACTTCACCTTCCACCACCATTGTAAGCTTCTTGAGGCCCTCACCAGAAGCCAAGCAGTTGTTGGTGCCATGCTTGTACAACTTGCAGAACCGTGTGCCAATTCAACTTTTTTTCTTTATAAATTACCCAGGCTCAAGTATTCCTTTATAGCAATGCAAGAACAGCCTAATAAAAGTAGAGTCAGCCTGAAGAGATAGTGTTTCACATCCCTCGATGTCTGTCATCTCTTCATCTCTGGAAATCTACAAATCTCACCCTCCTCTTCTCTCTTTCCATCTCTTCTCTCTTTCTGAATAGCTTCAATAAGGCCCTAAAGAAGTGGGGAAGTTGAACATTTTACATTTCTCTTAAAGTGTCAGTGGCTGTGCACCACAGAGTATTTTCCCCTTTGATTGTAATCTACCACCCTGCATTTTTTCTAACAAATGTCAACACCTGGGGCTGTTTCCTAAGACCAAAGCATGGGTATCCTCTGTGTCTAACTTAGTGGCTCACGGAATTTGTCTCATCTTTTCCTTAAATCTTACAATGATTAATGAAGTAGGACTTGGTATAACATTGTATTAGCAGCCAAAAAGCACACTAGCTCCAAAATACCCAAGTTAGAATAATTTTCATGAATGAATAAATTTTCATTCTCAGGCCCAGAGCAGTTGATAGGAATTGCAATGACAGGTGCTGCGAGGGCGAAGTTTGAGAGCAAACTCACCTACAAAGAAATACAAGACACTATCTTGGGAGCGATCACAAACAGGACTTTGTTTTAAGATAATCTGTCCTCGAATTTGTAGGATAGGGCATGTTAAATGTCACAGAGTTTCTGCTATGTTACAAAAACTCACTTTAACATTTCTCCTATGAGTACATGTTGGCAATATGGCTTTGTATGTCTACCTACATGTTTCTAAAATTCCACTTCTGAACACAGATCTTTTTTTTTTTTTTTTTAGATGGAGTCTCGCTCTGCTGCCCAGGCTGGAGTGTGGTGGCGCGATCTCAGCTCACCGCAACCTCTGTCTCCTGGGCTCAAGCAATTCTCCTAACTCAGCCTCCCGAGTAGCTGGGATTACTGGTGCCCGCCACCATGCCCAACTAATTTTTGCATTTTCAGTAGAGATGGGGTTTTACCACGTTGGCCAGGGTGGTCTTGAACTCCTGACCTCAGGTGATCCGCCTGCCTCGGCCTCCCAAAGTGATTACAGGTGTGAGCCACCGCGCCCAGCCTGAACACAGATCTTTCAAACATCAGCCTGTTTGGGGGATTTATTCAGTGTGGGTGAGCTTTGCCAAGAAAAATCATGTTGCTGTCATCTATTTATTTTTTCATAATTATGGTGATTAAACATATGTAACGAAATTCACTATTTTAACCACGCTTAAGTGTGGTTCTGTAGCATTAAGTACATTCACATTGTTGGGCAACCATCACCGGAACTTTCCACCTTCCCCATTCTCCCCAGTCCCCCGACCCTGGCAGCCACTATTCTACTTTCTATCTCTATAAACTTGAAAGTGTGTGACTTTCAGTGTTGTTCTTCATTTGCAAGATTGTTTTGGCTATTCAGGATCCTTGAGATTCGGTATGAATTTCAGAATTGTTTTCTGTTTCTGCTAAAAACATTGCTGGAATCTGTAGATTGCTTTGGGTGATATTGACATCTCAACAGTATTAAGTCTTATTTATTAACAAGGATATCTTTCCGTTTATTGCTGCCCTTAGTTTTAATTTCTCTCAGTAATGCTTCAAGGTTGTTAGTGTATAAGTCTTTCAGCTCCTTGGCTAAGTTGATTCCTAAGTATTTTATTCTTTCTAATGCTATTGTAAATGAAATTGTTTTCTCTATTTCTTTTGGGATTGTTCATTGTTCGTATGTAGAAACGCACCTGATTTTTGTGGGTTAATTTTGTATCTTCCAACTTTGCTGAAATTATTGATTAATTGTAAGAGTTTGTTTTATAGAATATTTAGAGCTTTCTAACATATACGATAATATTGTTTGCTAACAGAGAGAATTTTACTTTTTCTTTTCCAATTTGGATGCCTTTCATTTATTTATTTTCTTCCCTAAATTCTCTAGCTAGGACTTCTAAGACTATGTTAAATAGAAGTGGCAAAAGCAGCATTCTTGTCTTGCCTTTTTTTTTTTTTTTTGTCTTTTTGAGATGGAGTCTTGCCCTGTCGCCCAGGCTGCAGTGCAATGGCACAATCTTGATTCACTACAACCTTGCCTCCTGGGTTCAAGCGACTCTCCAGCCTCAACCTTCTGAGCAGCTGGGATTATAGGTGCTCATCACCACGCCCAGCTAATTTTTTTATTTTTAGTAGAGACGGGGTTTCACCATGTTGGCCAGGCTGGTCTCGAACTCTTGACCTCAGGTGACCCACCCACCTCAGCCTCCCAAAATGCTGGGATTACAGGAGTGAGCCACTGTGCCCGGCCCCCTTGTCTCGCTTCTTAGATCTTAGATCTTAGAGGAAAAGCTTTCAAACTTGCACTATTCAGCACAATGTTAGCTATTGACTAAAGAGAGAGGATTTTAGTCAATAGCTATTGAGTAAAGAGGATTTGGGGAAGCCGCATTTTTAATTGATTAGTTTTTACAACTTACTGAGGTATTATTAAGTAGTATTGAACAGCACTGTTCAAAATGATGGGTTTTGATATTTGTTTACACCCCTGAGGTCATCATAATCGAGATAGTAAACAGTTCCATTGCCCAACAAGTTTCCTCATGCAATTTTGTAACCTATTCCTCCCTCCATTTAACCCCTGGCATTTTCTAAAAATTTTATGCAAATATGATGAAGTATGTATTTTGGTGTAAGGCATTTTAAAATTCATCATATTTCTGAGATTCATTCACATTGTTGTATGTATCATGGTTTAGTCCTTCTTATTGCTACATAGTATTCCCTTGTATGCATATGCTACAGTTCATCTATTCTACTGATGGATACCTGGGATAGTTCCAGAGTTTAGCTAGTATAAATAAAGCTCTGACATTTATCCATAAATCTTTGCCAAGAATAGCTTACCTGGGACATATGGTAAGTATATTTAAGTTCTAAAGAAATTACTAAACTTTTTCCAAAGTGGTTGTAGCATTTTACATTCCCACCCCTCAACAATGTACAAGAATTCTAGTTGCTCCACATCCTTCCAACAGTTTTAGCTATCCTGGAAGGTATGTAGTTAGATCTCCCTGTGGTTTTAATTTGCATTTCCCTAAGGACTGATAGTGCTGAGCCTGTTTTCTTATGTTTGTTGGCCATTCATATTTGTAAAATATCTATTCAAATCTTTTGATCATTTATAATTGGGTTGTTCATCTCATGCTGAGTTATGAGAGTTCTTTCCATGGGCCCAAGAGTAGGACCTGGTAATGACTTCTTTTTGTTGTCTTTCTTGTGAGAATGTCTTTATTTCACCTTTATTGCTGTAAGATATTTGTAATGGATATAAAATTATAGGTTGAGAAGCTCTTTTCTTTCAGTACTTTTAAGATGTAGTCCTGCTGTCTTCTGGACTTCATGGTTTCTCGGAGAAATCATGGACATAAAGTCATGATTTCCCTCTATGTAATGTGTGCTTTTTGTTTTTTTTTCCACTATAGCTACTTTCAAGAATTTTTTAGGTATCTTGGGATTCAGAAACTTGATTCTTATGTGTTAATAGGGATTGTTTCCTTTGAGTTTGTTTTGCCCAGAGTTTGCTAAGTGTCTTGAATCTGTAAATTTATGTCTTTCACTAAATTGGGGAGTTTCTGGGCATTCTTGCTGAAATTTTTTTTCTATTTTAATCTTTTTCTCCTCTCTTTCTGAGACTCAACTTACACTATGTTAGACCTTTAGATGGTAACACACAGGTACCTGACACTCTGGGTTTGTTTTCTTTAAACCCTTTATCTCTCTTTGTAGATTGGATAATTTTCATTGTTCTACCTTCAACTTAATTTTCCTTTTATCATCTTTATTCTGCTATTGAGTCCAACCAATGATTAACTTTTGACTGCAGAGATTGTATTTTTCATTTCAATATTTTTTATTTGCTTCCTTTTTAAATTTTCCTTTTTTCTGTTGAGCACTTCTATCATATCAGTCAATCGAAGTGTGCTTTCCCTGACCTTACGAGCATAGATAAAATAGCTGCTTTAAAGTCTTTGTCTGATAATTTTCTCTTGAGGTTGGTATTTGTTTGATTGTCTTTCCACCTTAAGAATCAGTACCATTTTCCTGGTTGTTTGTATATCAAGAGATTTTGAATTGTTTCCTGGACATTGTGAATGTTGTGTATTGCAGACTCTGGATCTATTGTCGGCCTCTGGAAAATGTTGATGTCTGTTTTAGTAAAAAATTAGACTACGTTATGTTCAGACTATAAGTTATATCCCATCTTCTGTGGTTATATCAGTTTAAATACACACACACACACACACACCCCTTTCCACTTAACTTTGGGAAGTACTGTGAGAATCAGCAGTAATTCAATGATTTGCCTGGTGATTTTATCATTTTAGGATTCCTTCCCTCCAATTCACTCAATTTCAATGTAACACCTAATAAAAGAAGAGAAATGTGTTTCCTTTTAGGTTAGCTTACTAAAAAAGATTTTCTTTAGTTTGCTTCCAATGCTACCTAAATCAAAAGCTTTCCACTGAGTCTTCTTCCAAGCTTGAACATTTTTTCCTAGCAAGACTTAGTGAATGGTCTTGATCATTTCCTACTTATTCTTTTGTCATTTTTACTCACACTTCTTAAATTCCATGTTCGATTTAATCAGACCTCAAGGGTGCAGAATTACATTTAAGCCACATAGTATTAATCACACTAACTCCCTATCCATACCTACGTCCTGCCGACCTTCTAGTCTGGGTGGCAAAGCCGCACATGCATCCTCTGGTACTTGTGTGTCTATTCTTTACAACCTCCTACCTCCTCCCTTGACTGATGTTCTTCCTCTAATTGTTTTCTTCTGACCACCTTCAGGGACACAATTCAGCATTGTACCATTTTTAGCAAAGATTTTACTGGGTTTTATTCATATCAGAAAATCACATTTGCATTTCAAACACATGCTAAAAATTAAATCATGGATGAAATGCCTGATGCATAGAACGGTTCTCGTTAAAATAAACTTGTCTCTTTTATAACAATGTGAACAGAGACCACAGTTCTTTAGCATTCACACTGGAGTTCATGTTTCAATACTTTATAATTAAGCATTATGCTCAGCATATACTGTGAAAGGACAACATCATTTTAAAAATGTGTTACTCAGAGAGAAAACAGTGATTTTCATTATGTTCCCCTCCAAGCCTTTGCTTCAGACAGCTGGTATGGCTCCCATTGTCGGACACTGAAGGGGTTTGAAAGGAACATGAGCGCTGCCATTGTCACCCTGTGAAAAAAAATCCTGATAGTTTTTACATTTCAGGATATATTAAGTTGAAAACTTCACTGTATATTATGAAAACTGTTAAGCCTGTAGATCTTTTTGCGGAATATGTTGCAAAATGGCTGATTTTGTCATTTTAAAATTCTTTCTCAAATTTTCTATTAGACTTTTAAAAATATGGAATGCTTCACGAATGTGCATGTCATCCTTGCACAGGGCCCATGCTAACCTCTGGATCGCTCCACTTTTAGTATAATATATGTGCTACCGAAGAGAGCATGATTCTGTTCTGTTTAAATGCTTGTTCGATGGCTTGTTAGAAGAATCACATTTGCAAAGATCTTTTGAAATTTATGGAAAAACGACACTGCTGAAGTATGTTTAGAGAAAAATGAGAAACTAGTATTCAGTTTAATAATTATGTACTAATAACCTCTGCCATGTCCTTATTGTATTAACTATTATGTCAGGGAGAAATGCCTAAGAAATATCCAACAGAATATCGACCTTCAAGGAGCTATAAAACAACTAGAGGCTCTTTGAGGAGAACATCCAATCTGAGGGGAAAACTCAGCATTAACTTAGAGCCATTAAGAACCAGAACAGTTCCGGCCGGGTGTGGTGGTTCACACCTGTAATCCCAGCACTTTGGGAGGCCGAGGCGGGCGGATCACGAGGTCAGGAGATCGAGACTATCCTGGCTAACATGGTGAAACCCTGTCTCTACTAAAAATAAATAAATAAATAAAAAAGGCGCCTGTAGTCCCAGCTACTCCGGAGGCTGAGGCAGGAGAATGGCGTGAACCCGGGAGGCGGAGCTTGCAGTGAGCCGAGATCGCGCCACTGCACTCCAGCCTGGGTGACAGAGCGAGACTCCGTCTCAAAATAAATAAATAAATAAATAAATAAATTAATTAATTAATTAATTAATTTAAAAAAGAGAAACAGAACAGTTCCAGGGCAGTCAGCACTGCAGGGGGCTGACCAGGAAGACTTACCAAGGGCACCAGAAGGCGAAGATGTTGCCTGCACACCACTAAATACAAACGGGAGCCATGAGCACTTGGGATGTATGTGATACTTCTGAAATTTTGAAAACTATGTGAAATATGAACCTGACAGAGAAATACCTTCCATACAGTACAATTTCAAGAAGAAAAAGCAAATGGGTATCACAAAGTGATGGGAGATGTGTCCAGATCCGTTTTGCAGTCTGAGGCAGGAAATTGACCCGATGCTTCCCGTTGACTTCCTTCAGACATTCAGAAACTGTGCTAGAGACTGACTGTCCCATGAGGAACAACTAAGTAACAACATAGCTTGCAGCTGTGAAAAGGGTCCCGGGCAGGACGCAGGGCAGAACATCACGGAGGCAGGTACTGGAGAATTATCTTCAGCCACAGTTCCAAGCTAGCGGGAAAAGCAGGTAGTAGTGTGGAGAGGGAGTTTATTACGGCTGAGGGGAACACACCCAGGGCATTGTGTGACATTTAAAAATATATACTCAGCCGTTACAAAGTTTCTGCCACTGGGGAAGAAGGAAGTGCCACAGGTACCAAGTAGTATTGTTGTTATAAGAAAAATAGTGAAACTTCCTTATCTCTGAATCACTAATTTTCTGGTTTTTTTTTTTTTTTCTTTGAGACGGAGTCTCAGTGGTGTGTGCCTATAATCCCAGCTGCTCAGGAGGGTGAGGCAAAATAATCACTTGAACCTGGAGGGTGGAAGTTGCAGTGAACCGAGATCATGCCATTGCACTCCAGCCTGGGCAACAAGAGTGAAATACCATCTCAAAATAAATAAATAAAAAAATGAAGTTTCAGTTATGCAAGCTGAGTAAGCTCTAGGGATCTGCTGTCTGTACAACATGGTGCCTATAGTTAACAATAATATATTGTGCATTTAACATATGTTAAGAGGGTAGATCTTATGCCAAATGTTTGACCATAATAAAAAAATTACCACATGTGAGAATAAAAGAAGAATTTACGGGCTTGCAAATGTACTTAGTTATCATTTCCCCTAAGGACTGAATTGAATTTATTAGTATTTTATAAAAGATATTTACATCAAAGTCCGTAAGTAAAGTTGGTCTGTAATTGTTTTATACTTGTCTTGTTTCATATGAAGTTATTCCATCAGTGTTAAATGAGTTGGTCAGTTTTCTTCTCTTTTCTGATGTTTACCAATGCTTGCCTATAAATCCATCGGTTGTTGGACATTCTTGGAAGGCAGGTGTGACTGAGGATTAAATTTCACTATGGTCAATGCTGTTGGCTTATCCACGTGCTCTCTCTCTGAAAAAAATTTTAATACTATTTTCTAAATATTGTGATACCTTTTTGAGGTTGGTATCACAACCTTTTTTACAGATGAAGAAACTGAGGCTTGAGAACAGTGCTGCATGCTATGGAAAACAGTATAGTTCTTTCTCAAAAAATTACAAATAGGGGCCAGGCGCCGTGGCTCATGCCTGTAATCCCAACACTTAGTGGATCATTTGAGGTCAGGAGTTTGAGATCATCTTGGCCAACACGGTGAAACCCGTCTCTACTAAAAATACAAAAATTAGGCAGGCGTGGTGGCACCCGCCTGTAGTCCCAGCTACTCGGGAGGCTGAAGCAGGAGAATTGCTTGAGCCTGGGAGGTGGAGGTTGCCATGAGCCAAGATCACAGCACTGCACTCCAGCCTGGATGACAGAGTGAGACTCTGTCTCAAAAAAAAAAAAAAAATTACCAATAGATTTACCATATGATCCAGCAATTCCACTTCTGGATATATGCCCCAGAGAGTTGAAAGCAGGGACTCTGAACAGACATTTGTGCATCCATGTTCATTGCGGCACTATTCACAATAGCCAAAAGATGGCAGCAACCCAAGTACCCATCAAGGGATTAATGGATGAGCATAATGTCTATACATACAATGGGATGCTATTCAGAATTAAAAGGGAGGAAATTCTGACACATGCTAAATAGAGATGAACCTTGAAGCTATTATGGTAAGTCACTTATATGAAGTACCCAGAGTGGTCAAATGTGTAGAGACAGAAAGAATGGTGGTTGCCAGGAGCTGAGGGAAGGAAGGAATGGGGGCCTACTGTTTAATTGGTACAGAGTTTTAGGTTTACAAGATGAAAAGAATTCTGGAGATGAATGGTAGTGGTTGCATACCGTATAAATGTATTGAATTTCATGGAAATGTACGCTTAAAGATGGCTTAAAATGGTAAATTTTATATTTTCTATATTTTGCCAGAATAAAAAAAAGTACTACATTAATTGACAGACTAAACAAGGACTTTTGGCACCAAAATTAGACTTTGGAAAGAAATCAGTCTCTCAGTAAAGTCGTCATGAGAAAAACATGATCGTCAATAGGTTTTGTTGCATGTGCTTTAAGACATAGATTTGCTTTTATTTGGAATCGCTTGGCAGTGAGGGAAAGGGTATCATAATCTTTTTATGCCCTTGGGCTCCAAAGTAGGGTTGCCAGATTCAGCAAATGAAAAACACAGGAGCTGTGCAATATTTAGCATGTGCTTACGCTAAAAACATGTCTGTGGTGTTTATCTGAAATTCAGATTTCCCTGGGTTCTGTGTTTTATCTGGCAACCCTCTCTAAGAACCTGAGTCCAGACTTGGCGAGAGGAATTAAGGAATAAGTGTGAGAACCCGAAGTGAGAACCATAGCTGGTGTCTGACCTGGGAGCACAGGCTCAAGGTCACGGGGACAGATCTACACCCAGGTCACTCTACTCTGTGCTTGTGAAAGGCCAAGGGAGAGCTGGTGGGTTCTCCCCCGAGGGATCCTTCAGAGAGACCTTGTGAACAGCTGTACTGATGAAAAGCCCATGCTCCATTTTAACTCTGTTAAAGAGCGGGTGGAGGCAGGGCTGGAGTGCAAAGCTCAAGGCAACTCCACAGTCTGTGCTCTATGTCCTGGTTTTGGTCACTTCCTCACCCAACACGGTGGGCCAGGATCTAGAATGTCAGAGCCTTCATATCCCACTGTAGCTGGTTTCCGCAGAAACATGAAACCAAAGACCACCCACAGCCCAGCAAAGAGGTTCTCGGTGCACGTGCACTGCCGCTGAGACGGGCAGGTGCCTCTTCTGAGCCCAGCTGCCCAGGAGCTGCCTTTGAAAAGTCTGCATTCCTCCCATGGCTGGTGCTACAGAAACAGCACGTCCACAACTGGCGGCTGCCTTTCTCTAAGAAACATCTTCATGCAGGTATTTAAATGGGAAAGAATTATAAATTTCAAATATACACATCAAGAGGTGTGAATCCCCATAAGGGTTCAAAAACAAGAAGGCAATGAACAGGGACAGGGACCAGAAGCACAGCTGCCTTCCTTGTTTATCCAATCAAAATCTCTCAGAGACACAGACACTAATTCTGGCCTCCTCCATGTTGGAAAAGCAGGTCATGGCTAAGACAGGTGGAGACTGCTCTTCAAGTGAGCCTTTGGAAAATGGGATCATTTTTCTGAAGGATACGGATAGCGGCCACTGTGACCCGAGCTGCAGCCACAGAGCAGAACTAAAATGAATGTGGACTGAATGCGACTTCAGAAATCTGGGTCTACAGCTGCTTGGTCCATTAAAATAATATACTTACATGGTTTTAAAATGTTCTCTCTTTTCAAATTACACATACTATACCAGAAAAGTAGCTGATTAAGGCAAACTGTTTCATTCCAAGTGATGAAAATAAAATTGACAATAAAGGAAGCACTAATTTAAAATGATGCCATCTTTTCTTTTTTTCTGTCCTGCAAAATGCGCTGTTAGGTGAGGTCCTGATAGCACAAGGCCACCTCCAAGGACGGTCCAGCTCCTTCCTTTGCTCCCTTTGCCCCTGTGACTTGCTGGAGCCTCCCTAAAAGGTTATGTGGCAAACAGCTGGTGTGCTCATCTGGAATTAATCAATGAACATTGCTTGTCTGTTGTAGAAATTGGAGCTTAGAGTTTTCTTGAAGAAATAAAAGGCTTCATACTCTGATCTGTTATCATCTGTATTGATACTTTTTTAAAAAGCTCAAAATGAAAAACATAAAATACTATCAAGTAATCAACAGAACATTCAATGTGTATAAAGATTTTTTTAAAAATACGTTTAAAAAGAGAGCCAGGGAATTCAATTTACATTTTAGACCATTTAATGGAGGTATTTGTTGCACATGTGGTTTTAGTGTAACGTAAACACAACATCTCTCCCCAGAAACACTTAACCTGAGTTGGAAATGAAATATGAACTGAAGAGATTCTTAATTCACACATACACTTCTCCTCAAAATATTAGCAATGATTCCAACTGAGGATTCTGCTTGAAGTTCAGGACTCGGTCCCAGGACAGGAATGAAGGAAAACTCCGTGCAGTTCGAACGCTCTGCTGAAGTCAAAGGACTGCACCTGCGGGCTCTTAATCAGAGCTAGCTTCCTCAAACACCCGCGGAACGAGGTCTGGCTGCGCAGGCATTTTTGCTTCACACCAGCTGTTCAGGAAAGAAGAGAAGACAAATCTTGCTTAATTTTGTTGAAATGCGATCCATAGCACAAAAGCAACAGAAATAATCTCAAGCGGGTTTTTTTATTTTTTAAATTTTTCACTATCAAAATTAGGAGAATATCTTCCACATATGTGGTGTCAGTGACTAGCAGAATTCAGAGAAAACTTTTTTTTTTTTGAGATGGAGTCTCGCTCTGCCACCTAGGCTGGAGTGCAGTGGCGCGATCTCGGCTCACTGCAACCTCTGCCTCCCGGGTTCAAGTGATTCTCCTGTCTCAGCCTCCCGAGTAGCTGGGGTTACAGGCACCCGTCACCACGTCCAGCTTATTTTTGTATTTTTAGTAGAGAGAGGGTTTCACCATGTTGGCCAGGCTGGTCTCAAACTCCTGACCTCAAGTGATCCACCCACCTTGGCCTCCCAAAGTGCCGGGATTATAGGTGTAAGCCACCGCACCTGGCCAAAAACTTTTAATATATAAAATTTTAAGGCATAGTTATAACTTAAAAAAAGTCATACAACAGGTGTTTATTATTTGCAACAATTCCTTGGAACATCTAAAATACATAATTCTAATCCAAAATTGACCAGAGAGATGAGTCACAAGTTTGTTTCCTAAAACGATTCCCTAGCCCTAAAATGACTCCCAAGTCTGACAGTCATGAAATTTACTTCGGTAGAGTCATACGGCTGCCTTTATATCAGACCCAATGTTCTCACAGTCTTACCCAATGATTAACTTGTGTATGTAGATTATTTTAAGTTATCCAAGAATTCTTAGATATTTGAAATAGCCTTTCTAAAATGGTAAAGGATTTGTCACCCAAACCATGTACCTTTCTCAATCCCTATTCTACATCCACCTGAACCAAGACTTCCTCCAGGGACAGTGCCCCTTTTGAGTGGAAGAGCAGGTACCCGTACATACCAGGATAGCCACCAACATAAATGGGATTGTTGGTGTCCACTGAGGTAGACTGGGTGTGTGGACTTTCAGCGCCAACTGCGTTCCCGTCAACAATCAGAGTGATACGGTGTTTGCTTTTGTTAGCTTGAAGAGTGTGCCATTTTCCATCACAGAGCACAGTGGCGGTTTTGGGCTCATATGCAGCTGTTATCCTGCCAGCACCATTGTTGACATGGAACAAGACCTAAAAGCAAATATCTTGGTGAGTTTTTGTGTATTTAAGGAACACAGTCCATTTGTATAAGCTCTTGGAGTAGATAAAATTGCAGCATTATGTTTAAAAGGAGAGCTAACTAGGAGAAACAGAAAATAGTTTTGAAAAGTAACCTTTTAAAGGATTCAGATGATGGCTGGGCATGGTGGCTCACACCTGTAATCCTGGCATTTTAGGAGGCCGAGGCAGGCGGATCACCTGAGGTCAGGAATTCGAGACCAGCCTGAGCAACATGGAGAAACCCTGTCTCTACTAAAAACACAAAAAAATTAGCTAGGCGCATGCCTGTAATCCCAGCAACTCAGGAGGCTGAGGCAGGAAAATCGCTTAAACCTAGGAGGCAGAGGTTGCGGTGAGCCAAGATCGTACCATTGCACTCCAGCCTGGGCAACAAGAGCGAAACTCCATCTCAAAAAAAAAAAAAAAAAAAAAAGATTCAGATGTTATACTAGTCCCCAAATTCCAGAAAGCGCAAATGGCCACCTTCATGACCACAAGTCTGAGCACACTGCATCCTTAAATGAGGGCCTCAATTTTAGGACATTTTAGGAGCTAATAGCCTTACTGGAGGTGCTGGTCATACTTTCATTTTTTTTCTTTGAGATGGAGCTTCGCTCCTGTTGTCCAGGCTGGAGTGCAGTGGCGCGGTCTTGGCTTACTGCAAACTCCACCTCCTGGGTTCAAGTGATTCTTTTGCCTCAGCCTCCCGCATAGCTGGGATTACAGGCATCCACCACCATGCCCAGCTAATTTTTGTATTTTTAGTAGAGACAGGGTTTCACCATGTTGGCCAGGCTGGTCTTGAATTCCTGACCTCAGGTGATTTGCCCACCTCGGCCTCCCAAAGTGCCGGGATTACAGGTGTGAGCCACCGCACCTGGCCCGGTCATACCTATTGATAGCACCTATGAGCGAATATTTACTAACTCTCTTCTGATGAACTGTAGATGCTCTCCCACAGCAAGTAAAGAGATCTCAGCTTTGCAAAGGATAGGAGGTGTTATGGGCTGAAGACCGCCCTCCAAAATTCATATGCTGAAGTCCTAACCCCCAGTACCTCAGAATGTGATTGTATTTGAAGATGGAGCTTTTAAAGAGGTAATTAAGTAAAGATGAGTGACTAGGGTGGCCCTCATCCAATCTGACTGTGTCTTTATAAGAAGAGATTAGGACACAGACATGCACAGAGGGAAGACCATGTGAGAACACAGGGAGAACGAGGCATCTGTAAGTCAAAGAGACAGGCCTCAGAATAAAGAACCTTACTAACACATTGATCTCGGACTTCTAGTCTCTAGAGTGGCAAGAAAATAAATTTCCATTGTTTAAGCCACACAGTCTGTGGTACTTTGTTCTGGCACCCCAAGCAGACTAAGACAGGAGGAAAGAATTTCAAATGTACTTTTTGAAGATTCTTATGCTATATATGAAACTGCTCAGTATTATTTCTAGGTGGACTGTGACAATTAAGGATATGTCATAAACCCTTAGGTAACAACTAAAAATGTTAAAAAAGAACTATGCATAATAATCCAATAAGAAGTAAAATGTATAATACAACAGAAAATTACATTGTTTGCAGCAATTACACTTCTGATTGCATTCCTAATTTTTTATTTATCTAAATAAAATATTTTTCAAAAATAGAGATGGGGTGTCGCTATGTTGCCCTGGCTGGTCTCAAACTCCTGGGCTCAAGCAATCCTCCTGCCTCAGCCTCCCAAGGTTTTGGGATTACAGGTGTTAGCCACCATATCTGGCCCTGGTAACATTTTTTAGATGTCACATAAAAACATGCAAATAGATACAAAAGTTTTTAAAGTATAGATGAGGGAAAAAGTTGGCTGTAAGTCAGTGTAGAGAGGCAGCAATATGACATCAAGTTAGTTCTGGTTTGTCATGAATCGGAAAAGAGGTGAAGGGCAAAAGGTCAGACATGACCTTTCAGATCCTCCCCACCCCCACTCTAGGATATCCTAGGGGTCAAAACCCAGCGGGGAGTAAGTAGGGAAATACCAGAAACAACCGGTAAGTCCTGGGGAATCTAGAACATGGAGACTTTTTCCTTGCCTTCCAAGAGGCACTAGTGTTGGAAAATTCAGGCATCTTACTCCCACAACAACAAACATTGACCACAGTGCTGCAGAAATGCTGGTAAAATGTAGTTAGGTAGAGAGAGGACCAGAGAGACACCATCCCTGATTCCCCATGGCCTCTGTGTGGCTTGGCAGAAATCCCCAAGTTTGCACATGACCCCACGGGGAAGCGGGAAGATGAAGAGGTGGCACTACTCATGACAACCAGGATGAGAAGCCTGAGCTGAAATGGACGCTGGCCAAACTCTCCAGGAGCAGCCCCCATGCAGGGGCAACACTGAGACCCCAGACCACTCACTGTAAGAGGCTGCCCTGAAGACCACGATATGGCTATGGCTCAGCTGCTGTCCACTAGAGAGCCCACAGAAAGGAAAAGGGCCATCGAGACTCCCTTCCCCGCATCCTGCCTGCGCCCAGACAGCCCCAAAGGGGAGAGGAAGGGAAGTGAGAACTGGGAGAAACTGTGAAGGAGGCGGTTTTCAAGCAGGAGACTAAAGGACTAGTACTGCAAATTGTGGAGTTCATTTTGTTGCCAGCAGGAGAGGGACATGAGAGGCTGAAAAGCAAGGGCAGAACAGTCACAGAAAAAAATAACATGTTCTACATTAAAAAAAAATTATAGCATGGTACGTCTATCCCACAGAGTAATACGCCACCACAAAAGGGAACGGACTGTTGATATGCACAACCACCCAGATGACCTTCCCAAGATCAGGCTGAGTGTGAAAAGCTGATCTCATAAGGATACCTACTGCGTTATTTCATTTATATAACACTGGCAAAACAGAAATTAGAGGGACAGCAAACAGATTAGTGGTTGCCTAGGATTAGGGGTACAGGAGTTGGGTGTGGCCATGATGGGGTATTAAGGGGGAGCCTTGTAGTATTGATACAATTAAGTATCTTGATTGTGCTAGAAAAATGCATAATGTTTGTAATCCCAGCACTTTGGGAGGCGAGGCGGGCGGATCACGAGGTCAGGAGTTCGAGAACAGCCTGACCAACATGGTGAAACCTGGTCTCTACTAAAAAATACAAAAATTAGCCGGGTGTGGTGGTGCACGCCTGTAATCCCAGCTACTCAGGAGGCTGAGGCAGGAGAATCACTTGGACCTGGGAGGCAGAGGTTGCAGTGAGCTGAGATTGCACCATTGCACTCTAGCTTGGGCAACAAGAGCGAAACTCCGTCTCAAAAAGAAAAAAAATGCATAGTGCTACCACTGGGAAACCTGGGTCTGGGTGAATGGTGCATGGGGCCCTCCCTGTACATTTCATTGCAACTTCCTATGAATCTGTAATAATTTCCAAATAAAAAGTTAAAAAAAATTATTAGAAGGGATAGGGCATCAGGTCAGCAGCTTATTCTCAGATGGTTCAGGAAAAAAAGTTCTTTGTATTATAGTTGTAATTTTGCTGAAAGCTTACTTTCAAACATATAAAAAGTTATTTTTGAAAAGCTTTTAAAAAATAAACCAAAAAGGTTTTCTTGTAGCAATATCTGTTTTTAAAATAGTAATGGGACCATTGTTTGACTCCATGAAAATAGATAGTTGTGAATTTGAATCTGCTGTTTCTCAATTGCTCTGTCTCTGACACTGGGGGGAGGAAGACCCTCATGGAGAGGAAGCACCCACCTTGCCGTCCACAAGCTCTAGTCCAATGGCATCCACTTTGGCAGTGCTGATCCCCAGGAGGACGCCATTCTGCGAGGAGGTTCGAAACTCCAGTGTGATGTTCACATCTGACTGGACTTTGTAGCCCTCTTTGACTGTAACACACAAGGAGGACCCAAGTCAGGGTGAGCGCTGCCAGGCCCAGGTTGAGCATTTGGCCTCCTGGCTAGGGGTTGGGGGACCTGGCTCTAGCTCCTCCTTTGGATCCAGCTGCATCCCCACCAGCAGGTCACTCCTGCCCTCTGAGCCTCGGCTTCCACATCTGGGAGATGACGTGGAGCTTTTAAAGAAGACGCATGCAGTCAGCCAGGTCAGAGCAGAGCCAGGCACCTCCTTCATCTGTGGCCACAGAAGCACGTGGCCCTGCCTCACCCTGTGGACACGTCCTCCCTGCGGCAGTCTTTCCCGTGGGCTGTTGGGATTTGATCCCTGGAATCCCTTTATCATCATCCGAGAATAGTCCACTTTATTTTCCTAGTATCTGTGTACTTGTGGGAATCATCATTTACTGAGTGTATCAGAGTCCATACTAAGTTTGTTAAAGGTGGGGATTGAATGGAATGCTTTTTTAATTCAGGTGATAAAAAAGCCGAGGAGCCACACTGGGTGGGGCTATTGACAACAGCAGGCAGTTGTTACCATGCCCAGGGCTGAAGGGAAAAGGGGAGAAGATGGTATGCCCAGAGCTGGGGGGTGCAAGGGGAGCTGAGGCCATGGAGGGGGCTGCCCAGCAGGGCTGGAGCCTGAGCCCCAGGAACAGGAGAAAGGAAGCACAGAGTGAACGAGAGATGTTCTGCTGGCTTCCCCCTCTTCCCCACCCAAACTTCTGCACAGCCTCCCTGGCGCCAGCTGGTCTAGACATTTTATGCTGCTGATTTTTAATTCAAAGCCCTTTCTTAACTTGGACAGTAAGTGTGCATTACAGAACCTGGGGAAACTATAGATGAAACTAGCACCCCATGTCTGGCCTCTGTCAGGAGTCACACCACTCCTTGGGGGAGACTTTGTCAGGCCATCCAGATAGCACAAGACCTGAGAAGGCTTTTTACGCCAAGAAATTAGGAATCAACTGGAATACTAAACTCAATGTGGTTTTCCTGCAGCCTTGTCCAGTGGGTCCTGTCTTATACTCTTGGATCCACATCGCTTTAGAGTACAGACTCATTCGGGGACTGCCTTCGAGAGTGTTGCTAACACATACCAAGAGCTGCATATCCGCTTCCGTCAAAGTATGTTCCTTCCTGGGCCACTGCGTAGCACCTGTTCACCGTGAAGGCAGACACCGGGCTGTCCTTGTCCAGCTGTTTGCTGTTAACCGTCACATCCCCAATGCAGGCAGGGATGCTGTGGGTGATCTAAGCCAAATGACATGCAAGAGTAGACAGTGGTGATTCTAATGGGAAGGGTTTGGACACATTTTCCTTCCACTTCATCAGACTGGTCTCAGCAAAACACATTAAAATGTAATCTTTTTGTTTTAAAACTTTAATTGCCACAATACTTCACATGAATGTCTAAGTTAGAGCTACCATTTGAGTATCTTTGCTAATAATGCAGTGGAAGTGTTTTCTATTATTTTAGTGAAATATTGTGGAAATCAAAAAATGCTGAGTTTACTAATGTGCGAATATGCATTTGCTGGGCTTCCCTGAATTGTGCTGTGGCCACGTGGCTGCGGAAAGGGAGATGTTCATTAACTAACAGGCTGGAAAGACTGATCGGGTTCTGAGGGGCGGCCCTGGCACACGATCTGTGGACATGCCTGCAAAGTAAACCTCTTCACAAGCCCCAGGTTCAAACAAGGTAATTTAAACATAAAGATGCCGTGAGGTATGCTCTTCTACAAAATAAACACGAACACAACGAAGGTAAAATGTCAGTATGGAAAATGCTGCTTACATTTCCAATTTTCCTGGCCTGGTACTGGGAGGGCAGGCCTCCTAGGTAGAACAAACCCTCCACATCCAGCATGGTTCCATCTCCCACCACAGTCACCATGGGAGACTCTCGGCCGTCGACAGTTATGAAGCCTTTTCTTTTAACATAGTCTGTCTTGACCTACAGCAAAGTGAAAACATGCATAATTTTTGAGGAATCTGAAAAAACTTTTAACAGATGTATAAACTTTAACAGATGCAACATCTGTTTCTGAGAGCTATAACAACCTGAATGCAATGCTAAAGGAAGGTTCAAATTTTTAGACAGTTGGTGACGAAAAGTGGATGAGCCTGGCAGAAGAAAGGAGGCAGGTATGAAACTGCCTTTGCAAAAACTGTAACAGTGAAAGAAATCTGACATAGAAAAATGACAGCAAGAGGAATCTGACATAACTGACTCTATCTTGCTTCTAACCTCATAAGCTGTCTTTGCTAATTCAACCTAGCTATGGGAGGAATTTAGTTGATAGTTTAAAACAAAGATGATAACAGTCCCTTCTGGAAATGGGAGGAATTTAGTGGATAGTTTAACTTTAAATCAAAGATGATAACAGTCCCTTCCCGAAATGGGAGGAATTTAGTTGACAGTTTAAAACAAAGATGGTTAACAGTCCCTCCCCAAAACTAACTCCCTCCTTGCTCAGGGACCAAAATCGCCTTTGTAAAATTAAGGAAATGCCACAAGGTTGGAATTGTGATAGGGGCCTGAATTCTGCTAAGATACAGGCATAAACTCTAACCAGCCATTGTTTCTCCTGCTAAGATGTAGGCATAAACTCTAACCAGTCATTGTTTATACTTTGCCCTTTTAAACTACTTATTGCTTAGGAATCACGTAGCCAATAGTCGTTAAGTGTTATACCTTCTCCAATTGCCCCATATAGATAACATTGCTATTGTAAAACCTAGGACTGGCATTTGAGATATTTTTCAGACTTTGCATTCAGTATGAACCAAATGGCACCACCCAGAGCAGTAACCCCTACCCAGGAACTGGCTCAGCACAAGAAGACAACTTCGACCCCCTGTGATTTCTTCCCCAATCCAATCAATCAGCATTTGCCATTCCTTATCCCCCGGCTGCCAAACTATCCTTGTTTACACGAGGTTTTAACCCTAGTCCTTGAATTCTTGGGGAGGCGGCTTTGAGAATTATCTCCTGGCAAGTTGCCTATGCAATAATTAAACTCTTTCTTTGCTGCAAAACCTGCCACTCTTAGTGCATTTGCTTTTCTGGGCAGTGGACAAGAACAACCCAGCTGGCCGATTACAGGCACAGGTAAAGCGTGCTGCACACCAGAAAGTGCTCCAGAGTTCCGGTTATCAGAAAGCAAATGCCATGAGGGGAGGCTAGGCTTTACATACTCCTTGCCAAGTCAAGAACATGTCTAGTACCTTTTGTTCATCCCGCCAATGTTTGCTGAATGTCTATTTCACGTCAGGTACTAAGCAAGGCCCTGGGGATATTTCGGAAGCAGAAAAGATCCCTGCCTTCAAGACTTGTAGTCTCTGGGGGAGACACCAGACACACACGGCGAGATAGAGATTAATGGGGATAATGTGCCTTTGAGAAATGGAGTGAACCCGAGTGATAGATGGAACAGAACTCAGAAGCAGCCACCACAAGCCTCCTGAGATCGTACCGTGTGCCACTTGCCATCACTGAGCAGTGCAGGGTGAGAGACCTTTGTTCTGCCTTTGCCAAGGTCAAACATGAAGTGGAGGCGGCCCCCGTGCAGCTGGAGCACAGCGTAGTCTGCTTGGTTCTGATGAGCCATGTAGTAAATCAGGCCGCTGGAGGCGAACGTGCGGATGCTTAGCTCAACCGAGAGCCTGGGGAAAACAAGTGCTCAGCGTTGAGAAAGGAAACTTTTACTTTTCATTTTTAAAACCTCAAAAGAGGACCCAACAATTGTTTCAGCGTTTACATTGAACATCTCAGGAGAGAGGGGTATTCATTCCTTCATCCATTTACACATCCATTCATATAATGAGTTATTAGTGCCTACCTCTGTCTGCCGGGAACTGTTTCAGGATGAGGATAAAGCTGTGAACAAAGAGGAAGATCCCTTTGCTCATGAAACTAATACAGAAACACATCAGACAGTAAAGTGGGTCCTGTAGAGGCCAACCAGTGGCTACCTTAAGCATTCAACGCGGGTAACTCTGCAAAGCTGATATCTCAGCTGAGGTCTGAATGACAGAAAGGGGCAAGCCCCTGCAAAGTGAGAGCTTGATGGCAGGGGACATCAGGAAGCCCACCTGAGGCCGTGGGGGAACCAGAGTTACTGCAGGTGTGGAGGAAGGCTGCGCCTGGGTAGGCCCTGTCAGAGGGACCACGGTGTCACTGGACCACCCAGGGACAGCACCAGGGCAGATGTGGCTCCAACATAGGGAGGAGGGGCTTTGAGGGTGTTTGGATTTTCGGCACAGTGGGAAGTCACAGGAGGGCTTTGAAAGGGGGAGTGGCCGAGAATTCCTTTAAGAGATCCTCTGTCTAAACTGAAGAACAGGTCAGGGGGTCAGGGGTGAAGCGGGTCCCATCAGGCAGCTGTTACGACAGCCAACGGGAGGGAGTCGGGTGGCTTAGACCAGGGTGGCGGTGGGGACTCAGAACAGATTCAGGAAACGTTCTGGAGGAAGAAGCAACAGGATTTGCCAATGGACTGGATTTGGAGAGTGAGAAAAAGTGAAATGAAAAATAGCCCCTAGGCTTGGGCCTTGGGCAACCAGGTGAATGGTGATTGTGCCCGCGGCAACGGCAAAGAGCAGGAGAGCAGGACTGAGGGAAGCCTGCGAATTCCATTCGGGGTGATGAGGCCCAGGAGACTGTCCCAGGCCACACAGAGATGTTGAGTGGCTGAGGAACCTGTCCCAGTCCACATGCAGATCTCGAGTGGCTGGTGGGCCCACAAATCCTGAGTTCTAAGTGGAGGCCAGAGCTACACAGGTAGGTTCTGCCATATCTAGGTGGCATTTTAAGGTGATCGGAACATAGAAGGCCATCCTGGGAGAGCGTGTGGAAGGGCCCAGCACTCTCAGCTGGGAGACTGAGGAAGGCGGGCCGAGAGAGAGCAGGGAACTAGGAGAGTGTGCATCTGTGACAGCCAAGGAAGTCCAGGGGCTGCTGAGAGCCCAGTGCAGGGGGCTCCGCACCATGTAGCTGCACAGGGGTCTCGAGTAACTCTCTCAAGAGCAGCTGGGGGTGTGCGGGAGGCTGACCGGATGGTTAAACGAGGAAACAGTCCCTGAGGAAAGGGCAGCTCTTTCAAGAGCCTTGCTGGGAAACAGAGCCAGGTACTGTGCATGTGTGTGCGGGGGAATGTGACGTCTCCTGGGGGGTTCTGCTTTAGAAGTCAAAGTGAGAGAGGGAGTGCAGCACAGAGGTTACAGCAGTCCCTTCTTATTTGCGGTTTTGCCTTCCAAGGTTTCACTTTTTGAGGTTTCAGTTACCTGCAGTCAACTGAGGTCTGAAAATACTAAATGGGAAGTTCTGGAAATAAATAATACATAAGTTTTAAATTGGGCATCACTCTGAGTAGCGTGATGAGATCTCATGCCATCCCACTCGGTCCTGCCCAGAAAGTGAATCCTGTCTGTGTCCAGTGGATTCACGCCATGGGAGCCATGTCTGCCTATGTCCAGTGGATCCACACCATGGGAGCCATGTCTGCCCGTGTCCAGTGGATCCACGCCATAGGAGCCATGTCTGCCTGTGTCCAGCGGATCCACGCCATGGGAGCCATGTCTGCCTGTGTCCAGCAGATCCACGCCATGGGAGCCATGTCTGCCTGTGTCCAGTGGATCCACACCATGGGAGCCATGTCTGCCTGTGTCCGGCGGATCCACGCCATAGGAGCCATGTCTGCCTGTGTCCAGTGGATCCACGCCATGGGAGCCATGTCTGCCTGTGTCCGGCGGATCCACGCCATGGGAGCCATGTCTGCCTGTGTCCAGTGGATCCACACCATAGGAGCCATGTCTGCCTGTGTCCAGCGGATCCACGCCATGGGAGCCATGTCTGCCTGTGTCCAGCGGATCCACGCCATGGGAGCCATGTCTGCCCGTGTCCAGCGGATCCACACCATAGGAGCCATGGGCCCATTGGTCACTTTATAGCTGTCTAGGTTCGCAGATCGACTGTGGCAGTACAGCGGGGCTTGTGTTCAGGTCACCCTGATTTTACTCAATAATGCCCTCGAGGCACAAGAGGAGTGATGCTGGCATATTGTTATAATTCTTCTATTTTATTATTATTGTTAATCTCTTCCTGTGCCTAATTTATAAATTCAACTTTATCATAGATATGCATGCATAGGAAAACACAGTGTATATGACGTTTAGGTACTAGCCGAGGTTTCAGGCAACCACTGGGGGTCCTGAACGTATCCCCCGAGGAGAAGGGGAAACTACTCTACAGGCACAGACTCTGGAGCCAGAAGGCCTGGGTTCGAATCCCGGCTCTACCATTTACCAGCTGTGTGACTTTGAGCAGATGCCTCAGGCTCCCTATACCTCAATCTCCTTATCTGTTAAATGGAGATAATAACAATTCCTTCCTCATAGGAGAATTATGAGGAGTAAATTAGGGCATCTGTGTAAAAATCTTTGTGTCAACCTCCAGCACAATAGTTTGCTGCTCTTGCTGTCACTGCTGACGATGGGGTGACAGCGGCATCTGTGTGCTGGTCTGTGAGGAGTGGCTGCTGTGCATGTCCTAGGAGGAGAGGGCGGATGGGATCCAGAGGACAAGCTGGGGCTGGCTGGGTGGGCTTTGCTAGGAACAAGTACCCTTCATCTGTGGTAGCAGAAGAGATAGAGGGTCAGGAACAAAAGCAGGGGCTGGTCTTTTTGGTGGTGGACGGATGAAGGAGCTCTTTCTTCTCAACGAGGCAAGTCATCAGCTGGGGTGGGAAGAGGGACTGCGGTGCACAGGGCTCTGAGCTAAGAGCAGCTATGAGGAAGTAGTCATGGAGAATAAAAACCATGAACATATTAGAGCAATGCACTGGCTCCCCATGTCGTTTGGAGGCTCCATCTGAGATTGACGGCTATGATATCCAGCTCAAACCAGCTAGGAAGGAGACATCCATCTCCTTGGCCTTGGTCTCCCGTGTGGGTTCTGGCACAGAGAAGGCGGAATGTTGGCTTTTACCTGGGCTCGCAGGAGTGGGAGAGAGAAAGGGTTAGGGGATTTTGCAGAGGACACCTGTAACACTGGCCTGGAACCTATCTGGGGGATGAATTGTGATTTGGGGCTAGAGAAGAGGGGAGATAGTGGTGGGAGGGCATTAGGGCTAGCGGCTTAGAGGTCTCCATGCAGCTGAGAAACTGCAGGAGTGGGGAGGCACAGAGTGGAGACAAGAAGAAAGGGGTGTGCTAATAGGAGGCTTTTAAAGTCGAGACTGTGAGAGGGATGGATACCTGTGAAGAAGTCAAGGGTATGGCCACGGAAGAGGCTGGCTGAGGAGGGAGCAGGGAAAGACCTTCCACAGATCACAGTTTGAGCACAGAAAGGTCAGGTGTTAGGCAGCTGTTGAATTCACAGAGAGTGATGGCAGGAGCTGCAGAAGACAGACAGGAGCCCAGGTCTAAGGGGGTATGACAGGGTGGCACAGCCAATGACAACAAGACGGGCAGGGCATGGCAGAGACTGCAGGCAAGCCTGGCAGGTGAGCTGGAGGACCTCAGGAGGAGAGAGGAGCAACATGGAGTCCGGGAGCCCCAAGCTCCAGGCCTTGAGATCTTCCCTTGGCAGAAGGGTCCCAGGGACAGGCAGGTATGAGGGCCAGAAGGTGCAGAGAGGGGTGGGTGTGGCACTCGGGATTTTGGCCACCACAGTGTAAGAGTTTGGGTAGACAAAGACATCAGACTAGGGAATGCTTAAAGTGGAATGGGGTTGAAAGTCCAGACAATAATAGATCCAGGAGACTTAATTTAGATGCCCACACGCTTCCTTACATGCACACAGAAAGGGGAAGCCAGCCACTCTCCAGAAGGGAAAAGGCAGAAACCACAGACTCCCCAGTGAACCACCATGAAAGCGTTGTGATTTGCACCAACACTGAATTCCTTCTCTTTGCCATTTGGTTGCAAATCAAGCACTTCATCATAAAATAAAAGCAGGTTCTTTTGGAAAAGACTCTGTGGCTGCAGAACACCCCCATACATCTAGCAATGAGACGCCGCATAAGGATGTTAGAATGATACCTACTTCTTTCTGACAGCCGACTGATTAAAAGGCAAGATGAAATGGCTGTTTTGTGTGAGACCAAACTGGTGAGCGCCGGGAACGTACTCCAGAGCTGCATCCACCACACACTGTTCCTGTAAGAGACACACAGGGACACTCAGCCGCCACCCGCAGCCCGAACCCCACTGACACACGCGTGTTCCGCCATGAAGGGCCATCTACGAAGCAATCCCATTAGAACAGCAACAACCACCAGTGCCTGTTGGCGCTCACTCCATCTTCGGTTTAAATGATGCACTCGCCAGCGCTTTATCTCCCTGAAGAAAGCACTTAGAGCTTCTGTCTGTCACCTTAATCCCACTCGGCTTCACTGAAATTCATAAGGACACTGAAGTCTCTCCTACAAATTTTCATCAGGCTTAAGGGGCAAAGGCCTTGCTGTCCCCCTAGGCCCCCGCCGTGACCCGAGGTTTTGGGAATGGCCCTAAGGATGCAGCTGCCGAGACGAGCTGCGGACCAGGCACTGGAAAACTGGAGGTGCCCACAGGTGACATGTTTTGCAGGGCCTCAGAGTGTGAACCTAGGTCCACACTGACAGGGCAGGATGCAGACAAGAGGAGCCAGGCGGGAAGGGCCCCTGAACCCCACGCAACCATCTGCGGGCTGTCCTAAGAGTGCCCAAGTCATGGGGGTCCCAGATGCTGTTTTCTGCTTCAGCACAGGCAGATGCTACCATGAAAACTGCCCCGAACTCAAAGCCTCGCCCTGCTCAGAAGGTCCTGCTCTTGAATGCTTCTGCCATCTTCTAAATTATTAGAGTGCACACTTTAAACCAGGGAAACAGAGAAAGCAAAAGGGGAGAACATGAAAAATAGCAATGGCTGCCATTCAAAATATTTGGCCAGAACTGGCTTTTCCTAATGAATTGAATCTTTTTTTTTTTTTAAAGCAACAAATATGTGCACAATGGCTTTACATGAAGTACTTATTTTCATGCTTTCCTGGCTAAATGTAAATTGATAATGAGTCCTTATAGAAGCTCTGCCAAAAGCATATTATACATCAGCCCAATGCGCGGCCTGGGTGTTGGGGCCTACAATCTATGGATTGGGCCGTGTCATCTGAGTTGCTTGAGGCACCCTTTCCCTCCCTGTCCCCGCTCTGATTTTTAGCACAGCTCCAGCTCCAGCTCCAGCTCCAGCTTTCGCAGGCACCTTTACAGCAAGGCCCCATTTTAACTCCCTCTGTCCTAGGCCCTCCTTTGCTGACTGGACCTGACTGATAGTAAAGGAAGCCGCTCCTACTGGAAAAGCCCGGGGCTCTGGCAAGAGCTTGCTGTCCTCTGCATCGGGAGCCAGCTTAGGCCTTTCTGACAGCCAGCAGGTGTCCAGGTCGACTTGCTCATGGCCAACTGCACTGTTGAAATCCAAAAGTCTAGGTAGAAACAAGAGAGTGTTTTCAAAATTAGGATATCACAAACCAGTCCATGAACCCAAGTCATCTGATAACTGTACAATGAAAATCAATTAAAAACCATGTATATATTTCTCTTAGAGTAACCAAAGTGCCAATCCTTCACTGTGACTCAGAGTCCAAACATGCTATCTTAATATTTCTTGTCTGAAGCTTCTGCTTGCAATGGCACCCAGCCTAGCATATCCCCATGTCAGACCCTGGCCATTCCTGAGCACCCCCCAGGTCAGCTCCGATGCCATCGCCTCCTCCTGCAGCCTTGACTGGGCTGCCTCAGGGACACGTTTTTGTCTCTAGTTCCCAAGCGCTGCACAGTGACCTCCACGAAACACTGATTTCTTGTTTACGTGCTTCCCCTTGCCAGGAGGTTGTGGGCTACGCTTGTCACATGCACTTTCACTCTGCAGCTCCTGTGCTGTGTCCTGTGCCTGCGCACGTCCCCCTGGCACTTTCCCGGGCACAGCTGGGAACTCCACAGAAACGTTTCTGCTCTACCGAGTCCACAAACCCATGACTTTCAGGAGCATGAGGATGCCTCATGAATGAATGAATGAATGAATGAATGAATGAACAGACAACTGGGGGAATAAACATAAACCTGTGCAAAAATCTAAACCAGAGCTCTGACATTATGATTGTATTCAAACCCAACGCTATGTTTTATTCTTGCAAATTTCAGGGACTCCTAAGAGGTAATTTCACAGATAAGGACACTGTGACCATGAAAGATCCAAGTCTTTGTCCAAGGTCACTAGACAAGTCAGTGACCCAGCCAGGAGGGAGCTTCAATTTCCTGATGCCCAGGGCACTTCCAGGTGTTCCTGGGCAGATGCTGGTCCCACAGAGCAGAGCACAGCTTGTGTCCCATCAGCACCCTGTCCAGAGGCAGAGGGTGAGCAAGGAGGAATGAACTGCTCATGGGCACATGTCAGTTCTTTTCCTCATCATGAGCTCCACACAGGGAATGGAGGCTTCCAGTTCTTTTTTTTTCTGAGACAGAGTCTCACTCTGTCGCCCAGGCTGGAGTGCAGCAATGGTGCAATCTCAGCTCACTGCACCTCCGCCTCCCGGGTTCAAGTGATTCTCCTGCCTCAGCCTCCGGAGTAGCTGGGATTACAGGTGCCTGCCACCACACCCGGCTAATTTTTTGTATTTTTAGTAGAGACGGGGTTTCACTATGTTGGCCAGGCTGGTCTCAAACTCCTGACCTCATGATCTGCCTGCCTTGGACCCCCAAAGGCTTCTGGTTCTTAATTATACAGTAATTGTTTTTGGGGAAGCCATTGATAACCTGAAGCTGCTAGTAGCCCCATAGTAAACAGCTCCTTCAAAGCAATGCTCTCAGGACAGCAAGAGACTTACATCACAAAATCCCTATGTTCCTTCAAATGCATGTCAAAAATATATTAAAATCCCGGCTCTTTATGGACAGCCACAGAGAGCTAATGTTCAGCGATGGTTTTTAAAGTATGATGACCAGATCTGTCTAACATTCTAATCCAATAAAATCCATCTGGGGAGACTTACATGATAGAACAATGGGGTTCACTCATTATTTGGGAATTTGCAAAGTTTTCAATCTCAAACAGTACAATGAGATTTCAGATTAGTGTTAGCACTCACCATGAAAGGTCAGAAAGTGCAAGAACATGCAGAGAGCAGGTACACTTACTCCAAATTGAAGATCAGGTTTTTGATACAGCCATGGAACGATCTTCTCATTGTGAGCAGTGACGTCCCCTCTCCCTCTGGAATTCCCCCGACGTACAGATTGGACACATTTATCGTCCTGCTTTCTACTAATGTGCCCAACTTCATTTCCACAGGATTGTTCTCATCCAATTGGACAGTGATAATTCTAAAAGACCAATGGAGAAAATAAATGAAAAGCTTTAAACATAATGAAATAATAATTCCATTTTAGTCCATAATTCCCACAAGTTCTCACTGAATAATAAAAGTTCCCTAAAGGTTCATTTTAACAAGACACTGTCTGTGACCAAAAAGGTGAATCTTGAAAATTAAAACTCACAACTGAAGATTTTTCAGAAACGAATGGAATGTTATTAAATATCCATTGAATGAGATTGCTTTTTGGAGAGATTTTCTTTTTCTTTTTTTTTTAACCTCTTTACCTATGATGAAAATGCCCAGTGTGCTTTTAAAGCATTCAGTCTATATTTTGGAGGGAAATATACAGGAATGTTGATATAATGCTATTTACTATTGATATAATACTATTTACTAATAGTGTACTACTATTTGCCACAGAATCAATCCAATGTAAAGACAATTTATGCTGGGCCCCAGTAAAGGGCAGAGCTAAAGTTGTTTAATTATAAAAATTCTACAAGTATCTTATTACAAAGCAGATGAAACTGGTTCCCAGGAAAGAATCCTAGCAAGGTTCTAGAATCGTCTGGATGCCGATGACCCCAGTCATCTAGCCGCCCAGGGCACCACCGCAAGGTTCCTCCCACATTCCCTCTGAGCTCACCACACCTTCATTACACACTGCCTGGCCGCGTGCAAGTACCTCCGATTCCTGACCAAGGAGATGGAATGCGCTTGTCCATCACTGCAGGTACCCGTGGGAGCGTGCAGGAGAGCTTTTCTCAGGCCTGTCCCATCCCCAGGATTGACATGTACCTCAATGTTGCCTCCGATCAGCATGACGGAAAAGAAGGGCTGGGGAGGTTGCATAGAGAATTTCCCAGACAAAACACATTACTATATGATTTAGAAAACTTTCATCTTATGAAGATAACGTGAGAAGATTAACATCAAGTGAGTAGAGCAATTCCTTAAGAATCTCTTCAGCTGTCACAATGTTACATTTTGTATGTTACTTTCTAATCTCTGTTCATATAATTTATATTCTGCATTATGCTATTATTGCTGAAGATTTCAAACATTTCCATTCTGCATTGCCTCATATTTATGGTTTATTGCTACATTAGATACCAATAAGTAGATATATTGTAATTTGTCTTTTTATCAATGAAATTTAAAGTATTTTCCAACTTTTTATTACCATACATGTGAATGTTTAATTGTTTTGCCTGTGATGTTGTTTCCAACATTATGAAAAGTAGAATTAAACATTTGAAGGATGTGAAAATGTTTAAAGCTTTTAATTTTTTTTCGACACATTGAAAAGAGGTAGTTTATACACTAGAAGAATTGGAACGTGAGTATCTCACAATACCCTTGCTAGCAATGGCTAATATCATTCCTTTTTGCTGACTTAGTAAGCACACTTTGATTTGAAGGTAACCTTACTAAGACTAATGGAGAAGAAGTTTGGCAGTTCCTCAAAAAGTTAAACATAGAATTATCATATAACCAGTGATTCCACTCCTAAGTATACACCCAGAAGAACTGAAGACAGGGACTCAAACAAATACTTATCCACATATGTTCATAGCAGCATTTATTCATAATAGCTAAAAGGCAGAAATGCCCCAAAGTTCATCCATGAAGTAACTGATGAACACACTGTGGTATGTATATACAGTGGAATATTACTCAGCCATAAAAAGGAATGAAGTACTGATCCATGCTCCAATGGGGATGAACTTCAAAGACATGCTAAGTGAAAGATGCAAGACATCATCATATGATTCCATTTGTACAAAATATCCAGAATAGTAAATCCATCTATACAGCCGGAAAGCAAATTGGTGGTTGCCAGGAGTGGGGAGAGAGGAGAATGGGGAGTGACTAATTAATGGCATAGGCTTTTGAGTGATGAAAATGTTTGCAACTAGATAGGAAAGGTGGCCTCGTAACATTGTGAATGCACTAAACGCTGCTGAATTGTTCACTATGAAATGGTCGATTTTAGGTTATATGAATTTCAGCTCAACTACAAAAAAAAAAAAAAAGATCAGTGGAACTCATTAACCAGTCGTAGTCACTGTCAGCCCTTCCCCAAGTATGTCGTGACATGTTTGGGTTCTGCAAACTTGTGTTCCAGTCCTGACTGTGACTCATACCAGTGGTGTGACCTTGGTCAGGTTTACTAGGCTCTCTCAGCACATTTCTTCCTCAGCAAAATGTAGGAAGCAGCATTCCCCTTGCAGCATGGTTGTGATTAATTACACAGCAATGTCTGTAAAGTACCCTGCAGAGTACAAGGTGGCATTCTATAGATTTTAGCTGCATGGACTCAACTTGATTAAGACAGTGTGCTAACATTCTGTAAAGTCTCTTCAAATTATGTGATAGACACAAATTTGAGCAGAGGATGGGGAAATATCACCTATGCTCTTGAAAAGGAACATAAATAAGGAAAATGGTCATCATTTCTCTCCTTTCCCCCTGTTAGTTTACTGTGCTTATCACAGCCCACATTTCCCTTGCTGCTCCTTTCAATCCTATAATAGATAAAGAAAGTCTTGCTTCATCCAGCAGTAGACTGAAGACCTCGACAGGATTTAAGGACTGCTGTTGGCCTTGGAATGAAGAAAAATGACCACAACATGGGGAAGAAAACTCCGTATATGCTATCTGAATGAGTTTTTAAAAAATTAGAGGTAGACAGCAAATAACTTTTTCCTCAGTCACCAGACAATGAAGATGGATTATGCAATATGAGAAATCATTGATTCATAATGGGATGACATTCAGCAACAATAACTTTTACTTATTGAAAATGCACATCCATAAACAACCAGGAACACGGTGACAATAAATGTTTATGAGTCAGTCATTTTCCACTCATTGTTTCCCGAAGTAATTTCCTGAGCTTGGGGCTCAGGAGCACTGGCCCTACTCACCACGTGTGCTTCCTCACGATCACCCCGCTTCTCCACATCCCCGCCGAGGGCAGCCAGGATGATGCCACTGCTGTTCGTGGTGGCAAATGTTACCAGCCATTCTGATTCTGGTGACAAAGATTTGGGTGGCAATTCAATGTAGCCGCCTTTCAGGAAGCTAACACTCCGGATGGGCTGGACACAGAGGAGATGGAACAGCATGGTGAGTTCCTAGCTGCGGCCAAACCTTCCGTGGGGAGGACACTGCTGATTTCCCCATCATCTCTTTTCTATCCCCACTGGTTTGTTGTGTTATGATGTTGATAAATCAATGGACACTTATGGAAACTCATTTGAACATTAATAACAATGTTTCCTACCTCCAGTAAACAGCCTTTTCTCACTCCATAGGAATTTCTGAGTAAGTCAAAGGTTGATCTGGATATTTCCAGGTTCTTGATGCAGCCCACAAAGCTTTTGGTGGTGACACCTCTCCTGTAGGGAAGGGCATGAGAACAATCACAAAATTTGGGTTTTTAAATTCCATTTTTGAAAGAAGGAATACAAAGCCACTGGGCAAGGCACAGTGGCTTATGCCTGTAATCCCAGCACTTTGGAAGGCTGAGGTAGAAGGATTACCTAAGCCCACGAGTTTGAGACAAGCCAGGGCAACATAGTGAGACCCTGTCTCTACAAAAAATAAAAAATTAGCCAGGCATGGTAGCATGCACTTGTAGTCCCAGAGACTGAGGCAGGAGGATTGCTTGAGCCCAGGAGTTTGAGGCTGCATTGAGCCATGATTGTTCCACTGCACTCCAGCCTGGGTGACAGAGCAAGATCCTGCCCCCCAAAACAAGAAAGGGCGGGGGGTGGGGGGAACCCTATACTTCTGGAATACCTGTTTCCATGTGTTACTCTGCAGAAATGTCTTGGCCTCCCTCTAAGAGCAATATTGATAGTGAGAACTTCAGGTCAAACAAATACTCTCTTACTCTCCTTAGGACTAGAGAAAGGGATCAAACTTAGTGAGTTTGGCTACTTGGATGGCTACCTACAGAAAACACAGGCCAATTATAAGAAAGACAGTGCACAGTGCATTGCAGCACATAGATTATAATCCAGTCTCCATGTAGAGTAGAATGTTTGCTTCCCATGGGGACAAGTGCAGGTAATGCTATTTGCCAGGATCTGACTGCTAACAAAGGAAGTCATTGGCTGTTGTTTACGTTGCATATCCATGAACTTTGTCCTAAAGGAAGTAACTGTATTTGGTGAAGTCTGGGATTATCCGAAACTCTACTTCTCAATGTTCAAGTCAATATCATATTTTTCTTACCAGAAGTCTCCACACTCCTGGCTGAGGTCAGGCTATAATGTAGTCCAGCTCTAATTTCCAAAATATGGAGACCACTGAACATCTCCCAGCTGCACTCTTCTGTACCAGCTCTTCACAGGAGAGCTTTGCAATAACATGGTTTCCTGTTACAGCCACACCTCATTTTTTTTTTTTCTCATGTTGAACAATGAGCTATGGACCATTAAGCAACTATATGATTTTGGACAAATTTCAGCCTTTCTAGATCTCAATTTCTTTCCATGTAAACGAGGAGGCTGGCTTTGATGACACCTAAGTCCCTTCTACTGAGAACATCTGTGATATGGGCTTCTGTCCTTTCCTGCGTTGTCTACACTGGGCCGTCTGGGCAAAGTCCAGATGTACTAGGACATAGCCGAGGCTACAGGAACACCCCAGTCCTGGTCCCAGCATGACAGGGCATGAATCTGGGATGGGATCTGGAGACAGCTTCCAGTCCTGGCTCCGTCTTGGCAGGAAGGTAAGACTTCGCAAGTGACCAACTCCGCTGAGGTTTAAATGGATTCAATTCTAAGATCAGGAGGCGGCTGTGGTTGCAAACTGTGTTCCCTGGGACTTTCTAAGATACCTGGCAAAGAGAAGGGGCACAGTGGAGAAGTGGCTCTCTCTACAAAAGGCTGCTCATCATAGCAACTGAATGGCTGCAGCTCTGTGCCACATAAGAGGAGTCTATGAAAGAACTTGACCTAAAGATAGAGCACTGCTACAAATGGACATTTGCTAACCACTACGCTGAATGGCCCAGTTTGGACATCTAATGACCCCACTCCCTGCAAGCTGTCTTACCTTGACTATTGGACTTTCACAAATGTCTTTTTTGAATGGTGTGAAAGAACCTTAGAGTTTAATTACAACCAAAATTACAAAACTGAGGACAATGAACCAGCCACACAAAGTTTCTGTAAATCATTAAAATCACAAAGCTCAACATGAATCAGTCTTACACAAGGATTCCATTGTGTGTCCTGTGCCATTTCATTCCACTTCTTGATGCTGGTCTTTCAACTTGCACATACATTATTCAGTCTAACCACACAAAGGAGAATCCAGAAAAGTCTGCAGAAAGCATGATTTCTTTTTTTTTTTTTCCTTTTGCCTTAAAAGAGATCTACTTCTCTAAAATGTCTAGAGAGAGGGAGATGAAGTATGACAGCAAGTAGGGTCTCCAAATATTGCACGGTAACAGGATTTAGACGTTCTAAAGGCAATACATATAAAATCACTAATTTTTCTGCAGAAGGCCTGCTTTACTTCTCAAATCACATGGCATAGAGTACTCTGAATAAATAGAAGCAGATGTTACAGGTTGAACCGTGTCCTCCCAAAAGATGTGGTAGTCTTGATCCTCCTTATGTGTGAATGTGGCCTTCATTTGGAAAAGGTCTTTGCAGAGGTAATCAAGTTAGGATGAGGTCATTAGGGGAAGTCCTTATGCAACATGACAGTTGTCCTTATAAAAAGGGGAAATGTGGACACAGGACCCAGGCCAAGGAATCCCTGAGGCGACCAGAAGCTAGGAGCATGGAACAGATTCTCTCTCACAGCCCTCAAAAGGAAGCAAGCCCTGCCAACACCTTGCTTTTGGACTTGCAGCCTCTAGAACTGGGAAAGAATAAATTAGTGTTGTTTAAGCCACCTGGTTTGTGATACAGTCCATTCTCAGCCCTAGCAAGCTAATAAAGTTGGAAATCAGCGACATGAAAATTCTGCAGTTTAATATACCTTACAACTCTTGACCTTGGTAATCCACCCACATAAATCGGGTCCTTGTCTAGGCGGTTGAGGTCAGAAGATGCTCCCGGAGTCTCGCCCTGCTTGGTTTCTTTATTACTGGTGTTATAGGCATCGATAACTGCTAGCACTCCTAAAAGGAGAGCACAGGCAAGAGATAAGAAAAGGAAAATCCCTTTCCATGTTAAGGTAAAATGCAAACTTCTGGCAACAAAGCTCATTTACAAATGCATATTCTTTTAGATTCTGCGAATTTGATCAGCTAATGTTCTTGGCTATTGAAGGACAAGTGAAAATCCTCTCTATCAAAGTCAATACACATTGCTAAATAAGAGCAGTATGCATGTGGAAGAAAACAGAATGGATTTGATTCTTGATTCCAATCCAGCATTTACTGTTAAATAACACACTTGGAAATCACAGGCAAATACAAGTATAACCCTCCTCCAGCAAAATGTGAATCCTGTTGGTTAGTATTCCAAAGACAACACTGGCTTCCAAGTAGACTATCATTCAATACCCAGGAAACTACTGTGGAAAAAAAGAATGCTGATTTTGAAAAGATTTCTATTCTTATGAGGGTGACCGACATCTGGTGAGTCCATCTGTGTCCCTACCTTGCTTCCGGTTTCGCTGGAAGGCAATTTTGTACCAGGTTCCATTGTTATAACGTCTGTCTGTCAAAAGGGTAATGGGTCCTGAACCCAGGTCAGTCATAACCTTCACTCTGCCACGAAACAGCTCGATGGATAAAAAGTCTTTCTGTAAAAAAGAGAACACAGTTCCCCAGGTTATAGCTTTATCCCAGGTTTCCCTTTCCCTTCAAGTCAGGGATGGCTGAAACCTTCTAAAGTCAAACTGAGAAAACTGGATCTGGCCCCACAGCCAGAGGTCTATCGGCTACGAAACCAAAAATGCCCACGAAGGCTTTCTAGAACACTACACTAATATAAATGAAATGTCATCTGTTGTTACCAAAATCCACAATTCAGTAAGAGAAGTGGAATCTCCTCGTATCTTTTTCATTGAGACTGACAAGGGGCCCGTTCTAAAAAATAAAACCAAAAGACTGAAAGACAGAAATCACCAGCCCATGAGATGCAAACAAGAACATGAAATTCCCATGGATGGAATTCAAACAATGTCACGGTGGTCACAGTGAACCCAGAACAAGACATATTATTTGAGCTCGAAATTTAATAACAAATGTTGAATTGATATCTATAAAGACTAGAAGGCTAGTTTCTACTTGGTGTTCTTCTATATTTTTCTAAAGGTTCTACAATGATAATAAATAATTTAAAATGAGGAAATTGTTTAGCACACACATATATTAATACTAGCATATGCTCATAAAAATTGTATGGTATACATATGTACATATTTAATTAGTAAATCCTCATTAAACATAAACAACCACATAGCAATCTAAATGTGTGTATACAGTAGGGCCTAGGGCCGCACAAACACTCTTACTGTGCCGTATGAACCCAGGTAGAGAAGAAGTCCATTAGGTGAAAAGGTATTAAAAAGCATGATTATCTGGGTCACGGTAGCCGGAAGTGACTTCTCCACGACAGAGTACCCACTCCCGTCAAAATGGAAGGAAGGGTCTTCATTCTGGGAGCTGCAAAGCAGAAGAGATGAAATAGAATCCATTCTCAGGAGGGTAGAAAGAACCAAGAACACACTTACTGAGTTCTCCTTCACAAAGATCACTGTAGAGCTATTAGTTCCATACTTTCATAACAAGTGTAGATGATAATATTTAAAAATATGCTTGCCATGTGAAGATGCAAGACAAATGCCCAGCTGCTTTATAAGGAAAATAATGTTAATGTAGGCAGTATTCATTGTGGTAAAAATACATTTCTTTACAGGAGGATAACTGCTATAAATATTTCAGTTTATCAACTGGATTTATTTATTCTAATCTCCTTTAATATAACTGTCCTCTCTTAACTCTGGTGCCTTCAGAATAATTTTTATATTGACATTTTCACTTTGCTGATGAGGTTTTATCTAATACCTTAGGGAAACTAGAGTTATGATGGAAAGCAAGTATGTGCCCATATACCAGAAGCATCACTTCACAAAACAATCATCACTGACATCCTCAAAAATCTGCAGGATGAGCTTAAAGACCCATATCATACTTAGAGATGAGTACGTAGGTTGAAACAGGGATATAATACGGCCCAGGGCATTTTCAGGTGAGTGTGTTTTCTGGTCTTCTCCCCCAACAGAGCAAAAGGCTGACTTGACTCACTATTCAATCGCAAAGCCATTCATCTGGAACAGATCATAATTATGTTCCAAAAATAATTTTCTGGAATATCATGAGGCTTGAGAGTGAAACTTGGATGAGGATAGTTTTTGGGTAAGAATTTGAACTGTTCCCAGTTAGAGGTGTAACAACAAAACTCAGTGCCACATTTCCAAGCAAGGCAGTCTAACCAAACAGTAAAATCGTTTCCATGGATGATAAAAGAAAACAAAACAAAAAATAGTGCTTTGTGAAACCTGAGGTTTCAAATGTATAACTATAACTACCTGCACTCTTGCTTTTTCAAAAATTTCCATCATGTGGTCTCTTTGAGGAATTATAACTTAAAAGAAATGCACTCTAGATAAATTCTTCAACTATGGTTTAATTCTTTAATTCTTAAGCCTGTGGCTTCCTAGCCATATGTTCCATTGTTCTACCTCTTGGCCAACCACAGTGCATGTGCCGGAGGATAGAGACTCTAGAGCTAGACTACTAGGGTTCAAATCCCAGGTCCCCAACATACTAGCTGTGTGAACTTGGAAAACTCACCTAACCTCTCTGTGTGCCCTTTCCTTCAGCTATAAAACAGGGATAACCATAAAACCTCTCTGGGAGGGCTGCCCCAGGCAGTTCTTAGAACAGTGCCTGGCACACAACAGATGTTTTCTCTCATTATTCTGCAGTGTTCGGAGGTCCTCGATGGGCCGGTCTTCATTTCTGCCTATGAAAAGCTGAGCCTCAAAGATTAAAGTACCTTGTTCAAGGACACACCCCAAGAAATCACAAAGCCAGGTTTCAAACAAAACTCCAGAAATTTGTCTTGGTCCTCAGTGCATGGCCCTTCCCTCTCCAGAGCCCGTGAGCCCTCCTCTCCCAAAAACATGGGGGCTTTCTCCCTTCCCAGAGCCTGTGAGCCCTCCTCTCTCAAGAACGCGGGGGCTCTGCTACTGGGTTCTCTCCCCAAACAGGGCCTGCTGGAGTGAGGTGGCCACGAAGAGGGGGACCTCAAATGAAATGATGACTGAACATGACCGAAGGCTTGTCCCCATGTCAGTCACTTCCCTGAACTTCTCCCAGAGCCCCTGCCAGTTTCCAGACTATGACCAGAGGCACATGTGCCTCAACAGTCGGCCCAGGTGCCTGTTCCCCAAGTGGGTCTCTGCCTTGGTAAGGGCCCAGGACAAATGAAAGCTCGGTTCATCACAGCACTTTGTGGACAGCTCTGTTCCAGCCTTGGAAATGCCACCATCACCCGCAGGTTCAAGTGGGAGCCTGGAATTAGGAGAGCGTCCGCCCTCCCCAGCGCTCAGCCCCGTGAGTCTGGAAGAATCACCAGACCTCCCTGATTCTCCGAGGGCTCCCTCATGAGATGTGGATAATCCGGAGCTGACCTACTAGCATGCCCTGCTGCCGTCATGCGAGGGCATGAGATAACCCTGGCCCGGGCTTGGGATGCTGCTTCTCCAACTCTGGCCCCTTGCCACAGCCCATGCATTTTCTGCTTTCTATACAGGCATTTTCCCCTACGCCATGAGATGTCTGAGGACATAAATGTGTGATGTATGTGGACATGGCCGGTACCTAGCAGAGGGCCCGGAACGCAGGTGACTGACTCGTGTCAAAGGCCAGCCACGTAGCCAGCACTCTCTCACAATGTCCACTCGTAAATAATACAAGGATTATGCCTGTTAATTAAATAAAGGGTCTTTCCATATTGATTTTGATGAGGACTGTTAGAATCAGTGGTTAATTCTGCAGCATCCTTTGAGAATATAACAGACTGCTCATAATTACAGAGTGACCCCATGTACAAGTGTAATAATATATTCAAGGAGGAATAAAAAAGTTTCAATTCATTTACTTGGTAATATAAATCACGTTTAAGAGTAAACAGTCAAAAATTTTTTAAAAATTTAGAGGACATCGATGGGCTACACTAATGATTTAATAATGGCAAATTATACACAAACAGAAAGGGACAAGGAATTATAATCTAAGTCTGCTAAAATGGATTGTTACTAGAATTAGGGTATTAACTCTTTGAACTAAAGTTCTTGTCTAACAGGAGAAGGGGTGCAGTGGGGGATGTTACCTAAAATGAAGACGGTTCAATCAATTTACAAACAGACGTAAAGTGCCAGTCTGTGCCTATATCAGCACTTCACAAAATATGTTTTACGAGGCAGATGCAACTCCAGATGCACTTTTTTTTTTTTGAGACAGGATCTCACTCTGTCACCCAGGCAGAAGTGCAGGGGCTCAAGTGCTCCTCCTACCTCAGCCTCCGGAGTAGCTGGGACTACAGGCGCACGCCACCATGCCTGGCTAATCTTTTTCAATCCACCTGCCTTGGCCTCCCAAAGTGCTGGGATTACAGGCGTGACCCTCACCCAGAGGTACCTTTTCAGAAAGGGTTCAAGCTCAAGTGAGTTTGGGAAATGCTGCAACTCTAGCCTCTCCCCAGGACAGGGTTACCATGCATGTCAGCATATTAATGCTAATTAAAGGCTCCGATGGCCTCGCAGCCAAGAAACATGCTTATTTTTTTAACTCAGTGTTTCCCAAACATTTATGATCAGTACACAATACCTATTAATACCCTACACCAAACTAGCATTCTTTACAAACACGTATTTTTGGAAATGTTGGCCAATATAACAGTGGATTTGTTCAGTCCCCAGAAAAACATATTTAATCAGACCCTAGTTTGGTTGAGCTGATGAGTCAATGTGGTTCTACTACTCAGCTGGGTGGCCAGCCCTCCGTCAAAAAGCCAGTCTCGAGTTGGCAGGAGGGCAGCATCTTTGACCCAAAGGTCCAGGGTGTGTGGAAATCCGGAGGCAGGCCAGGTATTTCAAGGGGAACAAAACATGTGACCACCTAAAAAGCTGACTTCCTCATCCCAACAAAAAAAGAAGAGCCGGAAATCATTCAATTCATTCAGTGCTGTAGCTTGACGTCAATGATTTCAAAATACCTCTGGAAATGACTGATGAAAATAGAGGATATGGTCACAGGTAAAGTAGGGGGACTTTTTCATACTAGAAATGTTTAATTTCTGTTAACCATTTTTCTTTCTAACAGTGAGGTTAATGATCTGGGGTCAGTGGAGGGGATAGAGTCTAGGGGTCGGGGTGTTTTTCATGTTAGAATTACTAAATTGCTGGAAGAGTTCCTTGCTGGAAACACAGAATAAGGAAAAAGTGGCGGATCAGAGAGCCTGAATTCAGATGCTCTTTCCACTGAAGTTCCAGAGCAGGGTGTGTCATTACCTCACGAGGCAACAGCATTTTTTATCATAGCTGCCAATTACAAAGCCATGCTTTTTCACACGTTTATTGTCAAAAAAAAATCCTGTGACATTTATCTACAAAGCAAAGCCACATCACTGTAGGAGACCAGTGGTGAAGACTGGTAAAGTGTTTCCAGTTTATAAAGCATTTTCACACGCATCATGTTGTGTGTTCATCACTGTGATTTATAGAGGTGGGTAAGACAAGAACGATGATCATTTTTCTTTTCTGGAAAAAGAAACCAAACCTCAGTGAGGTGAAGAGACTTATTATCCAAAGTCAGGGAAGAAAATTTTGGTGGGGGACCTGGGCCAGAAGCCTGAGAAACTCAAGACTCCAAACCCTATATTCTTTTTCAATCTTAAGGCTACAATCACCAAACCTCTGGTCCTAACTTTTTTTTTTTTTTGAGATGGAGTTTCGCTCTGTCACCCATGCTGGAGTGCAGTGGCATGATCTTGGCTCTGCCTCCCGGGTTCAAGCAATTCTCCTGTCTCAGCCTCCTGAGTAGCTGGGACTACATGCATGTGCCACCATGCCCAGATAATTTTTGTATTTTTAATAGAGACGGAGTTTCACCATATTGATCAGGCTGGTATCGAACTCCTAACCTCAGGTGATCCGCCCGCCTCGGCCTCCCAAAGTGCTGGGATTACAGGCGTGAGCCACCATGACCGCCTGGTCCTAACTTTTTAAACAAGCGAAGGAAGGGGAAAAGAGAAGGCTTAAACTACAGACCTGACAATGACAAAATGAAAAATTCACCCGTGAGTTTCTAAATGTGCTGTGAGTTGCTTTAACTGATCTTGTCACTGGATAATTGCAGATATCCATCTGGACAGAGCAGCCCATTAGACAAGAGAAATTATATCAGATGTTACATTTCTCTAACGGAAAAAAGCAATTTATGTCTTAATTACTAAAGTGATGGAAAACAGGTTTTATATACTTAAGGAGTTGCAGTTATTTTGTTATAAAATAATGGGTTGGGGGGGAAGATGTTGCACTTGGTAAGGTTAAGTCATTGAATGCCTTTATATCAATATATGCAGAAACATACTCATTTTTCTCTATTTCCTAATGCATTTTATTTCTGGAATTATAGAACTTGGTTCGGAATTGGAAAGTACTTAGCTGTAAAAACTGACCACACGTGAAAAAATTCTTATCCTTGGAGATATTTTCAAAATAAAAATGTACAGTGATTTATAAAGATTTGGTTGTGGCTCTCTGAGACAGAAGGTTGTTTGAGAAATTGTCTGAAACGTTTAGGGTTTATGATCCATGATCAAAGCATAAAAGACATAGGAAAAAGAGCACTTCTTTTTAAAGGGTTAAAAATGATACCTGTGCTTCTCTCAGTAACTAATCTACATTATATCATCTGACAATATAATATAATAATATAATGTAGATTGGTATAATCTACATTATACCAATGTCACAGGATTTTTTTTTGACAATAAACGTATGAAAAAGCATGGCTTTGTAATTGGCAGCTAAACACCTACCAGCGATATCACAAACTCTATTCCTTGACGTGCATGTATTAATACATTCTTTCAGCACTTCTCAGATGTTAACAGAATAACATACTATGTGCTAAACCGTGACGACATCTTACCTTCCGAAGCACCCACGGCACTTGCCTTCCCTTTCAATATAGTTCCATAGGCCTATGGATTTTCCATTCAGGAAGGCCTCCCCCAAGCAGCCTTTAAAATGAGTAACCTTCACAGCAGGAGATTTCTAATGCAAACAAGCAAACAAACATAACCAATATATAAGCTGACCAAGCAAAATACATTCTCCAAGTGCACAAAACTTCTCTCTGGGAGCTTCAATCTAACAGATCCAAATTTTGAGAGAGCCACATTAGAAAAAAGCCAGTTTGTAATCACTGGATTTCCTTTCAGTTATGAAGTGGAATCCTAGAATGAGTAACAACTGGGCAGGATCTTAAAGATCATCTCAGTGACTAGGGTTGATGGAGAGAATCGTGTTGTACGAGTGAGAAAACAGAGAGCCAGAGAATGTGATTGGTAGTGAGGGCCCAGCTGGACCTGAGACCTAGACTCCCACTTCAGAGCATTGAACCAGATCCAAAAAACACAATTATATTTGGTGAGAGGAGAACTGATATAATAAAATAAATATGGTGGGCTTTTTTGCTAAACACTGATTAGTATTAATTGACCACTAACTAGAGCTAGACTAGAGATAAAGAAACTTTACAGAAATTAACGTGGAGCACTGAATTTCCTGTTCATCACTGGGAAAGAAACCCAAACAGCAAGATGAGCCATTGGCTTTTTCTCCATTTATGCTACTGATGAAGCATCACCCTTTACTGTACAAAACCAGCCTAACTCTGCAGAGGAACTGTCAGAAAGCAAAACAAAAGCAGAAACATCTTCATCTGCTTAGGATATATTCAACCATCTAAACATATGCTTTTATTTTTTTATTTTTTTGAGATGGAGTTTTGCTCCTGTTGCCCAGGCTGGAGTGCAATGGCGCGATCTCAGCTCACTGCAACCTCCACCTCCCAGGGTTCAAGTGATTCTCCTGCCTCAGCCCCCTGAGTAGCTGGGATTACAGGCATGTGCCACCACACCCGGCTAATTTTGTATTTTTAGTAGAGACAAGAGTTTCTCCATGTTGGTCAGGCTGGTCTTGAACTCCGGACCTCAGGTGATCTGCCCACCTTGGCCTCCCAAAGTTCTGGGATTACAGGCGTGAGCCACCACGCCCGGCCCATGACTTTTATATATAGGTAAAATCAGTCAATCAGTCCTGTTCAGAAGAACTTTCGTAATGTTACCTTGATTTGTCCTCCAAGACCTCCAACAAACATGAGTGTTGAATTGTTTACATCCAGAACATTAGCTGTCCCAGGGGATTTACTTGTTTTTGTTGGTGACTTTTGATTTGAGCTCATTTCCTTTACACTCAGTGAACCAATGTTTCCAAATCTAAGGGTTACAAAGAATTGCAAAAGAAATTTTCAGAATTTCCAGTCAGCGCACATACAATCCCGTTTCCTTCACACCCACCATCTGCTTCTCCCCAAGGGCCCTGCAACAGCACCCCCCTGCTGGCCTCCTGGCTTCCAGTCTTGCCTACTGCCCGAAATCTTCAAGAGTGTCTCTTCCGAAACAGAAATTTCATCATGTTGTGTCCCTGCTTAAAACATCTGAGATGAGCTAAACTGTATCTGAAGATATGTCTACTCCGTAAATATTATCCCATTTTGTAAATTAAAAAAATCCCAACAAACCATAATATTATAGAAAAGTGAAAACATACACTTAAAGCTGCTCAAAAGTGATTACCTCTGAAGGATTTTAAAAAGAAGAATTTTGCTTTGTGCCTGAATTTTAAGAAAATGCACCCCCCACTTGCATCCTTATTTTCTGTCCTTGACTTAAGTGCAATGTGCTGCCAGCCACATGCAATGTCTACCATGCCACACCTTACACCTCTCTCCTGAGGAATTTTACCAGGTTGGCTGCCTTACACGTAGACTTTCTAAAAGTAACATTCTTTACTTTTTAACTTTATTAGAGGCAGGGTCTTGCTCTGTCGCCCAGACTGGAACGCAGTGGTGTGATCATTGCTCACTGCAGCCTTGACCTCCTGTGCTCCAGTGATTCCCTGCCTGAACCTCCCGAGTGGCTAGGACTACAGGCACACACCACTGTGCTTGGATAAATTTTTAACTTTTTTTTAGAGACAGAGTCTCACTATGTTGCCCAGGCTAACCTCAAACTCCTTCTTGCTCAAACAATCCTCCCACCTCGGCCTCCCAAAGCACTGGGATTACAGGAGTGAGCCACCATGCCTGGTCTCCAAAGGTAACCTAAACTTTTAGACATTTTAGACATTCTAAAGGTAACCTAAGCTTTTCAGTTTTTTCTTCTTCTGATTGTTGATTTTGGTATCAAAGTTTGTTTCTCCTGCAGTAAGAAAAAAATCCAAACCTTAAGTTTTTAAAAAAATTTTTTGAATTAATTTTTATTATATATTGTCAAATTATAGTTGTATATACTTCTGAGGTGCAAAATGTTGTTATGATTTTTGGATATGATGTGGAATGATTAACCATCAATGTGTGAATGGATAAAGAAAATGTGGTTTTATACACAAATACACAATGGAATACTATTATTCAGCCTTAAAAAAGAAGTTCTGTCACTTGTAACAAATGCTTATTTCTTTTCTTTTTTTTTTTTTTTTTTGAGATGGGAGTCTCGCTCTGTTGCCCAGGCTGGAGTGCAGTGGTACGACCTCCACTCACTGCAACCTCCACCTCCTGGGTTCAAGCAATTCTCCTGCCTCAGTCTCTTGAGTAGCTGGGATTACAGGCACCCACCACCACGCCCAGCTAATTTTTGTATTTTTAGTAGAGATGGGGTTTCACCAGGCTGGTCTCGAACTCCTGACCTCAGGTGATCCGCCTGCCTTGGCCTCCGAAAGTGCTGGGATTACAGGTGTGAGCCACTGGCCACAAATGCTTATTTCTACAGCTAACCTAAACCAAGTATTGTTTGGTTATAATCTGACTTTCCAGAAGTTTCAAAGCCTATTATATGATGTTACAAGCATGTAATTACTTATGAGACACACTTTAAAAAAGAGAGCTGCTTTGAGAGAACATTCTCTTCTACCTGGCTACATGGATACTGTGCCATCTGTTGTCATCAATGGGAAAGTCTGGAAACTCCAAGCGTGTGGACCCGGAGCCCAGGTCCCACAGGAAGGCCACTCTCCCTCGCCGCATCTCCACTGCAAGGAAATCAGACTGGGGGGCGAGGAATGAACGGGGATCAGTTTACACACTGGACTGTTTGCTGACCACCACAACACTTTACAGAGTCAATTCTTACGGGGTTTTCTCTTTTCTTAAAAATAAATACATAAAAAGCAAACCCCCCAAATCTATTTTCTTTTGTTTGAAATGGTCCCTTCCCTGGAGCTGGGGCATGACTCACAGCCCCGGGGACATTAGCGCCTCCCTGCGTGCCTGGCATGGCCCTCCTCAATGTCTCCCACAGAGTCCCCAGGAAAATTCGCTGCAGGTCACAGGCAGTCCACAGGGAGCACCAGGGAAGGCACTGAGCTTGCTCCTTTGCCCAGTCTCCGAGGTAAGAAATGGATGTGAAATATGCAGTAAGACAGGAGCCATGAGGTCCCACCCCTGTCACAGACTTGCATGCACTTTGCATCTCATCTCCTGAAGACATTTCAGATACTATATGTGCCCGTTAACATTTTCTGCCCTACACACCCCAGGCTTCTGACCTGTTCTCACTGGCACAGCCAAGGTATCGAAGACCTTTCATAGGCACTTGCCATCTGGAGACCACTGGAATCCTTGGCAAGAAAAACCTGACAGAAGCTTGACAATTCTGCTACTCAGTCACTCCAGGGGTCAACGGGGGAATCACAAAAAAGTTCCATCCCCAAGGCTTACAATTAAGATGGCATCCTTCAGAAACGCCACTTTCCTTCTCACAGGCATTCCATTTGGTAGTTTGTTCATTTTTCATCTAATGCTACCATTTTAACAAAGGTTAGTCCCTATGGGAGATTTAGAGATTTCACTAAGGCCTATTTTTTTTTCGTCAAATAAGTGAAAATTCAGAAAAATCTAGAAGTGCATAAAAGATTCAGTGTCGCTTTCCAAAGGTCCATAACTTACAGCGGTGCTGCTACCGAGGTAGAAGAGAAGATTATCGGGTTCCTGTGTCTTAACATTTAGTGTTAAGGTATTGTAGTTGGTAGAGGAAATCTGAGGCTGGTAGGCCCGGATGCAATCTCTGTCTGCAGACACGGCGACTTTAATCTGTAGAAGGAAAATGAAAGTGTCCCCATCATTTAGTGACACACACCGGCAGCTCACCAGCAGCTCAACAATGCTATTCTGTAATGAATTTTCACTGAGGCAGGTTTCCTCTCTTGATAACATACAATGGTTCATGTTTCATGAAGTGACATATCAGATGGTAACAAAAATGATTTCATTAAGTGTTTAAATATGAGAAAATCAGTGTTAGTTTTTAATAAGTTATTTTATATAGGAAACTGTCTTGCTCATATAAGATTTAATTCCTTAAAGACAAGGATCTTATCACCTTGGAATCTTTCCGCCTGACACAAAGAAAGAGGGTATTTGATAATCATCTGTTGAATAAATGGAGAGGTAATATATTTATTCACTCAGCAGATATTTATAGAGCAATTATTGCACTTACTACATATTTCTTTGACTAGTAATTCGTTGCATATGTATCTTACATTAAAGAGTCTAAGTTTGGTATTAACCTAGCATCAAGAAGCATTCCTTGGGCTTATATTTATTTATTTATTTATTTATTTATTTATTTATTTATTTAGGGTCTTGCTCTGTTGCCCAGGCTGGAGTGCAGTGGCGTGATCATAGCTCACTGCAGCCTTGAACTCCTAGGCTTGAGCAATCCTCCTGCCTCAGCCTCCTGAGTAGCTGGGACTACAGGTTCACACCACCAAGCCTGGTTATTATTATTATTTTTTTTAGTAGAGACAGGATCTTATTATGTTTCCTAAGCTCATCTCAAACTCCCGGCCTCAAGCAATCCTCCCACCTCAACCTCCCAAATTGTGGGAGTTACGGGTGTGAGCTACCAGGCCCAGCCTGTATTTATTTAGCAATTGTAACTGAAACAGATGCAAGCCAGAGCTCATGGAAACCAACATTCCTTTTCCAATAGCAAGGACACTTGAGGTTTTGGAAAAGACAGAGCCCTGTGCTCCTTTCTCTTCCCTAGAAAGCCTCAGGTGGACAAATGCAAGCCCAGAGGCTGCATTCATCCTCTCGAAGTCCCCAATCACATGACGACTGCACATTCTCTCAAAAGGAAACTTTTTCCCTTAGGGCACAGCCAGTGCCATGTGCCATGGGTAAAACATCTTCTCATGTGTGAACTGCTCCAGGTGTCCAGTGCCTCAGGCATTTAGTGACCTGGATTTGTGCAGCCTTCGTTGCATACAAACTGTTTTCTCAGACACCTCAAGGATGAGGCCCATACTACACAAACATTTTAAGGAATACTTGGATTATTAAAACTAAGTTGGTAAAACGAAGAACTAACACCACATGCAACCCATAAACTTAAGAGTGATGTTAACACGTAGATTTGACATGTTCCGCACTGTCCAGGCTAATAGTTTTAAATTTAGTCTATAATGATAAATCTCCATAAAGACATGGAAATCTCTTTGCTAACAACATTTTGAAGCATGTTGAACAAAAGCAGAACTCAAAGAAAATGAAGCTAGTTATTGGCTTTAAATATACCAAGACAGGGCTATGAGGAAGCCCAGATTATTGGGATCTGGGTCTTTGGAAGCCCTAAGGGGCGCAGTGTGACTGAGGGCCATGTCTGCATGAATTCCCTGGGACCCCACATGACTGAGAGCCCAGTTACGAAAGCCACGGGGCCCCAAACTCACAGAAGCTGCTTGTTTGCGGGCCTGGCTGATCAACAGTTTAATTTCTGATAGGTTTCTGCTCAGATTCTCCTCTAACATCTTCAAAGGCTTCAACCGATCAAACAAAAGGTTGGCTTGAATTTCCACGTCTTTGACTTTTCTTCCAGCCAACAGAGCTAACAAATACAAGAAGGCAAGGGGTGGCAAGAAAGTTGGGGAGAGGGAAAAACAAGATAATTAATTGTCCATTAACAATGCACTTGGTAAAACAACACCCTAACAATCAAAGCCATGACATTGTGGTACAAAGATGAAAACTGCACAAGTAGCATGCATTTCCCAAGGTCCTTCTCTTAATAAAGGCTAATCCAGATGTTAGCATACTTCTACTTTTCAGGAATGTTGTGAAAAACGCACCACTGTGTGCTTAGCTAGCTCCACGTCTGCATGACGCAGACGATCATGACTGGAAGGAAGGGCGCTGACATACTGGCCATGGTGGAGTCCTGCAGAAGCTGGTGTGTCTCTCGTAATGTGGTGTTGACCCTGGACAGGCTGGCAGATGTGTTCAGCAGCTCCTGGCTCAGCCCCGCCACGTCCCTCAGCGTGCTCACCGCGCTCTGGCTTGCAGACGTGGCCAGCTCTTTGGTTTTGGCTCCCTTGTCTCTTATACCTAAAATAAATGTATATAAAAGCATGCACTTCTGGTGCTTACACACAGAGAAAAGAATAAAACGACAACAAATGTAATTTCGCACAGAAATATATTATTGTCATATTACTGATGCTGAACACAAACTGAGGCTTGTCTGTTTGCTTTTTTTTCTTTTGGGCAGTGGTCAATGAACTAAGAGCTTCTTGTTTCTAATGGCAATATTAAAGCTGCATATCATATGCTCTACTATCCCCTTTTAGGGACAAATGAAATAATTTTTGTTAATACTTCTCTGGAATATGATTTCAATAAACAATGAGATCACAAAAGTAATGGCCAATCGCTGTGTGAGCTGTGTCTTACATCTTAATAAGCTGAACTTCTTTATTTGGGTCCTTTTCCATCACTCCTTTCTCAGCTTCATGAAACATGTCCTCCACCTCCTTTCATGTCTGGATAATAAGGATTTGGATCCTAGGTCTGCAGCTAAGGTGGGAATGTCTTAAGTTAAAGGAAGAGGTATTTGCCCATAGCATCAACTGGCTGCTAGAAGTAACAGCAGAATAAAGCCCAAACAGCCACTCAAGGTAAATTGGAATTCAGTTATTCTAGAAAATCTGGGTGAGGATTTTTAAAAGACACTATCATTCATTTTCGAAGCATTTAATCACAAGTGGGGCAAAACATTTACAGCAGAAAAAGCTGGAAAAAGGGTATACAGGTGGCCTTTTTACTTTTCCTGAAACTTTTCTGTAGGCTCGAAATTATTTTCAAATAAAAACGTTATTAAGCATTTAGTCAAAATATACCATGGCATCCTTATAAAAAAAGAAAAGGAAAAAAAAAATCTTCCGGATCAGAAAATGCTCCATTGTTTCAAAGTAAGAAGTAAGCCCAATGCAGCATGCCCAGTTTCCCCAGGTAACTTCCATGCTTACAAACAGGACTTTGGGGCTTCCTGTTTTTAATGGCTTTAAAGCACTTTATAAGACTTTTTCAAAAGATGCTTATTAAGAAAAAAAGGAGGACAGGCACAGTGGCTCACACTTGTAATCCCAGAACTTTGGGAGACCAAGGCAAGAGGGTCGCTTGAGGCCAAGAGTTCAAGGCCAATCTGGGCAACATAGCAAGACACGGTCTCTATAAAACAATTGAAATTTTCAAAGTAAAAAACAACAAAAGAACAAAAGAGAAGTTTGAGGTGCAGCACGATTCATTTGTATTACACATAAAAAAATTATCCTATTTAAAACTTTAGGCCAGGCGCGGTGGCTCACGCCTGTAATCCCAACACTTTGGGAGGCCAAGGCGGGCGGATCACGAGGTCAGGAGATCGAGACCATCCTGGCTAACACGGTGAAACCCCATCTCTACTAAAAATACAAAAAATTAGCCGGGGACGGTGGCGGGCGCCTGTAGTCCCAGCTACTCGGGAGGCTGAGGCAGGAGAATGGTGTGAACCCGGGGGGCGGAGCTTGCAGTGAGCCAAGATCGCGCCACTGCACTCCAGCCTGGGCGACAGAGCGAGACTCTGTCTCAAAAAATGTGTGCTGCTAGCCGGGTTCAGGCTTCACCCACTGGAAAGAACCACCATCTGCTCTAATCATGTAGACTTATTGCGGCCTGGCTTCTCTGTTACAATAAAATTACTGTAGACCCCCCCAAAAAATTTCATGAATACCACATTTCTAAACCATCAGTATTAAAGTGATCAGTGAGCCTAATGTTTTACTGCCTCACTGAGGAAGATGGCCAAGCGAGCAGTCTTCAGTTCGCCACACTGATAATGAATCTGGCATTTTCCCCTTAGGCAGGTAAAGCACATTCCAGCTTCTTTACTTGCTGACTTCTTTCAATGGTCCTTCTTCCTCTAAGCAATGTGTCAATCCCATTTCAAAAGTAAGCAATTCAGATACTATGCAGTCTCTGTTTTTAAGACTATAATTCTAGTAGCTTGATGCAAGTATTGTGATGTTATTTTAAAAACCAATGATTTTCATTTCTAAATCATATTCCTTTGCAAGTAAAAATTTTGCCAATCTTAGTCTCATTTTTGAGCTAAAGCCTTTATCAGTCTTGAGGCAGGACTTCCTTATGTTCCTGAGTGATGCTTTTACAATGAGAAGACGTTATTTACAGAAGAAAGTCCTTTCCACTTACCTTTAGGAATTGCTCTAAGTATCAAGAGTGATTCATTGGTTTGCCTGGTAATTTCAACAGCATTCTCTTGAAATCTGTTTGTCTTATTTCTCAATTCACTCAGTTCCAATGCAATACCTATTTAAAGGGAGAAAAATGTTTCCTTTCAGGTTAGCCTACAAAAAAGTTGCCTAGGCAACAGCTTTATCATTCTTGACCATCGACAGAATTCATAGCTTTCTAAAGAGATTCCCAATATTGACAGTTTTTCCAGCAAGACTGAGCACCACTCATTATAGAAATTAAGAGTATGGGCCAGGCGCGATGGCTCACGCCTGTAATCCCAGCACTTTGGGAGGCCGAGGCAGGCAGATCACAAGGTCAGGAGATTGAGACCAGCCTGGCTAACACAGTGAAACCCCGTCTCTACTAAAAATAAAAATAAAAATAAACATTAGCCAGACGTGGTGGTGGGCGCCTGTAGTCCCAGCTACTTGGGAGGCTGAGGCAGGAGAATGGCGTGAACCCGGGAGGTGGAACTTGCAGTGAGCTGAGATCGTGCCACTGCACTCCAGCCTGGGCGACGGAGCGAGACTCCGTCTCAAAAAAAAAAAAAAAGAAATTAAGAATGTGTTTCTAGCTTGCTCGATCATTTTCTCTACTTTGCTTGTTGACTTTTTCACTAATATTTCTACTTAAATTTCATGTCCAATTTTACTAGAGCTCAAGGATGAAGAGCTGTGTTTAAGTCACTCAGTCTTAATCAGACACACTAACTTTCTATTCCCATCTGAATCCTGGCCACCTTTCTCCTCTGGGTTGTAAAACCCCTAGGGTGGGCTCCTACCTGGGAGTCTTCCTCACAGTCTCCCACCTGCATCTCTGGCCAATCCTCCATCCCCTACTATTCCCTTCTGGCCACCCAACTGGAACTCAACTCAACCTCCTTCTCAAGTTTGATCACAGCTTTTACTTTTAAAATTTCTGTTCATAACATACAATCACATTTGGATTTTGAGCACATGGTTAAAACGTGAAATTTTAATTGCCAGCAAGCTCCCAATTTCACTACCTATGAAGTACCTCTAGTTGTACAGACTGAAATTACAGCCCATCAACACATTATACATTTTCGATACTGTGAGATGACAACATAAATTTTAAACTGTGTCACTCAATGAGAAAAAAAAATTATGTACATATCCAAGCCTTTAGTTCAGACAGCTGTGGAAGGATCCAGTGTTAGACTCGGAAGTAAGTCACCTGTAAAGGGTATGAGCTGTGTGCCTGGCCCACTATTTACTCCTCCAGAAATCTTGGTATTTTTGATCTATTAGAATATATTAAGGTGGAAAGCACATTATTTGTTATAAAAAATTGTAGGCCTACGTAGTTTCTCTTACATAACAGATTCCTGCTGCCACTTTGGTTCATGTTTATTGGATGGATTGCTCTTACATATGCCAAGTCATTCTTTCTTGAAACTTTAGGACAAACTAAACTGCATAGGTATTTTTTGAAAAATGGCTAAATCAATTAGGATTTAATTTAATGATTATTAAATGAGAACCTACCATGAGTCTAATATGATATTAGTTCCATGAGAAAGGTAAAAGAAATATCAAGCATAATACATCTCCTCAAGGAAAAACTAGAGGAGCACACGCAATCAAAGATAACCCAACAGACACTAGGAAGAACAGTGAAGGCTCCAAGCTAAGGCAATGAGTGGAGGATTATGGACAGGTTAAAGATAGAGATGACTGCACAATAAAGGAACAGATATCACTAGAATAAAAATGCCAAATTATATGAAGTTTATATGATAGGAAGTTTATACGATAGGAAAATTTATATGATAGGAAATTGGAATATAAATGGGACACAGAAATGCTAAGCTTCAAGTTGCTGCATGCAAGGAGAACATTCTTAGAGGCTGCTCAGCGAGACGCTCACGCTCACTCTGCCTGTCTACACCGTCCGAGCCACATACTGACCTGGAAGCTTCCTGCTGAGGTTGTTGCCTTCTTTTAGAAATCTGGAGCTGCGCTGCACGGCCGCTTTCCCGTTAGAAACAAGGGATTCTGAGAGCTGGAAAACAGAACCACTTAAGCGTGGTGAGAGCAGGGCAGGGTGGAGTCCTGCTGGGGACAGAGGAAGTGACTCCATCAGAGTAGCCCCCAGACACATTCCCAGCAAGAAAGTCAGCCAGGTACCAGGTAGGGACAATTTAAAATGGCTGAGGCAAGAGAAAACAAAGACATTTTTAAGTAGATAAGGAAGGAAACCAGCCATTCAATAAAGATTTTCACCATGGTTATAGAAAAATGTCTCCAGTAGGTATCAAGTAGCATCATCATTTTTAGCGCAAGGAAATGTGAGATTGTTCTCATCTCCACACTGGTTTCTAGTCTGTATAAAGAAGTATTTATGACCTTAAAAAATTAAAACACAGATCATATGATGACAGAAGCCAGAAACAGATTCCACCAGAAAAGAATGTTAATAGGCAGAAATTGGGGCCACTGAATCTCTGCTCAAACCCGGTACAGAAAAATCTCCCACAGAGCCCAGAAAAAGAAGCCACGTCGTTTCCTACCAGGCTCGTCTCAGTCACAGTCCTGTGAGCATCTCTGGCCAGTTCCTCCGATTCTTCAATCAGGCTCTGGATGTTGTAATGGACATAGGCTGCACTGGTGGCATTCAGGGACACATTTCTGATGTTTTCAAGGCCACTATCAAAGCAGCATATTTAGATACGTTATGATAAACTAAATCAAACTTGCCAATTCACTCACAAAAATCATAAATGCCTACCAGTTTTGAAAGCCTCCTATCTTCTTTCCCCTTAGAAGAGTATCATCCATAAAAAATAACAACCTATGGGTTCCCATGTAACTTCAAAAGTAATCTTTGAGAAGCCGTAGCCACTTTGTCATAACACTCAGAACTGCTATTCAATCAATACCCAAGAAGAGACTATTGCTGTTTCCCTTAGACGACCATTCATCACTTTCCACCAGCTGCCCTCAGCATTCCTCAATCTCTGTTCCAATCCCCTGCGCGTGTCTAGGGCGCCACTGCATGCTTGCATTGGTTATAAACTTCCTGCAACATACTTGGTAACCTCCAAGAAGTGTTTCTAAGCATACCTGAGGCCGCTGAATCTTATCCCTCTAATGGCATACGACAATTTTACAAAATTCACTAGAGATTTTGGAGGAAGATCAGCTAATATTTCAATCAGCTTAACATCATTCTAACAAGTGGGCACATTGCTTAGGAACTTGGTAACTGGTAATGGCACAATGTCATCCAGTGCTCTCTGTCTTGAAAATAAAGTCTGGCAATGGGCACATCTTTGCCTGCTGAGTAACTCACTTCATTTTCTTTCCAAGGTTATTGAGTCGGGCAATTCCCAGACCGAATATTAGCAGCTATTGTTTGTTACTATTGGACTGGCAAAATTCTGTGATTTATAAATAAAAGATAATTATTTAACTTTGTGTTAAATCACAACAAATTGTTTCTATTACTCATACGAAGTAATAAAGATTTTGTTTTAGCTAGGTATGGAGTCAGAATATTTTTTTCTCTTTGGGGGAAATGATGAAAACTGATGAGAAGAGAGGAGCTGGTATCTAATGCCATTTTCCACTACTGATCCCTAAGACATATTAGGAAGCAGTACTCAATTTAGCGCATAATTTATGCAATATTCTATCTTATACGATTTTTAATTGCTTTTGTTGTGTGAACTAATCTTTTATGTCAGCATTTTTCCAATAAGGAGACACGCATCTTTCCCCTTCCACAGAACATGCACAAGAACATACATTTTCCCAGTGTGGTCAGACTTGTCACCCATAACGCATAGCAAATTTTAAAGAAAGAAATTTACCAATTAACTCACAGTATTATGTAAATCACTGATAACACCTAAAACTTTGGTTCCCACATTTGCAGCACATTAGAATCACCTGAGGGTTTTTAAAAAATCACAAAATCCTACACCCCAGACCCATTAAGTCACAATCTTTGGGGGGAAGGCAGCTAAAGGACAAAGGCATCGGTGGCTTAAGAAGCTCCCCAGGTGATTCCAATGTGCAGACAAGTTTGAAACGGATGGCTAAAATTGTGCTTCTCGTTTAAAGGAATTTTTAGCAAGTTGAGTACATATTTTTTAAATATCCAAAAAATATAAGTTAAAGTAATTGTATTACAATGGCAGACTTTCAGGCAGTAGAAAATAATTGGAGGTGGTATCTCTCAGGGATTGGAAAAGAGACTCCCAACACTTCTATAGGTAGAGAGTGGGCAGCCACATCCTCCAACCAAATAATAAACTCCAAAGAGGCAAGATCTGTAAAGAAATTAATAACCTCATTCTGTTCCACCTGCAACCTAACAAAGCCCTGAGCATTCAGTAGGTGCTTAATAAAGCCTTGATGGCTTGATACTGTAGCATAATATGTGTTTTATTATATTAATATTATACTGTAGCATATTATGTGTTTTAAGTCTTCTCCTGTTATTTGCATTTTTCCACCATATATGTAGGCCAATGGTAAACTATGTTAGCAGACACAAGGAAATCCAACTTGCCAGGTAAATAAAACAGGAGTGCTCATTTTTACACAAAGGAAGAGTGACCCATCACTGTGAATAGAAACATCCATCTATTTCTCCGATCAATAGACTGCAAGCTCTTGAGTTCCCACAAAGGCGTGTTCCTACCTGTACAGAACATCTGCTAGTCTCTGGAACTCAGCGGCATGGTCCTCAGCTCTGTAGACCAGGTCGACTGCGTTCCTTTGGGACATGTGCATGACCAGGTCATCTATGTGGTGCCTGATTTTGGCAGACCATAAAAGTAGCTTATCCTGGTGATCCTCTAAGTGCTACATGGAGAAATTAATATTGTAAATATATGCACATCTACTTAATAACAGATATGTGTGCATATAGAAAAGATGTGTGAAGATTCTTTAAAAACTGTACTGTGGCTGTGCTGAGATGTAATTTACCTCTAGAGCATCTTGTACAGCATCTGTTTGTGCAGCAGCAGCATCTATCAATCCTCTTCCTTGGACAATGAGCTCTGAGGTCAGATTTTGTTCTTCTTGAACATGCAGCTTTTTATCCTGCAGCAGAAACGGCATTTTAAGGGTGCTTCATAAAAGCAACCCTGCTTCTGACCTTTGGTGCCTAATGCTACGTGCAGAAGTTAGTGCATGGGACTCACTTTTATTTTATTTTAAAGTTATTTTCATTTTTTGAGATGGAGTCTCATTCTGTTGCCAGGCTGGAGTGCGGTGGCATGATCTCGGCTCACTACAACCTCCATCTCCCAAGTTCAAGCGATTCTGCTGCCTCAGCCTCCCGAGTAGCTGGGACTACAGGCGCATGCCACCACGCCCAGCTAATTTTTGTATTTTTAGTAGAGACCGGGGTTTCACCATGTTGGCCAGGATGGTCTCGATCTCTTGACCTCATGATCTGCCTGCCTCGGCCTCCCAAAGTGCTGGGATTACAAGCGTGAGCCACCCAGCCAGGCCAGGGCTCACTTTTAATTGCTTACGTTGGAGTATTTTGTTACCTGTTCTAATTGAGAAGGAGAGAGCAAGTGAGACTCACACTGAATTCTCTCAGATTAGCATTGACCATGAGCAGCAGGTGGTTGCTTTCCTGCATCTTTGCCTCAGCTTCCCTCACGAGCGCCTCAGCCGCCTTTAGTTCATTGTTGTGCTTTGAAAGGACGTGGCTTGCTGCTTCTTTCAATACCTCCAATTCTTCCAGCGGCTTCTGGTAATTTTCCTGAATTTGTGACAATAAATCTTCAGCAGCCCTGATAAATATGAATGGTTCACATAGTAAGTAAATGAACAACAAAGCTCCTATCTCTGAAATAATAGTGGAAAAAATTTTTACGTATTTATGCCTAGTCTCTTTTTGAAATTGTAAGTGATACATCATAACTTCTTAAGAATGGAAACAATTTTTCTAAGATAGCTACAGGTATGGCAGGTTTATATTTTATCCTTAACAAATTGTCTTTTTTTTTTTTTAGTGGTGCATCTCACAGATACATTTATTCATGACAGGAAGTAAATGGTACTTATATAAGTGCACAGTGATGTTCCATGTTCCCATATAGTTTGCTGAAATTTACAGGCACGGTGATCTTTCATCTCATGTGTATTTCAAGTTAAGCCGGTTAGGATGACCACAAGCAGGCACAAGTCTTGAAGCTTTCAAAGCTTTACTTCTTATTTTTTGAGAGAAGACTTGCTCTTGTCCCCTAGGTTTGAGTGCAATGGCTTGATCTCAGCTCACTGCAACCTCCACCTCCCATGTTCAAACGATTCTCCTGCCTCTGCCTCCCAAGTAGCTGGGATTAAGGTGCCTGCCATCACGCCCAGCTAATTTTTTTTAGTAGAGACGGGGTTTGGGTTTCACCTGTTGGCCAGGCTAGTCTCAAACTCCTGACCTCAGGTGACTTGCCCACCTCGGCCTCTCAAAGTGCTGGGATTACAGGCGTAAGCCACTGCGCCCGGCCCAAAGCTTTACTTCTTTTATCAGCAGCTCTGATGATTTTATAAATGATGAAGCTCATTAAATCCCACCTCCCCAAATTTCCTGGTAAACTTGGGTCCAGTGGGCTTTGTGGGAATCCGAACACTTAAACTTTCTAATACATTTTAGTAATGGAATTAAAAAAGATCATCTCCATGAATCTGGATTCAGGAAATTGGGACAACATTCTGTGTTGATGGGAACTGCAATCTTTCATTATATATAATACAGCAAGAAATTGAAAGAAAGCTATTCAGTGATTTGTTAAGAATTTACCAATTTATATATACGATAAAAGGATTTTCTGCAGCTAGTTAAGAAGAAACAGATTTCATAAAAGCTTTCAAATTCAAATTGACAAAAAGATATGATTTGTACCATGGATAAATGCAAGCTTTAGAATACCAAAAGATTTTTTTCCTATGTCTTTATAAATATGCCATCAAATTGCTGATTTAAATCAATTTTGAATTTATAGCTGCATAGAATAATAAAATTTCATGCTACAAATCCTTGCAGTGGTGGAGTATATCCTATTAACTCTTCATTTTAATTTGTCAGGACAATTTTGAAAAATTCTATGGAAAATGCCCTGTAAAACACCCTCAGCTTTCACAGGTGTCAGGTCACTGGGTTAAGACACGACCAAAAACATTTTTCAAGGTTATAAATTTGAACTCTGACATTATTAGAATAACATCGGCACTTATAATTTTTAATGATATAATTTTTAACGATAATAAAGACGTTGCATTATGAGCAGGCAACAAGAACTAAAACACATACGTAAGAAAACACAAATAAACCCAATATATTTCTAATGTGTGATCATGAATCTATTATTCCTTATTATTAAATAAGATATCTCTCTAAGAAAATTTAAAATAAATTAGCCAGGCATGGTGGTGCGTGCCTGTAGTCCCAGCTACCCAGGAGGCTGAGGTGGGAAAATCGCTTGAGCCTGGGAGGTGGAGGTTGCAGTGAGCTGAGATTGCGCCACTGCACTCCAGCCTGGGTGACAGAGTGAGACCGTGTCTCAAAAAGAGAAAAAAGAAAGCTCAAAACAGAGGCCAAATTTTCATCTACAAGATGACTCTTCTATCTAAACTACAATCAGGTGAAATGACATAGTCCTCAATGACTTGAACAAGATTAATCAACAAAAAAACCCCACTCAGCACTTCATTAGCTTCTTCTAGCAAAATTAACAGAGGAAACTGGTGTTTCTCAAACTATGTTCCTCTACAACACCAATGTCCCATGAACTGCCAGGCAGATTCCTTGAACAAATATTCCAGGGTGAAAGAAGTGAGCCGGATCCTCCACGGGGCTGCTGATGTGCGTCAGCGTACTAAAAGCTTTGAGAAGACCTGCAGTACAGAACTTGGCTCTCCTTAGTAGACACTGTGTCTTGGAATGTGCTTCTTTAATGACATATCTTTGGTCGGGCGCAGTGGCTCATGCCTGTAATCCCCGCACTTTGGGAGGCCAAGGCGGGCAGATCACCTGAGGTCAGGAGTCCAAGACCAGCCTGGCCAACATGGTGAAACCCTGTCTCTACAAAAATACAAAATTACAAAAATTAGCCGGGCATGATGGTAGGTGCCCGTAATCCCAGCTACTCAGGAGGCTGAGGAGGGAGAATCGCTTGAACCCGGGAGGCGGAAGCTGCAGTGAGCTAAGATCGCACCACTGAACCCCAACCTGGGAGACAGAGGAGACTCCGTCTCAATAAAAAAAAAAAAAAAAAAAAAATCTTTTAATAGGTCTGAGATACCAGCATGGAAATCATTTGAAAAACAGCTACAAACAATAATCCGAAGTGTACAGTAAAGAGTCAACGTGGCGGGCTGGATGGAGTCTGCTCTCCTCTGAAAGGCCTGCTGGCGAGGTGGGCTGCGTTCCCACTGATCCCTAACTGCTAAGAGTAGCTCACTACCTGGGCTGTTTGTGCAAGCAACATGGTTTATGCTGAACACCTGCTTTCCTTCTGGGAGTCGACTTTTGCTATGTGCTAGGCAGAGGGTGCCTACCAGTACAGCTCCAACAAAATCCCTGGATACTGCATCTCTGACAGGCTTCCCTGGGCAGAAACATCACACACATGTTGCTGCATTTTTCTTGCTGGGGGAGGAGTGCTCTCTGGGATCCCACATGGGGAGAGGACTTCAGGGATTTCTCCAGACTCTGCTGTGTCCTTTTGTTCCATCTGGCTGGACTTCCTTAATAAATCTTAGCTGTAAGTACAGTTATATGCTGAATCCTGGGGGTCCTGGTGAAACTCTGAATGTGGTGTTAGTTCTGGAGACCCCCGACCCAGCATGAAAAGTAATCAGTCTGTGTGCTAAACTTCTCATCTATACAATTGCCATGCTTCAGCATGAACCACCAATGTTTTAAGAATTATAATTAAAAAGCAGATAATTCCTAAAATAATCCATGTATTTTGAAATGGCATATATATAGGGATTATCTATGGAAAATCAGAAAGTGGAGGCCAGAGAATACATTTTAAACTCTTGATTTTTAAAATAAAAGGTCTCTTTAGTAGTATTTTAACTTACAAATTAAAGGGATCCTAGAGGCCCTCGCCAATAGGGGAGGGTCAGGAGGCACTGAGGGGAACAGGTGGGGGTGGGGGCTGGCCCTGCCTACCCACCTCCTTTCAGGTCTCTCCAACCAGGTCTTCCCAGGAACCACGCACTCTGGAGGCAGTGCCCCAGGGCTGGGCTCCACTCCCTAACCTTCCTCAGCCCCCCACACATCTGAGTTGCTGGGGAGCTTGTTAAGGATGGAGAGTCCCAGGCCTGCCTTGCAGATCCTAGGAAGGTTAATATTTGTTCAAGGAATCTGCCCAGGAGTTCATGGGACACTAGTGTTATAGAGGCACATAGCTTGAGAAACACCAGTTTCCTCTGTCAATTTTGCTAGAAGAAGCTAATGAAGAGTGCTGGGTTTTTTGTTTTGTTTTGTTTTTGGTGGTTAATCATGTTCAAGTCATTAAGGACTATATCATTTCATGTGATTGTGGTTTAGATACTAACATCATCCTATAGATGAAAATTTGACCTCTATTTTAAACTTTCTTATTGTATTTAAAGTGCATATTCAGAAAATAAACTTTCCCTAAATTGACCAGGAGCTCCTAGTGGGCAAAAGGCTCTATTGTTCCCCTGTATGTTCCCAACTCCTGGCACAATGCTTGTAACCAGGGTTCAGGTCACTTTGCTGAATGAATGAATGAATGAACTGACCTCAGAAGGGTAACGGTGGGAGGGGAGAGCCCCACAAAATGATTCTCTAGGATCTGCAGGGTGGGCCTGGGAATCTCCATCCTTCACATGCTCCCCACCAACTCAGATGTGTGGGGGGCTGAGGAAGGTTAGGGAGCAGAGCCCCACCCAGGGGCATCGCCTCCAGGGTGGGCAGGTCCTGGGAAGCCCTGGTTGGAGCTGCCCGAGAAGAGCACAGCTGAAGCCTCAGTGTGCAGTCGGGGCTGCAGGACTAACGTTCGCACCTTGGCTTCTGTCACCACTACCCATTGCCTCTCAAATTCGATGCAAACTTCAGCTGAGCTTCTTTGGCTCCAGTGTTCCCTTGTTCAATGGCTCTCCACCTATGCTAGACTTAGATCTCGTTTCCCCGCCCCTGAAAGGCCCTCGATGTCTCCGACTGTCCAAATTCCACCTGCCCATCTTTTATGGAATGGGTCTCAAATGGTACTTCCTTTTGTTCTGGGTGGGAAAATAATAGGGTTTAGACTCAAACAGATTCAGGTTTGTGGTCAGGTTTCATATTGTCCCGGGGGCTTAACATAGGGCAAGTTACTTATATTCCCTGGGCCTCAGTTTCCTCAACTGGGTTCTCCCCTACTTGGAAAGACTGAGATGATCACAGAACACAATGTGAGAAGAGAAGCCAGCACTCTCCTGGCACAGAGGAGGGGCTCCACAGACAGCTGCTCACGCCCATCTCCCAGGACCACGTCCTCCTCTCATTCCCCCTGCGCAAGGCCTTTAGATCCTAGTTCTCTCAGAGCCCTTTCCAGGCCCTATTATTCTAGTAATTAGATTACTAGTCCTCTCTCCAAACTCCATCCAACTGTAAGCACCTCCTTTTGTTTTTCACCTAACAAATCAACAACGTCAAAAATTATGCTCTATGATGAAAAAAGACACATACCCAACCCTCTAGTGTGTTGCTGGTGGCAGTGAACATTGTTTTTAAAAAATATAAAAAAAAAATTATTTGGAAGTGCATGTTAGGAATCCTCAAAACACAAATTCTTTGACTAAATAATTCCACTTCTTCTTCTTTTTTTTTTTTTTTTTTTGAGACGGAGTCTTGCTCTGTCGCCCAGGCTGGAGTGCAGTGGCATGATCTCAGTTCACTGCAACCTCCGCTACCCAGGTTCAAGCAATTCTCCTGCCTCAGCCTCCCGAGTAGCTGAGATTACAGGCATCTACCACCATGCCCAGCTAATTTTTGTATTTTTAGTAGAGACGGGTTTTGCCTTGTTGGCCAGGCTGGTTTTGAACTCCTGATCCCAGATGATCTGCCCGCCTCAGCCTCCCAAAGTGCTGGGATTACATGCGTGAGCCACCACGCCCAGCCAATAATTCTACTTCTTAATATCTACCCTGAAAATAATCTGAAATACAGAAAAAGAAGAGATATATACAGTATAAATAAATATTTGATATTTCAATATAGAAAAAGATATAAAACATTTGAATAAGAAGTCCCTCACAACATAATTTAAAATAGCAAAATATTAAAGTTTAAATATCTCACATGACTATATCATTTCATTAGATTATAGTTTAGATAGTAACGTCCAGAGTAGAGTTTTAATAAAGTATCATGTAACTATTTATAACAGCACTTCAGACATTCATTACAACCTGCAGAGAGACAGCCTGTGCTAGTATATCAAGTAATACCTGTGTGGAAATGCTAAGATAAAAGCTGGAAAGGAAACTCCAAACTCCTTGTGACTGTATGTAAGAATGCTTTGTGATCTCTGTGTCACTTCACATCGTGGGTTTCAATGTAACTATACTTTTTTATATAACTAAGCTCAATTATTCTGGCATAACATTGACCTGTCTTAGAGTTCATGGTATGGGTGGCCACCAACGATTTTTTTCTATGAGAGTTTACTGCCTTATCCTTGATCTACAGTACCATGAGGCTATGCTGTTTGTGCTAAGTGGAAACATCCCGGAATCACAGAAAAGGACAGAAGCTACCGCATGATAGCACAAAGATAGATTACACTGACTGCACAGATTACACCTTTCTATATTTGGAGGGGTCAGTACCCATCTCTTCATTTACTTGACCACAGGGCCCCTTCTCCTCTCTTAGGATATTTCATTTCCAGTGAGCACTTTTCTTCCACGATGCCTCCTTCTCCTTTGGAGATAGCGTGCAAGTTTCTCTCTCTACTTGGTTGCATTGCACACAGTAATTAGAAACTTACTTGAGTTCAAGGGTGGCATTTTGGTGCAACTGTGTGAAGTCTCTTATCTGCATGATTTCTAGCAAAGATGTACCATTCTGTTGCATGTTCTGAAGAGTAGAATTGGGTAGTAGGAAATCTTCATCCAAAGTCTGATTTAAAGTTGTCTTTTCCATAATTTCTATGGAGAAAATTCATCAATTATTTAATAAGCCTCTCAAAAGTGGCTAGTACCAAGTGAAGAACTTAGAAACTTCTCTGCTGAGGACTGCTCTGTTTACCTAAGCTGAGTTGGACCTCCATGTCAGGCCAGGCCACCTGGCATATCCCAGTGTACTCTGCACATCCCCTAACTAAACATTCATGAACTTGGGATTACTGGTCTATTTCAAAGTCTTCTCATGCACCAATAAACTCCCTAAAGGCAAGGACATGGTGTCAACCTCAGCATTTCCTTGTACCTGGCAGAGACATCTGCACATGAAAAATAAATGTTCTCAATAAATATTTACTGCATAAATAAACCACCAATGCTTGATCCTACTTTTTTTATTAAGTATACTTTGTTCTAATAATTTCCTTACCTTTTGCCCTATAAAGTCTGATTTTTATTGGATTCTGTACTTTTTAAGCCCTTACACTATAATATAAAAAGAAGAGCGATCATATGTTTCTGGTAGCCAGAAAACTGAAAATAGTATGCTAAAAGCCACAGCACACCCAACTGAGAAGTGATTAAATTATTCTAATGTGATGGATATACTTGGTACCTAACTGAAGTCCCAAATCCTGTCAGCTCCTATTCTGGGCAAATGGATGGAGAGCTACCATACTAACTTTACCATAACAGGGCTTGAGAATTAGGATCTAAGTTTTAGGCATAATGCAGAAAATAAAAAAAGAAATATGCATTTTTTTAAAGCTAAAACTCTCAGTCAAAGACTAAAGTTTGCACATCTCAGGATCCCCAAACTATTCCAGCCCCTCTGGTTCCGGAAACCCGATGCAAGAGATATACATCTATTCATATGTTTAATAAAGCAATGGTGACTTCTTACTAGATAAGCACAGATACTTCAAACTAGACACTGCCCACACTACCTGTGATGCTCATCTGCAGCCTCTCAATGGCTATGGCCAGGTCTTGACTCTCCTTGAAGATTCTCTCAGTTGCCCTATTCACCTTTTGGGTACTCGCTAACATCCTAGTGAGCTGGTGGAAAAATAAAGTCTCAGGTTAGTTTGACTTTAAGTAATTAGTTTGACTTTAAATAATACGCAAGTTGTAATATTCCACTGTTGCCGCTTATAAGCAACAACATATATTCCAGAATATAGAGTAAAGATGAGCATTATCATGCAAGCCGAGCTTAATATTTTGGGGTTAGAAATGGACTAAGTAGTTAATGAAATAATTTACAACTCACTCAGCATAAGAAAAGATGGGTATGTTTTTAAAAGCAGGCTAATTGTGTATTAAACTACAGATTCTCCTAGTGGCTATACTGTGAGGGCCCTCGATTCACTTTAAAACCCAAATATACAGAATATAGAAAGTAAACCTTACTGATTTGTATGGCCTATGAGATGTTAGTCTCTAGGAGTTAAGAACACGGAGTCAGGCAAGCTGATTTTAGACCTGATTCTCCAGGCTGTGGACAGGCCCAGACATCTCCAAGCATTGTCTGTAACACTTGGGAAACAGCAACGCTTACCTCCCAGGGCTGCTACGAGAACTACACAAGACGAGAGCCAGGAAGTCAGCAGCCCAGAGGCTGACACTTAGCTGTCCTCAGCTGTTATTTCTACTGGGATTTTTACTCTTTGTTAAAGGAAAGGTTGTTTGTAATTTCCAAGAATGTAGAGTAACCCAGTCTGAGTTTGGTGTTTTCTAGTCAAGACCAAAGAGAATAACGGATACAGAGAATTTATTTTAATCAGCCTATTTCCAACCAAATGTTTGCTTGATGAGGTACTTAAACCCAAACTTAAACCCTTCAACTCTTTCCAAAACATCGTTAATTCTAAATTAACAGGAGCCAAACTATACTTCCTAGGGTGATGTTTGTGTATGTGTGCATGTGTTGATGGAGATTAGACATCCATATGTATAGATACACCATCACAGTACAGACACACACACACACACACACACACACATACAAAATTCATAAATGAAAAAACAGTAAATTTGACAATAATCCTTCCTCACCATCTGCAGAAGGGGAGATTCTTTTTTAGGTCACTAAATGCCATTCCTCTGGCACAGGCTAAACAGAATAAATAATTCCCTGATGACAGAAAAACAAGCTCACTTGCCATTCAGGGCCCTAAAATCAGAACCACCCCAGCCTGAAGCCTGAAGTTTGCACAGATGCCTCATCATGAGGTCTGTGCCCTCCCTGCTCCACCCAGCAAGCTGCAGAGAGCATTACTGATGTTCAGTCCGTGCTTTTGGGCTCACCGTGTACTTCGTTACTGAATGAATTTAGGAGAAGGAAGAAACCTCAGCAATCTTTTCATCCCCGCCCCACCTTTGTTTCAGAGGAGAAAATGAAAGTCAGAGCCAAGAGACTGCCCAACTCTGTCCTCAGCAGAGATGACAACAGACATTAAGTCGGGAGCCTTTTCCCACTAAACCACAGAAACTGGCAGGGTCAAAACCAATTTGATGATTAAGTACCTGGAGCACAGCTCGTGGGAGGAAGAGGCTGGCATGATCTAATCAGAACCTTCCAGACAGCCCCAAGGCAACTGCTCAGGAGGGCTGATGGGAGGGACCAGGAGGAAGGTTGGTTGGTTATGGAAAGAATTTACCTTCTTTTGCAGGTTGTCCGTTTCTTCTGCAACACCTTCAAGCTTAATTTTTCCCAGGTCCTTTTGCATATTTTCTTTTAATAAAGATTCCTAGGAAGAATGGAGGAAACAAATTACAATGCTTCGAAGTAAAATGTTCTGATTCTTAACTAAGAAGCACTTGCATTTCTTTTTTGTTCACAGAAAGAAATTCTTCTTTCCTTGGAACTGTCATTTTAAAAAAAAATGGATCACATTTACTTAGGTTTCGATTATAGCGACATGATTCTACACTGCCATCCTTTGCATTATATTTCTGATATAGATATAAATTTAAAATCTGTTGTGTTCAGCAGAATCTGATACTGCTGCAATTCTCAGATAAAAGTCTGGCTTTATCTCAATAGCAGAGTCACACAAATTTAACTATAATTGCAACACCTAAGAAAAAAATGCCTTTTAGGCTAAACTACAAAAGAATTCAATAAAGAAAGACTTTATAAATACTAAAAATAAAGAAAAATAAAGTGCTTAATTTATGCCAACAGCCTTCTAATTTCTTGTATAATTTTATTTCAACCTTAAAACTTGATGAATACTTTACATAAACACAAAAAGTTATTTAAAGAAAACGGACAAGTGGTTTATTTAGAGCAAATCATTCAAAATGAGTTAAAATTTAAATCAAATATTTGTCTTATTTGATATATATAAAATAGTTATATCCCTGGGACCAAGACTGGCAGATATTATACTGATCGTGTATATAGTGATTGGAAAAAAAAGTTAAATATTCTTTTTTTTATAGAGGTAAAAGCTCTCATTTTTCAAAAACACTTTGTGACGTTTGAGGAAAGTATAACATAAAAACATCTCTTAGAGGTCCCTAACCTTTCTGAACTACCATTATAGAGAAAAGACCACTGCAAATCAAGACGGATTCAAGAACCAGCCCCATCCCAGCGCACACATAAACACACGCACACACCTAAGGAAGTCCTAAGTTTGAGGAAAACTCTTATCTAAGAAAAGGCATTTAGGAATGGCCATCCCTTTTATTGCTACCTGGTGCACTGCATAGATTATGTCAAATTCTAACGCATATATAAAGCAAAATTTAAGAATCACACTGTTTTCCAATTAGAATTAAAAGTAGGTCGGGCGTGGTAGCTCATGCCTATAATCCCAGAAATTTGAGAGGTCAAGGTGGGAGGTTCTCTTGAGCTTAGGAGTTCAAGACCAGCCTGCACAACATAGTGAGAGCTCATCTCTATTAAAAATAAAAATAAAAGAACTAGCCAGGCATGGTGGTGTGTGCCTGTAGTCTCAGCTACTTGGGAGGCTAAGGCAGGAGGATCCCTTGAGCTATGGAGGTTAAGGCTGCAGTGGGCCATGACTGCGCCACTGCATGCCAACCTGGGTGACTGAGGGAGACCCTGTCTCAAAAAAATAATAAAATAAATAAATAAGATAATAAAAATAAATAAGTGCTATAGTAGGATGCTGTCTACTAAGTTAATTTCTTAACTCCTCACCCTTTTTTGACCCAGGCTCTGTTGATGAAAACATAAAACTATGATTTACTGCCAGACATTTAATGTAGCCTTCCAGGGAGGAGAGATTTTGTGCCCTGCAACTTTAGTGCAGTGAAGAATAATACACTTTAAAAATAATATACCTTAAAGAAGATACTGTTCAGATTTATTTTCTGCTTTTCTTCTCTTTTTCTTTTTCTTTTTCTTTTTCTGAGATGGAGTCTTGCTCTGTCGCCAGGCTGGAGTGCAGTGGTGTGATCTCGGCTCACTGCAACCTCCACCTCCCAGGTTCAAGCAATTCTCCTGCCTCAGCCTCCCAGGTAGCTGGGACTACAGGCACGCGCCACCACATCCAGCTAATTTTTGTATTTTTGGTAGAGATGGGGTTTCACCACGTTGGCCAGGATGGTCTCGATCTCTTGACCTCGTGATCCACCCGCCTTGGCCCCCCAAAGTGCTGGGATGCTGGGATTACAGGTGTGAGCCACCGTGCCTGGCCTATTTTCTGCTTTTCTAATAGGGCAGCTGTTTGCAAATACCCAAAGTTGTCTTACAGAAGAGCAAGTGGACTTGGCCTTATCCCAAAAGGCAGAATGAGGGCCACAGAGGGCAGCATTGATGAGGAGTCCTCCAGAGAGCACTGAAATGATGAGAGCTGTCCCACCGTGAAACAAGCTAGCGTGTGAGATAAGTAAGTAAGTGCCTGTCACTGGTCACAGTCAAGGAAAGACTGGACACCTGCCCGCAGGGGCTGATGGAAGTTGGGCTCTCACAATGTGGGGAGGACACATGGAATGACTCCCACCATTCCCAATGACTATATCCCTTAATGATACAAGTGTCTGTTCATCTCTGTATTTCCAGTACCTACCTGGAGATATTTAGTTGTATTTTCCAGGTTTGACAAAATTCCATATGGGACAGGGATAATGCCAGTGAGGTTCAGAGAAAGAACGGCATCACCAATCTCATCCAAGTCATTCAGCAGCACACCTACACACTCATCATCACAGGCTACAAGACAAATTTTTAAAAAGGAGAGTTAAAGTTAATGCGATGTGGTCTGCCCATTTTTTCATGGAGTTGCGCAAGTTGTTTTGTGAAAATGACACATGCGGTCAGAGTACACTCCAAGACCCCGTGCACCACATCTGATCTCATTCTCACTCCAACTGTGCCATGGGTGGCACGGCAGGAAGTGCTAGGCCCCTATTCAATGATGACGCCAAGACTCAGATCAGATAAGTAACTTCCCAGAGGTCACACAGAAAGAAACAGCTGAGGCCAAGAGTGGCGCCCAGTAAGCAAAAGGGTCTTTGCTTACTAAGTGATAAGGTGGTAAGAGAGTTGAAACAACTATGAGCAAGCATGAAAAACAGCAGGGGGAAGAGGGGTGAACACACGCTGACGAAAAGAACTTTATTGACTGTAATGAAAGGCGAGGAAGGCAAGCCAGGGAAGCAAAGGCAAGGAAGTAAGGCAGAACTGGAGAACGGATGCACCTAAAGACAGGCAGGGAGTTATGGCACACATTTCATTCTTCTGCCCCCATCTTTATGCTGCCTGGCTCATCTTTAACTAGGACCCACTGCACTGAATCCCAGCATTCCCTTCCACAGCCTGCTCTGTCACCTCCTCAGGCAGTTTGCAAATGCATCTTTCACAAGTACAAGTGAAGGACACTGGAGAGAATAGTGGGGGTGTTTGTGCTTATAACCCACACAAAAGTCAAAGCAAAAAAGACCTCCAATGCCATGGTCCTAACAGGCCTCCCTATCTTCCCCATTAACCCCTGAGAAGACATCCCAAGCTGACTATCTCATGCACTTGCTGGTAGAATAAATCAGAACTGGAAAAAAAGTTTACAAAAGCCCACGACAGGCCGGGCATGGTGGTTCATGCCTGTAATCCCAGAATTTTGGGAGGCCAAGGCAGGCGGATTGCCTGAGGTCAGGAGTTCAAGACCAGCCTGGCCAACATGGTGAAACCCTGTCTCTACTAAAAATACAAAAATTAGCCAGGCAAGGTGGTGGACACCTGTGATCCCAGCTACTCGGGAGGCTGAGGCAGAGGAATCACTTGAGTCCAGGAGGCGGAGGTTGCAATAAGCCGAGATTGTGCTACTGCACTCCAGCCTGGGGGACAGAGCAAGACTCCATTTTTTTGTTTTTGTTTTTTTTTTAAGTCCATGATAGTCACGAGTGGAAGCTATCATGAAATTGGGGTAACACAAATGACAACCCCACAAAGCTGTTTCCTCTCCTGCACTAAATCACTCCTGGCTCCACTAAAGGAAATATTAATGCCACTAAAGGAGAAAGTTGAAATCACTGTGCTGCTCTGAGTGCCAGAGGAATAAACTGCTATCTTAGAACCTCCTGCCTCAGCTGGAAAACACATGATGAAAGGTTCAGTTCAGCAGATGCAACAGTGATCTATGCTTAGAAAATAAGAAAATGAAAATAAAATAGGATGTTTTTATTCTGCAGACACTTTAGCGTGCCGTCACCACTTCTTTCCCGACACATTTGGGAGGAAAAACCATCTTTACACATTTAGAGGAGAAATACTCACAAACACAATCTGTTTCCATCAGAATGTGCCTCGGTTCACACTCATCGCACCGGAGCCCCGAGGCCCCCAGCCTGCAAACGCACTGCCCAGATGTGCGGTCACAGTCACCGTGGACAGAGCCGTGCGGGTTGCAGTCACACTTCTGGCAACTGCCACCTGGTGTTTGAGGGTTCCCATAATAGCTTGAGGAGCACCTACAGAAAGGAAGGGACATAGGTGCAGACAGGATGGTCAATACCAGCTTCTAACTTGCGACAGTAATCATTTCCGCCAAATGAAATGCAAAGCACAGATCCATTCACCTTGGGAAAACTTGTTCTGGAACAGTAATGAGGTCTTATTTCAATCAAGCACATCCAAACTGATAATTGATAATGGCTCCCAGATTACTATAGTAAATATGCCCAATACCTTATAAAAGAAACAGAGTGCCCAGGGATTTCCACATGACAATCCACCCATGTACCTTTCACAGTGTTTTCCTTCATAGCCCAGGAGACAGGCGTCACAACGGAAATCGTGGTCCCCTTCCAAGACACAAGTGGGACTAAAACTGGAGGAAAAGAATTTCTTTTTGAATTTTCAGATATACAATTTCCATCTTTCCTTAAGGTACTTATTCATTACTCTTAGGATACACCATACTGGTCTCAAAGTTATGTGATTACACATAGCTTTTTAGAGCTTACAATCTACCTGGCAAAAAGAAGGAAAATAAAAGTAATCAGTAAGTGCACACACATCTTGTATCCAAAAGACATTCATAAGACCCTGTCCAGGGACAATCATGTGAATGTTAAGTGGAAGAAGACTGACCTTAGGGATTATCACTAATTGGCCACCCAACAAGAGAGTGTCCCAAGGAAAAAGGGTCTTTGCTTACTAAGTGATAAGGTGGTAAGAGAGCTGAAACAACTATGAGCAAGCATGAAAAACAGCAGAGGGAAGATGGCTGAACACACGCTGACGAAAAGAACTTTATTGACTGTAACGAAAGGCGAGGAAGGAAAGCCAGGGAGGCAAAGGCAAGGAAATAAGGCAGAACTGGAGAACGGATGCACCTAAAGGCAGGCAGGGAGTTATGTGGTAGGCTGCCATAAGCAAAATGACAGAGCCTCTCAAAGTTTAATCATCGACTGGGATTTGATCTCCTCATTCATGGATTTCTGCTTTTGTTTTACTCCTTTTTCTCAACATCCTCTACCCTCTGCCTTCACGTTTTAAATTACCAATGTGCCATCTAGAGGCTGAGCTGGGTGCATGCAAACTACTGGAGACAACAATAAAAAACAAAACCAGTTAGAGCCAAGTCTGGTTCCTTTTCGTTAGCAAGATGAAGTTTCCAGCGTCAGTTATCAGCCCCATACCACTTCCGACTCTTTTTCCTCCTTAAAATAGTAAAGGGATAGACTTCAGTGGAAACAAAATATGTAGAAAATAAAGCGTGTGTTTTAGGGCATCTGAGATTCAGAGCACACAAGAATGTTCACAACCTGACAATCTCTTCCTGATAGCACAAACTTTAATTTATTAATGCGGACTTTGGGGATGTTTATAACCTTTTTATGATTGCAGAAGTAAAATATTCAAACAGCACAGAAACGTGCAAAGTAGTAGGGTAGAATGTCCTTCCCAATACTTCTCTGGGCACATATATAGCCACCTATAATATGGGTATGAATAGACGTGGATATGAATTTTTTCCAAAATGGCATCACACTCCATATTCAATTACATACTTCAATTGGCCATTTCTCCAATTCTGTGCCTACAGATATACCTTATTCTTTTCTCCGTGTTTGTAAAATATTTCACTCTAGGAATGTAACACAATGTATATAATCAATTCCCCGTAAGTAGATATTTCCGTTTTCCCCCTATTCCTCATGAGTAAAAAGCAATGCAAAAACACATCCATCTTTACACACACATGCAAGTATTTCTATAGCACAGACTACAGAAGTGGAATTGACAAGTCAAAATTTATATATATACATTTAATATAAAAAATAAGCACTAGTAACAACAAATTTTAGGATGCTTCATAGCTTGCAAGGGAAGTGTACATAGTGCCTCTCATTTGGTACTCACCATCAGGCATCATTTACTTGGAGGCAATAAAAAACAGAAGATTCAGACAAATATTAAAAGGAATACTTCATTGCAGTATACCAAGAGTTAACATTTGATCTTTGTATGTTCAATACCTTGCCAAATATTCTAAGCAATAATAAAATATTATTGATGAGTTATAATTTTCATTTGATCCAAAGAGGATTCTTTGATATTCTAATTCCCACTTAAAATTTCTGGTTCCCTTTTGCATTCAGGTAATTCTGTACAAGCATCATAAGTACAAGGTAGAAACTAGTCCCAATTTTATCACCATGTGGTATTTCAGCACTTAGGCACCAGCTTATATAAACTCTAACCCCATTCCCTTATATAAACTCTAACCCCATTCCCTTAAATGGTAATTGGGTTCTTTTGTATCATTATCAATAAAATTAATAGCAATTTATCTCCATGCAGATTGGATACATATGCTGTGGGCTAAAATGAGTCTTAAAAAACAAAACCTAAAAGTCCTTTCTTTAATTGCTTCCATCCAAACATCCAATACCAAAACAGATACTTTGCTTTTGAAAAGATTCTCTTCCAATGCTTTTGAGAATGAACACCTTTTCTTAAAATTAGCCTTTTGCAACCAATGGAGAATATTCATTAACAACAGACCACTCAGAGACCCTTGAAAATGAGGCTGAACTGGAAGCAGCCCTGGGCAGCCCAGCATGCCAGCTGCCCCTGTGGGGACTCACCTGGCAGGAGGGCTGTGAGGACAGGCACACAGAGCACAGTCACTTGCTGAGCCAGTCACCTTCCCGTAGTAGCCAGAAGTACACACATCACAATGGTCACCTGCTGTGTTATCGCCACAGTTCTGGGAGCCCACATTTAAAGGAAGGGGGAAAAAATGGGAAATTGTTAGAAATCATTCTTATCTGGTAATAGCTAAGCACTGCCACGTTTTATATCAGCTAGCTTTTAAAAATATTCTTCAGGAAAGGGGAGCATTTTCCTCCATATTCTTAAAATCCTGAAAACATTTCCCGCTCTGTGGCTTTCATTCATCCTAAGGCTGCATTCATCCACTACAGCCAAGAAATTACTAGTACATTCTTCTTAAGGAAAATAGACATAGGAGCCCTAAAAGCAGTTTGCAGAACCTTAAAACACAGATTTAAAATATTTAGTGCCCCAAAAAACAATTTGAAGCACCAGTTTTGCACACAGTCAGGGTTCAACAACCACATGTAAGGAGTTGAAGAATGGATAGATGATTTAGGAAATAGACAATGAGGGAAGAAAACTCATGGTTTTAGAGCACCACTGATAGATTACTGCAACCAACAACTAACTTCCAGTTAATTTTTTTCTTTCTTTTTTTTTTTTAAGGACGAGGTCTCCCTGTGTTGCCCAGGCTAGAGTGCAGTGGTGCAATCATAGCTCACTGTAGCTTTGACCTCCCAGGCTCAAGTGATTCTCCTGCCTCAGCCTCTCGAGTAGCTGGGACCAGAGGCACACGCCACCATGTTTGTCTAACTTTTAACTTTTTTGTACAGGTAGGGGGTCTTGCTATGTTGCCCAGGCTGGTCTCAAACTCCTGGCCTCAGGTGATCCTCCTGCCTTGGCCTCCTAAGTAGCTGGGACGACATGCACGAGCCACCCCATGTGGCATTTCCAGTTAAATTTTATATCATCCTTTGGACCTACGGTCTTGCTATTAAAAAAGGTACACTTATTTTGGTTGTTTTTTTTTTTTTGAGACAGAGTCTCGCTCTGTCACCCAGGCCAGAGTGCAGAGGCATTATCTCGGCTCACTGTGAGCTCCACCTCCCGGGTTCACGCCATTCTCCTGCCTCAGCCTCCCGAGTAGCCGGGACTACAGGTGCCCACCACCACAACCGGCTAATTTTATTTTTATTTTTATTTTTAGTAGAGACAGGATTTCACTGTGTTAGCCAGGATGGTCTCGATCTCCTGACCTTGTGATCTGCCCGCCTCGGCCTCCCAAAGTGCTGGGATTACAGGCGTGAGCCACCGTGCCCGGCCAAAAAGGTACACATTTTTAAAGCTAAAAGAACAAGCAGTTCTTGCCATCTGATTCCAATTTGAAATTGGCATTTGCTCAATTCATCTCTATTTACTCAGCCACTGGGCACAAGATTCCATGTCTGATGCAGCTGAATAGGTTTCCAGGATCAGTGAGGAACACCTGAGCAAACTCCCAGGCTGACTCACACTTTTATCCTTGGCAGTGAGAGGTGATACAGAAAGACATCTTGTTACATGTTAAAAAGGACTATTTTAAGTTCATTTAAATGTTTTTAAAATTCTAGTATTTTTCATTTTAAAGTTCTATTCCTATTTTTTTCCCTGATGAGGATAAATTTTACTGGGATCTACCTGACCTCTCAAACTCATCTCTCTGTAGAAGTAAAATTTGTAATCTCTCTCTTGAAAAGTAAAAGTGTTAATGGCATGGCCTAAACCTGACAAGGAATAAATATTAGATGATGAGAGAGAATTGAAGATTTTCAGGTTTTCCATGGCTAACACCAACTCCCTCTGACTTACGACAGACTGTGGGCTCCCTAGAGAAGCAAAGACAAGCTGCCCCAAGAGTGGCAGGGAAACAAGGACCCCCTAATGAGAACCAAAGTGTGGGCTGAATTAGTTGCTATGGGAAATTCACAGAGAATGCCTGCCAATATTTCACTGATGTAAAAAGGTTCAGTCGTATCTCCCAGAAGGCGGTGGTAGGGAGTGGGTAACCAGGACGAGGAGCTCCCAGGCTACCGCCCTTGTCCTCAGTCTCCCCAGCCCCTTCCAAGGCATACTTCCAATCAATCACTTTTTTTTTTGAGGTGGAGTTTCGCTCCTGTTGCCCAGGCTGGAGTGTAATGGGGCGATCTCAGCTCACCGCAACCTCTGCCTCCTGGGTTCAAGTGATTCTTCTGCCCCAGCCTCCCGAGCAGCTGGGATTACATGCATGAGCCACCACGCCTGGCTAATTTTGTATTTTTAGTAGAGATGGGGTTTCTCCATGTTGGTCAGGCTGGTCTCAAACTCCCAGCCCCAGGTGATCCGCCCACCTTGGCCTCCCAAAGTGTTGGTATTACAGGCGTGAGCCACTGCGCCCGGCCCCAATCATTTTTATGATAACACCAAATGCTCAGTGACCTGAACATCCTATATACTAATGACAAAATCAGATCCAAAAAGGTCTTCATATCTACCTGTACAATAAGCACAGGGGGAGTGCTTAGGAGATTATGTTGAAGGGAAATGAACTGCACTAAACCACAAAAGGATTTGAAAAACTGAGGATGGAAGGGAAGGTCCTGAGCTCAAAGAGCAAGGAAGAAGGGACTGAGGCGCTATATTGATGGGAAGAGTTCAAGGGTCTTGTGTCTAGTCAATGCCGTGAGGCAGCAGTGACAGGGCAGGTATGACTACCCTGTCCAGGCTGGGCCATGGAGACACAGCACCTCGAGTTAAGGAGGGAAGCTCCCACTGACTCTGGGAGCAAAGGCGTTAGGCTCAGGGCAGGATACCGAAGACAGACAGTGACATGCACACCACAGGCTGGTGAACGGACCCACGACCACTCCATCTGGCCTCCAGGCATGTGAGGGTACGTGACTTGGAGGGCTGAAGATTCAGGGCCTTTGGACATGGGAAAGAGGGATTTGATCAAGTAGTTTCACAAGGTATCTGTTAAGATCCCATCACTTTTCATGAATAATCTGAACTCATGGTTTATCTCAACAGCTCCAAAGAATAAAACTGCACCAACAGATGCATGGTCAGGGGCACTGGCTTAGAAAGAATCAGAGCTGCCCAAAGATGAGCAGAGCTGTTTTGGGAGTGAGCTCCCCATTGTTGCAGGTGTGTAAAATGTACACTAAATTACTGCCTGGCATGGCTGCTATAGTTCAGACTTAATATCTGAAGGGACAGCCGGGCGTGATGGCTCATGCCTGTAATCCCAGCACCTTGGGAGGCCAAGGCAGGTGGATCATTGGAGGTCAGGAGTTCGAAACCAGCCTGGCCAACATGGTGAAACCCTGCCTCTACTAAAAATACAAAAATTAGCTGGGTGTGGTGGCAGGCGCCTGTAATCTCAGCTACTCAGGAGGCTGAGCAGGAGAATTGCTTGAAGCCAAGAGGCAGATGTTGCAGTGAGCTGACTGCGCCATTGTACTCCAGCCTGGGTGACAGAGCAAGCCTCCATCTTGAAAAAAATAATAATAATAAAAAAATGTGAAGGGACTCTGACAAGAATAGAAGGACCACTGCAACCCTGAAATCCCATCCTCCAAGCCCAGACACCATTTTTTGTTTATAATGGGTTTCAGTGACAGGAATTGTCAAAAAGAGGGAAAACCAGAATCAAAATGTGGCGGGAGGCAGGTTGGGAGCCTGCAGTCCTAATTCCTCTGTTTTGGCTCCAGTGTTTCCTTGTGATTGGGCCACACCCAGGATCTCCGAGGCTTCGGGTGTGTCCTTGGTGGGCAGCTCATTTCCCTTCAATGCATTATTTTACCCAAGGCGAGTTAATCTTGGAACAATTAGTAATCAATGTTTCCACCTGAGTGACTGTAAAGCATGAGGCTTCAGGAGTAGGAAACGAATATCACATTATTTTGTTATCTGCCTCATTGGCTTAAGCTAAATCATGGACACAGGAATTTGTCCTCGGTCAGGGCTGCGAGGCTTCTGTCTGGGCCGCTTAGTCGTTTACAGTGGTCAGAGCTCTCCATGTGTCCCCGAGACCAATCTTGGCCTAGGAGAAGGTGGCTGAGAAGCAAACACACACTAACATGTGAATAATGTGCTGTTATCATCCCCTAGAGAATATGCATTTTTTTAAAAAATGCAAGGAGAGGGCAATACTTTACACAGAGAAATACATTTTCAACACTGGCATTAACTTATTTTAAAATTCCCACGTGAGCCCCCAAACTTCATCGTATACAGTTCTCATCTATTTTGACTACGGCAACCAGTACTGCAATTAAAAACAAGGCATGCAACTACAGTCATCCATCACTTAAAGATGGGGATACTGCCTGAGAAATGCATCCCTAGCTGATTTCGTCACGGTGTGAACGTCATAGAGTGCACTTATACAAACCTAGATGGCACAGCCTACTACACGCCTAGGCCATATGGTAGAGCCTATTGCTCCTGGGCCACAAACCTGTCCAGCATGTTACCGTACTGAATACTGTAGGCAGTTGCAACACAACAGGAAATATTTGTGCATCTAACTATAACTAACATAGAAAAGGTACAGTAAAAACACAGTATTATAGTCTTATCAGACCACTGTCCTATATGTGATCTGTTGTTGATGAAAATGTCATTATTTGGTGCACGACTATAATTCCCAAATTGATGCCCACAGATAAATTCATCAAGAAAGGAAAATTTATAAAAGAATTTCCACTGATAAGGTCAGAACCACTAAGCTATGCCGTCCTCAAGGAAATAGGTTTATATTTTATATTTAGCTAAATTTAACCTCTCACTAAACCAAGGCACGGCTATGACTTAGACCGGAAATCTGACACTCAGCGTCCACTTTACTTCTAAACTCAGGCAAGCACCCCCACAAACCAGCATACCAGACACTTCCCGGTGTTGGGGTCACAGGTGTCACTGTGGTTGTTGCAACTGCAGGGAACACAAGGAGCAACCAGAGGGCGTGGTCCCCTGTCACTCCCTGCTGGGAGCTTCCCTCTGTGGTACCCAGGGGCGCAGTCCTGAGGGGGTGCAAAAGGGAGGACAAAAAAGTCTGATTAATGAGTGAGTGAAGGACTTGAATAGACACTTCTCCAAAGGAGACATACAAATGGCCAACAGGTATGTGAAAAGAAGTTCGACATCTCTATCAGAGAAATGCAAATGAAAAAACACAAGGTGATGCCACCGCACACCTGTTAGGGTATCAACTATCAAAAAAAAAAAAAAAACTAACAAGTATTGGTGAGAAACTGGACCTTGTATACTGCTGGTGAGAATGGAAAATGGCACAGGAAAAACCAGTAGCTATACCATTTCCATCCCTCCAAAGATGGAAAATACAAGTACCATATGATTCTGCAAGTCCACTTTTGGGTACACAACCAAAAGAACTGGAAGCAGAATCTCAAAGAGATATTTGAACCCCTATGTTCATAGCGGCATTATTCACAATAGCCAAGATGGGGAAGCCACCCAAGTTTATTCACTGACAGATTAACGAATAAGCAAAATGTGGCATGTATGTACAATGGAATATTATTCAGCCTTAAAAAGGAGGGAAATTCTGACACATGCTACAACATGGATGAGCCTTGAGGACATTATGCTAAGTGAAACAAGCCATTCGCAAAAAGACAAGTTCTGTATTACTCCACTTTTATTTATTTATTTATTTATTTATTTATTTATTTTTGAGACGGAGTATCTCTCTGTCACTCAGGCTGGAGTGCAATGGCACGATCTCGGCTCACTGCAGCCTTCACCTCCCAGGTTCAAGTGATTCTCCTGCCTCAGCCTCCTGAGTAGCTGGGATTACAGGCATGTGCCATGCATATATATATATCATATAAGAGGGCCATAGAGTGGTCAAATACATAGAGACCAAAAGGAGAATGGTGGTTTTGGGGCACTGGGGAGAGAGGAAATGGGGAGCTAGTGTTTAATGAGTGCAGAGTTTGCGTTTCGGATGATAAAAAGTTCTGAGGATGATAGTGGTGACAGTTGTACAACAACGTGACTGTACTTAACACAACTAAACTGTACCCTGAAGAATGGTTAAGATGGAAGATTTTGTTATGTACATTTTACCAAAATTAATTTCTTTTTAATTCAAAAAGAGAAAAAAATGATATAGTAGATACACATAAGTTCTGTTCATCTCTGGGAGTTGCTGTAACAAGCACATTTCAACTCAAACCCAGGAAATAGATTTCGACTAGAGTCTCCGTACCTGACATGAGAATCCCACAGTGCCAGGAGGACAGACACAATTCTCTAAAAGAGATGCAACCTCTTCTTCTGGGTGCAGCTTTTCAGCCTTTCTGCCAACCTCCATTGAAATGTCTGAGATTCTGTGCAGCCATCATGTTAAGAGAGGAAACGCTAACATTTGAAAAACTTTCTAGAAACATAGCACATGACCTAACACTTGCATATATATGAAACCAGAGCTTTCTTCCCTGTTTGGAGTAGTTCCTGCTTGTGATTGTAAGTGAAGTGTGTTAAAGCACATTACTAACTGTCATGACACACTTTAGACATTTTAGAATTTAAAAATAATGTGACACAAGTACACCTAAAAGACCTCTTGAAGTGCTGATTTGGCCAAGACCTAATGGCTTTCTTTTTGGGCTAAAGTATGAGATGAGTAGGTGACAGCATTCTTTATACATCACTACGAAGACATGGGCATTTCAGTTTTCATGTGCAGAAACAGCAATTGTTTTTTTTGCATTTTATCTTCAGCTAAGATTCCAACATTATGTCCTTATATTTTATATCGACATTAGCATGCTAGGTGGATACTTTAAGTTATAATTCGCACATTCCATAATGATATTAATATTTAACAATGTTTTGGTAAGGAACTGAACTACATGGATTAATAAAAATAGTAGGTAATGGAAGTGAAGTGAGTCAAATTCTTTCAGTTTGCTTTCAAATATGAAAATAACGGTCAAAATTCTAGAAGCTCCAAGTACCTGCTCTGCTGTAATCCTTGACCATACGATGCCTTGATGAGGATGTACTCAATATCGCTGAGGACAGACATAAAATCCTCTCGCGTGACAGGTTTTTCAGAAACAGAGTTAAAATATTTCCAAAAATTCTGTAGAATGAGAAACACATTCAATTAAGCTCAGAGGCCAAATTCTGACAGGCATAAAACTTATAAAGAATAAATTCTTTTATAAATTTCTCCAGAAATGAGCCATGTTCTGTGCATGCCACTGAGTGTAACTGACAAAGACCTCCTGAAACCTCCATGGACAGGCGCAGTGTCAGTTCCATTATCAATAGATATGCATTACCTAAGGCAGTGCCAGCCACACAGCAAACATCCAGTAAACATCTGCTGGAAGAATAAACACTTCCCAAATCTGAGCAAGTCCAAAGTCTCCTGTACCACTATCTCTATGCAGGTTGAAAATAGTACGCCAAGATAAAGAATTTAAGATGCAGTGCCCACTAAATTGACATAAAACTAATATACATTTCTTGAGAATTTGAAATTCAAACTGTTTTTGGAGATCTTGCTAATCTCACTGGAATTTTGATCCCAGGGTCTTCTTGCTCGGTCTCTCTGTCGCACAAGCTGGAGTACAGTGGCACAATCTCGGCTCACTGCAACCTCCGCCTCCTGGGTTCAAGAGATTCTCCTGCCTCAGCCTCCCAAGTAGCTGGGACTACAGGTGTGTGCCACCATGCCTGGCTAATTTTTATATTTTTAGTAGAGACGGGGATTCATCATGTTGGACAGGCTGGTCTCAAACTCCTGACCTCAGGTGATCCACCCACCTCGGCTTCTCAAAGTGGTGGGATTACAGGTGTGAGCCACCGTACCTGGCTGCTCATTCTCTTATTAATGGCTTTCATCTTTCACTACATCCATAGCAAAGTCAATGTCTTTAAGGAACTTCTATGAAAAGATCCCATTATCACCTCTCTCATTGCTACTTCTTGTTCCTGTCTCACTCCATTCTCTGGGGCTGGTGCATCCATGTAAATGACTTGCTTTCTGATCCGACCACCTTTGATGAGAACTTGAGGCTCAAAATTGGAGGTGCCGACGCCATCCAAAGAATAGAAGGCCACGCTGTACTTCAGTTTGCCACCATAGGCCATGAGCTATCAAATAATAAAGTGTTGTTTACTTCTCTGACAAAGCTTTCATTCAAAAACATTTTATTGCAAGACTGCCACCATAAGAGAGAAATCTTGTATCTTAAAAATACATCACATGGGTGAAATTTGTTGTCTGGAATTTGCTTCCTTCTAATTCCATTTAATTATGGATTATTAAGTTGACCTAAGTTATATAGTTCCTTTCGAGAAAACAAACAAAAGTGAGCTCCAAAATAACAAATCAATGTGGTAGTGATGCAAATTATTTTCAAGCTCCTTTAGATTAAAAATTTCTCTATCTCCAGGAGCACTGGGTGCATATTTGCAAATTGTAAAGATCAGGGTGAATTCACACACAGACTCCAATGTTTATATAAACAAAAATCCAAGTGATGCCTTTCATGATCTTTTATAGTAGTTTTTTCCCCCCAAATGAGTGATAATTTCTTGAAAAGGGACTCCCAGGCCATAGCACCTAGGTTTGTACCAAGAGCATATCAGTAAACACAGTGGGTCCCATACCACGTAATGATATTTCAGTCAATGACAAACCACATATACGACCATGGTCTCATGAGATTATAATAATAACTTTCGCACCTAATGACACATTCCCCTAGAATGTCTCTCCATTGTTAAGTGACACATGACTGTATATGTCTGTTGAATGACTGCTTTAGGAAGAACCAAATTAATATAACGTGAACTTAAAAAACTTTTAAAATTAATGAAAAATTTTAAGGAACCATATATTTGAGGAGACTTTTATGAGCATTAAACTTCTCTGATCCCACTTAAAAGAGGAAATTAATAACTACTTCTTTAAATGACAGGCCGGCCCAGACTATGGTGATTTTAAACAATTTCTGTATATCCTAGGAAGCACCGACTGGCTCTCGGCTGGGCGTGCACCTCACCTGGTCTCCTTGGAACTGCTGCGGCAGCCGCCAGTAAAACGGCTCTGCACGGATGTGCTGCCGGACGGTGGCGGCATCCAGCAGGAAGTCGGGGGCCTGGTAGTAAACCCCCTCGGTCGTGCCCCTCAAGTTACTCTGAGAAACCACACGCAGAAGAGGCTGATCGGAGCCCAGCGTTACCTAAACCACGAAAGGAGGGGAAAGTGCACTTCAAAATGCGAACTTTCCACTCCAGTTTCATTCTTTAGATTCCATCATTGTTTCACAGATGAAACAGCTTCATTATTAAAACAGAAACAGTAAAGACTTTTCCTTTAAACTAAACATCTGGAAGAAAATGAACTGAAAGTGCTTTAAACTACTGCCATTTAGGGCCAAACTGTTGCTACGCTGGGGAAACGTTCAATGATATGCAGAAGACGGCTGAGATTTTGCAGTTCTATCTTCTCTCCAATGAAAGCTTTTCATAGATTAGCTAAGGAACAACATGGACAGCCTTTAGTTCAAGCTCCATTTACTTCCTCGGCCAGCAGAAGCTGAGCTCTGATTCCTGTTCTAACCCAAATTAGCTTCCTAGAATTTTGGATGCCATAAGAGCAAAATTTAATGTGAACACTTGGCTGTGTTTCCCACCCCCACCCACCTCCCAGGGGAGTGGGGTTAGAAGCAGAACACTTTCGCTGTGTGTGACTTACTGGGGTCCTCACGTAGTCCTCCAGCTCTGAGCAGAGGTGGGACAGCCCGGAGCAGAAGCACGGGCTGCAGCCCAGGGGGTTGTCTGCGCGGAGAGCGAAGGTGCCCTCTCGACATTCGTTGCACTGAGGACCAAAGACATTTTCCTACAGGGGAGCAAATAAAGGACTCGTTTTTGCCTAAAAAAGAGATGTGATTTCTGAACAAACAGAGACAAAATAGAGCACAAACATAATTTTAAACATAATTATAGATGCACAAACATTAGTTTCCTCTAGCCAGGCCCGGAGCTTTCTGAGTGTCAGTTTTCTCAAAGATCCAATCAGTGATTCTCAAACACAGATGATTAACAGAATCATCTTGGAAGTGTTTGGAAAATACAGAGTCCCTGATGAGAATGTCCCGAGACAACTCTGGAAGCCGCCTCGAGTCTCCAGGTGATTCTGATGATCCCTGGGTGTGAGAGCCACCGGCCAGGTGATAAATATTATTATTATTATTATTATATTATTATTATTATTATTATTATTTAAGACAGAGTCTCGCTCTGTCACCCAGGCTGGAGTGCAGTGGCACAATCTTGGCTCACTGCAACCTCCACCCCCCGGGTTCAAGCGATTCTCCTGCCTCAGCCTCCCGAGTAGCTGGGACTACAGGCGCCTGCCACCATGCCCAGCTAATTTTGTATTTTTAGTAGAGATGGGGTTTCGCCATGTTGGCCAGGCTGGTCTCGAACTCCTGACCTCAAGTGATTCACCCACCTCAGCCTTCCAAAGTGCTGGGATTACAGGTATGAGCCACCGTGCTTGGCCCAGGTGATTATTAAGACAAGGCCTGCTGCTCTACTCGTCTATCATCACAGCTGTTATCATAAGATGTGGCAGAGTCTGGGCACGGTGGTTCACACCTGTAATCCCAGCACTTTGGGAGGTTGAGGCAGAGGGATCACCTGAGGTCAGGAGTTCGAGACCAGCCTGGCCAATATGGTGAAACCCCGTCTCTACCAAAAATACAAAAATTTAGCCAGGCGTGGTGGTGGGCACCTCTAGTCCCAGCTACTCGGGAGGCTGAGGCAGGAGAATTGCTTGAACCCGGGAGGCGGAGGTTGCAGTGAGCCGAGATTGTGCCACTGCACTCCAGCCTGAGAGACAGAGCAAGACTCTGTCTCTAAATAAATAAATAAGGCCGAAAACGGGGAGACTGATGCTTCCATTACTCCCAGGCCATGATATGTACATGAGTTTTCCTTCCTATCTCCAGTCACCCATCAGCTCATTACCATCATCAAGCCAGAGGGCTCCCATCTCACCACCCATGGGAAAAGGACCAGAGGAGGTGGCTCTGACCTCCTAATAGCAAAGCACATTGGGAAAACTAACGGAAACACACAAAACTTATAATGACATTGAAGTCTTACCTCTTGGGAAAATAATAAACCCCGATTTCCTTCAATGTGGCCAGCACATACGGGAGCCCAATAACCTCACAGGGATCACATCACAAATCCCGAAGCCCTGAGAAACCCACCTCACCTGCATACTCAAGATACGCAGCCACTCAGCCTCTGGGATATATGATTAAAACTTCAGGGCAGTTTTCAAATCAGTTCCATCAACTGACACTAGTAACAGTAAAAATTCAATTTCAAAAATCATCCGTCACTCTAGAGGAGCATAAGAGACTTTGAACTCAGATGCGGAAGGGAGTGTGAACTCACTAGGAAAAGCATCCAAAACCTGGCTGCTTAGGTAAGTAGTCAAAGCCCAGGAGTCATGATGAGGAGCCAGAGACAGGATGAAAGAGGAGGATGGATGGTAAATACCTTGCAAGGGCAGGCCCCGGTTTCCTCCACACAGCCGCAGAGACCCTGCTCCAGGTTGCAGGCGTCCCCCGACGTCCCCCTCAGGTCACAGTCACAGGGAACACAGTCGGGAAAGTCTCTGTAACCCAAGGAACACTGATCGCAGGCCCGGCCACCAAATTTTGACTTGCACTGGCAATGGCCGGTGACCACATCGCACCGATGATGAGTCGACCCCACGAGACTGCAATTGCAGGCCTGAGAGAAGGGAAAACCAACTCAATTAAAAAGGCAGATTTGATGCTTCCAAATGCACACATATTTGAATTACAGGAAAACACTACATGTGGGGAAGTTCTACAAATGAACCATCTCTCTCTTGCTATTGCTGCATGGATTCACGTTGCCATGTGCCAACAGGAGACAGGCATTGTGTTGCCGGAAATCTGTGCATCTTAGTGGCACATGCGCACGGGGCCAGAATTGTGAACTGAAATTAAATCTACTAGGTCAAAACAAGTCTAACGAAATTACTGTAGAAATCAGGCCAGGCACAGTGGTTCACGCCTGCAATTATGGCACTTTGGGATACAGAGGTGGGAAGATCACTTGAGCCCAGGAGTTTGAGACCAGCCTGGACAACATAGTGAGACCCCCGTCTCTACAAATAATCAAAAAATTAGCTGGGCGTGATAGCACATGCCTGTAGTCCCAGCCACTTGGGGGCCTGAAGCGGGAGGATTGCTTGAGCCCAAGAGGTCAAGGATACAGTGAGCTTTGAGGATACAGTGAGCTTTGATGGTGTCACTGCACTCCAGCCTGGGTGACAGAGTAAGATCCTGTCTCAATTAAAAAAAAAAAAAAAGTAATTTCCTCTTGTTTCCAAAACACAAACTATACCCAAATTTAACTGAAGAAGGCTACATAGAAAACTGGAGGCCTCATGGTTTGGACATAAACCCCCAATAAAGTGATTTATTACTTTCTCTTGGAAGATAGTATACATTGCACAATATTTATTAAAGGACACTCAAATATTTTTTGGATTTTCTTTTCTTTTCTTTTTTTTCTGAGACAGAGTCTTGCTCTGTTGCCCAGGCTGGAATGCAGTGGCCCGATATCGGCTCACTGCAAGCTCCGCCTCCCGGGTTCACGTCGTTCTCCTGCCTCAGCCTCCTGAGTAGCTGGGACTACAGGCGCCCATCACCACGCCCAGCTAATTTTTTTTGTATTTTTAGTAGAGACGGGGTTTCACCGTGTTAGCCAGGATGGTCTCAATCTCCTGACCTTGTGATCTGCCCACCTCGGTCTCCCAAAGTGCTGGGATGACAGGCGTGAGCCACCGCACCCAGCCATTTTTTGGATTTTCTAACCATCAATGCAACAACTAGGTTCTTGAAGAAAACCTAGAATAAGGTGTCTTAAGGGTGTCCTGTCTTCCACTTTGATTCCTATCATCTGCATTAAGGTGTATTGTTTTTGTTTTTGATTTTTAAGATAGAGTCTTTCTCTGTTGTTCAGGCTGAAGTGCAGTGTTGCCATCACAGCTCACTACAGCCTTGAATCCCTAGGCTCAAGTGATCCTCCTGCCTCAGTCTCCCAAGTAGCTGAGACCACAGGCGTGTGCCACCACACCAGGCTAAATTTTTTTTTAATCGTTATTTTTTGCAAAGACAGGGTCTTGCTTTGTTGCCCAGGCTGGTCTTGAATTCCTGGCTTCAAACGATCCTCCTGCCTCAGTCTCCCAAAGTGCAGTGATTACAGGTGTGAGCCACTGTGCCTGGCCCACATTGAGTTTTTTTTTTTTTTTTAAATTCACAAAGCTATTCAACAGATTAAAGTCCAGAAAATATATAGAAGAACAGGCCTGAAACTTGCTACAGCAAAGCAACTCTCAGTTAAGCAAGAGCGTGGATGACAGTGCTCACCTGGCACCCCACCTCCGCATCGTAGCCCCAGTGCCCATCCTCACATTCTTCACACTTCACACCCTGTGTGTGAGGGGGGCAGACACACTCTCCAGTTTCTGGGTCGCAGGTATTCTGAGTGTGTGGGCAGTCACAGGCTGAAATAAAGATGAATGCTGGGTTACAGATCTGGGTGATGTCATTAAAGGGCTAAGAGCTGATGCTGTTATTTCCCTTTTATTAAGAGTCCAAGCCACTCTTCTCACTCCTAAAAGACGCCTCACAATTCCCAAGACCCCTCCATGTCTCATGGAGGTAGCCGGCCCTCCATCTCAGGAGATGCTGAGGGAAGCGGGGAAATGGGGACAGGACAGGGGAAATAGAGAAAAGAGTGAAAAAGCCCTCACTAGGTGATCACAGAGGGAGCCAATATTTACTAAGCACTTACTGCAGGCCCAATGCCATGCTGAGGACTTTATATAGAACACTTACACTAACTTCTCAATGCAGATTCTCATTAGCATCCCCATTTTACAGATGAGGAAACTGAGGCCAAGCAAAGTTAAGTAATGAATCTAAGCTCCCACAATTAGTAGGCGGCAGAGCCATGACCAAAACTTAGGCTTGTACCCTGATAGGGACCAGAAACCAGAAAAAAGGTATGAAATCCTCCAGGGAAAGAAGAGAAAAAGTAAAGGCACTTAACCAAAATTAGTTGGAAGTAGAGGGAGGGCCCAAGGAAAGCTCTGGGAATGACTACAAAGTCTCAAACAAGGAAATCAAGGCTTACGTGTACAGCTACCATCCTGGTAGGCGTAGAAGCCATGGGCACACCTGTCACACCTTTTCCCTGCCACACCTGGGACACAGTGACACTGGCCTTCATCCGTGCAGCCATCTGACACGGAGCCTGCCACGCTGCAGTTGCAGGGCCGGCAGCCATGGCCTGAGTCCAGCCCATAATAGCCATGCTGTTTCACCAAAGGGGGAGAAAGTGGAAACCAACATACGTTTTAATAAATGACTCCTCATATTAGTATGTTCCAGAACACACACAGGGTATTTCATAGAATCATAAAGTATTCATGACACCATCCCCATCCCTTTATAGCAAACATCCACTCTCTAGACAGGCACGGCACTTGTCAGCCACACTTTATGACATGGTTTGACTCTGTGTCCCCACCCAAATCTCAAATCGAATTGTAATCCCCATGTGTCAAAGGAGAGAGGTGATTTGATCATAGGGGCAGCTCCCCATGCTGTTCTGGTGATAGTGAATTCTCATGAGATCTGATGATTTTATAAGTGTTGACAGTTACTCTCTCCTGCTGCCTTGTAAAGAAGGTGCCTGCTTCCCCTTCCACCATGATTGTAAGTTTCCTGAGGCCTCCCCAACCATGCGAAACTGTGAGTCAATCAAACCTCCTTTGTTGATAAATTCCCCAGTCTTGGGTAGTATCTCTATAGCAGTGTGAGAACAAACTAATACACTTGGGGACTTAGCTCCTTCTGAGTCATGGATTCAATCGCCTCTGTACCAAGGCTAAGGTGTCAATTAGTCACATGCATCTTACCAAGCACTGGTCACACTGCTGTCCAGTCACGTTTGGTTTGCAGTCACAGAGCCCGGTCTCAAGATGGCACACGGCAGAATGGGAGCCTTTCACATGGCATTCACAGGCTAAACACATGCACACAAAGACATATTAACCCTCACTTCTGAGGATGGTTATCATAAGATCCGTCATCCCCAAAGGAAAAAAAAAATGTAAACTTTCAATGTTTCAAATCACAAAACTAAAAATAATATTATTGGCAATAACTTTAGAAGTTTAGCATTTTTCTGAAGAGTAAACTGAAACAGGGTTAGTGGAAGGATCCATCACAGGAAAAACACATTGAAGCTATTAAGACAATAATTAGCGAATTCGCTTCACCAATTTCATGACTTCCTCGACATATTTTAAATGAGCTACAAATTCCCATGAAAAACATGCAATGGAGATTTCAAAATCAACTTAGCCATTTGCCCTGATTCCAATCAGGTACATATTCAATATTTTAAAGCTCAGTTAAAACGTAATCTAAATAAGTACATATTAATATTATATTTCATAATTTAATGAAAAATATCTTTTCATTAAATATGATATCCCAGTTCTAAGTCATGAGTCATTTGTAGTTTCAGGTCAGATGGTTCCATTTTATCTACAGTTACAACATTGATGCTTAAAGCTACAAAGTTCCCTACCTTTGCAAAGTGATACAATCTTACGGGTCCAAAATATATTTAATCAATATTCACAGGGGAACCCTTAATAAGCACTTCAGTTAGAATATTTAATATGTTGGCTGTGCGCAGTGGCTCATGCCTGTAATCCCAGCACTTTGGGAGGACAAGGAAGGCGGATCACCTGAGATCAGGCGTTCAAGACCAGCCTGGCCAACGTGGTGAAACCCCATCTCTACTAAAAATACAAAAATTAGCCAGGCGTGGTGGCACGTGCCTGTAATCCCAGCTACTTGGGAGGCTGAGGCAGGAGAATCTCGTGAACCTGGGAGGCGGAGGTTGCAGTGAGCCAAGATCACACCACTGCATTCTAGCCTGAGCGACAAGTGTGAAACTCCATCTCAAAAAAAAAAAAAAAAAAAAAAGAACATTTAATATGTTGCCTGACAAAATATTCCAGGTACTCTTTTTTTTTTTTTTGAGACGGAGTGTCACTCTGTCACCCAGGCTGGAGTGCAGTGGCGTGATCTCAGCTCACTGCAAGCTCCGCCTTTCGGGTTCATGCCATTCTCCTGCCTCAGCCTCCCGAGTAGCTGGGACTACAGGCGCCTGCCACCACGCCTGGCTAATTTTTTGTATTTTTAGTAGAGACAGGGTTTCACCGTGTTAGCCAGGATGGTCTCGATCTCCTGACCTTGTGATCTGCCCGCCTCGGCCTTCCAAAGTGCTGGGATTACAGGCGTGAGCCACCGCGCCGGGCCCCCAGGCACTCTTTATAAATGTGTGGACTCAGAACATGTACAGTGTGTGTCATGACATAACAATGTAAGAAAAAAGAGAGAAAAACTTCACAAATAATGGAAGGCCTAAACACGACCTGGAGGCTGCAGCAAGAGTGCTGGACATGGGACATGACATGGGAAGGTCAGGGGCAGAGGAAACGTGCTGGGATCCGCCTCCTTCATGATCTAGGCCAGGCTGGCCGTCTGTTTTCCTGGAGTGGGGGCCTTAATGCTGCAGTCCCACGAGAGGCCCCATTCACCGGTGCCCTTCAGGGACTTGCTCCATCAACCCCGTAGCTGGACCGTGCGGACTCTGCTGCTAACTCCCCAGCACATCCTTCTCCACTGCCCCCATCAAACACAAGACACCCCCTCCCTTTTATCCTCCATCAGAACATCCACCTCCCTGGCACGTCCGTCCAATCCAAGTTTCGCATAGTGTCCTCCTGGCCCCTTGTCTGCTGCAACTGTTCTCCCTAAAGTCTCCAGAGATTTCCCAGGCACCAAATTCAGGGAGCAGACTTCGGTCCCCCTCTTACCCCGTGGCTCTGCGGAAGGGACCCCGTGACCTCCCTCTCCCTTTTGCATCGCCCTCTTCCTGTGGTATTTGGGACGCCCACTCTCCTGCCCTCCCTCTTGTTTCTCGTGTGTCTCCCCTCCGTGTTTCATTTCAAGCCGCCTCTTTCTCTGGGGAATATTTAAAGTTCAATGCAAGTATGATCAATGTAAACTATTGATGATAATTTAAAAAATCATATTCACTGTATGATGTGTCTGTTAGTCTGTGCCTGTCACATTCAGTATTTCTTTGTACTTTCACCACAAACCAAGGAGGGAGGCGAAATAATGTTCTCTATTTTCGGTGTGAAATCTACAACTTGGAAAGATTAGATAACTTTCCATAGGTCACACTGCTATTACTAGTTCTCTCTCTGCAGTAATAATTATTATGGTAATTCTTTTTTTTTTTTTTTTTTTTTTTTTGAGACAGGGTCTCACTCCGTCACCCAGGCTGGAGTGCCGTGGCGCAATCTCAGTTCACTGCCACCTCCGCCTCCCAGGCTCAAGTGATCCTCCCACCTCAGCCTCCCAAGTAGCTAGGATTACAGGCACTCACCACCACGCCCAGCTAATTTTTGTATTTTTAGTAGAGATGGGGTTTTGCCATGTTGGGCAGGCTGGTCTCGAACTCCTGACCTTAGGTGATCCACCTGCCTCAGCCTCCCAAAGTGCTGAGATTACAGGTGTGAACCACCATGCCCGGCCTATTATAGTAATTCTTAATTAAAATAGTATTTATGTTATAAATAGTACTAATTTAAAATAGTGTTATTTTAGGCCAATTACTGAATAGCCAGGTACTTTATATATATTTTAATTCTCAGGAGTAGCTCACAATATAAAAATTATCCTCATTTAACTTATTTAATATAAGAGTCCTTTAATATTAGAGTTCTGTGAGGTTTCTCACCACCCTCATCTCCCTCAGTGCTCTACTCTACCTGGACGGCCTGTCCACACCTCCGGCTGCAGCCGCTGCCCCACAGCAGAGGCAGGAGGTGAACCTGACGATCAGTTTCTCCTCCTACCAAGCTTCAAGTGAGTGAGAGTTATGGGGGGTGAGGGGAAACAGATAAATACTGGGTTGAACTATACGCGCTTGCTTTAGAGAAGGTCAATCACACACAACACCGGCACTTGCACTTGGTTTAACCTAACAGACTATAGTATTATATAAGAATGGGGGGCCCTACAAGAAGTCCACAGAGGGAACCCTGTTATAGAAATGGAAGGACTGCTCGTGGGATATGCAGAAACAGTTCACAGGACTTTGTCTCATCGAAGCGAGGGGATGCGAGAGAAGGGATGAGAAAGGATAAAAGCTGTTAAGTGTTCAGAAACCAGAGACAGCCTGGTCAGCATCAGCCCTACTAGCCCAGGCCCAGACCCAAACCCCAGCTGCTCTAACCGTCCTTCCTCCACCTTCCAACCTGTCATCAAGACCTATTTTACGTCTTCTCTTTTATCTCCATGGCAAAGGCCCTACCTGAAGCCCTCATCAATGCTTACCAGAAAGATTCATTTCGGGTCTTGTCTCCTAACCCAACACCCCTGGCAGCCATTCCCTCCTCAACGCTGGCAGCAGGGCGATATTCAAACACACAGCTCCAATCACACCCTGGCCCACTCCATGTCTGCACAAGTTGCTGGTGAGTCCCAGGACAGGGAGGACGAGGTGACCTCAGCACCTCAACACTGCACAGGAGACCCTTCCGACGTGGCTGCTTCCCACCTATCAGCCCGAGACCTCCCCTCCCTGTCTCTGTCTTTTCCATTCTGGTCACTCTCTCTCCAGTGTCTACCTCGGGCAGGGCCTGCCTACTTGCCTGGGCCCGTCTTCCCACGCTGGTCACTCTTCTTGGGGCTCTTCTTCCCATCCTTCAGGTCTCAGATGAACAGCACCCCCTTCAGGAGGCAGCCCGGGCCACCCTGGGCTGATGGGCCTGCCCGCCTCCGTGCCTTCAAGTGCAACCCCCGACAGTCATTCATCGCCTTGACCTTCACAGTCCTGTCCTGTGGCCGCTAACCACACATGTCTACCAAATGCTGGAGATGTGGCTGATGCAAGCGAAGAACCAAATCTCTGAGTTTAAATTTAAATACTGAAGCGGTTTTGTCAATGTGGATGCCAATATTAAAGAAAATAATTTTTGGTACAGGACGGAAAAATTTTAAATATGTTTGAACTACCTTTTCAATTGTAAATTTTCTGTAATCTACATGTAGATCAAGTATTTCTGAGGAAAATGTAGCATCCTAATTGAGCTGGGCTATAAAATATACACTCAATTTTGATGACTCAGTACTAAAAAAGAAAGTAAATATTGCTTAATACTTTTAAAACCTGATCACATGACAAAATGCTTATTTTTAATATATCAGCTCAGATAGAATGTATTATTAAAATACATTTCACCTACTTCTTTTTACTATTGAAAAATGTGACTACTAAAAAATTTTAAATTACATGGGTGGTTTACATTGTATTTCTGTTGGACAGCAGTGGAGTGAAAATATAATAATATATTATATTATATAATATATATTATATAATATAATAATATATTATATTATATTATATATATTATATATTAGAAAATATAATAATAATTGGTTTATTACTAGTAATTATAATAGCTGCCATTTATTTCATGTCTAGAACTTTAAATGTTACCGCACTGACTTCTCAGAAAGGCCTTGATATACACATATAATTATGTCTATTTTATGAATAACAAAATAGTGGCTCAGAGAGGCTAATAAATTAGCCCAATGTCACACAGTTGGTCCTGGAATAAAACTCACATTAGTCGAGACTCCAACACCTGGATCCACAGGTATGTTTTCCCCCCATACCATCATCATGTGTAGCTTCCCAGTAGACTTGAATCACAATTTCCCAACTACCTGTCGCAGTTCTTAGTACAGTGTCTGGGAAATACCGGACACTTAATAAACAATGAATGAACGGAGGAATGAATCACCAAGGCTTGCAGTAATGATGAAAAGAAATGACATGAAAATGATAAAAACATTCTACAAATCGTGAAGCCTTGTAGAAATGCTGTTATCATAATTATCCTGGTATGATAGCCAGTCAAGGTGGCCACCTGCTGGAGATCAGCTTGATTGGCCCAGGGCCATAAAACATTTCCAATCTCTCCACGTGTGCCTGGGAAAGTATGTTTTCTGTACAGCTGGTGCCCTCTTGTGTCCCCATGTCGTAGTACCATAGTATGACTGGCGTTTATATGAAATACTCAAAATAATTTATAATTGCCACTTTTGTTCTTTCACTCCTTCAAAATCTGAGGGCTGAATCATCCCTCCGGCCAGGTCATCTGCTGTGCAGGAGAATCTAGTTTTCTCCACGATCCATAATTTCAAGGATCGAATTCAGCAGAGTGCCATAGGGGTCGGGCAGTTCTGGCACAGAGGGCTAAGATGCACCACACGGTGCTTTACGCAGTTTCTGGGGTTACAGTCTTACCATTTCCCACCCTTCATCTTGGAATCCCATCTGCCTCGTGCAGCCTCTGAAGCATCTCCCTTACGAATGTGACAGGCTCTGAGCTTCCCCACTTTCATTTCAGTCACGGGGAGCAGAGCCGGAACTCTGTCAAGTCACACTGGCCGCTCGGGTGGCAGGCTGCATCTTTCCAGGCCACTGACCCCTATGGGTTATGACTAACCAAGCTCAGGATAGGGTAGCTAGGGAAGAACTGGGTCGTGGGTCTGTATTTGATCAGAGACCCAGCATTAATGCAAGTAACCCCTCAAGAGAGTGTGACCTCCTAGGCGGGGCCCTGTGTGACACATGTGACTATACGGTTGAAGACTTCCTATGGCAATAAACAGCTGACCTGACTTCACGCTCACGCACTCACCGCGGCAGTTCTTGGCTGTCACAGCGTCCCCATAGAACCCGTCAGCACACCTTTCACAGTGGGCGCCATCTGTGTTCCCCAGGCACTTCAGGCACTCCCCGGTGACTGAGTCACAGTGACCAGCCTCCGAGGGGTCCACGTTGCCGCTGCAGTCACAGGGAACACAAGATTCGCCAGGCACTGTTGGGTTTCCATAGTAACCATCTGCACATCTGTATCAAAGATTGAAAGTGGGATCAGACAAATGCAGTTACTTAAGGCCTTACCGCACTATCCAGGGACTCCCTGAATGGCTAATAAATCAGACGGACTCTGTTCCCTGAGATTTACTGTGAAAGGGATATGACTCCCCACTCGGGCATTCCCAGATCTCCTTCACCTGTCGCGGTGAAGGGGGAGAGCATCCAAAATGAGGCATAAATCCAGGGGACATGCACCTGTTTCCAGGGCCAACTCTGACCCACCCCTGACCACTCCGGATGCCGCACAGCCTCCTGCAGGCTCAGCCAGAGCTGGGCACTGAGACGCACACATAGGAAAGACAGCACTGGCCTTCAGGAGCCAGAAGACGGCTACTAAAGCAAACCACCTGTCATCTCCAGAACAGCCCGGAGCAATGGAATATTCAAATGTGTGAACCACAGATACCGACTCCTTGCTGCTTCCTATTGTTTTTGTTTTGTTTTGTTTTTTGAGATAGAGTCTCACTCTGTCTCCTAGGCTGGAGTGCAATGGCGCAATCTCCACTCACTGCAACCTCCACCTCCCAGGTTCAAGTGATTCTCCTGCCTCAGCCTCCCAAGTAGCTAGGATTACAGGCACCCGCCGTCATGCCCGGCCTTTTGTTTTTTTTTTCTTTTTGTAGAGACAGGGTTTTACCACGTTGGTCAGGCTGGTCTCGAACTCCTAACCTCAGGTGATCCACCTGCCTCAGCCTCCCAAAGTCCTGGCATTACATGTGTGGGCCACCAAACCCGGCCTATTGTTCTTGATGAGAACTCAGATTAGCCAGGAAAAGAGTACCGTTCTTTAAAAATTCCCAGTAAGGTTTAACATTAATTTTAAAACATGAAATACTGATTTTTCTCAATGATTCTATGAAATAACAATTATGCATCAAAACTCCAAAACCACACTTAACTACGCATTTAAAAATAAACACATAGAATTTATATTTAATTTCGAAAATGTGTTGAAGCCAGTGGATGCAGAGTACCTCTCACACCAAGCTCCTGAGTAGCCCGGGGCACACCAGTCACAGACCACTTCATCTCCATCATTGAGGTGGCAGGTGGGGCTGAAACTGTCAAAACATTAGAAATGAACAAAATTTTCCAATGGATGAAGCCGAATTTCTAACTATTTAAAATGCTTCATTTCTACTACTCCTGTGCTTCCAGACCTTCAATGAGACCTCCTTAGCTCAGAATCCGGGGCCTCTGGTCACCCAGCCCACCCTGTGAGTCTCAACCCCTCACAGACTCCTGGTCCCATGATCCAGGCACTGACACTCACTCCTCACTCCCTGCTCCCTACTCCTCTCATTCTCAGCCCACAGCGCGCCTGCTTCTCTCGCTGTCTGCCTGGGTTAACCCAGCTCAGCCCCAGTGCCCAACTCAGCTGATGCTTCCTCCAGGAGGCCTGCTCGGGTGCTCCTAGGATGCTGGGTTCCCCAGCTCGGGTTCCCTGGCACTGACTTCCCACCTCAGAGCACTGCCCATACCAGGGCAAAAGTGAGCTCACTCAAACACAAAGTGGTCAGGAGGCTCTCGCACCTCTCCAGGGACCCCCTGCTAACGGATGCCCCTTCCAACCCTATTCCTAAACCTTGAGGATCCTGTGCAGGGTGGATGACAGTACCCACCCCCAATTTCATCATGAGTAACCCTGACTGCATCCTTTTTATATACTGGGAATTCTTTGAGAGTGGGTGAAGGAAGAGTTCTAAAGGTTAAACCAGCGAGAGACAGAGGCTTTTAAGCTGCTGGCCTGTGGGATGCACTTGCCCCAGTGTGACTATAAGACCTTGCCTGGTACATCTCCTTCCACCTCCCTCCATGCCTTCTGTTCCATGGCCTGCTGCAGTTCCTCAAATGGGCGATGCCTGTTCCTGCTGCCATGCCATGGCACGCCCAGCTCCATCTGCCTAGAACGCCCGTCTATGCTGCCTGTGAAACTCCTTCTCCTGCAAATCTGAGAGAAGAGCTTCCTGCACCCACCTAGGTAGGCTGGACACTGCTCTCCCTCCTCCCCACCATCTGGTGGACAGGCCTCACTACAGTCACGACCACACTGAGTCCCCTGGGGCCCACGGCCAGGTGAGAACAGTTTGCTATTCAGAACACCTGCTGTAAAACTCAGGACACAGTAGGCACTCCATAAATATCTGTTGAATCAATGAATGGATTTAGACTGCTCTTGTTTAGCCTCATGCGTACATATTTTGGTCATTAGATCAAAAACTCCCTAAGTCGAGGGACAATGTTTTATTCCTCTCTGTATCCCTCCACCTCCTAGCCCACTGGTAAGTAGACAACATATACTTGTGAAACAACTGATGACCAAGAGGAATCAAGAGGGAAAACGGCGTGTATAGGTCCTTGCTGGCACACACCTCTTCTTGCCTGCTTTCATAAGCCAAACGTTGGTTTACAAGAAAATAACCCACCCCTCTGTCTTTAATCCAAATCAATTGTCACTGGGCAAAATTCACACACGTATTACACACACAGTCTTGCTCTGAAGTCATTAGTACGCATCTGGGTGGGAATCCTGGCCATGCTGGCAGGAACCGCTGATGAGGTCCGAGGCTTACTTGTTGGAGGCTATGGTGAGAGGGCAGGCGCAGGGCTGGCAGTCCCCAGGTGTCCCTCGGGAAGGCTCCCCGTAGAAGCCGGGCAAGCACTGCTCACAGTGGACGCCGGTGGTGTTGTGCGCACACGCCTAGGAACATGCACCAGAAGAATCAGCTCAGGTTGTCTTAAAGGATTTTCAGATTTATCTATAAGCAACTTGAAGTCCAAGCGGAAAAAAAAAAGACAAAATGCTAAAACCAGTCACCAACCTCTGAGCTATATGAGGAAGGCCTCCTGTTTTCAGATTAATATCAGCAAGTGTAATTTGTATAAATGAGAAATCTGAGAGCTTTCTCTCTGACTGATGAGCATGGACAAGGGCAGGAGATGGAGGATCAAGCTTTTGCAAACATGACAGCAAGTGCTGCTTCGGCCAGAACCTTCCGACTGCTACCTCTAAGGGGAATTCTGATGAAGAGTGGGATATGCACGTGGTCTCACAGTGTCCGCCTCCAACTGTTTTTTAGTTGCAAAAGGAAAGAATCGTTCATATATAGTGGAAAAATTGACCAACACCTTGCCTGTGTAATCAGAATTAATATCACCAGTGAGGGCCAGACAGACACTGGGACTCCCATTGGCAGTGCTCTGAGAGACTCATCCTTGACAAAGTATTCCGGCCTGAATAATCCAAGAGAAACAAAAGAAGGGCCCAGAACCAAGGACATTGTATTTTTTTAAAAAAATGATCATATTCGGCCAGGTGCGGTGGCTCATGCCTGTAATCCCAGCACTTTGGGAGGCCAAGGCAGGTGGATTGCGAGGTCAGGAGATCAACACAACCCTGGCTAACACGGTGAAACCCCATCTCTACTAAAAATACAAAAAATTAGCTGGGCTTGGTGGCGGGCGCCTGTAGTCCCAGCTACCTGGGAGGCTGAGGCAGAATGGCGTGAACCTGGGAGATGGAGCTTGTAGTCAGCTGAGATGGCGCCACTGCCTGGGTGACAGCGAGACTCCGTCTCAAAAAAAAAAAAAAAAGATTATATTATTCAAAATGCCAATAGCATAAAATACAAAGAAAGGCAGTAGAAACATTTCCTGTTAAAAGCCTAAGGAGACACAACAATAAAATTCAACATCTGATCCTAGATGGGGGCCTGTGCTGGAGGGAAGGATGCTATACAGGACATAATTGGGTCAACTGACAAAACTGAGCAACAGGTGGTAGGTTAGAAAAAGTAGAGTACCAGCGTTACATTGACTTAAGTTGATAAGTGTACTATGGTTATACAAGAGACAAGCCTTATTCTTGCAATATACACACCAAAATGGCCATTGTCTATGCAAACTATTCTCAAGGAGTTTAGAAAAACATACTATAATTAGATAGGTAGACAGATAATGATATTAATAAGGCAAATGGGGAAAATGGCAACAACACGGGAGTCTAGATAAATGGCAGGTGTTCTACGTACCACTCTTATTCTTACAAATCTTGGGTAAACTCCTAATTATTTCCAAATAAAGAGCTGGGTTTTTTTTTATGGGGAATGAAAATAACTAGACATGAGAAACAACAACAACAACAAAAAAAAGCGATCCACAATCAGGGGAAAAAAAAAACAAAACCCAGTCATTAGAAACATGTCCACAAATCATAGAGATGATGGAATTGGCAGGCTTTTAAAACACTGTTATAGGCCAGGCGCGGTGGTTCACGCCTGTAATCCCAGCACTTTGGTAGGCCAAGGCGGGTGGACCACCTGAGGTCAGGAGTTCGAGACCAGCCTGGCCAACAGGGAGAAACCCCATCTCTACTAAAAATACAAAAATTAGCCGGGCGTGGTGGTGTGCACCTGTAATCCCAGCTACTTAGGAGGCTGAGGTGGGAGAATTGCATGAACCTGGGAGGCAGAGGTTGCAGTGAGCCAAGATCACGTGACTGCACTCCAGCCTGGGCAACAGAGAGAGACTCCATCTCAAAACAAAAACAAAAAAGCTATTATAAGCATGCTCAAAGACTTGAAGGAAACATAAAAACTGTGAAAAGAGAAATGCAAGATATAAAGTAGGACCAAGTAGAACTTCTAGAACTAGAAGCTACCATATCCAAAATGAAGTACTGAATGGGTGGGCATCGGCTTCGACATTGTAGGAGAAAAGACTAGTGAATTTGAAGACAACAACAGAAACTCAAACTTCAGGAAAAAACAAAAGATCCCAGCCTCTATCATCTGTGGATCAATGTCACGTGCAATTAGATTGGCGTGGGAAGCTGAAAAGCTATTTGGTCAAAACTTTTCATAAGTTGATAGCTACAAACTCACAAATTCTAGAAGCTCAATAAACCCCAGCATAAAGAAATACACACCAAGGCACAGTCAAAGTGTTCAAACCCAGGGACACAGAGACCCTCCTAACAGCAGGCAGAGAAAAAAGGCAGAATAACACACAGAAATAAGCAGATGACCACCAACTAACTTCTCACTTGAAGCCATGTAAGCCACAAGGCAACAGAACAATATTAAAGTACTGAAAGAGAAATCTGTAAAAATCAATTTCAAAACTGAAGGCAAGCCTTTTTCAGATAAAGGAGAGTTAAGAGAATCTGTCAACCAGCAGATCTGCACTACAGAAAGGCTAACAATCCAGGCTGTAGAAAGGTGATACCTACTAGACGAAATCATAGATTTATACCAGCGAATGAAGAGCACTGGAAATGGTACATACATGAAAAAATATGAAAAACCTTCCCCCCCTCATTTAAAACATTCTAAAAGAAAGTGCAGTCGGTGGTTAGGAGGTGTGCAGGAGCAAAGGGGAGGGGTGCGGAGGTCGGCACTGGGGCCAGGACCAGGCAGCACTGACCCCCGGGCAGCTACGGGCTCGAAGGGAGCGGGGCTTGTTCTGCACACGTGTGTCGCTGCTCCTCTTGGTGTGCACCTCAGCTCCCATTTCCCCGTGTCCCCTTCTCCTACGGCCACTCATTTTACATACTTTCATTGGTCATTTTTCATCTAGCAATTTAGTATTTTCAGTTTCTAAACCATATACATTTCCATCATTCCTCAGGTTGATGAAAGTTTTCCCATATACCACATTTAATTTGGAATTGTAAGCATTTGTATTACATCCATTTTACTCCAGGGTTTCATCAGTTTTACTTAGGGTTATCCTAGACCAGAGCATCTAAACTGGAATATGAATCTATTAATAAGTGCACCTGGGTTACCTGTAGACTCTGGTTCAGGGGATCTGAGGTGGGGCCTGAGTTTCTGCACTTCTAGCAAGCTCCCAGGTGATGCCCACACTGCTGGTCCTCAGACAACAGAGTCTTAGACCCTTTTTTCCTTCCCATCCTTCATAGGACCTTGGGTTTGATAATGAATCCAAATTAATTCAAGATGCAACTGGTCTTAGTAAAGGGTTACATGGTTGAGCTAAAAGTATTCTGCAGAGTAACTGCAATTTCATTTTAAAAATATTTGATAATGCTCATTTGGAACATGTCTATGGTATGTTTTCTTTGATCAAGGAGTCAGATAGTGCTTTCTTTCTCTTTGGGGAAACTAGTATGTAGTTCTGTTGAAAAACCCACTGAGGGTCTGTTTCAGTGCTTTTTCAGGCGTGTGCCACCAGCCCTTTACCTGACTGTCCCTGTTGGTGAATCTGGTATGTGAAGGAATGAGACTATTCCTCTCCTTGGGGAGGAAAAACATCTTTCGATTGAAAAAAGAAAGACATGAGGGCCCAAGACATGCACAATTTACTGTGATGCCATTCTCTTTTCTAAATCATGCCAAGCTGCAAGGAAAATACACAGACTTCTCCTTTGAATAAAGAGCTAAGAGAGCTCAGAGAGAAAAACAGGGGCTCTAAGAGCAACTGGAACCTCATCTCTAATGAACTGTGAATAAAGAATTAACTCCTGGAAGCTAGATAGTTATACGCAAGGCCCAGGGCTATGAACAACTACACAAAAGGAAGAATTCAAGCTTGTTTTTACAATATATTAGAAAAAAAAAAACCAGCAAGGTTAGATTTAACAGATATATGATGCTACCACGTTTTTTGTATTTCCTTAAATTCTAATTTAAATTTTTATTATTTTTGCCCTCTCAAACATTAATTAAGAAGGGAGAAATAGTAACTTCAGAGTGGAAAAACCTAGCAGACATCACCTAATTCAAGTGACCCAGATTAAGATCCCCAGGAAGAAGACACAATGATATCCTATCCATCTGCTCTCAATGAGAGGGCACGGCACCTCCACGTCTTCTGGTCAAAAATGTGTAACCTCAACCTAGTCATAAGAAAGCATCAGACAAGCCCTGGCTGGGGGACATTCCACAGAATGCTCAGTGCTCTTCAAAAGTGTCATAGTCATGAAGGACAAGGAAGTCTGAGGAACTTTCCTAGAGGAGAGGAGACTAAAAAGGCAAAGTCACTGAATGGTGTGGGGTCCTGGGTTCGATCCTACAAAAAAAAGGAGCATGAGTGAAAAACTGATGAAATCAGAATGTGGGGTGTAGTTCATCTTATCGTGCTACTTCTTCATTCTGATAACTCCACTCTAGTTATGCAAGATGGTAGCATTAGGGGATGCTGGGGGAAGGTTACTTCAGAACTCTCTGTACTTCTGTAACTCTTTCATAGCTCTTCTGTAAGTCTAAAATTATTTCCAAAACATGTTTAAAGCTATAAAATTATTATTTATTAAAATTAAAGCTTTAAGGCCAGTTGCTATTTAGCATTATCACTTTAATGTGAATATATATTTGTAAACATACATTAATGGAAGCATGAGAAATCTACTCTTTCAGCCTAGCTACAAAAGACATAAGTGGCAGAACCACAGCCTGCTGTACCCCCCACCCCACCCCACCCCAAATGCTGGCAGGAGGCCTTGCAAACCCAAATGGCAAAGGAAAGGAGGTGAAAAAAAAAGCAACCACCTCATCAAGCGGTTGGAAGCTGTGCACCTGAGGAAAGCAATCCTGGAGGGACTGAGTCTGCCCGTAAACCACCCCTTCATGCAATTCCTACAGAAGCTTTACTTACAGAACAAAGGGCAAAACAAAAGTTTTACTTACAGAATAAAGAAAAATTAAGTTCTAAGCCATCCTGGACATAAGCCATCCTGGACATCATTCTAAGATCTTCTCCCTGGGTCTGGTAATTAATTTTCCCTAACTCTGTGACTCAGTCAATCTCTTTTGGAAAAAGCATGAACATTTCCCTGCCAGGCGACCAGGGTACAGCTGATCAGCATATGCAGTCACTCCACCTCTGAGGATCAAACCCATGAGACCCCAGAGTGTGGCCTGGCTTCAGGGCATAGGGCCTAGAAGAATTCCTGATTGAAGTTAAGAAACAAGTCTTGCCCCACACCTGCCCCAAAGTTCATTCTCAAGATTAACTACCTATTTCTTAAGCCCTATTTCAACTCATATTGCATGAAAGAAGTACCTGTTTGATTAATTTATCCCAACTAACTATAAAGCATGGTATATAAGTGAGTGTGATTATACTTTATTCTTCTTCTTAGGGTATATTATGTAATATCATGATTTAAAAAAAATACTAGCATTGTCTGTGGCCTCAGCTACTTGGAGGGTTGAGGTGGGAGGACCATTTGAGCCCAGAAGATCCAGGGCTGCAGTAAGCAGTGTTGGTGCCACCACACTCCAGCCTGGGTGACAAGGTAAGACCCTGTCTCAAATAAATAAATAAATAAATATTAGCACTGTCATCTAAAGATCCTATGCTTTGTATTTAATAAGTAGACAACATTTTTTTACCTTTCTATTGCTTTATAGTCTCAGCAAATAAAAACAATTACTTTATATTAATCTAATAAAAAGAACTATAATGAAGTTGTATATCCCTTTTCCACTATTACCAAAGTAACTTTTTTCAAAAAAAAAACAAAAAAAAAAACGGGAAACATTTCATGACATGAGCTTAAATCTGTAAATTTTCTTTGGGGTCTATGAGGCTAGGGTTATTCCGTGGAGGAAGCACTTAAAAAAAAATCACTTGTACACAGCAAATGGCTCTGAATTGAGGAGGAGAGGGCACCTGAACTACAGTGAGAGACTCACAATGCAAACGCCGTGAACATTACACTCAGCTGCATGGCCGTGGCATTCACAGGGTTGACAAATTCCTCCAAAGAGTATTCCATCCACGCGGTAATAGCCAGAGAGGCACGACTGCAAGAGAAGGGAAAGTCATCCTCTTTCCACTACGTTACAAACAGAAACTGCTCAGTTGCCAGAGTACAGAAATGTCTTTTTTCTTAAACATCTTAACTGAGGTATCATTTACATGCTACACAATTCACCCATTTTAAGTGTACAATTCAATGACTTTTAGTAAAAACCTTACCGAGCTGTGCAACCATCACCATAATCCAGTTCCTTATTTCTTTTTAAAGGTAGAAACACACACACAAAAACGTAATGGTTGTGCAATGAGTCTTACGGCCTATTCTTGTTATGGTATTAATATCAATATGTTTGTCCAAGTGATTTCAAAATATTTTTAGCAACAGATTACTTTCATTGAGGATTCCAAGCGCATTTTCATATATTTCACATGTAAGGTGGAGCCCACCAAAGTAAAATAGCGAGGGGCCATAAAAGGTCTCAAAATAGGGCTGGCTTGTCTAAAGCTACCCAGGTCACATGCTGGTGATTTGTAAATGTTCAGATATGATCAAGTTCCATCCTCCTTAGAAACACAGTCAATGGCATGAGTATTGCAAGTTTCTTGTTGACTAAGGCAAGAGGGCAGCACTAAGTCAGAATATTGTCCGGTGCTCCAGCCCATTCCTGGTGGAGGAATCTGATTTTTTTAAACAATGTGACTTCTAATATTTCTATTGCCCAAAAAAGACTGAGCCAAACATTGGGCTGCTAAAGCTAAAAATCAAATGTTTGCCATGACATCCCCTTCAGTGCACTGTTTTCCCCTTAGGAAGGAACGAAAGGAAAAAGACAGGAAGAGAGAAGCGTCACCTCACAGGAGGTCCCTGTGTAGCCTTGCGGACATTCACAGTGCTCCACATCAGCGGCCACCACCAGGTCGATGGCATTAGAGCTGGCTATGTCCAGAGAGACGGACTCCAACCTACAAATAGACAGATTGTTATGTGACTCACACGCTCGCAAATACATCTCACATCTCAATGAAGATGGGCTCCTAAAAGATTTAAATCCGGCCGGGCGCAGTGGCTCACGCCTGTAATCCCAGCACTTTGGGAGGCCAAGGTGGGTGGATCACGAGGTCAAGAGATCGAGACCATCCTGGCTAATATGGTGAAACTATTAAAAATACAAAATTAGCCGGGCGTGGTGGCATGTGCCTGTAGTCCCAGCTACTCAGGAGGCTGAGGCAGGAGAATCGCTTGATCCTGGGAGGCAGAGCTTGCAGTGAGCTGAGATCACGCCACTGCACTCCAGCCTGGGTGATAGAGGGAGACTCTGTCTCAAAAAAAAAAAAAAAGACTTAAATCCAATAAAAGGGTGATGTGATTTTTGTAAATAACTAAAGGTCTTTCACAACAATATATTATCTGGGAGCCATCATTATTCCCTGGAAATGCCTTCAATGTTTGGTACAAAGTCATGCTGCTGCCCATAGATGACTGTGGGAAAGGTCTGGTGTTGCCTATTTGGAGTTGAAGCACCTCAGAAAAATTAATCCATTCAATTATCACAAATAGAAAGATTACCCTTAAATGTGTCATGCTATGTTTGTGTTAGATGCATACAACTTTTTTTTTTTGAGACAAAGTCTCGTTGTGCTGCCCCAGCTGGAGTGCAGTGCCTTAACCTCAGCTCACTGCAACGTGCACCTCCTGGGTTCAAATGATTCTCATGCCTCAGCCTCCTGAATAGCTGGGACTACAGGCATGCGCCACCATGCCTGGCTAATTTTTTGTATTTTTAGTAGAGATGGGGTTTCACCATGTTGGCCAGGCTGGTCTCAAACTCCTGACCTCATGCAATCCACCTGCCTCGGCCTCCCAAAGTGCTGGGATTACAGGTGTGAGCCACCATGCCCAGCCTAGCTGCATACAACTTTTATGCTTGGCACGGCATTGCCAGAAATTGTCCTCCCGAAAGTAATCAAATGACCAACGATGGATACGTTCACTTAAATGGACTGAGTAAAAGCTAAGACCATTAACATTAGGATGGTGAGAACCAGGTGCAACATGGTCCAGACAATCGCTAACTCATCGTGCATTTCCCAGAAACCCCCTTTGAAAGTTTCTCATCCTAATGTCAAGTCTGTCTTCTACTGGATACACTTGATGTGGATAACTGTTCTTACGTTTTCAATAAAATTACATTTATAAACTTAATAATTCTTAAGACAGCCAGATCCTGTAGCTGTGTCCTTAATATAATGAATGTAAAATACGTTGAGCTTTAAATATATATGAATAAACAAACATAAAATGGAAGTACCTTCACCGTAAGTTTTTCCTCCATTTTCAATACATACCTGTAAAGAGCCATTTTTGCAGAATTGTAGTTGGCTCTGATCAAAAGATGTGTCACATTGGCAAGGACAGTCATCAGCTGGTCACGATCAATCTGCCTTTTGCTGTGAAAATCTTGGAAGTTTTCAGGCACAAGTCTAACCACGTTTAGGTACTCTTCATAAGGCTGCAATGACAGACCCTCAGCCTGTGTGCTTAAAGTGAGTCCGTTTCCCTAACATTTAAAAACAAGAGAAAATATATTTGTCATTCAATTTAATGATAAAATAAAAATAAAATCAAATTTTGTATTCAGCAACGTGGTTTTTCATTCGTGCCTAGCTTCTTGTGGCAAACGTGTAATGGTGTGTACAGCTCTTGGCCCAGAATTATCAGAGAAAAGGTGTTTCATTGTATTATTTTTAGAGGGGTTCTGGTAATAAACTGAAAGCCTGTGTACTTCGCTGGGATCTTGGAAAAGAAAGAAAGTCGTGCAGTTGCCCACAGCTTTTATCAAAGCAACCCATCTGACACCTCTAATCTTTAACTAAAGTACAGAAGTAGAAAAAGTATGTAAACATAGCTCCAGCTTTTCATCAAGTTGCTGTTCACAAAAGTGATTTACCGTGTGCGGTCTGCAATTGGTCAGGCTGGAGATGGAGGTGAAGATAGCTCCAGGTGAAAGGACATGAGAGACAAGAACCTGGAGTGGTTTCTGCCCAGACATGCCCCAGACCCTGGGACATTACCACTTGGGGAGTCCTCCTGACTGAGCTGGATCTTTTTATGGAGACTGAGGATGTGGGGATAGGGACAGAGGCTGAGGACAAGTATGGCAACACGTCTACTGTCCTCAGACCGCCAAGTACTGCCTAATCCATTCATCTGAGAGGCAAAGTGGCACAGGGAAGAAGAGACTTCAAAAAGAAGATTCAAGGTCAGAGCAAAAATTTGTCTCCTTTTTACTTAAAATTTTTTTTTTTTTGAGATAGGCTCTCTCTCTGTCACCCAGGTTGGAGTGCAGTGGTGCAATCACAGCTCACTATAACCTTGAACTCCTGGGCTCAAGCCATCCTCCTGCCTCACCCTCCCGAGTACCTGGGATTACAGGCACGTGCCACGGTGCCTGGCTAATATTTTTTGAGAGACGGGGGTCTCACTATGTTGCCCAGACTGGTCTCAAACTCCTGGCTTCAAACAATCCTCCTGTCTCAGCCTCCCAAAGCACTTACATTATAAGCATGAGCCACCAAGCCCAGCTCCCTTTCTTTTTAAATGTGAAAAGATGGGTACACCCTGGAGATGAAGAGAAGAGTGGCGGGTGCTGTCCTGAGGCAACTCCAGAAATGGGCTCAAAGACAGATTCTCACACTCACCATCTCAGTAGTCCCCACGCAAGTCCAGGGTCTACTGAATGGCCACCTGGCCACCAGCTCCTTGCTGGGATGTCCTCACCTAGTAACTTTCAGTCATAAACTATCAGCCCACTAAGCCCTAAGCTCTATAGCAGAATCAAAGCAAAAACAATCACCTTAATGATGACGTCAGCATGCGACATGAGGTTACTGTCTACCGTCTCTACCGGAATATCGTAGGACACCGTGTATTTCAGGAATCCGCCAAACGCAGTCAGCTGAAATGTTTAAGCGAGAATGAACACGAAAGGGGAAGACAATCACAGCAACAATCAAGTAAGAGGAAGTGGTCACTGGGATCCATCTGCAAACAACTAGGCTACAACTATCCCCTTGACCATGACAGACAAGGAAATTCACATTAAAGGCAGTGAAAGGGGAGTATATTCATAAACATTTTGGTTAATCAATATTACCAACATGCAGGACACTGTTTGAAAGCACAGAAGAAAAATGTACTCTTTGTTAGAGACCACAAGGCAAATTACTATAAACTTTTGTTAATCACACAATAGATATTTACTTCGGTTAAGTAATTTAGGGGATGAGGAGTTTGACCCATGTCTACAATCTCCACATTTTCATTTCAGCATCCTCCTCATAGGACAACAAAGAATATGTCTGATTTGCTAGTTAGAGAAAGGACTAAAGGTGTTTCTTCTGATTAGATGTCCTTCAATATAAAATTAAGATTTTCTTTCTGATGGGTATATGACAGCAATATATTGTTCAGAACCCAACTTTGCACCATAAAATTGGAGAAGTGATATCAAGAGAAAAAAAAATCATTGAACTCTGTTGATAAAATCATATCAATAGAGCACATGTTCTAGGATTATAATTTGAGAAAAAAATAATTTTCAAAAATAAATACTCCTTAAAAATATACAAAACAAGTTTTAAAATGAAAATATCATCAAATTAAATAGAAGCGTACCAAGCTACAAGACTACACTAGCATGCCTGTATGCCATTACTTTAAAACAAAACAAAACCAAAAACCCGGGAAGGTAAGCAGGGAGCTATAATAATTGAGATGCATTCTCGGGAATAAATTTTCGTATCAATCAGAATCTGGAGAGATGCGGCATAAGTGGGGAGGGGGGAATGGGAACACATCATTGCAAGGAAGGCCCAAGCCTACAAACCAACCTCCACATTGCAGAATCACCAGTTTGCATTTTCTTGAAATATAACAAAAGCAGAAAGTATTCCATCTGTTCCTAAATGTGAGCTTCAGATGAGCACAGCCTGCCACGGTACTCAAAGTGAGGGAGCAGCACAGCAGTCCCATTGCTGGAACCTTCCCTGGGTTGTTTCTTGTATGCCAGGCCCTCCACTAAGCCATGGAGGCTCTAAGCTGAGCCTATGGCAAACTAAACAAAGCGGGAATGTGAGGAACACTTCATAAACAAGTGATCCAGGGACCCAGAAAGTTTATCTCAGAGACGGGGATGAGACTTCACCAAACACACTGCTCAGGAACCAGACCAGAAGAGCAGAAGTTCTTATTTGAATAATACAACATAAAGTCTAACAAGGCTAGAAAACCTTCTTTGTATCATCAGATGCAAGTACAGGCTATGAAATGCTGTCCAACACTCAGGTGCCCTATGAGACTACCTAAAATGCAGGCAGCGCAAGTTCTTTCTCAGTGTTCCCTGAGATCTTCATCTGAGACATCGCTACCTGCAGGGTCACACGCACCTTATTTCCAAGGTAGGCCTCGGGGGCTGCCCAGTAGTACTTGGGAGCCAGTCTCTGCATGACCGCGGTGTTGTTGATGCTGACCTGATGGCGCCCGCCTAGTGCATCTTGCTGAGACGGGATCTTCCTGGGACTGATCAAGTCGGTGACCAGCCACCCGGACATACTGTTTACCTTAAAAACAAATTCAAGAATTTTGAAGTATGAAATAGAACTTACCTTAGATTTCACCCAGTGCAGCAGTAATATTTTCACAATGAAGAAATGGGCCAGAAAGCTTCTCTAGGGATGGCATTAACATAACACCTGTGGCTGCTGAACCTCATGACCCTTGACCCTTCCACTTGTAAAGGACCAGGAGGACCTGAGAACAAGTCTCACTACTCCAAATCCAGATCCAGTATAAGCAAATAAATGAGCAAAACCATAAAGGCCATGGGTATAGATTTTAGATTTAAAACAACAAAGAACATCATAAATGCATTCAGCAAAATGTCTCTTGCTAAGTCTGACTCCCTCTTCTTCGTTGCCCCCTGCTTTTTACCCAAATGTTGAAAAATGTACAAAGATAACCTCTAGATCTTATACTCCCAATGCGTCACCGACATAGAGGTGATGGTACTCCCCCCAGCGTGGTGTCCACAGCAGTCACTGCTGGGTAAGTCCCTACCGAGCAGCTCCTCCCTTGCCTGCAGCCATCACACCATCTCCACCTCTCCTAGCCACCACTGGACACCCCTGTTGAACCCATCACCCCAGAACTCCCTGTTCCGGAAACAACTTGGCCTGCATTCCTAAACCCTGCACCACGTGCCGCTGTTCCCACCCTCGCCACTGGAGGGCCTCCTACTCCTTAGCGTCTTTGAGCTGGAAAATCCCCATGGCCCCACGGCCCTCTGGGCTCCCAGGCCTGAGAGCAGCAGGGGCGGGCGGAGGGAGAGCCGACCTCCCCACCCAATCCATTTCCCCACAGAAGAAATTGAAACAAGACGTGTTCTCTAGTGCCACATCATCCTGTTTTTTCCATAGAGAAATGTGTGTGGGAGTAAGCACATGACCTATAAAGAATCTTGAGAGGCAGACGGCTGCCTTTGACCCACGTCAGTATCATTGCATAGCGATGAGAGTGGTGTCACGGGAAGTCATCCTCATTTCCTCCTCACACAGCTCGTGCCAAGCTTGTGCAATACGACCTGCTCATTAAATCCCGCCGCGCAGATGGCGCCTCCCACCTGACCAACAGGCCAAGAGAGGCTGCTGCAGACATCAGAAACGCCAAAGCAGAAGCACTCGGAGCAGCCCCGGGGGTTTTTTTCCTTCAAGTTATAGAATCCTGGCTTGCAGCGATCACAGGCCTTCCCCTCAACGTTTTCCTGTAAGTTAGGGTAAAAGATTAGCTTTTGAAACCAATGTGTCTGTCCAGAGAGAATAAAATGACATTAACAAGATAGGTGTTCGGTGATCCACAGAGACAGGTGAATAAACGTCCAAAGTAAAGGTGAGGCCTCATAAAGTCAATATTTCCAGAATAGAGATTTTGAATTATATATAATTTGATTTTGTACTCAAGAACAAGGCTGGAGATCTTAGAACTCGGTCATTCCATTTAAATTGTTTTGTTTTGTTTTAAATTTTTCATTTTTTTACTGATCTTTCCAGCATTTCAAAATCTGAAGAGAGCTATAGAATTTTCTCTTATTCATAAATGCTCAAGATTATTTCCAGTAGTATATAACATGTGCCTAAGACTGCACAGGTGGGAATAAGCACATAGGTACAATGGAATGTCCTATGAATTATGAAGAAATTGTTATTAATATTGTAAGGCCAAATAAAACCCCTCACTGGCACCATATTAATGCATTTCTTATGACTATTCAACTCCTTTTTAACAGACACTCAAAATAGCATATCTGCGTTTAATTGGTGTTCTCAGAAATTTAATGTTAATCTGGTTCTCTTCCGAATACAAAGCTGGAAAAGAATACCATAGAATTAAGCTAGGGGTCAACAGCATCTCTTTTGCAACTACTCAACTCAGCCTTTATTGGTTGAACATAGTCATAGAAAATACATAAGCAAATGGATACAGCTCTGTTCCAATAAAACTTTATTCACAAAACAGGCAGTGTGTCAGATTTGGCCCACGAGCCATAGTTTACCAAGTCCTGGTTTAAAGAAAGAAAACAGAGATGAGGCCCACAGAGGAGGTGGGAATATAAAGGTATGCAGTGTTTGGTGTCCTCTAAGAAGTCACAGAAATGCCTCTGGAATATATCACCATTACCAGAGGTACAAAAAAAGAAGCCAGATGCCCATGTGAGTCCAAGCATATATAATACAGCCAACTCGGTGTGGCTTGGAGAGAAGGGGCAAGGGGAGTTCTGCTTAAACCTTACCACTTTGCTCAAGAACTGATCATTGGAGCCAATGGAAAACACTCCTTTTCCAGAGAAGCTCAAAGGAAGCTCAGGGGTGTCTCTGACCTCCCCACTTACCTTACAAACACAGGGCCCTGTGCAGGGCTCATCACTGGCACTGCCCACTGGGTTGCACCCACAGGAGACACAGGTCGGGTAATCCTTATAGCCAAGTTGGCAGCGATCACATTTTTCTCCTGTATAACCTTCCTTACATGGGCACTGACCTGGCTGCTTCCCTAGAAAGACAACAATGGCAATGACCCAACATGAAGGCAAAAGAGGTTTAAAGCAGGGGTTGGCAAATGTTTTCTGTAAAGGGTCAGAGGGTATCTATTTTAGGCTTTTTGGCCTCAGAGTCTCATTTGCAGCTGCTCAGCTCAGCCATTATTGTTCGAACACAGCCATAGAGAATACACAGGCAAATGGCTATATCTCCATTCCAATAAAACTTTATTCATAAGAACAGACAGTGTGCTGGATTTGGCCCATGGGCCATAGTTTGCCAATTCCTTGTTTAAAGAAAGAAAACAGAGATGAAACCCGTGGAGGGAGCTGGGAATATAAAATGGTAGAGTGACTTTGGAAAACCTTTTGACACTTCTTCAAAATGTTAAGTTATAGAGTTGCCATAAGATCCAGCAACTGCACTCCTAAGTAAACACCCAATAAAATAATGAAAACATACACCCACAAAAGTCCCTAGTAGCATTGTTCATAATGGCCCCAAAGTAGAAACAATTCAAATGTTCATCAACTGATGAATGGATATATGAAACATGGTATGTCCATACTATGAAATATTATTTGGTAATAAAAAGGGTTGAAATACTGATACATGGTACAACACGGATGACCTTGAAAACATTATACTAAATGAAAGAAGCCAGTCACCAAAAACCAACATATATGGTTCCATTTCTAAGTTCAGAATAGGTAAATCTGCAAAGAAAAAGGTAATTAACGATTGCCAGGGGCCGGGAGAAGGGGCTGGAGGAAAGTAAGAAGTGACAGCTAGTTTGTAAGGGGCTTCTTTATGGGATGATGAAAATGTTCGACTCTTAGATTGTGGTGATGGTTGCACCAATACACCAAAACAATGAATTGTAGACTTCAAATGGGAGAACTGTATCGTTGTAAATTATAAAACTGTTTTGTAAAAAAAAAAAAGCACAGAGGCAAGTGGCAGAGAGCAGCAAGCACTATCTTTGCTTTTAATGTCAGTTTTGAAACCTTCAGGCAGTTAACCTTCTTGACTGCTCTGAGCTACAGCAAAGTGGGTTAAGTAATTTCTATCTGCTATGGTTGCAAAGTTTAAATGATATATTTTTTTAAATGAACTCAATTGAGGGTAAATGTCACCACCACTATCACCATCATCATCTTCATTATTATCATCGTCATCATCCCCTCACCAGGTGCACGTAAGAATCAATTCAGTTGGGTAATTTACCCTCCCCATCGCTGGGGGGCCCACCCATCCCTACTGGTCGATATCCATTTTAACTGCCAGTGGCTGAGAACTTGATGGGGTCACAAGAGTCTTTGAACAGACGCAACCTATTCAGGAGACTCTGGTATTTGCAAGTCAATTTGCCAGTTTTTGAAACGGAAAGAGAACTCTGACATTTACCAAGTTAATGGGAGGACTTGCTTGATCTGTGAGATGATTTATGCAAAAGCCCTCCAAATGTCTTCTAAAAGCTAAGGAGAGCAATTGCTATTTACTGTGTTCCACGCATGGCTTTAAACTGGGCCTTATTTCTTCCTTCACCAAATGCTCAATTATCTGCTCAAATGTCATTTCATCACCCCAACATTGTCACCTCATTACCCCATCTCCCTCCATTCATGAGTCCTAATTTTGCTTTATGTCCATGACACTACCTCTCGACCTGGCATTATATTACCCATGTACCTGTTTGTTTAGTGTTTTTGTGAGCAAGGACTTTGACTACCTTGTTAAGTACACATTCCCAGGTCCTCAAAAACTGCCTGACACATAGTAGGTGCTTGATACGTACTTGGTGAACAAAAGAATCAATAATCATGTTACCAACTGGCTATTACCATTAGTTCCAGTATGTGCAAATCTTCCACACACACACAAAATCAATTACAAGCACAAAAGTGAATCAAGTACTTACCATTGTGTAAGTCAGAATGGAGGTCATCCTTAATACAGACAGAACTGAGGGACCCCACAGGGTCACAATTACAGGGGCGGCAAGGCTCATCCTCATAAGGAGACACCTGAAAGGCAGAGGTTGCCCTGGATTCTCTTACTAGAAATAACAGCAATGTTGGCAATAGTATAAATAAGAAGGTATTGGCTTTTTACTCAAGATGGGACTATTACGATGATTTTGTGCATGGGGGTGGGGGTTAGGTTTGAGGAAGATAAGATGATCCCAAGCCAGGAAGCCCAAACATCTTTTTGATGGTGGCAGTAGTTAGTACCCTTAGCAAAGTGTCATCTTTTTCTATTATCCCTGCTCTCCAGCCCCCCTCGCGCTGCTGTCTCTCAGAGCCACGTTATAACCAGGACACCACAAGGACTCATGTAAGAACTACATATCAAGTCAATTAAAGATTGGCTGAACACGGCCAGGCGTGGTGGCTCACATCTGTAATCCCAGCACTCTGGGAGGCCAAGGCAGGCGGACCACAAGGTCAAGGGATTGAGACCATCCTGGCCGACATGGTGAAACCCTGTCTCTACTAAAAATACAAAAATTAGCTGGGTGTGGTGGAACATGCCTGTAATCCCAGCTACTCGGGAGGCTGAGGCAGGAGAATCGCTTGAACCCGGGAGGTGGAGGTTGCAGTGAGCCGAGATCGCACCACTGCACTCCAGCCTGGCGACAGAGCGAGACTCCGTCTCAAAAAATAAAAATTAAAAAAAAAAGATTGGCTGAACATCTCCTACAGGCAAGAGACAGCTGCTTTAGTTATAGCTGAATTTTCACATCTGTAGTTAGTATTATGACCCAGGATTACATAGCTAATGGACCCCTGAATTCAAGATAAATAACAATGACTGACATCTTATTTTGAGCAAGAAAAGCAGGATAGAGTAGGAAATATATATATAAAAACACTACTGGCATAACAAGGATATAAATGAAATATTACAAAAGTCTCCAATACAGAGGTTAAGACTTGACAAAGTCTCTTTTCCACCTGGGGAAGATGATGAAGATCAGCAATGGCAAAGAAATACTCTTACTTTGTGTGGTCTATAATATCCATCAATACAGGTTTCACAGTTGATTCCCATGGTGTTCTGCAAGCAATTTATGCAAACCCCTCCTCCTCTGAACTGTCCAGCAGTATTCAAACTTTTCTTCTGCTTTGCAACACTTTCATCATAGTAACAGTCTTTGGCTTTATTGTGACAATTACATGCTAGGAGAATATTTTTAACATCTCAATTAATTTACATAGCATGCCTTATACAAAGAAAACTCTTAACCTCCCTAAGTAAGTTCTATGATTTTAGATTAAATTAAAATCCTAGAATAAGTAATTTTAATAAGATATGGGCAGTATTATGGAGGACAATTGGGAAGAGCTATTAATATCAAAATAATAAATGCACATACCCATTTGACCCAGCAAACCATCTCCTGGGATTATATTTCGCAGAAGTACTTGCCCACTTGAGAAGGACACATACAGGGTTAATCACTGCACCATTGTTTGTGTGGACAACAGACTAATAACCATCAAAATAACCGCCGATAGGTGGTTGTTTAATAAATTATACTACATTTGTATAATGGAATTCTGTGCAACTGTTTTTAAAAACAGCATTTCTAATTGCTAATATGGAAAGAATTTCACAATACATTGTTAAATATAAAAAGCGATGTGGGCTGGGCGCCATGGCACACGCCTGTAATCCCAGCACTTTGGGAGGCCGAGGCGGGCGGATCACGAGGTCAAGAGATGGAGACCATCCTGGCTAACACAGTGAAACCCCGTCTCTACTAAAAATACAAAAAAATTAGCCGGGTGTGGTGGTGGGCACCTGTAGTCCCAGCTACTCAGGAGGCTGAGGCAGGAGAATGGCATGAAGCATGAACCTGGGAGGCAGAGGTTGCAGTGAGCCGAGATCGCGCCACTGCACTCCAGCGTAGGTGACAGAGTGAGACTCCATCTCAAAAAAAAAAAAAAAAAAAAAAAGCGATATGTACAATGGCATGCATAGTACATTGTCTTCTGCGTAAGAACTGTGTTGGCTGGAGGGATATGTTAACATATGCGTTATATGCATAACAATTTTAGGAAGGACATACTAGAAAACAATAAAAAGTGCGAAGGAGGGAGATGAAGTGGAAGTCATGCTTTTAACTACATACTTTTACATATTGTTAGATCTAGGAATCTTGTGAATATATTGCTTATTTAAAACTTAAATCCAAATCAATACAGAATATACAACCTGGCATATCCCATGGTAAAAAAACAAAAACAAAAGTAAAATTAATACAGAATAATAGACTATACGGGAAGGGGGACTCATAGATAAAACAGCAAACCCATAAAGATACATTTAGGCCACAATAGTTAAAATTTTAAGGTCATCTGCAGCTTTGGAAACTACTTAAATTTCTAAGAAAACAAGTTACCTGCTAACTATAAAAGTTGTTAAGACACCATAAACTTGGGACGTATTAAGAGGAAAACTGTACTGACCTTCAGATTCTAAGTATACTGACCTTCACATGTATTGCCGGAGGACACGGTTCCCGGCCTCCAGGGCTGCTGATGGTACCCAGGACAGCACCTGTTACAGCTCTCCCCGCAAGTATTATGCTCACATTGACACTGCAGTTTCTACACAATAAGGAAGCCAAAACTGAATTAGAAAATGTATCTGCTTATGTTTCTTAATTTCATGGTAAAAAGAACCTATCTGTCAAATATGTGGCAAGAACCTCACAACAGAGGATATATGATTATCATCAAAGCAAACTGGCATTTAATTTTTAGATGCCAATATATACAAATAACCTGGTTACAAACAGAAATGAAGAGGAATAAAGCAAAACCAGAATACGACTTAGCTAATAAAAACTTTTTTTAAAAATATACATGGAACTTATTAAGGGTTTAGAAACTCCTATTAATAATTTTCTTAGTGTTCATCTACAGATTTTTCAGCATCGATAACAGAATAGTCCTATTCAAGAGGTAAAGAATTACAAAGATTAGAAGAAAATAAGAAGTAACTTCATGCAAGTGTTTTAAAAGGGAAGATGCCAGGACCAGCCTGGCCAACATGGTGAAACCCCATCTCTACTAAAAATACAAAAAATTAGCTGGGCATGGTGGCACGTGCCTGTAATCCCAGCTACTCAGGAGGCTGAAGCAAGATAATCCCTTGAACCCAGGATGCGGAGGTTGCAGTGAGCCGAGATTGCACCACTGCACTCCAGCATGGACAACAAGAGCAAAACTGTCTCTAAATAAATAAAAATTTTAAAAAATAAAAGGAGAAGATGTCATATTATTCATTTAATGTAATGCTAAAAGAGATAAACTGTTAAATCTTTTTTTTAAATTTTTTTATTGAGACAGAGTCTCGCTCTGTCACCCAGGCTGGAGTGCAGCAGCATGATCTCAGCTCACTGCAACCTCCACCTCCCGAGTTCAAGCCATTCTCCTGCCTCAACCTCTCGAGTAGCTGGGACTATAGGTGCATACCACCACGCCCCACTAATTTTTGTATTTTCAGCAAAGATGGGGTTTTGCCATGTTGGCCAGACTGGTCTCAAATTCCTAGCCTCAAGTGATCCACCCGCCTCTGCCTCCCAAAGTGCTGGGATTACAGGTGTAAGCCACCATGCCCCTTTTAAATCTTGATTTAGCACCAAAAAAAACGGAAGGGGAGAAAATAGGAAGAGAAAACCTTTCTTCTAAAAAATATAAACATAATTTATAATTGCACTTTTTTTTTTTTTTACTTTCTTACAGACAGAAGGGCTTCAAAATTAATAAGGCCACTGAACTGTACACTTTCAAATGGTAAACTTTATGTTAGGGATATTTTATCACATAAAAAAATCATTGTAAGAACTTAATTAGAAACATATCCTCCAAAGCAAAATGAAATTGTTTAAAAATGACACAAGTTAAATTTCTGAAAATCTGTTTTTTTGGAGCATAATTTTATACCTTTCATGTTTGTTTGGAATAAAAAAGAGTAATGCAAATATTATAGCTACAATTTCTGTTTTGAAGTTTTAGTAAAATGTGAAATACTAGAACTCACCTTTGTAGTTTCATCCCATGGGCAGCTACTAGCATGGCCATAGCAGATACACATGCCTCCAACAGAAATGTCCTTTATTGAATAATAATACTAAGGAAAAAGAAAGTTATGAACAAAAATTAAAACCTAGATTTCAGTGAAATGAAAATGTTGGCACACCAACAAATATCTCATGTAGTTTAAGAGTTTTTATTGGTAATCTAAAATATAATTACATGTACATTTAAAAATTATATTTCATGCACAAAGAATCCTGTGCTCAATTAAAATAAATTAGGCTCAAATTAGCTCATCAGAACCCAAAGAAGTCTAAAAGAATTCCCCAACTGCATCTTAAACCAAGTCAGTAATGTTTCAAAACTCATTATTGAAAACCGTAAAATAATTGGCAAATTGAATACAGCACTCTATAGAAAAGATCATGAACAAGTAAGAGTTACCCTAGAATGCAAAGTTAATCTACCACACAAAAATCAAGAAATGTAAATCACATTAACAGAACAAAGTGCTTTCCTCTGAAGAAATGCACTCACCAGTTCTCTATGTTTTTACATGTTAGTGTTAATAGACTTCTTTTTAGATTTCATTTTCCATTGTTCATTGCTAGTGACTAAAAATGTGATTCATTTTTGTTCATTGATTTTGTATACTGCAACACTGCTAAATTCACTTGTTATTTCTGGTAGTTGCTTTGTAGCTTTTCTACATACATAATCATGTCATCTACAAATAATAACAGTTTAGTCTTACTATGTGTGCCTTGATTTCTTTTTTTTTTTTTTTTTGAGACAGAGTCTCGGTCTATCACCCAGGCTGGAGTGCAGTGGCGCGATCTCAGCTCTCTGCAACCTCTACCTCCTGGGTTCAAGCTATTCTCCTGCCTCAGCCTCCTGAGTAGCTGGGATTACAGGCATGCGCCACCACGCCCAGCTAATTTTTGTATTTTTAGTAGAGACGGGGTTTCACCGTGTTAGCCAGGATGGTCTTGATCTCCTGACCTCGTGATCCACCCGCCTCAGCCTCCCAAAGTGCTGGGATTACAGCATGAGCCACTGTGCCCGGCCTTCTTTTTTCATTATTGAACATTGTTGAGCATTATTGAACAAGACCTTTTCAAATAAACAATAAAACTCTGCCAAAGAGAATTAAAGAAGATTTAGATAAGTGAAAAGTTATATATCAGGTGCACAGATTGGATGACTCAACATTGTTAAAATGTCTTATAAAATTCTTCACAAATTGGTGTAAAGAATCAATGGAATCCCAATGAAAATCTTAGCAGGCTTTATTTTTTTTGCAGAAATTAACAAACTGATTCTAAAATTCATAAGGAAATACAAGAAACCTGACCTCTCAAGACCTACTGTAAAGCTACAGTAACCAAGAAAGCTTGTTATTGGCACAAGAATAGACAAACAGATCTATAGAACAGTAGAGAGTCCAGAAATAAACCCACAATAATAAGGTTGAATAGTTTTCAACAACGGCCCCAAAACAAGTAAAGCATTCTCAACAAATGGTGCTAGAACAATTGCATATACATATAGGAAAAAAAACAAAAGCAAAAAAAACTCTGACTCCTCCCTCACACCAATCACAAAAATTAATACAAAATGAATTATAGATGTAAAAGCTAAAACTATACAGCTACTAAAAGAAAGCCTACCATGATATCTTGGTAAATTTGGGATAAGCTAATATTTTTTGAGGTCATAGAAAGCATTAATCATAAAAGAAAAAATGGTAAATTGGGATTCGTCACAAAACCTCTGCTCATCCAAAGTCACAGGAAGGTGAATAAGCAAACACCAAGTAGAACGGATATGTTTGCAATATATACATATCTGATGAAGGATTCGTATACAAAATATATAAAATTCTTTTATAAGTCAGTAACAAGGAGGCTTATTTTTTGTCCAATTTAAAAATGGACAAAAAAAATCTGATCGTATACTAGTAAGCACATTGTCAACATTAGTCAGCAGAGAAACACAAATTAACGTCACAAAATGCCAATACACGCACACAGGAACAGCGGGCATAAAAATGACTGATAGCACTAAATATCTAACAGTGTGTAGTGCAGCCAGAACTCTCACACATTGCTGGTCAGACTACAAAAACGGACACAACTACTTTTATTTTTATTTTTTAAATAGAGTTGAGGTCTCACTCTATTGCCCAGGCTGGTCCCAAACTCCCAGGCTTCAGTGACCCTCCCATTTCAGCCTCCCAAAGTGTTGGGATTACACACGTGAGCCACAACACCCAGCTGAATACAACTACTTTTTATATAAGTTTAGCATTTTCTTAAAAAGGTAAACATCCAGCTACCCTATAACTTAGTAATCCCACTCCTGGGTTATTGAAGGGATATGAAAATTTTTGCGACACCAGTCTTACACACTTAACTACATACTTAAAATCTGTATGCTTTCCTGAATGTAAATTATGTCTCAAACTTTAAAATTTGATATGAAAGAAAATTCTCAGTTGCTGAAGATCAGATGTGGAACCAGACTACGATGTGAAGAACAAAGACCATGGCATTCACCACATTATGGCACTATGGGGACGGGGTGGGTGAGGGACCTAAGGATATGATTTTGGCCCATCACCTAAAGGCAGCATCTGTAACAACATAGCAATCTTACATGAAATAAGGATACAGCTGCTGGCAAGAAAAAAGGCCAACATGTCGGGGAAAGAACAACCAAAAAGGAAAGAAGAAAAATAATAGTTCCTTTAAATAAAATGAATCTTTTTATTTTATTTGGCAGGACTGCCGTCCCATACTCACGCGTCTGGTAACAATAGGATCCAGTTCTTTAGGTTCCCGGTGGCTAAGGGTCATGAGATCTGCATTGAGCGTTCTAATGCGTTGCAAGCGAAGGCGAATATATCGTGCAGAAGTGAATTCCAACAACTTGGGTGAAAGATCGTCAGCGCTTGGTCTGCCATTGATGAGTGATGTATGAATCTGAAGATGAAGGCATCAAAATAGATGAATGTCAATTGTTTATTTATTTATTTATTTTTTGAGATGGCGTCTCGCTCTTTGGTCCAGGCTGGAGTGCAGTGGCACAATCTTGGCTCACTGTAACCTCCACCTCCCAGGTTCAAGCAATTCTCCTGCCTCAGCCTCCCGAGTAGCTGGGACTATAGGTGTGCACCACCACGCCCAGCTAATTTTTGTATTTTTAGTAGAGACAGGGTTTCACTATATTCACCAGGTTGGTCTTGAACTCCTGAACTCAGGTGATCCGCCTGCCTTGCCTCCCAAAATGCTGGGATTATAGGCATGAGCCACCATACCTGACCACAAATGTCAATTTTAAGCATGCAAAAATATAGCCCTGATTGTCTAATGTCAGGACAGAATCTTTTAGAGATACCATCTAAAATCAAAACAAAACAACTAGCTTCTTGTAAAAATATGTCTAACATTTGTTAATTACTTGTGAATTACCATGATCTCAATGTCTTCAGTTTATTGAAGGTATCTATTTCACTGTCTCAGATATACTATATACTTAAAATCTGTATGTTTTCCTGAATGTAAATTATGTCTCAAACTTTAAAATTTGATATAAAAGAAAACCCTCACTTGCCAAAGATCAGATGTGGAACCAGACTACAATGTGAAGAACAAAGACTACGGCATTCATCACATTATGGCATTATTGCTGAAAATCTTTTAAGAAGACCGTTTCTCTCCAAGTGGTTAGAATATTTCAGCATCTGTCCCTGGGCTACAACTTCTCTGAAGCAAATTTAAAATGTTATGAATAGGCTTCGAGAAGAACAAAGAAAAAGTCCACAAAGCCTGAATGATACAGGCTGTCTTAATTAATCTCTGCCCTTGAAACAACTCACAGCTCGCTGCAGAGTTCCCGCTGTGAAGAGCACTGGAGAATTTTTGTAGTTTCATCTCATCAAGCCAGGTGCTACTAAAGAATGGGCTGTTTCTCATTATACTCTGACTTCAAGGAAGTGTATACAATCTGGGCATGTTGGGCACTAAGCTGCAAGACTTCAAGAGTCTCCAGTGCTCACCACCTACCGAGGAGAACACTGAGAAAAGGGAACTACAACTTTGGGGGACATTTTAGCTCTCTAATATTTCAACAAACATTCTTGCCCTGGTGCTGTGGGGAAGATGCTCTGAAGGAGGATCCAAGGGCGTTATTAAATCACAGCAGAGTGAAGACTGAGAGCCTCCTTGAAGAGAGGAAGTCAACAAGGTAAACCATATTGTTTGTGAAATTACTTATAATAGACATGACTCAAGGCCACTTTAAATAGAGCTAGATAGTTATATTAAAGATCTTTGTATTGAGAGAGATCAATTTTGAGTCTGAGACAGGGAGACTCTGATGAGGAAACAGATCTTGCTGCAGCGGGCACCATACCTACCTCTCCATGCTCAAGTGGCACCAATCTGGAATAATAGGAGGTGCAGATCACTTCATCATCAGCCCTGTAGGTGGGTGGCCCTCGTCTTGGAGTTATATTGTAACGAGACAAACACTCTGAGTCGCTGACTGCATAATACTGCCAGGGGCTGAACGTGGTGCCATCCAGAGAACGCTCCAAAATCCAGTTTCCAGGTCGAGGGGCATTGGCAGCTTTAATGATGACATATGCAACTTGAAAGACCTGAAACAAAGACACTGAAAAGTCTCAATCCAGAATCAATACAAGCCAGGCACAGAATGAGAGCTACTGCATGATCTAACTTAAAGGTAGAATCTAAGATAGTTGAACTTAGAATCAGACAGTAGAATGGTGGCTGCCATGAGGTGCGAGGAGAGGGGAATAGGGAGATGGTGGTTAATGCATACCAAGTTTCAGTTATGCAAGATGAATAAGTTCTGGAGATATAATGGATGGTAACAATAGTGTACTGTATACTAGAAATTTATTTATTAAAAGGGTAGATCTTAAGTATGCTCATCATATACACAAAAGGGTAACTATGTGAAGTGATAAATATATTAATTATCTGGATTGTGATGATTCTTTCACATTGCATATGTATATCAAATCAAGTTGTACACCTTAAATATACACAATAATTTTTTTAAAAAATAGAATCAGTAGCAACTGTTCAAAAACAAAAGTGCACCTTGAGAGAACTGGTATACATTGGTTGCCAAAATCGAAGCTTTGGAGTATAACTGCTCATACATGTTAATCAGAAATGTGTCTTGTGAATAATCTCCTAGTAGCATTTGTTTTCAGAATGAACTCAAAAAGTACTCACAAATAAATATGTAGTATTATTATTATTAACAATATTGATATGAACATAAGAGCTTGTTCTTGTTTCCAATGTCTTTATTTGGATCTTGAAAGATACTAGTGTTATGTTACATTAATAGTAGTGTTAAAAGTATTTTTCATAGTGATTTGGAGATAACACATCTAAAATTGAGAAAAAAGTCAGCCCACTACACATCTACAGAATGGCTAAAATCCAAAACACTGACAACACCAAATGCTGGGGAGGATGTGGAGCAACAGGAACTCTCATTCATTTCTGGTGTGAATGTAAAAAGGTACAGCCTCTTTGGAAAATAGTTTGGCAGTTTCTTACAAAACTAAACATGCTCACCATTCTCAGTAATAAAAATGCTCACCATACTCAGCAATCATGCTCCTGGGAATTCAACCAAATGAACTGAAAACTTAGGTCCACAGGAAAACTTGCACCACCATTGCCAAAACTTGGAAGCAACCAAGATGTCCTTTAATAGGTAAATAGAAACACACGCTATGGTGCATGCAGACCATGGAATATTATGATAAAAAGAAATGAATTCTCAAGCCACAAAAAGACACGAAGAAACCTCGAATGCATATTACTGGCCGGGTTCAGTGGTTCATGTCTGTAATCCCAGCACTTTGGGAGGCCAAAGCTGGTGGATCGCCTGAGCCCAGGAGTTTGAGAACACCCAGGGGCAACATGGTAAAATCCCATCTCTACTAAAATACAAAAAAATTAGCTGCGTGTGGTGGCAGGCGCCTGTAGTCCCCACTACTCAGGAGGCTGAGTCACGAGAATCACTTGAGCCCCAGAAGCAGAGGTTACAGGGAGCTGAGATTGCACCACTGCACTCCAGCTTGGGCTACAGAGTGAGACTCTGTATCAAAAAAAAAAAAATGGCTGGGCACCATGGCTCACACCTGTAATCCCAGCACTTTGGGAGGCCGAGGCAGGCAGATCAGCTGAGGTCAGGAGTTCGAGACCAGCCTGACCAACACGGTGAAACCACACCTCTACTAAATACAAAAAAATTAGCCGGCCGTGGAGGCGCATGCATGTAATCCCAGCTACTTTTGAGGCTGAGGCAGGAGAATCACTTGAACCTGGGAGTCAGAGGTTGCAGTGAGCTGAGACTGAACCATTGCACTCCAGCCTGGGCAACAAGAGAGAAACTGTCTCAAAAAATAAATAGATAGACTGGGCATGGTGGCTCACGCCTGTAATCCCAGCACTTTGGGAGACTGAGAGTGAATCATGAGGTCAGGAGATCGAGACCATCCTGGCTAATACAGTGAAACCCCATCTCTACTAAAACTACAAAAAAATTATCCAGGTATGGTGGTGCATGCCTGTAGTCCGACTACTCGGGAGGCTGAGGCAGGAGAATCGCTTGAACCCAGGAGGCGGAGGTTGTAGTGAGCCGAGATCGTGCCACTGCACTCCAGCCTGGGCAACAGAGCAAGACTCTGTCTCAAAAATAATAAATAAATAAATAAACAAACAAATGCATATTACTAAGTGAAAGAAGCCAATCTGAAAAGGCTACATACTATATGATTCCAACTGTATGACACTGTGTCAAAGGCAAAACTATGAAGACAGCAAAAAGATCAGTGGCTGCCAGCGTCTCAGGGTGAGGGAAGGAGGGATGAATAGGTGGGGCACAGGAGATTTTTAGGGCGGTGAAACCACCCTGTATGATACTCTAATGGTGGGAACTTGTCATTACACATTTGTCTAAACACACAGAATGTACAACACCAAGAGGGAACCCTCAGGTAAACTATGGACTCAACAATAATAATGCATCAATATTGTCTCATCAATGATAACAAATGTACCATTCTAATGCAACATGGTAATAGTGGGAGCAACTGGAGGGAAGGGAGAGAGTGAGGAGTATGGAACTTCGTACTTTCTGCTCATTTTTCTACAAACTGAAAACTGTTCCAAAAATGTCTATTAATTGAAAAAAATTAAAAGCCAGAGTAATGAGGAAACAAACTGGGGGGAAAAAAAAATGAATGTAGATGACTATTAGCAGCGGGAGGAAACTAGCCAGACAAATCCTGGATTTGGAAGGGACCCTGGTAGATATCTAGCCCAAAATCTAAAACTGAGAAGGAATTACCTCTCCAAAAACCCCAGGCCTTCTGCAAGTACTTCCAGTGACAGGAAATTCATTAGCTCCTAAGACAGTCCTTTTGTTTTATGACAACTCCCTCATTAGAGGATTTTTTTTTTTTTTTTTTGAGACAAGGTCTCACTCTGTTGCCCAGGCTGCTGGAGTGCAATGGCACGATATCAGCTCACGGCAGTCCCAACCTCCTGGGCTCAAGTGATCCTCCCACCTCGGCCTCCAGAGTGGCATGCAGCACCACACCTGGCTAATCTTTGTATTTTTTTGTGTGACAGGGTCTCACTATGTTGCCTAGGCTGGTCTCAAACTCCTGGGCTCAAGTGGTCTGCCCACCTTGACCTCCCAAAGTGCTTGGATTACAGCCTTGAGCCACCATGCCTGGCCAGATAATCTTTTTTTTACATTGATTCAAGCTCCCCCATAATATTCGACATGCTGGAGCTGCAGAAAAGATCTTGGATTCCACTTTCATGTAACTGTCCTTCAAGTATCTGAACATAACTATCATATATCACCTCCAGAATCTCTCGTTTTTATCCTCAGTATTCTGGTTTCCTGAAAACATTCATCATTTAACAAGACATCCTTGCCTTGTCATAAGGCTCTGGACACAACTTTATTTTAAAATGCAGCTCCCAGGAATTGAATAGAGAACTCTAAATGTTTTCTGAATTGTCAAGAACGTAGTGAAAATATCACACCCCTGTTTTAGTTATTCAGCCTTAGCAAGCATTCACTTTTCTGACAGTAAACTTAGATTACTAACTCAGGTTGGGGTAGCAAGCAACAAAAAACAAAAATGCCTTTCTCCAGGTGAACTGCTACTGACTGCAGACTTCCTCTAACCTGGATGGATATGGGTGATTTGTTTAAAAACCAAAGTCCAGTACTTTTAATTTGTAAAATAGCCATGCAATACATGTGTGTAAATGGACCTCTAAACGTGTGTGTGTGTACAGTTGACCCTTGAACAACACGGGTTTAAACTACATAGGTCCACTTATAAACTAATTTTTTTGTGTGCTTCTGCCACCCCTGAGACAGCAAAACCAACCCCTCTTCCTCCTCCTCCTCAGCCTACTCAATGTGAAGATGACAAGGATGAGGACCTTGATGGATCCACGTCCACTTAATGAATAGTAAATATAGTATTGTCTCTTCCTTACAATTTTAATAACAATTTCTTTTCTCTAGCTTACTTTAAGAATATACCATAAACATACAACACATAAATACATATATAATACATAATACAATACATACAACACATAAAATATGTGGTAACTGTTTATGTTATCAGCAAGGCTTCAAGTCAATAATAGGCTATTAGTAGTTAAGTCTTTTACGGAAGTCAAATGTTATTCATGGATTTTTTGACTGCCTTGGGAGTTGGCACTCCCAACCCTCAAGTTATTCAAGGGTCAGCTGTGTGTGTGTGTGTGTGTGTGTGTGTAAATATATATATGTATATATAAAAATTTAGGCCAGGAGCGGTGGCTCATGCCTGGAATCCCAGCACTTTAGGAGGCCGAGGCGGGCAGATCACTCGAGGTCAGGAGTTCGAGACCAGCCTGGCCAACATGGTGAAACCCCATCTCTACTAAAAAAATACAAAAATTAGCTGGGTGTAGTGGCACATGCCTGTAATCCCAGCTAATTGGGAGGCTGAGGCCAGAAAATTGCTTGAACCCGGGAGGCAGAGGTTGCAGTGAGCCAAGATCGCACCACTGCACTCCCAGCCTGGGTGACAGAGTGAAACTCCGTCTCAAAAAAAAAAAAAAAAAAAAAAAATTTACCCACGTACACACACATACACATATATGTGTATGTCTTGGGAAGGAAGTTGTTAATTTACTGAGTCTTATTGCCTGGATTTTCTTGGGTTTTATTTCTTTGTTTTTCTTTTCCCTGATTCTGGAATTCCACAGAATCAATAAGGACTAACAATTCTATCTCATTATAGTCACTCTTTCCACCTGCCAGAAACATTCTCCAATCGACTTCAGTCTGCGAGTGATTTCAGTGTGTCAGATGTTTTGGCTATCTCTGAGCATGAGCTACTTTCCTTTCGAAGACAATGGCTGTTTCTAAAGCACATTAGAAGCGAAATAAGGCCTGGGCGTGGTGGCTCGCACCTGTAATCCCAGCATTTTGGGAGGCCGAGGCGGGCGGATCACGAGGTCAGGAGATCGAGACCATCCTGGCTAACACAGTGAAACCCCGTCTCCACTAAAATACAAAAAATTAGCTGGGCGTGGTGGCGGACGCCTGTAGTCCCAGCTACTCGAGAAGCTGAGGCAGGAGAATGGCGTGAACCCGGGAGGCAGAGCTTGCAGTGAGTGGAGCTTGCACCACTGCACTTCAGCCTGGGCGACAGTGTGAGACTGTCTCCAAAAAAAAAAAAACAGAAGTGAAATAATGTGTTCGGGGCTTTGACAAGGAGGACAACGGAGAACATCCTCATAGCTACTCATCACTGTCCAACTGTTTTGTAAATGTTTGCATCATAAAAGTTGAACTCAATATGTGGGTTGTGACCATCCATTACTGCTGCACCTGTGAAACTTGACTTCACAAAGCAGAGGCGCCACATGAGCCAGGGTGATCAGGCAGCCCATTGGGGAGGGAGAGAAGGCAAGGTCATTTACAAAGACATCTGAAACAGAATGTAATTACTTTGTCTTCCAGTTTCACACTTGAATATGGAAAGAACTAACAAGTTTACCACGTGCGTGTTAAGAGCTTTATACATATATCATCACATTTAATCCCAAACAACCCCATTATTGTTTTTGTGCCCATTTTACACATTTGGAAACTGATGAAGAGAGAGGTCAAGAAACAAACTACTGAGTTGCAGGTCCCAAAAGAAACCAGGTGGTGTCAACTCCAGAGCCCTTCAGCCACCCTGCGTGCTGCCTGCCCCCAAATGTCCACACACACCTAGGGTCACTGAACTTTCATTTTTGTAATGCCAAGAAACAAACAAACAAAAAGATTCCTACATTCACCTGGAGACCGGGTTCATATGTTAAGCATAGTGGCAGCTCTTCCAGTTATTCTGTTAGGTGGGGGAACACGATGGAGAGTGTGCAAGAAACAAAGATTAATGAATGCTAATGCCACGAAGCACTTACTGTGGCCAGTACCAATACCACGTGCTTCATTAGGATTGTTAACGCTTTGAATTTTTTTTTTTTTTTGAGACAGTGTCTCGCTCTGTCTCCCAGACTGGAGTGCAGTGGCATGATCTTGGCTCACTGCAACCTCCGCCTCTTGGGTTCAAGTGATTCTCCTGCCTCAGCCTCCGGAGTAGCTGGGATTACTGGTGCACGCCACCATGTCCAGCTAATTTTTGTATTTTTAGTAGAGATGAGGTTTTACCATATTGGCCAGGCTGGTCTGAAACTCCTGACCTCAAATGATCCATGCCTCTCAAACTGCTGGGATTAAAGACATGAGGCACCATGCCCCAACAACTCTGAATTCTTACAACAACATTCTTCTTACAAAGTAAGTACTGTCATTTCCCCCCATTACAGATGAGGAAATTGGGGCACAGAAAGGTTAGGTAATCTTCCCAGGATCTCACAGGTGCTAAACTGTATACAGCAGGGATTGAACCCAGGCAGTTTGTACTCTTAAGCACTATGCTGCACTACTTCTATATATTGCAAAGAAAAGGAAAGAAATCCCAGGCTGAGACAACGGATAAGCCCTAATCCAGTTTTTCCACCCTTTCACTTTAACCAGTGTCATTTCTTTCTTTCTTTTCTTTTCTTTTCTTTTTTTTTTTTTTTTTTTTTGAGATAGGATCTCACTCTATCACCCAGGCTGGAGTGCAATGGCGTGGTCACAGCTCACTACAGCCTTGACCTCCTGGGCTCAAGAGATTCTCCTACCTCAGCCTCCCAAATCTCTGGAACCACAGACAAGCCACACCATGCCTGGCTGATTTTTTTCAATTTTCTTCATAGTCACGGGGTCTCACTATATTGCCCAGGCTGGTCTTGAACTCTTGGGCTCAAGTGATCCACCCGCCTTGGCCTCCCAAACTGCCGTGATTACAGATGTGAACCACCGCATCCAGCCCAAAATTCTTTCTTTCTTTCTTTTTTTTTTTTTTGAGATAGAGTCTCACTCTGTTGCCCAGGTTGGAGTGCAGTGGTGCGATCTCCGCTCACTGCAACCTCCACCTCCTGGGCTCAAGCGGTTCTCCTGCCTCAGCCTCCCGAGTAGCTGGGATTATAGGCACTTGCCACCACGTCCGGCCAATTTTTTTTAATTTTTTTTTTTTAGTAGAGACAGGGTTTCACCAACTTGGCTAGGCTGGTCTTGAACTCCTGACCTTGTGATCCACCCGTCTCAGCCTCCCAAAGTGCTAGGATTACAGGCATGAGCCTCCGCGCCTGGCCCAGCCCATAATTATTTCAATACCATGTTCCAGTATTTTACCAACCTTTTGCCAGCTTTTATTCTGAGAGCTTAGTCATATATAAGAAAATGATACTAAATGGAAGAACAGCCGTAGTGAAAAACTTCAGGACAAGCTCTCAAGGGAGGAGTTACTTAACTTTTATCTTGATCAAAGACTTCCTTAGGATGCTGGGCCATTGTTCCCACAATCTCTCAATAGTCCTCAAGGTCCCCAAACTGGAGACCAGGAAACAAACTAGGGGTCCTGAGAGTGGTAAGTCTGATAAACAGGCAAAGGGTGCTATGAAGAACCTAAATACAATTTGTCTTCACTTTGCCCTGTTATGGGCTGAACTGTTTCCCGCAAAAGTCATACATTGAAGTTCTAACTTCCAGTAGCTCAGAATATGGCTGTATCTGGCGATAGGCTCTTTAAAGAGGTGATTAAGTTAAATGAGGGCATTGTAGTGGGCCCTATTTGAATATTTCTGGTGTCATAAGAAAAGCAGATTAGGACACAGACAGTACAGAGGGAAGACCATGTGAGGACTCAGGGAGAAGAAGCCACTATGAGCCAGAAGAAACCGACTCTGCTGACACCTTGACCTTAGACTTCAGCCTCCAGAACTGTGAGGACATTAATGTCTCTTGCTTAAGCTGTCCAGTTGGTGCTACTTGTTACAGCAGTCTCACCTGATTAATACAGGCCGAATTCACCAATCATGTGTTGACAAATTGGTCTTATATGTAATGTAGAAAAACTGAAGGACTGTCTGTTAGTATGTAGATTTTTTTTTTCTTTTTGAGACAAAGTTTCTCTCTTGTTGCCCAGGCTGGAGTGCAATGGCACAATCTCGACTCACTGCAACCTCTGCCTCCTGGGTTCAAGCGATTCTCCTGCCTCAGCCTCCCAAGTAGCTGGGATTACAGGCACCTGCCACCATGCCCAACTAATTTTTGTATTTTTAGTAGAGACGAGGTTTCACCACATTGGCCAGGATGGTCTCGAACTCCTAACCTCAGGTGATCCACCTGCCTCGGCCTCCCAAAGTGCTGGGATTACAGGCATGAGCCACTGTGCCTGGCCAGTATATAGAATATTAAACCCTTGTCCCAATAAAGTCCACAATATTTCTTTTGCCCTTTTTTTGCATGGTTGACTAAACTGCCTTTTCTCTGGATTTAAGGTTGGCTGAACACAAATTGATGATGCAGGGGTTCTCACTAGACTCAGAGTCAATGTAGTCTTGCTAAACCTGCAGCTGATACAGCCATTTTTAAATCCACTTTCATCACGATTTTCCACCAAGTAGCCTTTGTTAATGATCACTGGAATGCACATAAACAGTGTCACATAAATAAAGTAGGCACACATCAAACGCCACTTTCTGAAAAGGAATCCAGACAGGAATGTTCATGTGGGCCTCAATCTTAACTTAAATATATTAAATCCATCTCAGGCACAGATGTCTAAAAAATACAGATAACCTAATTTTCCAGCATCAGAGGTCAACTTCCCATGTGCAGACAGAAGTGAAGCCTCTCCTCTCCACAGAAAGTGCAGCTGTTCTCCGCAGGCTCTCAGGAAATCTATGGGGCTCAATACCAGGCATGACTCCGGTCTGAAAATTCTCCATAAAAGAACCTACCTGCCTCCACGGTGGTAACTGAACAGTGAATGAAGGCATGTTTTCTCTCTTGCATGAAGGAAATAAACTTTTCCCAGACAAAAGAGATTTAGATGAACAGTTAAGTGCATTTGATAAATAATATTGCTGAGTTATCCCTGTGAAAGTGGCGATTTTGTGCTCTGTGAGATTTATGTCTCATGAAATTATTAGAGAATGAAATGTAAAATGACCATTTGAATTAACACTTACTACTCATGAATAAAGAAGCAGTGATTTAATAGGAGGCTAATTACCAATGCAGATATGGCTCACTTCCAGTTTTATAGCGTGTCAATCACGAAAGCACTTAGTCAATTATCAGCACGTGAAGTGGCAACAAAAACTAGCAAAAACTGAGATGCTAGGGAGCTGAGAGGGAAGGAAGGATGTCTGCAATACACATTTTAAATACATTTCTCAGAGCAATTACTTGAAATGTCATTTATATTATATTTCAGTTGGCAGTTTTAACTGTTATCTCATTTTAGGAGCAGCATACTCAACAGACAAAAAGAAACAGCTTCATAAACGAGAAGAACATTTCAGAATAAAACGTGATTTGTTTCTCTTTAAATTTGGTGCTACCATTAGATGTGCAAAATAAACATGTCCCAAAATTAAAACAAAACAAAATATGTCCTTGTCCAGTAACTTTTCTCTTTTTTGCTCCTTTTCTTTTTGCTTTTTGTTTTGATTAGGGGAGGAGGGACAGGCTGCCAATAGTGATAAATTTAGATCAAGCAGATTTCTTTCCTTAAAATTCTTAAAATTCATGTCTCAGACAATCTAGGAATGCTCCCTTCAGAACCATGCTGAGATACTTAAAGTGGACATTGAAGAAAAGCCAAAGTAAGAGAGATGATTGCTGACAAATAGAGGGCACAGAGATACGAGCCCATTTAAAACGTAAATAGTAACCCATGATCGGTAATCTGAAGATAGGAAAGAAATACTTCAAACACCTGTCAGAAGCAGTTCTGACTTCCATCAATTAGAAAAGCGATTTCAAAAGGAGCCCACCCCGCAAGCTGACCCACGGTCCAGGTGTCACCATTTCCATTTGAGGGTGACTAATAGTATTGTTGTTTTAAAAAGTGTGCAGGCTGGGGGTGGTGGCTCATGCCTGTAATCCCAGCACTTTGGGAGGCCAAGGTGGGCAGACTGCTTGAGCCCAGAAATTTGAGACCAGCCTGGGCAACACGGCAAAACCTCATCTCTGCAAAAACTACAAAAAAAATCATGCAGGCATGGTGGTGCATGCCTTTGGTCCCAGCCATGGAGAGGCTGAAGTGGGAGGATCACTTGAGCCTGGGAGGTCGAGGCTGCAGTGAGCCGTGATGGTGCCACTGCACTCCAGCCTGGATGACAGAGCAAGACCCTGTCCCTCATCCCCCACAAAAAGTGTTGAACTGCTTTATCTAAGAAACAGAACAGACAAGTAAAAGGTTGTCTTCCCTTCCTAGTCTCGATGTATTTCTCCCTATAATTGTTCCTGTTGCTCAAGTTGACGAGGTGTTCTTGGTGATTTTGCTAAATTTGTGGAAAATTAGCTGGAACAGCCTCAAAACCACAGCCAGGCATGTCACCAAATGCTCTTTGTGAGGATCTTCATTTCTTTTCCCCACCTTGTAAGATCCACATGACAGCCAAGTGCCCCTAGAATGATATAAACCCACTTGTGAAATGCAGTTACAGGCCATTCTCAGACCTAAGAAATCCAAAAAGCACCTTTTCTATTCCCCAACTCCTAACGATTCCCTTGGCCGTTAACTATCAAGTTTTCACCTAGGACCATCTAAGCCTTTGAAATCACACTAGGCTTTCTCCAAAATGCAGTTCCCCATTTGTTCATGTTGGGACAGTGGTGGCAATGAATGGCATCCCTTCCTTCCTCTTCTGATGTGGAAGTAGGCTCACAAATCTGTCATGGAGATTGGAAAAAGCAGTCTGCAATATTCCATAAAAAAGCAAAACTGGAGGATATGATGTAGATGGGCGCGGTGGAGGCCTGCTCGACACACTCCCTCCTGCATCACAGCCTGAGTGGGTGCTTGTGGACCCACCCTGGAAGCTCTGTCCTGTGGGCCAGTACCTGTGCGTCTGAGAACAGCCTGCACGGGAAAAGAAGAGCACACTGTGCCCTGGGGGAGAGAGTCAGCTGTCCCCGAGTTAGGCAATGACTGCTCCTCCCTTGAGGACAGGTGGGGGAGGGGTGAGCAAAGGAACACTCCACATGGACACAGGACACTGGGGACAAGGGACGCCCACTAACAATTTTTCACTGAAGCTTCGTCCAGTCATCATTAACTGAGCATCTGCTTTGTCACAGGGACTAAGCCAGGTGCCACAAATATGGCAGTGGATGGAAGGTCTATGTGACCCAATGCCCTGGTGGGAAAGCCAGAGGCTGACCAAGTCACCAGGGAGAAGGGTGGAGGCTGTGAGAGTGTCTGGGTGTTGGGGGAAGGCCCATTAACTCTGGAGAAGGCAGATAGTCAGGGAAGTCTTCCCTGAAGGTAAGAGAAGGTATCTCTGAAACCAGATGAGAGATGTCCAGGTAACTGGAGCAAAGGTGAGGAAAGACACTGAGGGGAACTCTGAGGGCAGAGCACAGAGGAAGGAGTGCAGAGATGGCAGGAGAGAGCCGGCGGGCGCCTGGCCAGGGCTGTCGGCCATCACGCAGATGTTTGTGCACCGTGGTTAAAACGCTTAGACCATCCCAGGGACTGAAACCAAGGAGCTACAGGGTCACCGGAGCTGAAGGTCACAGGATTGGATGTTGGTGCCTGGAAATCATGAGAGATGGTGGTGCTGACTTTGTAAACACCAAGAGACCAGAGCAGAGATAAAAGCAACGGGTCTTACAGGGTTTTCTAAAAGGCCAAAACATGAGTGAGAAGGAAAACACAAAGAGGCCAAGCAGTGTCTTCCAGCTCGATCAGATCCCTCTCTCCACTGTAGGAAGAGTGCAGAGTTCTCTCCTACATGGCCCCAAAGCCCACACTTCCCCGCTCTTGCCTCAGTCCCAGAGAATATCTGGCTAAAAATTCAACTTCTTTTCACCTCTTCTCCTAGTCCTCACATTGACCTGTTTTTGCTCCAGTTGATGGAGCGATGGTGAAGAGCTTACAGCTTGCATCCCTTCTTCGCATGCCTTATTATGAGAAAACACACGAGCATCACACTCAGTGACAGTAAAAGGGGCCCTTAATCATTAAGCCTCTAAAATCCAACAGGTGATACTGCCCAGAAAAGCTGTGCAAATCTGTACTTAACGAACTCCATTAAACATTAACCTATTAGTTATACATTTACAACACCCAGAAACAATAATTATGTGTTTTCTTTCCTTTGGGCCCTAAATCTAGCTGAATCGTTGATAGTTTTAGCACTAGAGAGATGAGAAAGTATTGTTTCTTGTGAGTGTGTAAAATTTCACTTTTTATATGGATCCTTGGTCTATATTCTACTTGAAGATTCTCCTTTTTCTTTAGACACATCTAACTTCACTGAGTATCTAACTGACAAATCATAATATTTAAAGCTTATTTTTTAAAAGAGAATATCCAAATATGTAGGATACATAATATATAGGAAGGCTTTTGTTTATTTTTTTAAAAGATGCAGTGGGAATGTAAAATGGTGCAGGTACTATGGAAAACAGTATGGTGGTCCCTCAAAAAATTAAACATAGAATTACAACATGATGCAGAAATTCCTCTTCCAGGTATATATCCAGAAGAAGAGAAAGCAGGGACTCGAATACACATGTACACCAATGTTCACAGCAGCATTATTCACAATAGCTAAAAGGTGGAAACAGCCCAGGTACCCGTTGATGGATGAATGGCTAAACAAAATATGGTCTATGCATACAATGGAATATTATTCAGTCTTTAAAAGGAAGGAAATTGTAATACATGCTACAACATAGATAAGCCTTGAGGACATTATGTACGCTAAGTGAAATAAGCCAGACAAAAGGACAAATAGAATATGATTCCACTTATGTAAGCTTGATTACCCAGAGTAATCAAATTCATAGACAAAAGCTGAATGGAGGCTACCCAGGGCTGGGGGAAGAGAGGAACGTGGAGTTGGTGTTTAAGGGGTACAGAGTTTCTGTTTGGGAAGATGAAAAAGTTCTGGGGATGGATGGTGGTGACGGTTGCACAATATACTTAATGCCACTGTACTGTACACTTAAAAATGGTTAAAATGGCTCCCACTGCAGCCTCAAGTGCCCCTGTCCCACCTGGCTCCCCCTGCTGATGTCTAGTGTTTTTTTCTCTCCTGTCTTTGTATTGAAGGCAGGAAACAAGGGTGTCAAGCCCCCATTCCCTCCCTACTCTGACAGCAGGATTGGATGTTGTGTATTGTGGATTTTTTTTTGTTTATTTTGTTCTGAAATTAAAGTATGCAAAATAGAGAATATGCCATTTTTAATACAAAAAAAGGTTACAATGGTAAATTTTATGATATGCATATTTTATAATAACACCCCCTCCAAAAAAAAAGAGATGAAAAGTGAATGGTATGAAGATTCAACCTTGTGAAAGACTGAGCTGTCTAAGTTGAAAATGAGTAGGAATGTAGTATTTCTAGGCAGGGGCCAACTCCATAGAAACCAATTAAGTCAGTGGAGGTCAAGCAAACAGCTCCGAGGGGATGTTTGAAATCTTATCTTTCTCATGACCTGATTTCGGTCACATTCTTACTGAGCTCTGGCAAGGCATGATGATACTTCACAAAATACAAAACCAGAGCCCCAAACTCAGGACTTTACAGTGAAAGACCCATTGTTCACACAATGCTTTCTCCTTGGTGGCATTTCCTGAACAGCAAGTTCGGGCAGCCCCATTTCTTGCCTGGCTCAGTCTATAAGACTGATACAAGACTGGTATAAAGTTGTAAATGATTCTAAATATTGTTCATCCCACTAGAGACCTACTAAGTGGTTATTTAACTGACATTTTTTTGTGCTTCCTTCATATGAAGAACACAGATAAATATCTTCTGATTACATACCATTAAATAGTAGGAAAAGCAAAAATTCTTAAATTATATGATTGACAATTCTCATGATCGTCTTGTAAATACTACGGAGGAAAAGGTCTTAGAAACTGTTGAACTGCACTGGATCAGTCACTTGCTCTTAAAAGGGTGATTAAGAATAGCCAAGGCCGGGCGCAGTGGCTCACGCCTGTAATCCCAGCACTTTGGGAGGGGGGCAGGTGGATCACAAGGTCAGGAGATCAAGACCATCCTGGCTAACAGGGTGAATCCTCGTCTCTACTAAAAATACAAAAAATTAGCCAGGCATAGTGGCACGTGCCTGTAGTCCCAGCTACTCAGGAGGCTGAGGCAGGAGAATCACTTGAACTCGAGAGGCGGAGGTTGCAGTGAGCTGAGATTGCGCCACTGCACTCCAGCCTGGGTGACAGAGTGAGACTCTATCTCAAAAAAAAAAAAAAAAAAAAACAACGACTAGCCAAAATTTGATCCAAAAACTATTGTACAGAGGGGTGTGGGGGAATTCTCTGTACTTTACATTCAATTTTTCTGTAAACCTAAAACTTCTCTAAAAAATAGTCTATTATTTTTTAAAACAAGAAAACAATTACACATATTCTAGTAATTCTCAACTGATAAGAAAGCTTATGTTGGCCAGGTATGGTGGCTCACACCTGTAATCCCAGCACTTTGGGAGGCCAAGGTAGGTGAATCACTTATCACTTGAGGCCAGGAGTTCGAGACCAGCCTGGGCAGCATGGCAAAACCTCATCTCTACTAAAAATTCAAAAATTAGCCAGGTGTGGTGGCACGCACCTGTAGTCCCAGCTACTCGGGATGCCGAAGCACAAGAATGGCTGGAACGGAGGAGGCAGAGATTGCAGTGAGCTGAGATCGCACCGTTGCACTCCAGCTTGGGTGACAGAGTGAGACTCTGTCTCAAAAATCAGCCCAGTTGGCTGAACAGAAGCGAATAAGTATAATAGTTTTAAAGCTTTACCAAATTTCCCGGGCTATCTCAGTTTGTACAGCTATGCCATCCAGCTAATTATTTGCAGGTTTAAATTTGACCTCACAGTTTTCCTAGCTTCATTTCCGAAACAGTCAGGCCAGAGCGAGTCAGTGCTTTCTAAGTGCCTGCATACAAATTGCAAAGAGACCACAGGTCTGAGGAGGTGCACGGCATCAACAGGCAGCTGTCCCAGTCACTAAGAAGTCTCTACCTTCAGTGCACTTTGGCAGCCTGGTCATCTCACCAAAACCAATGCTTTCAGAGTCAGAATTCCACAATCACCCATATTCCCCTGGAAAAAGGTAGTGATAGGTGAGTAATATATTTTTAATTTCCTATAGCCTAGAGAACTTTAAAACTACATTGAATGTTTTCCATGATTTAGGCTTAAAACGACAAATCCAGAGGATGTATTCTCTACATCCCAGTGCATATTCGTGAATGACGTGGATACAAATCGACACATTTTTCAGATTTTTCATGTAAGCATAAGATGAAATAATGAACAGGAAAGCACTTTATAAAATGCACAATACAGAGGTAAGGTATCAGATTTTTAATCAATATTCCAATGTTCCATAGTTATTCTTGTGACAACTGGAACTTCTCAAAATAATGAGACTTAGAGTCAAATCGGTTCTTTCTCTTTGGTTAGAATATGACTTGAAAAGTCTGTCCAGCCTCTAATATTGATATTCAATATCTAAAAATGTCACCACCGTGTTATAGCAATTTGACTGCCTCAATAGATTAATAATCATAAAATTTACACATGTGAAGATAATAAATCAGACCAAACATTGTTTAAGCATCTGAATTTAGCTTAGTCCTCCCAAAGATATGTCCAGTACAGTGACATAATGTGACAACTCATTATAAACAAATAAATTCTCTGCTATTCAATTAGCATAGGACAAAAAAGAAAAGAAAAGAAAATTCTGATCTCTATACTACCAAGGAATTGTGAAACACACTTTATCACTGTTACTGAGCATATAAATTGAGCAATGTTTTTGAAAAAAATAAGGCAATAAAGATCACATTTTAAAAAATTTAAGCATTTAACCAAATAATCTAATTTTTTGGAATCGACACTAAAAAATAAACTACCGTAACAGCCATAAAATATTCAAATGTTTGTTGCAGCATAACTTAGAATAGCCCCAAATTGGAAACACCTTAAGTGTCTCCCAATGGGAACAGGTTAAATGAATTATTGTGTAGCCAAATGATAAAATATCATTCTTCCATTAAAAATTATTACAGGCATTTTGCTGGTCGCTAGGAAGAAGAAATTGGTAGCACCTGGCTCTCCTCCAGTGAACAGCTAGAACTCTGGACACAGGATATAAACAATGGGTTTCAAATATTGGACAGCAGGCAGCACGGGACAGTGACTCCTGGGAGAAGAGCCCAGGATTGCTTTGCTTTCAGCAGCATTTTTACAATAGACAAAAACTGGAAATACCCAGCAAGACAGTGGATAAATAAATGTTGCTATATCCATAAAGTGAAATTACTACACAGAAATGAATGGAACAAGCCACTCATACAAGCAATGGCATGTGAATCTGACAAACCTCATGCTCACAGAAAGAAGCCAGACACAAAAAAGGACGCACTGTGATTCCATTAATAAGAAGTCATCTCACAGGCAAAACTCTTCCAAAGTGAAAAAAAAAAAAAATTCAGGACAGCGGTTCCTCTGGCTGCTGGGAGGGAGGAGAGCAAGTGGGGAATTGGCTGGGAAGGGGGTGGGGGAGCCTTTTGGGGTGACGCAAACGTTCTATACCAAGGGAATGGCTTATACAAGTGTCTGTATTTATCAAAACTCACCCAACTATACACTCGAGATTTGTGCATTTCACTATATGTCAATTATGTCCCAATAAATAGAAAAGAAAAACGAGAGGAAATGTTTATTCTAGGACTGAATGTACTATGTCAGCTCCACAGACATGCCAGGCTTTCTAATTTCCAGGCCTTTCCCACCCTGCTCTTCCCTGCTGCTTCTTCCTTCTGTATTCCTGCCTCCCTTCCTCCGGTGGGTCCTTTTCGCATTTTTTTTTTTTTGAGACGGCGTTTTGCTCTTGTTGCCCCGGCTGGAGTGCAATGGCACGATCTTGGCTCACTGCAAACTCTGCCCCCTGGGTTCAAGCGATTCTCCTGGCTCAGCCTCCTGAGTAGGTGGCATTACAGGCATGCACCACCATGCCTGGCTAATTTTGTATTTTTAGTAGAGACAGAGTTTGTCCATGTTGGTCAGGCTGGTCTTGATCTCCTGACCTCAGGTAATCCACCTGCCTCGGCTTCCCAAAGTGCTGGGATTACAGGCGTGAGCCACCGCGCCCGGCCTGCATTGTTTCTCTGAGCCACGAAGTGGTCCTTCTGAAGTGTTCTCTGTGCACCCCCGGTCCCTGCACACTCTACACCACTCAGCAGAAGCCTATTTTTCCCCACCAGACCAGAAGCCCCTTGAGAGCTGGGGCCTGCCTTTAAAGATGCAATGAAAGCGAGCCTGCTCATCACTGCTAATAACCAACATACTGAAGGAACCGCCCATGTGTTGTCCACTTTCTTTGCACTAAGGGCTTAATGTGAATCCGATCGTTGTCTTGTTCATCGATGAATCCTGAGATCCCAGTATGCACAAGACAGAGATTCCCTGATTTCTTAAATATATTCAGTGTTCTTAGATATGATGCAATGGAGCAAAAGGTCACCCCTGATTGTAAGAATCACAGGGGATTTTTTAAATAACTTTTTTCTTATATTTTTCTATAGTTTAAAAACTTTCTGCTATTATCTGTTACTAGTACATCAAAATAAAGGAAGTTCTGTGTAGAGAAAAGGTCCACTGAAGACATTAAAAACACAAGAGATATTCTGAGACCTAGCTGAGGTTTTTATAAGCCATGTTTTAAAAACGTTGTTACAGCTTTGTTTTTAAAGATGGAAATACTACAATCTGAGTAGAAGTTAAGTCAATACATAAAAAAGAAAAAAAAAAAGCTAGAATGGATACCAAACTGCACTATATTTTTCAAAGAAATATCTCTTGAGAAATTAAAACTTACCCCTTTTTTTCAGCTTCAATATAATGGAAGAAATAATTTCAGAACGGACTTCCCTTTTTTCCCATAAATATACAAAAATCTTTACTTTGATGCCAAAACAGTTGGGGATATGAAAAGCATTTTGTGATCCAATCCTGCAAAACTGTCTTCACGGATTTCCCTGAATCCTCCCAGGCCAAATGCAGGAAGCCCTGCTGGGTAGAAACACTGAAATAGTGCAGCCAAACCTTGGCAGCTCAAAATCTAAAGAGAACTGAGCTCTGCCAAATGGCAAAATGGTTATCCTGGACTGTTTGGCAATCCCCACCGATAATATGTAAGCGAGAAAGCTTAAATATAAATCGTATCAAGAAACAAAAACTCCATCTTGTTCCTAAAGCCTAGCCTCCATTGTTTTCACTTATTCAGCTCACTTATCGTTAAAAGAACAGTATGTGCATTCCTGTTTGGTTCCTATAAGCTCTTCACCTCACCTAAAGACAGGGGTGCGGCCCCTACAAGATAAGATATGCAAGGCTGCAAAGATTAAAGCCTCCTAGAGAAAGACCCTTTCAGAAGGCTGATGCAGTAGCAGTTTTAAAACAGGCCTCAAATTCTTCACCCCTCCTCCGGTTGACGGGTGAGGCTGGTCTATCTTTCCCAAGTTGAATCTCTGCCAACCTGAGTGACTGGGTGGCTCATACAGCACAGGGAAACTGGCACTGTGTGACTGGAGACCAGGTCTAAGAGGGGACACAACTTCTGCCTCCTGCCCCAAGCTGCCCTATAAGCAAGCTGCCTTAAAGTCGCCATGCTGTGAGGAAGCTCAGGCACCCATGTGGAAAGACCACACGGAGACGCCCTGAACTCTCATGAACATAGCCTCCAGCTGCCCCAGGAACCTTCTCCCAGCTGGTCTGGCACCCTCTTCCCCAGCTGCCCCAAACCCCCTCCTCCAGCTGCCCCAGAGAACCTCTCCCCTAAGCTGCTCCAAGTCTAGCCCCCCATGGTCTGCAGCCTTAGACATACCCACTCAGGCCTTTCCTAAATCCTGACCCCACTGAAATCAGGAAAGGTATAAAATGAATGTTGCTGTTTTAAGCCATAAAGTTTCACAGTGATTTCTTACACAATAGATAACCAGCAGAGAAGCTATGCATGAGAAAATAAAACGAGATAATGAAAATGTGAAAACAAAAGAAAGACCTATTTCTGAGTCTAGTAGCTTCACAGAGAACATGACAACACAGATAAAAATGTCTGAAGGACAGGAATTTAGGGTGGCTTACTTCCAAATCATAATGATGAGCTTAAGATTTCTTCCAATCTATTTATTTTACCAAGCAAATTCAAGAAACCTTAATATTTGAAATTGGTGGAGGCCAGTATGAAGTAATAGAAAACTGGAATAGAATCATTAGAGTACAAAAAGCATACAGTAAAAGTAATTTCTATCTGAGTGCTTCTAGGAAGGGTTTCTGCCTAATCTCTTTCCAGGAACAGCCAAAATTCACTTGTAATGAGACGCTCCAATTTAGATGCAATTCTTGCAATAAAAATCTTTAAAGATTTTATCTTAAGAATGTGAAATTTCCCTATTTTCTTGTTGACCTTGTCGATGTGCTTAATAAATACTTTATATTTGAATGATATAATAATAAACCTCACTCAATACTGGTCAATTTTTCAGAAATTTGGGGGAAAAAACAACTGACATCTGAATTAATGAGGTTTTACAAAACCCAGCACACAAGCAGCTCTTGTCTAAAAGTTTGCATAAAACAAAGGCTCCTCTGTGATTATGTTCCCACAACAAAGTGCTACTTCCTAATTAAACCTACACATAAAATAAAGCACTGCTCCAAAAGGCAGCTTTATTTTCAATGCCATAGGGAACTTCCCTTTTTTACAAAACAGATCTTATCTTCTAAAAGACTATTATACATTTTTACTCACAAATCTGACCCTCACTCCCACTGAAATGTTCTCCGGCTTTAAAAGTTTTTTAAGGAAAATAGGAGATAACTGATTTATTTTCCTGCTTCTTGATCAAAAAAAAAAAAAAAAACACGTTAGGTAGCACCCAATTCTATCAGCCACTGCAAAAGCATGAAGGAAGTGTCAATACCCTGCTGGATTCATAGGGGAGAGGACCCTACTGAGCAGGCAAACAGAACAAGAGGGAAAGGGCTAGAATCTGAACACTCCCAACATCAAGAGGGAATTGCAAGAGCTCTTGCCAGTCTCCCCATAAAGTCAGAACAAAGGAAAACAATAATTGGAGACCAAAGACAAGGAGACAGCGTGGCATGGTGTAGAGGGAACCAGAGGTCCTGGTTTCCAGGCCTAGCTTGAGCACCTGCAGCCGTAGACTCTGGGCAAGCCTGTGACCTGCTTACTCTGTGCCGTGATTTTTGTACCTGCAAAGAGGCGATCACTCGCATTCCAGAACTGCTGGGAAAAGCAGATGAAATAACATGGACGAGGAAAAAAATGCTATAACCCATATCTATAAATTCCTATATATGTACCTGTTAATAACATTCCTCTTTCAAAAGATGCTCAAAACAAAATTAACCATAAATTTGTCATATAAACCTCAAACATGATTGATACTCACTGTATTACTTCATTGGTATACATACGAAATGAACCTTTTTTCACTGAAAGCTCAAGTTATTACCCATAACAGAAAAAGCACCAAAATGTCAGGCCTGAGGATTCTTAGGCAAATGATGCGTAAGCCATATAGAAACTATTAATGCAGCTTTAACAATTATTAATCATGAGTTTCAGTTATACTGGGAAATGTTCATGCTATACAATTACATAAAACATTAGAACACAAATTTATATATCACATAATCTGTCTCAGCTGGAGGGTCAGAGTGGTGCAATGATGCAGAGCTCAGGCTCTTAAGCTTCAGTGAGTCCTACCCTTGAGCAAGCCTCTTAAACTCTCTAAGTCTCAGTTTCGTCATCTGTCAAAAGGGGATAATAACAGGAGCCAAGTCACAGGCGATTATGAGAATTCAATGACATAATCCTGATCAAGTGCATAGCACAATGTCTGGCACAGTAAGTATGTAATACATGATAGTATTGTTGTAGCATTATTAAATGCATAGAATTGTAGGCAAATGACAAAGTAAATATCCCAAGGGATCAATTAGCGATTGTTACAGAGCGAAGAGATGATGTGTTTCTGCCTGTTTACACTTATCTTATCTTCCATTTTTCTATGATGATTCCATCTTAATTTCCTAATCAGAAAAAACAGAATAATTATTGACTTATGAATTTCTCAAAATCTGCATAACTGCACTCCTTAATCCTGTTAGCTAACTGTAATTAGATTCTATTAAGGCCTGGTTTAACATTTCCCTTGGTGATATCTGAAGATCTTTGGGAACCTAAAGTAATTTGTGTATTAGAAATATGACAGAGGGAAAGAAAACTCATGTTTATTAAATGTGAGGAGTTTGTTAGGTACTCTACATCCTTCAAGCTATCACATTTCACTTTGTATATATCACCCTACCACACTTCATGCATCTCCACCACATCACACCACCAAAACCCAATAGTTAATACATAAATGGAACTGCTTCTGTATTTCCTCCATCCCTGTCCTGAAGGTCCCAGGACCAAGCTGGTGCCCTGATGCAGTCTCTCGGCTGAGAACCAAGAATACCTAGTTTGTAATGTATTAGACAGCAGTCCATGATTTCTCCAGGAGAATTCTAAAATTTGCATTTTCATTCCAAAGTTATTCTAAAAAACTTAATATGAGCATATTTAGGATGTGGCTGACCACCATAATAACAAAATCCTGCCCCAGGATGTCGAGGGCTGCTCTGTCTCTGTGTTTCTGTTGGTATACTGGTGCAAGTGACCACCTACTGAGAAGAAGTGTTTGCGCTGGTTGCTAAGCACCTGCCAGCCCAGCTTTGGATGCTGAGGCTGGGACGCTGCAAATCGATGCTCCCTGACGGCGACACTAGTGGGAGGCTGGAGGGCTGGAGGGAGGCAGGACTTCTCCCATGTCTACTTCCGGGTCCTATCAGCCTTGCCCAGCAGCGGCCCTCTGCCTTGGGCTGTAGCAGCTGACTCCAGCCTCCAGCTTTCCAGGACCCCCAGAAGAGCATTCTGAAAGATAGGAGACTCTCTTCCCAGGCTCTAGGTGCTATAACCACACCCTCCTGCGTTGCTGCCTCCTCCACCACTACTACCCCCAAGTTACCTTCCTGCTCCCTCTCCCAGCTCTCCCACACTGTCAAACCAATTCCTCACACTAAATTTGTGCCTTTAAATGACTGGTGTGGCTTCCATATTCCTGACTGACCCTGGCTGACATAATACACCAAATATTTCACAGTGTATTAACTTTTTTAAGTTGTAGAAAAATATACGTAACATAAAAACCACGACTTTAGCCATGTTTAAGTGTAGAATTCAGTGGCATTAAGTATATTCACACTGTTGTGCAATGATCACTACCATCTATCTCCAGAACTTCCGAACCTAAACTGTGCACCCATTAAACAACAACTCCCCATTCTCTCTCCTCCCAGCTCCTGGCAACCACCCCGCTCCACTTTCTGTCTCTATGAACTGACTTCTCCAGGTACTTCATCCAAATTGATTCATATAATATTTCTTCTTTTGTGTGTGGCTTATTTCATTTAGCGTAATGTTTCCAGGGTACATACATGCTGTGGTATGTGTCAAAATTTCATTCCTTTTTAAGGCTAAGATTCTACTGTATGCACATACCATGTTTTGACTATCCATTCACCTGTTGATGGTTGATGGACATCTGGGTTGCTTCCACCTCCTGGCTACTGTGAATAATGCTGCTCTGAACACTGGCATCTGTTTGAGTCCCTACTTTAAATTCTTTACGGCATTCCCTAGTAGTGGAATTGCTGTAATTCTATGTTTATTTCTGAGGAACAACCATACTGGTTGTGTGTGTGTGTGTGTGTGTGTGTGTTTATGAGAAGGAGTCTTGCTCTGTCGCCAGGCTGGAGTGCAGTGGCGTGATCTCAGCTCACTGCAACCTCCACCTCCCGGGTTCAAGCTATTCCCCTGCCTCAGCCTCCCAAGTAGCTGGGATTATAGGCATTGGCCACCACGCCCGGCTAATTTTTTGTATTTTAGTAGAGACAGGGTTTCACCATGTTGGCCGAGATGGTCTCAATCTCCTGACCTCGTGATCTGACCTCCTCGGCCTCCCAAAGTGCTGGGATTACAGACATGAGCCACCACGCCCGGCCAGAACAACCACACTGTTTTTCATAACACTGTGCCATTTTACATTTCCACCCACAGTGCACAGGGTTCCATTTTCTTCACATCCTCACCAACACTTATTATTTTCCAACTCTTTCAATATAGCAATCCTAATGGGTGTGAAGGGGTATCTTATTGTGGTTTGATTTTCACTTCCCTATTGAATAATGACGATGAACATCTTTTCATCTCAACAGTGTATTAACTTTTAAAATAGTGGTTCTCAAACAGGAAATCTTCATGTTCTTCTACTGAGAAATGCTACCATAGGGAATAAATTTTCCTGTAATTCGTGGAACCTATAGGATTTTGGACAATTATAAATGCAAGATTCATGAAATGTGCATGCTCTTTCAGAATAATTTCTCTTAAATTTTAAGTTGTCAAAAAAGATCACTGTTCAGTGGTAGTATTGATATATGAGATCCTAAACCACTTGGTGAGCAGCATTTTATTAATGGAGACCACAACATATATGTTAATTTTGTATTTGTTAAAGTTGATGATTATTATGCTTTACTTTTCTTAAAAATATCACACACATGAAATTCCTATGAATTTTTTAAAAGTAAGATACTGCTAGATATCTGACAGTGTATCTTCTAAAATACTGTGAATCAATGAAAGAAGTGAATAGTAGACATTATTTTTAAAAAGCAAAGAAGTAAATCTCATTATTCCTCTTGTAATACATTACTAAAATAAACAGTAGTTAAACCTTATTGCAAACCATACAACATTTATGGACTTCTGATAAGACTACTTTTTAATCTTTTCTTTAGTTTATCTTGCAGATAACCAAACCTAATACATAGAGGCAAAAAAAAAAAAAAAAAAAAAAAAAAAAAAAAAAAAATGCTGTAATTCTGACAGCTGTCATCAATTAGAGAATCAGGAACAGGATCAATGTTAGCATTTGCCAACACAGAATGCAGCTAATTTGGTCATAAAACCTCAAGAGCTGATATTTACCAAGTTACACAAACACATTTATAATATTAAGTTTTACAACTCTTGATAAGACTAAGGTCTACCTGTAATTTTACTTTAGAAATCTATACTTTAGATTTTACATTTTTATAGTACTGAAACAAAGCAGCCAAAAGGTTTGTTCCTTGTTCTTTTCTATTCAGACTGTGAACAAGAAAAGAGGAGGGGGGGGAAGTTAAAAAAAATTTTTAAAAAAGCACAAGGTCAGGCGCGGTGGCTCACACCTGTGATCCCGGCATTTTGGGAGGCCAAGGTGGGCAGGTCACCTGAGGTTGGGAGTTCGAGGCCAGCCTGACCAACATGGAGAAACCCTGTCTCTACTAAAAATACAAAATTAGCCGGGCATGGTGGTGCATGCCTGTAATCCCAGCTACTCAGAAGGCTGAGGCAGGAGAATCGCTTGAACCCTGGGAGGCGGAGGTTGCAGTGAGCCGAGATCGCGCCATTGCCCTCCAGTCTGGGAAACAAGAGCGAAACTCCGTCTCAAAAAAAAAATAACGGAAGAAAGAAAGCACTAGGCTGGGCGCGGTGGCTTACGCCGGTAATTCCAGCACTTTGGGAGGCCGAGGCAGGCAGATCACTTGAGGTCAGGAGTTCAAGGCCAGCCTGGGCAACATGATGAAACCACGTCTCTACTAAAAATACAAAAATAGCTGGGTACAGTGGTGTGTGCCTGTAGTCCCAGCCACTTGGGAGGATGGGGTGGGAGAATCTCTTGAACCTGGGAGGCAGAGGTTGCAGTGAGCCGAGATCACGCCAATGCACTCCAGCCTGGGCGACAGAGTGAGGCTCCATTTAAAAAAAAAAAAAAAGTACTGATCCATAATGCAATTATTGACTCAGTGCCTGAACTGTGCCAATGTCTGGGTGTGCAGAAGTGAATAAGACATCTCTCTATAAATACTAACCAGGAAAGGAAAGGGCAGAGAAAGAAAAGTAGAAGACAGCTGTGGTCCCATCCCTCATGGAGTATATAGTCTAGAAAACAACTGGTAGTTGGCTAATGGCTAAGGAAACATGCAGATTTTGGCAAGGTAAAAAAAAGTCATCAGAAGGTGTAGCCATGCTGTAGATCTGAATGTCAGTGAGATCTAAGAAACAATGGGGATATGGGACAGAAAAAAGGAAGTAACATTACAAGGAAGAAACCTGACTTTTAACACCCAGAGAGAATTCAAATTTAGCACCACTACTAGTGGGACAACCAGCCCTGGGTGCCTCCTGATGTGAGGTGAGAGGATGGCTGGTGATGTGGTCTTCTGAAAAACACTTAACTGGAATCTAATCAGGTCTCTAGAGCTGAATTTGGTGTATAGGAAATAGAGAGCACAGAAGAATATGTTAAATAAAACCATGAAGAAACAATCTGACAAATCCAGAATGTGGCATATTCTACAGGACAACTGGTCTGGTCTATTCATATATTCAATAGCATTTTTTTTAAGTGAAGGACAATTCAGATGAGAAGAGATTTAAGAAGCATAGCAATCCAATGCAACAAGTGGTCCTTACTGGATCCTGGTTAAAAAAAAAAAAAAGCAGTAAAAGATACTAGTTGATAAACTGGGAAAATTGAATGTGGATGGGAAAAGAGTTATTAAGAAATTACTGTTAATTTTGCCCAAGGAGGCTGAAATGGTATGGTATCTAATCAGAACAAACGTCTTTATTTTTTGAAGACACAAACTGAAGGACTGGCAAAATGTTGTGATGACTGCAATTCACTGAAACGAACATGGTCCAGTGTTTTAAAATCCCCAAATCTCAAGGGTGGGTATATGTGTATTCACTGTAATATGCTTTCTACATATGCAAAAGTGTTTGTAATAAAAAGGCTCAATAAATAAATAAATCTGAGAAAGGCTTGATCAGATATAAGCATAATGTGCTTTGTTTAAAAAAAAACAAAGCACAGCAGAATTTTTATACTGTGTAAATGGTAAAGAAATTTCTGAATACTAATTATTTTAAGTGATCTTATTTTAAAAGCATATCCTAAAACACTAAAAATTACCTAAAGCAGCCTATAACTATATGTCTATGGTTTTTTCTGTTCTTTTCTTTTTTTTTTTTTTTTTTTTGAGACGGAGTCTCGCTCTGTCGCCCAGGCTGGAGTGCAGTGGTGCAGTCTCGGCTCACTGCAAGCTCCGCCTCCTGGGTTCACGCCATTCTCCTGCCTCAGCCTCCCGAGTAGCTGGGACTACAGGTGCCCACCACCACGCCTGGCTCATTTTTTTGTATCTTTTTTAGTAGAGACGGGATTTCACTGTGTTAGCCAGGATGGTCTCGATCTCCTGACCTCGTGATCCGCCCACCTCAGCCTCCGAAAGTGCTGGGATTACAGGCATGAGCCACTGCACCTGGCTGTCTATGCTTATTTTTTAAAAATGCCTTAAACATCTAAAATGGAGACTGCCTTCTGGAATTCCTCAGACTAACTTAGTCCATCCCTTCAGGATGAAGTCAAGCATGACAAATTTCAAGACAAAGGATAGACTTACAGAGGTTTGAAATCTATATGTAAAATGTCCAGGTCTTAATTTGGCCAAACTCATATAATATCACATTCTTAATAATGAACACAGTTTTACTTTTTCCTTTAGAAAAAGGAAAATATGTCAGAAAGGTGATGGGAAAAACCGAAATCTTCCAGAGAACCATTCTTACCACTGAGATAAACACAAAGGCCAGGGTTAAAAAGAAGCTCTTGGCTGGACGTGGTGCTCATGCCTCTAATCCCGGCACTTTGGGAAGCCGAGGCCGGTGGATCACCTGAGATCAGAAGTTCGAGACCACACTCCTGTAATCCCAGCTACTCAGGAGGCTGAGGCAGGAGAATCGCGTGAACCCGGGAGGCAGAGGTTGCAGTGAGCCAAGATCCAGCCACTGCACTCCAGCCTGGGTAATAAGAGTGAAACTCCGTCTCAAAAAAAAAAAAAAAACAAAAAACAAAACACAACAACAAAGAAGCTCTTTTCAAAGAAGCTCTTTTCTCTTTTTATTTTTTTTTGTTTTTTATTTTATTTTATTTTATTTTATTTTTTTTGAGACAGAGTCTCGCTCTGTCGCCCAGGCTGGAGTGCAGTGGTGTGATCTCGGCTCACTGCAACCTCTGCCTCCTGGGTTCACGCCATTCTCCTGCCTCAGCCTCCCGAGTAGCTGGGACTACAGGCGCCTGCCACCACGCCCAGCTAATTTTTTGTATTTTTAGTAAAGACGGGGTTTCACCGTGTTAGCCAGGATGGTCTCGATCTCCTGACCTCGTGATCCACCCGCCTTGGCCTCCCAAAGTGCCGGGATTACAGGCGTGAGCCACCGCACCTGGCTCTTTTCTCTTTTTCTTTAAGGGGATTTGAAAATATTAAGGAGTGTCACATTAATTCATGTCTTATACCTGAAAGCTATTAAAAGTGTTATTTTACTTTCATAATACTGTGAACCTGAACTTGGAAAATGTCTCCTGAGCTGCACATCTTGCTACCTTATTTGCTGTAATTATTACAGAACACAAGTTCCTTGTACATCAATATATGAAGTATCACCTTGTCTTCTTAAAATCCTGCACATTTGGCCAGGTCTGGTGGCTCACTCCTGTAATCCCAGCACTTTGGGAGGCCAAGGCAGGCGGATCACGAGGTCAAGAGATGAGACCATCCTGGCCAACATAGTGAAATCCTGTCTACTAAAAACACAAAAAAATTAACCAGGCATGGCGACAGGAGCCTGTAGTCCCAGCTAATCGGGAGGCTGAGGCAGGAGAATCGCTTGAACCGGGGAGGCGGAAGTTGCAGTGTGCCGAGATCGCGCCACTGCACTCCAGCCTGACGACAGAGTGAGACTTTGTCTCAAAAAATAAAAAATAAAAATAAAAAATAAAAAAAAATTCCTGCACATTTTAAAACTATCACTTATTCAAAGAATTCTGATTGTCATTAAATCTCTATAATTCCTATTTAAATCCTACAATGCACATCACAATTACTTGTGTCTTTTAACCGATCTCATATTTTACATGAAACTTATGAGTTCTAACACAAGAGAAACTGAATGGAAATAAATAAGAATTAATGCGATGGCTTTTCTGAAAAGCTCAAAACAGAACCAGGACAACAGCTCCAAAACACCTGCCATCTCTCTTTTTCATTCCTTCCACTCAGACTCCTTTTGTTTTTCTTTCCCAGGAACATCAGGGCAACTGGGGCTCATCTCATATTTCTCTCCATCCTCCTATGTGGACTTGAAGCAAGGTAAGGAGATGCAGGTGTGGCTGGAGCCAGTCATACCTTCCCTCTCCCCACTCATGCTGAAGGCACTGCTTAAGTTACTATTGGGCAACTCCAGCTTACCTGGCCCAGACAGACTACATGTGGCAGGGGAGACACAGTCAAGAGGTTTAACACCGTTTTGTCTTTTTTTCTTCTAGCCTTATATAATCCTTATACAATAACTTACTCAATGACATTAGCAAGACAGTAAGCTAAAAGTTAGGAAATACATGTGTTTTCCCCCTCTCCCTCCCCATGCATCTGTTGGCAGCCAGCAAACAGCCTGACATGATACCCTGGATGGATGAGTGTGCCCTGTTGACACAGCTTCGAAGAACATCAACCATATGGAAGCAATTTCACCCATCTCCCTGAAGACACCTGGGAATGATGAAAGTGACAAGAAATGGCACCAGGGACTCCTTCTGTATACCACTTGCCTTCACCTGGTGGAAATAGTGAGATTAGAATGTAAATGTGTTCAGAAAGAAGCCAGACTTTCCCAAAGGTCATCAGAAGACCACAGCTCAGCAGCCTGTAGACACTCTTCAATGGTTCTGGGCTCACCTACCTGTCTTAAGTCCAGAGTGATTGTGACCCAGTGATATTCTCTCCCATTCTGAATGCTGGGACTTTGCCACCAGTTATTGGTGCCATCTATGGCATGTGATATTGGATGGCGTTCTGTTGAAAGAAAATAAAAAACATGAATTCCTCTCGGCTGTTGCTTTAAATTTCTTAAGTTCTAAACCGTAATGCTAGTGGAAACAAAGAGCAGTGAAGGTGAACACAATGTTTATGGCTTCCTAACAGAAGTCTCAGTCCTCATTTCACAAAGTGTACATTCCCATGGGAATTTCAGAAATAAAGGCGCGACACTTGCCTCTGGGGTTTGCGCTGTTGCCATCACAGATCCGGCACTGTGGGTTTCGGACGGGCCGACCTGGCACATGCTCCACAAGTTTGCAGAACATCTCCGGCCCCTTCTCGCCACAGGTGGCATTGGTGCTGATGTGAGCATTGCTGGCAAGATTGAGAATGGCAGGAAACAGGCCTGAAAGTGAAAATTTACCAAATCAGCTGAGCCACTTGAAATCCAAAGAATGAGCTTACCCCATCCCACTTGGTAGGTGAATCAAAAGGAGATTGAAAGTCTATGTGCTGAATGAAGGAATCCTTACACAAACACCGTATACGCAGCATGGTTTCATCTATATGAAATTCTGGGAGAAGCAAAATTCATCTACGGAGAAAAGTCAAACCATTGTTGCAGGGGGTGGGGATTGACTATGAAACGACAGAGGAACTTTCTAGGGTAATACGTTCATATCTCGATAAAGCTTTGGGTTTCACAGGCAGATGCAATTGTGAAAAATCATAGAATGAGTACACCTAAGTAAGATTTGGGTAGATCCGTGTATCTTAGTATGTGCACGTTCTACCTCAAAAATAAATAAATAAATAAAAGAATCATAAATACCAATGTACATGCGGAAATGTTTAGGAGTAAAGTCTACTTATGTCTCCAATTCACTTCGAAATGCACCACAAAGTAAGCTGGCTTCCAATGATATGCCATCTCACACTAGTCAGAATGTCTATTATTAAAAAGTCAAAAAACAACAGATACTGGAGAAGCTGTGGAGAAAAGGGAATGCTTATATACTGTCGGTGGGAGTGTAAATCAGTTCAGCCGCTGTGGAGATTGTGCCACTGCACTCCAGCCTGGACAATAGAGCGAGACTGAGCCTCAAAAACAACAACAAAAAAAAACCAAGGCGAGAGTATGGGTGTTCACTGTACAATTCTTTCCACTTTTCTGATTGAAAATGTTTACAATAAAATGTTGTGAAACAGGCCTTAAGGGAAGTTTCAAATGATCCAATGCATATATTTATCAATGCAATCCAAACGTCTTTCACTTGAAAGAAGGGCATTTATTCTGTCCTCACTTTGGTCCAGTTGACTCTGGTAGTATTTACAAGGTCTTTTCTATAATTATCTAGGATTTTTTTTGTCTCTCTCTTCTCTTTCTTTACTCCTGTTTTCTTTGCTGAATAAAATTTTAGAACACAAAGATACAGTTTTCAAAATGCTTTTCAAGTCATTATTGATCTTTGCCTTTGTACTGTTCCTTTGTCTCAGCTGATTTTATCTTTAAGCAGCCAAGATCAGTACCAGGTCCAAACTATTCAGGAAACAATTTCTGGGTGACTGTGAGAAAAGTACCTCCATTCGGTTCTTTGGAGATTTAACTTTATCTTGGTAAAAGGGGATAGCAGCAGTGAAGATTCTGTAAAGATCTAGAAACAATGGTGTACGCGATGTTGAAGAGACATTCTCCAGGCATGGACACTGAGCTGAGAGCATACTGCGAGGGTCTCAGCTTAGTGGCGTTTCTCTAACATAGTACAGCTTGATCTTAAAAGATCACAGAATATAATCTTTTCTTTGTAAAAACCATATAGAAATACCATTACTGAAATGTTTATTTTTCAGTGAAATTTAAAATAGCACAGTGTAATTTTAGTAACACAGAAGGAATTCATGGCTTCCACTGTTATTTTTTAGGCACTGCCTAATACGTTCAATGATCTTTTCCATTATAAATATTTTAAATTTTAAATTATCAAACAAAAATGGTTATTTCTCTAACACTTGCTACACTAAAAACCTTACCATGCATCTATTAAAAAAATACATTAGGTAGTCTTTCAAAAACTTTTTACATAAAACAGAACTACCTATTAGTAATTCTGTCAAATAGAAGGACCCCATTCTGTCAATAAGTCCTTACCCTCTCAAGATAAAATAGTTATTTAATATTTGTACTCTAAAGCATTATTCTTAATTTTGAAACATAGCATGAACTTACATCATATACTATGTTTAATATATTTATTTTCATTTTTAACTTAAAGATGCTTATTTTTATCATATCCCTGTAAAGGGACTTCGTTTGTTTTTAATATAAAATAAGAAAAAAAAATGCTTTATGCGGAACCAGATGAGTCATTGTGTTTAATCATGCAGCTCCCCAATTTATTATTTTCATCAACCAGTAGTTAGACAGTTATATTTTATGTAATAATGTAGCTCCTACAGTAACACATACATTCTTATGTGTGGTACTTACCTGTAGCAGGGGCTGACGTTTATTCTATTTAGTACTAAGATAAACAATAATTTCCTCCATCCTTTATGACCATAATATTCAGGTATTCTGATTCAAATTTCTCTTATCAGCTAATCATTTTAAATAAAATATGCTTTTAAACTATAGCGTTTTGTCCAAACAGCTAAAATGACATTTTTTGGCTCTGTATTACATACATGCAATTAGATTTACAGTACAATCAACTCTATCCATTCCCTTCACAAAGACTAGTCAAGCAAGAAAAAGAAACCAAGGTTACAAGAACTGACTTCACAATGCATTTCTCTATTAACAACAAATACTTCACCAGTTAACGAATGTTCCCACTTGCTCCTTATTCACCCCCACCAGTTGCAGGACATCAAAAGAACTCCCCACTACCTCCCAATCTGAGTAACTGCAGGGTCTTGTGTTATTGAGGAGGGGAGGGGGCCAGGGAGTCATGGAGGCACCACACACTGTGTATGCTGGAGTCTTTGCCCTGAGCCACTGAGAAAAAGCAGCTCAAACCTCATGAACATAAATTTAACTGTTTTTGGAGAATAATATCTCAGTTATAGTAATCAGCATCAGGTAGTTCTTTGCACTAGACAGGTTTCTTACCTGGCTGTTCTAAATATATATATATATACATTTTTTTTTTTTTTGAGACATAGTCTCTGTCGCCCAGGCTGGAGTGCAGTGGCACGATCTTGGCTCACTGCAACCTCCACCTCCCGGGTTCAAGCGATTCTCCTGCCTCAGCCTCCTGAGTAGCTGGGATTACACATGCGCACCACCACGCCCAGCTAATTTTTGTATTTTTAATAGAGACGGAGTTTCACCATGTTGGTCAGGCTGGTCTTGATCTTCTGACCTCAAGTGCTCCACTCGTCTCGGCCTCCCAAAGTGCTGGGATTACAGGCTTGAGCCACCGCGCCGGGCCCTAAATATACTTTTAATAAAAAGAAAGATTGCTTTTTTATTGAAAGTATATTTAGAAGAAATATACTTCATTAGCATGCCTATGCAAGTAAAACCTTCAAATAATTAATTTCATAAAAATATTTGGGTTGTCTTTCACTAAAACTAAATCTTCCTTCTCAGATAAGCTAATATTTGGAAAAAAATATTCACTAAAAATGATGTCTTACATATTATATTTACTCCCTTTTCATAGTTAATCACTATCCTTTTGTTGCAAAGAACCACATCTGTTCCAAGATGAAAGAAGATGAAAGAAGGTTGGGGCCGGGCGCAATGGCTCACGCCTGTAATCCCAGCACTTCGGGAGGCCGAGGCGGGCGGATCACTTGAGGTCAGGAGTTCGAGACCAGCCTGGCCACCATGGTAAAACTCCATCTCTACTAAAATTACAAAAAAAATTAGTGGGGCATGGTGGCACATGCCTGTAATCCAGCTACTCGGGAGGCTGAGGCAGGAGAATCACTTAAAGTTGAGAAGCGGAGGTTGCAGTGAGCTGAGATCACGCCACTGCACTCCAGCCTGGGCAACAGAGTGAGATTCTGTCTCAGAAAAAAAAAAAAAAAAAAAAAAAAAGCGGCGGTGGGGCTGTGGGGTTAGAAATGTGTACTAGAGCAAGCATGTTTTAAACAGAATTTTTATTTTTTTTTTAGATGGGGTTTCACTCTTTTTGCCCAGACTGGTAAATAGAATTTTTTTTAAAGTCCCTAAGGTTGCTGACTCATTGCAGACTACTGAAATAGTTCAATAAAGGGGAACCACATGACCATTGAGCAGGAGGTGAGATAGGAAATCAGAGAGTGAGAAGGAGCATTAGGATCAGGACAGTACCAAGAAGCTATGTTTGGTTTTACACATAAAAATCAAGGGTAGAACGAGGACTGTAGCTATGTGGCGTGACACAGTTTTCCCACTACTTCATCAAGGACTTAATAAATTAGTCTGCATGTTTTTTGTTGAGAAATGTTATTCACTTCAGTTACTGTTACTGTGATACTAATTTTTACTTTTTTCTTCCACTCAGGACACACAATGGAATCATTCCTCTACTGTGGATTTAACCAGCAGCTAAAAAATTTATAAAGCCAAACTCCATCGAGCATGAAATAAATTCCTTCTCACTCACTAGCAGTTACTGTTTTTAAACCCTTTCTGTACACTTGGCCTTTTGAAGTGCATTTCAGGATCATGTTAACCTACTGGAAGATTCTCTTATAAACATTAGGTGAAAAACGGCCACCAAGGTGGCAGACAACAATGCTACTACCATAATTACCACAGCTGAGACACTTCCAGATAGTTTATAATTCATTTTTAGAGGTTTTTGGATTTCTTCCCAGCAGAATATATCTTCCCTGTCTTAAAACCAAAGCATCTAAAATGTTGGCTAGGCCTGAGACTTGTTACAACAACTTCTTTGCCAATATTTTTCAAATGATTCAGAAGCCAAGCATTCAAAGTCTTAATTCATTTGTGTGTAAGAGAAGTATGAGGTTTTTTTTCCATTTTGGAAAAAAAAAAGTTTCTGAGTTCTAGAAAATGTTGTATTTGCTTGATCCATACTCAAAATCAAGGTGATGTTCTGAAAAGAAAATGATTTGCAATTCTTAGCTACAGGATCTGAGGCAATATTTCCAGATCATTTTTTTCCAGAATGAAACAAGAGAATATGAATATTTTATAGGGTTGAATAATCAGGGTGGCTTCTGGTGTTGGGAGTTTTTATTTTGAAAAACAAAGCTACTTATTCAATCCATGGAGAAATTTGGAAAAGTAGGAATTTAAGTTTCTAAATTTCTCAATCTAAATTGAGAAATTTGTGATCTTTAAAAAACATACAAATCCATTTTGTTTTCCATTTATTTTACTCTTTTTTTCTTCTTCTTCTTCTTTTTTTTTTTTTTTTTTTTTTGAGACAAGAGTCTTGCTCTGTCGCCCAGGCTGTAGTGCAGTGGCACGATCTCCGCTCACTGCAAGCTCCACCTCCCGGGTTCATGCCATTCTCCTGTCTCAGCCTCCAGAGTAGCTGGGACTATAGGCACCCGCCACCAAGCCCGGCTAATTTTTTGTATTTTTAGTAGAGATGGGGTTTCACCACGTTAGCCAGGATGGTCTCGATCTCCTGACTTCCTGATCCGCCCGCCTCAGCCTCCCAAAGTGCTGGGATTACAGGCGTGAGCCACCGCTCCTGGCCTATTTTACCCTTAATCTTACCCATTCGCCCAAGTGAACATCTATAATTTGATCAGAGAAGTCTGGTATTAGAAAGAAGCTACCCTGTTAATCAGCACTTTCTTTGAAACCTGGTAGTCACCTGACTGAGCAATAAAAACAGCACCTCTAACAACTACAAATAGCATGATTTAGTGAAAAATTCTGGAACTATTTAATAATATTCCAGGATAATAATATCAAGGTATTCTAATAACATAGTATTCCAGGTTAATAAGATTAAGGTATTCTAATGACATGAATTTTAGGAGGGTGGCTGGATTCCTATTCAGTAACATATCTATGATTTACACATATGCGTCAGAAAAAGCGGCTGAGAATGAATGTTTGATTAAGGTCAATAAACTTTTAACAAGCACCTCTTAGGTGTGCAGCACTGTGCCAGGCACCTCCCAGGGCACTATGATGAATGACCGAGCTTTTCCTGACCCCAGGGTTCTCACAACCAAGAAGGAAAGAGAAGCTTCTTCTCACCGATGTGGATAAACATAACATTAAAACTGCAGCAATATTTGAAAACAGATTTGAGGAGATGTTCTAGAGCAAGAGAAATGAGCAGGCATCATCTAGGCAGAAATAGAAGGGCATGCATTCAGACAGGAACAGATACAACGTCTTTCACTGACTCCTCTCCATGCTCTTTAGATCCATTTCAATTTCCTTCCCTTTGTACCTTTCATAGATCCATTCACGCCCTATTCATCCTTCCAGCCAAGTCCAGATCTTTCCTGAACCCCAGGCGAATGTCTTTGGTTGTACCTCAGCTCAGCATGCCCCACTGCACTTATCATTCATACAGAGATCATGAATTTACTGACCTGTCTCTCCCCAGTTCTTCTCCCCCACTATCCTTTTCCAAAAAATAAAAACAAAAACGGCCCTAGGACAGTGTCTGGCTCGCGTGAATGACGATAATGCCTGAGTGGAAGAATGAGTAAGTGAAGGAAGGAGATCCCTCTGCCTCTCCCTCAGGGACCACACAGGCGCACGGGACCGAGCACCTAAAATCTAGACTCAGCCTGCTGCCGACTCTGTGTCTTTGGGCAAGTCAAATTCTCAGCCTCAATTTCCTCAGCTATTAAATGAGTATCTCTATGAGTCCTTTTTTTCTGAGATGCTGTGATTCTTAATTTTACCTTAGTAAACTACCAGCTAAATCTGCCCACCATGATCTCTCTATTTAGAAAATGAAGTGAGAAAAACTTTTCTCCATTCAGTGTGCGCAAGGGTGGACAGAAATAATTTGGTAATTCTTTGATCTTTTTGGACAAAAGAAGCAAATAGAAATAGAGAGAAAAATTATTATTCTTTGCTTCTTTGTGCGTCGGACTGAAGTTGACCCTTTCATCTAAAAAAAGAAAGGTCTATAAAATGTCCTGTAATGACTTCAGAAAGATGACAAAAATGTCATAATAAGTGGGAATTTTGGTAGCAGTAACAAGTCCTGGTTGAGGTATTGCAGGTAAAATCAAAGTTCATCAAGTCTTTAAATCTATCCCTTCATAGGTTAACCTTCCAATTCTTAAGAATCAGATTTTATCACTATCTTCCAGAATAGGAATGGGTGAATAAGGGGTGGAGCACTGGCAGGAAAGTTGCTCCTTCACAACTTCCACCATAAGATGAGTTGGAAGAGAAACAGATGATGCTCCACGCCATCTTGGCTCAGGAAGCCAGAGGATCCTGGAGGATGGCTTTGCTTCCAGCCGATGCCCATGGCAACCAGCTCTTCCTTCCCCTGGCCCACTCCTCAGGATGTGAGTAAACCTACATCATGCGGAATTATTTCAAGACAGTAAATTCTATTCAAATATAGCATATTGAGTGTCTAACCTGTGTGTCCAGGTTTCAAATGGAAATGTTAATTCTAATTATGTATTTTTATATCAATATGTATTTGGATTTTGTTGGAATCCAAACTCTGAAATCGCTAGTGCCTAGGAAAGATGGCATTGATAAAGAGGAAGAACACAGGCTTCAAGTCAGGCAGCCCCCAGTGTGAATTCCAGGTCTACTGGCTGCCATCAGTGTGGCCTTGGCCGAGGGCTTTACCTCCCAGTCTCTCTATATGAATGATGAGAAGCACGGCACCCAGGCGTTTTTGTGAGCAATCAATGAGATCATGTAGGTAAAGGGTTTCATACAATGTATTAAGATCTCAACAAATAGCTGCTCTTATTATGTTCATATTATCAGGGGGTATCACTAAGTTTCCTCAAATATAATTAGTCTTTCATGATTATAGCTCATATATTTGAATCTCTGTTTCTCTTAAGTTTTAGAAGAAGAAGTGGGTTGGCCTTTAGGGGCCACTGGGTATGAAAAGCACATACCTCGAAATAGAAGAAATACTCTTAGCCCAGAAAAATGTGCACAGTGAGAGGCCTAAAGGAAAGGCTGACCTCAGCTCAGCTCAGGGGCTCGTCAAGGCATGGCCTCATAGCACGATTCGCCCGTTCCCCCTTCCCTTCCTCCCTTCGTCTCCTCCGTCCTCCCTGCCCTTTTCTCATTTGATCTTATTGTTCTTGCTGCTGTTGGCTTTGCCACACTGAGTACTTATGCCCCTGTAAGTTAACTGCATGTTTGTAAATCACAATCTTTTAATTGTCACGTAAGCCGAGAAGGGAAAGCACCTCAGGAGGTAACACTGAACGGGTTATGTAAAAAATGAGAGGGAGCTAGCCATGCATGGGTAACACTGAATTTCAACATACTTGGCTTTCTTTCTAACTTTTTTTGTTTTAAAAAATTATTTATTATTATTATTATTTTATTTTTTGGAGATAGGTTTTTATTCTGTTGCTCAGGCTGGAGTGCAGCGGTGCAATCACAGCTCACTGCCACCTCGAACTCCCAGGCTCAAGCGATCCTCCTACCTCAGCCTCCCGAGTACCTGGGGCTAGGGTGCATGCCACCATGCCTGGTTGATTTTATTTATTTATTTTTCTCGTAGAGACAGAGTCTCTCAATGTTGCCCAGGCTGGTCGGACTCCTGGCCTCAAACAATCCTTCCATCTCAGCCTCCCAAACTGCTGAGATTACAGGCGTGAGCCACAGTGCCTGCTGTCTAATATATTCTTTATGCATTTAAAAATATGTCAAGAGGCTGGACACGGAGGCTCAGGTCTGTAATCCCAGCTTCTGGGGAGACTGAGGCAAGAGGATCGCTTGAGCCTAGGAGCTCGAGGTTGCAGAGCTATGATTTCGCCACCGCACTCCAGCCTGGGAGACAGTGAGACTTTGTCTCTAAAAAAAACAGCAACAAAAACCATGCTGAGAATAGGTCCACAAGCTCTGCCAAAGGGATTAATTGGGACCATAAAGGTAAAGAAACCTGCTAGGGGCCAGGGTGGTGGCTCATGCCTGTAATCTCAGCACGTTCGGAGGCTGAGGCAGGCGAATCACTTGAGGTCAGGAGTTCGAGACCACCATCAGGAGATGATGGTGAACCTCATCTCTACTAAAAATACAAAAAATTAGCCAGACGTGGTGAAGCACCTGTAGTCCCACCTAATCGGGAGATTGAGGCAGGAGAATCACTTGAACCCAGGAGGCGGACATTGCAGTGAGCCAAGATCGTGCCACTGCACTCCAGCCTGGGCAAAAAAAACAAAACAAAACGCTGGTAGGGAAGGTGCAAGGAGTTAAGGGCAGAGGAAGAATTCCACTTGGTGGTGAGGTGACTCTGCTAGTGTCCTTGCCCTACCTCCTCTTCCAGGATCCCGTGCATCTCAGGAACAAGGCAGCCAGGAGGCCCATGACCTCTCACCCACATGGATTGTGAAGGTGAGTGGGAGGGGCTCAAGCCAAGAGCTCAGGCGAAGGCCCAATGACCTGGCGTGGGCCTGGCAGCAGCTGCCTCCAGCCCCGGTCCTCAATAAACCCCCTGTTGCCTGAGCGAGGTTTTATTTCTCCTGGGGAATAAAATCACCCTCTTCAAACATAATTATTATCTGATTTCTTGCACTTGATGCTCCAGCACGTTTTCAGGGACATGTTCTCCGTGAATGCTGAGGGCTGTGAACACATAGGAAAGGTGTGAGGGGTGGAGATGGGGGAAGGATTAAACTGAAATGATTTGGAGCAATGCATCCCCAACAGGTTCAGGGGGGCTGTTTACAAGTTGTGGCGAAATTCATCTTCACTCAAACCTTTTATTTCCCCAGAAAACAATACAAATATAGCCACGTGTCATAAAGTAGGTGTGTTTTAAAATTAAGTATACATGAACATGCGTTCCCAATACTACATAGTTCCAAGAGGCCTCAGCTCCACTTCTGAGCCATCAGCAAGTGGCAATGGCACCCTACAATAAGTGCTTCCTTATTCCCGGATCCTCTCCCCTGGGAAACCTGCCACCAAACATGTTCCCATAACAGGAGTCCCCTGCTTAAAGAAATTCTGTTTCCAGTTATTTGTTATAAGTTAAAAATTATTTTAAACCACTACTAAATGAACTCATTTTGTGTCTCAAAGACCAGTATTCTCAGTATGACTAAAAAATCAAAGCTAAGGCTTAAATATGTGAAATATATCAAAGTCTTGCCTGTTTAATGTAAAACGAGACTCTCATTTCCAAAGGGAACTATTTAAAATAACCAGTAGTTATTTTATGACTCTAATAAAGAGATCTCTAACACCTGGGAGTATTTTTTTTTAAGGAAGGTGACTTGACTTACTCTAAGCAGGGAGCTCTTTCAGCTTGATGCAGAAACACTAAGGGGAGAATAACCCCCTCCTTCAAAAGCAAATTCTTGGTTTTTGGACTAAACCAAAGTAATCATTGATGGCTGTTAGTAAAAGAAAAGCTTTAAGATATTCTAGCGATTCCACCAGGCAAGGACCAAAGCCCTTTCCAACACAGGACAAGAAAATATGTGGGTGGTGAGAAAGAAAGACAGGGAGAGATATTGAAAGAAAGAAAGAGAACAGAGAGAGAGAGAGAAAAAGAGAGAGAAGGAAGGGAGGGAGAGAGGGAGGGAGGGAGGGAATAAAGACCCCATACAAACAGTGAGAGAAAAGTCAAATCCAAACTCCTGGGAGTCTGGCATTTAACAAGTTGATTTCTTTTCCCCCCTCATGTGAGACGATGAAGAGAAGTTTAATCAGAAAACAAGAGGGGGTGGTAAGCAGAAGGATTTAGCAGGGTTTTGTTAAGAGTTCCATTTCCCTAGCAATGTGCTCAAGGTGTCCTTGAAAAAGACAGAGGTTTTGATTGTAAGAGAAACACATGGTATGAACAAGTTAACCACAAATATTTTCTGCAGAAAAACAGTATGTTATCAGTATCCACTTACTCCTCTCACAATGGTTCATTTAAATGCTCATATTCAATGACTCTGTGATTTTTCATTTAGTATACAAGTTTAGTTGGCAGAGAAAAGAACTTTAATTCATTCATCGTGAAGCAGTTTTCTCTTTTGTTTCCAAGGACAACAATTTAAATGTTCTACCTGATTAAAATTATTATTGCACTTACGCAAAACACAATAGCACCACAATATGCAACACATTTAAAATTTCATATCATTCCCATTGTCCTGAGAAGTCACTGTACCTCTCTCCTAAATCCTTACAGGTGAAAAATAAAAAAGCAAATGCAGCCTTTAAGTTGAATAATGACAACACTGTTGGATTAAAATGCAGCTATATTAAATTTTGCTTATATCATTTATGACACTTACAATATTTATATCCTTTAAATACTTAAAACACCAGTTTTCTGACCAGCCCAAACACTTCCAAAGGCCATGAACTTTTCTACAAAACCCTGAAGGTCTTAGTTATTTCTTTCCCTTTCTTCTGCCACTTCTGCACTTGATTGTACAGATTTTACTTGCTTATGCTTTAAAACTTTAGCATCCTTGTTTCACTATCGCGGGGCATGTGCTGAGGACCATTTCATGAGTATGTGACCTGCACAATCACTTTTCGTTTAGTGCTATGCTGAAACTGTTGAAATGTTTAATAATTTAAAGAAAGAGTCCCACATTTTCACTTTGCACTGGCTCCTCAATTTACATGACTGGTCCTGCATGTGCCTAGTGGTAACTGCAATAAGAAATTGTCCTTAAAAATGTCCAGTGACCAGTACCTCCGATCAAATCATTTGGCACTTGAGATGTCAAATGCATCACCATCTCTAACAGAACACCAGCACGAAGACCCCAAGGTGGCTGGATCCACAGGATTAGAGCTACTTTTATTCCAGTACATATCTAAAGGGTCATCTTACAGACAAAGAAATCATTTGAGTTACGTTTTACCTTATGCACCAATGGCAGACAAATATATTTAACAACAAAACACTCTGATCACAGGTGCACAGAGTTAAATTATTTTGGTGTCATTCTCACTGGGATTGATACAACACTATATTTTCTCAGTTCTAGTACCATTTTTCCCCTGAAATGAAGCCACCTCTTTATAAGCACATATACTTTGAACCTGGTAGTTTTTCTCTTTTTCAAAAGGCTATTCCTAGATTAAGGCTGTATATAACAAGAATTGTCTTCATTGTCTCCAATTCTTTGCCTCACATTCTCTCTTCACTCAGTTCCAACTGAGAAGCTGTTCCTTTTAATCACTAAGAATGCCGGCTGGGTGCGGTGGCTCATGCCAGCACTTTGGGAGGCCGAGGCAGGTGGATCACGAGGTCAGGAGATCGAGACCATCCTGGCTAACATGGTGAAACCCCATTTCTACTAAAAATACAAAAAAATTAGCCGGGCGTGGTGGCACGCACTGTAGTCGCCGCTACTCGGGAGGCTGAGGCAGGAGAATCACTTGAACCCAGGAGGTGGAGGCTGCAGTGAGCTGGGATCAGGCCACTGCACTCCAGCCTGGCAACAGAGCGAGTCTCTGTCTCGGGAAAAAAAAAAAAAAAAAAAGAATGCCCTTTGCAAGGTCTCCATAGCTTCCATCTTGGCAAACCCAACAAGCAGTTTACTTTCAGTACACTTGAACTTGCAGCAGCTTTTGTCAAAAATGATCTTTCTCTCTTTCTTAAACCCTGTTTCTTTTGGTCTCCACGCTACATATATCATGCTACATACATACATCATACATCATAATACAGACTCGTGGTTTCCCTCAAGCAACTTCTCAGTCTCTTCTGCTGGCCATCCCAAAGGTCTCCATGTGAATCAATTTCCTGTGGTGGCAGCACATGCTCATTCACCGCACAGGTGCAATCGCATGGGGAAAACCTGGGAAGGAGTATATTTTCCCAAAATGTGGTCTTTAAAAAGGACGCAAGCAACATAAAGTATACCGAATTGAGGAGCAGAGAACTGGGTTTTCCATGCTGTGTACCCAACACTTCCTTGTTCAATATTTTAAATCCTGACTTAGATAATGGTATTAAAAAGGCGTCAAATGGCGGGGCACAGTGGCTCACGCCTGTAATCCCAGCACTTTGGGAGGCCGAGGCGGGCGGATCACGAGGTCAGGATATCAAGACCATCCTGGCTAACACGGTGAAACCCCGTCTCTACTAAAAATATAAAAAATTAGCCGGGCGGGGTGGCGGGCGCCTGTGGTCCCAGCTACTCAGGAGGCTGAGGCAGGAGAATGGCATGAACCCGGGAGGTGGAGCTTGCAGTGATCCAAGATCGCGCCACTGCACTCCAGCCTGGGCGACAGAGCCAGACTCGGTCAAAAAAAAAGGCATCAAATGTGTGAAAAGTACATGGAATTAGGGGAATCTCAAGAGTGGCCAAAATAAAACCAGAGTAAGTTTAGTAGGGATCAATACAGCACCTTCCACTTTTCCCCCAAAATCCACCTGCAAGCACAGCAAGTCCTGGCAAAGGTGGAAAAGATGTTATGGTTCTCTGTGAGAGGTGTGCACAATGTGAGAACAGCACTAGGAAAAATGCTAACATGATCTAAGGTTGATTAATAATACCATAACATTAAGGTAGATGGAAGATGACCCTTTAGCATTCACACATTTGATAACTAAGATTTAATTATGCACAAGGTAGAGAGATAAGAATTACTGCAGGGTTTCTCAACTTTTTTTTTTTTTTTTTTTTCAGACAATCTCTCTCTGTTGCCCAGGCTGGAGTGCAGTGTCACGATATCGGCTCCCCGCATCCTCCGCCTCCCGGGTTCAAGGGATCCTCCCACTTCAGCCTCCGGGAGTAGCTGGGACTACAGGTGTGTGCCACCATGCCCGGCTAATTTTTTGTATTTTTAGTAGAGACAGGGTTTTGCCACGTTGTCCAAGCTTGTCTCAATCTCCTAAGCTCAGGCAGTCTGCTCACCTCAGTCTCCCAAAGTGCCAGGATTATAGGAGTGAGCCACTACGCCCAGCCAAGGGCTTCTCCACTTTCACATGTACAAATCTCCTGGGTATCCGGTTCCAGTGCAGATTCTGATGCAGTAGGTCTGGAGTGGGGCTGAGATACTTCGATTTAACAAGTTCCCAGGGGATGCTGCACTGAGTTCAAGAAATTATCAAGACCATCCTGGCTAACACAGTGAAACCCTGTCTCTATTAAAAATACAAAAAATGAGCCGCGCGTGGTGGCAAGCACCTGTAGTCCCAGCTACTCGGGAGGCTGAGGCAGGAGAATGGCCTGAACCCAGGAGGCGGAGGTTGCAGTGAGCCTAGATTATTGCGCCACTGCACTCCAGCTTGGGTGACAGAGCAAGACTCCGTCTCAAAAAAAAAAAAAAAAAAAAAAGATATTAGATGATCTCCTGGACCTTTTTTCCAGCTCAAACACCCTGAGTTTAACCAATTCAGCCAAACTTGGCACAAGATCATCAGACTGCTTCATAAGCTCTCACTCCTTCCAGCAGCTTTCTGTCACTATTTAACTAGAACTCCAGATTCCTCACTCTTCATCCAAGTCTTGGAGACCTTTAGCAACTATTTTTAAAGGCAATGTGGTACTTCAGTTAAAACAAAGGTTTTTGGCTTACTGTTAAGAGGAAAAACTTCAAGGGTTCCAAAACTAAGGACACAACATAGGAACAAGTTCAACTCAGTAACAACCAGGGAAATCTATTAAGTCAAACCAGTGCAGTTCAGGCCCCATCCACACAGGCAGTGCCCAGAACTATAAATTTCTCAGTTTTATTCAAAAAGAATAAAATATTTAGGAAAAACATTTTAACAAAATAAATTCAAGACCAATACACTGAAAACCTATAAACATTTTTCGAGAAATTGAAGAAGTTCTAAATGAATAAAAAGATAATTCTTATTTGTAGATAGGAAGATTCAACATTGTGAGATAGCAGTTCTCTCCAAATTGATCTATAGATTCTATCCGATTCCAGCAATATCCCTTGACTGTTTTTTTTTTTTTTTTGTAGAAATTGACAAGCTGTTCCCTGGTTGCCTCAGGACCTTTCTCTCTCTCTCTCTCTCTCTCTCTCTCTCTCTCTCCTCTGCTGTCATTAAAAAATTAACAATTTGTTTCCTTTGATTTCCTAAGTTCTTCCCTATATTTGTATTATGATAATACAGTGACGGAAAATTTACTTTATGTCCACACTTTGGTAATGAAGGAATCAAAACCCAGGCTGGACCACATTAATAGATTACTCTCTTAAATCACATTTATGCGAGCCTTGTTTAATGTATTTTCTTTTAAAACAAACTGGTAGTACTCAAATGGTCTATCCTCACTACACCCCCCACTATGATGTACACACAGAACAGTGAATTTTCTCCCTTTCAGTTCTTGGTTGCACTTTCTACCCCTTCTCCTCCAGGAGCCCTCCCCTTCCTGTCTCCAGCCCCCAGGCTCCAGCTCTGAAGAAGGCTGGCAAGTTTAAGGGCCTCATTGGTTTCCAGGAGAGTGCCAGCTCTCTTTCAGCTTCTGGGGCTATGGGCCCAAGCAGCCCAAAGAGCCCTTCTTTGAATTTGGCATCTGTTTCCTCTCAGGGACTGCAATTCCCACGGAATTCTCCTTTACTTCAGTGTGCTGACAATTACTCAAACTGGAGACATTAACTGAGTGAGGTTTGACTAAAGGTGAAAATCCAGTTAAATAGCTTGAAAACACTTCAGTAGGCCAGGCGCTGTGGCTCACGCCTGTATCCCAGCACTTTGGGAGGCCCAGGCGGGCAGATCATGAGGTCAGGAATTGGAGACCAGCCTGGCAAACATAGTGAAACCCCGTCTCTACTAAAAATACAAAAAATTCGCCAGGCGTGGTGGCAGGCGCCTGTAATTCCAGTTACTCAGAAGGCTGAGGCAGGGGAATCGCTTGAACCTAGGAGGCGGAGGTTGCAGTGAGCCGAGATCGCGCCATTGCGCTCCAGCCCAGGCAACAGCGCGAGACTCCGTCTCAAAAAAAAAGAAAATACTTCAGTATAGACTGTGGTATGGTATATGTGTGTGTGAGAGACACAGGTTAAGCAGCTAGTATTAAAACAGGTGATGTGTCTTCCTGGATAGTTAGCTGGTGGTTCTCCAATCCGGAATACTGCCCACATTCCAGAGGCACCCTGCTCTTTCTGTCTCCATGACAGCAGCACTTTGTTAATTACCAGGGAGAATATAGCAATGGGATATTAGTAAAATCAGTGGATTGTTAATGGCATGATGACTAATGGAAACAGATTTCCACTGGTGAAATTCATGGTAGTCAAGGTCTCCATATCAATTACATTTTAGAGCTGGGCATCGTGGCTCACACCTATAATCCCAGCATTTTGAGAAGTCGGGGCAGGAAGACTGCTTGAGCCCAGGAGTACAACACCAGCCTGGGTAACAATTTTTTTTTAATTAGCTGGGCATGGTAGTGCGTGTCTGTAGTCCCAGCTACTCAGGAAGCTGAAGTGGGAAGATCTCTTGAGCCCAGGAGGTCAAGGCTGCAATGAGCCGTGATCACACCACTGCAATCCAGTCTAGGTGACCAAGCAAGACACTCTCTCTCTCTCTCTCTATCTCTCCCCCACCCCATTCCATATGTGTATATATATAAAATATAGAGCAACTTTTGTCTATGGCATAATAAGGAAGTTGACAAATTCTCTCCCACCCAAAAAAATTATGTAAGTGAACAAAGTTTTCAAAAGCAACCATTTCAGGACTCTGAAAATCATCTTAAGACAAACAACAAACTGGCAAGCTTTTCTTTAGGAAAAGCTGCTAGAGTTTTGGGTAAGATGCGTGGAAGAGAGCGTCCTTCCAGCAGAGGCAGCTCCATTCTTACCCCAGCCCGTCGGCAGGGGAGTTTCCTAAGGCAGGGCTAGCCGTGAAAGCCAGCAGCTCCACTGATGGAGAAGGCTGGCTTGATTCAGAGCAGAGCAGAAGCACATGCCTAATGATCTTATCAGCAAAAGTAGTGAACTTGGTAGAAAATGAATGGGGAAAGCTCACAGCTGGGCTAGCCTGAGGTTTTAGTCCCAGTAGGGTGCATGCAACCGATAGCTGGACCAGCCAAAATTGTAATAACGAGATCCTGGAAACAGGAGAGCCACAGAAGGGCTGGATCAGCTCTCCATCCACACCAGGCTTCTTTATTCAAAAGGAACAAAATACTTGAACAAAAAAAATAATAAAAAAAAAAGAATGAAAGAAATTCAAGAAAAATTCAATGAAAGAAATGTTATTCACAGAAAACCTATAAAAATTTTGGGGGAGAAATTAGAGAAGATTTAAATGAATGAAAAGATATTTCTTATTCATGAACGGGAAGATTCAATATTGTTAGACAGCAATTCTCCTTAAATTGATCTGTAGGTTCCATCCAATTGCTATCAAAATCTCAGCTGGCTTTTTTTTTTTTTTTTTTTGTAGAAATTGGCAAGCTGATACAATTGGAAATACAAATGACCTAGAACAGTTAAAGCACTTTAGAAAAAGTTAACAAAGTTGAATGACTTACACTACCTATTTCAAAACTTACTATAAAGCCAAAGAAGTCCAGACAGTGTGATATTAGCATAAAACAGATGCATAGATCAATAGAACAAAATAGAGTCCAAAAGTATATACTTATTTTTATGGTCATTTGATTTTTGGCAAAGGTGCGAAGGCAATTTTCAACAAATGTTGCTGGGACCACTGGATATCTATATGCAAAAAATGAACTTACACCTCTCCCTCTCCCTCTCCCCTCTCCCCTCTCCCCTCTCCCCACGGTCTCCCTCTCCCTCTCTTTCCACGGTCTCCCTCTCATGCTGAGCCGAAGCTGGACTGCACTGCTGCCATCTCGGCTCACTGCAACCTCCCTGCCTGATTCTCCTGACTCAGCCTGCCTAGTGCCTGCGATTGCAGGCTCGCGCCGCCACGCCTGACTGGTTTTGGTGGAGACGGGGTTTCGCTGTGTTGGCCAGGCCGGTCTCCAGCCCCTAACCGCAAGTAATCCGCCAGCCTCAGCCTCCCGAGGTGCCGGGATTGCAGACGGAGTCTCCTTCACTCAGTGCTCAATGGTGCCCAGGCTGGAGTGCAGTGGCGTGATCTCGGCTCGCTACAACCTCCACCTCCCAGCCGCCTGCCTTGGCCTCCCAAAGTGCCGAGATTGCAGCCTCTGCCCGGCTGCCACCCCGTCTGGGAAGTGAGGAGTGTCTCTGCCTGGCCGCCCATCGTCTGGGATGTGAGGAGCCCCTCTGCCTGGCTGCCCAGTCTGGAAAGTGAGGAGCGTCTCCGCCCGGCCGCCATCCCACCTAGGAAGTGAGGAGCACCTCTTCCCGGCCGCCATCACATCTAGGAAGTGAGGAGCGTCCCTGCCCGGCCGCCCATCGTCTAAGATGTGGGGAGCGCCTCTGCCCCGCCGCCCCGTCTGGGATGTGAGGAGCACCTCTGCCCGGCTGCGACCCCGTCTGGGAGGTGAGGAGCATCTCTGCCCGGCCGCCCCGTCTGAGAAGTGAGGAGACCCTCTGCCCGGCAACCGCCCCGTCTGAGAAGTGAGGAGCCTCTCCGACCGGCAGCCACCCAGTCTGGGAAGTGAGGAGCGTCTCCGCCCGGCAGCCACCCCATCCGGGAGGGAGGTGGGGGGGTCAGCCCCCCGCCCGGCCAGCCACCCCGTCCAGGAGGTGAGGGGCGCCTCTGCCCGGCCACCCCTACTGGGAAGTGAGGAGCCCCTCTGCCCGGCCACCGCCCCGTCCGGGAGGGAGGTGGGGGGGTCAGCCCCCCGCCCGGCCAGCCGCCCCGTCCGGGAGGTGAGGGGCGCCTCTGCCCGGCCGCCCCTACTGGGAAGTGAGGAGCCCCTCTGCCCGGCCACCACCCCGTCTGGGAGGTGTACTCAACAGCTCATTGAGAACAGGCCATGATGACAATGGTGGTTTTGTGGAATAGAAAGGGGGGAAAGGCGGGGAAAAGATTGAGAAATCGGATGGTTGCCGTGTCTGTGTAGAAAGAAGTAGACATGGGAGACTTTTCATTTTGTTCTGTACTAAGATAAATTCTTCTGCCTTGGGATCCTGTTGATCTGTGACCTTACCCCCAACCCTGTGCTCTCTGAAACATGTGCTGTGTCCACTCAGGGTTAAATGGATTAAGGGCGGTGCAAGATGTGCTTTGTTAAACAGATGCTTGAAGGCAGCATGCTCGTTAAGAGTCATCACCACTCCCTAATCTCAAGTACCCAGGGACACAAACACTGCGGAAGGCCGCAGGGTCCTCTGCCTAGGAAAACCAGAGACCTTTGTTCACTTGTTTATATGCTGACCTTCCCTCCACTATTGTCCTATGACCCTGCCAAATCCCCCTCTGTGAGAAACACCCAAGAATTATCAATAAAAAATAAATAAATTTAAAAAAAAACAAAAAAAAAAATGAACTTACACCCTGACTCCTTACCATACACAAAAGCTAACTCAAATGGATCATAAGAGCTAAATTTAAGAGCTAAATTATAAACTTTCCAGAAGAAAACCTAAGATCTTGGATTAGGCAAAGAAATTCTCAAATATGACACCAAAAGAATAACCCACAAAAGAAAATAATTGATCAAATGGACCTCATCAAAACAAACATAAAAATAATAAAAAATAAAAAAAACCTATGGCACTACAAAACATACCATTAAGAAAACAAAAAGACAAGCATAGGCCAGGCACGGTGGTTCACACCTGCAATCCCAGCACTTTGGGAGGCTGAGGAGGGCAGATCATGAGGTCAGGAGATTGAGACCATCCTGGCTAACACGGTGAAACCCCGTCTCTACTAAAAAATACAAAAAATTAGCCGGGTGTGGTGGTGAGCACCTGTAGTCCCAGCTACTCAGGAGGCTGAGGCAGGAGAATGGCGTGAACCAGGGAGGCGGAGCTTGCAGTGAGCCGAGATCGCGCCACTGCATTCCAGCCTGGGCAACAGAGCCAGACTTTGTCTCAAAAAAAAAAAAAAAAAAAAAAAAGACAAGCATAGACTGGGAGAAAATACTTTCAAATCACATGTCTGATAAAGACTTTGTATCCAGGAAATATGCAAAACTCTTAACTAAGAATATAAACAACTTGATTAAAAATTGGGCAAAATACTTGAATAGACATTTCACCAAAGATATATGAATGGCTAAGAAGCATCTGAAAAGATGCTCAATGTCATTAATCATTGGAGAAATACAAAATAATACCATGAGATACCACTTTGAACTCACTGTATGTCTATCATCAGGTAATGCATAGTGTTGGTAAGAATGTGGGGAAGATGGAACACTCAGACACTGCTGGTAGGGCTGTAAAACAGTGCAGACACTTTGGAAAACACAAACTTACCACACGATCCATATTCTAATCCTAGGAATTTCACTCAAGAGAAATGAAACCTATATCTAAACAAAGAATTGTATGTGAATGTTTACAGCATTCTTCTTGATAGCTCCAAAAACCTGAAAACAATCAAAATGTCCATCAACTGATGACTGAATAAATAAAATGTGGTGTATCTACACACTGGAATACCATTCAGCAATAAAGTAGAACATTATTGACATATGCTACAAAATAGATGAACCTAGAAAACACTAACCGAGAGAAGTAGACACAAAAGACTCCATTTTGGTCAGGTGAGGTGGCTCACACCTGTAATCCCAGCACTTTGGGGGGCCGAGACTGGCAGATCACTTGAGGTCAGGAGTTCTAGACTACCCTGGCCAATGTAGTGAAACCCTACCTCTACTAAAAATACAACAATTAGCCAGGGGTGGTGGCAGGTGCCTGTAATCCCAGCTACTCGGGAGTCTGAGGCAGGACAATCACTTGAACCCGGGAGGTGGAGGCTGCAGTGAGCCAAGATCACACCACTGCACTCCAGCCTGGGAAACAGAGCTGGGGTATGACAGAGCTGGACTCTGTCTCAAAAAAAAGACTCCATTTTGTATGACTCCATGTATATGAAATTTCCAGAACAGGCACTTCCCAAAGTACAGACAGCAGAAGATTTCTGGGCACAAATGAAAATGATGACACTTTCTGCAGTCTTGGAAAGGTTCATACCAGACTGTGATTGTATAGCACTCTAAATTTACTAAAAAACATTAAACTGTACACTTAACAATTGGCAGAGGTTTAGGGTATGTAAATTATACTACAATAAAACTGTTAAAACAGAGATTCTCCTCACTCTTGTAAGTAAGTGGTATAAATTTATGTGGCCTGAAACTCACATCCTGAAGGAATTTGATGGAACCTGATGCTTGATCCCTGAAATGTCCTGTATCCAGCATTAGGAAGGCGGCCAATCACCAAGAGAGAAGTCTGAATACCCAAAAAGACAGAAAGCTGTGACTATCAGTTTGAAGGATATGGCCTAGGACTTGTTATGAGTCTGCTTGCTAGTAAAGGTATGTTCATAATGTGTATTGCAGAAGTGCGTGTTGGATCCAAGTTATTCTCTTGTGATTATCTATGTGGTCAGATTGTAGGGACTAACCAATCCTCGTGTACCTCCATCTTCTTCAGTGGCTTCCATTATCCACCAAAAAGTGGATACACGTTTTATTTATATTTTTATTTTTAGAGATGGGGTCTCACCCTGTGGCTCAGGCTAGAATATAGTGGTGCAATCATAGTTTACTGCAGCCTCGACCTCTTGGGCTCAAGTGATCCTCCTGCTTCAGCATCCTAAGTAGCTGGGGCTACAGATGCATGCCACCACACCTGGCTAATTTCTATTTTTTTTTTTTTTTTGTAGAGCTGGGGGGGTCTCCCTATGTTGCCCAGGCTGGTCTCGAACTCCTGGGCTTAAGGGATCTTCCTGCCTCAGCCTCTCAAAGTGCTGAGATTATAGGTGTGACCACCACATCTGGCCCCTACAACAGTGACCAAAGGGTTATTTTCTTTATTAGCTGATTCCTTCAAATATTATTTTGGATTTATTTTAATATTGAATTTGAAATTATTCCCTTTACCAATAACCATCTTATACATACATTTTCAAGGAAAGTTTGATTATATAAAACACGGCCCATTTAAATTCAGTCAATTATAATAATTAAAAGTAAACCAACAAAGTTAGAAACCACTAAAGACAAAGGAGATGTTATGCTCATATTTCTAAAGAGAATGGGCCATTCTTTTGTTTAGTAATAAGTGATATTTATCAAACAAAAATCCATCTATGACATAAATTCTGTATGCCTTTGTTCTGTTCCTGAGAGGAGGAGGAAGTCTTAGCCCAGAACGCCTGGAGGAGAACAGCTGTTCTCTCACTTAAAGAAAGCCCTTTAAAGCCATGCAGGTAGAGTTCCCTTAAAAAAAAGAAAAACCTCTACTATACGTAAAAATATCACTACTCAGCAAATGCCAACAAGTCTGCAGTCACATTAGAGTATTTTGAAGTCATATTCTTTAAAAGGAGACTTCATGCAGTAGAAATGTAGTGTTTAATTACAATTCTCTTTCTGTTGACGATGATACTATCCCACAGCAATAAGTGGAGTGATACAGGTGTCTGAGACTTTCAGAAACAGAAACCGCTCCCAAATCTGAACTGAGGAACACACTTAGTAGGATTCTTGGACACTTCTCATGCTTGACTCCTAGCACTGGGGTCTGGAGTACAAGGTCCACCTGTCACCTGTATGGCACTTTCTAGATACTCAACAAATACTTGTTGACTATGTGTGTTAATGAATTTCTGGCTAGAGATCAGTGGCTCTAAATCTAGAAATAAGTTTTTGTTGAGTATAATGTAAGTTTTAAGGCTGAATGGAATATTCATCATCAGTAAATAATCCTATTACAAAAAATGTAATCCATTTCTTCTTTGCATTGATTGGGTAGATGAGAACATGCCAGATTAATAATGTCTTCAAGTCATCAGGGTCCTCCTGGTTACTAGATTCTGTGGATTTTCTGTAACCATATTTGGACTCCACTCATGAGTGCAGAGAGTGTCTGAACTTCTTGTTTCTGCTGCTGGCTTGTTCCTGACCTTGTATTCTGGTTTAGAATGTGAGTGGAGGCCGGCCAGGCACGGTGGCTCACGCCTGTAATCCCACCACTTTGGGAGGCCGAGGCAGGCGGATCACGAGGTCAGGAGATCAAGACCATCACGGCTAACATGGTGAACTAAAAATACAAAAAATTAGCCGGGCATGGTGGCGGGCGCCTGTAGTCCCAGCTACTCGGGAGGCTGAGGCAGGAGAATGGTGTGAACCCAGGAGGCGGAGCTTGCAGTGAGCTGAGATCGCTCCACTGCACTCCAGCCTGGGTGACAGAGCGAGACTCCATCTCAAAAATAAAAAATAAAAAAAATAATGTGAGCAGAGGCCTTGGTTCCAAAAGTTCTATCCATTCTCTTTCTTAGTCTGGTTACCTGGATTCTTCCTTGTTCCACCTTTAAATCCTGCCTGAGGCCTGGTGTGGTGGCTCACGCCTGTAATCCTAGCACTTTGGGAGGCCGAGATAGATGGGTGGTGGATCACCTGAGGTCAGGAGTTCCAGACCAGTCTGGCCAACATGGTGAAACCCCATCACTACTAAAAATACCAAAAAAAAACTAGCCAGGCATGGTGGTGGGTGCCTGTAGTCCCAGCTACTAGGGAGGCTGAGGCAGAAGAATCGCTTAAACCCAGGAGGTGGAGGTTGCATTGAGCCGAGATTGTGCCACTGCACTCCAGCCTGGGTGACAGAGTAAGACTCCGTCTTAAAAAAAAAAAAATCCTGCCTGGGTGACCCACTGAGGTCTCCTAGCCTTCTGGAGCCAGCCCCTGCCCCTCCCCAGCGGATCTTCGCTCTGCTTCCTCACTAGTTACTGCCCTAACCCCTCTGTCCGTCTGTCTGGTCTCTAAATAATACCCATTATTTTTGTTTGTTTGTTTTTGTTTTGAGATGGAGTCTCACTCTGTTGCCAGGCTGGAGTGCAGTGGCACCATGTCAGCTCACTGCAACCTCCGCCTCCTAGGTTCAAGCAATTCTCTGCCTCAGCTTCCTGAGTAGCTGGGATTACAGGCGACCGCCACCACGCTTGGCTGATTTTTGTAATTTTAGTAGAGACAGGGTTTCACCATGTGGGCCAGGCTGGTCTTGAACTCCTGACCTCATGATCCACCCACCTCGGCCTCCCAAAGCGCTGGGATTACAGGCGTGAGCCACCGCGTCCAGCCAATACCTACTATTAACAGATTTCCATTGCTTGTCTGTATTGGGATTTGTTCACTCAACAAATATTTACAGAATCTACATTGTATGTCAGGCACTGTGCTAGGCATAACAAATATAGGCAAAACTCTCGGCCCTTAAGGAGAGACAGGCAAGTCAACAAATAGGTGAAAAATGGTGTACTGGTCAGATGTACAAAGAAATCGCTATGGAAACAATAAGAAGGATGACAGGGTGGGCTGGAGTCCGTCAGAGTGCCATAGGTGAAATGAAGCTCCCGTGATGGAACTACAGATATCACAGAATGGTCGAGATGTGGTTAGCAGTGGGAGAAGAGGCTGTGGAGAGGTCTGGGCAGGGTCAGACCACACAGGGCCTTAGAAGTCCCACTCAATAGAGAATGAGATGCCATTGAAGCAATTCAACAGGGATGGCATGACACGGTCAACCTCACAGTCCATTAACTCAGAGGGAACTTCCAATGTCAACAGCTTTCTGGGCTCTTGGAAAACTGTTACATTACATGCTACATTGGACTTCATCCCAGCACTTGCAGCTGGACTGGCCCTTCCAGAAGAACCTGCTCTACCCTGCAGACGGGCCCAGGCCCAGGTTCTGGCTCTGCTCGGTTGGGTTCAGTGCGATACCTCCCCAAGTGCCTGTAGCAGGGAAGCCAGGTAGGCAGCTGGTCTGTAAGTCAATATAGGCAGATGTGTAAGGGGTGTGTGTGTGCATGTATGTCTGAGTGTGACAGGGATATGGAAAGGAAAATGGCTCGTTTTGTTGGGTGGAAGAGAAATAATAAGCCAAATATTGAGGAAAACTTCTGAAGGAGGCCAGAAAAGCAAGTGCATAATGAATTATCAATTATTAAAGATAAGAGCAGACCAGGCGCAGTGGCTCACACCTGTAAGCCCAGCACTTCAAGAGGCCGAGGCAGGTGGATCACCTGAGGTCAGGAGTTCTCAAGACCAGCCTGGCCAACATGGTGAAACCTCATCTCTACAAAAATACAAAAATTAGCCAGGCATGATGGCTGGTGCTTGTAATCCAGCTACTTGGGAGGCTGAGGTGGCAGAATTGCTTGAACCCGGGAGGCGGAGGTTGCAGTGAGCTGAGATCGCACCTCTGCACTCGAGCCTCGGCGACAGAGTGAGACTTCATCTCAAAAAATAAATAAATAAATAAATAAATAAATAAATAAATAAACAAACAAGAGCAGAAGAGGACAGGAGCAGTAGGTGAATAAAGACAGCTAGACCCTGGAGTCGCCAGACATGAGAAGGTGCAAGAGGAGATCAGCAGGTTGTATAAGGGAAGAAGGGGGTGGCCCAGATAATCCCAAAGAAAAGGCTCCTGTGACCTGTCCATTTAAAGGCATTGAGAAAGAAGGGATGCGGCACAGAATAATGCCTGAATATGGAGGACACTTTTTAAATTTTGGATGAATTCGTTAAAGAATGAACAATTCAGTGCAACACCAGATCAATCAACACCCAATTCTGCAACACCAGACTTTATCCCAAAACTTGAGGACTCTAAATGTCATACATGATCAAGAGTATTTTTCAAAGAAGGGTCTTGGCGAATGACCAAGTCAGCAAAGCAAGACTAAACTGTGGGGAAACCCATTTAAACACAAGTGCAACAATGAACCATCAGGTGAGAACTTTCCAAGTAAAAAACATTACACAAGGGACAATGGGGACACAGAAGAAACTGGCTTTCCCTGAGCCACTTCACTGATCCAACGTGGTCTCTAAGTGCAGGGATTACTCACAGCTCTGAGATGTGTGGGTGTTGTTATCCCCACTTCACAGAGCTGTGGGAATATCAGAAAATAGACATGAAATGAGGAGAGTCAGTTGGGACCCGAGTATTCCACATCTGTTATGTACAGAGCACTAGTCTGTGGGCTGCGGTGGGCAGGACGGGATCAATGCCCCAACTTGCACCCTACAGACAAAGCGAGGGATGGTGGCAGATCCTGCCTCCTTGCATTGCTGTGTAAACTGCATTCACCTACAAAGTTTATGATGTTAACTGAGTGGTTCTCAACCCTGGCTGCACAGTGGAATCACCTGGGAAGCATTTTTTTTTTTTTTTTGAGACAGAGTCTCACTCTGTCGCCAGGCTGGAGTGCAGTGGCGTAATCTCAGCTCACTACAACCTCCACCTCCTGGGTTCAAGTGATTCTCCTGCCTCAGCCTCCCAAGTAGCTCGGACTACAGGTGTGCACCACCACTCCCAGCTAATTTTTGTATTTTTAGTAGATTCGGGGTTTCACCATGTTGGTCATGATGGTTTCGAGCTCTTGACCTCGTGATCCACCCGCCTTGGCCCCTCCCAAAGTGCTGGGATTACAGGCGTGAGCCACCGCGCCCGGCCAGAAGCATTTTTAAAATGCAAATGATATGACCCCCACCCCAGACCGGACACACTATAATCCCTGGGAGTAAGACCTGGGTATTGATATTATTGAAATTTAATGTGCAGCCCACAGAGGGAACTTCTGTGTCACTGTTTGAGTCTGCTCTTCTGACACACACAGAAGTGCTGGCCAAGCAGGTGACTCTGAGTTCTCCATGGAAGAAAGGAAGCCTAAGGGAAACAGCCACCACCCACCAACAGTGGCATATGATGTAGAAGCTGACCCCGCACCTCCAATAAAGCAGCCAGCCAGTGCTGCACGCCTCTGCCCCTCCTCCCCCGCTTTCCTCGACCCATGACCTGGACTACTCATTTCACCCCTAACTTACATGAATATGAGCAAGCAGAACGTAGATGGCAATGTCCACTCCTATGACTTTAACTCCTTACTTGATCATCATTTCTTATGGAGAAAACTCCTTTTTTTTTTTTTTTGAGACGGAGTCTCACTCTGTCACCCAGGCTGAAGTGCAGTGGCGTGATCCTGGCTCACTGCAAGCTCCGCCTGCCGGGTTCACGCCATTCTCCTGCCTCTGCCTCCTGAGTAGCTAGGACTACAGGCACCCGCCACCACGCCCGGCTAATTTTTTGTATTTTTAGTGGAGACGGAGTTTCACTGTGTTAGCCAGGATGGTCTCCATCTCCTGACCTCGTGATCCACCCGCCTCCGCCTCCCAAAGTGCTGAGATTACAGGCGTGAGCCACCGCCCCCAGCCAGAAAACTCCTTTTGATATATGCACTTTTCAGTTCCTTGGACTTCAAAAACAAATACACTAAGAATGCCAAGAAGTGTCCTGGATTCACAGTGAGGAAGGCAGCCGAGAACAGGGCTCTCCAGACACACTACCTTTGAACATCCTTGACCCAGGGCCTGGAGGAGTGGAGGTCCCAAAGTGTCTTCAGTGCATGGATGAATGAGTGAATAAATGAATGATCAAGTGCATGAAAAAAAATTTAAAAACTGAATAGAAATGACAATACTCCTATAAGGAAATACTATTCTCCTCTCCAATGAGGTGTTAACTCTAAAATACTTTCTCAGTGGCTCACACCTGTAATCCCAGCACTTTGGGAGGCTGAGGCGGGCAGATCACGAGGTCAGGAGATTGAGACCGTCCTGGCTACCATGGTGAAACCCCGTCTCTACTAAAAATACAAAAAATTAGCCGGGCCTGGTGGCGGGTGCCTGTAGTCCCAGCTACTCTGGAGGCTGAGGCAGGAGAATGGCGTGAATCTGGGAGGCAGAGCTTGCAGTGAGCCAAGATCGCGCCACTGCACTCCAGCCTGGGCGACAGAGCGAGACTCCGTCTCAAATAAAAAAAATAACAAAAAAAAAAAGAAAAGAAAAAATGCTAACTCTCTCGGTGGCTCACACCTCTAATCCCAGCACTTTGGGAGGCCAAGGCAGGTGGATCACGAGGTCAGGAGTTCGAGACAACCCTGACCAACATAGTGAAACTCCGTCTCTACTAAAAATACAAAAATTAGCCAGGCATGGCGGTGTGTGCCTGTAGTCCCAGCTACTCAAGAGGCTGAGGCAGGAGAATCACTTGAACCTGGGAGGCAGAGGTTTCTGTGAGCCGAGATGGCACCACTGCACTCCACCACTTCAGCCTAGGCAACAGAGCGAGACTCTGTCTCAAAAAAATAAATATAAAAATAAAATGCTAACTCCCAGCTAGGCATGGTGGCTCATACCTGTAATCCCAGCACTTTGGGAGGCTGAGGCAGGCAGATCACTTGAGGTCAGGAGTTCAAGACCAGCCCCGCCAACATGGTGAAACCCTGTCTCTACTAAAAATACAAAAATTAGCTGGGTGTGGTGGCAGGCCATTCCCAGCTACTCAGGAGGCTGAGGCAAGAGAATTGCTTGAACCCGGAAGGCAGAGGTTGCAGTGAGCCGAGACCATGCCACTGCACTGAGACAGACTCTGTCTCAAAAAAAAAAAAAAAAAAAAAAAAAAAGCTAACTCCCTTTTAAAGAAAAACACTGGGAGCTTCCAAAAGCATTCATATGTGGATGCATTATCTCCAGTTCTCCCCACTCCAAACTTCTAGAATGAACAAAAGTATGCCCATGAAGCCAGGGGTGAAGTTGCAAAGAGTTGGAAAAACTTAGTTTGTACAAAAGCAAAGGTAAAAATGGCAGAGTTGGAGATTCAGATAAAAGGGCTGAAGAGACAAACTGTGGATTTTGACGGGTGGGGAAAGAGTGCTAGCCCATCACAGGACACAGCAGCAAGGACAGAAAGCAAGCAGTGGCAGGAAGAGTTCTGGAAACAACTATTTGAACCAGAAACCCAAAGGGTCTGCTTGAAGACCAACTGGAAAGGTTCTTGTGCCTCTGGATACAAAATGGGAAAAGGTTTTTTGAAACACAGATTTTGGTTCCTACCCAGATCAAATCAACTGCAATCCATTTGATTGGATGATACAAAGTCTAAGAGGCTGAAGGACCACATACCCAGAGAGGTGCCAGGGCTGGGTTTGTTATCCAGAGTCCGGGGACCGGCTTTATGGTTGCTCAGGCAACCTGACTACCTGTGGGGAGTTCCTCGGTGTTACTGCCCTCCGGCTACTAATGACCCAGGTTTTAATGCTAGAACCCCCCTGGGGTTGTCTGTGTATTCAAAGAAATGCCGGGAGCTAAGGTTTTGATCTTCGAAACAGAAATGTCCCTTCTTTTTGACACTGGCTCATGTCATTCTGGACCAGCCATTCAAAAGAGGACCGGATGGCAACTTTGGCTGGGTGGGAACTCCAATTTATCACAAAATACAATGCAGATTCAGAAGTGAGACAGTTGAAACAGGCCATCACATCGAGGCTGTCCTGGGGTTGGTATATTGCAGCCTGTGCATGAGTGGTCTGGTTAGGTTTTCAGTGGGAAACGGGAGTACATTTCAGGTGAGAGAGTCATGTAACCAAATCACACAGCTGCAAGTCAATATACCACGTGCAGTTAGACAGGAAGGAGACCCCTGCAATGGAAGCTAATAGTTCAGCTACAGAAAGGTGTGGAGAAGGGCGGGGTGACTGAACTTGGAGGGATCACTGAGGGCCATAGCAGGTGGGCAGGAGCAGAGGGAGAACATTACGAAGGCGGTATTTTGGCGGGGTTACTCTAACTGCAGTGTGGGACTGGATTAAATGAAAGGACACGAGCTAGCATCACAGACCCGATAAAAAGCAGCCGGCTGGCCGGGTGCGGTGGCTCACGCCTGTAATCCCAGCACTTTGGGAGGCCAAGGCGGGTGGATCACAAGGTCAGGAGATCGAGACCATCCTGGCCAACATGATAAAACCCTGTTTCTACTAAAATACAAAAATTAGCAGGGTGTAGTGGCGCGCACCTGTGATCCCAGCTACTCGGGAGGCTGAGGCAGAAGAATCGCTTGAACCCAGGAGGCAGAGGTTTCAGTGAGCCGAGATCACGCTACTGCACTCCAGCCTGGGTGACAGAGCAAGACTCCATCCCCCCACCCGCTGCCAAAAAAAAAAAAGCGGCTAGTTACACTATAGCAGCTGGTTTAGAGGCTGGTGGCATTTGCAGTGCTAACAGAGAGAAACTAAAACAAAAAGATCAGGAAGTTTTTCAAGGAAAGAAACAAAATTAAGAGAGACAATTTGGATAAGGGGATACAGAAAAAGAAAAACAGAAAAGGAAATGAAGCCTAGGTAACCAAAAGAATGCCAAGAACAGGAGAAACAGGGAGGGCAGCCATCTGGAGAAAGAACGAATTCCTTGTCCTGAGCTGGAGATAACAAGATTCCACTTGTTGTGGGTAAAATTCTGTCATTACCAAAAGGTTGGAAGACATTTAAATGTGTGGTGTAGGCTGGACATGGTGGCTCATTCCTGTAATCTCAGCACTTTGAGAGGCTAAGGCAGGCGGATCACTTGAGATCAGGAGTTCGAGACCAGCCTGGCCAACACGGCAAAACCCCATATCTACTAAAAATATAAAAATTAGCCTGGCATGGTGGTGGGCGCCTATAATCCCAGCTACTCAGGAGGCTGAGGCAGGAGAATCGCTTGAACTGGGAGGCGGAGGTTGCAGTCAGCAGACATTGAGCCACTGCACGCCAGCCTGGGCAACAGAGTGAGACTCCATGTCAAAGGAAAAAACAAAGAAAAAAGTATGGTGTACCATAATCAACTGTGGTGTGAGGGTTTTTTTTCCCTCCCCCCCCCCACTTCTAATTGTTCTCTTTTAACTAAAAATCATCTGCTAAATTTAAGCATCTTCTTTAACACTGCTATTGTCATAGAGAATCTCCTGAAGTTCTGGCAGGAAACTATGGAGCAATGGAACAAGATGCAGGAAATACTTTCGGGAATGAGAAAAGATGGCACTTTCCATAAATACTCATTGATCTAAATTTGACATTCCCACCAGCAATACAGGAGGTTCTCTGGCACAAGAATGTCAGTCATACTGCCTGCTGGGCCAGCAGATCAGACTTCAAAGATAACTTCTGGAATGAAGAGATTCAAACTTCAAATGGTTGATTAAAAAAAAAATGTGCACGCACACTGAAGTCACACTGGTGATTTCACAGTGGTATTTCTCTGCCACCATTTCTGAATTAACACTTCGAGATAAATGCTTACCTAGGCAAGAATGTTATCTACCCAAGCTGATTTGGAATCTCTCTGCCTCCATTGTCTGCCTCCTGCCCCCAAGCAAGATGAGGAACAAGTTAACCCAAAGAAAGCTCTCCTGAGCCAGCCTTGAGAAAACAAAGACACAAGTGGGAAGATTCTGTGCTATTTATTATCAAATGGTTACTCTGGGCACTGTCACACCCAGTATAAAGGACATGAAAATACAATGAATCCAGCTATCGTGTGGCGTTTTATGCTGAAATAGCTCCCTGACAGACGTGTTCCAACAGAACCAAAGTTCATGACCTTAACTAAATTACTTCTATGAAGGGTTTTTCCTCCTCGTTAATTTTGCAATGCCTTGGTTTATTCAATTGTCCATGGATGCATATTGATATTTTAGAAATAAAACAAGTAAAAGAATTATTTGCAAACTTGTAAGTAACTACATACATCATTCTTAGGAGATGATAGTTTATCTAGTTCATCCAAATATTTCTGAAGAATGTAACGAAAAACTTCAGCTAAGGTCTAAGTTCCACAGTTCTGTCCAGTCGCTATCAATTAATTTCTGTATTCAAGGTGTAGACTTAACTTCTTCATTAGAAATTTTTTTAAATACATATTTTCTGTACCTGCCATAGTGTTCCAGTAATAAGTCATACTTATTGGTCAATACATTAACTTATCCTTAACGTGTAATAGAATTGTTCTCAAACTCAACTTCTCTATATCATAAATCTTAAAATTCTAAAATATATTTTTTAAAATTCTCTATGGCTTAAAAATAGCTTATTAATACTATAGTAAACAATACTTTTAGAAGTAGTACAATGCCATGAAATCAATCAAGTTTTTAAACCCCAAAAGATCTAGGAAACACTGCTCTAACAATACCTTTCTGTCAAAGCCCTACTTGGAAGGACAAGTTGCAAGGTGAAAAGTTTGCAAGTACATACATTTACTAAATGATGTGTTAATATCCAGCACAAGGTCCAGTAAAGAAGTTAGTATGAGGGGAGGACAGTGGACAGAGGGATACTGTTCCATGCATCCATGTTTTGGCAGAAAATCACTGGTGTCCCTCTTACACTAATAGGGAAGAAGTAGATTTTATGATGTAGCTTGCTTTTAAAAGTTACCTGAAGAAACATCTTTAGACGCTTATCCAAAAAATTAAAGCCAGTGGTTACCTCAAAAGAGAGTAAAAAAGCCAAGTCTTAACTTTTTTCTACCTATAGTACCTTTTGCATTTCATACCATAAATGTGGATTATCTATTAAAATATATATATATACACACATATATGTATTTTATATATATATATACATTTTTTTTTTTTGAGACAGAGTTTCACTCTTGTTGCCCAGGCTGGAATGCAATGGCACGATCTCGGCTCACCACAACTTCCGCCTCCAGGGTTCAAGCAATTCTCCTGCCTCAGCCTCCTGAGTAGCTGGGATTACAGGCCCCACCACCACGCCTGGCTAATTTTGTATTTTTGGTAGAGATGGGGTTTCTCCATGTTGGTCAGTCTGGTCTTGAACTCCCGACCTCATGTGACCCACCTGCCTCGGCCTCCCAAAGTGCTGGGATTACAGGCGTGAGCCACTGCGCCCAGCTATTCAAAATATTTTTAAAGTTACTTGATTCCTAAATAAAGATGTTCATTTCAACTTAGCTCAACAACAAGAAGTGGCTACTAACTGCTAGAAACACTGCAAAGCAATGAACAGATATGCATAAAACAGTCCCTGCCCTTGACAAGGCCGAGAGAGAAGGTGAGCCAGATAAGTCATTGGCCCCATGACAGGCAAGACAATAGCATTGAGCAGGGAAAGCCCTGTGAGTACAGGGAAGGTTGTCTAACAAATACTTCAGCAGAGAGAGAGCTGGGAAGATTTTCCAGGGTTCTTTAGAACCCAAATGAAAGATGTGTCCGGCACTTAAGAGCCCATGTGCCAGGAAACATTAGTTAGCTACAAATAGGTGCAGGCGTATCCCAGATAATGCCTCTCAGCTCTGAGACAGCAGGCCAGCTGGGGTCCCAGCCTCCTTGCTTTACCCCCAATGTGACACAGCAGGACACTGTCATTTTGTGCATCTTATAAAGTGAGGGGTTTGGGGCACATAATCTAAACTTATAGGGTGGGCCCTGGAGAAGGATGTGGAGTGAAAAGGGCACACCTTGGAAGAAGACCACTTGCTTAAACATGAAGGAAAGTAAGTCACATTGGGGAACATTAAGTAATTTGATAAAGAAACGGTGAGAAATGGGAAGAATTTTAAACAAGAGTAGGAGCGGTTATCGAGATGGTGTTTCTAGAAACATCACAGTGATGGCACTGCTGAGGAGGGAGAACAGGTGAGGCTGCTGGCCTGCTGAGTGAACCATCACACTATTTCCTGAGAAAAACAAACAACCTGAGAAAAACAAACAATTCCTAAGTCTAGCCAGCAGTGAGAATAAAAAATGGGAAAGAGGCCGGGGGCAGTGGCTCACTCCTGTAATACCAACACTTTGGGAGGCCGAGGTGGGTGGATCACCAGGTCATGAGATCGAGACCATCCTGGCTAACATGGTGAAACCCCGTCTCTACTAAAGAATACAAAAAATTAGCTGGGCGTGGTGGCGGGCGCCTGTAGTCCCAGCTACTCAGGAGGCTGAGGCAGGAGAATGGCGTGAACCTGGGAGGCGGAGCTTGCAGTGAGCCGAGATCGTGCCACTGCACTCCAGCCTGGGCGACAGAGCGAGACTCCGTCTCAAAAAAAAAAAAAAAAGAAAAAAGGGAAAGAGACTACACAGATTTTCAGGAGGTAAAATCAATAAGTCTCAATGACCAAATGGATTTCAGCAATGAAAGAGAGATGATGTCCAGGATGATGAGCAAGTACAATAGGTGTAACAGTAATAACCATCATGCACTGAGTACCTATGACACACCCTACACTGTGCTAATATTTTTCACATATTATTTAATAGTATCAATGCTATCCATTTTATAGATAGAAAGCTGACATTCAGAGAAGTTAAGAAACTTAGCCATGGCCATAGCTAATTAAAGTGACAGGTCTGGCATTTGAGCCCAAGACTATTTGATTCCAAATCCAGACTTCAAATTTCTAAACAATTATGCATTTTGGAGAATATAGTTTAAAAATATATAGTTCTTTATAAAATAGTAACAGTGATGAACATAAATAAACTTGCTTGTTGAGGGTTAACTCTGTACTAGATACTGGTCTAACAACTTTTCTCACATTATTTCATTTAATCATTAACATCCCTTTCAGGTAGGCACTATTATTATTCCCATTTTACAGACAGTGAAACTAAAACACACGTTATGTCCCCAATTTGCCATAGCTAGTAAAGCCAGAGAATTAAACACCTGAAGCTTAAAGACAGACCTTGTGTTATTTCCCCATAACAATTTACTGTACATGAAAATGAATATCCATAGGATTTTATGAATGAATTAGTATAAAATGGTAGGGCATTTCAAGGATCATTACCCTGAAATAAATGGTCCCAGAAGCATTTTATATGAGTTTATAAAGCAGTGCAATTATAAAGCAGTGGCACAAGACACTAAAGATCAGTATATGTATTTATTCTAATATTCTTGATGCATTTGAATTCTCAATCATGCTAGATTAACTACAGATGTAGGCTTCATATTTAATGTCTGGAAAAGAAGAAGGAAAAAAAGAATGGACTAAAGTCCAGGCTATGTAGGAGGTGGGCAGTGAGGCTTCTGTTACACATACCCTTGTTTCCAACTGCTACGATCAATATTTTTCATGGGCCCTTAGAGAATACAGTGACAGAAAAGAAAAAACGCACCTCTGAAATCCATTCAGGCATGCATACTTTACTGTGGAGCACATACTTGCTAAATTTGAATACTATGTCATATATGAGAATGAAGTGAATTTTCTTGTAGATTTTTTTCTGTCCTTAGAATTGTCTATTTTAGAAAAAAAGAAGGGATAGTTTCCAACAAAAGTGATGAAGCAACCATAATTTTATGTGATTGCCAGCTATGAATTTAACACATTATTTTTACAAACACAATACGTCCTATTCAATACTTAGGAGGAGCTCACTTGAAACTCATTAAATTTCAAAGGAAAGTGAGCCATCAGGTCATATACTATGAGCTGTAAGGTAACCCAGAGAGACTGCAGAAATGACAGGGAACGTCTAACAATCTGAATGTCAATAGATAATAAGTTATTTTAAAAAATAACACCAGACAACTAACTAGCAGGTGATTTGCAGGTCAGGATTATTGACCAAAACACACAACTTTACAAATCATTCATGCTATTCATGGGGCACAAAATCGTTTCTTAAAAAAAAAAAAAAAATCAGGCCGGGCGCGGCGGCTCACGCCTGCAAACCCAGCACTTTGGGAGGCCGAGGTGGGCTGATCACGAGGTCAGGAGTTTGAGACCAGCCTGGCCAATATGGTGAAACCCTGTCTCCACTAAAAATACAAAAAAAAAAAAAAAAAAATAGCCGGGCGTGGTGGCACGCGCCTGTAGTCCCAGCTACTCGGGAGGCTGAGGCAGAATTGTTTGAACCCGGGAGGCGGAGGTCGCAGTGAGCCGAGATGGTGCCACTCCACTCCTGCCTGCAGCCCGGAGACTGCAAAAAAAAAAAATCAAAACTGCTCAAGGAGGCTAGTTAGGAAGGGTGAGGGTTGGTGGGGTGCGGAAGGCAAAAAGGCAAACAGGGAATGCGATATGAAACATTAAAGGGCTCCTGCCCTGGGAGGTTTTCCGCAGCATCTCAAAGCAGGAAAGCCCCATGAGGTCCCACTTTCTCCAAAAACCACTCATAACCGCCAGGCCAAGTGCCGAGCCCCGAGGGGCCAGGACAACCTTCAGGCCATCTCCTCAGTCTAAGACTTTCAATTTCGGGGAACAATAAGCTGAGGCAAGCTGCTCTTTCTCTACCCTGTGGGAAACCGGGACTTGTTCACCTTCAGCAGCCTGATAGACAGGAGTCCCCTCGCAATCCTTTAAGGCTCCTCTCCCTCCCCAAAGGCTCCTTTCTTCTGGCTGATAACTATGTAAATTCCCTCTTCCCAGCCTGGCTCTGCGCAGCAGACTCGCAGCTATTCAATGCTGCGTTTCCAGCTCCGGTCCAGTGCTTCCATCATGAATGCTTGAATGAATGAGATGGTCGCGTTTCTGCAGAGCTCACAACTCAGCACAATGCCCAAACACACGTTTCCCACGAGGGCACTGCAAATTCCGCCCACTACTTTTGACTCGAATTTTTTTTTAATGAAGTTTATATTCGTGGGAATACGCCCATTGTCATGTGCTGCATACATTAAGATGTTTTCAACAAATATTTGTGACTGCCTAGCCAACACGAAGCCACGCTGCGAAGACAGCTCTAGGGGTGGCGTGGGTGACTAGGGTTGTCCCCCAAAAGGGAAAAGAATTCTTTCTTTCTTTTTCTTTCTTTCTCTCTCTTTCTTTTCTCTTTCTCTCTCTCTTTCTTTCTTCTCTCTCTCTCTCTTTCCGCCCGCCCGCAAAAACAGAAAATGAAAATTCGCTCTGAGTTTCTCTTCTCAATCCTTGCAACGCGCATGCAAGGTGCTCCCTTCTCCGCTGGTCCCTCGCCCCGGCGCGCCCACGGTCAATCCCGCGCAGTGAATGAGCGGGTTTGGCCACTTCGCCTATTGCACAAAAAGCGCGGGTCGGGAAGGCGCATCAGTGCCCTGGACGCCGCCTGCGGGTCCCCCTGCCCGGGACGGCTGGCTAGGGGCGCCCTTCTCGCCGCGTCTCTCCCCACTAGCCCGCTTGGCTGCCAGGGGCCCCGAGGAATCCGCCCTTTCCCGGCCGCCGCGACCCAGCTTGCGCAGCCGGACAATGAGGGCGACTCGGGAGAGCTCTTTCTCCATTCATCCCCCGCGCCCGGCCAACAGCCCCGCCACCCCCGCCCGCGCAGCCGGGGCACTAAAAGCAACCCCCGGCGCCCCGCTCCGGGCGCCCCGCTCCCGCCACCCCCAGCACTGCTCGCGTAGATGGCGCTCCTGGGTCGCGAAGTCCCGCAAAAGCCAGAGGCGAGGCTGGGCTTTAACCCCAAAGCCCGAGGAGGTTAAAGCCTAAGCCTGCAAAGAGCGGGCAGCGTCCGGCAGGAGCGGCGTCCCCATCCAGCCCTCCCCGGCAAGCGCGGGAGACCCACGTGGCCGAGACACCCACTCCGAGGTGGATCAGGATGCGCGCCCGGACTCCAGCAGCCCCAACGCGACGGGCTTTGTCCGCGGCCGCCCCCGCCCGCCCGCCTGCGGGGGACAGGGACCCTAGGACCCGGGCCGGGCTCACCTCTCTGCCGGCACTGCGCGGCGACACACAGCAGCAAGACCAGGAGCACGCCCCCGCGCATCTCGCCTCCGCCGCCACTCGGTGGGTCTGGGGAGAAAGCCGCGCGCCCGCCTGGAACGCTCCACGGGACGCGAGTCCGCGCTGCCCTGGCCCCGCCGCTCCTGGAGTCCTGCCGCCCCTCCCTCCAGCCGCCCTCGGACACACCCCTCGGCTGCGCCCCGCCCCGCCCCGTCCCGCCCCGGCTTGGCCCCGCCACCCAGACCCCTCCCCCGGGGGCGCCCAGCTTGGCCTCTGGGTCCCGGCGCACGCGGACCCCAAGTCGGGGAGGCCGGGCTGACCGCGGCCGCCTCCCCGGCTCCGGGTAGGAGGTGGGCAGAGAAGGTGGGCTGAGGGGAGGAGAAACTGGGCTGCGGGGGTCCGGGAGGGTGGATTCCGAGAAACTATGTGCCCAGCTGACCCTGCCCGCCCCGCCGCGGCCCTGCAGTCCCCGGGCCAGGACCCACGCGCCCCTGCCAGGAGCTGGGCGAGAGGCGACCCCTCGGGAAGCCACCCAGGCTCGGCCGACCCGCCGCCCTTTCCGCCGTGGGCAGAGGACTTGAGGATTTTTTCTGAAAATGAGTTGCAACTTGTTCCCGACTTTGTTTGCCTAAAGAAGGCAAGGTCACTTGGACTTAATTATTATAATTAGATACCCTTACTGCTGGAGAGAGAGGACGCGCTCCTGACACGCAACTTCAACTGCTGTTATTATAATTATTATTATTTTAAAACTATGTCTGGTCCCCGATAAAGAATTTTTAATTTCCTCTGATTTTTTTTTTCTATCAAAAGTATTGGATGGGTGCAGTGGCTCACGCCTGTAATTCCAGCACTTTGGGAGGCCGAGGCGGGTGGATCACTTGAGGTCAGGAGTTCGAAACCAGCCTGGCCATCATGGTGAAACCTCGTCTCTACTAAAAACATACAAAAATTAGCTGGGTGTGGTGGCACGCGCTTGCAGTCCCAGCTACTTGGGAGGCTGAGGCAGGAGAATTGCTTGAACCCGGGAGTGGGAGGTTGCAGTGAGCTGAGATCACACCAGCTGCACTCCAGCCTGGGCGACAGAGCGAGACTCTGTCTCAAAAAAGAAAAAAAAGGTATTCATAACACTTTGTAGATTTCACATTTTCTCAATATAAATATACAGGGACAATATCTCATTATCATCCCACCATCTTATTTTGCAGGGTTTTTTTTTCTTGATAGGAAGATAATTTCCTCTCACTTGTGTGAATCTATTTGACAACTCTATCAATTCCTGTTTTTCTGAGGACACTTCCTTACACATCTAGTGAGTAGAACTTAGTTATAGTACTTAGCCATCGATTAATTTTTAAAAATCATGGAACAAAATGATAGTTTGGCCGTTTTAAAAGGATGCAATATAGTTCAGTGAATACTCCATACAGTACTAAATTTAAAATGCAGACGTTCGTAACTATTAAAATGTTACTAAGTAATTATTAAATAAGTAAACTTAGTATTTAATAAATGATCAAATATTATAGTATTAGGCACATAGCTATTAAAATGCAGAATTATAAGCATTTATGCACTGAAATAACTGCACACACAGACCTAGCATTCATATAGATTATCTTTTGGGATCTTCACAACTCTATGAGATGCTTGCCAGGAGATAAGGAAGTGAGTTCTCAGTGTCAGCAAATGTCTGGTCTAGAGCTAGACCCCATGTCTGGTTTCTAGTCCATAGTCCTTTACAACACCACGCTGAAATCACAGAGGATGTTGATCAAAAGCAAACTTGGAGGTGGTGGCTAACGCCTGTAATCCCAGCACTTTGGGAGGCCGAGGCGGGTGGATCACCTGAGGTCAGGAGATCGAGACCATCCTGGCTAACGCGGTGAAACCCCGTCTCCACTAAAAATACAAAAAATTAGCCGGGGGGCGGTGGCAGGCGCCTGTAGTCCCAGCTACTCGGGAGGCTGAGACAGGAGAATGGTGTGAACCCGGGAGGCGGAGCTTGCAGTGAGCCAGGATAGCGCCACTGCACCCCCGCCTGGGCGACAGAGCAAGACTCCGTCTCAAAAAAAAAAAAAAAAAAAACCACACTGGAGGAATCACAAGGGGTGTCCCCATATTCTGGGTCTCCCCATATCCTGGGTTCCTAGAAATTCAGGCAGGAGGTCAATGGGACCTTATCTTTGAACTGCAAGCAGGGATCTCACGTGTGTAATTTCAAGGGAGGCAAGTGGTCAGCACCTCTGGGGAGTGAATAGGAAGCATCAAAAGTTACAAATTGGCACTATTTATCACTGCTCAAAATTAAGCAGAAAAGATTTCAATGAAAAGAATTCAGAACAAACTTGGATAAAATGCAGCAGTAAAAATGTCATAATTCTACACATCTTCTAAAAACCCTGCAGTACAAATTTTTCCAATCTTTAGCATGCTTGGAAAATATCTAAATTACCTAGAGCCCTATGAAAGTGCAGGGCTGGCTTGTTCAAGTTGAAAATGAGTATAACAAGAATGTTCACATTTTGTGAGAAAGTAAAAATTCAACTCAACTGGACACAAAAAGATCCTTGCTTCAAAGTCACCTATAAATAATGAACAATTGAAAATGCCTAAATGTCAAGCGATAGTTTAAATGGTTAAGTACTTTATAAATCAATGTAACAGGCTATTATGTAGCTACTTTTGAATTGTGAAACTCTGCAATGAAAAACAACTCATATGTTAAGAAATGCAACATTCCAAATAACATAGACATTCTGATTACAATTATGTATATAAAATAAGCACATGTGGCCAGGAGTGGTGGCTCAAGCCTGTAATCTCAGCACTTTGGGAGGCCAAGACGGGCAGATCACCTGAGGTTAGGAGTTCGAGACCAGCCTGGTCAACATGATGAAACCCCATCTCTTCCAAAAATACAAAAATTAGCCGGGCGTGGTGGCGGATTCCTGTAATCCCAGCTACTTGGGACGCTGAGGCAGGAGAATTGCTTGAACCCGGGAGGCAGAGGCTGCAGTGAGCCGAGATCATGCCATTGCACTCCAGTCTGGACAACAAGAGCAAAACTCCATCTCAAAATAATAATAATAATAATTTTTAAAAAGCACATGTGCAAACAAGGAACTAGAAAACCAACATACAGAAGTAAACAGTTTTGTTCAGGTGGTCAGAAGATGGGTAGAGGTATGGATGTTTTAGATAGTGAAGAAAAGCTCAGGCTGGGCTCAGCGATGGTTCACATTCTTTCCCCACGCTTACTAGCAGTGACATCTTGGGCAAGTTCCTCCTCTGTAAAATAGAGATAGCAATGGTGCCTACTTCATTCATTCAATAAACATTTTTTAAGTGGCTGCTAAGTGCCAGTGCTAGGGATATACCATGAAATGAGAAAGACGTATGACATTTCCCACCATGTGGAGCATGCAGTCTGATGGTTAAGGCAGAAAAAAGAAAAAATAATCATAAATTTAATAAGTGCCATCAAGGAAATATCTGGTTACTTAGATAAAGAATGGGAGGACCAGGTACCGATTGGGCAGTTTGGGAAAGTTTTGCTAAGACGGCTTATTGTATGGCAGGGCGCCGTGGCTCACCCCTGTAATCCCAGCACTTTGGGAGGCTGAGGCGGGTGGATCACAAGGTCAGGAGATCGAGACCATCCTGGCTAACACGGTGAAATCCCATCTCTACTAAAAATACAAAAAAGTAGCCGGGCGTGGTGGCGGGCACCTGTAGTCCCAGCTACTCAGGAGGCTGAGGCAGGAGAATGGCATGAACCCGGGAGGCGGAGCTTGCAGTGAGCCAAGATCAGGCCACTGCGCTCCAGCCTGCATGACGGAGCAAGACTCCGTCTCCAGAAAGAAAAAAAAAGAAGGCTTATTGTAAGCATTAAATGAGCCAATGTATGGAAGTCACCAGCACTCTGCCTTGCACATGTCAAATGATAATAAAGATGAATGAATTCTTTTTTCTTTCTTTTTTTTTTTTTTTAGACAGAATGTCTAGGAGACATTCTGTCACCTAGGCTGGAGTGCAGTGGCATGATGTTGGCTCACTGCAGCCTCAACCTCCTGAGCTCAATGGTAGACCACCTCAGCCTCTTGAGCTCTTGAGTAGCTGGGACTACAGGCGCACACTGCCACACTCAGCTAATCTTTGTATTATTATTTTGATTACTTTTCTTTTTCGGGGGCAGAGATGGGTTTTGCCATGTTGTCCAAGCTGGTCTTGAACTCCTGAGCTCAAGTGATCTGCCCACCTCAGCCTCCCAAAGTGCTGGAATATGAATTTGTATTTCAGTAATTTCACTAATACTATTATATTTTTTAACATAAAAAAAAAAAAGCTTAATTATGACCATTTTCAAAACCAGGGCTCACACAGGCTGAGCTAAATTGGAGCTTTCAAATCCCTTGGGTGATCCTGTTGAAATCCAGATTCTAGTTCAATAGTTCTGGGTTGCAGGCCTGAGTTCCTGCATTTCTAACAAGCTCCCCATGATGCTGATGCTGCGGATAGGCAGAGCACATCTTGACCAGCACATAGCTTGCTTGCTTGTTCTCCATCTTGTTTGCAAACTGAAATCAGTGGAGGAATTTAAAAAATACTGATTCTGGTTTCCACCCCGATAGATTATGATTCAATTGGTATGGGGTACAGCTTGGACATCTAGATATTTCTAATGATCTCCAGGTAATTCTAATGTGAAGCAAAGTTTCAGAAACACAGCTAGACTGACCTGCTCCTGCATGTAGAAAATCCAGGTTCTGGTCATTGGTGGCTGAGCAGGCTGGGGGAGCCACATTCAGAGTGTGGTCACTCTGGCCTGGCAAGAAGCCTGGCCTGGCAAGTGTTTTTCCTCGTATCCTGACACCCACATAGCAGGGATCCAGCCACGGTGCCCAGAATACAGGACAGGACCGTTTCTCTGGAGAGTTAGTACAAGCAAGGCTGCCTCTTAGTTCTAAAGGACTGAGATACAAGGCAGAGACTTAGGCACAGGAGCATCACACCGGGATCCAGGCAGAAGGCCTGGATGTAAAGCTAGGGGCTTGGTTACAAGGATAGAGGCAAGAGGTCAGTTACTAGAATTGGTTATGGTGTCAGAGTCTCATCTAGGACAAAGTTAGAGGGGCTGACCATAGGAAAAGCTCCTTAAGGTCTCGTGGCTAGAAATAAGGTGGTTGAGACCCTTCGCTTTAGGCAGGGGTGAGGGCTGGAAGGACTAGCAGTCAATGAAAGCAAATTGGAGGTGGGAGGCAAAAATGGTCCCTCAAAGGTGCGTGTCCCATGTCCTAATGGCTGGAACCTGGAAATACATTATATTACATGACAAAAGGCACTTTGCAGATGTGATTAAATAAGAGTCTTAAGATGAGGAGATTATCTAGTATTTGCCAAGCGGACTAATGTAATCAGTAGAAGTCTTCATAAGTGAAAGAGAGAGTAGGAGAGGAAGACTCGGTGATTCAATGCGAGAAGGACTCAACCAGCCATTGCTGGCTTTGAAGATGGGGGTGGGGATCATGAGTCCTGGAATGTGAGCAGCTTCTAGATCCTGGGAAGGCAAGGACACAGATCTTCCCCTAGAGCCTCCAGAAAGAGCCAGCTGTAAGGACACCTTGAGTTTGCCCAGGTGAAACCCATTTTGGACTTTGGAATTCCGGAACTATAAGATAACAATACAAATTGTTATCTTATAGTTTGTATTGTTTTATGTCAAGAAGTGTGTGATAATTTGTTACAGTAGCAGTAGGGAACTAATACATTAGGCAAAGACTACTCCCAGGAAGCAAGTGGAGATGAAGTTAGGGGGAAAAATGAGTATCTATATTAGGATTGAAGTAGAGCCTGAAGATTCCATTTGTGCCCGTGATAAAGAGCAGAAGATAGAAGAATTTGAAAGAATTACCTGAAATACTGGAAAAAAGAGAAGGAAGAATAGAGGTCTCAGAGGATAGCAATGGAGAACATGGCGTCTGGAGAGGGACAAAATTGCTATTCATGATGTTTATAAGCTTTGGTTTTCATGCAAGTTGTGCCATAAACTCTGGGAACAATTTGGACAAAGTGGCTATAAAGTGATAGGCAGAACTCTGTTTATAGCCCTAGGTAACAGACTGCTGGTTGCCTCTCAAAATCCAGGCTCCTGTTCTTCTGAGCACTTAGTCACCCAGGTAGATCACCAGGTGGGCACTGCATTGCCAGCCTGCCTCAAAGCTAGATTTAAATCTGTATTAGTCTGCCCAGGCTGCTGTAACAAAATATCACAGGCTGGGAGGCTTAAACAGCAGAAACTTATTTTCTTATAGTTCTGGAGGCTGAAAGTCCCAAATCAAGGTCTGGCAGCATTCAGTTTCTGGTGAGGGCTCTCTTCCTGGCTTGCAGGCAGCCACCTTCTCACTGTGACCTCACGTGGTGGAGACAAAGAGCAAGCTTTCATAAGTGTCTCTTCTTACAAGAACACAAATCCTATTGGATCAGAGCCCCATTCTTACTACCTCATTTAACCTTAATCACTTTCTCAGAGGTCCCATTTCCAAATTCAGCCACACTGAGGAAAAGGGCTTCAACACATGAATTTGGGGGGAACATAAACATTCTCCTGCCTCAGCCTGCAGTGTAGTTGAGACTACAGGTATGTGCCACAGCACCAGGCAGCGTTTGCCTTTTGACATTTAATCTCTTCTCAAGGGGCTTGTAGTATTTTACATTTACATAGCTGAATTTCCAGAGCATAATGTAAAAAATACATTTAAATAGGATTTAACAAAGATGTTACGCAAGAAAAAGCAGTGGTTAAAAAATACAGGAATCAAACTGCCTGGGACCGAATACCAGCTCTCACGTTTACTTGATTGGGTGATTTGTGGAAAATTATTTAACTTGTCCTCAGTTTACTCACTTTACTATAAAATATCCCCATTTTACTACAAAATGGGAATAAAAATAAGATGTATATCAAAAGGTGAGAATTGAATGACATAATGAACACAGAATTGTTAGCGTAGTTCCTGGCATCAAGTAAACATTCGATAATTAGTTTCTTCTATGATATCATCTTCATCACCATGGGTTAGGAAGAGTGTTGTACAGTTGCCATAAGACGATAATGTTTGGCTCTAATGGAGCTTTTCAACACATGGTTACAAAAGGCAGTTGGACATTTGCAAAGAGATGAACTATTATCTGTCTTCTTATTTATGTAGAAAGAAGCGCTAGAGACCCAAAGGGGAGACGTGAGCTAGGAAAGGGCATCTCCCTAAAGCCAAGGAGTGGATGGAGGTTACAAGAAAATAGCAACCAGCTATATCAAAAACTAAAAAGACTTTTAAAAATTGGTTTTGGCAGGGATTTGGTCCTTAAGGAACTTGGTGAGTGTGTTTTTCTTTTATAGAGGAAGAGGAAGCCAAATTGGAGGGGTCTAGAAGACAGCTGTTCATACTGACATGTAGACAGCATTTGTCCCCAGGACTCTGCAGGACATCCCTGCCTGCTGGGTATCTGTAACAATGCAGCCTTTCAACAGGAAAGTCAGACTTCGAAAGCGAAGTTTGCAACGGTAGCAGCAAATACGAATTTTTTATTTTATTTTTTAATTATTTTTATTTTTTTATTTTTTTGAGATGGAGTCTCACTGTGTCACCCAGGCCGGAGTACAGTGGCGCTATCTTGGCTCACTGCAACCTCTGCTTCCCAGGTTCAAGTGATTCTCCTGCCTCAGCCTCCCGAGTAGCTGGGACTACAGGCGTGCACCACTGTGCTCAGCTAATTTTTGTATATATTTTTAGAGATGGGGTTTCATTATGTTGGTCCAGGTCTCGAACTCCTGACCTCGTGATCCACACGCCTCAGCATCCCAAAGCCACTGGGCCTAGCCCCCGAAAATAAGAACTTTATAGGTGGACACCAATTATCTAGAAAGTCAGAAATACATGTTTATGAAGATACTTGTCATTGTGTCACTTGTATTACACCGCTCACTATTATTGGAGCTTCCTTCAGTTTTGTTTTGTGTTTTGTGTTTTGAGATGGAGTCTCGCTCTGTCGCCCAGGCTGGAGTGCAGTGGCATGATCTTGGCTCACTGCAAGCTCTGCCTCCTGGGTTCACACCATTCTCCTGCCTCAGCCTCCCGAGTAGCTGTGATTACAGGTGACTGCCACCACGCCCGGCTAGTTTTTTGTATTTTTAGTAGAGATGGGGTTTCACCATGTTAGCCGGGATAGTCTCAATCTCCTGACCTCGTGATCCGCCTGCGTCAGCCTCCCACAGTGCTGGGATTACAGGCATGAGCCACCGTGCCCAGCCTTTTTTTTTTCTTGAGACGGAGTCTTGCTCTGTCACTCAGGCTGGAGTGCAGTGGCTCAATCTCGGCTCACTGCAACCTCCACCTCCCAGTTCAAATGATCCTCCCACTTCAGCCTCCCGAGTAGCTAGGACTACAGGCATGCACCACACCCAGCTAATTTTTGTATTTTTAGTAGAGATGGGTTTTCATCATATTGGCCAGGCTGGTCTTGAACTCCTGACCTTGTGATCCGCCCACCTCGGCCTCCCAAAGTGCTGGGATTACAGGCATGAGCCACAGCGCCCAACCTTCCTTCAGCTTTTTACTAATTTCTTCTACTATTTGTTCCCGATGGAGGCAAATATTCTACAATATTTTACACTTTAGGTTCTCTAAGAGCTTCTTTTCTTCGTGTTTGACTCTCGATCCGCACTTGTGTCATTTTATGACATATCTCCAGACTCATCATCAAGAAGCCAAATTTGAGTTAAATAACTCGTAAACCTGGCATTGGCTTAGTGGCAAGGACAATATTCAAATTTTAGGAAGAAGATGTTACTAAGTAATAGGATCAGTTGCCTGAAAAGACAATATTCTTTCATCAGAAAGCATTTTACAGGATCTCATTTAATCTTGAGAAGCAACACATTGGATATGTGAAGGTCAGAAGACTGAAATTAAAATTGTAGCTCTAGAAATTGTTAGCGATTTGACGTTTCAACAGGTCAGTTAGCTTTTCTGAGTCTCAGTTTCCCTCCTCTGTAAAATGTAAATAACCGCATCTTTTGCTAGAAATGGTAGTCACTGGCTGGACGCAGTGGCTCACGCCTGTAATCCCAGCATTTTGGGAGGCCTAGATGGGCGGATTGCCTGGGCGCACCCTGGGTAACATGCTAGAACCCTGTCTCTACTAAAATACAAAAAATTAGCCACGCATTGTGGTAGGCGCCTCCATTCCCACCTACTTGGGAGGCTAATGCATGAGAATTGTTTGAACCCGGGAGGCAGAGGTTGCAGTGAGCCGAGATTGCACCACTGCACTCCAGCCTGAGCGACAGAGCAAGACTCTATCTCAAAAAAAAAAAGAAGTAGTAATGACAGGATAATAACAGTTATCATGTATTGAATCTTCAAATCATACTTTACACCGATTGTCTCACTTACTCTGCTTAAATCTCCAACTCCACCATGGTGCAGGTGGAGTTGGAGATTTAAGCAGAATATGGGAGAAGATGGACTGCACCATGGCCACTGAAGGCGGCTAGAGAATCATGCTGACCCATCTCATTTCAACTCCTGCCCACGGTCATTAAGGGGACTTTAGAATTGCCAGGCAATCACACTCCCTACCCTAAACTGTTCACTTTCCCACTGAGCAGCCCCATCCTTTCAGAGCTCAGCTGCGTTTCCCACTATGTGTGATGCCCAGCCCTTCCTTTCTCCACCTTTGAATTCCTGGTCTTTCTTCAGCACCCAGGTCAAACGTCTCCTCCCCCAGGAAGCCTTCTATGATTGTTCCAGAACTCACCAACCACTTGCTCCCTTGTGGACCCGACGCCCTCTGTAATTCAATCTCTGTTGCAACTGTTGTTGATTTTATAAACATACTTTTCCCATTAAAGAAGACACATATGCTCCTTCTAAGTTTATTTAGTTTTCCCACTCCCCCACGGTGTCTAAAACTTGACAAATATTTGTTGATTTTGACAATAATGTAGTTTGGTTGCAGTTGTGTGTTTACTGTGTTCCAGGCGTTACGCTAAGCATGTTTCATAAACTAGCTCCAAATGGTATAAAAGTCCTAAGGTGGCAGAAAGTAATGCAACCTGCTAAGTATGAACAGTTCTAAGTCACAAGAACAAAAGCTGCCTCTGGCCACCTTAAACAAAGGCAAGTTAATCAGAGGGATGTCACAGCAGGGAGAATGGGGATCATAGAATCCATGGGAACTTGGAGAGGAGGGCTTGGAAAACAGGAACCAAGAGAGTCACAGATGCTATGCAGCAGAATCCACGGCCAAGGTCACCCACCAAAAACAGTCTAGCTGAAGCAGACTGCAGCACCCGGAGCTGTCTGACCTTCAAATGTTCTCTGCATCTTTGTTTCACCAGCTCAAGGCTCAGAGCCTGGAGAGCCAGTCACTGATTGGCTGAGCTTATATTGTGTGCCCCAGGTAGGCAGTGAAGAAGCCTTGACCTTCCCTTCTCTTCCACAGTAGGAGCTGGGAGTGAGAAAGAGGAAAGCAAGGTTTTACCCATGGGGAATCCTCCCCCAGACAGAGAAGGGGGTGCTGAGAGGAGGAGGGTGCTGCTGGCCAACAAGCAAGATGGCACCTGTCTTCCACAGGTGGACAGGAAGAGCTCCACGAAGGGGGTGAAAAGCCAGCAGTCAATGCAGGATAAGTCTAATTTTGAAAGGCACAACAAAACAGAAAAAGTTGTGGGGAATCACTTTGGCAGGGGCATAGAGACAACACTGGAAATGTTTGGATGGAGCAGATCCATAGGCAGGCTGTATGAGATGCAGATCTGATGGGCCCCCACCCTGGGGCTGTTGGGCTCTCCTGTCTGGCTTCTTGTCTGTTATTGGAGTTTCTCCTCCTTCCTACACTTATGGGCTTAGGTGAAACACCACGCCACACTGTGTACAATCTGGCACCCTAAGTAGCAATAGAGTGGGACAGATGATGAAACCCAGAAGTGGGGGTCAGTTTACTCCCCATGGGATGAATTTTGACCAATGAGAAATAGAAGAGGGAGAGAGCTAGACTGAAGTTCTCCTTTTTCTCTCTACTATGCACCTCTGCCAGGCCCAGTTTCTCCTAGCAGCCCACTTGGACAAGTCCAGGGTGCAGACACGCCTGCCAAGTCCATGCTGGGTTTCTTCCCTTGAAGCAGCATTAGGCAGTCACACATCACTCTAGGTTGCTCCCCATCTCTCTCCTCATTTTCTTCTTCGTTGCCATGGATTTGCATGTCTCAAAGCGTATACCATCAGCATTTTCATCTTTGCCTCAGGATCTGTCTATGGAGATATTGGACTAAGAAAGGACCCTTTGCATGGAGCAATTAGTGAGATGTGGGAGATATGTTTGAATCCTACAGGTAAACCATATGTGTAGGGAGAAACCAGGGGTAAGGAATTTGAGCTTGAGGCAGAGGCAATGTGAAATTATTATCAATTCTTTTTTTTTTTTTTTTTTTTGAGGAGTCTCACTGTATCACCCAGGCTGGAGTACAGTGGCATGATCTTGGCTCTGCCTCCCAAGTTCAAGCAATTCTCCTGTCTTAGCCTCCTGAGTAGCTGGGACTACAGGCACAGGCCACCATGCCTGGCTACTTTTGTTTTTTTTTTTGAGACGGAGTCTTGCTCTGTCACCCAGGCTGGAGTGCAGCGGCGCAATCTCGGCTCACTGCAAGCTCCGTCTTCCGGGTTCACGCCATTCTCCTGCCTCAGCCTCCCAAGTAGCTGGGAATACAGGCACCCGCCACCACGCCCGGCTAATTTTTTTGTATTTTTTTTAGTAGATACGGGGTTTCACCATGTTAGCCAGGATGGTCTTGATCTCCTGACCTCATGATCCGCCCGCCTCCGCCTCCCAAAGTGCTGGGATTACAGGTGTCAGCCACCGCGCCCAGCCACCCAGCTACTTTTTGTATTTTTAGTAGAGACCGGGTTTCACCATGTTGGCCAGGCTGGTCTCAAACTCCTGACCTGAAGTGATCCACCTGCCTCAGCCTCCCAAAGTGCTGGGATTACAGGTGTGAGCCACCACACCCAGCCTATTATCAATTCTTAAGCACAAGAACAAGACAAAAATCTTTTTTTTTTAATTTTTTTTAATGAAAATCTACCTGCTAGCAGTAAACAGAAAGAGCAGAATGAAGAGAAATGGAAGTGGCCATGTGGGTGGAGGTAGGGGACACAGAAGAGGAATGTGGAGCGAGAATGAAGAAGGAGGAATCAGATGAGATTTCAAACGAAGAAACATGACTTAGTGACTAATTGGATGCAGACGATCAAGGAAATTGTTGAGTTAAAATTTTCTTTCTGAGAATGAAAAAAAGAAGGGTTAGATGAAAGATGAACCGACGGGAGAGGAAATCATGAGCACAGTTTGATTGTTGTCATTTCGATGTTACCAGATAGTCAAATGGCAATGTTAGAAAAACAGCTGGAAATTCAAGACAGATGGAGATTGTGGCTGAGGCCAGAGGACTGAGTCTTCTTTGCATGATCTCAAAGTCACTGATATGCAGGAGCTCACCAAGTTGAGACTGTGCAGAGAAAGGTCATGGAGAACTGAAGTGAAAGCAAGGCAAGACAAGAGGGCTCCTAGAAGATGGTGGAACCTTCCCTGAAAAGGGGATCCATGATTGACCCAGTGAACGTGAGAGCTGGAGTAGGGACATTTGGGGAAGGAGAAAGAACAAAGGAGGAAATAATGGTCATGATGAGGACGCCAGAAAGTTAGAGAAGATAACTGACATGCCCTTTGCTGAGCCATTACTATGCCAGCTGCTTAATCCTCGTATGCAAGACAATTTTTTTTTTTTTTTTTTGAGACGGAGTTTCACTCTTGTTGCCAGGCTGGAATGCAATGGCTCAATCTCAGCTCACTGCAACCTCTGCTTCCTGGGTTCAAGCGATTCTCCTGCCTCAGCCTCCCAAGTAGCTGGGATTACAGGCTCCGCCACCATGCCCAGCTAATTTTTTTGTATTTTTAGTAGAGTTGGGGTTTCGTCATGTTGGCCATGACGAACTCCCGACCTCAGGTGATCCACCCACCACAACCTCCCAAAGTGCTGGGATTACAGGCGTGAGCCACTGTGCCCAGCTTATGCAAGATAAATATGATTCCCGTTTTATGGGTAAAACCACAGAGATTCACAGAGGCTGGCTAACCTGCTTGAGTTTGCAGAGCTAAAAAGTGTGCTTTCATTTTTGCTGTATCATAAACCAACCCCAAACTTAATGGTTTTGAGCAACAATCATTTATTTTCCTCAAGATGATTCTGTGGGTTGCCAGCTAGATGCGCTCAGTTGGATGCTTCTTCTGTTGGCCCTCCTGAGCTCCTTCACGCATCTGCAGTCAACTCCAGGTTAAGGGATGAGTGATTTAGGGGGAGCCACAGCCCAGATGCATGGAGCTAAAACACAGGAGTCCTCCATCGTCAAAGGAAGCTGATAGATCAAGAATTAGAAATTTAAAACAAAATGAGAATTAGAACAAAATATCAAGAATGGAGAGTAAGTCTATTGAGTGTGGTAGAGAGCAGTTGCTGACAGTACATCATAATGACAATAATTATTAGAGCAAGCAGCTCCTGAGCACATGTAATGTGCCAGAGACTGGGCCCAGGCTTTTGTGCATTGTCTCACTGAATCCCCACAGCAGCCCTAGGAGATAAGGTAGGCTGATTAGCATTGTTTTTCAATGAGGAAACAGGCACCTAATGCCTCTAGTAGCTTAATCAAGATGAATCCAGGCAGAGGGGTGTGGAGATTGGAATTTGGAAAAAGGTTTGATTTAGTGACTGCTGATATGAAGAAGAAACGTTCTACAGGTAAGGTGGGCAGGAACTATGATTCTAAGATGCTAAAGGTTGTAAACATGGATGTTGATGTCGCTAAGAATAATGATGGATAATAAGGTGTAAAATAAAAAAAAAATTCAAACTAAGTCCTGAAATATCTAATGAAATACGGGATGTGAAAATGTTATACAATACTGGGAAAACAGAAAAATTAAAGACCAACCCAGGGGAGGACATAACATGGGGATAGGCTAGGTTATACTGCGGTAACAAACAAGTCCCAAACCTCAGAAGCATAAAACAACAGAGATCTCTTTCTCGATTATTGTGGGTTAGCAGTGGGCTCCGTTCACTATTGTAACTCGGGGATCCCAGCTGATGGAAGCTTCGTTTCAACATATGCTTCCCACTGAGGCAAGTAAAGAAGTAAGTCACACACTGGCTCTTAAAGTTTCTGTTTATATTCCGTAGTCCACGGCAAATCACCTGGTCATACCTAACCTCAAGAAACCATGATAGTGGGGCCCTATTATGTGCCTGTAAGTGGGGGAGAACCAGAAATATTAGGAAAATAGTGCTAACGAGGACCACAGAGAAATTCTTGTAGACTATGCTAGGACAGTGCTGGGAGAAACATGAGAGCTAGAACTCAGGTCTAGGAATTCCCGCTGAACATGGAGAAGAAATGGAGAGCCAGAAAGACAGGGATAGGCAAGATCAAGCCACGCCAGCATCCAAAGCACAATCAGGACTGCTTTCCACAGGGTAGCCATTCAGATGGAGTTTGCGGCAAACAGGGAAGCTTATTATTGGAGCAGCTTGGGGTTCTCTTGAGGACCCCAATTCAGGAGACTCTAATCCGTGCTAGGATGGGGAGGTTCTTTTCCTTCTGCTCCAGACGTCCTCCAAGTGTGTCCTGAGACAATGCATTACCAATTCCAGGTGTGGAATGAGAACTTTACTAGGGGCAAGAAGGGGCCTTAAGAAAGAAGTGAGTCTAGAGTCATGTTATCTGGAGGGCCCAGGTCTCTAGAGCTGAGCCTTTGCCGGGGGCTCTGACGGAGACCATTTACAAAAGCAAATATTTCAGTTGTATCTACACTACACTCATCATTATAATTCTGCGGTAGGTTTCGCTTTTATGTTTCCTGACAACTAAGGACTGCAAGGTTTTCATGTTCTAATGAAAGAAAACATGGACATTTATCTGCAGAGACAAACACTGAAGCCTAAATAATTTCAAGAGTGAATGTATTTGTGGATTATCAGCATAACGGACAATACTTTTAGTTACAGGTTTCCAAGACACAGTGCTATTCAAACAGATTCTCATATTAACCTTCTTTATAGCCCAGGGCACAGCTTTACGTCTTTATTAACTCAGGGAGGGCTTTGAAGAAGAAAAGAGACTGAGATAATGAGGTCAGGCTTGTTTGTTTTTTGATTACCTACATTCCTAAGGTATCTAGGACCTAAAGAATCTAAAAGAATGCACCGATTATTTTTCTATCAGATTGAGTTTCTTAAATATCAGATGTTTCAAGTGAGCTGATACCAGATCTTAATCTGTGCCTTAATTCCTTAAGTACCAATAATGCATCACTAGTAGCAGAGCAGAAGTTATGCATAGCTCTGTAACTCACACGTAAAATGCTAGGGAGAAGCCGGGACCACCCTAGACCCATTGTAGTGAGAACCATCAGTGTAAGGCAGACTTCTTAAATTTCAGTACAGACATTAGAGAAGGAAGCAAAACATATGTAGTGGAGAAAAATAAACATTTCAAGAGCTAAGCAGCATATGCCTTTCCTCTCTGATTTAGGCCAACAATGACCTCCCTTCAAAGCCAGAAGGATAAGCTAAGCAGCCAAGGATTGAAAATAAAATAACCCACATGGAGCAAAGGAAAAGAAGAGTTAAAAGAAGGTCACATACCATATGTGTTGGTCACAGTGTCACAAGTTGTTCCAGGGTAGCTTAATCTACTCTTCCTTAGTTGCCTGCTTGTTGAGCTGGAGGTTTTGTTTGATATGTGACTTCTAATTGAATGGCTATTTTTCATTAACATTCTGCACAGTTTTGGTTCAATAGGTAATTACTACTATGAAAGGCTGGATTTTAATTATGAGATGAAGAGTCCATCATTTCAATAAGGGCATTTGTGTTCTCCAAAGTCTGCATATAGATGACCCAGGGCAGAAGACACTGCTGATTGTAACCCTATCTTCCTTCCAGGCTGTTTTGAGGGAAGACCAGCTTTTTTTCACCCCGGGGGAGTGAATCTTGATAAACTGAAGTTGGTCAAGGTAATTCTATTCTGTTTGCCAGTGATTGGCTCAGATACAAGCTCCTTTTCCTAATCAGCATTATTGAGGTATATTTTATGGAAAAGAAACTGCAGCAATTTTAAGTTTACAGTTTGGTAAGTTTGACAAATGTACACAATTGCAGCCACCCCCATATTCATGATAGAAAACATTTTCCTCACCCTCGAAAAGTTGCCTACTGTCTTTTGTAATCAGTTTCCAGCCACCTATTTCTGGAAACCACTGTCTTTCTTTATGTCACTACAGGTTAGCCCTTTTACATTTTTCATATAGATGGAATTATAGGTGCCTGCATGGGCCCTGGCTCACTCACCGTCCTGCAGGATGCCTTGGCAATGGGAAATCCAGTTATCAGAATTGATTCCAGAAGAGAGAAACTAACAGAACAATAACAATGGAAGAAATTGGGAACATTATCAAAAAGCTAACATCCTGCAAAACTCCAGGCTCAGATGGTGTTACAGGTTAAAAAAAAAAAGTCCTTCATGAAAAAGAAAGATCTCTTTATTTTGAAACAGAGTTTCGCTTTTGCCCAGGCTGGAGTGCAATGGCGCAATCTCGGCTCACCTCCCAGGTTCAAGCGATTCTCCTGCCTCAGCCTCTGGAGTAGCTGGGATTACAGGCATGCACCACCATGCCCGGCTAATTTTGTATTTTTAGTAGAGACGGAGTTTCTCCATGTTGATCAGGCTGGTCTCAAACTCCTGACCTTGTGTGATCCGCCTGTCTCAGCCTCCCAAAGTGCTGGGATTACAGGCGTGAGCCACCGCACCTAGCAAAACTTTTTTTTTTTCTGAGATGGCGTCTCACTCTGTCATCCAGGCTGGAGTGCAATGGCGCGATCTCGGCTCACTGCAACCTCCACTTCCCTGGTTCAAGCAATTCCCCTTCCTCAGCTTCCCGAGTAGCTGGGATTACAGGCGCGCACCACCATGCCTGGCTAAATTTTGTATTTTTAATAGAGACAGGGTTTCCCCCTGTTGGCCAGACTGGTCTTGAACTCCTGACCTCAGGCAATCCACCGGCCTCAGCCTCCCAAAGTGCTGTGATTACAGGCGTGAGCCACTGTGCCCAGCCCCAGAAAGATCTTAAGCAACATGATGGATTCAGAAGCTCATGAAAAGAGGCCACCAATGCTAACTTCTTCAAAACAAGATATATCACCTCATATTATAAATGTTGGTGAAATGAAGCATGACTTGTGTGGCTGCTGTGCAGCCTTCAACACGTAGAAATCACATTTCCCATTCAGAAGGTCCTCTTTCAACAACAGCTGTATGGCATCAAAACCCGGGATGCAATACTTCAGTTGAGAAGGGATGGATTTTGAAACTTGTATCCTGGAATCCTTCCCTAATTGATGCAAAAGACAATTACACTTGCACTTATGTTTGGTCTGTATGAGGATTTATCCTACCTTCTCCACAAGCATGTCAGTGCTCCAGAGTTTGCAACCCGTGTCGTGGTGGCAGTGCTTGCAAGGACAGCAGAAGCAATTTTCACTCCACTGCAAAGAGTTCAGACATTGCTTCAAGACCACAAGCATCATGACAAATTTACCAGCACTTATCAGGCTTTCAAGGCACTGAAATGCCATAGAATTGGAGAGCGTTATCGAGGCTTGCTGCCCATTCTTTTCCAGAATGGACTCAACAATGTCTTGTTTTTCGGCCTTCGAGGTCCCATTAAGGAGCATCTGCCTACCTCAACGACTCACAGTGCTCATTTGGTCAATGATTTTCTCTGTGGAGGTCAGTTGGGTGCCATGCTGGGATTCTTGTTTTTTCTAATTAATGTTGTGAAAACTAGCATACAGTCTCAGCCTAGTGGGGAATTTCAGTCTTTCCCCAAGGTTTTCCAAAAAATCTGGCTGGAACGGGACAGAAAACTGATAAATCTTTTCAGAGGTGCCCATCTGAATTACCACCGGTCCCTTATCTCTTGGGGCATAATCAGTGCAACTTATGAGTTCCTGTTAAAGTTATATGGCAAAAAACATCAGTTAAGTGCCATTTATTAACTGAATAGACCTTCTAAGAAGAATGCAGTCTGGCCTCTTTCTTAATTGGCCAAATATAAGTTGGTGTCATGACTCCAGGCCACAGTGAGTTATGGGCAAAGCTGTTTTCCTCAAGCATCAACAAAACAGAATAAAAGTTTCCAATAGGAAAAATAAATAAATAAATAAATGGAATTATACAGTGTTTTGTCTTTATCTTCTTTTCTTTCACTTTACATAATGCTATTGAGATTCAACCATTCTGATGTGAGAGTCAGTAGTCCATTCTTTTTTATAGCTGAGAAGCTTTCCATTGTATAAGTATACCTCTATTTATTTATCAGTTTAGATGACCCACAGTTTTTGGCTCTTATGCATAAACCTGTTCTGAATTTCAAGTGCAAATCTTTGTGTGAAGCTGGATTTCTGAATTGCATTGTAAGTATATATGAACTCTTTAAGAAGCTGCAGAAGTATTTTCCAAAGTGATATTCCCATCAACAATATAAAATTCCAAGATTTCCAGTAGCTTCACATCCTCACTTACATTTGGTATTAACAGGTTTTTTAATTTTTTTGTTGTTGTTTGTTTGTTTTTGGGACCGAGTCTTGCTCTGTCACGCAGGCTGGCAGCGTGATCTTGGCTCACTGCAACCTCCACCTCCGGGGTTCAAACGATTCTCCTGCCTCAGCCTCCCGAGTAGCTGGGACTACAGGCATGCACCACCACGCCCGGTTAATTTTTTTTGGATTTTTTTTCTTTTTTTTTTTTTTGAGATGGAGTCTCCCTCCGTCGCCCAGGCTGGAGTGCAGTGGCGCGATCTCGGCTCACTGCAAGCTCCGCCTCCCGGGTTCACGCCATTCTCCTGCCTCAGCCTCCCGAGTAGCTGGGACTACAGGCGCCTGCTACCACGCCCGGCTAATTTTTTGTATTTTTAGTAGAGACGGGGTTTCACCGGGTTAGCCAGGATGGTCTCGATCTCCTGACCTCGTGATCTGCCCGCCTCGGCCTCCCAAAGTGCTGGGATTACAGGCTTGAGCCACCGCGCCCGGCCATTTTTTTTGTATTGTTTAGTAGAGACTGGGTTTCACCGTGTTGGTCAGGTTGCTTTCAAACTCCTGACCTCAAATGATCCACCCACCTCGGCCTCCCAAAGTGCTGGGATTACAGGCATGAGCCACTGCGCCTGGCCTATCAGGTTTTTTTAATAGCAACAATTCTAGTAATAGTATCTCACTGGAGTTTAATTTGCATTTACTAATGATAAATGATATGATATGATATTGACCATCTTTTCCTGTGCTTATTTGCCATCTGTATGATCTTTGGTGAAGTGTCTGTTCAAGTCTTTTGCCTATTTTCTTTTTAATTCAGTTGTTTGTCTTCCTAATATTAAGTAAAATATGAAATATAAAATTAAATATAAAAGTTCTATATGTATTCTGGGTATAAATTCTTTATCAGGCATGTTTTTCCATTTTCTGCTAGTATGTGCTTGTCTTTTCATTTTCTTAATGGTAACTTTTTGTTGTTGTTGTTGTTGTTTGAGACAGAATCTTGTTCTGTCACCCAGGCTGGAGTGCAGTGGCACGATCTCCACTCACTGCAACCTCCGCCTCCTGGGTTCAAGCGATTCTCGTGCCTCAACCCTCCGAGTAGCTGGGATTACAGTTGCACACCACCACACCCAGTTATTTTTTGTATGTTTATTTGAGACAGGGTTTCACCGTGCTACCCAGACTGGTCTCGAACTCCTGACCTCAGGTGATCCACCCGCCTTGGCCTCCCAAAGTGCTGGGATTACAGGCATGAGCTACCGCGCCTGGCTGGTAACTTTTGAATTAAAACAATTTTTAAAATACTTTCAGATTTACAGAAAAAGTAAGCAGGTAGGAGAGTTCTCACATACTCTCCCATCCTGTACAGTTTCCCCTACTGTTAGCACCTTACATTAGAATGGTATATTTGTTGCAATTATTTAACTAGTATCAATACATTCCTATTAACTAAAGTCCACACTTTATTCAATTTTTACTAGTTTTTATCTTATGTCCTTTTTCTCTTCTAGGATCCCACAGGACACCACATTATATTTAATCATCATATCTATTTAGATTTTCTTGGCTATGAAAGTTTCTCGGACTTTCCTTGTTTTTGATGACCCGGACACCCAGACAGTTTTGAGGAGTACTGATCAGGAATTTTGTAGGATGTTTTTCTACTGGAATTTGTCTTTTGTTTTTTTCTCATGATCAGATTGGGGTTATGGGTCTTAGGAGGAAGAAGACAGAGGTAAAGTGACATTTTCATCACATCCTATCATACCACACACACACACACACACACACACACAAAGTCTACATGAACTATGACTGTTTTTTGTTTTTGTTTTTCTTTTTGTTTTTGTTTTTTTGAGACGGAGTCTTGCTCTGTTGCCAGGCTGGAGTGCAGTGGCGCAATCTCAGCTCACTGCAACCTCCACCTCCTAGGTTCAAGTGATTCGCCTGCTTCAGCCTCCTGAGTAGCTGGGACTACAGGCACATGCCACCACGCCCAGCTAATTTTTGTATTTTTAGTAGAGACGGAGTTTCCTCATGTTGGCCAGGATAGTCTCGATCTCTTGACCTCGTGATCCACCCGCCTTGGCCTCCCAAAGTGCTGGGATTACAGGCGTGCGCCACTGAGCCCGGCCAAGCTGTGACTGTTAATGTTGATCTTGATCACTCCGCCGATGTAGTGTTTGTCAGGTTCCTCCACTGTGAAGTTCCTCTTTCTTTTTTGTCCTTTTCCCTACTGCACTCTTTGGACAGCAGTCTTTGCTATGGTTTAAATAATTGTGTCCCCTCCAAAATTCATGTTGAAATTTAATCCCCATATCGGTTGTATTAAGATGTGGGGCCTTTGGGGAGGTGATTGAGTCGTGATGACTCTGCCCTCATGAATTGATTAGGGCCCTTATTAAAAGGGCTTGTGGGGCCAGGCGCGATAGTTTACACCGGTAATCCCAACACTTTGGGAGGCCGAGGTGGGCGGATCACCTGAGGCCAGGAGTTCGAGACCACCCCGGCCAACACAGTGAAAACCCGTCTCTACTACAAATACAAAATTAGGCCGGGCGCAGTGGCTCACGCCTGTAAACCCAGCACTCTGGGAGGCCGAGATGGGCGAATTACAAGGTCAGGAGATCGAGACCATCCTGGCTAACACGGTGAAACCCCGTCTCTACTAAAAAAAAAAAAAAAAAAAAAAAAAAAAAATTAGCTGGGCGTGGTGGCAGGTGCCTGTAGTCCCAGCTACTCAGGAGACTGAGGCAGGAGAATGGCGTGAACCCGGGAGGCGGAGCTTGCAGTGAACTGAGATCACACCACTGCGCTCCAGCCTGGGCGACAGAGTGAGACTCCGTCTCAAAAAAAAAAAAAAAAAATTAGCCGGGCATGATGGTGGATGCCTGTAATCCCAGCTACTCGGGAGTCTGAGGCCGCCAAGGCAGGAGAATCGCTTGAACGCGGGAGGCAAAGGCTGCAGTGAGCCGAGATCATGCCATTGCACTGTAGCCTGGGCGACAAGAGTGAGACTCCGTCTCAAAAAAAAAAGGGGTGGTGGGGGGCTTGTGGATGTGGTTTTTCTTTCTTCTGCTGTTCTGTCGTAGGAGGACACCTACATGGCACGATTTATGAGGGAAAATCCATAGGATCACCCTCAACAGATACAGTGAAAGTATTTGAGAATAATGGACATTTATATGATAAAAACTCTTGCGTAACTAGGAAGAGAAGGGAACTTAACCTGATAAAGTACTTGCACAAAAAACCTACAGGCAATATCACACCATGTGACTGTCTTAGTCTGTCTGTGCTGCTATAAAGAAATACCACCAACTGAGTCATTTATCAAGAACAGAAATTATTTCTCACAGTTCTAGAGGATTGGAGGTCCAGGTGAAGGTGCTGGCAGGTTTGGTGTCTGGCAAGGGTTCATTCCTCATGGTCTTCTTCCAATTTGTTAGGCTGGCCTTGCATCCCTTGGAGAAACTCCACTTAGTAATAATATTTATGCGCTTTATGCTTTATTGGATTCAATTTGCTGAAATTTTGTTAAGGAGTTTTATATTAATGTTTTTGAGAAATATTAGTGGGTAGTGTTCTTTATGGTAATGTATTGTTATGTTTGTGGTATCAAGGTAATGCTGACCTCATAAAATGAATTGATAAATGTTTGCTCTTAGTCTATTAAAAGGAAGACTTTGTGTAAAAAGATGGTATTATTTCTCACTTAAATGTTTGGTATAATTTACCAGTGAAGTCATATGAGCATAAGTTTTCTTTGTCAGAAGGTTTTAAACCATGAATTAAATTTCTTTATTAATAGAAATCTATTAAAGTTATCTATTTCTTCTTGAGTACTGTGTGTCTTTAAAGAACATTTTCCATTTCATTTGAGTTGTCAATTTTTGTCATAAAATTATTCATATTAATTTTTTTATTACTTTTTTTTTTTGAGATGGAGTTTCGCTCTTATTGCTCAGGCTGGAGTGCAGTGGCATGATCTTGGCTCACTGCAACCTCCGCCTTCCAGGTTCAAGGGATTCTCCTGCTTCAGCCTCCCAAGTAGCTGGGACTACTGGCATGCGCCACCACGCCCAGCTTATTTTGCATTTTTAGTAGAGATGGGGTTTCACCATGTTGGTCAGGCTGGTCTTGAACTCCCGATCTCTGGTGATCGGCCCGCCTTGGCCTCCCAAAGGGCTGAGATTTCAGGCGTGAGCCACTGCGTCCAGCCGTTTTTTTTTTTTTTTTTTTTGGTGACATGGAGGCTCGCTCTGTCACCCAGGCTGGAGTATAGTTGCATGATCTCTGCTCACTGCAACGTCTACCTCCCGGGCTGAAGCAATTATCCTGCCTCGGCCTCCCGAGTAGCTGGAATTACAGGCACCTGCCACCACGCCCAGCTAATTTTTGTATTTTTAGTAGAGATGGGGTTTTACCATGTTGTCTGGGCTGGTCTCGAACTCCTGACCTCTGGTGATCCACCTGCCTCGGCCTCCCAAAGTTCTGGGATCACAGGCTTGAGTCCCCATGCCTGGACCTATCTTGATGTCTATAGGTTTTCAAGAAATATCATTACTCTCATCCATGATATCAATGATTTATTTTCTCTCACTCTTTTTTCATCAGTCTTCATAGAGCTTGTTCAAGTTCATTGATCTTTTCAAGAACCAGCTTTTGGTCTCATTGATTTTCTTTATTGTTTTACTGTGTTCTCTTTCACCTACTTCTCCTCTCTATTATTTTCATTTTTCTGCTTGCTTTGGGTTTAATTTGCTGTTTTTTTTCTAGTTTCCTTAGGTAGAAGCTTAGATTGATTCAATAACTTTCTTCTTTTTTGACAAAAGCGTTTCACTGTAATTTTTCATCTAACAACTGCTTAAGTTGTACCTCACATATTTTGATGTGTTTTGATTTTGTATTTAGTTTCCAGGTGTTTGGGTTGTTTAATTTCCAAGTGTTTGGGTATTTTTCAGACATCTATCTCTTGTTGATTTCTAGTTTAATTCAGTTGTGCTTAGAGAATATATTTTGTATGACTTCAATTCTTCTAAATTTATTGAGACTGGTCTTATGGTACAGGATATGGTCTATTTTGATAAATGCTATGTGTGCATTTTTACAAAATTTGTATTTTGTTGTTTGGCAGAGTATTTAATGATTGCCAGCTAGGTCAAATTGGTGGATAGATTGGTTCTTGTCCACTCATTGTGTATTTTTGTATTTATTGTTGGAAAGAGAGTGTTAAAGTACCCAACAATATTTGTAGATTTGCCAATTTTTCCTTTCAGTTCTGTTTTTGTTTCATGTGTGTTGAAACTCTGTTACTAGGAGTATGGATATCTATGGTTGTTATGTCCTCTTAATGAATTGGCCTCTTTTTTATTATGAAATGTCTCTTTTTATCCCAGCTCACATTTCTTATTCTGAAATCTACTTTGTCTAATATAAATGTTTTGCATTTGATTCACGTTTGCATGATATATCTCATTCCATCCTTTAAGTTTTAGCCTAGGCATATGTTTAAGGTAAGTTTCTTGTTCACAGTATACAGTTGGGGCTAACTTTATTATCCAGTCTAACAATCTCTGCCTTTTAATTGGAAAATCTATGTGATTTACAAATAATGTAACTATCAATATGGATGGGTTCAAACCTAATACCTTCCTATTTCTTTTCTATTTGCCCAATCTGTTCTTTGTTCCTCGTTTTCTCTTTTCTGATGTCTCTTGGCTTGATTCAGCATTTTGAGTTATTCAATTTTATGTCTAATAAGGGCTTATTAATGCTGCTTCTTTTTAGTTAGTATCATTTTCTAGTTAATGCTGTAAACTTTACAACTTACTTCTTTGTGCTGTTGTTGCTCCACATTTTATTCCTATGTATATTATAAACCTCAATACATGGTTATTATTTTTTATTTACAAAGGCACGGACTTTTCTAATAAAATTTAAAACTAAGGAAAAAAATCTTTTATTTTACTCACAAATTTGCCATATTTGGTGTTATAGAATTTGTTGTGCAAATCTGAATTTTCGTCGTTTCATTTTTCTTTTGCTTGAAGAATTTCTTTTAATGCATTGTGTATTGTAGATCTGCTGGTGATGAATTTTCTCAGCTTGTGCTTGTTTGGAGAATTTGTTTCACCCTTATTGTTGAAACATATTTTCATCAGGAATAGAACTCTAGGTTGACAATTGTTTTATTTCAGTACTTTAAGGACATTGCTCTTCTGATTTAAATATTTTCTGATGAGGAGTCAGAAAGTATTAACTCATCTTTGGATATCTATATCTTTGCTATAACTCTTATCTTTGTTTCTCTGAAGGCAATATATCTTGTTTTCCTGCCTGCTTTTTAAATTTTGTCTTTATTGCTGGTTTTCAGCAGTTCAATTATGATGTATCTGGGTGTGGTTTTCTATCTATTCTGCTTCGTGTTCATTGAGATTTTTAGATTTGTTTGTATCATTTTCATCAAACTAGGAAAATTTTGGCCATTGTTTCTTCCAATATTTTTATATTTTCCCTGAATTTACTCTTCCAGGACTCAAATTATATGTATGTTACACAGCTTGATATTGTCCCACAGGTCACTTATCGCTTATGATTTTTAGTCTTTTTCTCTGTTTTATTATTTTTACATAGTTTCTGTTGCTTCGTATGCAAGTTTGCTGAGCTTTTCTTCTGCAGTGTCTGATCTGCTGGTAATTCCATTCACTGTATTTTTCATCTCTGGAAACTCCATTTGGATTTTTGTTTTACATACTCCATTTTTCTATCACATTCCCCTCTACTTTTTTTGAGCATATGAAGCATTTCTATATAGTCTTGTCGTATGTATAACATGTCACTATAGCTTTGTCATTTCTGGATCTGTTTTTATTCATTGATTTTACCATTTGTTATGGGTTATAGTTTCCTTTTTCTTTGCATGCCTGGTAATTTTTTAATGTACTTGCTGTTTTTACTTTTTACTTTGTTTTGTGCTAGATTTTATTGTGTTTCTTTAAATATGCTTTGGTTTGTTTTGGCATGTAGTTAAATTACTTGAGAGCAGTTTGATGCTATCAAAATTTGTTTTCAAACTTTCTAAAGGTAGTTCCAGAGCAGCCTTTATTCTATGGTTAATTTATAATATGATGATTTGGTCTGATTTTATTTAGTCTTAGAAAAGGGACAGGAGGAAGGAGTGTCCTCTATTCCAGCCTTTAGACATTATTGTGTGAGAATATGATGCCTAGAATTCTGTGACCACCAAGGGTAGTAGCCGACACCCTGAAGATGGCAAATAGAAAGAGCCAATAATCTATGTCCTACATGATATTGCTGGGCTATTGAATTAACCAACCTGGAGCCAGCTACTTCCAGACTTCTTATCATGTGAGATAACATTGAAAACATTGTTTAAACAGATTTCCATTGTATTTTCTGTTACAGCCAAAACCATCCTAACTGACATATTCTTCCAAATATACATATCAACAGATTTTTGCCAACTTGGTTCCTCTCGGTTGTTTGGTTGATTTGATTTTTTTTTTTTTTTTTTTTTTGAGATAGAGTCTTACTCTGTCACCCAGGCGTGAGTGCAGTGGTGTGATCTCAGCTCACTGCAACCTCTGCCTTCTGGGTTCAAGTGATTCTCCTGCCTCAGTCTCCCAAGTAGCTGGGATTACAGGCACCCGCCACCATGCCCGGCTATTTTTTTATTTTTAGTAGAGATGGAGTTTCACCATGTTAGTCAGGCTGGTCTCGAACTCCCGACCTCAGGTGATCCACACACCTAGGCCTCCCAAAGTGCTGGGATTACAGGCGTGAACCACTGCGCCCGGCAGATTTGATTTTTTTAAGTTGAATTTAATAAAAACCTAGTGAGCCTGGGCAAAATGGCTCACGCCTGTAATCCCAGCACTTTGGGAGGCTGAGGCGGGCAGATCTCAAGATCAGGATATTGAGACCATCCTGGCCAATATGGTGAAACCCCATCTCTACTAAAAATTAAAAAATTAGCTGGGCGTGGTGACGCGTACCTGTAATCCCAGCTACTAGGGAGGCTGAGGCAGGAGACTCGCTTGAACCAGGAAGTTGGAGGTTGCAGTGAGCGGAGATTGCGCCATTGCACTCCAGTCTGGCGACAGAGTGAGACTCTTGTCTCAAAAAAAATAAATAAATAATAAATAAATAAATAAATAAAACCTAGTGAGTGAGACATTGCGCCAAGAATTATAGGAGATGCAGGGATAAGTATTACATGGTCCCTGCCTTTCAAGCACTTATACTCTGAAATAGAAAAAAAACAAGGTTACAAACTAATAACCACACTAAAGGAATGATAAAACACATTTAATAAAAGAAAAAAATAAGGAAGGTGGCTAATGAATGAAACCAGTTAAGCTTTCAGAAATGACTGCATGCATCAAAATGTTAGGTAACCTTAATTTTATTTATTATTATTATTATTATTTTGAGACAAAATCTCGCTCTGTTGCCCAGGCTGGAGTGCAGTGGCATGATCTTGCCTCACTGCAACCTCTGCCCCCCGGGTTCAATCTATTCTCCTGCCTCAGCCTCCTGAACAGCAGGGATTACAGGCGCATGCCACCAAGCCCAGCTAATTTTTTTTTGTATTTTTAGTAGAGACAGGGATTTCACCATGTTGGTCAGGCTGGTCTCGAACTCCTGACCTCAAGTGATCCACCCGCTTTAGCCTCCCAAAGTGCTGGGATTACAGACGTGGGCCCCTGCTCCGGGCCGGTAACTTTAATTTTAAATGAACGGACTCCTGACGTGTCCCACGCTGTGTTATCTGACACAGTCTATTAAATAATGTGCATATTTAAATTAAATGCGAAAGGCCTGGCCTGGTGGCTCACGCTTGTAATCTAGCACTTTGTGAGGCAGAGGAGGGTAGATCGCCTGAGGTCAGGAGTTTGAAACCAGCCTGGCCAACATGGTGAAACCCCGTCTCTATTTCTAAAAATACAAAAAACGGCCGGGCACGGTGGCTCACGCCTGTAATCCCAGCACTTTGGGAGGCCGAGGCGGGCGGATCACGAGGTCAGGAGATCAAGACCATCCTGGCTAACACGGTGAAACCCCGTCTCTACTAAAAATACAAAAAATTAGCCAGGCGTGGTGGCGGGCACCTGTAGTCCCAAGTACTCAGGAGGCTGAGGCTGGAGAGTGGCGTGAACCCGGGAGGCGGAGCTTGCAGTGAGCAGAGATGGCGCCACTGCACTCCAGCCTGGGTGACACGGGGAGACTCCGTCTCAAAAAAAAAAAAAAAAAATGAGGAAACAAAAAAGCAAAACCTTTCCAAATAATAAATTTAGTCATAATAATAATAATAATAATGTATTTTTATTTCAAACATTCACCTAATAACAGAAAAAAACATTCATATAGATAACCTGTAATCCCAAATATTTGGGAGGCTGAGGCACGAGAATCACTTGAACTCGGGAGGCGGAGGTTGCAGTGAGCAGAGAACGCTCCATTGCACTCCAGCCTGGGTAACAAGAGTGAAACTCAGTCTCAAAAAAAAAAAGTTATTACTATTATCTTAATATTTTCTAAATTAGGCTATGGGCAATAATATATTTAATTCATTTTCAGAACATCTTGATCCTTTTTAGGGAAAAAAAAAATCAATTGAAGAGACATGAGAGCTGGTCTTAGCTTGTCCCAAAAATCTAATCCTAACAATGCTAATCCTTCTTCCATTATGTGTGTACTGGTTGAAACATGTCTATGCATGGGCTTTAGATATTGTGGGAAATGTAACAGAAAGATCACCAGAGTCATTAGTTAAATGGAACCATCTCCCAACATCTGAGGGCAAGGAGAAAGAGTTACTAACATACTGTGAAATCCAGGAAAGCTTGGATTGAGACACAAGAAGCCCTATTGACAGCAGAAAAGGGATATTTGGTGAGTAATGCCGGCAGAACACAAGGAAGTAGATGGCTGTGAAAGATCAGCCTTGACACAGACACCTAAAACACAAAGGGCAAGACAATCTCCCTCTTACATTTTTTTTGGGATGAGACAATTAAACATTCTATAACAGTATACTTCAAAATGATGCTGTAATCCTCTTATGTGAACTACATTCTTAAATATCTAGAAGAGGCCAGGTGCGGTGGTTCATGCCTGTAATCCCAGCACTTTGGGAGGCCGAGGCAGGCGGATCACCTAAGGTCAGGAGTTCAAGACCAGCCTGGCCAACATGGTGAAACCCCGTCTCTACTAAAAATACTAATATTAGCCAGGCGTGGTGGCAGGCACCTGTAATCCCAGCTACTTGGGAGGCTGAGGCAGGAGAATCACTTGAACCTGGGAAGCGGAGGTTGCAGTGAGCCAAGATTGCACCATTGCACTGCAGCCTGGGCAACAAGAGCAAAACTCCATCTTGAAAAAAAGAAAAAAGTACCTAGGAGAGCAGTTTGCCTTTGGAATTAATAATTAATTAATTAATTACTATGTACAATTCAGTCTTAGGTATGGATTATGAAGACTTCTAACCTGGCCAGTGTCCTCCTCCCTGTCCCCCACTTCAACTATAACCCCCACACTGCCCAATCTTAATGGGTAAAAAGTGATGACACCAGGCCACCAACTGGGCCCAGTTCAAGTACATGCTCAGTAATGGTAACAAGAATACTTCACCATTTTCTTTAGCACTTTACAATCTACAAAATTTTTTTCTACATTCATTGTCTCATTTAAACCACACAACAAACCCATCTGGTGTTAGTGTTCCTGTTTTATAGATGAGAAAACAGGCTCAGTGGAATCCCAGTAGCTCATGCTGTTCAAATAGTGATAGGATAAATAGGTCATTGTATTAGTATTCTGTTGTACGTAACAAATTATCACAAACCAGCAGCTTACAACGACACTCATTTATTAACTCACAATTAATAAGGTCAGAAGCCTAGGTGGACTCATTTGGTTTCCCTGCTTAGGGTCTCAAAGGCTGGGCTCTTCTCTGGAAACGGGGGAAAATCTGTGTTTGGCCTCCTTCAGCTCATTGGCAGAATTCAGTTCCACATGGCTGCAGGGCGAAAGTCCCCATTTCCATGCTAAATGTTGTCTTGGGACTGCTCTCAGCTCCTAGAAGCCACTCTCTGTTCCTCCTCACACGTGACCTCTTCTATCCTCAAGCCAGCAACAGTGAGCTGTTCTTAACGCTTCAAATCTCTTTGACTTTCCTTCTACGACCAGCCTGAGAAAGCTTTCTAAGCTTAAAGGATTCGTGTGATTAGATTAGGGCCACTCACGCATTCTCTCTTTGGCTTATAGCATAACGTAATCACAGGAGTGATAAACACATTCTGTTTTCACCCACAAGGAAGAGGGCCCTGAGGATTACTCTTAGAATTCTGCCTATCACATTAACAAGCATTGTCACCCTGCAGAGAGAAAGGGAGAAAGAGAAGAGATGGCCAGTCCTCTAGCACGGAGCTAGGCTCAGTTTAGCTCACTGATTGAGGAAGTGGAGAGCTCCTGGAGGAGAATTAGTGGAAGAGAAGACCAAATAAAAAATCAGAGAGAGCAGGAGCGCAGAGACTTAGCTGGGCCTTCCTGAGAGTCCTAGCAGCTTAACTACAGAACACAGCAGAGGGAGAGCCCTGTGAGCGTAGGACCCCTGGTGCCCAGTGGCCCTGCCAACTAACAAGTGAAACCTAACCAACCCCTTGACCGCTGGGATTAGCATTTCCTGCTCTGGGAGAATAGGGGTAGAAAGAGAGGTGGATGGAGGGGAATAAGCGTCTCTCTTTTTTTTTCCAGGGGAACCAACACTTTCCTTTTTTTTTTTTTTTTTTTTTTTTGAGACAGTGTTGCCCAGGCTGGAGTGCAATGGTGCAATCTTGGCTCACTACAACCTCTGCCTCCCGGGTTCAAGAGATTCTCCTGCCTCAGCCTCCCAAGTAGCTGGGATTCCAGGCACGCGCCACCATGCCCAGCTAATTTTTGTATTTTAGTAGAGATGGGGTTTCACCGTGTTGGCCAGGCTGGTCTTGAACTCCTGACCTTGTGATCCGCCCGCCTCAGCCTCCCAAAGTGCTGGGATTACAGGCGTGAGCCACCACGCACAGCCAGAACTAAGACTTTCTAAACCACATTTCAACAGCTGGATGTGGTAGCTCAAGCCTGTAATCTCAGCTACTTGAGAAGCTGGGGCAGGAGGATCGCTTGAGCCCGGGAGTTTGAGGCTACAGTGAGCTATGATGGCACCACAGCACTCCAGCCTGGGTGACAGAACTAGACCTTGTCTCTAAAAATCAATAAATAAATAAACCACATTTCTTCAACAGTCCTTTCCACTTGGAAATCTATCTGTTCCACATCCTCTAGAGATGGTCTAGTATGCACTTGCTATCTGCATTTCTTCAAAAGCCATTTGCTTTTCCACACCCCTATAAATAGATGTGTAGATTGTTTCCAAACTTTGGATCTTAAAAAAAAAAGCTGGTGATGAACATCCTCCTTAAACAAACATTTACATACTTCTCCAAAGACAAGTTACTTACTGCTAATCTAGACTTGAAATTCAAATGTTTTCATAAAATTGCTAACCAGGGCCGGGCGTGTTGGCTCACATCAGTAATCCCAGCACTTTGGGAGGCCAAGGTGGGTGGATCACGAGGTCAAGAGATCGAGACCATCCTGGCCAACATGGTGAAAGCCAGTCTCTACTAAAAATACAAAAATTAGCTGGGCGTGGTGGCAGGCACCTGTAGTCTCAGCTACTTGGGAGGCTGAGGCAGGAGAATCACTTGAACCCGGGAGGCGAAGGTTGCAGTGAGCTGAGATTGCGCCACTGCACTCCTGCCTGGGTGACAGAGCGAGACTCCCGTCTCAAAAAAAAAAAAAAATGCTAACCAGGAACAAATTCATCATTATTTAGTATTTCTTGTTACATATAAATACCAAACCCCTAATGCTTATCAAAAACATAACTATGCCTGGCACGGTGGCTCATGCCTGAGGCTGAGGCGAGTGGATCATGAGGTCAGGAGATCGAGACCATTCTGGCTAACACGGTGAAACCCCATCTCTACTAAAAATACAAAAAATTAGCCGGGCATGGGGGGCGGGCGCCTGTAATCCCAGCTACTCGGGAGGCTGAGGCAGGAGAATGGCATGAACCCAGGAGGCGAAGGTTGCAGTGAGCTGAGATCGCACCACTGCACTCCAGCCTGGGCGACAAAGAGAGACTCCATCTCAAAAAAAAAAAAAAAAAAACAACAGCAACAACAACAAAAAAACATAACTACAAGATAGCAAAGGCCGGGCAAGGTGATTCATGCCTGTAATCCCAGCACTTTGGGAGGTCAAGGCAGGTGGATCACCTGAGGCCAGGAGTTCAAGACCAGCCTGGACAACGTGGTGAAACCTCGTCTCTACTAAAAGTACAAAAATTTGCTGGACACGATGGTGCATGCCTGTAGTCCCAGCTACTCAGGAGGCTGAGGCTGAAGAATCACTTGAACCCAGGAGGTAGAGGTTGCAGTGAGCCAAGATCACACCGTTGCACTCCAGCCTGGGCAACAGAACGCGACTCCATCTCAAAAAAAAAAAAAAAAATAGCAAAAATGATGAAAATGATGATATTAAAAGGCAAACTACTTTGGCACTCAAACTTAAGCCAAACATCACAGGTAAGGGCACAGCCCTCCACAAGACCAGCCTCACTTCAGATACCAGCCACAAGTTTGGAGATTCCCAAGGCTGCCCTCACTTCTGACCAGCTGGCTGCAAATTTGGGGGTCCTCATGGACTCCCTAAGGTTTGATAATTTGCTAAAAGGGTTCATAGCACTCAGGAGAGCTCTATATTTACAACTGCAGTTTTATTATAACAAAAAGATGCAAATCAAAACAAGCCAGAGAGAGAGAATCACAGGGTGAGATCTGGGAGGATTCCAAATGCAAACCTCCTGGCATCCTCAGGGATGCATCTCCCCTTTTCCCCAACAATCCAGTATATCGATGGCACAATTTTTTTTTTTTAATTTATTTTTTGAGACAGGGTCTGGCTCTGTCACCCAGGCTGGAGTGAAGTGGCATGATCTCGGCTCACTGCAACCTCCACCTCCCAGTTCAAGTGATCCTCCCACCTCAGCCTCCTGAGTAGCTAGGACTACAGGCATGCACCACACCCAGCTAATTTTTGTATTTTTAGTAGAGATGGGGTTTCACCATGTTGGCCAAACTGGTCTTAAACTCCTGATTGCCAGTGACCCGCCTGCCTCGACCTCCCAAAATGCTGGGATTACAGGCCCTGTGCCCGGCCCTGGACAGAGTACTCTTAACCAGGGAAGCTAACCTGGGCTTCAGTGTCCAGAGTTTTAATGGTGTTTCTTATTGAATCGTTGCCCATGTGACTCCATCTCCAGTCCCTGCCTTTCTTCAGAGGTCACACTGATATTACATGACTCAAAGCCCCAGTCCTATAATCACATGGTTGGTCTTTCTGCTGTGGCCATTCCCCATACTGAGCCGTCTTGTCAGTATAAAGTATGGAGAGGCCCAGCACAAGTCACCTGGTTAGCATCAACTGTCAGGTGTAGTCCCATGGCCTGCCATGAATAACAAATAAATGCCAATCACTCTGGAAATTCCAAGAGTGTAGAGGTTACCTCCTAGGAACTGAGGACAAAGACCAGTCAGATTCTCTGTTACACATATGATAAGATTAAATGCTTAAAACATTATGTTCTGAAGATAATTCAAGAATATGACCGCTGTGTGATTAGTTTTGTTCTGACGCTTCTTTTAGCCCCAACAACATGTGAGGTGTGACATGTTGTGTCGTGTGTCACCTGGTGGTGACACTCAGCTTGACTCGGAAAATGTCTTCACAAGACATTAGTGCTCTACCTGTTATATCTGGAATGTCACTCAAGACTTTTACATGTATCTTTCATTTAAAATGTATTGAGCTTTTTGTATGTACATATACAAAAATGTATATTGTGTAAATATATCAACAGAGAAACACAAATATCAATGAAGATTGAATATTAAAATGTTAACTAGGCAGAAGCACTGCAGATGCCTTTCATTTCCTCAGGTTAACTTTCTAGAAGTGAGATTCCTGTGTTACAAAGTATATACATGTTGCCTGGGCACAGTGGCTCATGCCTGTAATCCGAGCACTTTGGGAGGCCGAGGAGGCGGGCAGATCACCTGAGGTCGGGAGTTCGAGACCAGCCTGACCAACATGGAGAAACCCCATCTCTACTAAAAATACATAAATTAGCCAGGCGTGGTGGTGCATGCCTGTAATCCCAGCTACTCGGAGGCTGAGGCAGGATAATTGCTTGAACCCGGGAGGCAGAGGTTGCGGTGAGCGGATATCGTGCCATTGCACTCCAGCCTGGCCAACAAGAGGGAGACTCCATCTCAGAAACAAAAACAAAAACAAATTGTAGTGTGCACACACACACACACACATATATATATACACAATCGAATATTCTTCAGACTTATGAAGGAGGAAGGGAATTCTGACACATGTTATGGTACAACATGGATGAACTTTAAAGACAGAATGCCAAGTGAAGTAAGCCAGACACAGCAGGACAAATACTCTGTCATTTCACTTATCTGAGGCACCTAGAGTGGTCAGATTCCTACAGACAGGAAGTAGACTGGTGCTTACCAGGGGCTAGAGGGAAGGAAGAAAGGGGCGCTGCTGTTTAATGGGTACAGAGTTTCAGTTTGCAATCATGAAAAAGTTCTGGATGGTGATGATGACTGCACAACGGTGTGAATGTACTTAATGCCACTGCACTATACACTTAAAGCAGTTACAATGGTAGATTTTATGTTATTTATTTTACCACAATAAAAAGTACATACATTCTTTTACAATTTGATGTGTTTTGCCAAACTGTCCTCCAAAAAAGTTATACTACTTTACCATCTTTCTAGTGTCTTAGAAAACTGAGTCTGATGCATAGCTTACATGTGAATAGGCTATTGGGGGTTTGCTGTCTTGAGAGAGCTAGAAAGAGGGAAAAAAGGAAATAAGAAGGAAAGAGAGCAAATTAAAGAGATGTTTTACACAGCTGGTCATAGCTTCTTGCAAAAACTCAGTTGCTTTGCAAGGAGAGTGTTTCTGGAAATGTCATAGGAAACCACTGTGCCTTGGAACAGTCTGTTGGAAAAAATGAGGCGGAGAAATTACCAGCTGTTGTCTCCCATTGGTCATGGGGTGCTAACTTCTCTTTCCTTGCAGGTAGAGGGCAGCTGCTAGGGAAGCTAGATCCACATGCCAGAGGCTGGCCTTCAGAAGGGAAGCCAAGATGATCTGCAGTGCTAAGAAGCAAAGCTACTCTTGTGGTATCTGGAGCTTTTGCAAGCCCCCAAAGGCCTGGGAGGCAGATGGATACAAGCCAAAATAAGGATGTGCACTACCAGTGTATGAGAATAGCTACTTCCTCTCCACTCTCACCCATGCTGACATATTGTCAACATTATAATAAAGTGTTGCCTTTGCTAACATTATAATAAAAAGTATACATAGTTATTACATTTGCATTTTTGATTGCATAATGCTAAGAGATGTTAAGTAATAAATTTGGCCAGGCGCGGTGGCTCGCGCCTGTAATCCCAGCATTTTGGGAGGCCGAGGCAGGTGGATCACCTGAGGTCAGGCATTGGAGACCAGCCTGGCCAACATAGTGAAATCCCGTCTCTACTAAAAATACAAAAAATTAGATAGTCAGGGTGACATGTGCCTGTAATCCCAGGTACTGGGGAGGCTGAGGCAGGAGAATTGCTTGAACCCAGGAGGCAGAGGTTGCAGTGAGCTGAGATCATGCCATTGCACTCCAGCTTGGGCAACAAGAATGAAACTCCCTCTCAAAATAATAATAGGGCCGGGCACGGTGGCTTATGCCTGTAGTCCCAGCACTTTGGGAGGCCGAGGCGGGTGGATCATCTGAGGTCAGGAGTTCGAGAGCAGCCTGGCCATCATGGTGAAACCCTGTTTCTACTAAAAATACAAAAAATTAGCCGGATGTGGTGGTGCACGCCTGTAATCCCAGCTACTCGGGAGGCTGAGGCAGGAGAATCACTTGAACCCGAGAGGCGGAGGTTGCAGGCGGAGGTTGCAGAACAAAGATCGTGCCATTGCACTCCAGCCTGGGCAACAAGAGTGAAACTCCGTCTCAAAAATAAATAAATAAAAATAATAATTAATAAATTAATTGCCCATATGTATGTTTTCTTTTTTGAATAACTTGTATGGCTACTTTTCTATGAGGATATTAATTACCTATTAATATGCAAGGGTTTATTGTCTAAGAGATATTAACACTTTGTCATGTAAGTCAGGAAGAGAAATAGGAATCATGAGTCCTGGGCCGCTGCTCTGGCCATATGAAAACAGCAATGTTCCACTGACTCCTTCCACTTAGAGGGAGAGTGAAACTGCCCAAGTCTGAGATCTGACCGAGTTGAAAGTAACCTTCATTTCACTGTTGGTGGGACTGTAAACTAGTTCAACCATTGTGGAAGTCAGTGTGGCGATTCCTCAAGGATCTAGAACTAGAAATACCATTTGACCCAGCCATCCCATTACTGGGTATATACCCAAAGGACTATAAATCATGCTGCTATAAAGACACATGCACACGTATGTTTATTGCGGCATTATTCACAATAGCAAAGACTTGGAACCAACCCAAATGTCCAACAATGATAGACTGGATTAAGAAAATGTGGCACATATACACCATGGAATACTATGCAGCCATAAAAAAGGATGAGTTCACGTCCTCTGTAGGGACATGGATGAAATTGGAAATCATCATTCTCAGTAAACTATCGCAAGAACAAAAAACCAAACACTGCATATTCTCACTCATAGGTGGGAATTGAACAATGAGAGCACATGGACACAGGAAGGGGAACATCACACTCTGGGGACTGTTGTGGGGTGGGGGGAGGGGGGAGGGATAGCATTGGGAGATATACCTAATGCTAGAAGACGAGTTAGTGGGTGCAGCGCACCAGCATGGCGCATGTATACATATGTAACTAACCTGCACAATGTGCACATGTACCCTAAAACTTAAAGTATAATAATAAAAAATAAATAAATAAATAAATAAATAAATAAAAAGAAACCTTCATTTCAAAGCTTTAGCCTGTTCTTTCCTGTTGCCAGGATGGAGATCTGGGATTCAGGTCCCTTTTGTTTTGTAAAAACACCATACGAGCCTTTGGCTGTGATGAGTTCTCCCGCAGGTAATCTCCGTAGGCTGGGTTACAACAAAGAAAACCAAATTTCTGTGCTCACAAGAATATTTTTTAAAGCAATGATGCAACCCTTAAATTTTTCCCTAATAGAGAAGCTGGGAAGATGAGGTTGTGAGATGCCTGGACTGGATGGGAGAATTGAGAGAGGAGAGGGCAGGGTCTTGGCAGGGGTTCAAGTGAAACGGCGGGAGGTAGGACCATGAGGGAACTGCCATAGATTGTGATTTCTTGTCCAGGTGCAGTGCCTCACGCCTGTGATCCCAGCACTTTGGGAGGCTGAAGCAGACAGATCACTGGAGGTCAGGAGTTCGAGACCAGCCTGGCCAGCATGGTGAAACCCCATCTCTACTACACATATACACACACACACACACACACACACACACACACACGCACACACACACAAATGTGATTTCTTTGTAGTTGTAGGTGGAGAAATTGTATAACAGAGGTGTGTTCTGTTGCACTTCAAAACCTCACTCTGCTGAAATCGCCTTGTGTTTGAGAAGCTCTGTGGGATGAGGCAGGAGGTGGTGTCCAGGGTGAGGAGGTGAAGAAGAGGAAAGTGGCAAGTTGCTGCCTGGCCCCTGAGAGGTCCTCAGGACAGGGATTCTGAACAAGAAGTGAGCAGGGACCAGACCGTGGCCTCCTCCAGGAGACACTCTGGAGATGGCAGCAGGCACCGACTTCCCACGGTAGGTGAGGCCGATGGGGTGGGGACCCATGCATTTCAATTTGATCTTAAAGGAATAAAAGATTTTAAAAGGAGCTGGATTTGAGGACATCACCTTGATAGCCATTCAGTCACATGTGTCAAAAATACCTTCCTCCTTATTGTGTGTCTTTTAACCTCAGCGTGCTCTAATTCCCTGGCCCTATTTGCACTCGACAAGCTCACCTTCTGGCCTCTCTTTTCTTTGCCATTGACTCTGTTCAGTTTTATATCAGTTCATATAAAATTCAACTGCATATAAAAGAAAACTCAATACAATCATGGCTTAAAAACACAAGTGTTTGTTTTCTCACACAGAAGAGCTCCAGAGGTAGCTAGTCCAGGACTGATAAGGACTTTCAGAAAATCTTCGGGAACCCAGGGTGTTTCATTCTTTCTGCTCCATCATTCTCGCTTTGAGGCTTCACCTGAATATCACCTCAGGGCCCAGTACGATTGCTGGAGCTTCAACCAACATGTCTGCACTCAGGGTAACAAGCAGGAAAATAACGAAAAAGGTGTGACTTCCAGATTCAGCTTCTGTTAAGTTAATTTACTTCCAAGTTCCACGTTTTTACTTACATCTCTTTGGCCAGAACGTGCCCTGTCCTGGCATCGAGGGAAGCTGGGCAATGTAATTTGTTAGGTGGGGGATTTATTCACACCAAATAAAATCAAAGTTCCTTACCTAAGCAATAATTTCAAGACGAATAATTGCCAGGTAGGCAAATATCAGTCTCTGCCACAGCTCTATGACATTACCCCATCCCTAAATTTAGGACTTGTCCAAGGGTTTTCCTCTAACCCCGTTCCATCTCCTCTCAACACCCACTCTTCAGTCCTTCGGCTCAAGACAGTAACTTTTCTTTTCTTTTTTTCTTTCTTTTTTTTTTTTGTTTTGAAACGGAGTTTCGCTCTTGTCGCCCAGGCTGGAGTGCAATGGCACAATCTCAGTTCACTGCAACCTCCGCCTCCTGGGTTCAAGCGATTCTCCTGCCTCAGCCTCCCAAGTAGCTGGAATTACAGGTGCCCACCACCATGCCTAGCTAATTTTTGTATTTTTAGTAGAGATGGGGTTTCACTATTTTGGTCAGGCTGGTCTTGAACTCCTGACCTCAGGTGATCCAGTCTCCTCAGCCTCCCAAAGTGTTGGGATTACAGGCATGAGCCACCACACCCGGGCTCCCAAAGTCCCGTTATTGTGAGGTGGGTTTTTTTGTTTTTTGGTTTTTTTTTTTTTATGGAGTCTTGCTCTGTCACCAGGCTGGAGTTCAGTGGTGCAATCTCAGCTCACTGCAACCTCTGCCTCCCTGGTTCAAGCGATTCTCCTGCCTCAGCCTCCCGAGTAGCTGGGATTACAGGCGTGTGCCACTGCGCCCGGCAGAGAGGTGGGGTTTTAAGCGGTGACTGCCCTGTCCCACCTTGGGACTCTGCAGACAGTCTCCACCAGATGTGGGCCCTTCACCTTGGACTTCTCAGCCTCCATAACTGTAAGACATGAATTCGTCTTCTTTATAAATTACTCAAATTTCAAGTTTTCTGTTATAAGAAAGAGAAACAGATTAACATTAACATTAAATACAAGAATGCAGTCGAGCTATCCGCTGGAGTGTAGAGTTTATGGTTTCCAGGACAGACAAATTGGAAGTTTGAGTTATGTATCACTGACTTTTTAGTGATTGTGTGTCAAGCAAAAAGAACCAACACATTGATGAATACATTGTTTCTTCTCCCCGTTCTCAAGGCTAAGTTTTGGATAAAATGTCAGTCATTTAATTAGAAAGTTAGGGTGTGTCACATGAAAAAAGGACTTGATTACTTGGTGATGTGAAATGAAATATAAACATACTTGGGAAATGTAAGCATTTTTATTTATTAAGGTGTAAGAGTGACCTTTAATCAAAGTACTATTTAATGTTAGGGAAGGAAAAAAAGAAACGATTAAACTGTAAGCAAGAGAGACACCACTTTAACTACTGTGCTTTCCTGAGTGTTTGGGGCATTTAGTCTTGTGCCAGAAAAGAAGCCATTGAAGAACTCCATCTCCATTACTTCCTGGGATTTAATTAAATTAACTCACATCTGAATACTAAATAGATACTTTGCAAGGGAGCAAGTCATGAAGACAGGTAGCAGAACAAGGTAAAGCGAATGGCAGAAGGGTGGTAGATGGCTCGAGGGCACTAACATGGTGCTCTTTCAGGGGCCTCCCAAGTGTTCCAAAGGGGCAAAGAAATAGACCTGGGGATTCCTAGTTTGCTTCACAGAGCCAATTCTGGGCCCAACCTGGGACAATTTCTCCATCTTCTGAGAGTGTTATTGTAGAGCCTGCTCATTTCTGAGCAGAGGGAGAGAGAAGGAGGAAGAGGAATGTCTTCAGTGGACTCTGTTCATATGCCTGCTCCCTAATTTCTAGCTAAAGGAGGCAGTCAGGGCAAGCAGTTGGCCTGTCCTGAACCTATCAGTGTTAGCAATGGTGATCCCTACAACCTCCACACAAGTCGGCTTGCCTTATCTTTTGATAAAAGCCTTAGCAAAGCAAAGCACACTAACCCAAAGTCTTTCTCTTTCAAGATAACAAGGCAAACTTTATCAAGACTGCAGCCAGGGGCGTAGTGTGGCTCTGATTTCTGGAGGCGTGGGCTGGTGGGGGAAGGAGGCCCCAGCAGGGCTTTGCAGTGCTATTGACTCCTTTTACCATCTTCTCAAAAAAAACCTCCAGCTCTTGCTTTCATACTGCTTCCTCCAAGTTCTTTTGAACTTTGCAAAAAGCAGTCATCACCTGTACATGTTACCTTTAACCCTTTAAAAGGTGACAGTTTTGCAGAACTTGCTCTGGTAGTTCCCGATGTCCTGAGCTCGCTGCAGTTCTATTGGAACTGTAAACTGTGGGATGACTTTAGGTAGCAGTGGCGGCTGGAGGGCTTCGTTACAAGGCTGGGTTGGAATGAACACGTTGGGTGTGGCATGGGAGCGAGAGGAAGACCCAAATCAGGAGACTGAGGCACATGAGGGAGCAGGAGTCCCGGGCTGCGCATGCAGTGGGAGGGCAGGCATTCCTCAGAGCTTGACACTGTTTCTAGAGGGGATGTTTGTCCGCTGACTCACACCGAGGCACGAACCACTGTCTACATCTTCCCTCTTTCTCCTCCTTTCAGATATCAGCCATGGTTTCATGGTTTGCATCCCAGGATAGAACACCAGGAAGCTCTGGTACTCTGGCTTCCCAGGCTGGATTATTTGGGGGATATTCTCATAATAGAGGCAATAAAGTGGACCCAGAACAGGCCTTGAATGGCCCAAGCTCAAATCTCCACCCTGCCACTTACTATCAGTTACACCCAACATCTCTGAGCTGCAGTTTTTTAAATCTGTAAAACGGGATCCCTAATGCCTGTCTAGAAAAGTTGTTATCATTAAGTATGATATCCATAAGTATTATATATATATAATAGATAATCAGGAAGTTATGTTTGTTATTATCTCTATGTTACTTTCTCTATGTCTGTACCTGTATTTGTGTCTATGTCTATATCTATATGTTATAGCTTTATCTACATGAATCTATATATGGAGTAAACTTATTTATGTTAAGAGCTTTATTGAGATATAATTTATATACAATTAAATCCATTTATTTTTTAAGAGTACAACTCAATGACTTTTAATAGTAAATTTACTAGTTATGCAACCATTGTTACAATAATGTTAAAACATTTTTATCACCCCCCCAGAAAAAACCTCATGGACATTTGCACTCACTAGAGTAAACTCTTTACCAAGACATTTACACTCATGAAAAGTTTTGTTAGAATTTTGTATGAAAAAAAATTTTTTTTCTTTTTATTTTTTTGAGAGGGAGTCTCACTCTGTCACCAGGCTGGAGTGCAGTGGCACAATCTCAGCTCACTGCAACCTCTGCCTCCCAGGTTCAAGCAATTCTCCTGCCTCAGCCTCCTGAGTAGCTGGGACCACAGGCACACGCCACTATGCCCAGGTAATTTTTGTATTTTTAGTACAGATGGGGTTTCACCATGTTGGCCAGGATGGTCTCGATCTCTTGACCTCATGATCCGCCTGCTTCAGCCTCCCAAAGTGCTGGGATTACAGGTGTGAGCCACTACACCCAGCAAAAAAAATTTTAAAGTGATTAGTTTATATATATATATATATATATATATATATATATATATATATATATATTTAAATTATACTTTAAGTTCTAGGGTACATGTGCACAACGTGCAGGTTTGTTACATGTGTATACATGTGCCATGTTGGTGTGCTGCACCCATTAACTCGTCATTTACATTAGGTATCTCTCCTAATGCTATCCCTCCCCCCTCCCCCCTTTATTTGTGAGATGTGAGATGATGAACTTAATACAAATTCAAAAGGAAAAAAGGAGTATACAAGTGATGTCTCCCTCAGGGTTTCTCTCAGTTAACATTAGTTGCCTCTAAAAAGAACTGCTTGAAATCCCAGAGAGGTAGACAGAGATTTTAAACTCAAGGATGTATGCTGATTTTATCAAATTCTTTTTCGTCATCTAGAAGTGTGCTGTTCAATAAGGTAACCATTACCTCCTGTGGCTGGCTCACAAACACTTGAAATTTGGCTAGTGTGATTGAGGAACTGAATTTTTAATTTAATTTTAATTAAACTAAATTTTAAGACTGATAATTCAGTTACTGAAAAACTCAAGTATGTTTGCAACTTGGATATATACACCTACTTTTTTGTATCATAAACTTCACTAAATCTTAATGCAGATCAAGCTTTTCCAATGAAAATTTTGTGTCTGAATTGCGGTGAGCTAGGACAGTACATTTTAGATATATTGGGTTAAATAAAATATCATTAAAATTTGTTTTATCTGTTGCTTTTTACTTATTTGAAATGTGGCTTCTAGAATATCTAAAATTACCCACGTGGTTCACTTTATCTTCCTATTGGACATGCTGCTCTAGAGAGATATCATATGCTTTTTCTCATTTTATCTATTATTATGGTGAAATATATTAGTGTATTTTCTAATAATTTTTCTCTTTTTGCATTTCTGGCATAACCACCACTTGGTCATGGCATTCTGAATTATTTACCATAATTCTTTATTCTTTATTTAGCTCCTTTGGCCTTAATATTCATATGTAAGATTGGTCTTTAGTTTTATTGGGCTATCATCACACATCTGGAAGCTGTTCCTGTCTAGTCTTGACATTATTTAAATAACATAGAAGATATTGTTCTTTGGGCCCGGCGTGGTGGCCCATGCACTTTGGGAGGCTGAGGCGGGTGGATCACTTGAGGTCAGGAGTTCGAGACTAGCCTGGCCAACACGGTGAAACCCTATTTCTACTCAAAATACAAAAAATTAGCCGGGTGTGGTGGCTCATGCCTGTAATCCCAGCTACTCAGGAGGCTGAGACAGGAGAATCACTTGAACCTGGAAGGCAGAGGTTGTAGTGAGCCAAGATCGTGCCATTGCACTCCAGCCTGGACAACAGAGTGAGACTTCATCTCAAAAAAAAAAAAAAAAAAAAAGGCCGGGGGCAGTGGCTCACGCCTGTAAACCCAGCATTTTGGGAGGCCGAGGTGGGCGTCACGAGGTCAGGAGATCAAAACCATCCTGGCTAACACGGTGAAACCCCGTCTCTACTAAAAAATACAAAAAAATTTAGCCGGGTGTGATGGTGGGTGCCTGTAGTCCCAGCTACTCAGGAGGCTGAGGCAGGAGAATGTTGTGAACCCGGGAGGCGGAGCTTGCAGTGAGCGGAGATCGCACCACTGCACTCCAGCCTGGGCGACAGAGTGAGACTCCGTCTCAAAAAAAAAAAAAAAAAAAATGGGACCTTAGAGAGATGATTAGGTGATAAGGGCTCTGCTCTCACGAAGGAATTAATGTCATTATCTCAGGAATGGGATTTTCATAAGTTAGGGAGTTCTGCCCACTTTTTCTCCCTCTCTCTCAGTGTCTCTCACCACATGATGCCCTTCTGCCATCTTAGGATGCAGCAAGAAGGCCCTTGCCAGATGCAGCTTTCAGTCTTGGACGTCCCAGCTTCTGTGAGCCAAACAGATCTCTTTTTAAAAATAAAATTACCTAGTCTGTATATTGTGTTTTAGCAGCAGAATACGAACAGGGTGGCCCAGTTTGAGTATCATTGCACCTAGGACCCTGAACCAGGCTTCTCTAGCTCCACTCTCATGCTCAGTTGCTGACTACACATTCTCTCTAGGGGTCCCCCTGTCCCTTCAACAATCAGGCTTCTGTCAAATCTGGCTTCACCCAAATTCATTCAACAAATTTACTCATGTGTGAACCCCAGTGATTAATAAGCTCAAATTGTTTGCTAGGTGTCTCTCTAGCCACTGTGCAAATCTCTGGATACAAATGTTTGTCCTGGAGACAGGATACTGGCTAACTCTCTTGAAGCCACATTCCAAATGGAAATTGGAGGAAGGGTCATATCCTCCAGCTCCCACCAAACTAATACACCCTGTTACAAAAGAATGTGGTTACTCAGTCTATCAACTTTGCTTTGGGTTCAGGATGTTGCACAACATACTGGTGAGATGTTAGAGGGAAAAGAAGAGAAAAGTTAGATACTAGAAACCCTCCCAGAGGGATTCTTCTGAAGAGAGATTCTTCTATAGCTCTACAATTATTAGGGCCTTAGGCTTGAGAGTCAAGTGAGTTGATATATGTAAAGCACTTAGGGTAGTGACAGGCACATAGTAAGAGCTATGAAAGTCTAGTTATTTATTTATTTATTTATTTATTTATTTATTTATTTATTTATTATTTTGAGACGGAGTCTCTCTCTGTCACCCAGGCTGGAGTGCAGTGGCACGATCTCAGCTCAGTGCAAACTGTGCCTCCCAGGTTCATGCCATTCTCCTGCCTCAGCCTCTCGAGTAGCTGGGACTACAGGTGCCCGCCACCACGCCCAGCTAATTTTTTTTGTATTTTTAGTAGAGACGGGGTTTCACCTTGTTAGCCAGGATGTTCTCAATCTCCTGACCTCGTGATCTGCCTGCCTCCCAAAGTGCTGGGATTACAGGCGTGAGCCACCGCGCCCAGCCAAGTTTAGTTATTTTTATCTCCATGCTCGGCATCACCGCTCCCTGTCCTGCCACCATGGGAATGTGGGCCCATCCCAGCACAGCCTCCTTCCTCCTGCTGCCAAGGCTGCTTAGGTTCCACACCTGAGTCAGGAAAGTCCCAAATCCACCATGTTCAGAGAAGATACTTTCAGTTTCCAGCCCCATGACAGCCCTTAGGGTAGTTCACAAATACTCTTCTTTGCCTTCTTCAGGGACCTGGTAGGATTATAATTCCTCATGTCTTTTGATGTCCCATGTGGGCATGCGACTCTCTTGGCCAACAAAACCTGGAAGGAGTTAACTTGTGTTGCTTCTGGATGGAAGTTTTAAGAGGCCATGTGTGAGTCGCCACAACCCCTTATCACTGCTGCAGCGATTGTGAACTTGTGTCCAGCCAGAGCTTCCATCAGCCCAGGACCCCGAGAGATGGCACTGAGTTCGGCCCCAGCTGACCTGCACTGATGTGTGGTGTCAGTGAAAACAAACCTTTAGTGTATGAGGTCCCTGGGATTTGGGGGTTGCTCCTGCAACGTAATGAGCCTACCATGAATGACACACCCCTAATGAGGCTTGTATGAAATGTGATAGGCTTGAATTAAATCCCACACACTGGGATTGAGAAAGGGGGAGACTCAAACTAATGTTCATCCTTCTCAACAAAGTGCAGGTCCCTGTGTCATCTCAGGCATATGTGAGTATATCCCTGTCCTCGGGAGCCTTCCACATGCCCCCATTACAGCTCTTCCACACTTCCACACAGGTGGTTGTTTGTTGCCTGTCTGATTCTCCTCTACAACTATGAGCTCCCAAAAGGCAGCAATGATATATTTTTACCCAACCATCCAATGAACTTTTTTTTTTTTTTTTTTTTTTTTTTTTTGAGATGGAGTCTCACTCTTTCGCCCAGGCTGGAGTGCAGTGGAAAGATCTTCGCCCACTGCAACCTCTGCCTCCTGGTTTCAGGTGATTCTGCTGCCTCAGCCTCCGGAGTAGCTGGGATTACAGGTGCGTGCCACCACACTCAGCTAATTTTTTATAGTTTTGAGTAGAGACAGGGTTTCACCATGCTGGACAGGCTGGTCTCGAACTCCTGACCTCAAGTGATCTGCCTGCCTTGGCCTCCCAAGTGCTAGGATTATTGGCGTGAGCCACCCCACCCGGCCCCAATGAACTTTTAATCAAGTTCCTTAACAGGTCTGTGCTTCAGTTTCCTTATCTATAAAACACAAATAATAATCATACTTAGCTCAGAGTTGCAGTGAGAATTTGATTGAATAAATGAACCAATACATTTGAATGGTAGTTAAATCACTATTAGGGCAGTGCCTGCCACATAAGCCATACTATGTAAGTGTTACCTTTTATTTTATCATTTCTGTTTGAAGGACTCTTGATTCCTGAATTATCTGTGTAAACCATTGCACTCTGCGTAGTCCCAGCACTGTGCCTTACAGATGAAGCAGCTGTGGTTCAAGGGACAAAAGAGGCAAGAATGAACGGTTCCAGGATTTCCGGCTTGGGGAACCTGGTGGGCGTTATGCCTTCAGCCAAGAAAAAGAAAGTAAGAGGGATAGATTTAAGGGGGATACTGAACTGACTTTGGATGTGTTGAGTTTTAGGCGCCTGCAGGTCATCTAGACGGAGATGACTGATAGGCATTTAGGCAGGTGGATTTGGAAGTAAGCCGAGAGATGGGGTGTGGGGGGAGCAGATGTAGACGCATGTGTCATCAGCATGTCCATGGCAGGTAAAGTCGTGGGATTCGAGGGACAAGGACTGAGGACCGCCCCCATGGGGAGAACCTATAGTCAAGGAGAGGTGGGAGGAACAAAAATGAGCCTGCCACTGGGATGGCAGAGACAACATTTACTATAAACTCAAAATAAAAAGAAAAACATGGACTTTTGACTGTTCTGGGAAATTGCATAAACTCAAAGTTCTCTCCCTATAATCTCTTAGAATATGTGTGTGAAGAGATTCTCTACAACATGGGAGTGTGCACAAGCTGCTCTGAGCTTGCCACACCGCATCCCACGAGGACAGGGTGGTGCCTGGGCTGACCTCAGGCCTGGGAGGCACATCATTCTCGTTTCTGAACGATAAAATGTTGTTCAGAGCTAAAGAACACAGTTTTCTCCCTTCACCCCTCCCAATCGTTTTAAATGAAAAAGCATTATAGCCATGCATAATGTCTCTTCTCATTAAAGTTTAATCCTAATCTGCAATAAGTCATACTGAACACATACTAATGCAGTAATTGTGGGTTTGGGTGTGAAAGAGAATTCAGTCTTCACGTGTTCTGGACCACGACAGTTTACTCCGAGCCCCAATAGATGGCACTGCTGATGCATGCAGCAGGAGAAACCAAGCATGGCTTCCTGAGTGGAACCAGAGTGATTCTACTACTTCATCTGTCTTTGGTAATAATCTATCATCCCCCAAGAAACATTATCTCCAGATGCAGTTTCTTATTCTGTATTCCATGTGGCACACTTAGAACCTGCTGCCCCACCAAACCCTGTCCCCCACCTTGGATCCTTCTCCTAAGGTTTTGGGCAAAAGAGCTCCTCTTCCTTTTCAGTGGTAGCTGCCTAGAATTGCCTTCCTCTCCTTCTTTTCCTTCTGCTTCCCTCTTCCTCACAACCCTACAGCTGTCCAAAAGCAGCCAGAGCCTGTGACCCCCATCACTTGTCCTCCTGGGTGCCCAGCCTGGCAGACGTCACCTGCAGATACCTGGCCTGCACTCTGGAAGCACACGCCCCCTACCATGTGGGAAGGTAATATCTTCTTTCAGATATCACATTGTTTGGCCAGTCATCAAATGCATCATTTTACTTCAACCAGATTAGGAGTTCAGTGGTTCTGGGGGGCTGGGGGAACACGGCCACCAATCCTAACAACCCTATCACTCAGTGAGTCCCAAACCCAAAGGCGGTGATTGGCTGAGATAAAATGGGATCACAGCTAGGTGACTGCATCACACAGTAAGTGCTGTGACAGGGCTGTAAGGAAAATGCCATAAGGGAATTCCTTATTCCTCCAGGTGAAGGCTGAAGCAAGGCATAGTGAAGGAGGTGATATTGAGCATGATCTATGAAGAGCCGTTCAGCAGAAGGAGTGGGGAGTGTAGGGACAGGAGGCAGTGCCCACCAAGACCACAGTGTGCTTCTGGCCTGGGAGGCTAGGAAGCTTGATGTAAAGTGAGTAGATTGACCAATGGGAAGAAGGGAGAGGGGGCTGAGGACAGACTGAGCAACCTTGAGTGCCCCTCGGTCCTTAGGCTTGAACGCTAAGCTATGAGGAGCCAGCAAAGGTTTTCCAGGTCAAGAGTTGAGTGTGTCCCCCTCAAAAAGATATAAAGTCCTAGCCTCCATACCTTAGAATGCGACGTAATTTGGAAAAAGGGCTGTTGCAGATGTGGTTAGTTAAGGTAAGGTGAGGTCATACTGAAGTATGTGGGCCTTTAATCCCAAACAACTGGTGCTCCTATGAGAGGAGAAAAGACCCAGACACACAGGGTGGGAGGGCCACAAGGCAATGCAGGCGGAGGTTGGAGTGGTGTGGCTGCACGCCGAGGAATGCCAAAGGTTGCTGGCAACACCAGAAGCTGGGACAGGCAAGGAAGAAGCACCTATGGGTTTCAGCAGGAGCGTGGCCCTACTGATGCCTTGACCTTGGACTTCTAGCCTCAGACTCTGAGATAATCAGCTACTGCTGTTTAAGCACCCAGCTGGTGGTGCTTTGTTACGGAAGCTCCAGGAAAGTGAGCCACGGCCCTCCTCACACCCTGCTTATGTCCCTGCTAATCACCTGCACCTGAGCTGGGAGACCCTGTCCTCACCTCCTTGTGCTCCTCCACGCCCTCCTATCTGTGCTTCCATGATTACCTCGAAGCCCTCCTCCTCCTCAACCCACCACGACCCTCAGTCCCAGTGACTTCCCTCTTGCCACTTACAGCCTCCACTGCACACTTGTCCTTGCTGTTCCACAGCCTCCCCTGCTCTCTCATTGTCTCCCAGATATTAGGCTGCTTCCCCAATGAAGCTCTAAGGGCCTTGAATGCTGTCCCCAAGTTTAGGAGCTGTGTTTAACATTAGGCCAATCTAAGCCATCATGAACACATTTACTGAGTTGACTGATTTGCTCAGGGCTTTGGAGGAAGAAGCAAGAGACAGAGTTGACAGCAGCCTCAAGCACTAGCATAGGGATATTTTCATAATAATTATCAAGCCAGAGGGCATATGTGATAAAACAAGCTTTGAGACAGAATAGCTCTGAGGTATGACCTCAGCTCTACTACTTAGCAGCTGGTTAACCTTGGGCAAGTCACATGACGTCCCTGTGTCTGTTTCCTCACCTAAAAGATAATGTCTGTGACTCCAGATTGTGAACTGAATGTCTATGGAAGATCAGATGTTCATGAAAAGTCTTTGCGCAGTGGATGTCCAACACTGTACATGGCCATGGTGATTCGCACTCCAGCCAGCCCCGACTTCCTGTATCAGTCAATGATACCAGGATGTAAAGAATTTGCATTCTGTGAATTTGCACTATGAAGAATTTCCCTCAGATCATAATAAAGTATAATTTCATAAATAATGGGCTTTCTATGTTGTCTAAGAATTTCAAGTGAGGCCCTGAAGCTGAGAACAATACATCACCATGGCCCCTGTGTTCTAGAAAGTGGTGTGAGGCCATCTGGGCAGAACTTGCTGAGGGTGGGCCCAAAGCCAGTTCTGCAGCCCCTGCATGTCACTCACTTTTCATCCACTTTTAATCTAAAAGAGATGAGAATGGGCCAGGCACAGTGGCTCACGCCTGTAATCCTAGCACTTTGGGAGGCCGAGGTAGGAGGATCACCTGAGGTCATGAGTTTGAGACCATCCTCGCCAACATGGTGAAACCCTGTCTTTACTAAAAATACAAAAATTAGCCGGGTGTGGTGGCACGCATTTATAATCCCAGCTACTCTGGAGGCTGGGGCAGGAGAATCACTTGAACCCGGGAGGCGGAGTTTGCAGTGAGCCGAGATTGCACCACTGCACTCCAGCCTGGATGACAGAGCGATATTCTGTCTCAATAAATAAATAAATAAATAAATAAATAAATAAATAAATAGGAGATGAGAATGGTAGGAGGAAAAGGTGATTTCTTTGAAAACAGCAGTCAGTGTAAGAGAATAGACTGCAGTCCCTTCTCCCACTGCCCAAGGATGTGTTCTGCTGCTGGGATGTTTGCTGAGGAGGGAGGTCCCCAGGCCCTGTGGCAGAAAAACAGGGCAGGATGAAGGGCCTTGTGAGAGCTGCAAGTGAGACCCCAGGTCGGGTGCCCCCCACCCCGGGACCACCCCCTGGTTCTCACCTGGAAAAGTCTGAAGGCAAGAGATGGTGGACGCTGTCCCCAGCAACAGAGAGGTGGTGCTGCAGGGGGCGGCACCTGAACTGCTGGAGGGGAGGGGAAATTGTGAGCCAAGGTGGAGCCGACTTCAAAGATGCCTCTGCCCAAGACCTTCTTTCACAGAGGGGACCCCAACAGACAGGGGCTCTGTGGCGTGGAAGCAGAGCCTGAGGGCCAGCCCTAGGAAGTCAGACAGAGGCTGCTTTGCTCCCTCCAGGGAGGGGCCACATCTAATGTCCCCAGCTGTGTGTGTGCCTGAAGAACCCACAAGAGCAGCCCTCCAGACCGTCATCATGACACCACTGCCACAGCACCAGATGGCCACAACATCACGCAAGAAGCCCCTTTTCCCTGTCTGCCCCACCCTTCACCGTGCCCTGGAGAAGCCAGAAATGAACTTAGAGCTGCCAAACCCAGCTCAGGCCTGCGTCGTGGAAGCTTTCCATTGAATGAGATGTTTGCATTTTGAGTCAAAGGGTCTGGACTCTTTTTTTTTTTTTTTTTTTTTTTTACAGTTTAAGTTCTAGGGTACATGTGCACAACATGCAGGTTTGTTACATATGTATACGTGTGCCATGTTGGTGTGCTGCACCCATTAACTCGTCATTAGGAGATATACCTAATGTAAATGACGAGTTAATGGGTCTGGACTTTTTAATGTCTGAGAAGGAGATTGCTCTAATCCCTGAAAGTCACAGGGAAAGCTTAAGTACATCTTCCAGGCCTTAGGAATGGAGATCGGGGGTGCAGGTGTGAAGACAGTGGTGGGAAGAACAAAAGCTCCTTTTTCCTTGCTCTTAGCAAGGTCAGTTCATCCAATAAACCCTTCGAACGCATATTACGTGTTCTCCTGCTGACTTTATTGTCTTCATTTTTTGAAGTGTTGGCATTTTAAATGATCCTAATGACACTGAATCTGTCTTAATTACAACCTTTCCTCTCAGGGCACAGAGTTGTCTGTGAAAGAATCTTCTAAATTTCTTAATTAACCTGCAGTGGCTTTATTTTGCCAAAGACTGTGCTTGCAGCCATTATGAGATACTCTCTATGTGCTACCCCAGCGTAGTTAAAACTTTAAAAACTACCCTATAAAGCAGAAAGCCTATAACAATAAAGTGCTTGGCAATGAAAGGTCAGGAAGCCTAAGTAAATAGGCAACAATTAGATTAAGAATTTAAAGTCCAAGGTCTCAGAGATTAACCTTCACATCCTGCACAATCATTTCCAAGGGAATATTTAAGGATAATTGTATTTTATGAACCTGCCTCAAATCCCATTTTTGATGACGAGGTTTTTGTAAGCAAGCTTTAATTCATTAATATGCAGCTCTTTACTACCCAATCTACTTTATCTTTCAAAGCAAGTGGTTAGGCCTTCCTGTCAATGGAGACCAGACCTTAGGTTTGGCAAATAGAATTGGGCAGAGATATCATTGGGAGGAAAATTCCTCATATCCCCAGTTTCCTTTTAGATTTCAGCTCTTTCCAGTAGACAAGGACTTACGGGGAGACCAAGGAATCTTTAGGCTCCCCACTCACTTGAGTCTCTTGTAAGGCCTGGGAGGGACCCCGGTAATATCATCAGAAGGTCATCTGTTTTTATCAAGTTGGCAAAATTAAGATAATTGAACAGCAGTTTGTCCAGAGCATCCTGTCTTTCCACGCTAACTTGCCCTTTCTAAAACTTTTTTCAGATCTGGTGGCATTGGGGTGTCTATGGGCATTTTGGGGACTTGGCTAGAGCAAAGTTGAGCTAACTGGGTTCAAGAACGCCGTTCTGAGGTGTGGATGGGGGACCCCTACCTCAGGGGGTCCTTGGAGGGTGCTGCCCCCCAGGTGCTGTCCCTGACATGGTCTCTCGGTTGCTGGGGCTGCAGGCCACGTGGCCATCTGAGAACCCACACAGCTCGGCTTGCTGAGCCGGGGCTAGGGGCTGGGGGAGTCCCTGCCTCTTCTGAGACACCCCCACCCCCAAAACCCCTGCCACCACGGGCCTGAGCCTCTCTTTGCCTGCCGGGCTTCTAGGCGCCTTCTCCTCTGGAGCCTTGTGGGGGTCTCTGCACAGCTCCAGGCCACGGCAGCCCATTCTGCACTCTCCGCCAGGGCCTCCAGGGCCCAACTGCCCTGGATTCCTGTCTGGAGCAGCCCCCACGGTCACACCACTCCGGAATCACTGTGAATGCTTTCCTGCGTGTGCTTTTCTGGAACTGCTCCCCAGGGCGCAGGGATGGCTGGTGGCTGGAGAGTGATAGCTCCTCCCTTCGCTTTCAGAGCGTCTGGAGAGAGGAACTAGGAGTCCTACTTCTGTTTGCCTTTTTCGCGATGTCTCTCCCATTCTCTCCCCTATGGCAAAGAGTAGCCCCCCTGCCCCATGCCATGATGGCTCATGTGTGTGCAGCGCTTAGTAGGTGCCCAGGTGGGAAGGTGCTCATATTGGCCCATTTAGCCTTCACACATATTTTACCTAATATCCTCTCCTCCCTATGGATGAAGAAACCAAGGCACAGGAGCCCAAGTGACCTGAGCGCCCCCCAGGCTGCCCTCAGCCCAGCCCCGGCACCCGGCACCCAACCCCACCTGGAGGCTGGCCAAGCCCAGGGATTTGCTCTGAGCAGCACAGACTTCCTTGCTGGCTGCTGTGCTAAGACGGGGCTGGGGAGTCTGGAAACTTTTTTCTCAAGACAACAGCCAGGCTGGCCTTCAAGCCTACAGTTTTGCTGAAGAGAAGACGACATGCCCCTTGTCAGTGGGAAGGGGAGAGGCCGCTATACCTTTGGGGGCAGGAACGTGCATCAGCTGAATATTTCCTCGGTTCAGAAAGCACTGGGGAGAAGATAACTTCACCTCGCACTTTGGAATGTTGCATTGTTTTAAATTGCTGGATCGTTTGGAGCCCTGGTTGGTTTTCTGTGAAAATTGCGGCTCACAGCCAGGTGCAGTGGCTCACACCTGTAATCTCAGCACTTCAGGAGGCCGAGGCAGGAGGATCACTTGAGGTCAGGAGTTTGAGACCAGCCTGAGCAACACAATGAGGCCCCGTCCCTACCAAAATTACAAAACTTAGCTGGGCGTGGTGCATGCCTGGCCCCAGTTACTTGGGAGGCTGAGGTGGGAGGATCGCTTGAACCTGGGAAGTGGAAGTTGCAGTGAGCCAGGATCACACTACTGAGCACCAACCTGGGCAGCAGAGGGAGACCTGTCTCAAGAAAAAAAAAAGGGTCTGACTTTGCTGGTACTCTGTTTAGGCTCAGGGAGAGTCTTTGTAAGCCCTATTAGCTAAGGAGAGGATATGTGTGGTGGGAGTGGCGGGGGAGCCTGTTTATCTCAACCACATGCAATCTGAGCAATCTCATTGCATCTTGCTAAAGTCTCTTTTTTGAGACAGAGTCTCACTCTGTCACCCAGGCTGGAGTGCAATGGTGTGATCTCTGCTCACTGCAACCTCCGCCTACCAGGCTCAAGCAATTCTCCTGCCTCACCCTCCCAAGCAGCTGGGATTACAGGTCCCACCACCATACCCAGCTAATTTTTTTTATTTTTAGTAGAGATGGGGTTTCACCATGTTGGCCAGGCTCGTCTCAAACTCCTGACCTCAGGTGATCCACCCGCCTTGACCTCCCAAAGTACTGGAATTATAGGTGTGAGCCACCGCGCCCAGCCCTAAAGTCTTTTTTAATCTAGAATATTGAGGAGCCCTGCGGGGCCCTGCAGGACACCTCTCCTGGATGTGTCTGGGGGCCACTCCATGGAGGTACTTCTTGATTTTCCCACTCTGGTGTCTGCAGCAACTGAGAATTAGTTCTTTTTTTTTTTTTTTTTTTTTTTGAGATGGGAGTCTCACTCTGTCACCCAGGCTGGAGTGCACTGGCGTGATCTCGGCTCACTGCAAGCTCTGCCTCCCGGTTCATGCCATTCTCCTGCTTCAGCCTCCCAAGCAGCTGAGACTACAGCCACCCACCACCACACCTGGCTAATTTCTTGTATTTTTAGTAGAGACGGGGTTTCACCACGTTAGCCAGGATGGTCTCGATCTCTTGATCTCGTGATCCGCCCGCCCTGGCCTCCCAAAGTGCTGGGATTACAGGCATGAGCCACCGCGCCCGGCCTAGTCACTGCATTCCTTGTCTTTTCCCGATGGTGCTATATTTGGCCTGTTTATCTAGACTCACCCAAAATAAGAAAAGTCCCGGATCAATTGAACATTAGGGAGGAGGCCAAAACCCCTCTCCTATGGAAAGTTCCTTGAAGCAGTGGGAGCCTCCAAGTTCACTGCCAGGCAAACTGTCACAGACACCAAGGAACAGAGAGGCTCACAGGTTAAAGTACAGTATTTGAAACACACTGCTTATTAAATGAATTGGAAATACGGGACAAAAAGCAAGGAGAAAGAGACAGGATAGGTAACAACCCTGGAGACACAGGGCTACCAGGGCGGAAGAGCCACAATCCTCAGCCTTGTCCTCTCCCCTCACTCCCAGCCCCCACTGCCGGCCTTCTCCTTGTTGCTGTGCTTTTGGGAACCAAAGTACAGGATGATCAAGTGCCTATGGCAAACGCTTCTTGAGCAGAGGGGCCACGGAGGCAGAATGCGTCTCCCCACTAGATGCAGACTTCAGCCTCATTAATACCGGGTACCTGCCGGATATATGAGCTTCCCGAATCTCAGCTCTGAAATAAAACATGACTTGTAAAAGAGGAGGCCAGCCTGTGAGCTGTAGTTTGCTGATAAGATCTTTAGAAAGACTGCATGAAGATATTATCCAGCTTGATTACAAAGTTTTTTGGTGGCCCCTTAAGTTTTGTGCCAAGTGGAGCTCCTCAGCGCCTCACTAACCTGGCCCTGAGGGGTGGAGCCACGACTGGGACGCAGACAGCCTGGCCCGCTAGTCCAACAGACCCCAAAGCCCCCGACAAAGTAGTTCCTGTGGTTTACTTGGGAGACCTTGGGAGGTGAGTCAAGCATTCCTTCATCTGCCTGTGCCGGCCAACGTGAATACACCTCTATACACAGCAGGCACTGTGTCATCGTTAAGATGTGCAAACAGATGGCGCAGCATTAGGTACCTTACCTCCGTCTGCACAGCTAGCTAGCCTGGGTCTGACCCTAGGACTCTGTTGCCAAAGCCAAACTATGGTAAACATATGTGGTGTCTTCAGCTGAAACTAGACAAACATAGGCCTAGAATAACGGTTTTACCCTGAAAAGAAACCAAACATACACAGAAAGGGTAAATAGAGGCACAGGCAGGGAGGGGAGAAACAGAAGAGGCGTGGGAGGGGAGCAACTGGCAGAGGAATGGAGACGGGGTGGGGAAGGGGAGGTAAGAGAGATGGGGGAGTGAATGGGAGGCCCCTTAGGGATGCCGTTCATAGCAGAGGGCTCCAGAATTGAGCGTTGTGATTTTGCATGCGCTCTCCATGACAGCCCTGTGAAGCACACGGAAGAGACTGCAGGCGGGCAGCGGTGAGGCTGGACGTGCGGCAACCTGCTTGCCCAAGGATATGCCCGGAGGTGAGCCAGGGTCTCTCAGGCCACGCCTGCGGCACATCTGATTTCTCCATGAATGCTGAAGTCCTTTGAGGGCTGAGAATAGATTCTGATAAGATTAACAGCAAGAACTTGCTATCTTCCGGGCCTTGAGGTGAGGCAACTATCCCCAAATCTCACACGCCATAAGCGACAGAGCCCTGGAGAGCCCAGGCAGACCAGCTCTGCTTGGCCACGCTGCCTCATCTGCCTCTGGACCACGGCTTTCTTGTACCAGATTGAGAACCGGGACTGTCTACACCACACAGCTCACTGTCTACAGGAACGTGACTTCACTGGCGTGTTTGTCCTCGTCAACATGAGTTTACTATTCCAGAAAACTCTTGCCACAGAGCTGTAGATAACTTTATCTTTTCAGCGTCTTCTGGAAAGACCCATCAGCTTTTCAATACAAAACATCAAACCCTCTCAAGTCTCTTTTAACCCTGCCTCAGAATCACCGGTTTGCTGTGTCATCCCGCAATCCTCACCTATTACAACATGGTCCTCACCCAAGCCTAATCAAGGCCCCATTCAATGGGAAAACCCACCTGGAATCAGACTTCAGCATCTCAATAAAAATGCCAGCTTTGTCCTCCTGCCTCTGCCTCTTCTTCCTTAGAGTCAGAATCTACAGGGCTTTGTGTGCTTATCAACAGATTGTTTCGGTGACACCTTGGGGAGTTAGCATTTGATAACACAGAAAGAAAAGAGAAAAGGGAGATTAAAAAAAAAGTGGGGGGCCAGGCACAGTGGCTCACGCCTGTAATCCTAGCACTTTGGGAGGCCGAGGCGGGTGGATTGCCTGAGGTCAGGAGTTCCAGACCAGTGCAGCCTACATGGTGAAACCCCGTCTCTACTAAAAATACAAAAAAATTAGCCAGGTGTGGTGGCGTGCACCTGTAGTCCCAGCTACTCGGGAGGCTGAGGCAGGGGAATTGCTTGAACCAGGGAGGTGGAGGTTGCAGTGAGCCGAGATCACGCCACTGCAATCCAGCCTGGGAGACAGAGTGAGACTGTGTCAAAAAAAAAAGAAAAAAAAAAAAAGAAGAAGAAGAAGGACCGTGGGGACATTTCACAAGGGACAAGTGATTATGCCATCTCCCAGCAGTGAAATTCCACCATTTGGGCATGGTGCCCAGATGACACCTGGGACTTTTTTGCAGTTTAGCAGAAGTGGCGGCTGGCCCTGGAATCCAGGGCTGCATGTGCCACCCTTGGGCTCCTTGCATGGGAAGTTGCCGATTCCGAGGAAAGCTACAGTTTCCCTCCTGTGCCCCGAAGGGAATGTTGCATCTGCTGCAATTTGCCTTTGACAGGAAAACACTCCCTCCTTCAGCACCCCACACCCACACCCTCTCCCTTGTCTTCCAACGGTGCCTGGACAAGGAAGCCTGGGCTCTGCAGCTGGGACTTGTGCTGCTCTCGGTGTCCTTGGCTTCTAAGCCACAGTGACTGTCACCCTGGTCATTGATCACTGCTGCCATCTGCTGCCACCACCCTCTTAGGTCAGCTGGCCCAGTGTCTCCCTGCTGGCCTGGCCCCACCTCCCTCTCCAAAGAGCAGAAGCCAACTGTGACTCCATGCGCTCCCCAGCCGGGGCAGTTGCTCTGCTGTGTCGGCCTACGGGGCCCAGGTTTTTCCCTCATAGCAACCACTGTCCCCCTCAGCTCATCCTCCCGCATGTGAATGGCCTTCTGGACCCTCCATGTGGCCCACGCCAGGATTAGGGACCCGCCGGGCATCCCAGGAGCTGAGGGAGAAGTGGGCAGCTGAAGATGTGTCCTTCCATGCCCAGCGATGCTACGGATTGCACACTAACAGGAACCTCATGTTGGATCAAGAATGCTAAGAGGTTTTCTCCCCAGAATCCCAATGGGAAGCAGGACAAGGGAGCTTCTGCCCTCAGCGCCCATCAGCCTGTTCATAGTCAGGCCACAACCCGGTGGCCAGGAGGGACAGTCAGGCCTGTCTCAGTCTGCTGCAGGTGTCATAGCAAAGAATCATGGGCTAGGAGGCTGAAGCGACAGAAACTTATTTCCTCTCAGTTCTGGAGGCTAAAGTCCAAGACCAAGGTGTTGGCAGGGTTGGGTTCTGGTGAGGTCTCTCCTTGGCTTGGATGGCTGTCTTCTCCCTGTGTCCTCAATGGTCTTCCCTCTGTGTGGGTCTCTATGTCCAAATTTCCTCTTCTTATGACATCAGTCAGATTGGATCAGGGCCCACCCTAATGACTTCATTTTACCTCGATCCCCTCTTGAAAGAGCCCTCTGCAAACACAGCCATATTCTGAGGCACTGGGGTTTGGACTGCAGCAGATGAGTTGGGGAACACGGTTCAGCCCTTAACAGACCTCTTCTCTACCGTCTCCCCCGTGCTCCAGCCTGTTCCCTGCACGAGCCAGTAGCTCCCATTGTCCCTCCTTTCTCTTTCTAGATGGAAGTTTTCTTAACATTTCTCTTTTTCTTTTTTCTTTTCTTTGAGCTAACATCTCATTCCGTCACCCAGGCTGGAGTGCAATGGTGCCATCATGGCTCACTGCAGCCTCAACCTCCCAGGCTCAAGCAATCCTCCCGCCTCAGCCTCCCGAGTAGCTGGGACTACAGGCTTGTGCCAGGTTCCTTTTTGTACTTTTGGTAGAGAAGGGGTTTCACCATGTTGCCCAGGCTGGTCTCAAATGCCTAGGCTCAAGCCATCCGCCTGCCTTGGTCTTCCAAAATGCTGGGATTACAGGTGTGAACCACCATGCCCGGCCACATTTCTCTTTCTTTCTTTTTCTTTCTTTTTTTTTTTTTTTTTGAGACAGAGTTTTGCTCTTGTTGCCCAGGCTGGAGTGCAATGGCGTGATCTCGGCTCACCGCAATCTCCACCTCCTGGGTTCAAGCGATTCTCCTGCCTCAGCCTCCCCAATAGCTGGGATTACAGGTATGTGCCACCACACCCAGCTAATTTTGTATTTTTAGTAGAGACTGGGTTTCTCCATGTTGGTCAGGCTGGTCTTGAATTCCCAACCTCAGGTGATCCGCCTGCCTCAGCATCCCAAAGTGCTGGAATTACAGGCGTGAGCCACCGCGCCCGGCCCACATTTCTCGTTCTGATCTACCTTCCCCACTTCCAAAATGGTCTAGTGACTGCTATGGGACGTGACTTCCAGCGGAAAGAAGTGAGAAATCCATTAGTTAAACGTTTTCGACAAATCATCCTCCTTACCTTCAAGTGAGACTGAGGATACCCACAGATAGGCCTGGAAACTGAGTTGAGGAAAAAGGAGGTTGATAAAAAATGGAGCGTGCAGGAGCAAACACGGGGACCCCGAGAGCAGATGTGCTCCAAGAAGATTCTAGAATTGGGGGAAGACATCCAAATGCTGCTGAGATTCTGCAGTTACAAAACGGGTTTATCTAGCCAACAAAAATTCATCTGTCAGTATTCATATAACCTTCCTTACACCCCCTGGCTGGTGAGGGCTGGGTATAACCAGGATTTTTTGAATTGGATTGAAAAAGAGAAAAAAGTAAAAAGTAGGCCTTGTTGATTGACAACATTTTCATGGCCGTTTATTCTTTAATAAGCAGTTTTGGGGCCATTCATCATGTAACTCTTAACCTACTCTCCCTTTCAACTTTAATGAAATGTGTTCCTTGTATGGAATTTTCATAATTTTACTTTCTCTGTTAGAGAAGTTGTTAGGATTTGATGATGAGCTGTAAGCCAGCTGAATATTCTTCAGAAGTTTTCAAGGTATCTGATTGAGTTTATCAGCTTTTTTTTCCTAGCTGCTTTGCTGTCTCTCTGAATAAGCGCTTACAGAGTTCTTTCATAATTGTGCCAAGTATGAAATGATAATGAACCACTCCTAATCAGAAAGTAGCTTCACAGACCAGGCAGAGGCCAGCACTGGTTTACTGAGTAATGAAGGACCAACAGCTCCCCTTAGCGACATAATGGGGGTAGTACCTGCTCACACTAGCTAACAGGAACCCTGTGAAGGGAGCACAAATTCAGATTTAAACCTCATTTTATTGCAGATTTTTACAGGCAGAATAAAAAACTGTAGGTGAAAATATTAATTATCAATTAGGAAGAAGTTACATAACATATTGGTTATTCTTTTTGTAACTGAAAGACTTTATACTATCATGCATACATTTAAATAATGAAATCTGAATAAACACAGATAAAAGTGAATCTAATTATCTTAAAACACTCACTCAACATCAAAATATAATCTCCAGGGTTTATTAAAAGAATAGCTTATTTTGCTAGACTACTGGTAAGAACAAAATATTATTGTGTCCGGAATTGGTGGGTTCTTGATCTCACTGACTTCAAGAATGAAGCTGCGGACCCTCGCGGTGAGTGTTACAGCTCTTAAGGTGGCGCGTCTGGAGTTTGTTCCTTCTGATGTTCGGAGTTTCTTCCTTCTGGTGGGTTTGTGGTCTCGCTGGCTCAGGAGTGAAGCTGCAGACCTTGGTAGTGAGTGTTACAGCTCTTAAGGCGGCGCATCTGGAGTTGTTCGTTCTTCCCGGTGGGCTCTGGGCTCGTGGTCTCGCTGGCTTCAGGAGTGAAGCTGCAGACCTTTGTGGTGAGTGTTACAGCTCATAAAGGCAGTGTGGACCCAAAGAGTGAGCAGTAGCAAGATTTATTGCAAAGAGTGAAAGAACAAAGCTTCCACAGTGTGGAAGAGGACCCGAGTGGGTTGCCACTGTTGGCTCGGGCAGCCTGCTTTTATTCTCTTATCTGGCCCCACCCACATCCTGCTGATTGGTAGAGCCCAGTGGTCTGTTTTGACAGGGTGCTGATTGGTGCATTTACAATCCCTGAGCTAGATACAAAGGTTCTCCACCTCCCCATCAGATTAGTTAGATACAGAGTATCCACACGAAGGTTCTCCAAGGCCCCACCAGAGCAGCTAGATACAGAGTGTCAATTGGTGCACTCACAAACCTTGAGCTAAACACAGGGTGCTGATTGGTGTGTTTACAAACCTTGAGCTAGATACAGAGTGCCGATTGGTGTATTTACAATCCCTGAGCTAGACATAAAGGTTCTCCAAGGGCCCACCAGAGCAGCTAGATACAGAGTGTCGATTGGTGCACTCACAAACCCTGAGCTAGACATGGGGTGCTGATTGGTGTGTTTACAATCCCTGAGCTAGACATAAAGACTCTCCACGTCCCCACCAGACTCAGGAGCCCAGCTGACTTCAACCAGTGGATCCCCCACCGGGGCCACAGGTGGAGCTGCCTGCCAGTCCTGTGCCATGCACTCGCACTCCTCAGCCCTTGGGCAGTCGATGGGACTGGGCACCGTGGAGCAGGGGGAGGCGCTCGTCGGGGAGGCTCGGGCCGCACAGGAGCCCATGGAGTGGGTGGGAGGCTCAGGCATGGCGGGCTGCAGGTCCGAGCCCTGCCCCGCGGGAAGGCAGCTAAGGCCCAGTGAGAAATCAAGCGCAGTGCCAGTGGGCCGGCACTGCTGGGGGACCCAGTGCACCCTCCGCAGCCACTGGCCCGGGTGCTAAGTCCCTCATTGCCCGGGGCCAGCAGGGCCGGCTGGCTGCTCCGAGTGTGGGGCCCGCCAAGCCCACGCCCACCCGGAACTCCAGCTGGCCCGCGAGCGCCGCACGCCGCCCTGGTTCCCCCTCGCGCCTTTCCCGCCACACCTCCCTGCAAGCTGAGGGAGCCGGCTCTGGCCTTGGCCAGCCCAGAAAGGGGCTCCCACAGTGCAACGGTGGGCTGAAGGGTTCCTCAAGTGCCGCCAAAGTGGGAGCCCAGGCAGAGGAGGTGCCGAGAGCAAGCGAAGGCTCTGAGGACTGCCAGCACTCTGTCACCTCTCATTATAACTTAATTTTCATGAGAAATTAATAAATATGGCTCAATAACTGCCATTAATACGTTTGGGGAAAATGATGAAATGCCAAGAAAAGAAAAACGTATCCAATTTTTCTTTTCAAAACTTTCTCTGAGTCTGAACCAGGCTTAGAAGACATTTGTGACATCAATTACTGCCTTTCCTAGTTGCCTCACTCATCTAAATGGAAAATTATTCTGCATAATTCTGAGTTAATATGAGACAAGAGAAAAAATATACCCAGAAGACTTTGAAAGTTAAACTGAAAGAGACCCAAAGGCCAAATTACTCAGAGACACAAGTTGTATGGAGAAATCAAGTCAATAAAGATTTGATGGCCTGGCACAGTGGCTCACGCCTTTAGTCTTAGCACTTCAGGAGGCTGAGGTGGGCGGATCACAAGGTCAAGAGATCGAGACCATCCTGGCCAACATGGTGAAACCCTGTCTCTACTAAAAATGCAAAAATTAGCTGGGCGTGGTGGCGCATGCCTGTGGTCCCAGCTACTCGAGAGGCTGAGGCAGGAGAATCACTTTAACCCGGGAGGCAGAGGTTGCAGTGAGCTGAGATCGCACCACTGTATTCCAGCCTGGTGACAGAGTGAGACTTTGTCTAAAAAAAAAGATTGTGGAGAAGGTTTGACAGAGGAGAAATCACGTCTTCAGACTCTACCAGTACTGAATATGAACGTGTGCTAATGTTATTCATCCACAGTCTAACTGCATTCACTTACCATATTAGATGCAAGCTACCACCAAAGCAAACTGAGAAATGTAAGCCATCGAGAGTTGGTTAACATTCAATATTAACCTACCATTTTTCGCATCCGACAAAATGATCAAAGAGAAGATCAAGCATTGAACCAGAAACTGAAACATTCACAGTTGTTTGAATTTGCAGGCAGAAATACAAATCCAATAATTCAGGGTTAGCTACAGAGTTTCTGATACAAACATGTAGAAAATGAGTTTCAAGGCAATTAGTTTTCATTAGCAGAATCTGATGGATGAAAAACAAATTAAGTCTTAACGTGTGTAATTTCTGGAATAGGATCCAAATTTGGAGTCCTGGCTACCTCCAGCAGTGATTATTTGGGACTGTCTATCCTGCCCAAGCCTTTTAAATGCACCTGTGCTGGCCACAGAAATATGTGGCCATGTGAGACACTCGCCATCTCCGGCTGGAGAGTTAATTAATCCCATCTCCCACTTAACCCTCTGTGCCTCATGGAAGACCTTAGTTCCTTTATTCTGTTCTTTTTCCCTCCCTACATATGTTTTTAAAAACTTACCTGTGATGGGCCGGGCACGGTGGCTCACACCTGTAATCCCAGCAATTTGGGAGGCTGAGGCAGGCGGATTATGAGGCCAGGAGATCAAGACCATCCTGGCTAACATGGTGAAACCCTGTTTCTACTAAAAATTCAAAAAAATCAGCCAGGCATGGTGGCAGGCGCCTCTAGTCCCAGGTACTTGGGAGGCTGAGGCAGGAGAATGGCATGAACCTGGGAGGAGGAGCTTGCAGTGAGCCGAGATAGCGCCACTGCACTCCAGCCTGGGCGACAGAGTGAGACTCCATCTCAAAAAAAACAAAAACAAAAACAAACAAAAAAACAGAAACTCACTCAAAACCGCAGAACTACATGGAAACTGAACAACCTGCTCCTGAATGACTACTGGGTAAATAACGAAATGAAGGCAGAAATAAAGATGTTCTTTGAAACCAATGAGAACAAAGACACAACATACCAGTATCTCTGGGACACATTTAAAGCAGTGTGTAGAGGGAAATTTATAGCACTAAATGCCCACAAGAAAAAGCAAGAAAGATCTAAAACCGACACCCTAACATCACAACTAAAAGTGCTAGAGAAGCAAGAGCAAACAAATTCAAAAGCTAGCAGAAGGCAAGAAATAACTTAAGATCAGAGCAGAACTGAAGGAGATAGAGACACAAAAAAAAACCCTTCAAAAAATCAATGAATCCAGGAGCTGGTTTTTTGAAAAGATCAACAAAATAGATGACCGCTAGCAAGACTAATAAAGAAGAAAAGAGAGAAGAATCAAATAGATGCAATAAAAAATGACAAAGGGGATATCACCACCAATCCCACAGAAATACAAACTACCATCAGAGCATACTATAAACACCTCTATGCAAATAAACTAGAAAATCAGAAGACATGGATAAATTCCTGGACACATACACCTCCCTAAGACTAAACCAGGAAGAAGTTGAATCTCCGAATAGACCAATAACAGGCTCTGAAATTGAGGCAATACTTAATAGCCTACCAACCAAAAAAAGTCCAGAACCAGATGGATTCACAGTCGAATTCTACCAGAGGTATAAACAGGAGCTAGTACCATTCCTTCTGAAACCACTCCAATCAATAGAAAAAGAGAGAATCCTCCCTAACTCATTTTATGAGGCCAGCATCATCCTGATACCAAAGCCTGGCAGAGACACAACAAAAAGAGATAATTTTAGACCAATATCCCTGATGAACATCAATGCAAAAATCCTCAATAAAATACTGGCAAACCGAATCCAGCAGCACATCAAAAAGCTCATCCACCACGATCAAGTCGGCTTCTTCCCTGGGTTGCAAGGGTGGTTCAACAAACGCAAATCAATAAATATAATCTGTCGCATAAACAGAACCAACGATAAAAACCACATGATTATCTCAGTAGTTGTAGAAAAGGCATTTGACAAAATTCAACAGCACTTCATGCTAAAAATTCTCAATAAACTAGGTATTGATGGAGCATATCTCAAAATAATAAGAGCTATTTATGACAGACCCACAGCCAGTATCATACTGAATGGGCAAAAACTGGAAGCATTCCCTTTGAAAACCGGCGCAAGACAGGGATGCCCTCTCTCACCATTCCTACTCCACATACTGTTGGAAGTTCTGGCCAGGGCAATCAGGCAAGAGAAAAAAATAAAGGGTATTCAATTAGGAAAAGAGGAAGTCAAATTGTCCCTGTTTGCAGGTGACATGATTGTATATTTAGAAAACCCCATCGTCTCAGACCAAAACCTCCTTAAGCTGATAAGCAACTTCAGCAAAGTCTCAGGGTACAAAATCAATGTGCAAAAATCACAAGCATTCCTATACACCAATAACAGACAGAGAGCCAAATCATGAGTGAACTTCCATTCACAATTGCTACAAAGAGAATAAAATTCGTAGGAATCCAACTTACAATGGATGTGAAGGACCTCTTCAAGGAGAACTACAAACCACTGCTCAACAAAATAAAAGAGAACACAAACAAATGGAAGAACATTCCATGCTCATGGATAGGAAGAATCAATATTGTGAAAATGGCCATACTGCCCAAGGTAATTTATAGATTCAATGTCATCCCCATCAAGCTACCAATGACTTTCTTCACAGAATTGGAAAAAACTACTCTAAATTTCATATGGAACCAAAAAAGAGCCCACATAGCCAAAACAATCCTGAGCAAAAAGAACAAAGCTGGAGGCATCATGCTACCTGACTTCAAACTATACTACAAGGCTGCAGAAACCAAAACAGCATGGTACTGGAACCAAAACAAATATATAGACCAATGGAACAGAACAGAGGTCTCAGAAATAACACCACATATCTACAACCATCTAATGTTTGACAAACCTGACAAAAACAAGAAATGAGGAAAGGATTCCCTATTTAATAAACGGTGCTGGGAAAACTGGCTAACCATATGTAGAAAGCTGAAACTGGATCCCTTCCTTACACTGTATACAAAAATCAATTCAAGATGGATTAAAGACTTAAACGTTAGACCTAAAACCATAAAAACCCTAGAAGAAAACCTAGGCAATACCATTAAGGACAGAGGCATGGGCAAAGACTTCATGTCTAAAACACCAAAAGCAATGGCAACAAAAGCCAAAATAGAAAAATGAGAGCTAATTAAACTGAAGAGCTTCTGCACAGCAAAAGAAACTATCAGCAGAGTGAGCAGGCAACCTACAGAATGGGAGAAAATTTTTGCAATCTACCCATCTGACAAAGGGCTAATATCCAGAATTTACAAAGAACTTAAACAAATGTACAAGAAAAAAAACAACCCAATCAAAAAGTGGGCAAAGGATATGAACAGACACTTCTCAAAAGAAGACATTTATGCAGCTAACAGACACATGAAAAAATGCTCATCATCACTGGTCATCAGAGAAATGCAAATCAAAAACACAATGAGATACCATCCCATGCCAGTTAGAATGGCGATCATTAAAAAACCAGGAAACAACAGGTGCTGGAGAGGAGGTGGAGAACTAGGAACGCTTTTACACTGTTGGTGGGAGTGTAAATTAGTTCAACCATTGTGGAAGACAGTGTGGCGATTCCTCAAGGATCTAGAACTAGAAATACCATTTGACCCAGCCATCCCATTACTGGGTATATACCCAAAGGACTATAAATCATGCTACTATAAAGACACATGTACATATATGTTTATTGCGGCACTATTCACAATAGCAAAGACTTGGAACCAACCCAAATGTCCATCAATGATAGACTGGAGTAAGAAAATGTGGCACATATACACCGTGGAATACTATGCAGCCATAAAAAAGGATGAGTTCATGTTCTTTGCAGGGACATGGATGAAGCTGGAAACCATCATTCTCAGCAAACTATCACAAGGACGGAAAACCAAACACCTCATGTTCTCACTCATATGTGGGAATTTAACAATGAGAACACATGGACACAGGGCAGGGAACATCACACACTGGGGCCTGTTGGAGGGTGGGGCACTGGGGGAGGGATAGCATTAGGAGAAATACCTAATGTAAATGACGAGTTGATAGGTGCAGCAAACCACCATGGCACATGTATATGTATGTAACAAACCTGCACGTTGTGCACATATACCCTAGAACTTAAAGTATAATAATAAAAAAAAAAGTCCGGAATGACAACTATATACTTCCTGTATGCCAGAGGCTCCGGAATGTCTATCTTCAATCCACACCTCTGCCCTAAACACCAAACTCACATATCAAACTACTTACTTGGCATCGCCACTTGGATATCTGTTGGACAATTCAAATTTACACACATCCTAAACCCGTCTTTCCCCTTCAAAAGACAAGCAACAACAAACAAAACAAAACAAAGCAAAAATAAACCTTGTTGCACTTGAACGCCTTTTCATCTCATTTGATGGCAATGTCATCAAAGCCCCCGTTGCTCAATCCAAACATCTCTTTCTCAATCCATCAGGAAGTGCGAGTGACTCTAAAAACTCTCTCCAGGACTCACTTCCCACTGCCAAGGTGCAGCTCTGAGACGGTGTCACTTCTCACCTGGATCACTGGCTTCTGTCCCCCCATTTCTATCATTGGCCCTCAAGATTGTTTTTCTTACAGCATCCAGGGTGATCCTTTTAAAATGTTAAGTCAGACCATAACAGTTCTCTGCTAAAAATATTCTGAGATGCCTTCCCATTTCACCCAGAGTAAAAGCTGGAGTCTTTACAATGGTCCTTAAGGACCACCCCAGGCGCCCCACCCACCCCTCACGTCTCCTGCCCTGTCCTCCTTCTGCCCTTGCACTTGTCACCACTCTGACTTCATCTCCTGTGCTCTCCACTGGCCTCCTGACCATTCCTGCTGCTTTAGAGCATTGTACTGGAAGTTTCTGCCGCCCTACGTGCTCGTCTCTCAGACATCTACTTGGCTAAATCCCTGCTGCCCTCCACATTCACGATGTGGCTTTCTCTATGAGACCCACCCTAGTGAATACTGCAGCTCCCTCCCTAACCCTACGGTCCTGCACTCCCAGCTGCATCACTCTGCTCTATTTTTCTCTGTTCCCTAGCATTTATCACTTTCTAGAATGCTACTTAATTTGCTAATTATATCTATTGTTTATTGTTTATCTCTCTCACACACACATACACACACACAGACAAATACGAGGTTCACAGGAATAGGAACATTTTCTTTTCCTTTTTTTTCTTTCTTTCTTTCTTTTTTTTTTTTTTTGAGACGGAGTTTCACTCTTGTCCCCCAGGCTGGACCGCAATGACGTGATATCGGCTCACTGCCACCTACGCCTCCTGGGTTCAAGTGATTCTCCTGTCTCAGTCTCCCAAGTAGCTGGGTTTACAGGCACCCGCCACCACATCCGGCTAATTTTTGTATTTTTAGTAGAGACGAGGTCTCACCATGTTGGCCAGGCTGGTCTTGAACTTCTGACCTCAGGTGATCCACCCACCTAAGCCTCCCAAAGTGCTGGGATTACAGGTGTGAGCCATGGCACCTGGCCAGGAATAGGAACCTTTACTACTTTGCATATCAATCTTTTCCTAAGCACCCATGACTGTGCCTGGAATATAGTTGGTTCTCAATATTTTTAAAAATAGAAATGAATAAACCGATAAAAAAGAAATATCATGCATAACTGCCACAATTGTTTCAAAAGAAATAGACCATTCAATCCAGCAATCCCACTACTGGGTATCTCCTCAAAGGAAAAAAAGTCACTATATGAAAAAGACAGATGCACATGCATGTTTGTAGCAGCACAATTTGTAGTCATAAACATATGAAACCAATCTAAGTGCCCATCAATCAATGAAGAGATAAAGAAAATGAGGTATATATACACAATGGAATACTACTCAGCCAGGAAAAGGAATGAAATAATGTTTTCTGTAGCAACTTGGATGGAGCTGGAGGCCATTATTCTAAGTGAAGTAACTCAGGAATAGAAAACCAAATATTGTTACGTTCTTACTCATAAGTAGGAGCTAAGCTATGAGGACGCAGAGTCATAATAATGATATAATGGACTTCAGGGACTTAGCGAGGGGAAGGTTGGGGCTGGTAAGGGATAATAGTCTACATATTCGGTACAATGTACACTGCTCAGGTGATGGGTGCAGTAAAATCTCAGAAACCACCACTAAAAAACTGATCCATGTAACCAAAAACCACCTGTACTCCCAAAACGATTGAAATTAAACAAAGAAATAGAAAGGAAAAAAATATTCCATCAATGCAAAGAAGGCAAGAAATGAGAGAAAAATAAATAACAACAACGAACAAACAGGATGAACAAATAAAAAGCACAAATAATATGGTAGAAATAAATCCAAATTAAACACCAATTATAATTCATATTAATGTGCTAAAAGTTCCAGCAAAATGACAATGATTTTAGAGAGAAATTACTAAAAGTAAACAGTTATAAGTTGTTTATTTGTATTTTATTTATTTTTGAGACGGAGTCTTGCTCTATTGCCCAGGCTGGAGTGCAATGGCACAATCTTGGCTTACTGCAAACTCTGCCTCCCAGGTTCAAGCAATTCTCCTGCCTCAGCCTCCCAAGTAGCTGGGACTACAGGCATGCCCCACTATGCCCAGCTAATTCTTTTTTTTTTTTAAGTAGAGACGGAGTTTCACCATGTTGGCCAGGGTGGCCTCGAACTCCTGACCTCAGGTGATCCACCGACCTCGGCCTCCCAAAGTGCTGAAATTACAGGTGTCAGCCACCATGCTTGGCTGCAGGAACTATTTTTTAAAAGCATCTAAAATATACAGGATCCAGAAAGGTTGAAAGTAAAACAACAAAAAAAGATAAACCATGTAAACACCAACCAGAAGAAACCTATTAATAGTAGGCACAATAGGCCGGGCAGAGTGGCTCACACCTGTAATCCCAGCACTTTGGGAGGCCGAGGCAGGCGGATCACGAGGTCAGGAGATCGAGACCATCCTGGCTAACATGGTGAAACCCCGTCTCTACTAAAAATACAAAAAATTAGCCGGGCGTGGTGGCGGGTGCCTGTAGTCCCAACTACTTGGGAGGCTGAGGCAGAAGAATGGCATGAACCCGGGCGGCGGAGTTTGCAGTGAGCTGAGATTGTGCCACGGCACTCCAGCCTGTGTGACAGAGCGAGACTCTGTCTCAAAAAAAAAAAAAAAATACTAGGTACAATCGATCTTATGGCAACAAACCCCCCAAAACTGGTAACACAGGGTGCTTTTTTTTTTTTTTTTTTTTTTTTTTTTTTGTGAGACTGAGTTTCTCTCTTGTTGCCCAGGCTGGAGTGCAATGGTGTGATGTTGGCTCACGGCAACCTCTGCCTCCAGGGTTCAAGCGATTCTCCTGTCTCAGCCTCCTGAGTAGCTAGGATACAGGCATGTGCCACTACACCCGGCTAATTTTGTATTTTTAGTGGAGACGGGGTTTCTCCATGTTGGTCAGACTGGTCTCGAACTCCTGACCTCAGATAATCCACCCACCTCAGCTTCCCAAAGTGCTGGGATTACAGGTGTGAGCCACCACGCCCAGCTGACAGGGTGTGGTTTTTTTTTGTTGTTTTTTTGTTTTTTGGTGGGTTTTGTTGGTTTGTTTTTTGAGACGGAGTTTTGCTCTTCACCCAGGCTGGAGTACAGTGGCACGATTTCGGCTCACTACAACCTCCTCTTCCCAGGTTCAAGTGATTCTCCTGCCTCAGCTTCCTGAGTAGCTGGGATTACAGGTGCCCGCCACCATGCCTGGCTAATTTTTTATTTATTTTTTGTATTTTTAGTAGAGACGGGGTTTCACAATGTTGGCCAGACTGGTCTCAAACTCCTGACCTCAGAAGATCCGCCTCAGCCTCCCAAAGTACTGGGATTACAGGCCTGAGCCACTGCGCCTGGCTGACAGGGTGCTTTTTTATGTCTTCTTTTTAAGAATTTTATTTTATTGTAAATTGACAAATTATAATTGTATATATTTGTGGTGCACAAAGTGATGTTATGATTTATGAATACAATATATTCATAATATAACAAATCAAACTAATTAACATATCCATTCCTTCAAATGCTTTCCTTTTTTGTAGTTAGAGGATTTGAAATGTACTGCCTGAGCAACTTTGAAATATACAATACACTATTATTAATTGTATTCACCATGCTGTGTACTGGATCTCCAAGCAAAACATTTCTCCTAAGACTTGATACCCTTTGACCAATATCTCCTCAAGGCCCCCAACCCCAGCCTCTAGTAACCACCATCCTATTCCATTCTGCTTCTAGAAGTCCAAGTGATTTAGATTCCACCTGTAAGTGAAGACATGCATTATTTGTCTTTCTGTCCCTGCCTTTTTGGAAGTTTTTCAAAAAACTAAAAATAGACTAAATAAGAGCCAGAGATCCTACTTCTCGGTATTTATCCAAAATATTGAACTAGGTATGTCGAAGAGATGTCTGCACTGCCATGTTCATTGCAGCATTATTCACAATAGCCAACTTATGGAATCAACCTAAATGTCCATTAGCAGATGAATGGATAAAGATGATATGGTATATAGTGGTATATATGCACAATAGAGTACCATACAGCCTTAAAAAAGAAGGAAATTCTGTCATTTGCTCCAACATGGATGAACGTGAAGGGGGCTTCTTATTGATTTAAGTTCCAGTTAACTAGGAAGATATAACAATTTAAAACTTTTATGCATCTTTTGCAACTTCTACACTATAGCTGTGAATGTATTTTTAAAAGTTGACATAACTAAGAATATATATCTGTCTCAGGAGATGATAAGCATGAAGAATTTGATAATGATAGAGAAGACTTGAACATGACACATTTAATAATTTGACCAAATATATGCACATGTAACACCAGACCCAACAGTGCTGGAAGACAAATTATTTTCAGGTACACAAGGCCATTTACAGATGTAAATGTTTCATATACATATACACACATTATGTTAAATCTTACCAAATTGTATAGTTTAAACACATACAGTTTATTTTATGTTGGTTATATTTTATTAAAGCTTTTTCCTTTTTTTTTTTTTTGAGACAGAGTCTCGCTCTGTCACCCAGGCTGGAGTGCAGTGGCACGATCTCAGCTCACTGCAAGCTCCGCCTCCCAGGTTCACGCCATTCTCCTGCCTCAGTCTCCTGAGTAGCTTGGGACTACAGGCGCCCGCCACCACGCCCGGCTGATTTTTTGTATTTTTAGTAGAGATGGGCTTTCACCATGTTAGAGTGACCTGGGAGGCGGAGCTTGCAGTGAGCTGAGATCGGCCACTGCACTCCAGCCTGGGTGACAGAGTGAGACTCCATCTCAAAAAAAAAAAAAAAAGCCAGTCAGCACAAAATACATGCAGCATGGCCCCATTTTTACATAAAGTTCAAAAGCAGGCAGAATTTAATGGTATAATAGTTTTTCCCTCACACCTCTTTGTATCTGCTCCATATTACTGAATTGCCCAGATGACAGGTTTCGTATAATCTATAAACTTGAGTAAAATCTAATACTGCTTCAAGTGCTGATTGTAAAATGAAGGAAATAGACATGTCCTTAAATGATAGTAATGGCCGGGCGCAGTGGCTCACACCTGTAATCCCAACACTCTGGGAGGCTGAGCTCAGGAGTTCGAGACCAGCCTGACCAATATGGTGAAACCCCATCTCTACTAAAAATACAAAACTTAGCCAGGTGTGGTGGCAGATTCCTGTAGTCCCAGCTCCTCAGGAGGCTGAGGCAGGAGAATTGCTTGAAACCAGGAGGCAGAGGTTGCAGTGAGCCGAGATCACGCCATTGTATTCCAGCCTGGGCAACATAGCGAAACTCCATCTCAAAAAAAAAAAAAAAAAAATGATGACAGTAAAAGCTGGAATTGATAAGCAAATAGGAAACTTGCACTTCCAATAATGTGAGAAGGTAGAGGACAGAGAACTAAATGGGCTCATTAAGTAGTCAGAGAAGATTTGTAAAAGATTTAAAATGGAGCTTGAAGGAAGAGTGCATGAAATGGGACCTGTGATTTTGGGTAAATCCCAGTGAGGAAAGTGCTTGGATGGTCAGGGCTGAGGCCAGAGTCAGGCGGGGTGACCAGAGAGGGGTGAAGAGTAACCCAGTTTGCCTGGAGATGAGGAGATGTTATTGCAGACAGGATTCCAGCTGAAAACACAAAGAAGGAATGAAAATTTTGTCTAGCTTGGAAATTTTGAGAATAACAGTATAGGGTAGGAAACTGAAAATAAAAGCAACAATTTGAGTGATCGTCTATACACATTTATTAGAAAAACTTGGAAGACCAACACTGTTCCATACATAAACATTATCTGCCCTTAGACAGAATGTGAAAATTGGTGCTCAGGTGAAACTCTTGCCCAAGGCACCTGGCTGGTGAGGCATAAAGCAAGGAAATAGAATTTTATGTTTTTTTTTTTCATGTATTCAAATCTTACTGCACAGAGCTTGGAACTGTAGGAGCAATCCATGTCCTTCTCTGGTTGCTGGACTTATTTGAGATAAAGGAAAAACTCACAGATATATTTGGAGAGAAAACATAGCCATATGTTCTGATCTAGTAACAAGATGATGACTAGGAATTAGACTTTCAAAGGAGAGTGTGTTACAAGGAAAACTTCCTTTCATGGGCTTCTGCTTTTATTGAGAATTACATGTGCTCTATTACACAGGTCTCACTCTGAGAGCTCTAGGGATTACAGTGATTACCCAACATGATCAATAAACTGGCCAATAACTCATCCGGGGTGGCTGGAGTGCAACACACTTTGCATTTTGTGATTGAAATTTCCTTCAAACTGTCACTTGTAACTTTGGTTTTATTCCAAATCTAGTAACCCATGAAAGTACAATGATCTTGGGGATTTATTGGCTGCATTGTGGCTGATGAAAACAGAATCTCTGACAGCCCAATTGCAATGTTCCCCATGAGACTTGTAACTAAGCAGAGGAGCCACTGTGATTACTCCAGGAGTCAGAAAACCTGAACTGTGACTGTGATTCTACCTCCATCACCAAGCCGTGTGAACTTGAATAAACCAGCTCACCTCTGGGAAATTAGCCTCATTCTCTAAACAGGGAAACAGCAACATTTAATCTCCTGAATTCACAGCATCTGTGTGAAAATCAGAAAATGAAAGCAATATTTGTCTAAAAACTTAAGCATTTCCATTAAAAAAGGAAATACTTTTTTTTTCCTACTTAAACAACTGAGGAGATAAACTTACTTTAAAAAAAGCTTTAAGGGCCGGGCATGGTGGCTCATGCCTGTAATCCCAGCACTTTGGGAGGCTGAGGTGGGCGGATCACGAGGTCAGGAAATCGAGGCCATCCTGGCTAACACGGTGAAAGCCCATCTCTACTAAAAATACAAAAAATTAGCCTGGTGTGGTGGTGGGTGCCTGTAGTCCCAGCTACTCGGGAGGCTGAGGCAGGAGAATGGCGTGAACCTGGGAGGCAGAGCTTGCAGTGAGCTGAGATCATGCCACTGCACTCCAGCCTGGGCGACAGAGCGAGACTCTGTCTCAAAAAAAAAAAAAAAAAAAAAGGAAAAAGCTTTAATAAGATATAACCAATATAAAATAAACTGTATGTGTTTAAACTATACAATTTGGTAAGATTTAACATAATGTGTGTATATGTATATGAAACTGTCTGCACGATCCAATCATGAACATATTCGAAATCCTCAAATTTTCCTGATAGCCTTGGTAATTCCCCTCCAGGCCACAGAATCCTAAGGCAACCAATGATCTGCTTTCTGTCCCTATTGATTAGCTTGAATATTCAATACTTTTATATAAACGGGAAAATAAAGTATGTACTCTTATTTGTTTTTGTTTCTAGCCTGGCCTTTTTCCTTCAGTGTAATTATTTTGAGAGTCATCAATTTTGTTGCGTGTATCAGCAGTTTGTTCCTTTTTATCACTGTCTACTATTCCATTGTGTGGATTATACTACAATTTGTTTAACCTTTCACCTGTTGATGGACATTTGGCTTGTTTCCATTTTTTGGCTATTACAAATACATTTGCTATGAATTTTAATTTGTTAGATGCTGGATATTTTCTCTCACAATGGATGTTTTTGAGCTTTGTTCTGGAATGCCATTTAGTTACTTGAAGAAAGTTCAATCCTTTTGTAGCATACCTTGAAGCTTTGTTGGCTGGGTCAAAGTAGACCTTATTACAAAGTTTCCCCACTGCAGAGGCAATACCATGTAAGTACTCTGCCTGATGTGGTGTGAAGTATGAGATTTTCTACTCGGGATCGCAAGCTGTTGCTGGGCCTGTGTGAGTTGAAGCGATTGGCCTCTGTAATCCTTTTGGGATTTTTTGGCTTTTTTCCGGGCCTTGGGTAGTCTTATCACATGCATACACCCATCAGTGCTCACCCACTGGCTGGAGGGCCTCTTAGCAGGTCTCTGGTGCTCTCTCTCTCTGTGTAACTCTCATCTCTGCGGTTCCCTCCCCTGCAAACTCTAGCCACTTTGGCCTCCCCATACTCCCAGCACTGTCTCCTGAACCATCTGTTTCTGCTTCCCTCCTTTCCAGGAAGTGAGCTGGGCGAGCAGGGCTCACCCTGTTGGTGTCCTCTAGCTCAGGGGTCAGTGTCCTGCACTGCTTGACGTCCAATGTCTGAAAACCATTGTTTTGTGTATTTTGTCCTGTTTTTTAGACATCTCATCTTGACTAGAAGTGAGAGTTTAGAATTTACTGTTTATACTGATTCTGCTTTACACAATCCTGTCTTTTTTCTGCTTGCCCGTCTACTTCTAATCAGGTGTTAGGATTTTGTTAAGCCAAAGCCATATTCAGTGGGAACCAAGGATTGGGAAGAAAGAAAGAACAGAAAATTAATGAAGTTAAAACAGTGTGACACGCCTTTGCTGGGTAACTTCCACAGGTGAGGCACTGTGCTAGGTATCCAGCAGGTGTTCCACACGTGCGTAAGCTACAGTCCCTGATAAGGATTCTGAGTCAAATGCTGTGATGGAAAACATTTTTTTTTTTTTGAGCTAAGAGTCTCGCCCTGTCGCCAAGGCTGGGGTGCAATGGTGCGATCTCAGCTCACTGCAACCTCTGCCTCCTGGGTTCAAACAATTCTCCTGCCTCAGCCTCCCAAGTAGCTGGGATTACAGGCACCTGCCCCCACGCCCGGCTAATTTTTTTTTTGGATTTTTAGTAGAGACGGGGTTTCACCATGTTGGCCAGGTTGCTCTGGAACTCCTGACCTTGTGATCTGCCCACCTCGGCCTCCCAAAGTGCTGGGATTACAGGCGTGAGCCACCGTGCCTGGCGGGAGAATGGTTTTTCCACAGCTTTAGGATTTCTCTGTGAAACAGAAGGTACCTCCATCCTGTTTCTTTTTTTTCTTGCTTGTCTCTCCATTCATTTCCCAAGCCTTTAAAAAAATGTCTCCAACAAGAGCATCTGTGATTGCTGCTTGGCAGTTCTGTGTGTCTGTGATCTTTCCCTCATTGCTACCGGCTTCCCAAGGCTGCCTACTCAACCATTCAGCCTTTATCTGAGAAGAAATGATAAATCCATTAACTGCATCCACTTTGGGATGGTCTTACAAAACCTGACTCTTGTCCTCATCTCAGTTCAATTACGCTTTCTGTTTTCCTGAATCTGCTGATGCTTTATTTATGTTGGACGCACACAGGCTGCTGCACTGGCCTTATTAGAGCAGTTTGTGCCCTTGCAGGAGCATTTCGTTGTGCTACATTTGTGTCACACATTTGCTACACAATGCAAGGCTGAAGTTAGGCGGTTCAAGGAAATGTCAGCCTGTGATGAGTGTGAAACCCAGCTGCGCTTCTCCATCCACCAGAAGAAACGTTACTCTAAATTGATTTGTCATTTGCAAAACCACACTCCTAATAAATGTTTCATTACAAGGTGCTACCAGCTTTTACTGGGGCCCTGGCTGTCTCTGCAGACTCCAAATCTGATCTGAGTTGATTTGTAGACTTCTGCTTATTTTTTAAACTGCCAACCGAATCAAACAGCAACGTTGGAATAGAAGCCTAGCAACAGAGGGTTACACTTCCCTGTAGGGGTAGGCTAGGATGCCCACTCATGCACTCCCTAGTGAGAGGGAAACCTGGGAAGTTGTGTAGACAGAGTAGTGACAACTACTATCAGTCTGTAGTTCATGAGAACCTACTAAGTGCAAAGAAGAAAATGCTTCCCTTCTCCAACTATTCACACTGGGCTCCAGTTAGGACCTGGCTCTTTAACCATGTTCCTTGTATTTATGCATCTTGTCTGTCTCCTCCTCTTTTCTTTCCTTTTTTTTTTTTTTTTTTTTTTGAGACAGAGTCTTGGTCTGTCACCAGCCTGGAGTGCAGTGGTGCGATCTCGGCTCACTGCAACCTCCACCTCCCAAGTTCAAGTGATTCTCCTACGTCAGCCTCCTGAGCAGCTGGGATTACAGGAGTGCGCCACCACACCCAGCTAATTTTTGTATTTTTAGTAGAGACGGGGTTTCACCATGTTGGCCAGGATGGTCTCGATCTCGACCTTGTGATCTACTCACCTCGGCCTCCCAAAGTGCAGGGATTACAGGTGTGAGCCACCGCACCCAGTCATTTTTCTTCTTTTTTTGAGATGAAGTTTTGCTCTTGTTGCCCAGGCTGGAGTGCAATGGTGAGATCTTGGCTCACTGCAGCCCAAGGTTCAAGAATTGCTTGAACCTCCCAGGTTCAAGCAATTCTCCTGCCTCAACCTCCTGAGTAGTTGGGATTACAGGTGCCTGCCACTCACCATGCCTGGCTAATTTTTTGTATCTTTAGTAGAGATGGGGTTTCACCATGTTAGCCAGGCTGGTCTGGAACTCCTGACCTCAGGTGATCTGCCCACCTCGGCCTCTGAAAGTGCTGGGATTACAGGCATGAACCACCACGCCCAGCCTCCTCCTCTATTTCTAAGACCAGGTCTTATACTTAGAATTTGGTGCTTTACCAGAGGAGCAGCATTCACTTGTACACACACATACACACACACAAACACACACACACACTCAGCTTCACTCAAGAGGAACACAGATGGCCGGGTGTGGCCTGTAATCCCAGCACTTTTTGGAGGCCGAGGCGGGCAGATCACCTGAGGTCAGGAGTTCAAGACCAGCCTGGCCAACATGGTGAAACCCCGTCTCTACAAAAATACAAAAATTAGCCACGCATGATGGCGGCCGGCTGTATTCCCAGCTACTGGGGAGGCTGAGGCAGGAGAATTGCTTGAACCCAGAAGGCAGAGAGAGGTTGCAGTGAGCCGAGATAGCGCCACTGCACTTCAAACTGGGCGACAGAGCAAGACTCCATCTCAAAAAAAAAAAAAAAAAAAAAAGAGGAATGCAGATGACATTCCCTCTCATCTTCCAGATGTCTGTACACATGCTGTCTCTATCCCCTGAGGCAGCACAAATGTCTTCCTAGAGTTGAGGCCACAGCACTAGTGAGTAAGGGAAGCTCTGCGAGCATCAGGTGGGGGAGATGTCCAAGGGGGCTGTGCCACATGTTCCTCTGCAAACAACTGGAACATCTCACCCAGACCTTCTTGTTCTCCAGTCACTTCTCAGTCATACAACTGCCGGCATGCTGCCTCTCATCTTTCCAGTAACCCGTATCAGCCTTTCTGGCTTCCCCCCTCACTCTGAGATTTCTTCTCAGAGGGAGCTTCAAATGCCTCTCCCTTCCATTATGAAAAAAACCTCAGCATTGTAGTAGCAACTGTACCCCAAACCCGCAGTCCCAAACCGTGTGCTATGCAAAACTATGGGCTCGCCAGGTAACAGGTTCTAACCTCCCTAGAAGGCAGTGTGGTGGTCATCTTTGTTACTTATTTATTCACTTTGAGTCTCATTTTCCTTTTTTTTTTTCATTTTTGAGATGGAGTCTTGCTCTCTTGCCCAGGCTGGAGTGCAGTGGCGCGATCTCGGCTCACTGCAAGCTCCGCCTCCCGGGTTCACGCCATTCTCCTGCCTCAGCCTCCCGAGTAGCTGGGACTACAGGCGCCCGCCACCACACCCGGCTAATTTTTTGTGTTTTTAGTAGAGACCAGGTTTCACCGTGTTAGCCAGGATGGTCTTGACCTCCTGACCTCGTGATCCACCCACCTCAGCCTCCCAAAGTGTTGGGATTACAGGCCTGAGCCACTGCGCCCGGCCTCGAGTCTCATTTTCAATCTAAGATTCTCAAAGTATTCTTTCCAGTGATTTTCCACATGGGAATTCTGGTGGAATAAATTTTCTCCATCACTTCTGCATCAGAGTTCAGACATGCAAGAGCAGATCACCATGAGATGGAATGACTAAAGAAGGCTTTAAGGAGAAGGTGACAGTGGAACTGGACCTTGACATGAGCAGGCTTAATAGGTGGGGGCTGGGTTTGGGAAACAGGGGCCATTTTGAGCTGCTTTCTGAACTTCCAAGCTATTCATATGTTAACACTTCCTAAATAGACTCACCAGAGAAAGAACTAGATCATCTTGTCATATTCCCCATAGAGCTTGGCTGCAACAGTTTCCAAGTTGTTCAGGAAGATGTCAAATCCTGCCCTCCAGAGGGCACCTGGAGTAGAACACAGGTGAGAGAATGGGAGGCAGGGATGTGTGCTGTGTAATTGTGGTCACTGCAGTAAAAACAGTTACACTAAACAAAGTACATGCAACATAGGCAAAAGCGAATCAATGTCTCCTGCGGGTGTAAGGCATAGAGTCCCATGTTTATACATACACACGCACACACACACATATATACTTAGGTATAAATCAGCCATACATTTCATAAAATTCACGAATTGTTCATGAGTTTTGTTTGACAAATGTACATGATTGTGTAATCACCACTACAGTCACGATATAAAACATTCTGCTCACCCAAAATGTTCCTTTGTGCCCCTTTAGAGTCAGTCTTCTTCCCCCACATCTGGGTAATAGCAATTACTAACCTTCTCTCCATCACAGTAGCCTTTCCTTTCCTAGGATAAATGGAACTATAAAGTATGTAGTCTCTTGTGTCTGTGTTCTTTCACTTAACACAATGCTTTCAAGATTTATTCATGTTAATTTGGCAGCTCTCTGAATAATTAATTGAATAGCCCAAGTACTAGTGGGAAGGAAATCAGACAGGAGACAACAGCAAAGGCCCCAGCAAGAGATAACAAGGATATCTGAACCAGTTTGCTGAGGGAATGACAGGAAAGACACAGAGAGCAAAACAAAGAAAGAGGAAGGAAGGAAAGAAGGAAGGAAGGAGGGAAGGAAGGAGAGAGAGAGAGAAAGAGAAAGAAAGAAAGGAAGAAAGGGAAGAAAGAAAGACCAGACGCAGTGGCTCACGCCTGTAACCCCAGCACTTTGGGAGGCCAAGGCAGGAGGATCACGAGGTCAAGAGATCGAGACCATCCTCGCCAACATGGTGAAACCCCATCTCTACTAAAAATACAAAAATTAGCTGGGCGTGGTGGTGCGCTCCTGCAGTCCCAGCTACTCTGGAGGCTGAGGCAGGAGAATTGCTTGAACCCAGGAGGTGGAGGTTGCAGTGAGCCAAGATCGTGCCACTGCACTCTGGCCTGGGGACAGAGCGAGACTCTGTCTCAAAAATAAAAATAAAAACAAAAATAAAGAAAAGGAAGAGCGGAAGGGAGGGAAGGAAGGCGAGAAGAAGAGAGGGAGGGAGGAAGAATTTAGAAAAAGAACGTTCTGGTGATGGATTGGATGGAGGAAGAGGGAGGGAAAAGAGTTAAGAATGGTTCATAGTTAGCCAGGGTTCCTTCCTGGTAGAGTGATAATTTTTTTTTTTTAAAAGGAAATCTGGGCTTAAAGAGAAGAGGAAAAAAGTTCAATATTAACTATATTCACTTTGAAATGCTTCTATAAAGTCCAAGTGGATGTCCAAAACTGAGAGCTGAAAATGTGGTCTTGAAGCTTTAGACAGCAGGCAGGAGGGGGTTGCCTTTTCAGAGTCATGCATGCAGTGCTGACGGTGGAATTGGAAGTGAGAGACATGGAGAGAAGGGCACTTATGTGAGGAATAAGAGTTTCAACAGGCCACTCCGCAGCAGCAGGAGGAAATGGGGAAATGCAAGGAAAATGAGTTTCCAGGCAGTGAAGACAGTCAATGTAGTTCTGGAAGCCTAAGGAAGCTAAGTGTTGAGGAGAAGGGAGAACCTATAGTGGCAATTACCAAAGAGAATGGATCCCAACACGCAGACATGGAACTGGGCAGGAAGAGGGGCAGGACAGCCTGGCCACAGCTGCTTGCTCAGTGGTATGGGCAGGAAAAGTGAGCTGGAGCAAGGGGTACACATTTGAGGCAGCCTTATAGTCCTAATGGTCCAGTGGTTTAGTAGGAAAATAAGGTGAAAGAAGGATGGTGTCTATGTCACAGGAAGCCAAGCCAAGAAATAAGCAACGGGCCCAGGGGAGACTCAAGTATGAGAGGGCAAGAGGGAACATTCTTGGTGCAGCAGGCAGAGCTCTCTGCTCACACGATCAGGGCCTCTGCTGGCAACACGTTTACACTCATAGAACCTGACCTTTATCCAAACATTTCCTCTGCATGCAAGAAAACAGACATGTAGAGAAGTAAGTCCACTTGCCCACAGTTACAAAAAAAAATCTGTGACAAAGCCAGAATAACTGTAACAATGTCACAATTTCTTTTAGAATTTGACAGAAGGATTCTTAATTTCACCATTAGAAAGAAAATACTCTGTAGTAAATACCTATGCCATCCAAGACAAATTATTTGTTTCCTTAAGTCTTGGTCTCCGTTTTGGCAAAATAGAAATAACTATGTTTAAACAAAAGGCATGTGAAAAGAGACAAAGTACCTAAAGGCCCTGTGTGGATCATCCTTATTATTTATTTGCTCCAGCCATATTGGGCTTTTCCATCTTCTTGCACACAATGTATTCCCTCGTTTCAATTTTGCCTTCACTCCTCACCTGGCTAAATCTCTCACGTCAGCCTAACTGCCACTTCCAATAGAAGCCACCCTTAATGCTGCCAGACCACGTCAAACATACTCAGTGCTTCTTTTTTTTTTTTTTTTTTTTTAAGATCTCTCTCTGTCACCAGACTAGAGTGCAGTGGCATGATCTTGGCTCACTGCAACCTCCGCCTCCCGGGTTCAAGCGATTCTCCTGCTTCAGCCTCCCGAGTAGCTGGGACTACAGGTGCACGTCACCACACCCAGCTAATTTTTGTATTTTTAGTAGAGACAGGGTTTCACCATGTTGGTCAGGATGGTCTCCATCTCTTGACCTCATGATCTGCCCACCTCAGCCTCCCAAAGTGCTGGTATTACAGGCGTGAGCCACCACGCCCGGCCTCACTCCTTCTATTATACTGTACATCTTAGTCCATTCATGCTGCTATAACAAAATACTTTAGACTGGGTACCTTATAAACAACAGAAATTTATTTCTCACAGTTCTGGAGGCTGGAAAGTCCGAGAGCAAGGTGCTAACAGATTGGGTGTCTGGGGAGGGCCCTCCTCATAGATGGTACCATCTAGGGGACCTCACGTGGTGGAAGGGGCCAATCAGCTCCCTTGGGCCTCTTTTATAAGGGCATGAATCCATTCGTGAGGACTCCATCTTCATGACCTAAACACCCCCCAAAGGACCCCACCTCCTAATACCATCATCTTGGGGGTTAGGATTTCAACATACAAATTTTGGTCTGACACAACTAGTCAGACCATAGCATTGTTGAATCACATTTTAAATGGGAATCAAAGTCTAAACTTAGCCTATAAGGCAAAAATTACATGTGGATAATCAAATAATATATTAAAAAACCCACACATGTATATATACACACACTTTTTTTTTTTTTTTTTAAGACGGAGTTTCACTCTTGTCACCCAGGCTGGAGTGCAATGGCGCCATCTCAGCTCACTGCAACCTCCGCCTCCCGGGTTCAAGCAATTCTCCTGCCTCAGCCTCCCGAGTAGCTGGGATTATAGGCATGCGCCACCACACCCAACTAATTCTGTATTTTTAGTAGAGACAAGGTTTCTCCATGTTGATTAGGCTGGTCTCGAACTCCGGGTCCTAGGTGATCCGCCCACCTCGGCCTCCCAAAGTACTGGGATTACAGGCGTGAGCCACTGCGCCCAGCCAATATACAGTTTTTAATGAAGTACTATTAAAACTGACCCAATAGTCCCAGAGACAGTTCTTCTGGATAAACATAAAAATTGACCCTTCTGCTAGTCAAGCTTGAAACTTTTATTTGTTTTATCTGAGTTCTTTCCTCAGTACAGGACCTTCAGGCCTCTCAAAAGAGTATCAAAGAACTGAAGCCTCACAAAGAAATGAAACTCACCAGGTCACACACAGCCAATGCTGGACCTCTCATTCATCGTGATTGCTTCATTGCCCCTCCCTAGTTCCTGTTTTCGTACATGTTGTTACATTTCTTCCCTGCTAAATAAACCCCTAGTTTTAGTCAGGGAGATGGATTTGAGACTGAACTCCCATCTCTTTGGTTGCAGCACCTGCTGAAAGCCATCTTCCTTGGCAGTACTTATAGTCTCAGTGATTGGCTTTCTGTGTGGCAAGCAGCAGGACCTAGGCCGAACCCCTGGTGTCTCAGCTACATTATCAATATGTGCAACGCAGCCAAGTTTTCTTCCATTATCAGAACAACAATGCAAAAATGGAAAATAATCAGACACATGTTGAATTCAAAGCAGGGGTGGCTGGGCACAATGGCTCATGCCTGTAATTCCAGCAGTTTGGGAGGCCGAGGCAGGAGGATTGCTTGAGACCAGGAATTCAAAATTAGCCTGGTCAACATAGCAAGACCCCATCTCTATAAAAAAAATCATTCAAAAATAGCTGGGCATAGTGGTACATGCCTGTAGTCCCAGCTACTCAAGGGCCTGAGGTGGGAGGATTGCTTAAGACCTGGAGATCAAGGCTGCAGAAAGCTGTGATCTTATCACTGCCCTCCAGCCTAGGTGACAGAGTGAGACCCTATTAAACTTGTATTTAGACACAGAGCGCTGATTGGTGCATTCTTACAGAGTGCTGATTGGTGCGTTGACAAACCTTTAGCTAGACACAGAGTGCTGATTGGTATGTTTACAATCCTTTAGCTAGACAGAAAAGTTCTCCAAGTCCCCACCGGACCCAGAAGCCCAGCCAGCTTCACCTCTCAGTCTCTCACTAATTTGTGAAAAATGTTTGCTTCTCAGGAATTCTGAGGGCACAAGAGGTCAAAAATGAGGAGTGCCTTCGTGACCTAAGGCCACACAGGTCTCAAGCCAACCGCTGATCTTGTACAGAATCTAACAGAACAGTTCAGACCACTGTTCAAAGGAATTGTTTAGCATATGGAGTAGCCACTGTTTCATAGATAGCCTATACTCCAGTGAAATCTGTCCAGCAGAAGTATAGTAACTGTGCACAGAGACTTCTTTTCCTCTTCTAGTTCTCCTGTACCTCCTATCATTCTAATCTCTAGCTTTACATCATCTGCTGCTATATATTTATGCATTTTCTCATTTCCATTTCATACATTTAAAGAATCATGGCTTTGGATTTCTAACCTCTGTTTCCCACACCAACGCTCCTTTTTTTTTTTTTTTTTTTTTTTTGACGGAGTTTCACTCCTGTTGCCCAGGCTGGAGTGCAGTGGCGCGATCTCGGCTCACTGCAAACTCTGCCTCCCAGGTTCAAGTGATTCTCCTGCCTCAGCCTCCTGAGTAGCTGGGATTACAGGCGCCTGGCACCACTCTGGCTAATTTTTAAATTAATTTTAATTTTAGCCAGGCTAATCTCGAACTCTTGACCTCAGGTGATCCACCCACCTCGGCCTCCCAAAGTGCTGGTATTACAGGCATGAGCCACTGCGCCCGGCCAAAAGCTCTTAACTGGTTAAAAAATAGCCCATGAAGAACACTAAAAAATAACATTACTAAATAATGATTGAAACAAAAGTCAAATACCCAAAGTACTCAGGTAAACTACTCAAAACATTACAACTTTTCATCCAAAACCAAATAGCTCATGGTAGGTAATCTTTAAAATATATTTAGCCTTTACTTGGCACTTGAGGCTCTAGAAAGATCACAAAGTCAGAGAAATCCAACTGAGAACGCAAACATCCATGCCTAAGGGGAAACCTACGTACGGGGTTCATGAGCATTACCAGGGCAGAGGGGAGGTTGGAGGTAAAGGCTTTCCAGGTGGCTGGGGTTAAGGGGGGCAAGCTCACTGGCAGGACTGGCCACAGCTACCAGAGACTGGAAGAGCAGAAACCTCGGGGAAATGCAGGGACCAGCTGGCATGGGGCCTGGTGAAGCACTTTCCTCTTTATTCTGGAGGCTAGAGCGGCTTTCTGATGAGCAGCTGCACATTCACATTTGATTCCAGCTGTCACAGAACACCGTCATCATTGCTCCCTGGCTCCTGAGGCAAAATACCAGCATCTTTTTTATATGAAGCATAAGTATGTGCATGCAAATGCACACCCGCGCGCACGCACACACACACACACCCCAGAATGATACAAGGTGCCGGTCTGTTAGCATTTCTCAAAAATTCCATTCCAACCCTGGTACAAAATATTCAGATTATAAGCAAGGATTGAACACTTCACATTGGCATTCCCATTTTCCCCCTAAGGGTTGCACTAATTTACAGTAAATCATTGAATAATGATTAATAATAATACGGCTTAAAATACTGCAATGATAATCTATTTAAGAAATAAGTATGTCCTTCTACTTAAATTAAAATCACCCAATAATAAATCTCCAAGTGAAATTGGATATTAATATCCAATTAAATAATATGAATACAACTTAATTTATATTCCCGATTTTATTGTATGAATTCCCCAATTACACTGTATGGGGGCCACTAAACTCTGCTCTGTGCTGAGTAGCGAGAATGGGGGGATTCTAGAGTGGGCACTAGACTCAGGGGAGTTTGGGTCTCCAATTTCACAACTTTCACCACATGGGCAGTGACCGTATCCTCTGCTAAATGCCATGGAAATAGCACAGTCCATGGCACGTGAGCCTCTCCAGTCACATCCGCTTTGATTTTGCCTTAGTTTTAGTCTTCAGGACCAAATTCTGTCTATTAGTCACATGGAGAAGAAGATTTTTCATTTATTTTATTATTATTTTTTTTTTTAGTATTTATTGACCATTCTTGGGTGCTTCTCGGAGAGGGGGATTTGGCAGGGTCATAGAACAATAGTGGAGGGAAGGTCAGCAGATAAACATGTGAACAAAAGTCTAGGCAGAAGGCCCTGCCGCCTTCCGCAGTGTTTGTGTCCCTGGGTACTTGAGATTAGGGAGTGGTGATGACTCTTAACGAGCATGCTGCCTTCAAGCCTCTGTTTAACAAAGCACGTCTTGCACCGCCCTTAATCCATTTAACCCTTAGTGGACACAGCACATGTTTCAGAGAGCACGGGGTTGGGGGTAAGGTCACAGATCAACAGGATCCCAAGGCAGAAGAATTTTTCTTAGTACAGAACAAAATGGAGTCTCCTATGTCTACTTCTCTCCACACAGACACAGTAACAATCCGATCTCTCTTTCTTTTCCCCACACTTCCCCCCTTTCTATTCGACAAAACCGCCATCGTCATCATGGCCCGTTCTCAATGAGCTGTTGGGTACACATCCCAGACGGTGGGGTGGCCGGGCAGAGGCGCCCCCCACCTCCCGGACGGGGCGGCTGCCGGGCGGAGACGCTCCTCACATCCCAGACGGGGCGGCGGGGCAGAGGCGCTCCTCACTTCCCAGACGGGATGACGGCGGGGCAGAGGCTGCAATCTCGGCACTTTGGGAGGCCAAGGCAGGCTGCTGGGAGGTGGAGGTTGTAGCGAGTGAGATCACGCCACTGCACTCCAGCCTGGGCACCATTGAGCACTGAGTGAGCGAGACTCCGTCTGCAATCCCGGCACCTCGGGAGGCCGAGGCTGGCAGATCACTCGCGGTCAGGAGCTGGAGACCAGCCCGGCCAACACGGCGAAACCCCGTCTCCACCAAAAAATACAAAAACCAGTCAGGCGTGGCGGCGCGCGCCTGCAATCCCAGGCACTGGGCAGGCTGAGGCAGGAGAATCAGGCAGGGAGGTTGCAGTGAGCCGAGATGGCAGCAGTACAGTCCAGCCTCAGCTAGGCATCAGAGGGAGACCGTGCAAAGGAGAGAGGGAGAGGGAGAGGGTTGGGAGAGGGAGAGGGAGAGGGAGCTCATTTCTTTTACTAATAAAATTAGTTAACATTTTTAGGGCAGTTAGGAATGTCCAGCCTTGAATAGAGCGCTGCACATGTGCTGACTCACTGAATCCCTACACTAGCCTGAGAGATACAGAGCTGGTTTTTCCATCTCCACTGCACACATGAGGAAACCGAGGCTTAGAAAGAGTAAAGAATGTGTCCAATGCACCATAAGGGGAAATGGTCAAATGAGGATTAAAACCCGGATTTGTCAAACACCAAAGTCCCTTCTCTTAAAGATTATACTAACTTGGTCACACTAAATAGTCCCATCTAGGCATTTGCTAACTTGCTAGGGGTGCCAAGAGCCAGAGGAGGGGTCAGTGTTTGAAAAAGTGCCCCGATTAATAATAATAACAACTCAAACGTGTATGGTGAATTTTGGCTTACAGTGGGCGATCGTGTCTGTTATCCCACTGAATTGTTTCCATTAGCTCTACTGTAGACGGCCTCTCTAGTTTATAAAGAGGAACTGGAGGCTCAGAGCGAGAGGCAAGTTGCGCAGACAGTCACTGGGAGAGCCGGCCTCAAAGCCAAGTCTCCCCACTGCAGAGGGAGTTCTCCATCCAGCACCCAATGTCATGATGGTGCCCTTCCTCCAGGGCCTCCTTCCCTTTCCTGTGAGGAGGAAGAGGGCTAAGAGGCTCCACATAAACATCAGCATTCTGCACACCACCCCGCTTCTCCCTTTTCTCCCCCAAAGTTAGTTTGACTTGTAGGGAGAGCAGGCAAACACCTTTCTTCATGGGGTGATCTCAGAGGCACAAGGGAGGCCACACTGATGTCCAGACTATTTCTCCCTGTGACTAAAGCCTGCAGTCAGCCACTTACAGCATCATCCCTTTCATTCTGAAGGTTTGATTCCGCTTGAAATAAAATATCCCTGAGAAGGGGGTTACTTTAAAGTGTTTTCAGGAAAGGGCAGTGGAGTGGAGTGAAATGTTGCTGAGGCAGGAGTCTGACGTGGGGGTTCAGTTCAGCCCTGGCTTGCCCAAGGCTGTGTGTGTCTGGGGGCAGCACCCAACAGCTTGGGGTCTTAGTTCAATTATCTATGAATTCAGAGGCAGTAAACCAGAGATTGGAGATTCCTTCTGGCTTAATGTGCTAGATTTATGCAAAGCTTCATTGTATGTTCTTTGTGGATGTTTAGACATTTCAACTGTTCTGAATTATGAGATTAGAATCAACAGTGGAAAAACACAGACTTCTGTTTGATGACTTACTTCAGAGAGTCTTTAGAGTCTACTGGTTAAAAATAATTTACTTGGCTCCAAAAGGATGGCTGTGAAACATTTTGGCAGGACTTTATATGTAAGGACTTGACTGTGGTTAGCCCATTGCAAATGATATTTGTTAAGTTGCTGAAAACAAAATCTTTCCTGAATACTCTTCTAAAAAAAGATGATGCTATGTCAGCTTGATTCTAAATGTTGTCATACTCCTACAAGGGCTTTCAAAGACCATAACCTTCTCCAGTCCCTCCCAGACCCTACTCTCAGTCAGTCAGCAAACCCTATGTTCTTTCCATATTTCATTCCCTCCCTTCCTTCCTTCCTTCTTTCCTTCCTTCCTTCCCTTTCTCTTCCCCCTCCCTCCCTCCCCTCCCTCCCTTCCTCCCTTCCTTCCTTCCACCTTCCCTCCCTCCCTTCCTTCCACCTTCCCTCCCTCCCTCCCCTTTCCTTTCCTCCTCTCTCTCTCTGTCTCTCTCTCTCCATCTTTGTCTCTATCATTCTCTCTCCCTCCATCTATTTTTCTATTCCATTCACTTTCACTGTCTTTTTTAGTCTTTGGAAGAATGCCCAGGGCTCAATGTCTTATAAACTTTCAGTAAATAAAAGAGTTTTATTGTGTCATTGGGGGTAATCTAACTAGCTGATAAAACTGCTGAAAGCATTAAACCTGCAAAATGTCATTCCTGGGATTATGCTAAGCCTTGCAATCAGTTAATAAAAATCACTACACAGCAGAAAGTCTACTCTGCCCTCCTAAATTCAAATTGCATCCTCAATTTTCCACCTACCCCACCGCATCTCCCACCTGCCTCCTGGCTGCTGCTTCGGGGCAGAGCTCAGAACTTGGCATCTCCCCCCATAGGAGTCGTGACAGATTGAATGAGAGAGAAATAGAAACAGCAGGCATTTAGCTCACAAACAGATCAGAAGGGGAGAGTAAGATAACGCAAAGCAGATTCAACTCCTGTGACACCGACTGTCTAATTTTTTTAATGGGCTTCTTGATTTCCATAGTGCTTGCCCTGATTTCATTTAATTAGATAAAAAAGAGGTGATACGTACCTGTATATTTTTGTATGGAAAGGGGGAAGAAAGACAATGAACATGATGGCAGCTTTCGTGTTTTGAGTGCGTCTTATGTGCCAGACTCAATGCTAAAGTCACGCAGAACCCTTACCATCCTCCCATTTGCAGAGAGCAAACCAAGGCTCCAGGAATGGAGGACCAGCTCCTTCCTGGCTAAGCCTCTTCTCTCCCATTGTGCTTGAAAACGGCAGTTTCCTTGAATTAGGAATCAATTTATACAGAAATAATTCTCAAAGGGGAGGCCAGGACATATGAGCACTTGTATGCATTTTTTTAAGAGGAGTAAAAGAAACAGAAATGTGATGTCTAAGATATTCTTTTGTTTTATTTTTGTTTGTTTGTATTTGTTTTTGTTTTTTTTGAGAAGGAGACTTGCTCTGTCGCCCAAGCTGGAGTGCAGTGGCATGATCTCGGCTCACTGCAACCTCCACCTCCTAGGTTCAAGTGATTCCCCTGCCTCAGCCTCCCAAGTAGCTGGGATTACAGGCACCTACCAGCACACCCAGCTAATTTTTTGTATTTTTAGTAGAGACGGGGTTTCACTGTATTAGCCAGGATGGTCTCGATCTCCTGACCTCTTGATCCACCTACCTTGGCCTCCCAAAGTGCTGGGATTACCGGCGTGAGCCACCGCGTCCGGCCGATAATCTTTTAAAAGAAAACTTTCCCCATTTATATGTAAAATACATTCTCCCACATCTCAACCTTAACTCTCCCATTTCCACCTCTCCTGCAGCCTTTTTACTAAAAGTCAGTACAAGTCCTTTGGGGACAAACATCGTGAGAGGGAGATGGTAGATGAGGAAGGAGAAGCTCACACTGCCCTGAGCCACTGTTGGTGACAGAGGCCTCTGCCTCCACATTGTTTCACGTGAGCACATGTGGGAATGCATCTGGGACATGAGTTTTGTTTCCAGTTGTCCCAGGAAACAAAACCCCTGCGGCCTCTAACAGGCAGCCCTCCCATGAGGCCAATTGTGGGCTCTGGCTCTGCTGCTAAACTTTCCAGCCTTTCTGAGATTTTACCAGTAAACTTTTCTGCTTAACAATACAATTCCGCTACTAAGCAAATTAGCCACTCCAAGTTACAGAGGAAAAATGTGGCCCAGATTTTGATGCCAACAGGAAACAGCCTCCTCTTCTCCTCTCCTCCTCCTCTTCTTTTCTCTGGGCTCTGCTGAGTCACTTTCAAATATTTTTTTTCTAGGTTTTCTTATATTTCCTCCCCTTCCCCACTTTTTTTTAATACTACATTTTAAAGCAACAGCATTGTGCTGTTTAAAGAGAATGATAAAAACACAGGAAACAAATTCATAGTTTCTTTTTACCCTGAGTGCTTGACTTGAATCGACCTTTGGTGACAGGTTCTGCCCCATGGGCCTCCCCTCGCCTCCATACACTGCCTTCGAGCCTCCCCCAATCCCACACACAGGGACGGACAGGTAGCACTTCTGAGAGCTTGAAGATCAGGTGCGCAGAACGTACTGGATGAGGAGCCAGAGACTTGACCTGGCTTTGCCTGTCATGGCCTGTTTGACCTTGAGTGATTTACTTAATTCCCGGAATCTCCAGGCCCCTCAGCTATAAAACGGAGGGCTTAGCGGAGATGGCCCTCAGAGTCCTTCTGCCAACACTAAAATTCTCCTCTCCTGGGGCCTCTGGTTCAAGGCTGGTGAGTAAAGGCAAACCCAGCATGTTCTAGCAGAGGCCGAGAGGTTTCATTCTTTCTGACTGCTCTGCTCAACTACTCTCTTCCCTTCCTGCTGTCGCAACACACAGCGCTTTTATTCATTTTAAGAATTAAAAAATGTCCATTCCAATTTAAAACTTCAGTGTCTTATCCTCTTGTCTCCCCATCTCTGAGTCTTACAATCTGTTTCTTATTGACAGAATAATTTCAACTTATTTAATTGTTCGTTTTTATCACTTTTGTTTCACATTTCACTGTTTCAAAAAGACTTTTTTTTTTTTTTTGAGACAGAGTCTCACATTGTCACCCGGGTTGGAGTGCAGTGGTGTGATCTTGGCTCACTGCAACCTCTGCCTCCCGGGTTCAAGTGATTTTCCTGCCTCAGCCTCCTGAGTAGCTGCAATTACAATTGCTGGCCACCACGCCCGGCTAATTTTTTGTATTTTTAGTAGAGATGGGGTTTCACTATGTTGGCCAGGCTGGTCTTGAACTCCTGACCTTGTGATCTGCCCACCTCGGCCTCCCAAAGTGCTGGGATTACAGGCATAAGCCACCATGCCTGGCCTCAAAAATATTTTTTAAATTAATACTTTATTTGAAATAATTTTTGACTTTGAGAAAAGTTGCAAAAGGGTCGAGTTCCATATATTCTTGACTTAGTGTTTCCAAATGATAACATTTTCCCTCATTCCTCATTTGCTTTACTATTCTGTTATATATATGATATTTAACAAATATGTGGCTGGGCACAATGGCTCATGCCTGTAATCCCTGCACTTTGGGAGGCCGAGGAGGGAGGATCACCTGAGGTCAGGAGTTCCAGAGCAGCCGGGCCAATATGGTGAAACCCCAACTCTACTAAAAATACAAAAATTAGCCAGGGATGGTGGCGCATGCCTGTAATCCTGGCTACTTGGGAGGCTGAGGTAGGAGAATCACTTGAACCCGGGAGGTGGAGGTTGCAGTGAGCTGAGATAGCACCACTGCACTCCAGCCTGGGTGACAGAGTGAGACTCTGTCTCAAAAAAAAAAAACCAACAAAGACAACAAAAAGCAAACATGTATTTATGCACTTGAGACTAAGATATAATGCCCCTTTGCCCCTAAATGATTCAATGTGTATTTCCTCTTTTTTAAAAAATAATTTTTCTCTTGTATAACCATAGTACGGTCTTCAAAGTATAAAATTAACATTGATGCGATACTATTACTAATCCACACATATTATATACGTTTCAGAATTATCTCACTAATGTCCTTATAGTAAAATAAAAATAATAATTTTTTTTCTGGTCTAAGATTCAATCAGGGATCACACATTGCATTTAATTGTAATTTCTTTTTAGGCTCCTTTTCTCTAGAAAATCCTTCAGTCATTTTTTTTACTTAAATGAACTTGAACAAATAAAGTCAAGGATGGCAAAAGAAGGTACTCCTATGAATTCAAATCAGGAATGTCCAACTTCTTACTTGTATTGAAACTTGTAACTTTCACTTATACTGAAACTTTTCAAAGCATCTTTCCAAATTGCACTTTAAAAGGCTTATTTATGATGGGGCACGGTGGCTCACGCCTGTAATCCTAGCACTTTGGGAGGCCGAGACGGGCAGATCGCGAGTTCAAGATTAGCCTGGCCGACATGGTGAAACCCCGTTTTCACTAAAAATACAAAAATTAGCCAGGTGTGGTGATGCACGCCTGTAGTCCCAGCTACTCGGGAGGCTGAGGCAAGAGAATCGCTTGAACCCGGGAGGCGGAGGTTGCAGTGAGCCAATATTGTGCCACTGCACTCCAGCCTGGGCAACAAGAGTGAAACCCTGTCTCAAAAAAAAAAAAAAAAAAAAAGGCTTATTTGAGTTTTATCAAAAATATGTCATTGCCTGGGGAGAAAAAAAGAGACAAGCAAGCCAGGCAATAAAGGAAAATGTAGGATTCGTTTACAATTGGATACACTGCATTATTGCACTCCTGACAGAAGAGAACTTCTATTTGACTAGGTGTGGTGAGAACCAAATCCACTGCTTCCAACTTTTCATGTTTGTGTCAGTTATCTATTACTGTGTAACAATGACTCCCAAATTCAGTGGCTTTAAACAACAGCAATTTTATTTTGTCATGATTCTATGGATCAGCAAGTTGGGCTGGTCTCCGCTGGGTGGTTCTGCTTGCCTCATGTGTGATTACTCATGAAGCTGCAGCCATCTGGTGGCTCAAGTGGGGCTGAATGAGCTCACATGGGCTCATTTACGTATCTGGTGGTTGGTGTGGGCTGTCAGCTGGGCATCCCTTTCCTTATGGCCTCTCATCCTTGAGGAAGCTAGCCTGGGCTTCTTCACATGGCAGAAATAGGGTGGGTGTAAAAGCTACCTGTTGATGGTCAGGCACAGTGGCGCATACCTATAATCCCATCTTTTTGGGAGGCTGAGGTGAGAGGATAACTTGAGGCCAGGCAACATAGCAAGATCCCATCTCAGCCTGGCACAGTGGCTCACACCTGTAATCCCAGCACTTTGGGAGTCCAAGGCAGACAGATCACAAGGTCGAGAGATCGAGACCACCCTGGGCAACATGGTAAAACCCCATCTCTACTAAAAATACAAAAATTACCTGGGGGTGGTGGTGTGCGCCTGTAGTCCCAGCTACTTGGGAGGCTGAGGCAGGAGAATCGCTTGAACCTGGGAGGAGGAGGTTGCAGTGAACGGAGATTGTGCCACTGCACTCCAGCCTGGGGACAGAGCGAGACTCCGTCTAAAAAAAAAAAAAAAAAAAAAAAAAGCCGGGCGCGGTGGCTCATGCCTGTAATCCCGTAATCCCGGCATTTTGGGAGGCCGAGGCAAGTGGATCACGAGGTCAGGAGATGGAGACCATCCTGGCTAATACGGCGAAACCCCATCTCTACTAAAAGTACAAAAAAAAAATTAATCGGGCGTGGTGGCACATGCCTGTAATCCCAGCTACTCGGGAGGCTGAGGCAGGGGAATCGCTTGAACCCAGGAGGTGGAGGTTGCTGTGAGCCAAGATTGCGCCACTGTGCCACTGCACTCCAGCCTGGGCGACAGGGCGAGACTCCATTTCAAAAAACAAACAAAAAAAAACACAAAAGATCCCATCTCTACAAATAAAAAATAAAAAATTACCGGGGCATGGTGGCACACATTTTAGTCCCAGCTACTTGGGAGGCTGAGGCAGGAGGATTGTTTCAGCCCTGGAGTTCGAGGTTACAGTGAGCCTGATGGTGCCACTGCATTCCAGCCTGGGTGACAGAGCAAGATCTTATTTCCATAAGGAACAAAAAAAAAGCTACCTGGCCTCTTATGCCCTAGGCAAATTACTCACCTGGAGAAAATTGAATCTACCACTTCCACAAGGTTCTGTTGGTCAAGTCAAGCCCAAATTCTAGCCTAGATTTGAGGTATGGTGAAATAAAGGGTGCACTTTATGGAAGACACCGCAAAGACTTTGCAAACAAATGACAGTGCAGTATGGAAGTAGTTTTTGCAGCCAACTTTGCAAACAATGCACCACAACATCTGCCAAGAGGAAGAATTTTTCACAAGTTAGCTTCTGGTGCTAGGAGCCATGGGACTCATTTGTATCTCACCATGTCCTCTGGTTTTGAACCTTCATGTTATGACACCAACTGAGATACATGGTGGGTGGTGATAATTACCCTGGAATATATTCTGACACCAGAATGGCCAAGAATAACTTCATTATCCATGAAGGTGACCACAAATCACATAAATACATCCTACCTAACCCAAAAAAGATGCATTTCTTATCCAAGTTCCCTTCGGCTACACCCCAAAAATGCTTGGCCACTCTCGTGCCACCTAAACTGAGGGGAAGTGTGACAGAATTCCAAGTGGATTGTAGCTAAAATGCCTAACTTTTACATAGTTTGTTTCCAATGTGAACATAGACTGTGGCCTCACGTAGTGCCCTGGGAGTGTCCCAGGCATGTGAGGGATGCTGAAGTTTAAGCTGTGTTAGCTTCACGGTAAATCCACCTCTGCCTGGAATGGAAATTCATCAGAACGCCTCAGGGTGAGAATGAAGTTTGGGTTCTTCTATGTCCGTGTACACAGAAAACAGAAGCCTCTGAAAGAAAATATAACTATGCCTGGGTATTCCAGATGCCTACAGAGAGAAGAGATTTTGTGGGGCATAAGGTACCTTTCTAAACTTCCTCTTGTGGGGGCATATTTGCTTCTTGAAGGGCAAATATACTTACAGGGATGTGAACGGAACCAAAGCCCACATGAACTGTTCCAAGTTACTGAACCCAGGACAAATTGAATCCAAATATACAAATTTTTTGTAGCGCCAGGAACCATGGCAAAGGTTGATTTTCTTTCCCTTTCAAAAAAGTATGTTGTGCTTTCTTTCTCATAATGTTTTCATTAACTGTGTTTTTGAATTTTGAAAAGCTCTGTAGATAGAGCATGCATGATTTTCAGTCAAAAAATTGTTATTTATTTGAGTTATGAAAAAGTATCTTGCTTTCTTACAACTAAACCTAAATCCATCTCAAGCCCTCACAGCTGCCTGATAACTAAACAAGTACACAAAAACATCCATAAAAGTGTAGTTAAATTCAGTGATTTTGCAGTAATTTTTGGTTTCAACTCAATTGAATTCAAAATTTTTTCTCTCCCCACTCCTTGGTTAGCTCTGAGCTCTCTGTTCTCTCTGCTGGGCTTACACTTTATGGGGTATCCAGATAGGACGTTGGGCAAAGCATTCCTGTGCTTTCAGCCTCCAAACTGGGTGGTTGAGGTCCCATCAATTCTCAACTCCCCATGCAAGTCCCACTCTCAGGAACTTAGTTGGGCCAGCACGCAGGAGTGCACAGACACCTTTCTCTGGGACCTCCTTTATTTGTTATTTATTATTATTATTTGAGACAGGGTATCCTTCCGTGTCCCGGGCTAGAGTGCAATGGCATGATCATAGCTCACTGCAGCCTCAAACTCGTAGGCTCAAGCGATCTTCCTGCCTCAACTTCCTGAATTGCTGTGACTACAGGCACGTGCCACCACACCTAGATAATTTTTCAAAAAAATTTTGTAGAGACAGGATCTTGCTATGTTGCCAAGGCTGGTCTCCAACTCCTGGCCTCAAGTCATCCTCCTACTTCATCCTCTCTAAGTGCTAGGATTACAGCTGTGAGCCACCACACCTGACCATCTCTCTGGGACTTTCAAAAATGAGTGATCCAAGCAGCAGAATATGGCTCTGATACGGGGGCCAGTCTGATGTGCCTGAGAATGACACCATAGTGCTACAAACGATGTGTTAATGTGGAAATAGAGTTTATTTAATTAGACATGATACCTAACTGCAAAAATTTTAAAGCATTTTCAGTACTTAATCATGACTTCTTTTTATCCCCTTTTAATTATTTTTAGGAGATATTTAAAATCTATTGCAGTATTAAACCATTAAATCTTGCAAACGCCTAAATGCATAGTCATTAAACCCCAGGGGCCTGTAAGCAAAGCCATGTATTTTCTAAAAGTATGAAACCAGAACAATAAAATCCTCTTGAAACTTAAGTTGAGCAGAATCACCGTTACATGAAGCCAAGTCATTAACTAACTCAAATCGAAGAACTCTTTCAAGATTATTCCGAGAACAGCGACACGGATGGAGTGCGTGTTTTATTTCTCTTCTGTGATATTCAGCCTCTCCACTCTTCCTGCCTGCTCTGCTGCCTCTCCTCTCACCTGTTTGCATCCTGCCCTCCAGGCTTCCCCAGGCTCTTGCAGTCTCCAGTGCTCTCTCCATCATCTCCGCCCTTCCTGGACTACTCGGCTTGCCAGGCTCAGCCCTCTGCTTCTCCTTGGCCTTCTAACCCCAACTTACGCCGCCTCTGAATCTTTTTTATTTATTTATTTATTTATTTATTTTTTGAGACAGAGTTTCGCTGTTGTTGCCCGGGCTGGCGAAAACTCGGCTCACTGCAACCTCTGCCTCCTGGGTTCAAGCGATTCTCCTGCCTCAGCCTCCCAAATAGCTGAGATTACAGGCACCCGCTACCACGCCTGGCTAATTTTTGTATTTTTACTAAAGATGGGGTTTAACCATGTTGGCCGGGCTGGTCTCAAACTCCTGACCTCAGATGATCCATCTGCCTCGGCCTCCCAAAGTGCTGGGATTACAGGCATGAGCCACCGTGCCCAGCTGCCTCCTCTGAATCTTGTGCTGTTCCCATCCCCAGCAGAGCGTCTACCTTCTTTGGTCTGTTCCCATCACAACTTGGACGTGCTTCTGTTACGGCATGTATTTAATATAACCCCACACTAAAATACTTTGCTTAGATTTAGAGTAGGAGATCATTGAGAACACGGTCTTGGTCTTCATTTTCCTTTATTTCCCCCGTAGCTTTCTTGTTTTGCATAGGACCTCATGCCTGGCCTCGTGCACAACAAGGGCTTTATAAATGCTTGTTGAATGGATAGACGGAATGATGTGGCATGAACACGCTGGGTTTGCTTGTGATTACTTTGAGCCAGCTGGACATTTCCAGTTGAGCCAATCCTTTAATTCTTTTTATTTCCTGTTTCCTACTCCTCACCTGCTTATCCTAGGTCATTTTTATTGCCTCATTTATTCATGAAAGTTACTATATTTGGCCGCAGTGCTGACTTGAATTTTCCATCATGATTATAAAATAAATTGTTCATAGGGAAGGTAGACGATAGGTGTATGATGATTCATTATACTTTGTATATAATCAACCTATTTAAAGCACTATTATTACATACAGTTATAATATTAGTAGAAATCAAAGAAAAGTTTAAAACTTTATCCACATGCTGAACACCCAAACAAATCAATTTCTATTCTTCCCTGTTTTCTTTCAGTCCTTGCCTGTATACATATATAATTTGTATATACATTTACATGGATGCTTTTAAGCATAGAAGCATCTTAACTCCCTTTCTTTCAGCTAAAATGCAGTCACTTAAAAGTCCAGAAACCACCAAGATGCTGGTGTCCATGGTAATGAAGATGATGATGATGATAACTATTACTTATGGAGTTCCCCCTCCACGTCCCCCAGAACAAACTAAGGCTCAGCAAGGCTGAAAACTTGCCTAGAGTCTCAAAACTAGTAGGATAACAATAGTAATATTAATAGTAATCACATCATTAATACTTACCTATTACTTTACTATGTGTCAGGATCCATGCTGAGCAGTTGACCTGCTTCGTCTCATTTAAACCTCAAAGCATCTCCCAGAGGAGAAAACTGAGGTGTAGAGAGGATAAGTAATTGGCCCAAGATTGCACTGCTTGGCAGAGCTAGGATCGATAAGCCCAACTTTTTTTTAAAGTTTATTTTGTTTTTAATTGACAAATCATAATTTTATATATTTATGATGTGACGTTTTGATACATGTATATATTGTGTAATGATCAAACCAGGGCAATTGGCACATCCATCACCTCAAACACTTATCATCTCTTTGTAAAGAGGATTTTTTTTTTTTAGATGGACTCTCCCTCTGTCGCGCAGGCTGGAGTGCAGTGGCTCGATCTCTGCTCACTGCAACCTCCACCTCCCAGGTTAAAGTGATTCTCCTGCCTCAGCCTCCTGAGTAGCTGGGATTACAGGTGCACATCACCACTCTCAGCTAATTTTTTTTTTATTTTTAGTAGAGACAGGGTTTCAGAATGTTGGTTAGGCTGGTCTCGAACTCCTGACCTCGTGATCCACCTGCCTCGGCCTCCCAAAGTGCCAGGATTACAGGCGTGAGCCACCATGCCCAGCCTTGATGAGGATATTAAAGACTCTTATCTAGCTATTTTGAAATATACAATACATCATGTTAACTATAGTGACCCTACTGTACAATAAACACCAGAACTTATTTCTCCTGCCCAACTGGAAATTTGAACATGTTCACCAACCTCTCCCCATTCCTCCTAACTATCTTCTCCAGCCTCTGTTAACCACTATTCTACTCTCTACTTCTATGAAGTCAGCTTTTTTAGATTCCATATATCAGTCAGATCATGTGGTATTTGTCCTTCTGTGCTTGGTTTATTTCACTTAACAATTGTCCTCTAGGTTCATCCACATTGTCACAAGTGACACAACTTCGTTCTTTTTTTAATGGCTGGATAGTATTCCCTTGTGTATATGCACCACACTTTTTTGTCCATTCATTTATTGAAAGATACCTAAGTCAATTCCATATCTTGGCTTTGTGAATTGTACTGCAATATACTTGGGGGTGCAGATAATCTCTTTAACATACTGATTTCATTTCCTTTGGATATATATCCAGAAGTGGGATTGCTGGATCATATGGTAGTTCTATTTTTAATTTTTTGATGAACCTCCATACTGTTTTCTTTAATGACTGTACTAATCAATAGTATATGAGTTTCCCTTTCTCCATATTCTCTCTAGAAATTGTTACTTTTTGTCTTTTTTATAATAGTAATTCCAATTGGAGTGAGGTAACATCTTATTGCAGTTTTTTCTTCTTTTTTTGAGACGGAGTCTTGCTCTGGATACAAGCGATTCTCCTGTCTCAGACTTCCGAGTAGCTGAGATTACAGGTGTGCACCACCATGCCCAGCTAATTTTTGTATTTTTAGTAGAGATGGGGTTTCGCCATGTTGGCCAGGCTAGTCTCGAACTCCTGACCTCTGGTGATCCGCCTGCCTTGGCCTCCCAAACGTATTGCAGTTCTGATTTGCATTCTCTGATGATAAGTAATATTGCACATTTTTAAATATGCCTGTTGACCATTTGTGTGTCTTTTGAGAAATGTCTATCCAGGTCTTTTGCACATTTTAAATCACAATTTTTTTTATACTGATTTGTCTGAGTTCCAAGTATATTCTGGATATTAACCCTTTGTCAGAAGCATAGTTTGCAGATATTTTCTTCCATTCTGTAGGTTGTCTCTTTCCTCTGTTGAGTGTTTCCTTTGCCATGCACGAGCTTTTTAGTTAGATGTAACTTTTTAGTTTGCTTTTGTTGCCTGTGCTTTTGAGGTCCTAGCCAAAAATTCCTCACCTAGACCAAGGTCATGAAACATTTCCCCTGTTTTCTTCTAGTGGTTAATAGTTTTGGGTCTTAAATTTAAGTCTCTATCCATTTTGAATTAATTTTTTATATGGTGAGAGATGGGGGTCTAGTTTTGTTCTTCTGCATGTGGATATTAAATTTTACCATTTATTGAGGAGAATATTCTTTCCCCATTAGTGTTCTTGGCACTTTTGTCAGAAATCAGTTGGCTATAGATGTGTGAGATTTAGTTCTGATTTTTCTATTTTGTTCCATTGGTCGAAGTGTCTGTTTTTATGCCAGTACCTGCTATTTTGATCACTATAACTGTATAGCACATTTTGAAGTCAGGCAATATGATGCCTCCAGCTTTGTTGTTTGCTCAAGATCACTTTGGCTACTTCGGGTCTTTTGTGATTACATATAAATTTTAGAATTGCCTTTTAAAAAATTACTGCGAGGGGCCGGGCATGGTGGCTTACACCTGTAATCCCAGAACTTTGGGAGGCTGAGGCCTGCGGATCATGAGGTCAGGAGTTCGAGACCAGCCTGGCCAACATGGTGAAACCTCATCTCTCCTAAAAAATATAAAAATTAGCCGGGCGTGGTGGCACATGCCTGTAATCCCAGCTACTCAGGAGGCTGAGGCAGGAGAAATGCTTGAACCCAGGAGGTGGAAGTTGCAGTGAGCCGAGATCGCACCACTGCACTCCAGCCTGGGAGACAGAGCAAGACTCTGTCCCCCCAAAAAAAAAAAAAAATTACTCTGAAGAATGTCATTGGTGTTTTGCTAGGGATTACATTGAGTTTGTACATTTCTTTGGGTAGTATGAATGTTTTAACAATATTCATTTTTCTAATCCATAAACACAGGCTGTCATTCAATTTATTTGTACCCTCTTCAATTTCTTTCATTAATGTTTTATAGTTTTCATTACAAAGCTCTTTCACATCTTTGGTCAAATTTATTGCTAGGAATTTTATTTTATTTTTTTTGTAGCTATTGTAAATGGGATTGTTTTCTTGATTTCTTTTTCAGAGAGTTTGCTGTTGATACATAGAAACACTACTGATTTTTGGGTATGGATTTTGTATCCTGCAACTTTACTGAATTTGTTCATTAGTCCTATTAGTTTTTTTGGTGGAGTCTCTAGGGGGTTTTCTATTTATAAGATCATGTCATCTGCAAACAGGGATTTGACTTTCTCATTTCCAATTTGAATGCCTTTTATTTCTTTCTCTTGACTGCTTGTTCTGGCTAAGAATTCCCGCATAATATTGAATAGAAATGGTGACAGTGAGCATCCTTGTGGAGTTCCAGATCTTAGAGGAAAGGCTTTCAACTTTTTCAGGTTAGGTACGATGTTAGCTGTGGTTTTATCATGTATGGCATTTGTTGTGTTGAGGTACATTCCTTCCATACCTAATTTGTTGAAGGTTTTATCATGAAGACATGTTGAATGTTTTCAAAAAAAATTTTTTGTGATTGTTGAGAGAATCATATGGCTTTCTTCTTCATTTGGTTAATGTGGTGTATCATATTTGTCGACTTGCGTCTGTAGAATCATCCTTGCATCCCTGAGATAAATCCCACTTCCTTGCATCCCTGAGATAAATCCCACTAGATCATAACAAAGAATATTTTTAATGTGTTGTTGATTTTTGTTTCCTAGTATTTTGTTGAGGATGTTTGCATCTATGTTCTTCAAGGATGTTGGCTTGCAGTTTCTTTTTTGTATGTATCCTTGTCATTTCATTGTTTCTTCTTCTCACTGTCTTCCTTTGTGGTTAAATGATTTTCTCTAGTAGTGTGTTTTGATTCTTGCTTTTAATTTTTAGCCTATCTATTATAGGTTTTTCCTTTGTGGTTATCATGAGCTTTACAGTAAACATCCTATAGTTATAAACATTATTTTAAACTGATAAAAACTTAACTGTGATCTCAAAGAAAATAAATAAAAAGCAAACCATGTATGGCAACTTCATTTCCCTCTGCACTTTGAATTTTGCTGTCACAGTTTATATCTTTTTGTTTTGTCTATCTTTTAACAATTTATTACAGTTATTATGATTTTTAACCATTTTGTCTTTTAGTCCTCATACTAAAGAGATAGGTGATTTATACACCATGATTACAATATTGGAGTATTCTGAATTTGTCTGCATATTTACTTCTAACAGTGAGTTTTATACGTCCAGATTTATTTTTGTTACACATTAGCATCCTTTTTTTCCAGTTTGAAGAACTTCCTACAGCATTTCTTGCAAGACAGGTCTGGTAGTGATGAATTTCCTTAGCTTTTTGTTTGTCTGAATAGGCCTTTATTTCTCCTTCAATTCTGAAGGATAGCCTTGGTGGGTACAGTATTCTTGCTTAAATGTTTTTGTTTTTGTTTTTGTTTTTGTTTTCCCTTCAGCACTCTATATTTTCCTGCTCCCTTCTGGCCTGCAAGGTGTCTGCGGGGAAGTCTACTGCCAGGCATATTGGAATTACCTTATATACTATTTTCTTATTTTCTCTTGCTGCTTTCAGAATCCTCTCTTTTTGACCTTTGAGTGTTTGATGCTATGTCTTGGGTTGAATTTGACTGGTGATTTTTTTCTTTTTCTTTTTTTTTTTTTTTTGAGATGGAATTTCACTCTGTTGCCCAGGCTGGAGTGAAATGGTGCAATCTTGGCTCACTGCAACCTCCTCCTCCTGGGTTCAAGTGATTCTCCTGCCTCAGCCTCCTAAGTAGTGGGGATTACAAGCACCCATCACCACACCCAGCTAATATTTTGTATTTTTAGTAGAGACAGGGTTTCACCACGTTGGCCAGGCTGATCTCAAACTCCTGACCTCAGGTGATCCACATGCCTTGGCATCCCAAATTGTTGGGATAACAGGCGTGAGCCACCATGCCCGGCCTGATTGGTGACTTTTCTACATGGATATTTATATCTTTCTTCAGGTTTGAAAAGGTTTTTTTTTTTTTTTTTTTTTCTTTTTTGGTTGTTTGTTTTTTACGGAGTCTCGCTCTGTCACCAAGCTGGAGTGCAATGGCGCAATCTTGGCTCAATGCAACCTCCACCTCCTGGGTTCAAGTGATTTTCCTACCTCAGCCTCCCGAGTAGCTGGGACTCCAGTCGTGTGCCACCATGCCCAGCTAATTTTTGTATTTTTAGTAGAGACGGAGTTTCACCATGTTGGCCAGGAAGGTCTCAATCTCTTGACCTTGTGATCCACCCATCTAGGCCTCCCAAAGTGCTGGGATTACAGGTGTGAGCCACTGCACCAAGCCTTTTTTTTTTTTTTTTTTTCCGAGAAGGAGTCTCGCTCTGTCACCCAGGCTGGAGTGCAGTGGTGCAATCTCAGCTCACTGCAAGCTCCGCCTCCTGGGTTCATGCCATTCTCCTGCCTCAACCTCCCAAGTAGCTGGGACTATAGGCGCCTACCACCATGCCTGGCTAATTTTTTTGTATTTTTAGTAGAGACGGGGTTTCACCGTGTTAGCCAGGATGGTCTCGATCTCCTGACCTCGTGATCTGTCTGCCTCGGCCTCCCAAAGTGCTAGGATTACAGGCATAAGCCACTGCGCCCAGCCCTTTTTTTTTTTTTAATTATTTCTTTGAATAAGCTTCCTACCCTTTTGTCTTTCTCTCCTTCTTCTTGAACTCCAATAACCTAAATATTTGCTTTTTTGATGTGATTCCACAGATTGTATAAGTTTGAGTTTTTCTTTTTCATTTATTTTTCTTCTTTCTCTTATGACTGTATATGTTTAAATAGCCTGTCTTCAAGCTCATTGATTCTTTCTTCTACTTTATCACTTCTGCTTTTGTTGCTCTTGGTTGGCTTTTTTCCCTTCATTCATTGTAGTTTTTCAGCTCCAGAGTTTCTGGTTTTTTTTATTATTTAATGTATCTGTTAAATTTATCTGATGAATTTCTGAATTGTTTTTCTGTGTTTTCTTGAAGTTAGTGAGTTCCTTAACATGGCTATTTTGAATTTCTTGTCTGTCAGATTAAACATCTCCATCTCTTTACATTCTATCACTGTGCCTTGCTTAGTCCATTAGTTAAGGTCACAATTTCCTGACTGTTCTTGATAATTGTAGATGTACGTTGATGTCTGTGCATTCAAGAGTTAGGTATTTATTCACGTCTTTGCAGTCTGGCTTTATTTGTGCCCATCCTTCTTCAGTGAGCCTGTCTAGAAACCTAAGTGGATTGACTGTTGTCAGAGCCTGTGACACCTGCAGCCATTTAAGCACTAGAGGGAGCCATAAGCCCAGGCCTACTACAAGTCTCACAAAGACTCCAAGGTTGGTTGTTGCAGTATCCCGGTTTGGATGGACCTGGGGAAGACTTAAGGAGGGTAATCAGCCTTTGTGGGAAGGCTGGCCAGGAAACAAGTATAGAAGCCTGTCCCATTGGCCCAGACAGGAGCAAACTTCCTGGCATATCCCTGGATAGGTGGAACCATTCCCTGACTGCCGTGACAGGGGCTGGAGTTGAGAATGGGCCCCTTCAGAGTTTGCTGTTGGAGACTGGTGGGCAAGCCTGCCCCAGTGGCACAGATATGTATGCTACCAACATTTTTCCGCATGCACAGGGGAGTTCCCAGTGAGACAGACTGTAGCCAAGACTGGGCTCCCTCAGAATCCACTGTGAGAAAGAAGCTGGAAAACATGCCCCAGTGGCTCAGATGTATGTGGACAAAGGCCAACTCTTAACCAAGGATTTTAAACTGAATTTGGAATTCCTCTTACTCTAGGGCTCAACTCTTTTTAACTTTTCCTCACCAATTCAATGAAGAGGAAAAATTTATTTTTGTTAAGATAGTCTAGACCAAATCTGAAATTAAAACAGTAGTAAGTAGTTTGGGGAGTTTTAAATAAGATTCAAATTTATAATTTATTAAACAGATAAGTTATATACACACTATGCATATTTTAAACTTTTTATCAGAGAGGCCTGGATCTCAGATATTTCACTTGACTGAACTTAGTGTCTCTTCTTGCTTTTTTTTGTTTTTAGCCATTTATCAATTTATTATCCTGAAATGTCACAATAATTTAAAACTTCTTAAAAAGAGACTTGATCTTTAATAAAGCTCTGCTACTTTGTTATGCAGATATTATATAGAATCTCATTGCTCTTAAATTCATGACCTTGCTTTCTGATATAAACTTAATATGCAGAAGGCTGAATTGGTATTTAATTACTCTCTCGACTTTTAATCAAAGCATCTCTTTATTTCGCCTTTCCTTTAGTGCTGTAAAGCATGAAGTGTACTTTGATGGATTAGGACTGAACGAACAGGACTATAAAAGCCTTCACTGGTTACCCAGCTCCATTGAAGACAAACAAGAAGATGCAAGGAAAACTGATACCTGAAGGCTAGGGTTAGCCCAGTAAATGGATTTCCTGAGAGGAAAATATGCAAAATAACAAAATGACTGTCTTTCTAGAAGTAGCTTTTTAAAAAGCTAAATTTGAATTTGCTGAGATGATTTAATAAAATGCAGCTGGCCAGCAAAAGTAGACTCAGTGTTTTCTTAGAGTTGTACCAGTCCTGTAATTTCTGTATCTTGTTCGGTGACAGGCAAGAGCTATTGACATTCGGATTTCAAAGAGATGAAATGGCCTTGCTTGTAGGTTCTCTTTCCCTGAATGAATAATGTCAGCAGTGTAATTCTGGATAAATAGAAGTCTGATACCAGTTGACAAGCAAGGCAATTTTATTTATGTTTCTGGTCATATGGGTCACATAGTAGGATAGAGAGTCAGTAAGCCTCTCAAAATAGAGTAGGTTTGATTCATAAATAAGAGGATACAGTGGGGAGAAACCAGGGCTCATTGAATAGGTACCACATATGAGGCAACATCCTAGGCTCAAGGAGAACAAATGATGATGAATAAGATTTAGCTCCAGCCTTAAGAAATGTATTTATACTCTAATGGAGGAGACTGGCACAAAAGCTGATGATTTCTATATATATATATATATATATTTTTTTTTTTTTTCCTTGAGATGGAGTTTCATTTGTTGCCCAGGCTGGAGTGCAATGGCTCGATCTTGGCTCACTACAACCTCCGCCTCCCAGGTTCAAGAGCTTCTCTTGCCTCAGCCTCCAGAGTAGCTGGGATTATAGGCATGCACCACCACGCCCAGTTAATTTTGTATTTTTAGAAGAGACAGGGTTTCACCATGTTGGTCAGGCTTGTCTCGAATTCCTGACCTTAGGTGATCTGCCCGCCTCGTCTCCCAAAGTGCTGGGATTACAGGCGTGAGCCACCACTCCTGGCATATGGTAGTGTTTATTAAGCCCTGCACTATTGAGATTGTAGGCTGGATAATTCTTCGTTGTGGAGGCTGTCCTGATCTGTAAGACGTTTGCAGCATCACTGGCCTCTACTCACTAGACATCGGTAGTACCACCTGCACAGTTGATGACCAAACATATCTCCAGATATTGTCACACATCCCATGAGGGGCAAAATTGGTCCAGTTGAGATCTGAGGTGGTAGTGTTGTGACAAAGGTAAGTCTAGGACGCTCTGGGAAGTAAGGAAGGATGCCCAGATGGCCCTAGAGGAAGGTGGGTGGTCAGGGAAGGCTTCCTTGAGGAGGGGGCACTGTTCTTATGTGGAAACATGAAGGGTGTGAGCCATGTGGAGCAAAGGATCAGCATGAACAAAGGAGTGGCATTACAAAATGCCAAGGCATGTGTAGGGGAGCCAGCTGCTACCTCAGTACTTCTGGGATATCAAGTAGGTGTGTTAGAGGTGAACGGTGAGGCGTGAGGTTGTGATGCAAACATGCATGCAACTATGGTCTGCATGGACAGCTTGTGGGCACAGGTGTGTCAGTGGATGGTCCATAAGCAGTGGGTTGATGGGAACAGTCTTCTAGAACATTCTGGCCACAATGGGAAGGATGGATTACTGTGGCTGGTAACATGGCATCAGGACCCTTTTGTGCTGAGCTACTTGCTTTACCTGTGTCATTCCATTTAATCCTCACAATAGGCCTATACAAAGGAGGCACAATTATCCCCACTTACAGAGGAGGGCGTAGCAGGGCCGAGCAGATTCCCTGAGAAGGTGCAGGTGCTGAGGTCTTCTTTTTTTCTTTTTTCTTTTTGCCTTGAGATGGAGTCTTGCTGTGTAGCCAGGCTAGAGTGCACTGGCACGATCTCAGCTCACTGCAACCCCTGGAGAAGGTGCTGAGGTCTTCTCTTAAAGATAAAAGAGGCTTGGCTTGTCTGACAAAACTTTTTTCAGTGAGCTGCTGTGATGGAGGTCAAACCAGGGATCCTGTGGTCAGCCGTGAACAGGATGTATGCAGAGTCCTCTGGAGGGACTTGTAAGCAGATAAATATACAAATAGAGTAACACAGAAGCAATTAAAAACAAGCAGGATATTCAAGGCTCTCTTCATTGTTCTTTTCTCACCTGAAACTTCCATCAGGGCCCAAATGTTTGTTCATTTCAATGAACATTGATTGAGTGCCTACTGTGTCCTCGGGATTATTCCAGGGCTCTGAGGGAGACAAGGGGTTTGAAATAGAATTGGCCTGACAGCAAATGTGAGCTGAATGAACAGAGTGAGAGTAAACAAACTGAGGACAAATGATCTCCAAAGAGGATCTTGACTTTCAGAGGGAAGCATTTCAATTCGGATCTCTCTCTAAGAACCTGCCTCTAAGCGTGTTGCACTCTAGAGAAGCATGTTTGCCCCTTGGAATAGCTGATTGAGGTGTAGTGTGATCAAAAGGAAGGTTATAGGAGAGGAAAGGGACCAGGCTTGCCCTGCTGGTGAAGGTGCTCAGCCCTTGAGCACCCAGAGGTGGCCGTGGAATTGACATTTCCTTGGGATCTTCAGGTATTCTTGCTATGTATGAAACCATGCACTATGTGTTCTCTGTACAGAGTCATTTAATTCCCACAGCAACCTTATATGATGGGTATTATTATTATTATTATTACTATTTTGAGATGGAGTCTTACTCTTGTTGCCAGGCTGGAGGGCAGTGGCACAATCTCGGCTCACTGCAACCTCCGCCTCCTGGGTTTAAGCAATTCTCCTGCCTCAGCCTCCCGAGTAGCTGGGACTACAGGTACATGCCACCATGCCTGGCTAATTTTTAGTAGAGAGGGGGTTTCACCATGTTGACCAGGATGGTCTTGATCTCTTGACCTTGTGATCCACCTGATTCGGCCTCCCAAAGTGCTGGGATTACAAGTGTAGCCACCACGCCCGTCCTATGAATGGGTAGTATTATTATCTCCACTTTATATATGAGGAAACAGCACAGACAAGCTAAGTAGCTTGCCCAAGGTCACACAGCCTTTGACTGAAATTTCCAGGATTGAAACCCAAGATGGTCATGCAACCAGAGCTTATGACATTAACCACTAGATTATGCTGCCTCTTGCTGCCTTGTCTGTGTGCTAGAAGGCTGTGGGGTGCTCTAACTGGAAAAATAATTGGCCACCTTACTAAGAAAAAATTGTGCAGAGGAAGACAGGTTTCCATGTAGTAGAAAGAGAACCACAGTCAGAATCAGAAGACCTGAGTGTTGATTCTGATGCTGGTAGTAATTGACTTTGCAACCTGGAGAGTCATTTAACTTCAGTGAGGCTCAACTTCCTCATAGTTAATATGAGGTTAATAATATCAATCTCCCAAGTATTATTTGTGTCAGATAGAATGTATGAAAGTGTCTCAAACAGCTCCTAGCACTAACTAAGGTTTTGCATGGAAGATGAATGGGAGATAAATGAGGGATGCTTCAGAGTTACAGGTTTGATTGGGCTTAAAGAAAGTGTAAAGTTCATAAAGAAGGACAAAATCCAAATCAAACACATGGAGAATGTTCTCTGAACGACTCCAGGGGCATGTGTGTGTGTATGTGTGTAATGGCTACCATATACTATCATTGATTGAGTTCTTACTCTGTCCTAGTACTATACTATGGGCCATATGTCATCAATAACCATGATTTAGGGACTTTTTAAAATGTGCTTTGGGTTTTACTATTGCATGCATTTCATAGATGCTTAACCATGGACCATTCTGAGCTACAATTGTTTAATATAGCTTCTCTGCAGATCTCTGCAAAACCTAGCAACAGGCTGTGTTTGATGTAAAGATGTGGCAGCTCAGAGCACATCACTCGTATTTGCTCCCCCTCCTGATGCCTCCCTCATTCTTGCTTACCCACAATTGTGCTCCTTAATAAAATATTAGCCCCATAAGCTTTTGCCTCAAGCTCTGCTTTTGAGGAAACCTAGGCTAAGGCAGATTTTGAAAAAAAAAATATTTTTTTTTGGTAAAGGAAAACAGAAGCCAATATACATAGGTAAAAGATCTAGCTTTATATATGCAAAATGTTAACTGGGTTATCTCTTTTCACACTTTTCTATATTTTCTATTTTAATTATTATTATTGAGGTAGTGTCTCGCTCTGTTGCCTGGGCTGGATCCAGTGCAGTGTGCGATCATGGCTCACTGCAGCCTCGCCCTCCAGTGCTCAAATGTTTTCCCCACCTCAGCCTCCCTAGTAGCTGGGACTACAGGCATGCACCACCATGCCCAGCTAATTTGCATATTTCTTATAGAAATGGGGTTTCACCATGTTGCCCAGGCTGGTCTTGAACTCCTGGGTTCACGTGATCTGCCTGCCTCAGCCTCCCAAAGCGATTACAGGTGTGAGCCACTGCAACTGGCCTATTTTAAAATTTTTGAACAGTAGAAAGTTTATTTTGATAAACTATTTAGAGGTACACATTTCTTTCTTCTGAAATTAACAGATGTGATGTACAGACATAAGCTGAAAAGTCATAGTGAGAATAAAAAGTATTCTTTCCCGTAGATATTCCATTAGGGTGAATTCAGGAGTAGCTTCAGATGTTTTCATAACCTACTATTTTATACTCTCATTATTTCAGTTTTATATTACTTAGGTTTAAAAAAATAATCCATATTGATTTTCATATGTTGGAGCAATCAGTTGGAACATACAGCAATGCAGTAAACACGTCAGGCATATTAAATGCATTTCAATTATTCTGCAGGCTCCTTAGGTTTTAAAGATAATCACATTACTTACAATGCCCTGGAATTTCAAAAAATTGTCCAACAATGTTCTGAGAGTTATTTCAAGCTGCATTCCATTCAGAGAGCCCTGAAAAGTCTCTTTTGGTAAAGGTCAAATGTGTGGTCTATACAGTATAGAGAACCCTAAAGCCAACATTTCCTTGTTACTGTTTATTCCCCAGGACGAACATTAAAGTTACAAAAATGAAGGCTGTCTTGGATTTTGCATACTTTCACCAGAAAGGGGGTTAAATGTGACTTTCACTTTCTCACAAGTGGCCTCATCTGTAGTGAGAATCAGACTGGGAGAGTGGGAAGGGGCTCTCGGCCATTATCCCCTCCAAATGGCCCATTTCATAGAGGAGAAGACTGAGAGCAGAGACAAGGAACGTCCTCTCAGAGAACTACGTGCTGACCGGATAACTGACAGTCACTGGGTGGGCAGCCTTTACATTTCAAAAAATTAGAAGAAACCAAGTCAGCTAGTGACTCAGCTCATCCATTTGATATATGAGAAACTCTCTGGAGAAGACCTGAACTGTTTTTGGAGGCGATAAATCCATCACTCTGAAGTTTTCTGGAATGATAGTTTAACTTTTGCTCTTCCTGGTTATGCTGGCATAGAGTAAGCAGGATTGGTATCTAGCTCTGTAGTTATTTCTTTCTTTCTTTCTTTCTTTTTTTGAGACAGAGTCTAGCTCTGTTGCCCAGGCTGGAGTGCGGTGGGACGATCTTGGCTCATTGCAACCTCCACCTCCTGGGTTCAAGCAATTCTCCTGCCTCAGCCTCCTGAGTAGCTGAGATTACAGCTGTCTGCCACCATGCCCAGCTAATTTTTTGTATTTTTAGTAGAGACAAGGTTTCACCATGTTGGCCAGGCTGGTCTCGAACTCCTGACCTCAGGTGATCCACCCGCCTCAGCCTCCCAGTGCTGGTATTACAGGCATGAGTGATCGCCCCCAGCCCTGTGTAGTTATTTCTATGCATGGAGTAATGTAGTCATTTTTTGACCTGTGCTCCCTCATTCCTACACCCTGGCACTTGAAAGCAAGGGGCCGCGTCCTAGCCAGAGTTGCTTTGCTTCTCTACAGAGATAAGACCAGCGTCTTCTTGTGGTTCCCAGCCTGAGCTCTGTGCAGACCAACTGGGATTGAATCCTGGTTCTACCATTGACTAGTTAGTTGATTTTGGGGAAGTGAGTTGATTTTGCATAAGTAACTTTACCTTCGTCTATCTTCCTTTCCTCATCTGTAACATGGAGATAATTTTAATACCCATTCTGCATAGAAAGTGAGGCGTACAGAGACTTTTACATAAGTGAACATCTGATGAATATTGGCTATTGATAAGTGCTCAAGAAATATTTATTAGAAAAAATGTATTAAGGGGAAGAGAGAGAATTGCCACAAGAAGAAAGTTGTCGATATTTTTCTCAAACCATTCCAGGTCCTGCAATTCCCCACATTTCAAGTACTCTAGCATAATTTCTCAGGCTCATGGAAGGAAGGAGGAAGCACAGCTAGCTTTTTTTTTTTTTTTTTTTCCAGCAGAACCATATGAAATTTACATATATACGGCATGGCCTGCTCCAAAAACTTACAGTCTAAATTTAGCCACATTGCTCCCACGCCGGCCACCACAATTGATAACTAGAACACTCAAGGGCCCCATAAAAAGCACGTGCAAAGTTTCCACCTTTGTCTAGAATCCCTGGGGCTGACTCAGTCAAAGGGGTCAGATCTCTTTCCAACGGTGTGCGGAGAAAGAAGTGGCCTCCTCTTGTTTTTAACTCTGCTGCTCCTCCTGCTCAGATCCTGCGCCCTGGATGCGGACGGACTTCCAGGCTCCCCAGGCAGCACCCAGCTAGGACCCAGTGACAACTCTTGGGTTGGTAGCAACAGCCCTGTGAGGTCAGGGTCCCAGGAGCAGCAGGGGTCTCCAGGATATATAGCAGCAAAAATCTCACCCTTCCAGGCCAAACCAGCCCTTGCCACGGGCCACAAGCCCTTTGCTCAGAACCTAGGTCAGCTCCTTGATATCCCTTGTCCCCTTAATCACTACCTATTTTTAGGATTTTTCACCTATGCAGATGTGTGTCCGCCTCCTCCCCAACTATATTAGTTTGCCAGACCTGCTCTAAGAAACTGGGTGGCTTAACCAACAGAAATGTATTTTTCTCACAATTCTGGAGACTGGAAGCCTGAGATCAAGGTGTTGGTTTCTTCTGAGGCCTCTCTCCTTGGCTCGCAGGTGGCTGCCTTCTCCCTGTGTCTTCACTTGGCCTGATTGCCAAACCCAGCGCCTTCTGAGATACTGGGGGTTACAATTTCAGCATACGAAATTTGAGGGCAGGGTGAGGGGACACAGTTCAGCCCATAACACCAACAATTAACTCTGCAAACTTAAGATGTAAGTTAACTTTTTTAATTCAAGAAAAAGACAGGGAGGCCGAGGCAGGTCCACCCGCCTTGATCAGGAGGTCAAGACCATCCTGGCAAACATGGTGAAACCCCGTCTCTACTAAAAATACAAAAATTAGCTGGATATGGTGGTGGGTGCCTGTAATCCCAGCTGCTTGGGAGGCTGAAGCAGGAGAATCACTTGAACCCGGGAGGCAGAGGTTCCAGTGAGCCGAGATCGTGCCACTGCACTCCAGCTTGGACGACAAGAGCAAAAACTCCATCAAAAATAAAAGAAAAATAAATAAATAAATAAATAAAAATAAATAAAAGACAGGGAGGAGAAGAGAGAGAGAGAGAAAGAGAACGGTGTGTAGCGAGGGGGGCCTCATCATATCCTTCCAGGACAATAGGTGGCCCGCGCTTACCATACTAAGGTGGCCACTCAAGTGACTGTTCAAACACTTAAAGTGCATCCTACTAAATACAGAAGGTCTCTGTAAGACACATGAGCCCAGAGCTTCTCTGGATGAAATGGGAGTGAGGGGTTGAGATCCCCCCACAACTCCCTTCTCACTAAATCACCTCTGACAAGCACAGGATAAAAACCTTTGACCTGGAAGATTCCAGGTATCCGGGCTGCTTTTGTTATCTTTTCACAAACGCACAGTTCATCAAGGTTTGGAACAGGGACCTATGATATCATCTGATGATCTTTAGCTTTGGAGACATAACTGTCACTAGCACCCAGCCCAGTTTCACTGTAAAGTTGTCTGGCTGAGCTCCCGCAATCCTGCCAACAGTCCGTACTTGTGTGGCCTGCTCTGTTTTTCCATTTTACTTCTTTTTAGAGATGGGCTTGTTAATCACCCTGCTCAACTGTGATACCCAAGAAAAGCTGAGAGAGTAAAGTTATATGCAGCCTTCCTGTGACCTGTTTGCATGTACCCAGTCAATAAAACTCAGGCAGAGTGACAGTGACAGCTGCCTTGTGGCATTCAGAGGGATTTGAGCAGTTTAGCAGCCTCCTGGACAAGTATATCATTACAGCCCAGCTGCTAAGAAAGAAAACACCTAAACCCTGGGGAACAGGCACAGCTCCTGCAGCCACCCAGGGACCTGTCTCAGATACCTGCAAGGCCTGATCAAGACTCTCCTGGCAGCTTTCTCCACACTAGGACCTCCTAGTCACAAGTTGGTTCTCACCCTGACGCACACTCCCTGCCTGCAACAGCCTGGCTTTTAGCAGCTGAGAGGACACGGTCCCTGCCTGGGAGGTGGCAGAGGAGAGTGACTAGAAGGGAAGGTACAATGGGGGCCAGGCAGTCAAGGGCCAGCTCCAAGGATAAGGGCCCCAAGAGGATGCTGTTCACGGGGAGGAGACAGAAGTTTTCTCCGTGGGACGATGCCCTGCTCTCGGGAAGGGACCCGCGGTCCCTGCTGAAGCGGGGCATGCACCACGTCAGCTTCAGCCTGGTCACGAGAGGAATGACAGACATCCCCGACTTTCTGTGGGGCTTGTCCGAGGTCCAGAAACTCAATCTGTCTCACAACCAGCTCCGGGTTCTCCCTCCCGAGGTGGGGAAACTGACCCGGATCGTGGTCCTGAACTTGTGCGGGAACCGCCTGAAGAGCCTGCCCAGAGAAGTGAGCCTCCTACAGTGCCTCAAGGTCCTGTTTGTCAACATGAACTGCCTGACAGAGGTGCCGGCCGAGCTGAGCTTGTGCCGAAAGCTGGAGGTCCTGAGCTTGTCGCACAACTGCCTGTCCCAGCTCCCTGCATGCTTCGCCGACCTCTCTAGACTGAGGAAGCTAAACCTCAGCAACAACTTCTTCGCGCACATCCCCATGTGTGTGTTCTCCCTGAAGGAACTGATTTTCTTGCACGTGGGCTCGAATCGCCTGGAAAACATCGCTGAGAGCATCCAGCACCTGGCCAGCCTGCAGATCTTCATCGCAGAGGGCAACAACATCCACTCCTTCCCGAGGTCGCTTTGCCTGGTCACCAGCCTGGAGCTGCTGAACCTCAACAACAATGACATCCAGACCCTCCCGAGCGAACTCCACCTGCTGTGTAGACTGGTGAGGATCGCCTGGAATCCCATGGACAAAGGGCTCCACATTTCCCACAACCCTTTATCCAAGCCTCTGCCGGAGCTGGTGGAGGGGGGCCTGGAGATGCTCTTCGGCTACCTGAAGGACAAAAAACACACCTGACCTGGGTCCCGGAGGCCTGGATGGGAGGCAGCTCATCTGGACTCTGTCAACCGGGGTACTTCTCTCGTCTCAGCTTTCTACTCTCATCCTTAGTGTCTGACAATACCTTTGTTAATATTTGCTAAGTCGCTGTTGAACATCCACGTTAAGGAGGTGATTGTTTTTAACTCTGTATGTTCTTAATAACCTCTGGAATATCATGTTCATCTCATCCTAAACATAAATTGAAACAGGGGGTTGGTTTTCCCCAAAGAGAACTAACAGTTCTGATTCTTCTGAGGAGCAGTGAGATTCAGCCCTTGGGAGAGTGGACACCTAACAGGTCTGAATTCAATGTAATTCAAAAGGCAAATATTTGCTAAGTACTGTGTGCCAAGTACAGTATGAGGTGCTGAAACCTGGTTTCAGATAGTTTCTGCCCTTGAATCAGCAACCTGTGGCCAGGTGGCAACGGCAAGACACGTTCCTCCATCAGCCTCTGTGAAACATTACTTGGGACCAAAAGGCAAACCACAGTGGGCTCTGTCCCCAGTGACCAAAAGAGGCAGAGTTTTCGCCTTGAGTTCTGGGGGACAATCATAGGAAATTTTTCTTTCATGCGGCTACAGAGGAATAACCAAGCCACTCATGCTTATGTCTGGTGGTGAGTAAATGGGTAGAAGGATGGCTTTCAGATATTAAATATGAACTGATATAATGTGTATTTCAACCTTCCTTCCCAGTCCTGTCCCACTCATTGTCATGTCCTTGAACTTCTTTGCTAGACACTAGGCAATCATCAAATGATCCCATTTTAATTTCACTTCTCCATGACTACATCTGCCCTCTCAGAGATAAACTACTAAATGGGATAATTTGGCCAACAATGACCAAAAGGCAGAAAAGAGGGGAAAGACATAGACAAGTCATGCAAAAAAGTAATCACCCTTTTACAATTTGGAGGAGGGTAATATTGACTTTCCCATGTTAACGTTAAAAAAAAAATGAGTTTAGTGACATTTAAAAGCTCCTTGGAAAAAAGTCTCTATAAAAACACGAAGCTTGTTTTTTTATTTTAAGAGCACACAGCTGTTAGTGAAATACAGACACCAGGGCAAGCAGTGACAGAGTTCCTGCACCAAAGGTCACTGGACCTCACTGCTCTGGCAGCAGCCAAGAGCCACATGGCATTAATATTGGTTTAGAGCTACAGAATCAGAATGAAAAGATGACACTGAAGAAAATCAAGTACCTTCAGGTCTACAAAGAGCCAATTGTTCTGATCTCTTGGCACATTTGTCTGCAAAATTATAGCAAATGATACCAAGACTTAGCATTTGGGGTTGCTGCCAACACTTGTATAACTTCTCAGTATTCCTAGTTTAATTCAATTTAACTTATATTTATTAGCACCTTTTCCGGTCCGGACACTGGGCGGGAAACCTGAGAAGAACAACACCTGCTCCTCCTACCACAGAGCTCCCAGGTTGGAGAAGGAGAGAGACCCACGTGGTTTCTACAACGTGCAGCAAGATGTGATCCCTGCTCAAGAAGGATACAAACAATGGGCTGAGGCAAGAATAACACACTATAGGGCGTAGACTAGACTGAGCTCCAAAGTCTCAGTAACCAGAGAACAGTAAGCAAATAGCACAGCTGGGATAAATCAGTCAACCCCTTCATTCCCTGCAGCCATCAAACCCTAATTCCTCCCCACCTCTGCACTCGCCTGATTTGGAAAGAGCAGCGGAGTGTTGAGGCAGTGGCTAGCTCATTCTCAGGTTCTGAGCTTAGGCAATTTTACTGTGAAAAATACTTGCTTTTTCTAAAAGCTGTTCAAAGGGGGTCCGTATAGCTTATTCATAGAGCAAGTGATTTTTTCCCAACAGACCCCAATTCAATTTTCCCACCCGTAAAAGAAGGAAGCCAATTTCTGCTATTATCACCAGATACCATAGTTCCATTAGCACATTTGTGCATGAGGTCTTCTGTTGAACCATTGCACACAGACCTTACCGGTATCATTTGGAGGCAGCTAAGGAAGTCTCCTCCAAATTCCCCCTCTAGCAGCAACTGGAGACCTGCCTATCCCTGCCAGGCACATCCAGGCACACTCCAGAATTCTCCCCCATGTTAGCTTGTTGCAGGCAAGACTATTTAAAGACATCAGTGGAATTCTCACTTGACCTCCTGACTCAATGGGGAATGGTAGGGCCAGGCTTCCTCCGCAGAACCTGGTAGGTCACTTACTGCAGCCTTGGCTGAAGCACACGCAGCTGTCAGACAAACACTAGCAAGTGCCAGGATCATGCCCATGAGTGTCTGCTGCTGAAGAACCACTTGGGCTCACGCTGAATTTCCATGACCTTGCTGTGGGCAGAGACGCAGGCGAGGACAGCAGCACCGCACTTGTCCTGCTGAGCAATCATTTTATTTCCTCTCCTAGCCTTTTCAGTCACTTGATCCCACAGTAACTCTACTCCAGGGAAAGAATGTGACCATATTTTGAAGGTGACCCAAGAGCTCATTATACTTTTTATAAGAAAAAAAATGATATCAATTTGGTTGTCAGCTTCCATTGGTGTCTTTCAAAAGTATAGTAGCAAGGTTTTCTTTGTTAACACTCAGCATTGAGGAAATCATAAAAGTGTAGTAGTTGCCCGATGTGCTTTAGATATTGATTCTTTGTGAATACTCCTTTTTATTGATAAAGGGAAGTGCTGAGCACAAAACTGGTTAATGTGCTTAGTTATTCAAAATGTGAACGCGGAAACAATTTGATATAACCTTCAGTGTCTTCGCTGTCAAATCCTATAGTTTGCTGACTGATTGTGAAATGCTTCTTCCTTATCTGTTGTATTTTGAATACTGCCACATTCAAGTAACTCCAGGTATTTCTAAAGCTTCTGAAATCAAAGCACTGAGGTGACTGGATTGGCTGCGGAGTATACTTAGCCAAAGAATACGAGCTAATTGGGTGCTTGATGTGGGGAGCTGGCTGCTCCCATTCTTGATGATGTTTTGGTTTTCATGTCACTTGGCTCTCAGTATGGAGGGATCTCAGTGTGTGTTCAGAAGCACCTTTCGAAACAGTTGCAGCTTACAGGCATACAATTATGAAGAAATCCTATGTTCATAGGAAAGGAAGACGACTGTGAAAAGACACATCTGTTCAAGGAATAATATTGCTAAATGCATAATACTGCAGGCACATTAGAAAGAAAAATGTAGTCATTACTTAGCTTGTTGACTTAATAAATGGTTAACAGAGAAATGCACTCCATTCTTGGGCTTTAGTTAATAGACTGCCTTTCTGGAGTAAGGAAAGAGAACGACTTCATGACTGCACCTGGATTTCACAGTAAAGTCATGCTTGTGCTGGAAAGAGATAAAAGAGGGAATGCTGTCACTATTTGTACAGATGCATTAAACTCAACCTTTTTCTTTTGGCAATGAATATTGCATTTTGAAAGTGTATTTCATATGGCTCAAAGCATATACTGAATATGCATTTTGAGGGCCATTCATTAAAAACAGAGGAAGATTAAAGGAATGTGGGCTCAGCTACTGGAACGCACATTCAGGTATTGACACCTGAGATTACTGGGGAGACGGAGGCCCAGAGGCTGGACTGGAGTGTATTTCTCATATGCTAGGGGGAGTCCCCTGTCTAGATGGAGTCCCTGAGGTTCTGGTACAAATGGTGAAAAAGAGAAGATGAATTCAGGAAGTGGTCTAAAAAAATTAAAGCTGCTAAATTAAGCCACTATGAAGATTCTAAATACTAAATTATGGCATTATTATCTACTACTGAAGTATCCAAATGGTCTTGATTTTCTCATTCCACAAAAGAATTATTTTCAGTACTCTGTAAGATATATTTGAGAAACACAAAATACCCAGCTAGTGTGCAATGAAGTACCAGTACCCTTGAGGTAATGTCTTAGTTGTAACTAATCCAAGAATACCAAAATACAACCCCTTCCTATATTTCAAGAAAACAAAATAAAATTAAGAGGAACGTGAAAGTTATTGTAAACAATAATGGGAACAGTCTCGACCTTGTTGAGAAGAGAACTTTCTACAAGTGTTTCTTTTAAGTTTCCTGTCTAGTTACATGTTGAATCCAAAGCATTACTGATTTTTTTTAAAAAAGAACAGCACAGTAATAAAAAGAGGATGCAGGGAGGGCTCATAATGAATTTGTAAGAGCTTGGGCATCATTAGGCAAGCATAACCGAAAGCCATTAACATGAACCTTGCTATGCAGATTTTTTTAGTAGTGCCATAGGAATCTGCTTGCAAGGAGAGAGCTGATTTCCTATATGCCTCTAGACTCACTCCTTATTTCAGCACAGGACAGAAAATAAAAGGCAAACTGGAGTACCATCAGGGTATTTCTTGAAACTCTTTTTTTTTTTTTTTTTTGGAGATGGAGTCTCACTCTGTCACCCAGCCTGGAGTGCAGTGGCATGATCTCGGCTCAACGCAATCTCCATCTCCCAGGTTCAAGCGATTCTCCTGCCCCAGCCTTCTGAGTAGCTGGGATTACAGGCACCCACCACCATGCCTGGCTAATTTTTGTATTTTTAGTAGAGACGGGGTTTTGCCATGTTGGCCAGACTGGTCTTGAACTCCTGACCTCAGGTGATCCGTCTGCTTCAGCCTCCCAAAGTGCTGGGATTATAGGCATGAACCACCGTGCCCGGTGAAACTCTTAAGAGAAACATAGATTATGAAAACTATAAGGCGATACAAGCTTTGAGGGTGTGAGCTGTAGCTGCTGACGGGACATCACTTACTCACCCATGTTCTTTGGTCTTGAGTGACTTGGGTTCCTCAGAAGTCAGTGTGCCCGGACATGGCACTGTGGGGAAGTCTCTGTTATCTTCCCGTCTCCTAAAGGTCATGCCCACCACCCTATGTATGCCCGGGGGTGGTGGCTCAAATGATATTTGTTGTGGCAGATTAATCAAGAAGATTAAGAAGAGGCTCTGCGGGGTGGTGGGAAAGCTCTGAGCTGAGAGCAGGCACATGGATCACATGGCGCTTACTGTGCATATGTGTCCTGAGCCTGAGCAGGTGACATCGGGACAGGATGATGGGACGGGGGCAAAGGAGTGAGGCTCAGCTAAACACGATGCAATCCTGTGACAGCCCTGCCCGAAGAGATGTGTAGACAAGTGCAAAGGCGTTTAGGTGAAATTATGGGATGGCAGAGATGTGGCATTACTGCAATGGTGTGGGGAATGCACAGTCCAGCATGACAGTTACAGACATGATGCTTCCTTTGTTTTGCTTTGTCTTGAAGGGAAATTTGTGAATCCCACAGTCTCAGAGCAGGCTGCTTTATAACACCTTTGTGACATCTGCCCTTTTCATTTTTCTATTTTCTTTACCAAAATCTAAGAGGATAGGCAAGCACATGGAAGGAGTCATGATACCTGGAGACACTGTGTGTCCTGGCTTCGAAAAGTGTTCCCAAGCCTCTCCTTTACCACATTATGGGCCAGGATCCTTCCCGAGGTTTCAGAAAGGACCCTGGGCTGGCAGTGGTTCTCAATGTTGGCTGTTCATCAGAATACCTCCTGGTATTTAAAAAAAAAGATTTGAAAGATTTTAATATAGTTGGTCTGGGTTAGACCTGGGCTTCTTACTTTGCTTAAAGCAAAGTAGGTAATTCTGTGGCTCACTCTGGGTTGTGAAATGATGATGCCGGCTATTACCTAAACCGTCAGATATAGGACCATGAAGCCAATGGGGCTGTGAGCCTGGCCATTGAAAGAGGCCAGTGAAAGAGGCGGGTCTCTGGCCCTGGTCAGCAGACAGGGGCCCTGCTGGTGCCTGGTGATTAGACTCATCTGTGCATTTGTTAAAAGGGTAGAGCCCCAGCTCCTTTGGCATGCTTTCAGATTCAGTGAGCCAGGGTAGGGCCTGGCATGTGTGGGCCTAACAAACACTCTAGGTGTCTCCTATCACAACACAAACAGGAGAATAGTTGGTCTCGCAGAACGTGTGCCCACTGGAAAATGAAAGCTCTGGTCTCCAGATTCAGCTGCTCCTGGCTCTCTCTGCCACTGGAGACTGCACGCCTTGATGGCTGTTATCTTTGCACCCAGCATAGGGGAGATAAGAATAATGTATCAAATGGACAAATGAGAAAGTGAAAGAGCATGCAAGATCACCCACCTCTCCACCCCACCTCTCTGGGCCTCAGAGAGGGTGGGGTGATCTTGCTTTACACTCCTTTCAGCTTTGAAATTCTATGACTGCATTCTATCTCTGATTTAATGCCTTGGTAAATAGATATTGGGCTTATAATTACTGTGATTACTCAAGAAAAGCAAAAATCACTGTGGAGCATTGTGGAGATGGGTCGAGATCAGTATGAGTGCTTTGATATCCCTTCCAGCACACCAGAAAAGGTAATTTTAATTTTGGTTGATGTTCAAAAATATAAAAAGAGCGAGCAGTATTGTGGGTGAATCTAGGGGTTTATAGACCTCCAAACTGCCTGGATTCCATCTCTAATTTTTTAATGGATTGGAAGCTCAGAGGGAAAAGCCTCTGTTTCGCTTTTTTAATTGACTGATTAACCACTTCTCTGATTCATGTTTCTGGACGAGATGAAATTCCTAGTTATGCTTTCCCTTAAAAACAAGCAAACAAACAAAAACACTTCTGGGTTTGATTTAATTAAATGATTTGGGCACTTAGAGCTGAAATCTTTCCTCTTGTTTAAAAAAGCATAGTGTATTCCAAAGTGTGAGTTGAGGAAATACAATAATAAAATTCATACCTCTTACATAGCCCTTCCTTATCTACCTGCACATGTGAATCAAATTTGATTTTTGTTATAAATTTTCAAAAGTAACTTCTGCAAATCAACACATATGAAGCTGCAAAATAAGTCTTTGGTATCTTTGATTCTTAATAATGTTGTTCCTCTCTCCACCTCCACTGTTTTAGTCAAAGCTACAAATTGATGTTATTTACACTGTGGAAATCAGAAATTAAGGACTTAATTTGGTTTTGATTAACCTTAGTTATGAAAGGATAGGTTACAATTGCACATGATAACAATTCTTAAATAATATTGCTGTCATATTGTTGCCATATACTTTGAGAATTCAAAGTCTAGTTCTGGTATTATCCTCTTCAGCCACAATATATGAGAAAGTTAAGGATTTCCTTTCTGGAAGTCACAGGAATAGTATAAACAAAGAATTTATCCAAGAAAGATAACAGTCTTCCGTATGTTTAATGTTTATGCTCTCTTGTTTTCATAAACTTCTACTATAAATGATTTAAAGAATTTGTTTGATTTCCCAGAAATATATATGACATGTTTTCTACAGAAATCTTTTTTTTTCTTTTTTTTTTTTTTGAGACGGAGTCTTGCTCTGTCGCCCAGGCTGGAGTGCAGTGGCGCCATCTCGGCTCACTGCAATCTCCGCCTCCCGGGTTCACGCCATTCTCCTGCCTCAGCCTCCCGAGTAGCTGGGACTACAGGCGCCCACCATGATACCCGGCTAATTTTTTGTATTTTTTTAGTAGAGACAGGGTTTCACCATGTTAGCAGGTATGGTCTCGATCTCCTGACCCTGTGATCCGCCTGCCTCGGCCTCCCAAAGTGCTGGGATTACAGGCGTGAGCCACCGCGCCTGGCCCAGAAATTTTTTATTGTTCATTTGACTATATAATATGTTGATTATAGAAAACTGAGTTTGCTCAGTTTGTGAATGAACTTATCATGCTCTTGTTGATTAATTTGCCACAACAAATATCACTTGAGCCAGCTTTCTTCTACAGCTGGAGAAGGAAACTAGCTCCATTTCTGATAGTCAGAATGAGCCTGGCCAACATGGTGAAACCCCATCTCTGCAAAAAACACAAAAATTAGCTGGGCATGGTGGCAGGCACCTGTAATCCCAGCTACTTGGGAAGCTGAGGCACGAGAATTGCTTTAGCCTGGGAGGCAGAGGTTGCAGTGAGCCGAGATTGTGCCACTACACTCCAGTCTGGGTGACAGGGTGAGACCCGTCTTAAAAAAAAAAAAGAATAAGCAGATTTATCTTTATGTCAGGTGATCTTGGTTCCTTAACAGTCATCACCTATTGTGCAAAGGCTGAGGATGAATTTGACAAAATCACACAGTATGTGTGCATCAAAATGTTGGCCCAGCAGGTCTGAATGCTCAGCAGTTGCTCAGATCCTGCACATTCTAAAGAAAGGCTTGGGTTTTGAATGGTTCCTGGGAGATAACCTCCAAGCCCTTGGAACATCCTGCCTGATAAAAGGGTGCACTTTCCTGGGGCCTTGAGCCACATCAGATAGTCTGTCCTATCAGTGTCATTTATGGTGTGGGCCTTGGGTGACATGTTAACCATCTGACCTCTGGAGAAGCTGGAGTCTGAAGTACAAAGGTCAGCCACATGGGCACTCCATGATGAGTGACTCCCAATAAAACTCCTGGACAGCAAGGCTCAGGGGGGCTTCCCTGGTGGGTGGCACTTTATACCTGCTGTCATACATCCTTGCTGTAAGAATTAAGCACCATCTCTACAACTCCATTAGAAGAGGACGGCTGAAACTTGTGCCTGGGCTTTCCTTGATTCTGCCATATGCTCCTTTTATTTTGCTGATTTTGTTTATATCATTTTGTAGTAATAAACCATATCCCTGAATAAACAGATTTCCTGAGATCCGTGAGTCCTTCTAGCAAATTGTCATACTGGATGATGGTCTTGGGAACTCCCCAAAACCATGAATTAAAGAATAAACTTTATTAAGAAAGCAGAAACTTACAAGCCAAGAGTCATCAAGGAGGAGAAGCCACAGGTTCCCAGATTTCCTCTTGATGCAGAGAGGGTCAAAGGAAGCCAGGGACAAGGTATTTGGCTGGCCATGCATGGGAGGTGTGTCTGTCTAGAGGAGAACTCACTTCTCTGGTAGTTCTCCCTTTTTATACGGAAATCATGAGCACACTAATTAGATCCCTGTATTAGTCCATTTTCATGCTGCTGATAAAGATGTACCTGAGACTGGGCAACTTACAAAAGAAAGAGGTTTATTGGACTTACAGTTCCATGTGGCTGGGGAAGCCTCACAATCATGGCGGAAGGTGAAAGGCACATCTCACATGGCAGCAGACAAGAGAAGGGCTTGTGCAGGGAAACTCTCATTTTTATATAACCATCAGATCTTGTGAGACTTACTCACTATCATGAGAACAGCATGGGAAATACCTGCCCCAATGATTCAATTACCTCCCACCGGGTCCCTCCCACAATATGTGGGAATTCAAGATGATATTTGGAAGGGGACACGGCCAAACTGTATCAATCCCTTTGGTGGCTTCTTGGCTGGTTTTTGTGTTAGGAATTGCCAAAGAAAGCCAGCTACTCAGCACCGAGAGATCTTGGGCATCATTAGTCCCAGAGAAGACAATCTGGAGTTTCATTTACTCTTCTGGAAAAAACAGTGAAACTCTGGTCCCACAGGCTCATTATATAGGCAGCCCAGAGTGAACTCCCACATTATTTTTGTGCACTGTAAACAACGCTTTGACTACATGTTGGACATATCACAGTTTCCTTCTGAATGATACAGTGCTACTCTATTAGGAGGTCATTTATAAGTCAATCTCAGTTATTCTTTTTTTTTTTTTTTTTTTTTTTTTTTTGAGACGGAGTCTCGCTCTGTCGCCCAGGCTGGAGTGCAGTGGCGGGATCTCGGCTCACTGCAAGCTCCACCTCCCGGGTTCACGCCATTCTCCTGCCTCAGCCTCCCAAGTAGCTGGGACTACAGGTGCCCGCCACTACGCCCGGCTAATTTTTTGTATTTTTAATAGAGATGGGGTTTCACCGTTTTAGCCGGGATGGTCTCGATCTCCTGACCTCGTGATCCGCCCGCCTCGGCCTCCCAAAGTGCAATCTCAGTTATTCTAAACCTGTCTGAGATACCAGAGTTAATGTCAAATATTTTATTCATGTATTCATAGGTAAGACCTTCAAGTCATAAGATAATGAATGAATGAATACATACATACATACATATTATGCCAATTAATAATAAGCATATGGAGAAAAATAAGACAGGGAGGGAGAATAGGGCTGGAGGGGGATTTGCTATAGGATGGTCAGGAAGGTTGCTGAGAATATCACGTTTAAACAGAGACTTGGTCGGGCACGGTGGCTCACGCCTGTAATCCCAGCACTTTGGGAGGCCGAGGAGGGTGGATCATCTGAGGTTGGGAGTTTGAGACCAGCCTGACCAACATGGAGAAACCCATCTCTACTAAAAATGCAAAATTAGCCAGGCATGGTGGTGCATGCCTATAATCCCAGCTACTCAGGAAGGTTGAGGCAGGAGAATTGCTTGATCCTGGGAGGCAGATGTTGCGGTGAACCGAGATGGCACCACTGCACTCCAGCCTGGGCAACAAGAGAGAAATTCGGTCTCAAAAAAAAAAAAAAAAAGCAGAGACTTGTAGGCAGTGAAGGAGACAGTCATGCAGATATTTCAGGGAAAGATATTTTAGACAGAAAAGAAAGCCATGGAAAGTTAGAAGTGTGCCTGACATGTTCATGGAAAAACAAGAAGGCCAGCATGGCTGAATGGAGTGAGTGCAAGGAGAGTAACGAAGTCACCTGGATGGTGGGATTGGCTAGTAGAAGGCTTTAGGCCATTGGAAGAGCTTTGGCTTTTGCTCTGAGTGAAGTGAGAAAGCCATCTAGGGTTCAGGGAAGAGATCTGGGTTGGAGATAAAATTTGGGAATCACTAGCAAAACAAACAGGAAGAAGTTAGGAAAAAATCGACTCTCCTGTGAAGGGTTTCAGTCAAAACTGGTGATTCTTTTTCTTGAAGTTGTGATACTCAAAGTGCTATGCTCAGCCATCTCAAAAATTCCCATATGCAGTAATGCTTACTTTTTCCAGATGCTAGATAAAGGGGCTATTACTATTCTATATTTCACATCTGTATTTGTGAAAACCCTTGAAATTATTGGTTGATGAAAAGAAGTTTTCTCTAATCACACAGAAATTCCAGCTAGCAGGGCCAAGTGTTCCAAGTGGACACTTACGCACTTCTGCCTTTTGCTCTCCTAACTGGCAGCAATTTAACAGGCAGCCTACCCTCTGCCTACTCTCCTAACTGGCAGCAATTTTAATCGTCATCAAGTACAGATCCGTAACAGTATGGGACAAGACTCACCGAAATATAGTTGGACAAGTCTCAATTCATGTCCTTTCCCCTCTTTTTCCTTCTCCATGTGTTTTAATTTGTTTCTATCTTGGGGCACATCATTACGTTTTCAAGCTACATGTTTAAAACTGGAGCAAAGGATAGCAAAACCAACATTCGTGTTAGATTACCTCTTAGCACTGTGGAAAGGAAAATTTTCCTTGAGTCTGTCATTTAATGAATACATTTCAGAGTGTGAAATTTGATCAACAGAATTTCAGAGTTAGCCCTGCACATTCTCCTACCTACACACTACTGATACTTGCTCCAACGCAGGGTGTCTTGCTGGCAAGCGGCCTAAAAGGCTTCTCTATATGTTGTGTGTGTATTCTATTGGACTTCTTGTCTGAATTACTAAGATCTCTCTAAGTTAAGCAGAGGGCAATAGCCTTCTTTTGGAACTCTAGCTAAAAATCGTCTTTTATTTTGGCCTCATCTTGCATTCTCTCCACAGGCATGGAAACGCCATAAAGTCATGCATACTGAGGAATGATGGCCCTGTAGATTCTTACTCTTGGTAAGGGGCAGAGAAACCATCCTATAACCTGTGACCTGTTTTCTCACAAGTCACCAGGAGATGGGGAATTCCTTCCTGAGATGAATGGTAGGGTGTGATATTCATTGTTTCCGTTACACAAAATGATAAATAATTTTGAAAACCAAAGAAAGAGTTCCACTGGCATGTATGTGTGCTTACTTTTTTCACATATTGATCAAATAATCTGATTGCTGTTTACATCTTGCTAATGCATACGAGGTCTTTTGAACAAATCTTGCACTCGTAATTTAAACTGCAGAGACAGCCACAGAATTTTATCTTCTCACTGGGAAACTATTTTCTCCATATGTGTTTTGATGATGACAGGCCTTTTTCCATCTTGCGGCTGTTCTTCCTTGGGGGAATAGAAATGTAAGGAATAATTTCTGATTTGATATTTGCTGTTCTACTCACGTACCACTGCAGTTTAAAAACTACCTACAAACTTGCCAACAATTTACTTTTAAAACTACACTTTGGGAAAACAAGAGGCAAAAAGGAAGAGAAGGAAGACTCTTAAAATAATACATTTGAGAATATATGTGAAATATTTGGAAGGATGTGATTCACTAATTCTCCTGGGTGCATAACATTGCATAAAGCTACATATATGGGGCTTGGTTAAGGCCATTTCTAAGCTAAAATTTTATAATTCTGCAGATAGGAAGTACCATTGTAAGCAAAAATGTATTCTTCTATATCTCACATAATTCAAAATTGTCATAGTTCATCACTATTCTAGAAAACAATGATGGGTGTTTCTGTTTACTAGTTAAAATGACACAGCCATAAGAAAGTAGCATAAACACAATTCAGAATTCACAGGGTTTATCGGCTTTGAAACTATAATTTTTAATATTTTTAAACTTAGAGGATTGACATTATTCTGAATTTTTTGCAAAATCAAGACTTAGTTAATATCACACTACTTGAAGTCTTTAAAACTCAAAATTTTATATAACGTAATGATACTGTATAATGCAGAGAAGTGTTAGTTTGATACCAAAGGAAATAAAAAATTGTACATTGGGGCTGGGCGTAGTGGCTCATTCCTGTAATCTCAGCACTTTGGGAGGCCGAGGATGGCGGATAATGAGGTCAGGAGTTCGAGACCATCCTGGCTAACATGGTGAAACCCTGTCTCTACTAAAAATACAAAAATTAGCCGGGCGTGGTGGTGCACGTCTGTAGTCCCAGCTACTTGGGAGGCTGAGGCAGGAGAATTGCTTGAACCTGGGAGGCGGAGGTTGCAGTGAGCCAAGATCACGCCACTGCACTTCAGCCTGTGTGACAGAGCAAGACTATCTCAAAAAAAAAAAAAAATTGCACATTGTGCACAATTCCATAGGTCAAAGGATGGCCAAACATTTATATTTCTTTCTTCTCTTAATATTACCAGGCTAATACCCATACAATAGTTGCAGACTCTAGACCTAGAACAAACAAATCTTAAAATTTGTCTTTTTTGTCATACATATCTTTTTAAAACATTTGTGCTCACTTTCAGAAACAAGAGGCTCACCTGGTGCCAATAACCAGCCCATTGATTTCTTCTTCTTTCTCCCTCAAACATGATCCTTCTCCCTTGTTCTCCATCTCAGTGAAAAGCACTTACATCTAGCCTGAACCCTGAGACTCATTCCAGCCATCTGCCTCACTCAATCTGCTCAGCTTACCTATCACCCAATCCTGAGGCTTTACCCCCAAAATCCTCTTCTCCGTCTCTTCTGCTGCTCCTTGGCCAAGCCACTACCATGCCTCCTCAATCTGGTCTCCCTACTTTCTTCCCTGGGCCTCCCTTTTAAATCTATCCCCCACACAGGAGCTGAGAGGTATTTAAAAATGCACATTGGATCATGTTCCACCAGTGCTTAAAGACTTTTAATATGTGCTTGCAATACAAGAAAAATCCTTACATTTGATCTACCAGCCCTTGCAGACCCTGGCTCCATCCAACTACTTCTTCATTTGCTGCACAACATTTTGTTCTCTCAGGAATGTACACACACACTGGCCTTCTAGCTCCTGAAGCCATGGGCCACTGGCCTAGCTCAGGACCTTCAAACACACGGTTCCCTCTCCATGCAATGATCTGCCTGGCCAAAGCCCACTCACCCTTCAGGTTTTAGCTGAAATAGACCTTCTCAGAAAACCTTTTACTTTTCCTTCATAGTACTTAACCACAATTGAAATGACACATATATGTGTGTCTATATGTATGTGTGTACCATCAAATGTAATTGAATTCATTATATAAATGTGTGTACAAACACACACACAGATAGATGTGTACCTTGTGTAATGTGTATCTCTCATGACAACAGGCAACATACCTACCCTATCTCACTGCTGCATTACCCAGCATATAACCTTCCTAGCATACATTAGGCACTTAATACATTCTATTGAATATATTCATATCTAATTATTAAGAATCATTAATTTCTAATTTGTTCCTTAGTTGAAATTCATTTTATCAATCGAATGCCAGGTGTGTACACCTGATTAAGGAGTGCCTTTAGTGCAAAGTTATGTTACATTAAAAAGTACTGTACTGAGAACCAAAGAATAAACATATGAAGCACTCATCACCTAACTTTAACACTAAGGGTGCATGCATAATTAAACCTCCAGTCATGAGTTCAATAAATAAGTGATTAGCTTGAGGACAGCACGGCCACCATTGGCAGTATCATCTCATTACTGTTTGGTAGAGGACATCATCATCTAGCCGCAGTTTAGCTACATGTATGTCTGAGTTAGTGGTTTGTGGAAGAAATAATAACAATAATGATTAAATAATGACAATTATGTAAGTATAAGTAATAGTTGTTGAGTACTTACCATGAGTCAGGTCCATTTAAATCTTACTAGATCTCCATTACATACTCTTTTTTTTTTTTGAGACTGAGTCTTGCTCTGTCGCCCAGGCTGGAGTGCAGTAGCATGATCTTGGCTCACTGCAAGCTCCGCCTCCCGGGTTCATGCCATTCTCCTGCCTCAGCCTCCGGAGTAGCTGGGACTACAGGCACCTGCCACCACGCCTGGCAATTTTTTTTTTTTGTATTTTTAGTAGAAATGGGGTTTCACCATGTTAGCCAGGATGGTCTCAATCTCCTGACTTCATGATTGGCCCACCTCAGCCTCCCAAAGTGCTGGGATTATAGGCATGAGCCACCGAGCCCAGCGTACATAGTTATTCTTACAGGTTGGTCATCCCTAATCCAAAAATCTGAAATCTGAAATCCTCCAAAACTGGAAATACTTTGCTTACCAACATGACGCCATAAACGGAAAATTCCACACCTGACCTCATGTGATGAGTTGCAGACAAAATGCAGTCAAAACTTTGTTTCTTGCATGAAGTTATTAAGAATATTGTATAAAATTGGCTGGGTGCGGTGGCTCACGCCTGTAATCCCAACACTTTGGGAGGCCAAGGCAGGCGGATCACGGGGTAAGGAGATCGAGACCATCCTGGCTAACATGGTGAAACCCCGTATCTACTAAAAATACAAAAAATTAGCCAGGCGTAGTGGTGGGCACCTGTAGTCCCAGCTACTCGGGAGGCTGAGGCAGGAGAATGGCTTGAACCCGGGAGGTGGAACTTGCAGTGAGCTGAGATCGCGCCACTGCACTCCAGCCTGGGGGACAGAGAGAGACTCCGTCTCAAAAAAAAAAAAAAAAAAGAATATTGTATAAAATCACTTTGTGCTATGTGTATAAGGTGTACATGACATATAAATGATTTCCTGTTTAGATTTGGGTCCCATGCCCAATATATCTCATTATGAATTATGCAAATTTCCAAAATCCAAAAAAATCTGAAACCTGAAATACTTCTGGTCCCCTGCATTTCAGATATGGAATACTCAACCTGTCCTGAGGAACTATATAGTGATCTATATCTTTTAATTCATCTTCATGACAACCCTGTTAATTGGTCATCATTTTCATCCATGAGGGAAGTGGCACCAAGAGTGTGCCCACCGTCACCTGTCCGGGAAAGGGCATCCAGCAGGCAGCATGGGGCACACCTCTCCCTGTGGCTCAGGTGAATGCTGCCAAAGGGAACTGACCCATGTGCGGAGAGTCGCAAATCAGTGTGGAATCAAAGCTGGAGAAAATGGGAGACGGGGGCTGAGCAGGAATGGGTGGGACTGGAGCTGGCTGAATCCCACAAGCTTCCAGCACAGGCTTCCATGAGTGGTCAAATCCCTCTGAAGGAGGGGGTTAGGCAGGCAGATCCCTGCCCAGCAGTCCCGTCTCCCTGCCTGCCTGGCCAGGAGTCAAGGGAGCATTATCTCCGTCCTGGTTCTGGGAAGGCCTCTTCCATTGATATTCTGCTTTGCTTCCTCCCTTTTCCTCTGCACCATTCCTGCTGTTATGGTGAGAATCGTCCTTTCCTGGAACAAAACAAACATACTCCTCTAGGAGAGCATTAGTCTTTTGTGCCCAGACAGCCTGAAGTTAAATCCTCTAAGCACAGACTTTTCACTGCAGCTGCACAGAGCACAGCCGCGCGGTCCTATGTCTCCCGAGGTGGCTGTTTGGGTTCCTGGTGTCTAGTGCCCAAACTCACCACACTGGCGTCAGGTGGACTCTGATGTGCACCTCCCACCTCAGGCCTGCAGACACCCTCGGCTCCTGCTCTAGGCTGCAAGTGTTGGTGCCCTCCCAGACTTCCTTGGTGTGTTTGCTGGGAAAGAAATTCTTCCTCAGGTGCCTGCTGGCAGAAAGATGTCTACCGTTGTCCAGATGGCCTGTCGTCTCCTTGTTTCCCTCTCTCCCTTGGCCATCTTCTGGCTGACTCTTGGCTGAGGCTGGAAGCCATCCCCTTGTGCAGGGCTGCTCCGACCTGCTTCAGGACTGCAATCCCCACAGCAGCGTGGTCCAGGCTCCACAGCATCTCCATTGCTCAGCGCTTAGACACGCCAACCCGTCCCGGTACAGTGTCTGTAATCTCTGATTCAAACAGGTCTTTAAACAGCGTAGTCATATTCTACTGATTATTTTCTCCAATAAACAAATATAAATGTTTTTACACCCTGGTTTCAGTTGCAGCAACTCTATTCAAATATCTGGCTGTGAAAATCGAAGACAGTTTAAGGACTGTTGCAGGCATCCACTTAGCCCTTCAATAATGTGTTCAATACCCCTAAAAGTGACAGCAAATCAAGGATGAAATGAAACAGTAAACAGAGCGAAGGCAGATTTCACATATGGCAGCAGCTCTGTCATTTCAAGCTTTAGCCGGAACACTGGATCAAAATGCCGAGCGTGGCAGCTGGAACTTGCAAGTCCCAGATGAGTTGTTTTGGCTGCTGACATGGAGAATGCTTTTTGCACCATGTATTCTAAATGAAAAGGAAAAAAATTAATGTAGGGCAAAGTTTATCTCATCCTATAGAGACTTCCATGCCCCAGGAAACCCTGTAAGAGGCGTGAATCCATGCACTCTATTCCCATTTGCCCCTCACTGGAAATAGCAGGGACACAAGAGAAGTCCAAGAGCTCTACCAGCTCTGAACAGTCTCATTCATCAGCAGCATCCTCTCAAGCCCAAGGCCTTTTTCCTCCAGGCCTGGTATTCATCACTTTTCCTATAAGTCTCCTGTGTTTGTTAGGGTTTCTTCCCTAGGGTTCCCTGTTTCTATTTCTCACTCTGGCTGCCATTCAGATTCCCCTGAAGTTATTTCACTCTTCTGCGTGACACATTTCCTGGAGAGGTCCATGTCAACCCCTTCCCTCTCGGACTCTAGGACTCTCCATGGGGTCCCCTCAGCCCTTTCTGAGATGAGGTTCTGGGAACAGGCATCTCTGCAAGCTGCAAACTCTGGCATTCCTCGTTAACTGGCTACTGGGGCTTAATGTCACTCTCCTCTTCTGCTCTTTCTGTGTCTCCAATTTAAAGAGTCATGAGGTAGAGCCACCTGTCTGCTCTCTACTGTGTTTATTAATATATTTAGACAAGGCTAATCCCTCTACTGTACTGGGACATTACCCAGTGGGCTTTCTATGGTCTTGGGGACTGACATTCCAGCATCTCCCAAGCCCAGTTGTAGGGATGTGACTAAGGAATGCTTGTCAAAAGATGGTGCCTAATTGAGTGGCCAGATCCTTTCATGCCTTTCAGTGACAGTGCCTTTGTAGTGTCCTGGATGTCATGTGGTGATGTGTGAATTGCCTGGCTCAGCTCCACTGCTGTCTGAAATAGCTCCTCACACATGGTCCGCAGGGTCAGTTGCCACAGAGACCACATTGCAAGAGGGATTTTCCACGTCTGTTTAAAAGCTGGAATTAATATTGTTAGGTGAGAGGTGAAGCAACTCCTCTTATTGTGTCTTTTAAACTCTTATCAGGGCCAGAAAACAACAGCCTGCAGATTCAATCCAGCTCACTGCCCAGTGTAAATAAAGTTTTATTGGAACACAGCCACTCACCCACTCATTCACAGTTTGTGTTGGCTGCTTTCACACCACAACAAAGCTGAGAGGTTGCAACAGAGACCTCAGTGGCCTGCAGCACCTAAAATATTCACCTTCTGGCTCTTCTCAGAAAAAGTGTGCCAACTCTTGGACTCTATCACTGATTCTGAGATGTGTTCTTTTTTTTTTTTTTTTTTTTTTTGAGACGGAGTCTCGCTCTGTCGCCCAGGCTGGAGTGCAGTGGCGCCATCTTGGCTCACTGCAAGCTTTGCCTCCTGGGTTCACGCCATTCTCCTGTCTCAGTCTCCTGAGTAGCTGGGACTACAGGTGCCCACCACTACGCCCGGCTAATTTTTTATATTTTTAGTAGAGACGGGGCTTCACCGTGTTAGCCAGGATGGTCTCGATCTCCTGACCTCTTGATCCGCCCTCCTCGGCCTCCCAAAGCATTGGGATTACAGGCGTGAGCCACCGCACCCGGCCCATATTTCTTCTTTAACTGCTATGCTTCCTTTTGAATTTTGTTGGTTTGAAGTATGTTAGTGGTTATTGGAAAATACTATTAGTTTTGATTTATCAAAGATATCTTTGTTTTGTTCTTATTGAATGATATTTTAATCAGGTATAGGCTGATTATTATTTTCATTCAGCACATTAAAATCTGTGCCTACTGTATGATGTCTGCCATTGCTGTTTTTGAAAGGTCCCCTGCCAGTTAATTGCAGTTCTTTTAGGTATCATTTACCTGTGACCGACTTCATGACTGTTTCCCCTTGTCCATGTTGTTCTTCACTTTCTTTTTTGTTTTTTTCTTTTCTTTTCTTTCTTTTCTTTTGAGACAGAGTCTCATTCTGTCTCCCAGGCTGGAGTGCAATGGCACGATCTCTGCTCACTGCAGCCTCCGCCTCCTGGGTTCAAGCGATTCTCATACCTCTCAGCTTTCTGAATAGCTGAGATTACAGGCACACACCACCACACCCGGCTAATTTCTTTTTTCTTTTTTCTTTTTTTTTTTTTTTTTGAGACGGAGTCTTGCTCTGTCACCTAGGCTGGAGTGCCATGGCTCAATCTCGGCTCACTGCAACCTCCAGCTCCCGGGTTTAAGTGATTCTCCTGCCTCAGCCTCCCGAGTAGCTTGGATTACAGGCATGTGCCAACACACCCGGCTAATTTTGGTATTTTTAGTAGAGACAGGATTTCACCATGTTGGCCAGGATGGTCTCAATCTCCTGACCTCGTGATCCGCCCACCTTGGCCTCCCAAATTGCAGGGATTACAGGCGTGAGCCACCGCGCCTGGCCCACACCTGGCTAATTTTTTGTATTTTTAGTAGAGACGGGCTTTTGCCACGTTGCCCAGGCTGTGTTCTTCACTTTCATTATGTTGTTTGTTAGTGTTTTATTTATCAGGCTTGGTTGAGAGTCACTCACTTCTTGAATCTATGGATTTATTTTTTTTTTGTCAGTTCTGGAAATTTCAGAATAGGGAAATTGCAGAAGAGGGAGAGGCACGGTGACATGAGTGCCTCTCCCTATTCTGCACTCTCTGCAATTCCATTCAGTGTTTATTAGATTTTTCTCACTGTATCTTAGGTCTTAACCTCTTTTTCTTATTTTTCATCAGTTTCTTTGCTGTAGGCTAAATTCTGGAAAATTTCATCAGGTCTACCTTCCAGTTCACTAATTTCTCTTCAGCTAAGTCTTGATCAGTTGAACAACATTCATTCAATTTTTTATTTGCATTGTTATATTTGTAATTTTTAGAAATTCTTCTTGGCTCTTATTCCAATCTGCTAGATCTCTTTCTAATCTTTTCCTCATTACTATTTTCAATCCTTTATCTATTTTATTTAAAATATTTAAATATTTATTGTTTGATAACTTCAATATATAATATCTTATTCCAGTTCTGCTAATTTTTGGTTCAGTTGAGTCTTGCTCGAAGGCCTTGTTTCCTTGTAAATTTTGTGAATTTTGACTGTGGAGCTTTTATCTGAAGGAATCCCTTGAAACCCAGGTTGGAGTGGGGACGGAATTCCTCCCTCCAGAAAGGATTTGCATTTTCCTGTGTTGGCTCTTGGGGGTCTCACCTATGTGTGACTTCTTTAAGCTAGTTTATAGGATTACAGCTTTCGAGGACCCTTGTGATGTGAATTTGGGCTCATACCTGCTTAAGGCCTAGTATGGTGTTATGAATTCTAGGTGGAGTTTTTTTTCTTTGCTTATACCCAATCTTGAAAACAGGATGTTTCTCTAGCTATCTTGGGGGTAGGAATGTGGGTTTGTTTCCAGTTCCCCCTTACTCTGAGGATTAGCCATTTGGATGGAGTTGAGCTTTCTTTGCAAGGCATGGGGGCAGACTTCTCACCTGGGGTCGACTCAGGCTCTGTCTCTTTTCCCTCATGCTCTAAAAAGCTATGGAAACTAAGTTCACGTTCATCTAAGTTAGCAAATGCTTTGCTTTGGAAAATGCCTGCTTCCTTCCCCCTCTGAATTGCCACTTGCCAGGTCACTGTTGCATCTAAAACAATTTTAAAAAATATTTGGCCAGACACAGTGGCTCACGCCTGGAATCCCAGCACTTTGGGAGGCCGAGGCAGATGGATCATCCGAGGTCAAGCGTTTGAGGCCAGCTTGGCCAACATGGTGAAACTCCGTCTCTGCTAAAAATACAAAAATTAGCTGGGCAAGTAATCACAGTTACTCAGGAGGCTGAGGCAGGAGAATCGCTTGAACCCAGGAAGCAGAGGTTGTGGTGAGCCAAGATCACGCCACTGCACTCCAGCCTGGGTGACAGAGCAAGACTGTCTCAACAAAAACAAAAAACAAAAAACAAAAATGATACCCAGGGCTGTGCGCGGTGGCTCATGCCTGTAATTTCAGCACTTTGAAAGCCGAGAAGGGCAGATCACTTGAGGTCAGGAGTTTGAGACCATCCTGGACAACATGATGAAACTCTGTCTCTACCAAAAATATGAAAAAATTATCCGGGCGTGGTAGTGGGTGCCTGTAACCCCAGCTACTCAGGAGGTGGAGGCAGGAGAATCACTTGAACCCAGGAGGCAGAGGCTGCAGTGAGTGGAGATCATGCCACTGCACTCCAGCCTGGGTGATAGAGCAAGTCTCTGTCTCCAAAAAGAAAAGAAAAGAAAAGAAAAGAGACCCAGAATTTTTAGGCTTTTTTTTTTTTTTAATGGAGTCTTGCTCTGTTGCCCAGGCTAGAGTGCAGTGGCGTGATCTCGGCTCACTACAAGCTCTGCCTCCTGGGTTCATGCCATTCTCCGGCCTCAGCCTCCCGAGTAGCTGGGACTACAGGCTCCCACCACCATGCCCGGCTAATTTTGTTTTTGTATTTTTAGTAGAGATGGGGTTTCACCGTGTTAGCCAGGATGACCTCTATCTCCTGACCTCGTGATCCACCTGCCTTAGCATCCCAAAGTGCTGGGATTACAGGCATGAGCCACTGTGCCCAGCACAGAATTTGTAGTTTTAAGTAGGATCACCGCTCAGGTTTTGCCATGGTGATAGAGACAAAAGCCTAAAACTGAGACTTTCTTGAAAAGTCAACTTAAATCTCTAGCTTCAAGAGACTTCATGTGTGCATAACACGAATACAGTTTAAATATGCCTTTTTTGGATAACACGTTATAAACTAAGAGTTAACAAAATGTTTACTGTGTTTGTAGTGACTGTGATAATATTACATGCTTATTACAGACATGGAGTGAAATGGAAAAGTATCAAGAATAAAGTTAATATCACCACTAATTTCTACTATCCAGAAGCAGCCACCAATCATATTTTGTTATGCCGACTTTTGCCCAGATTTGGATATGCTTCCTATTTTTAAATAGTTGAGAAAGCATTGTTCCAGATAGATTTATTTAATTAGAAGGTTATGATTCTTCTTTTGAGATGTGAGTCACAGAATAGCATTATTTCTCTCTCTTTCTATTCTGAGGTCATTGAAGATCAGTTAACTACTTGGAAGATACACTATCTTTCTCAGCATAATCTATCCTGGTGGATCTAATTAAAAAGAATCCAGTCTGAAAACCATCAGGGAGTAGTAACTGAAGAAACAGTGCCACTCAGTGAGGGGTGCTAAAGTGTTTAAGTTTAATGGACTAGTGCCACGCAGAAACGACATGGCCATCACTCAAATGCTGCTATAGGCTGTCTGAGCTCCATGCAACAGAAAGGGGAGTATGATGAAATCAGGACTGGGATTGAAAGGATCATTGTATTTTACAAATAAAAATGCTTCAGTATGGCTGGGCGCGGTGGCTCACTCCTGTAATCCCAGCACTTTGGGAGGCCGAGGCAGGCAGATCACGAGGTCAGGAGATCGAGACCATCCTGGCTAACACGGTGAAACCCCGTCTCTACTAAAAATACAAAAACAAACTTAGTCGGGCATGGTGGCGGGCGCCTGTAGTCCCAGCTACTCGGGAGGCTGAGGCAGGAGAATGGCGTGAACCTGGGAGACGGAGCTTGCAGTGAGCCGAGATCGCGCCACTGCACACCAGCCTGGGCGACAGAGCGAGACTCCGTCTCAAAAAAAAAAATGCACTTCAGTAAGTTTCACATGAGCTCAGATCTCTGCAGGCCTGTCTCAGACAGTGCACACAGCTCAGGTCCCATGCAAATGCCTGGGCATGCCTGTCTTAACTCTCACAGATGGGGGCTTTCATTCAAGTTACTAAAATGGCCAATTGATCTGAAATATTTTGGTCCATAACCATGCTTATCTGTCCATTAAAGCCTGGAAGAGAGCCTCCCAGAACAAACAGACCCAGTTTCCAGGTGGGCAGAGACGTAGTGGTTGTTGAACATTGTGGAAGAGGATTCCAATGAAATAACCCAAGGCCAGAGATATCGGTAATCCTGGAGAAAAGCTGAGCGCTTCCCCTTAGACCTCAATGAGCAAAAAGATGAAGTGTCGTTTTTAAACTCCTTCAGTGAGAAGTCCTAGATGGCTGTACACTACTGTTTGGTTTTGGAGAGCCCAGTGAAAGATAACAGTCACTGAGCTTTATTTAGGGTGAGCAGGATCTTTTTTTTTTTTTTTGAGACAGAATCTTGTTCTGTTGCCAGGCTGGAGTGCAGTGGCAAGATCTCGGCTCACCGCAACCTCCGACTCCCTGGTTCCAGTGATTCTCCTGCCTCAGCCTCCCGAGTAACTGGGATTACAGGCATGTGCCACCAAGCCCAGCTAATTTTTGTATTTTCAGTAGAGATGGGGTTTCACCATGTTGGCCAGGAAGGTCTCCATATCCTGACCTCTTGATCCGCCTGCCTCAGCCTCCCAAAGTACTGGGATTACAGGCGTGAGCCACCTCGCCTGGCCAAGGATCTCTTTCTACAACAAAAAGCACAGGCTCTGCCGTCACAAAGATGTAAATCCAAATGCTAGGCCAGTCACTTCCTGGCAGTGCAAACTCACAAAAGGTACTTAACATCTCCTCTATAACATGGTGATTATAATACTTATCATGGCAGAGTTGCAGGAAGGATTGAAAATGATCTCTCTAATGCACCCAGCGCAAGGTAAATGGCAGTTACTCCACTTGACTGTGTAAGTCCCTGATATCTGGGACCAACTTTGGTCTCAATGCCTCTGAAATACCTGGCACAGAGTAGTTTTTCTATAAATACTCATCAAATGAAAGGATAAAGTACTTAGTTATAGCACGAATCAATGCGTGGGAAGACCGAGGCAAAGGCGTGTTGCTGTCCCACCAGGAAGCTTTTAATGTAACAACACTTGTTGATGACTGCTTTTCTTTTCTCTTCTCTTCTCTCCTTTTCTTTTCCCTCTCCTCTCCTCTCCTCTTCTTTCTTTATTTTTAGAGACAGGGTCTCTCTCTGTCACCTGGGCTGGAGTACAGTGGTGCACTCACAGCTCACTGCAGCCTCAAACTCCTGGGCTCAAGCAATGTCCCTGCCTCATCCTCTTGCCTCAGCCTCAAGAATAGCTTGGGACTCTAGGTGTGCACCAACATGCCTGGCTAATTTTTTTTTAATAACTTTTTTTGTAGAGATGAGATCTTGCTTTGTTTCTCAGCCTGAGCTGACTTCTGATGGGAGCATTCCAACTAGTCCAAGGTTGGAAGTTGTCCATTCTCTGCCTGCTCCAGCCTCAGGCAACTAGACGTGCAGGCAGCCCCTTACGTCCATGCTGATCGCCTGAGCCCTGATGACCACCAGACTGACCAGAAGCCCATGGACACCAGCTGTGCTGAACCCCACCTGCCTTTGCCTCTCTTCCCCAGTTACCTCTCACCCTGTCCACCTACACCACTCACGTGGCCTGGGACCCACCACCTCCCCATGTCACTTACGGGAAATGGAACCAGATAGAAGCAGAAAGGGAAGGAGCACATTTACAGGTATAGGGGAAGAGGACCTGAAAGTCGAGCCTCACTATGCAAAACTATCCAATAGTTTTACCTGGAGGCTGATTTAATAAATTATAGCAGTGAGTCAGTAGGGTGATGTCAGATAAATGAAATATTTAACACGATGTAATAATCCCTCCAGTAATGTTAGAATGTTCACATTTGTTAATCTAAAGCACTCCCTGATGAGACAGCTGAATGGCTGAACACTCTGGAAGGCTGCTGTCTAAACCATGGGACTTAGAGAGTCAGGGAATGGGGTCCCTCTATCCTGCTCCTTCTGGGTGGTGGGATTTACCCCTCAACAAGGCATGTTTACCTCTAATTAATGAATAATGGATTTATGGATACCTAGGAAAATACAAATTCTCTCTCTCTTTGTCTGTTTCTCTCCCCCCACAACCCCATTCCACGGACAGAATCTGCCCGAGCCTCCTATGTGCTCCCTTCTTGGGTTGAGGATCCGGGAAACGTGTCTCTGCTTATCTCTCACCTTGTAATTTGGTTTCCGCTGTGAATTGAGGAGCCATACAATAGATGCTTCCCAGCCGGTGGTTGGTTTGCTTGTTCACAAAGCTGACTGGTATCAGCTGAGGCTTTGTTAACTTTCAGGTTTCTATTTAACGGCAATAAAAGAAAAAGGGAAATAGAAAGCCTTTCTTCAGAATTCTCAGGCTTACACAAAATAGAGCTGTTATTTCAAGACCAAACTGCTCACATTATCCACTCATGGCACGGTTACTAATTTATGTATTAAGCAGTTGGTATCTATTTCTGGATTATTTTCATTCTATAATTAAACAGCACCACCTTCAACGAGGACAAAGACAATTGTCACAGTGTCCCAGCGGTCTCCTTCTCTGGCTGTACAATTGCACACTCACTCTTTCACAGAACTGCAAATTCACCCACAGACCAGGCTGACTGTGTGACATGGACCAACATTGCTGCTGTCACTGCCAATCTCTATGGGATTCTTCTGCCCTGCCCTCCCCAACCCCTGCTCTGAATGGCCCACATAGGTCTCTCAGTTACCAAGAAAAACCTGGAAGAATTTACCTGGGAAACGAGTATATATTTATGTATGGCTGCTTTCTTCATCTTTTAAATGGAAATTTGTCTTATTCGATTTTTTTTTTTTTTTTTTTTTGAGACAGAGTCTCGCTTTTTTTGTCATTGCCCAGGCTGGAGTGCAGTGGCACGATCTCAGCTCACTGCAACCTCCACTTCCTGGGTTCAAGTGATTTTCCTGCCTCAGCCTCCTGGGTAGCTGGGATTACAGGCATAAGCCACCATGCCCGGGCAATTTTTGTATTTTTAGTAGAAGCAGGGTTTCACCATGTTGGCCAGGCTGGTCTTGAACTCCTGACCTCAGGTGATCCGCCCACCTCGGCCTCCCAATTGCTGGGATTACAGGCGTGAGCCACTGTGCCCGGCCAATTTTTTTATCCAAAGTTAACGAGTCTATGTAACACATTTTCCTTGAAAGTTATTTATTTTACCGAAGTTACAAATTTATCTATGTAGAGTTGACCAAGCTAGTCTCATGGTTCTGTAAAGTTTCTCTGTATCTGCAGTTTTCTCATTAAAATTTTTTTATGTGTACGTGTGCTTTTTTAATATTCTTGACTGGTTAGCTACAATTTTGGAAATTTTTTTCTTTAAAAACAGCTCTCAGATTTATTTCTACCACTTTCTGTCTCCCAAATCATTAATTTCTGCTCTTAGCCTTAAAATGATAACATCAACATTATTTAAATTGTTAAAAGATCATGGAAAAAAGAAGCAGAGCTTTCACATTCTTTTATGAAGTCAGTATAACATTGATTTAAAATCTAACAAAAATAAAACACCCCAACTGTGCAGAAAAATCTCACCCATAAATATCAATGCAAAAACCCTAAGTCAAATGTTAGCCAATAGAACTTAGTAGCAATTTTTAAAAATACACCATGTCGGCCGGACATGTTGGCTTATGCCTGTAATCTCAGCACTTTGGGAGGCCAAGGCTGGTGGATCACGAGGACAGGAGTTCAAGACCAGCCTGGCTAAGATGATGAAACTCTGTCTCTACTAAAAATACAAAAAAAAAAAAAAAAAAAAAAAATCAGCCAGGCATGCTGGTGGGCGCCTGTAATCCCAGCTACTCGGGAGGCTGAGGCAGAGAACTGCTTGAACCCAGGAAGTGGAGATTGCAGTGAGCCGAGATCGTGCCACTGCACTCCAGCCTGGGTGACAGAGCAAGACTCCATCTCAAAACAACAACAACAAAAAAAATACACTATGTCTAAGTTTTCGTATAAATTTTACAAAGATGGTACGTTCACTGGATATGTATTAAAACATTTATTATTATTACATAAGAAAAAAATCACAAACATCTCTTTAAATACTAAGGGCTTTGATATAATATTCAACATCAATTTTATAATTTTTTAAGTAAAAAAGAAATTGATGGTTACTTCTTAGATGTGGTCTTATATTGCTGTGGTCTGAATGTCTTCCCAAAATCCACATGTTGGAACCTAATACCCAATGTGACAGTATTAAGAGATAAGGCCTTTGGGCAGTGATGAAGTCAGAGGGCTCCATTCTCCAGAATGGCCTTAGCGCCCTCCTAAAAGAGGCTCCAGGGAGTTCCCTTCCCGTCTCTGCCATGTGCCGGCCCAGCAACAAGGTGCCATCTATGAGTCCCACACCAGACACTAATCTGCCAGCACCTTGACGGTGAACTTCCTAGCCTCCAGTACTGTGAGCAACAAATAAATTTCTGTCTATTTTTTAAAAAGAAAGAAAAGAAACTCTGGAGGCCAAAAGAGAATCCATAGAGATTGCTCTTGCACAAACAGTTCATCGCCCAATTCTTTCAAGCTTGAAGTAAATTTTCAAGTTATCCGTCAATGCATTTAGTATGAAAATTATCTAATTAGCCAGATCCAGATAGCATACTTCTCCCTGTGTAGTAGATCCAGAGCTCCGTCTGTGGTGTTTCTGGTTGATAGAAGTAGAGGATGCTAATTATACAAGTTTGGGCAGTGGCCAAATCTCTATCAAAGGCTGGAAAATAATCAGCTCTGTTATTTGCAAGGAAAGCAGGGTTTTGTCACAGCCTCCAGAGGTCAAAGGCTTCCGATTTTACTGGCTGTATCACAGGAATGTCACTGTCTGGACAAGGAGCTGCCAAGAACTCGATTCCCTTGCTTCACAGAAGTGCCCGAAACAGCTGTTTTAAAGAGCTCCTCTGGAACGGCAGGTGCCGGTGAACTATCCACCTGCCTCGCGGCTGCTGGGAGCCTCCAGGCACCCTGGAATTGAGAAAGCTGTAAAAATGAGTACATATGTACGTAGTTATTCCCTTGGACATCTGGTTTTCTGTTTGTGTATCTGTGTTTTGTTTTGTTTCAAGGTCCAGACAAAATAAAGGTTATTTGGTAATATGTATTTATTGTGGGAGAATTCTGATATGTTATGCGTAGACTGCCCATTTTCCCCCTGGTTCAACCACCCAGAACAACACATGCTTCTCTGGGAGTGGAGGACAGGGCTCCTGAGCACAGGGAGTGGCTGTTTCCTTGCCTGCTGTGCTTCAGTTTCTCTCAGACGGGTTCTCGCTCTGTCACCCAGACTCATTGCAGCCTTGAACTCCTGACTTCAAGCGATCCTCCCGCCTCAGCTTCCCAAAGCGCTGGGGTTAAAGGCGTTCACCACAGTGCAGACCCTTCTCTGCTGTTTCTCCTCATCTCCTGCTGTGCCCCCACCGCTTGCCTCTGGCTGCAGCCCTGCACCCCACCTTGTGATCCCCAGAGACCTTGCTCTCTATTCTTCATCCTTCTAACGGCTTCCCCTTGATATCGCCTCTGGTATTTGCTCTCTCTTAACCACATCTCAAAAATAAATAGAAAACCATCAAGAAAAAATTCTCATAGGGAAAATGAGAAATTTGATATATTTCTATCTAGTTACATAGTACTATTATCAGCAGAAAAAAACAGTAAATAAATATAAATATTTATAATATCAGTAAATATATTCATCTCTGGATTCAAGGGGATGATTTCCTAGAGGACCAGAGGACATGGTCCTGACAGTGGTTCAGAGGAGCCATGTCTCCCTGCAGGCACAGGGCCAGCGGCTGTTCTTCCCTGGTGGCTGTTCTGTCCTGGTCTGTGCAGGGGAGGCTGAGAGGCAGGAAGAGGGGAAGCACACTTGCTTTGCTCTAACAGGCTGATCAGAAAGAACTCGTACCAGGTTCATAGCCCATGACACCTCAAAAGCTCTTTATCGCCCAGAGTTACTCACAGATGCCAACAGGAACCTGCTTCCCAAGCTATTTGGGAATGATTTCTGTTGAAGGCCCACAAACAGCTCATTAACTCCCAACCCTCCCTAATCATAAAAGACATGGAAAGAAGTATTGGGGGCTGGTGTTGGAAGTCATGTTTGATAGTTTTTTTCCTGCCAGAAAATTTTCAGGGCAGGGGAAAGAATATGGGTGATCATAGTCCTACCCAGTTGGCCATTTGGCTAGACTTGTAGTCCTAGTTATGTCAACAGCCAGGCGGAGAGGGATGCAATTCCACACTTTGCATCTATTTCTTCACTAAATTGTCACATTCCCCCAATTGATACATGAGGAATCGGAGGCTGAGAATGACCATGTAACTTGGTAGCTATGAGTAAATGTCAGAGCTAGGATTTTTAACCTAGGATTTATTGCTCCCAAAGGCCATGCTCTTCCCAGAAACTGTCTGAGGCCCAACATGTCAAGAATCCAAGTCCTTGACCCCAGGGCACAATGCGTGAGAGCTGGGCTGCCCTAAGGGTTTCAGGTCAGTCCAGTAGAAGGGTTTGCAGGAGCCTGTCCTGACAGTGACTCAGAGGAGCCATCTCACACCTGGCAGACAGAAATGAAAGAGCTGGGGTGACCGTCCTCTACTCTCCAACAGTGCAGACATGGGGGACCACAGGGAAGCCCCAGCCTCATGCTGGGGAGCAGTGGCCAGGCAGCAGTGAAGGCCCAGGCCAGCCAGACCTCATCATTTGGTTTTAAGTATCCAGAATGTTTGATAAGAGCTGCTGAAACTGACAATAAAACCTTGCAGATTTTTAAGTAGTAGCTCATTGTCACAACTGGTCCTCTCAGCAGTTGAGAAGTTTTGGTGTTATTGTTGTTGAAATAATGCATTTAACTCAAATAAAAAATCCAGTGAGGAGTTCTGCTACTTCCTATAACCTCACTCCCCACCCAATACTCAGATATCTTGAATGAACCCAGTTACACTGGGGGATATAGGGAATCTTCAGGTCCCTGTTCCCGCTAGACTTAACATGGTCCTCAGAGGGGAGCTTGGTGTGGTCTCTGGAACAGTGCTTGATTTTAGTGCTGTAGTGCCAGGATGAGGGTCTTCTTGTTAAGCAGAGGTTTCTGAGTTTTGAATGGGTCATCCTGGAATCTTGAGAAGGGCCAGGAACAAGAGAAGCACAACATTAGGTTGTCCCTGGATTTGCTTTACAAAGTGGGTGTCCCAGCTATGGATAGGCTAAGACTGAATAGTCATACAGTGCAGTAGGCACATTGAGGACATCATTATCATTCCCTTTTATCCATTTATTGATTAGATAGTTAAAACTTTCAATGTTATCTTGAAGTTATCCAGTGATTCAGTGATATTTTATGTTGGAGGAAGGAAAATGTCAGAGGGTTTCTAATTTATTTTTTATTTTATTTTGTTATTATTATTATTTTTTAAATTTAGAGACAAGAGTCTCACTCTGTCACTCAGGATGGAACGTGGTGGCATGATCATAGCTCACTGTAACTTCTAACTCCTGGGCTCAAGCAATCCTCCTGCCTCAGCCTCCCAAGTAGCTTGGACTAAAGGTGTGTGCCACCACACCCAGGTAATTTTTAAGTTTTTTGTAGAGACGGGGTCTCACCAGATTGCCCAAGCTGGCCTCGAACTTCTGGGGTCAAGCAATCCTCCCACCTCTGCCTACCAAAGTGCTGGGATTACAGGCATGAGCAACCGCACCTGGCCTAAGGTTTCTAATTTTGTTTTGTTTTGTTTTTGAAATGGAGTCTTGCCCTGTCACCCAGGCTGGAGTGCAATGTTGCAATCTCGGCTCACTGCAACCTCCGCCTCCCGGATTCAAGTGATTCTCCTGCCTCAGCCGCCCGAGTAGCTGGGAATACAGGCATGTGCCACCATGCCTGGCTAATTTTTTATATCTTTAGTAGAGACGGGGTTTCACCATGTTGGCCAGGCTGGTCTCAAACTCCTGACCTCATGATCTGCCCACCTCAGCCTCCCAAAGTGCTGGGACTACAGGCATGAGCCATGGCACCCAGCCTTTTTTTTTTTTTTTTGAGATGGAGTCTAGCTCTGTTGCCCAGGCTAGAGTGCAGTGGTGTAATCTTGGCTTGCTGCAACCTCTGCCTCTGGGTTCAAGAGATTCTCCTGTCTCAGCCTCCCAAGTAGCTGGGACTACAGGCATGTGCCACCATGCCCTGCTATTTTTTTTTATAGTTTTAGTAGAGATAGGGTTTCACCATTTTGGCCAGGCTGGTCTCGAACTCCTGACCTCCAGTGATCCGCCCTCCTTGGCCTCCAAAGTGCTGTGATTACAAACATGAGCCACTGCGCCTGGCCTAAGATTTCTAATTTAAAAGGTCACCTGGCTAGCAGCTCCTGATTCAGTCTCCCTCAATGCCCATTTATAAGAAAAGAATATATTTGGAACTCTTAAAACTAGGACTGACAGCCAATCTCTTACCAGAGTTTGGGAAGACCTTCCACAAGCTGTAGAGCTAATGTCACTCAGTGGACAATGCAGGTCTGGCCTCAGGAATGGGTCAACTGGCTTCCATCCCTCTCCATGCTCCACACCGGGTCAGAGCCTCATCAACTGTAAAACCAGAACATGTCATGCCTCGACTCTCTAGGTGCTACTTTTTGACACAGTCAGATTCGTCCTCCCCAGATAGCTACTTCTGCTGTTAGATTGAGCTAGATAATTCTGGAGCTTCTGGAGGAGGCTCGTTCTGGGTAGTGTAGTGGCCCAAATAAAGCACCATGAATGGGGACAGAGTCCGGAAGAGCCTTGGCGTCTAGGCAGCTGCAAGGTTGTTATTTCTCAGATCCTCAAATTTTACAAAGGGTCAGAAGGTCAGACAGCAAAGACAGGAAAAGCTCCCTTCATAGATTAGCAAAGACATTCCAGCAGTAGGCTTCCTAGTGACAGAAAAGTTGTGTGTGTCCCCCAGCTCTTCCTGGGACAGCCACTTGGGAAGGGTGGGGGTGGGGACACACAGTGTGCTTGTTCTCTTGTGCTGGGTAGAGCTCTGCCTTCTTGGACAAGGAAACAAGAAAAAGGAGTAGTCTTTGAAAAAATCATATGGTCCTGATAAAGTCAGCCTCGTGCTAAAATTTCACTGGAAACAATGTTTTTCTAAAAAAAAAAAAAAAAAAAACCTAAAACACATTTTAGGAAACAATGATCATCCTTAGATAAAAAATCAAATTGCCTTTTTGAAATGGAACAAAATGTCAAAGGGAGAATAGACTGATATGGAAGCAGCCCAGATAAAGAAAATCGAGATAAGTAAAATAAGAAAGTATTAAAGGAAACGAGAAATTCAATGCTGAATTAATCCATGTGGGGATGGTAAATCAGAAATGACACCTTGGAAAATCTGATCCTTAGTGAGGGAGACAAACCTGAGACTCTCTCTGAGAATGGAGAGGAAAGGAAATCACGTGGAAATGGTGGGATGGACAGAAAAAAAGAAAATACAGCATTGGGGTGAAAGGGCATGAGATTCAGTGTCTCACGCAGACTTGAAGCTCAACCCCAGCACTTACAACATGTGCGGACCTGGGCAAGGCTTCCATCTGCAGTGCAGGGATAACAATATCTCCTCAGAGTACCACAGTTGGGACAGCAACAAATATATATGGGAATTCAGCATGACATATGGCATCTGGTGAACAGTGAACACGCATAAAAGGAGGAACAGAGACAGAAAGAAGTTAGGGCTGTTCCCCAGGAAGAAAGTCAAGTAGAACAGATGGATGGAATGGTCACCAAAGACATCATGGTGGGAGGGTGAGGGTGAGGTGGATATGGGGGTGGTTGGGCCTTTCCTGAGCCTAGGCTGAAAAAACGACCTGAGTGCAATTAGAAGGAGGTTACCAGGATGAGACATCAATGACACGAGAAGTGGTTATATTTTTGAATTCTGAGGATCAAGAAAACAAGACCCAGGCCGGGCGCGGTGGCTCACGCCTGTAATCCCAGCCCTTTGGGAGGCCAAGGCAGGCGGATCACGAGGTCAGGAGATCGAGACCATCCTGGCTAACATGGTGAAACCCCGTATCTACTAAAAATACAAAAAATTAGCACGGCGTAGTGGTGGGCGCCTGTAGTCCCAGCTACTCGGGAGGCTGAGGCAGGAGAATGGCTTGAACCCAAGAGGCGGAACTTGCAGTGAGCGGAGATCGCGCCACTGCACTCCAGCCTGGGGGACAGAGAGAGACTCCGTCTCAAAAAAAAAAAAGAAAAGAAAACTCAAAACCCAACAAGCATTCAGGCAGCAAAAATAGGTTACCTACAGAAGTTCAGAAATTAGGACGGCCTCGGGGAATCATTAAATACCAGAATCTGATGAAGGAACATTTGCTGTTTTGAAGGAAAATAGTTGCAAGCCCAAAATATATGCCCAGTTGAGTTATTTTTCATGTGAAGGCTACAGAAAGATATTTTTGAATATGCAAGGTTCAAGAAATAGGCACGAATGTGCTATTCTGGTAAAAATTGTTTTAGATGACCTAGAGCCAACTAAGCAATTAACCACTGTTAACAAATGGATAATTTTTATATAAAAGGACTAATAGTGAATAATGAAATCTACTAAATATATCATAAAACCTATTCTGTTATAAATTTAGTTTTAAAATGTACTGACAATCTCAAATTTAATATGGAATTATATTTAATAGAAAAATGGTAATTTAGTAAGAACAAACTGGTCTCAAACTCCAGATTTTATTAATAAAGTCTGGGATGTGGGAGGTGATGTTGAATTAAAGCAATGCTAACCCCATCTTATGTGGGGTGCACAGTGGTTACCATGTCATGATTTTATTCTGGTACTTAGAGAAACATATGTCTGGTAGTGTTCTTATAGCTTAAAAGTAACTTAATGGCCAGGCAAGGTGGTTCATGCCTGTAATCCCAGCACTTTGGGAAGCCGATGGGGGCAGATCATGAGGTCAGGAGATCAAGACCATCCTGGCCAACATGGTGAAACCCTGTCTCTACTAAAAATACAAAAATTAGCTGGGCATGGCCCTGTGCACCTGTGGTCCCAGTTACTCGGGAGGCTGAGGCGGGAGAATTGCTTGAACCCGGGAGCTGGAGGCTGCAGTGAGCCAAGATTGCGCCACTGCACTCCAGCCTGGACAACAAATGGGACTCTGTCTTAAAAAAAAAAAAAAAAAAGTAACTTATTGGCCCTGTGAGGTGGCTCACGCCTGTATTCCCAGCACTTTGGGAGGCAGAGGGGGGCGGATCACCTGAGGAGTTCAAGGCCAGCCTGGCCAACATGGCAAAACTCCATCTCTACTAAAAATACAAAAATTAGCCGGGCATGGTGGTGCATGCCTCTAATCCCAGCTACTAGGGAGGCTGAGACAGGAGAATCACTTGAACCCGGGAGGCGGAGTTTGCAGTGAGCTGAGATTGTACCACTGCACTCCAGCCTGGGCAACAGAGCGAGACTCCATCTCAAATAAAAAAAAGTAACTTATTGTTAGACTTAAAATAGGACATGACTTCCAAATCTTTGGAAAATATTTAAGCAGGTAAAGTCTAGTGTGTTAACAGAAAACTGAAAACACGGACTTAGGGAAGAGCCATAAAAGCTGTACATTTTAAGGACAAGGGGAAATGTGCATAACTTAACCCATATGCACAGCACGGTTCTGATGTTAATACGTGCGCATGTGCACGCATGTGTGCATGGATGCTAGGAAAAAGAATGAAAGGAAGTGGGCCAAAATATGCTGTTTTTTAGAAGAACGTATGTTGTTATATGTAGAGAAAACAGACAACATAACGACCACAGAAGATGGCGGAAGCGCCAGATGTGCAGACAGATAATGCAGGATATCGCCGAGGCAAGTCCCAGGTACCACTGTGGGAAGGGGAGGGGTCTGCAGTGTCTCCCCAAAGAGCTGGATCAGCAGGACCCTCCCCAAGATCAGCCTGTGTTCCCCAGCATCCCTGCCTTCATCAGAGAACACAGACACGGATGTCTGCTCTTGTCAATTTAAATGGCATATAAAATACTAACCTAAGGTCAATTCTTCTAATGCTATTTTACCTTAATGGGCATATGATTTGAATGCGTAACTTTCTAGCAGTTGAAATTGAGAAAGTGGAGAGCATACACGTGTGTCGGGCACACTGCCTAGCCCCAGGCATCGGGGCCGACAGCAGGCACAGGGCCCAGGTCCCACAATACTTTTAAGTGCCCATGAAAATGTTTAAATTATAATTTATTTTAATATCAGAAGAGAAATGAATAGGATAATAATGAATATATAAGAGTGAATCTAGCTTGTTTTTTGTTAATCTTTATACCAACACAGTTGTACAATATCATTTTTAATACTTGCTATGGAGAAAGTCACACAAAGGCAAAAATACCTAGGGTTCATACAAGCTATAATGTGGCCCTCACATGAGCTCATAACACCTTGAACTCATTGTGCCCCTGAACTCATAGTATCCCTAAGTTCATAACATCACGGAGCTCGTAGTTGTCCAAAATCATAGCACCCCTAGACTCATAGCACCCTTCAGCTGGTACTTCTAAACTCATTGTACCCCTAAACTCATAGCACTCCTGAATACATAGCACCCCTGAGCTCAAGATACCCCTAAATTCAGCATTCCTGATCTCTTTGTACTGCTGATGTCATAGCACCTCTGCACTCATAACACTTCTGAGTTCACAGCACCCCTGAACTCATAGTGATCTACTCTGCCCTGTCCTGCCTGAATTACCAATTAAAGAAGGCCTCAGTCATGAATTATTTAAATATCTAATCAATGGCAGAAAATGTCAGTTTTATGACTAAGCCGATGTTAATGGTCTGTACAAACAACAGTGTTCTATTTTTATGTGAGAAAAGACTTCAACACTTTTTATTGTTATTGTTTTATATAAAAAAAGTGTCCATGTGGATGATCATATTCATAGAAAAGCTTAGATATGGGACTCAGAAAAGTTTGACCCAGGATCTAACATTGATTCAAGGTTAAATTTTAGGTGTATTACTAAGCTGGTCTAAGTCTCCATTTTCTTATCTGCAAAATGCAGATATTATTTATTTTTAGAGTTTTTATGCAGTTAAAATTGAACATATGCAAAGTGCTGGCCCTTGCCTGGCTTACAGTATTCACTCGGTAAATGGTTGCACAGTAGATCACTTACCATAAATGTCCGGGACCTGACCTGTTTCAAATTAATGATATTTCTGCAGTTTATATATCTTAATGTGAAATGACTGCAATGACTACAAAGGAAAAGATGGTTGCCCAAGGGATGTGTTTAATAATGTGAGACACATAATTTGGTAGGAAATGAATGAATTAGGAAGATATATACGGCTTACAAAATGTTTCATTTTTATAAATGTGTTATGCATAACAATTAAAGTACCTACTAAATTTTAATAATTGTTTTGCATAAATCAGAAACATCTGGGTTTATACGAAATAAAAAAGTTACCCAGTATAAAAAAACTAAAATATGTATTGACATAGATTTGTTCAATCATCATTCCGGCATCAACGAATAATTATTGAACACTTACCTTATTTCCCATCACTGAGGACTCAGCACAAAATGACACAAAGTCTCTTCTCTCATGGACCTTGTGTTCTCCCAGGAGAGAAAGAAAACCAATAAGGAAGAAATGCATAATAGTGGTGTGTTACATTATTTTGCTTTGTAAACAATCATATATTACTTCAGATAGTATTTACTGCTATGGGGAGAAATAAATCAGGGTGAATGGTATAGTTAGTAATATGGGATGGAGAGATTGCAGAAGGAGGCAGTTTTTGACAATGTACCCAGAGGAGGAAAGACCACATCTTAGCCACTCTTTCTCCCCCATGTTGCTGATGAGGAGCACAAAGTCAGGTACCGTAGGCTCTCCATATAATTTTGCTAAGTCAAAATGTTATCATTGTTACAAAAATATCTATTATGACTGACATGCTTTGATATTCTTAAATTTTTTTGAGATTTTACCTTAAGATATATTTCTCTTGCCCAGAAAGCCTTCAATTATTATTGAAGTGAAAATGTTATATCCACAAAGGAACTAATTTGATTTGATTTTCCCCCTCTTGCAATGAGCTGTAGGCACACTTGAAGAGGAATGCTGGTCAATTGATATCCTTGCTGACAGTGAGTCACCAAATGTCACATTTGGCAATGTGGATGTTCAATTTTAGAATATTAGAACACAAGAAAATAGACTTGACACTAAAATTTCACTGAATGTAATCCAATCATTGATGATTCAGAAGCACCTTAAGCTCCTGTGGTGTCTTGCTGTGAATATCACTTGATTCTGCTTATGTGTCAATCAATAGAGACTCACGAATTTTATGGTAGATAGAGAGAGATGGCATGAGTACATGTGGGCTATATGTATATATATATATATATTTAATTGGTGGTATATATATATATATATATATATATATAATTTAATTGGTGGTAGGACAGCAGGTAAATCACATACCTACCAGAAAGTTGTTGCATTCATCCATTTTGTGTTGCTATAAAGGAATACCCAAGGATGGGTAATTTATAAAGAAAAGAGGTTTATTTGGCTCACAGTTCTTTCTGCAGACTGTACAAGAAATGTGGTACCAGCTTCTGATTCTGGTGAGGCCTCAGGAAGCTTTTACTCATGGCAGAAGATGGGAGTGGGCGTGTCACATAGTGAGAGAGGGAGCAAGACAGAGAGAGGGGAGGGAGGTTCCAGTATCCCTTTAACAACCAGCTGTCACGCGAGCTAATAGAGTGAGAACTCACTCATCACCACGGGGATGGCAACCAGCCATTCACTGGGGATCTGCCCCCCATGAGCCAAACACCTCCAACAAGACCCACCTCCAACATTAGAGATAACATTTCAACATGAGATCTGGAGAAGAAAAATGTCCAAACAATGTCAATACTGAATAAGTTCCAATGAAATAAATATAAAGCAGTAAAAAGTTGAAAAGAAAACTTAACAGAGAATGATCCTATACTTTGGAGACCATGGTATTATGTTATCCTGGAGATTCTATGTATTATTGGTTTGTAAGCAAGACTGTGGCTTTCACAGACCCCTCCTCACACTCTCCCAGGCCAGGCAGCAGAAGAGCTGAGTTGGCAGGAAAGCAAAGTCATGTTCTAGCGTCCCACGGCATGTATCTGAGATCAGCCATGGTGATCACGTCATGGCCAGGAGGACTCTGTCAAGCGCCGCTCCAGCCTTTTGTGTTTCCTTTGGCCTTTGGAATAAATCCCCACCCCCGATTCCTTTTCAGGTTTTCATCTCTAGCTCACCCAGGCCAGACAGTCCTCACACACATGCACCACTCCAAAACTTGTTTCAGGAAGTCATTTAATTGCAAACACTTTGCTCTTTGGAGTTACACAAATGAGTCTATGTTTTTTTCTGTTCTGTGGCATATTTGCATTTTAATCCTCATTTAATTTTGTCTAGAAGTACTACATTTTTTATTGGGGGTTTCGGAAACTGACTGGGAAATGTGTCTCACCTCCCCTCAGGGAGGGGGCTAACAAGCACTATTTATTATCACCATCATCATCATCCTCATCATCACCAGTAGTTTCAAAGCTCTTACATGGGACCATCCTTTCCAATACCCTAAAATGGCAACTACAAACTGTCAACCACTGCCCTCATTCATAAGATTCATGGTCACTATCCACAATATCAAAGACATGGAATCAAGCCAGATGGTCATTCACAATGGATAGGATTAAAAAAAATGTGGAATGTGTACATGTACACTGTGGAATACTATATAGCCATAAAGAGAACAAAATCATGTCCTTTGTAGCAACATGGATGCAGCTGGAGGCCATTATCCTGAGCAAATTAATGCAGAAACGTAAGCAAATACCACATGTTCTCACTTATAAGTGGGAGCCAAGGCCAGGCGCGGTGGCTCATGCCTGCAATCCCAGCATTTTGGGAGGCCGAGGCAGGTGGGTCACTTGAGGTCAGGAGTTCGAGATCAGACTGGCCAACACAATGAAACCCCATCTCTACTAAAAATACAGACATTAACTGGGCGTGGTGGTGGGCGCATGTAGTCCCAACTACTCAGGAGGCTGAGGCAGGATAATCGCTTAAAATCGGGAGGTAGAGGTTGCAGTGAGTGGAGTCCATTGCACTCCAGCTTGGGTGACAGAGTGACACTCAGTCTCAAAAAAAAAAAAATAATAAGTGGGAGCCAAACATTGAGTACTCACGGACATAAAGAAGGGAACAGTCAACACTGGGGACTGCAAGAGTGGGGAGGGACAGAAGGGCGTAATGACTGAAAAACTACCTAATGGGCACTGTGCTCAGTCCCTGGGTAATGGGATCATTCATACTCCAAACCTCAGCATCACACAATATACCCCGGTAACAAACCTGCACTTGTACCCCTTGCGTATAAAATAAAGGTTGAAATTATTTTGAAAAATAAGGCTCACTATGGCTTTCTCACAAAGAATATTCGAAGGCTTCCTTCTGGCTCTACCACACTATGGTTCCCTGGCACAGGTTCTTTAATCTACTTATTGTATCTAATCCAAAGCCATAATCACTTATTTCCACTCATGAACTGTGCCGTTTCAGTTTCATCTGCCAAGAGTTTTGTCAGAAAGCAGGGATACTCCAGATGTTCCACGGAGGCACTTTTTTTTTCTTTTTTTTCCGGAGTCTTGCTCTGTTGCCCTGGCTGGAGTGCAGTGGTGCGATCTCGGCTCACTGCAGCCTCTGCCTCCCGGGTTCCAGCGATTCTCCTGCCTCAGCCTCCTGGGTAGCTGGGATTACAGGCGCCTGCCACGACGCTGGCTAATTTTTTGTATTTTTAGTAGAGACGGGGTTTCACCATTTTAGCCAGGATGGTCTCGATCTCCTGACCTCGTGATCCACACGTCTCGGCCTCCCAAAGTGCTGGGATTATAGGCGTGAGCCACCGCGCCTGGCCTTTTTTTTTTTTTTTTTCTTTCAGAGTCTTGCTCTGTCGCCCTGGCTGGAGTGCAGTGGTGCGATCTTGGCTCACTGCAGCCTCTGCCTCCCGGATTCCAGTGATTCTCCTGCCTCAGCCTCCTGGGTAGCTGGGATTACAGGCGCACCCCACGATGCCGGCTAATTTTTGTATTTTTAGTAGAGTCAGTGTTTCACCATGTTGGCCAGGCTGGTCTCCCACTCCTGATCTCAGGTGATCCGCCCGCCTGGGCCTCCCAAAGTGCTGGGATTACAGGCGTGAGCCACCGGGCCCGGCCTCACAGAGGCACTTTTACAGAGGAGTGCCTGGTGCTGGACAGGTAACAAGTCCACATACTCTGGGCAGCGCCAAACACCCTGTGGAAACTACATGGCCACGGCAGTCACGCCTAGAATCCTTTGTGCGGTGTTCACATAGAATGCTTTGGCCCCCATTGTGCCACTCAGGGCACCTGCCTTGAAATACCCGCGACGCTCGGATCGGAGTCTGACGATGGTCAGCAGGTGGCACTCTCGTTTTAGGATTCCAGCCCCTAAGTAAGTAACAAGGGAAAATTTCAGGCCCATATAAAAATTTATTTATATATTTTTTTCTCTGCCAAGCCAGAAATGTACTCCATTTTCTTTAATCAGGTTCATTTACTTCCTACTGTGGGACTTCAATTGGGTAATAGTCAACCAGACTTCTCCCCCTGGCTACTTTCTTTCCTAGAGCAGGGTATTTACGTTTGAGATTTGCCGGAGTTTGGGAGCTGTATGTGAAGGCCTGGCAGAAACAACAGAAACGCTGTGTTTTACACGCAGAGCTCGACTGGCCCTCCCCGTTAGCTCCAAGTGGCCTCGTGCAGACACAAGGGCGCATCTGGCCGGGGCTATGTTTACCCTGGGGTGCCCAGACTGTGTCTGCTGCCCTGTCTGAGACCAGCAGAGCCCACAGGAGGGAGCCCCAAAGCTGGATGAAAGTCGCGGCAACAAGGCGAGGGAGGCTGAGTCTGAGGCTGAGGGCTCTAAGCTGCGCCTTGGTTTCCTCCTGCGAGGTGCAAAGGGCATGGACAGCTACAGACAGCAGTGGGAGCACTGGCTCACTCACTCCTTCACTCACTCATTCATTCAGCAAATACTCATGCAAAGCCTCCACTATTCCAAAAACTCCATTTTGTTTATGGTATCAGCCAGCGTTCAGCCAGGGAACAGAAGCCACACCAGTTATCTGAAGAGAGACAATGTAATAATAAAGAATTGTAAACCATGCATTCGGTTGAAGCTGGGGAACTAAAAAAACAAAAGGATAATGGTGGATGCCAGGGAGGAGGTAACAGCAGGGAGCGGCTGCCACCCCTGAGGCTGGAGACACCAGGACCTAAAAGCTCAGGGGCCCGCAGAGCTGCTCAGCTGCTGCCGGTCTCCGGGTGTGTGTGATGAGGTTGGTTCTGTGAGTGTTAGGAACACTGCAAACTGGATTCAGCTGCTGCTATGGTGAGGGACTGACACGGCTGGGAGGGAGTGTGAACACTCAAGAATGGGGAATGGACAGGAAAATCAAGTCCCTCCTTGCTCCCCTCCTTACCAGTTCCTTCTAGCACCTTCCACTGGCACAGCCTGACAGGAAGCTGGAGGCACAGCAAGGATGTGGCTCACAGTTCAACCCCACCCTCAGAGGGCAGAGCGCGGACGGGATTTGGAGCCCTGAGACAATAGTTGAGTCCCTGGCACACTCACAGAACCGCATTCTCACCCCCCTGGGCTGTGACCCAGCCTAGCAGTGGCGGGAGAGGGAGCGAGTGGGACTGGAGTATTGGTCCTCAGCACATGGCTCCCAGCCTAGACGGGAGAAGGGAGTCGGTTGACTCATTTCCTTTTATTGCTCAAATGTGACATAAAATTTCACTAAAGGTCACACCATAGCACAGCTTATTTCCTCTCTTTTGCCAGAAGTTCCTTATAAAATTTCCTCACTCTATCTTGTCACAGCCCCCGCACCCATGACATCTTCATGGTCTCTTAGTATGGTTTTACTTTTCATACAAATCGGATCCAAGGGGAGGGAAGCATGTCAAAATGCCACTGTGGGTCTTTTGTTGCATGAAAATGTACATGTTGCGTTGAATTAATGCACTTTTAAACTAGACCTAGCTACTATGCTTTTCAACAGCTTTCATCATGATGGTAACATCTTCCTTGTTAAATCTAATCAATTTCATAGGTATTGGCATTTCCATTCTTTGATAGGATGTTTACTTATGCATTTTTTTCTTTTCTTTTTCTTTCTTTTTTTTGAGACAGTCTTTCTCTGTCACCTAGGCTGGAGTGCAGTGGCATGATCTTGGCTCACTGCAGCCTCCGCCTCCTGGGTGCCTCAGCCTCCCGAGTAGCTGGGATTACAGGCCTGTGCCACCATCCCCAACTAATTTTTGTATTTTTAGTAGAGACGGAGTTTCGCCATGTTTGCCAGGCTGGTCTTGAACTCCTGACTTCAGGTGATCCACCCACCTCAGCCTCCCAAAGTGCTGGGATTACAGGCGTGAGCCACCGAGGCTGGCCTGCATTTTTTCTTTATTTTTTTGAGATGGAATCTCACTCTGTTGCCCACGGTGGAGTGCAATGGCACAATCTCGGCTCACTGCAACCTCCGCCTCCTGGGTTCAAGCGATTCCCCTGCCTCAGCCTGGGATTACAGGTGCCCGCCACCACGCCCAGCTAATTTTTGTATTTTTAGTAGAGACAGGGTTTCCTAGCTAATTTTTGTATATTTAGTTGAGACAGGGTTTCACCATGTTGGCCAGGCTGGTCTCGAACTCCTGACCTCAGGTGATCCAACTGCCTTGACCTCCCAAGTTGCTAGGATTACAAGCGTAAGCCACCACACCTGGCCTGCATTTTTTCTAAATTTGGGGAAAGTAGAGGTAGAAGGGATTGGGAAGGTTGAGGTCCAAAGGAGAAAAAACGGAAGTGAACGGGAAATTATTTTGAAGACTACGTGGCCACTGCCTTTTATCTAAGAAATGCATTGGACAACAAGCAACAATGGGCAAGACCAACCTGAAGCCTACAGTGGCTGAGAGAGACAGGAAGGTGGGTGGTTGGTGAAGGAAAGATACCAGACCAGAATTTTTTTTTTTTGAGACAGAGTCTCCCTCTGTCTTCCAGGCTGGAGTGCAGTGGCACCATCTTGGCTCACTGCAAGCTCCGCCTTCCAGGTTCACACCACTCTCCTGCCTCAGCCTCCCAAGTAGCTGGGACTACAGGTGCCCGCCACCACGCCCAGCTAATTTTTTGTATTTTTAGTAGAGACAGGGTTTCACCGTGGTGTCGATCTCCTGACCTCGTGATCCTCCCACCTCGGCCTCCCAAAGTGCTGAGATTACAGGCGTGAGCCACCGTGCCTGGCCACCAGACCAGAAATATTTAAGATGAAGGTTATGTCTGGTTTATCTTTGGCAATATATTGCCTTCTGCTTTTTCTTATGCTTCACAGCCCAGAAGCTTGAAAACGACATTTCCCCTTCTCCCTTGCTACAGGTGCTTTGCATACATCTTTAATCCTATCAATGAGATAAACTCACTTGATATTTGGAAAGTGGAAGCGTGACAGAAGCCCTGTTTTGTCTCTTTCTCTGGAAGTTATGGTCATGCTCTCGCCAGACAGGAGTTATTCAGCAGCCTCAGCCTCGACATCTTGTTTATGTCATGTCTACAGAGGGTCTGTGAACTCTGTAGCAATTGTCTCTAGTTTCATCCACTCTAGGCAACATCAACTCTTAACTCTAACAGCAAACCTGAATGTCATGGTGGCCCCTAGATTGTTGCTCCTTTAGACTTCCAATAGTGTGATAAGCACCCAGGCCCCTCCATGAAATCCCTTCCTGCTTGACCTAACTAGAATGGTCTTTGTTTTCCTGAGCAAACCCATATTCATTCTGAGGATGGGAGGAAATATAGACAAAAAGGCATACCCCACCATAAAGTCACTTTATTCAACAGGGTTAGTCTTATTTTACCACATTTACTAGGTAGACAAGTTTTAAGAAGCTCAGGAGACCATATTCTATACATTTCTTGATGACCAAAGTTAGATTTAGATAAATATTGAGAGATGAGAGATGCAGAGACCTCTTTGCCCTGCCAGAGTTTAAAATATCCTTATAGTGTCTTTAGTATACAAGGGACAGCTGAGGTGAAAATGAGGAGAAAATGGCTTTTTTTTTTTTTGCCAATATGATCCAGGCAATGCAAATAAGAAACAAGTGGAGGGTTCCCTCTTTCATTGCAGATGACAATAACTGAGAGTCACTTTTCATGTAGTAGATCTGGCTCAAGACTTTTATGAAATGTGAAATTTAATATTCATTCCTGAAATGAGGATTCATCTCTTTAAAAGCTGTTCACTATTTCACTCCAGATGTAAGTACCCACATGGGATGGATTGAGGTGGCCACATCAATTCTGTCTTCCCAGGGGTTCCTGATAATGTAGGGAAAGAATTTAGTCCCTGAGACTTTAAATTGTTTTGAAGAGTGCTTGCCACAGATATGCTTTTTCTCTCTGCTCTATTTCCCCCTCTTTATCTTTTTAAAAAAGTTTTAATCTGTTTTAAAGATGCATTATCTTGTGAGTTTGTAAATATAAAAGTTTTATACATTGGAGAGAGTTAAACAAATGCTTTATTATAGTGTCTCATTTATGATTTCTTGCATAAGTTCTTTCAGAGTAAATACTGAAAAGTCAAAGGACCTGTCAAGATCATCGGCCATGACAGTGGCTGGATGGAGGCCACCTCATCCATCTGGTCCTGGCATTTCTGAGAAAGGACCATGCTGAACCATGCAGAGCAAATTTGCAAGGTTATAATTCTTTGATTTGGGTAAAGTGTCTGGTGTTGGAGCTGAGAGGCATCAATGGATAATACTTTTTATGCTATTTGCTCTTCTTTAGTGCTATCTCATGGACTGCCTCATTGGTTGTCACAATAATACTGTGAGGTAGGTAGAACAAGTATCAGCATCCCCCGTTTGACCTCATGGGAAGCAGACACAATTTTTTTTTGTGTGTGTGATGGAGTCTCACTCTGTCACCCAGGCTGGAGTGCAGTAGCATGATCTCGGCTCACTGCAACCTCCATATCCCTGGTTCAAGCAATTCCCCTGCCTCAGCCCCCTGACTAGCTGGGATTACAGGCACCTGCCACCACACCTGGCTACCTTTTTTGCATCTTTTGTAGAGACGGGGTTTCACCATGTTGGTCAGGCTGGTCTCGAACTCCTGACCTCGTGATCCACCCACCTTGGCCTCCCAAAGTGCTGGGATTACAGGCGTGAGCCACTGCTCCCGGCCGCAGACACACTTTTCTCTACAGTGTGAGAGAGAGGTGCCCTGTTTGGCCAAAACCAGGAGTAGCACAGAGTCTGCCCTGCACTTTTGGTGTCACCCTAATAATCCTTGGGAAAATTACAGAGTAAGACAAAAAGAAGAACCTTCAAGAAAAGTAGGAATCAAACACTGCGAGCTATTCTAATTCTAAAGGGTCAAGAGAATAATAGCTTTATCCTGTCACCTAAACAGTTGGGATTCCATTTGAGAACCAACTCTAGTCAGCCTTCAGGCTGGTCCATGATCAAGGACCTACAAGACGAAGTGACAGCCCAGTGACTCTACAAGTTCACCTGTCCCTCATCTCCACAGCCCTGCAGCATCAATGGGCATGCTGTGAATGCTGGAGGACTGACCAGCATGCCCCGATTGTTCTCTATTACTTGGAGTGTTAAGTCTTATCTCCTTGGCTAGATTGAAAGAATCGGGAATAGAAGCTATATGCTAGAAAGCCATGCACAGCCAGCCACTGTGGCTGTCCTACCTGGTAGCCCAGCTCACATGAGACTGACCCAGGACACCACGGGACCACTCCAGACCCCCTGTTAACCTTTCCTGGCACATCCAAGCAAAGGGCTGATACTCACTGCAAGGTGGTGCCCCACCTTTCCACAGCCCATCACCACCACCACCCTCTTCTCCAGAATCTAGCTCTTTAGGCTAATATGGAAATGAAGAAAAGAGGATTTGTCCACGCATGTGACTGAGGAGATAGTTGGAGAGATGGTCTTAGGGAAAGGTGGGTACAGTGAGGCAAATGTCACCGTTTTCTCTCTCTCTCTCTCTCTCCCAGTCTATCTTTGCTTATCTTCGTAAATTGGCTTCTTTCCCTCACCCTAATCCAAACAGATTAGATCTATTTGTCATGGGGTACTGCTAAAACCAGGCTTATGTCCTGTCAAGAGTAGCAACCCCAGAGGAAAGAGCCGCTCACTCCTGCTTCAGTATAGAGAATTCCCAGGGCCAATTCTCATTGGCCCAGCTTGGGTGACATTTCCCTACTTTGACCTGTCATCAGGTGTGAGGCTGGTGTTAGGATTTTGCAGGGCGGTTAGTCGGGTGTTCAGGAATATGATTGGAATCCCCACCACAAACCCAGAATCAACAGGAGCTGGGGCAAATCAACAGGAGCTGGGGCAAATCAGCAGGAACTGGGGCAAGGCAGTCTTCCAAAGGAAGGGACTATTGATGATGCAGACACCAACTGTCTACCATGATGGTTTGTTCTGAAGAGTAACATATGATTTGTGCAGCAGAATTCCTCATAATAATGAAGAAAACAATGAGAGATCATGAATGTTTGACCCCATATATACACACACGTCTGCACAACTACCTACTGGCAAATTCTCCTGGGGTGAGCAGTGGAATTCAGTTCAGAAGTGATCTTTTTTGGCAGAAACAAGTCAGGAGGAATTCTACGTGAACACCATCGGCCCTTGGTGTTATGCCTGGCTCAAGCCAGCATTATCTGTCATTCAGTTTCAGGAGCATCTGACACACCTTTTCATGCTGAGAGCTAATTGCCCTATTTTCAAACCTGGACCTGTCCCTCCAGTGATATTTTTCCAATTGCAGTGATATATTTGTGTAGCCAGCAAGCACTGCCAAAGCTATAGCTATTCTGGAGTGTCGTTGGGGTAGGGAGCAGGGGAATTATGCAGCAATACAGTAAACAAAAGTAAAGCCTCTCTGAATAAAAAGTTACAAAGCAATGGTACGCTTTCCTTAATAACTCATATAATAAAAATAGTTTGCTATCCATTTTTCTAATCTTCATGATATGAGTACACTCTGTCATGGAAGTTATACAGGAACTGCTTACTTCAAATAATGCAATGACTATATTACAAAAGTAATTAAGTGAGAACCCAAGCAGAGAAGAGCAGTATTTTAACACTTCTTCACAACCAATACAAACCAAAACAATCCATAGGTAAGATATAGGAGATAGATAAATAAAAAACCAAGACAATAGGTAGATAAAAATAAATAAGAACCATTGTAGAATATAGAGCTGGATCCCACATTTCAATATCTTCCAAAATATCATTTGTGTTGTCTTGGAAGGAGGGAATAATAGATACTCATTTTAACCTGTACTTTGGTTTTATTAATTTGTTACCAATAGTTATGGATCCCTTGCAATGTATAAAGCATTCTAGCAAGAAGTAGAGAGAATACAAAAAGAAAAAAAGTATAAAATATTCATTTCTGTCCTCCAGGTGATTACAGTCTAGTTGATGAATTATTCCCAGAGTGTTCATAACAATAAAATTAGGCAAAGTGGATTATATGCCCTGTGAGTGAAATACATATTATTGTCCTCTGTAATTTAGAAGAAAAATAAATTGTGGCAAGGCTTTTTGGAGGTGTCATTTGGTCCTGGCCTTGAAATGTGGACAGAATTCCATCAATGGGGATGCGGAGGGGTGGCGGGGACGGGAAGTGCACAGAAGAAGCAGAGGTGAATATGAAAGAAGCAGAAAGTTGCCGGGCGCGGCGGCTCACGCCTGTAATCCCAGCACTTTGGGAGGCCGAGGCGGGCGGATCACGAGGTCAGGAGATCGAGACCATCCTGGCTAATACAGTGAAACCCCGTCTCTACTAAAAATACAAAAAATTAGCCGGGTGTGGTGGTGGGTGCCTGTAGTCACAGCTACTCGGGAGGCTGAGGCAGGAGAATGGCGTAAACCCAGGAGGCGGAGCTTGCAGTGAGCTGAGATCACACCACTGCACTCCAGCCTGGGTGACAGAGTGAGACTCCGTCTCAAAAAATAAAAAAATAGATAAAATAAAATAAAGAAGCAGAAAGTTCAGGTAGGATGTTAAAGAATCTGATTCTGGAAAGGACAATGGTAGCAAAATTGTGGGCACCTTAAATGTCAGGATGAAGCACTTCAAACTTATGCAGGTAAGAAGGGTGCCATTGGAACTTTTTGAGAAGGGGAATCACATGGTTAACATGGCAACTTGGGAAAATTATTCTTGTCCTTGGTCATGCAGAAGGACATTGTCATTGGAAGGGAAGGAACTGGGAGCATAACAAATGGCTAGTCAGCTAATTAGGTGTACTAGAGGGCTAGGGCTGCCCTAACAAAGTACCACAGACTGAGTGGCTTAAATGACAGAAATTTACTATTGCACAGTTTTAGAGGCTGGAAGTCTGAGGTCAAGGCGTTGGCAGGATTGGTGTCTTCTGAGGCCTCTCTCCTTGGCTTGTAGACGGCCGCCTTCTTACTGTGTCCTCACATGGTCTTCTCTCTGTGCATGTCTGTGTCCTAATCTCCTCTTTTTATAAGGACATCAGTTATACCTGTTGGGGGCTGGCCTGTATGACCTCATTTTACCTTAATTATCTCTTTAAAGACCTGTCTCCAAATATAGTCACATTCTGAAATACTGGGGTTAGGATTTCAACATATGAATTTGGGGGAGACACAATTTAGCCCATAACAGAGGTAATAAAGGCTTGTATTAGGATGGTTTTCTGGGGCATGAAGAAGAAATCAATCTAAAGGAACAAAAGTGGGCTGACAACTCTTGGGGAGAGACTGGATATATGGGGAAGGGAGAAGGATTCTTGGTGAGGCTGCAGGTAGAGACTGCTTTTTTCTAAACAGCAAGGAAAGAAAAGGAAGGAAGCAAAAGGGTAAGGCTAGTGGCCACAGATAAAAGCTTTGTTTGTTAGTATAGGGCAGAGGTCAACACATTGTAGACAAAGAGGAAGGAGGCAGGAGACAAGACAAAAAGATGACCTAAGGAAGGATACAGGAGGGATTAACACGGGCAAACTTATTAGCTTTAGGTGGGAGTAGGGGGTGATCTTTCCATTCAGTTAAGATGAGAGAAAAAGGAAAGAGTGCAGATGATTGTGAGGATACATCAAAATGTAGAAGATGGAAAATAAAGGAACTCAACATGGTGGTCCCAATTTTTTTGGTAAAGCACAAGGCAAGATATGGTGGAGGCATCTGGATTCATTCATAAGATTGAGTTTTAAGTTTGTGAGTCAGGAAAGCCCGTTAGATCCCTTTTCTGCTGTGAGACCCTTTGTACTACATGTGAGCTTCCATGACCTGCTTGCTGCTCTCTGGAACAGGGACCTACTTATCCTGAGCACAAATGAGATAATGCATGTAAAAGCACTTTACAAACTGTAAAGAACCCTAAAACCATTGGCTATTATTATTATTTTATTGCTTTATCATGTGAGTGTGAAGATTACCCACAGCTAAAGCAGACCCTTCAGATCATTCTGGATCCAAATGGATCTCAACCTTCAGAGGTTCTAGGGCCCCTTCCTTGGACAAGATTGGACTGAAAAAGACCTAATCTCTATATATGTCAAGACCAGGCTGTGCAGATCTCTTCCCAAGACCTGGGCCAGCGCTTGCTTCCTGCTGTTGGAGCCTGAACCTGGTACTTTCATAACACAATGCACTAAAGCTTCTCACCAAAGCCTCCAAAGTAATTTTAAGCCCACGCAGTGAGAGGGGATGTGAAGCTAGCTGCCAGCACTTCATAAATTACTTCAGTTTCTTGCATTTTTAAATCAGAGTGTCATATTCCCTTCAATTCTAATATATCACTTCAGGACACAATGTCATTTTAAATTTTTGAAATATTGTAAAAAATATTCTTCACTTCTTTGGTACATATCAATGACTCTTATTACTCAAAAATTACCACTGTTACTCTCCAATTGATGAACAGGTTGGTTTCCAAAAGTTTATTTGAAGTCAACTGTTTTTCCCAAGAGGAAAATGTTCTACTGTAAAAATGATATACATGGCTGGGCACGGTGGCTCACGCCTGTAATCCCAGCACTTTGGGAGGCCGAGGGCGGGCGGATCATGAAGTCAGGAGATCAAGACCATCCTGGCTACTACGGTGAAACTCAGTCTCTACTAAAAATACAAAAAATTAGCCAGGTATGGTGACAGGTGCCTGTAATCCCAGCTACTCAGGAAGCTGAGGCAGGGGAATCGCTTGAACCCAGGAGGCGGAGGTTGCATTGAGTCAAGATCGTGCCACTGCGCCACTGCACTCCAGCCTGTGTGACAGAGCAAGACTCAAAAAAAAAAAAATAGATATACACGTTGGTTAGGCTTCCAGATCAACCTGCAAAATTTCATGTCACCTAAAATAGGATGGGACATCACAGCCTTACCCTATACTGTCCAGAGCTAATTTTCCTTCCACTGGGTTTCTCAGAAGCAGAGAGGAGATTCTTTCTCAGACATACCAATCTCATTGTCCCCACATTGGGTCATATGTCCATTTTTAAACACTTTCTCTAGGATGGGATGTGCTCATTGACTTAAGCCAATCAGGAAATGGGGAAGGTATACACTCTCCCTGAAGCTCCTGGACTGTATAGGAAATGGTCAATGCCTGAATGAAAAAGAAAAAGCAAGAGAGGATAAATGCTGGACAGCCAATGCAGCAATCTCGTTTGCCACACCTGTGCTAGAGAAAGAAGCAAGAGGGAGATGTGTTTTCTCTCCTTTTTCTTGCTTAAGGCCAGCTTGAAAACCTCCAATTTCCCCATCCTTCCTCTTTGCAACACATCTATGCTTTTACTGAGGCCAAAGTTGTCCACATCAAAACTCCTATTTTGAAGACTTAGTCCCAAATAACCCATCCAATTCCCCAGAGTATTTCATGCCATCTGTTCCTCTCTTCCACTCTCCCTGTCTTAGTCCATTTTGCATTGCTATAAAAGAATACCTGAGACTGGGTAATTTATAACAGAAAGAGGTTTATTTAGCTCTTGGTTCTGCAGGCTCAAAAATTCAAGGGTACAGCCCTGGCTTTTTGCGAGAACTTTTATGCTGTGTCACAACATGGCAGAGAAGATAGACACATGCAAATATGGGAAAAACTGAGGGGCATCCAGGCTTTATAACAACCCACTCTCACAGGAAATAATCTGTTTCTCTGAGAACTAATCCAGTCTCTCAAGGGCAAGAACTCATTACCGTGAGGACAGCACCAAGCCACTCATAAGGGATTCACACCCAACACCTCCCACGAGGCCCCACCTCCTAACACCACCACACTGGGGATCAAATTTAGTCAAACAAGCTAGATCCCAAACCATAGTACTACCCCATTGATGTTGTTGATTTCAGTTGATGTAAGAAGAACAGAGTAAGACACATTAAGGTTGAGAAATCACTAACTCTGATATTTGTGTTTTTAAAGAAGATCATTATTTCAGTCCCAAAGTTTCAATACATCACAGGTTGGTGAAATTTCAGGCAGTATAAACACAAATAAATAATAAAGGGAGGTTAAAATGGAAGTAGAAATGACAAGCAAACCAGCTATGCCTGGATTCAACTGTGCCTGGACATCTCCCCCTGAATGCCTTCCTCACTGTTCCTTCCATTTATGCAGTTTCTCTTTCCCCACTTTTGAGTCCACTGATGTCCTACAACCTCTCAGGGGACACCTAAGAACATGCATGGCAGTAGCACCAGGAGGAAGGAAGGGCATAAAGGACTCTCCCTTTTTTTTTTTTTTTTTTTTTTGAGACGAAGTTTTGCTCTTGTTGCCCAGGCTGGAGTGCAATGGTGTGATCTTGGCTCACCACAACCTCCACCTCCCAGGTTCAAGCGATTCTCCTGCCTCAGCCTCCCAAGTAGCTGGGATTACAGGCATGAGCTACCAAGCCTGGCTACTTTTGTATTTTTAGTAGAAATGGCGTTTCTCCATGTTGATCAGGCCGGTCTCAAACTCCCAACCTCAGGTGATCTGCCCACCTCAGCCTCCCAAAGTGCTGGGATTACAGGCATGGGCTACCGCGCCTGGCCAGGACTGTCCCATTTTAATGAAAGTTATGGACACCTTCCACATTCATTCATCATGCAAAGGCCACTGCATAGATTAATTTCTAGATAAGCATATGATAAATGATAGATGTAAACACACCATATTTCATCAGCTTTAAGTCACCATTGATTATAAGACACACCATTATTTTATATAACATTAAGATGGGGAAACCGTGCTGCCAGTTATAAGGGCCATCAGTCGAAAATGCATCCCAATTTTAGGGTTAAAAATGAAAGAAAAAAACCATGTATTTTGAATTGATGGACTTTCTATCCAAAAAATAGATCATTTTCTAACTAGTTTACTGATGTTTGAGACAAGTAGGTGGGAGAGATAATGTGCCAGGAAGAGTTCGAAGGAAGCCCTCACTGCAATTCAGGACTAGCCTTGCTGATGAAGATTTGAGCCGTTGGTTTTCCTTTTTTTTAAATGAAAAATCCAAGCAGATTCTTTCAATCCCAGGCTTTTTAGACTCTTCATTTAAAAATCCATTAATGGTATATGAGCACATGTTATATTCAAGGCACTGTGCTAAACTGTGTGTAAGGAACAGAGAAATATAAACTATGGTAGCAACACTTAAGGTGTTTATAAGTTAGTTGAGAAGAGGAATCATATTGGATGAAAATAAGCACTTAAGAAACAGCATGAACAGTCACATCATGGTCTGAATGGTGCTGGAAGGATCGCTATGGCCTGGCACATAGGGGAGGTTTTGAAATTGAACTGGATCTTGAAGAATGAGGAGGATTTGGATACTAGTGATGGATGCTCTATGCTTTGCACTTTGGGGGTCTCATTTTAGAGCATAGCTAGCAGGAGGAAGAGCAAAGTATGCTGGTAACAACTCATCAGACACCTCCATGGAGCCAGCCAATTGTTTAACGCCTTCTATCTCATCTTTGTAGAGAATTCAGCTAGACAGTCCAAGGGACAGTGAGTAGTAGATGGGATTAGTTTCCTCTGTGTAAACCAAATTACTTCTCTTTGGCTGGTGAATTTAAGTGAGATTCCTCTAATTCAATTTTTTAGCCATGCATCCTGGTTGATTCAATTCTCTTCCCACCTCCCTCCCACAATCTATTTCTTCATGGGACCTGTTGGTAGAGCTGTTAGATAATGAGATAGAAAGTACCAGGAAGTATTTTGAGAGAGTTTGATAAAGGAGTCAGGAGTGTCCATACTAAACCCTTGATCACAGCCCCCTCCTATGTCTCTGAGGGACAGTGATTAGCAAAATCAAAGGCTAAGGATTGTTTGAATTGCCTATGGCTTTATCCCAAATCTCAAAGCAGAACTCCACTATGCGGGGCTGGAGCTGGATCTGGCAAACACTCATTTGTCCAGGCCTGGGATCTAAGTAGCTGCTTTTCCCTCCCTGCAAGAAACTAAATTTCAGATTATTCTGCTCCACCAAGAAAGACCAAATATATATATTCCAGAATACATAAGAACTAGACCAGAGAGTTCTCATTTCCTAGGAAAAACGTATGTGTAACTCCAAGCTCAACCCACGTGAAAACGTGGCTTTTTCTGGTGCTCCAGCATGTGGGCCAATGTGGGCAGTGATGGTGGAGTCAAGGGGACAGAGACAACTCCTCTTTCCTAGGGAGTCACAGGAGTGACTCTCATTTCTGACCCCAAAATTAGAATACACCGACTGTCAAGGAATACAATCTGCCAATCTAAAAGAAAGAAATTGAGGCAAAAGTAATATAAGTAGAGAGTTTATATGGGCCAGACTTGAGAATCACAACCCTGGAGCCTAGATTCAAGTTGCCCTGAATATACACTCTTATTAGTGGTAGTTACAAGTGGATTTTCAAAGGAGAACAGGAGGAAATTATTTAGTTGTTTTCCAGAAATTTCACTAAAATAGCATAAGCTATTGATTGGCAATACATTGTTCTTTGTATCACAAATTCCAGGAACACGAAGATAATGGGCTAGGCAGTTAGTTGGGAACAAAATGACTTTAAACAATTGCCCCTGGACATGGGCATGACTGAAGCCGCATATTCATTTCTCTCTGGGCCTGCAAGTGTCACAGAGCTCAGACTGCCCAGAGCTGTTTTTCTTTTCTCAAACTTAAATCACATATGATTCTCTTTCTAATGAATATCATTTATTGAAAAGAATAAAGTATGTGAAAATCTACACCACAGAGCCAAGGAAAGTGTGTTAGTGTTCTCCAAAAAACAGAACCAGTAGGATAGATGGATGGACGGATGGACGGATAGATAGATAGATAGATAGATAGATAGATAGATAGATAGACAGACAGACAGATAGATAAAAGAAGATTTATTGTGGAAATTTGCTCACATGATTATGAAGGCTGAGAAGTCCCAATATGAGAATATGAGAAGTGACAATATGTCATCTGCAAGCTGGTATGCCAGGAAGGCTGATGGTGTGATTCAGTCAGGCCAAAGGCCCAAGAACAGGGATTGGAGTCAGGCACTGTTGTAAGTCCCAGAGTCTGAAGGCCCTGAGAATCAGGAGCCCCAATGTCTGAGGACAGGAAAAGAGGGCTGACTCTGCTGAAGAGGAGAGAGCACAAATCGCCCTTCATCTTTTTATTTGTTCTGGGTCCTGCATAGATTGGATGAGGCCCATTCACACTGGTGAGGGCGGATCTGCTTTACTCAGTCCACTGATTCAAATCCTCATCTCTTCCAGAAACACCCTCACAGACACACCCTGAAGCAATGTGTTACCAGCTATCTGAGCATCCCTTAACCCAGTCAAGTTGACACAAAAAATTAACCATTACAGAAAGAGATTAAATATTCTGTGAATTTTTATAATCATGTTTCAGACTAAAACAAAAGAAAAAATATTCTCTTCAAAGACAAGCTGGGGAGGAGAACAATGAAGATCTCCTGAAATATCAGAATTGCTGCGACAGCTCTGTACTTGCTTCACTCTTTGGGCTATGCAGACATGAACAACTGGGTCAGCTCCTAGCTCGAAATTTCTGCTGTCTTCCCTTCCTACCCTTGCTTTCGCTTACAGCCGTCAGGGAGCACCGTCATGACCCGGCAACTCTGGCTTCATCTAAAATGTTAAATAGTCAAAGGTCCTAGCCGGTTCTTTACTTACCCATTGTTTTAAATCTATCAGCCAATTGTAGAACATAAGGCTGCAAGTCACGTCATTCCATTGGGGCAAAAAATTATGGATCCTTAGTCTTAAAAAAAGATTCTAGTCAAAGATTCACCTTCCCGTTACATTAAAAAATAATGTGGCCAGTGAGAGACTCCCGTTTCTCAGCACGAGCTTGTGTGGAGCTCCAAGCTCCATCCTCTGGAAAATGAGACCAGCTCTCCCACCTAGAATGTGATTACCCGGTCGGCACCCTGGCTTCCTGAGGGTGAGAGAAGGTAGGGGCATGGCTTCTTTTCCTGAAAGGCAGAAGTCACGCCATCTGGGAAACTTCTAGATTCCCACCACTGTTCATCCCCTGCCTCCTCCAGACCCTTAAGCCTGATCCTGATGGTTCTTGCCTCAGCTGGAGGCTCCCTAGAATACTTATGTCCACCACGGTCAGGTCACAGGAGTCATGAAAAAATTACATATGATTACACACACCTAAATGCGTATACATGCACACACACACATACACATGGACACATACACTTTTGCACACCCAAGTGCACACACATGTGCATGCACATGCACATAATGAACACACCCCCCCACAAATGCTCCCATGCACACACACATATGTGCACACACGTACATGCTTGCACATACATATACACACATACCATTAAAAATGCATTAGAATGCTTCCTTTCAGAAGCAAAATCCTGGCTCTTCCTCCTAGCATTTCCTGTGTGAGTTTGCAGTTACAGACGGTGTTGCAGTCAGTCCAATGCTGTAAATAATACTCTCCAACGAAATGACACCTGCTAGAAAGTTACTTCTTTATGGGTTTCAGAATACAGGGTTGGAGTAGGGGGAAGAATGAAAGATAGATTTGAGCTCTTCAAACATCACTCTATTGATTTATGTAGGAAAAAGTCTGGAATCTGTCAAAGCACACAGCACTATGTTAAATGTAAAATGTAATACCAGCTGTGGTAGCCCCTGCTGCCAATACATATATTTCAGGAACTCAATTTACTTTTAAATGGAATTTTAACTTCAGTGAAAGGAGTCACAGTGAATCCCTTATTTATATGAAAACTGTCTTCAGCAGAGAACAATGCATGTGCTCTCCCAGTCTCTAGAAATAGGAAATTAGACAAACTTCAGGAGAAAATGTGTTTTCTCAATTATTTATTTACACCCCAGGATGGGGTCAGGGAGAAGTGGGGAGGTTGGATTACGTGGGGTGGGGCTGTCAGCTTTCCAATTTCTGGTTCCATCCTGGGTGCTTTGTGCTGGAGCTTCTTTCTTCAGTGGAATGTGAGAAGCCCCCTCCTCAGGACTTGGGGCTGCCTGTAGGTGACCTGGATGGGGAGAGACCCATTGCTGGTTCTCAGACACTTCTCGCATCTACGTAAGCAGGAGCCTCAGAGGTCCTGAGCCGGTGCGTACTAACGACTCTGGTGAATTGGTGACATCTGCATGCTCAATTAGCTGAGACACTGGTTTGTTTTGGCACAAGGTATTTGGTCTAACACCTTGAAAAAAAGTGTACCATAGCCACCCTGTCACTGGGATGAAGATGACCTAAGTCAACAGCAATTCTGATCACTGCACATTTTTAGCACCGAGAAAGGATCCTCTCTTTTGGCAGAAACAGCAAGTCCTGACTCTCCCCTTCCTGTGCACAAAGTAACCTCTTCAAGAAAATAGATTCCTGGGATGACGGGGTGGTAAGGGGACTCAGGGACATCGGTTCAGCCACCATCGGAAGCCTGAGTCCTTTCCCTAGAATCCTGTGATCTTTGGTGACTTTTGGTGAGGGTTCCCATGCTGTGTGCATCAGCCGCAGACCTGTCCTCGGGCCCCAGAGACTGGGAACTCCCAGGGGAAAGTCATTCAATCCAATCACCCACTTAGGTTCTCTGTCCAGAAATGACACAGGAAAAAGAGTTTTATTAATATTATAATGTACTGGCTGGGCGCGGTGGCTGAAGCCTGTAATCCCAGCACTATGGGAGGCGAAGGCAGGTGGATCACCTGAGGTCAGGATTTCGAGACCAGCTTGCCCAACATGGTGAAAGCCCCTCTCTACTAAAAACACAAAAATGAGTCGGGCATGGTGGCACATGTCTGTAATCCCAGCTGCTCCGGTGGCTGAGGCAGGAGAATTGCTTGAACCCAGGAGACAGAGGTTGCAGTGAGCTGAGATTGCACCATTGCACTCCAGCCTGAGCGACAAGAGCGAAACTCCGTCTAAAAAAAAAATTATAATGTACAAGATAATCTGTGTGAGTTAACAAGAATCCACAGGGCTCAGATTGGCTCTAATTAGAATCTGAAAATAAATTCTCCGCTGTGAAATCTGTATCATTTAATCATCAAATTACATATCCCATTCACATTAGTCTTCATATTGTGAGGCTTTTAATATAAATGTAAGCATAGAATGGATTACATGCTTTTAGTTTGATAACATGAACACTGATACATGCTTTTGGAAAGATTATAAAGAAATCACTTAGGCACCACAGATCTGCCCCAGCCCCTGAAACAATGTCCATGGTAGCTTTGGGGAAATGCACACAAGAGCACGGAGAAGCTGCCACCCCCCAACCCACAACACCCAAAACAGCTTTGAATAGGCCTAGTTTCTCCCAGCAAAACACACACCCAAAGCATTCCTTTTCAAAAATACACATCTATCAGAATCATGAGAGATTTAAGGTCTGATTTATCCCTGGATTTGTTTCCTTTCTTTTAGGCTGCAGGTGCCTCGGTATATATTATATTATAAGCTGATTAATTTTCTCCATTTTGGCTACAAAAGACATTTGATTCTACTTGTTTTAGATTTCAAAGCTCAGTCTTTCTGGATGGGCAAGCACTTTGAGTGTTCAAAACAGACTTACAGGCTATTATTCTCTGTCCTTAATCTCAGTGAAACAATACCTGGATTTGCTGCCCCTGCCTCTTCAGCCTGTCTCGTCTCGACTCCTCCCAAATCCAGAGCTTGCAGCTGGCAAGTACAAGACAGAGACTTAAAAATCTAATCGAGCAAGGACCCAGAGATATGCCTGGTGCTGCCATTGTTTCAAGTGCATCTTCCTCCTGTTACTCTTAAGCCAGGGTGAAGGAGAGCTGCCAAGACCTCTTGGTTGCAGGCCCCCAGCAGAGTCTTCTCTCTGAGTAGCACTTGGTCTGTTTATCCCAGCTCTGCACCTACTAGTTGAGAGAACCGGGGTAACTAACTTCCACTTCCCCAGCTTCAGTTTTCTCATCTCCAATGGTGACATAATTGTACCTGTCCTATGGGTTGTTTTGGGAATTAAATGAGGAATCCTTGAATCGTGCCTAACACCATACCAGGCACATGGTGAGCATCCTTATGTCATCCTTTAGGGAATTGCAATCATGCTCATATCTGCATCTCTTGCCTCTATTGATTCCCATCCATTGCCCTGTGGCCTCCAGGGGCCAACAAAATGCTATTTCCTTTCCTCTCTACCCATATTATTACAGGTGTAGGGGGCCATTTCTTAAAGACACCTCTCACCCTTCTCACACATGAGGGCTCTGGCTGTCCTTAAGACACCCATAATTCAGCCAGCTCAGAACCTGTGACTGTTTCTCTCCTGTCCCCAGGAACCCAGTGGATATTTTAGACCCCCCAGCTGGCACTCAGCTGCTCAGGAAGTCTCTGCAAGTTTTGCTTCCTGCCCTCTGCTCAAACCCTCCGCTCTGGTCTGGGATCTCCATCCCACACACTAGTGCTTGTCTGGGCACTGCTCACCCTGCTCCTTCCATCAGCCCAGACCCCAAATCCCTACCCAAGCCCATGGCCCCAGAACCCCGAGTTTGCTGTGGAGGTGGGGAGGAGCTAGACAACCAGAATGGGCATTATCGTCAGACTTCCTTCACAGAGAAACCCACTTCTGCTCACAGAGGCTGCGAGGGCTTCCTGAGTTCTCCCAGATGGTGACCACACTGGTCAACTCATTCCAAAAACAATCTGAGCATTAAGTAGTCCAAAGAATCATTGTTTCTAAGTTTGTGAGAAAGGATGTTGATAGTTTGATAGGAACAATGGTGAATCTGTAGATTGCTTTGGGCACTATGGTCATTTTCACAATATTGATTCTTATAATCCTTGAGCATGGGATGTATTTCCTTTGTCTGTGTCAGCTGTGATTTCTTTCAGCAGTGTTTGTTAGTTCTCCTTGTAGAGATCTTCCACCTCCTTGGTTAGATGTATTCCTAGGTATTTTATTTTAATTTTTATTATTTTATTTATTTTTTTTTGAGACAGAGTCTTGCTCCGTCGCCCAGGCTGGAGTGCAGTGGCGCGCGCGATCTTGGCTCACTGCAAGCTCCACCTCCCAGATTCACGCCATTCTCCTGCCTCAGCCTCCTGAGTAGGTGGGCTTACAGGCGCCCACCACCACGCCTGGCTAGTTTTTTGTATTTTTAGTAGAGATGGGGTTTCACCGTGTTAGCCAGGATGGTCTCGATCTCCTGACCTCGTGATCTGCCTGCCTCAGCCTCCCAAAGTGCTGGGATTACAGGCGTGAGCCACCACACCCTGCCAGTAATTTATTTTTTTATTTTTTTATTATTTTTTATTTATTTATTTTTTTGAGACAGAGTCTCCCTCTGTCTCCCAGGCTGGAATGCAGTGGCACAATCTTGGCTCACTGCAAGCTCCACCTCCCAGGTTCATGCCATTCTCCTGCCTCAGCCTCCCCAGTAGCTGGGACTTCAGGCACCCTCCACCATGCCTGGCTGATTTCTTTTTGTATGTTTAGTAGAGACGGGGTTTCACTGTGTTAGCCAGGATGGTCTCGATCTCCTGACCTGTGATCCACCTGCCTTGGCCTCCCAAAGTGCTAGGATTACAGGCGTGAGCCAGCACGCCCAGCCAGTATTTTATTTTTTTATGGCTATTGTAAATGGGACCGCATTCTTGATTTGGCACTTTGCTTGAACATTATTGGTAGAAATGCTACTGATTTTTGTACATTGATTTTGTATCCTGAAACTTTACTGATGTTATTTATTATTTCCAAGAGTCTTTTGGTGGTTTCTTCAGGGTTTTCTAGGTATAGAATCATATGGTCAGCAAAAAGATAGTTTGACTTCTTTTCCTGTTTAAATGCCTTTTATTTCTTTCTCTTGCCTAATTGCTCTGGCTAGGACTTCTAGTACTATGTTAAATAGGACTGGTGAGAGTGGGCAACCTTGTCTTGTTCCAGTTCTTAAAGGGAATGGCTCCAGTTTTTGCCCATTTAGTGTAATGTTGACTATGTGTTTGTCAAGGAAGGCTCTTATTATTTTGAGGTATGTTCCTTTGATGCCTAGTTTCTTGAGGGTTTTTATCATGAAGGGATGTTGAATTTTATCAAAACTTTTCCATGTCTATTAAGATAATCATACAGTTTTTGTTTGTAATTCTGTTTATGTGGTGAATCACATTTATTGATTCATATACATTGAACCAACCTTGGATCCCAGGAATGAAGCCTACTTGATCATGGTGAATTAATTGTTTGATGTGCCACTGGATTTGGTTTGCCAATATTTCATTGAGGATTTTTGCGTCTATATTCATCAGGGATATTGTCCTATAGTTTTATTTTTTTGTGACGTCTTTGCCAGGTTTTGTTAGCAGGCTGAGCAAAAAACAACCCCATTAAAAATGGCCAAAAGACATAAATAAACACTTAAAAGAAAACATAGAAGTGGCCAAAAAACATGAAGAAATACTCCACATCACTAATCATCAGAGAAATGCAAATCAAAACCATAATGAGATACCATCCCACACCAGTCAGAATACTTATTGTTAAAAAATCAAAAAACAGGTGATGTTGGTGAGGTGGCACAAAAAAAAGAAACACTTATACACTATTGGTGGGAATGTAAATTAGTTCAGCCACTTGGAAAGCTCCAAGTGGAAAGCAGCTTGGAGATTTCTCAAAGAAATTAGAACACAACTACCATTCAACCCAGCAATCTCTTTACTGGGTTTATATTCAAAAGAAAATAAAATGTTCTACCAAGAAGACACATGCATTCATATGTTCATTGCAGCACTATTCATAATAGCAAAGATATGGAATCAATCTAGGTGCCCATCAATGGTGGGTTGGATAAAGAAAATGTGGTACATATACACTATGGAATACTACACAGCCATAAAAATGAATGAAATCACATCTCTTGCAGCAACATGGATGCAGGTGGAGGCCACTATCCTAAGCAAATTAACTCAGGAACAGAAAACCCAATACTGCATGTTCTCACTTATATGTGGAAACTAAACACTGGGTACTCATGGTCATAAATATAGGAATGATAAACACCAGGGACTACTGTGAGGGCAGGCAAGGGAGAAAAGCTAACTATTGGATACTATGCTCAGTACATGGGTGACAGGATCAATCATACCTCAAATCTCAGCATCACACAATATGCCTATGTAACAAATTTGTACATGTGCCCCCTGAATCTCAAATAAAAGTGTTTTTAATAATAAGAAATAAATAATATAAAAGCCATTCATGTCTTCCAAAATTACTATTCACTGTGCTATGCTAGTCACTGTATAAGGGGCTGCAATCCATTAGAACAAGTGAGATGGAGAAGCACATTATGCTAGGGGCGGGAATTGTGTGTTAAGCCTGGGGAAAGTGAAAAAGAGAATTAGAAGACGAGCCTTGCATTGGATAACCTATTTTTTTAAAGTATATATAATAGGCTTATTGTGCTGTAATTTACATATCAAAAATCAGCTTTTTTTTTTTTTGAGACAGAGTGTCGCTCTGTCGCCCAGGCTGGAGTGCAATGGCGTATTCTCAGCTCACTGCAACTTCCACCCCCTGGGTTCTAGTGATTCTCCTGCCTCAGCCTCCCGAGTAGCTGGGATTACAGGCACCTGCCACCACGCCCGACTCATTTTTGTATTTTTAGTAGAGATGGGGTTTCACCATGTTGGCCAGGCTGGTCTTGAACTTCTGACCTCAGGTGATCTGCCTGCCTCGGCCTCCCAAAGTACTGGGATTACAGGCGTGAGCCACCGCACCTGGCCAAAATCAACAATTTTTAAGTGTCTGACTCAGTAATTTTAGCATAATCATTACCACTATCTAGTCCCAAAACAATTTTATCACCCCCTCCTAAAATGCGTAGGCACTAGCTGTCACTCCTCATTCTGCACACCCCATACCACTCACTAATCTGTGTCTGTTTCTATGTCTTTACCTATTGTGGACATTTCATACTTGCTATACTCTATCTTTTTTTATGCTAGCAATTCTAGTGGGTCTGAAATGGTATCTCACTGTGTTTTTGATTTGCATTTCCCTAATGATTCATGGTATTGAGCATCTTTTCTTTTCCTGTGCTTGTTGGCCATTTTATATCTTCTTTGGAGAAATGTCTGTTCAAATCCTTTGCTCATTTTTAATTGGATTATCTATACATATATTTTTTTTTGAGATGAAGTCTCGCTCTGTCACCCAGGCTGGAGTGCAGCGGCGCGATCTCTGCTCAATGCAAGCTCCGCCTCCCAGGTTCACGCCATTCTCCTGCCTCAGGCTCCCGAGTAGCTGGGACTACAGGTGCCTGCCACCATGCCCGGCTAATTTTTCATATTTTTAGTAGAGATGGGGTTTCACCGTGTTAGCCAGGGTGGTCTTGACCTCCTGACCTCGTGATCCGCCTGCCTCGGCCTCCCAAAGTGCTGGGATTACAGGCGTGAGCCACCGCGCCCGGCCGATTATCTGTTATTTTCATGTTTGAGTGTGAGAGTTTTTTTATATACACAAGTCCCTTATTAGATACATGATTTGCAGATATTTTGTCACATTCTTTGGGTTGTCTTTTCATTTTCTTGATGGTGTCATTTGAAGCCAAAAATTTTTATTTTAATGATGTTCCATTGATCTATTTTTTTTTCTTCTATTGGGTATGCTTCTGGTGTGATAGCTAAGAACCTATTGACTAGTCCATGTTTACAAAGATTTATGCCTATGTTTACTTTTAAGGGTTTTACAGTTTTAGGCCTTACATTTAGGTCTATTATGCATTTCAGGTTAATTTTTGTGTATGGTGGGAGATGCAGATAGTGGTACAACTTAATTCTTTTGTATTTTTTGAGCTTTCTTGAAAATCAATTTACCCTAAATATGTGGGTTTATTTCTGGACTCTCAATTGTGTTGCAATTATCTATAAGTCTATCTATCTTTGTGCCAATATCTCATATCTCGATTACTGTAACTTTACAGTAAGTTTGAAATTGAGAAGTATGAGTCCTCTAATTTTGTCGTTCTTCTTTGAGATTGTTTTGGTTATTCTGGGTTCTGTGGATTTCCACATGAATTTTAGGACCATCTTGTCTATTTCTTCAAGAAGGCAATTGGAATTTTGTTTGGGATTGCATTAAATTTGTAGGTCATTTGGGAGATTATTGACATCAATATTAAGCCTACCAATTCATAAACATGTGATTTCTTTCCATTTATTTCAGTATTGTTAAATGCCTTCAGATTATGTCTTATAGTTTTCAGTATTCAAGTCTTGCACTTTGTTAGTTAAATGTATTCCTTTTGATGCTATGGTAAATGGAATTGATTTCTTAATTTCACTTTTGATTTGCTTTTTTGCTAGTATATAGAAATACAGTTAAATTTTGTGTATTGAGTTTGTATCCTGCAGCCTTGCTGAATATATTTTATTGGTTCTAATAGATTTTCTCATGGATTCTTTAGGATTTTCAATATACAAGTTCACGTCATCTGTGAATAGAGATAGTTTTCCAATCTTGAGGCTTAGTTCTCTTTCTCATCTTCTCTCCCTGGCTGGAACTTAAGTACAACTTTGAATAGAAGGGGTGAGAGTGGACATTCCTATCTTGTTCCTAATCTGGGGATGGGGGACAGCATTCAGTCTTTCATAATTATGATGTTAGCTGTGCGTTTTATCAAGTTGAGTAAGTTTACTTTTATTCTCAATTGGTTAATGCTTTTAATGTGAAAGGCTGTTGGATTTTTAAAAGTGCTTTTACATCCATTGAGATGATCATGTGTTTTTTGTCTTTTATTCTATTAATATGATGCATTACACTGATTAATTTTGTATTTTGAACCAACCTGTATTACTAGAATAAATCCCACTTGGTGATGTTGCATAATCCTTTTTATATATTGCTATATTAAACTTGCTAGTATTTTGTTAAGGATTTCTGCATCTATTTTCATAAGCTATATTGTCTACAGTTTCCTTTATTATGTATGTGTCTGAACATCAGGGTTAAAACTGGGATCCCGTCATGAATTGGGAAGTTTCACTCCTATTTTTTGGAAAAGTTTGTTAAGGATTGGTGTTTTAAACATTTGATAAAATTCTTCTTTAAACATTTGATAAAATTCAACAATGAAGACATCTGGCCTGGCATTTTCTTTATGGACGATTTTTCATTACTAATTTAATCTTTTTTCTTGTTATAGGTATATTCAGATGTGTTTCTTCTTGGGTCAGTTTCGGTAGATTTTGTGTTTAGAGGAATTTTTCCATTTCATATTGGTTGTTTAATTTACCGGCATACTCTTGCTCATAGTATTCCCTTATAGCCTTTTTTTTTTTTTTTTTTTGAGACAGAGTCTCGCTCCCTCTCCCAGGCTGGAGTGCAGTGGCGTGATCTCGGCTCACTGCAAGCTCCACCTCCCGGGTTCACACCATTCTCCTGCCTCAGCCTCTCAAGTAGCTGGGACTACAAACACCCGCCACCATGCCCGGCTAATTTTTTGTATTTTTAGTAGAGACGAGGTTTCACCTTGTTAGCCAGGATGGTCTCGATCTCCTGACCTCGTGATCCGCCCGCCTCGGCCTCCCAAAGTGCTGGGATTACAGGCGCGAGCCACTGCGCCTGGCCTATAGCCGTTTTTTATTTCTGTAAGGTTGGCAGTAACATTCCCTCTTTCACTCCTGCTTTTAGTAATTTGAGTCTTCTCTCTCATTTTCTGTTACTCTAGCTAAAAGTTTGTCAATTTTGTTAAGTTTTCCAAAGAATCAACTTTTGGCTTCATTTTATTGTTTTTCTAGTCTCAATTTCATTCATCTCCACTCTAATCTTTATGTTTCCCTCCTTTCCGCTTGCTTTGGGTTTAGTTTTCTCTTCTTTTTCTCGTTTTTAAGGTAGAAGTTTCACTTAAAGATTTGAAATCTCTCCTCTTTTTTAATATAGTCCTTTGCAGCTATAAATCTACCTCTTAGCACTGTTTTCACTGCATTCCATAAACGTTGGTATGCTGTTTTCATTTTCATCCATCTCAAAGTATTTTCTCATTTCCCTTATGATTTCTTCTTTGACCTATTATTATTAGAATTTTGTTATTTAATTTCCACATATTAGTAAATTTTCTAAATTTCCTTCTATTAAAAGACCTAATTTCATTCCACTGCAATTAGAAAACATACTTTATTATTTCAATATTTTAAATTTATTGAGACTGGTTGAACAGCCTACCATATTGTCTACCCTTGAGAATGTTTCACTTGACAAAAATGTGAATTTTGCTATAGTTGGGTGGAGTGTTCCACAAATGTCTGCATAGGCTAGTTGGTTTATACTGTTTTCAAGTCTTCTATTTCCTTGTTGATCTTATCCCTAATCATTCTATCAAGTATTGAAAATGAAATATTAGAGTTTTGGAGTATTAATGTTGAATCATCTATTTCTCCCTTCAATTCTGTCCGTTTTTGCTTCATCTGTTTTGGGGGCTCCCTTGTTAGGTGTGTGCATGTTTATAAATGTTACATATTCCTGATGAATTGACTCATTATTTTAAAACCTCCTCCTTTTTCTCTAGTAAAACTTGTCTTAAAGTATGTTTTGTCTGATATTAGCTCCACTCTGGCTCTCTCTTAGTACTGTTTTATGGCATATATTTTCTAGCCTTTTACTTCCAACCTGTTTGTGATTTTATTCTAAAGCATATCTCTTGTAGACAGCATATAGTTGTATCAGGTGTTTTTTATTTCCATTTTGCCAACCACTGTCTTTTGATTGGAATACTTATTTCATTTACATTTAATGTAATTATTATAAAATAGGATTTATGCCTGCCATTGGGCTATTTGCTTTCTGTATATCTTATGTCTTTTTGTTCTTCTACTACAGACTTCTTTAAATTAAATAGATATTTTCTAGTATAGCATCTTTATTCCCTTATTGCTTCTTTTCCTACATGCTTTTGAATTATTTTCTTAGTGGTTGCTCTGGGGATTACAGTTAATGTTATAACTTGCTACTATCTAGCTCAGATTAATACCAATTTAATTTCAATAGTATCCAAAATTTGCTCCAATATAGCTCCACTATCTTTCTCCTTATTTCTCATTATGATTTCAAACAAATTATATCCTTGTACCTTATAAGCACATTCACACAGTTTTAAAATTATTGCTTTATACAGTTATCTTTTAAATTAGATAGGAGTAAAAAGAGTTACAAAAACTATATTTATACCACCTTTTACAGTTACCTATGTGTTTATCTTTACCAGTGCTTTTTATTTCTTTATGTAGACTTCAGTCTCTCTCTAGTGCCCTTCAATTCCAATCAAAAGAATTCCTTTTAAGTATTCTGTGTAGAACACACCTACTAGTGAACAAATTCTCTCATTTTTGTTTTTTTGGGCATGTCTTAATTTCTCATTTTTGTTTAAAATATAGTCTTGCTGAATATGGAATTTTTAGTTGACAGTTTTTTCCAGTACTTATATATATAATCCCATTGCTTTTTGGTTTCTATGGTTTCTTATAAGAAGTCACTTATAAACTTTCATGTGGTGAATAACTTCTCTCTGGCTGCATTTAAGATTCATTCTTTGTCTTTGTTTTTGTTTCTGGTAAAATATACATAACATAAAATTTATCATTTAACCATTTTAAGTGTACAATTCTGTGGCATTCACATTAAGCACACATGTATTTCAAATTAAGTAAATTCACATGGCTGTTCAGTCATCACTACCATCTGATGTGATTTGCATATTCATCCTCTCCAAATCTCATGTTGAAATGATATAATTTCCCTTGTTGGAGGTAGGGTCTGGTGGGAGGTATTTGGGTTGTGGGGTGGATCCTTCATGAATGGCTTGGTGCCCTCCACATAGTAATAAGTGAGTTCTGTAGTTCATGCAAGAGATAATCGTTTAAAGGAGACTGGCACCTCTCTTCCTCTCTCTGGCTCCCTTTCTTGCCATGTGACATACCAGCTCCCCTTCCCTTCTGCTATGAGTAAAAGTTTCCTGAGCCCTCACTAGGAGCTGAGCAGGTTCCATACTTGTACAGCCTACAGACCTGTGAGACAAATACACCTCTTTTCTTTATAAATTACCCAGTCTCAGGTATTCCTTTACAGTAATGCAAAATGGACTAACACACAATCCATCCCCAGAAATTTTTCATCCTCCCAAACTAAAATTCAGCACCTATTAAACAATTACTCCCAAATCTCCCATCTTCCCAATGCCTGGAAACCTGAATTCTACTCTTTGTCTCTATACATTTGGCTGTTTTAGGTGCCTCATATAAGTGGAATTATACAACATCTGTCTTTTTGTGCCTGGCTTATTTCATTAAGGAAAATATCTTCAAGATTCATTACGCTATGGTATGTGTGAGAATTTTCATCCTTTCTTAGCTAAATAATATTCCATGGTATGGATATACCACATTTTGTTTGTCTATTCATCTGCCAATGGACATTTGAGAAATTTACACCTTTTGGCTATTGTGAAGAACGCTGATATATGAGCATTGATGTCCTATTTATGGCTTCTGAGAGCTTGATTATGATGTGTCTACATGTAGATCTCTTTGGATTTATTCTATTGGGAATTCTTTAAGATTCTTTTTTTCTTTTTTGAGATGGACTCTTGCTCTGTCACCCAGGCTGGAGTGCAATGATACGATTTTGGCTCACTGCAACCCGTCTCCCAGGTTCAAGCAATTCTCCTGCTTCAGCCTCCCAAGTAGCTGGAACTACAAGCACCCACCACCACACCCAACTAATTTTTGTATTTTTAGTAGAGATGGAGTTTCACCATGTTGGCCAGGCTGGTCTTGAACTCTTGACCTCAGGTGATCCTCCCGCCTTGGCCTCCCAAAGTGCTAGGATCACAGGCGTGAGCCACTGTGCCTAGCTGGAATTCATTAAGATTCTTGAATGTGTAGATTGATTTTTTAAATCAAATTTGTGTAGTTTTCAGTTTATTTCTTTAAATATTCTTTCTTCTCCTTTTGTCTCTCCTCTCCTTCTGTGACTTCCATTTTACCTGTATTGGTACACTTGATGATGTCCTATAGGTATACGAGACTGTTTATTTTCCTTCATTCTTTTTTCCTTTTATTTTTCAAACTAGGTAATCTCAAATGACCTGTCTTAAAGTTCACTGATTCTTTCTTTTACGAGCTCAAATCTCCTTTGAATATGATGATAATTTTTCATATTTTGATTATTTTCATTTTCAACTCCAGGATTTCTACTTAGTTCTTTTTAAATAATTTTCTTCTCTTTATTGATATTGTCTATTTGGTGAAACCATTCTCATACATATCTTTAATTATTTGAACGTAGTTTCTTTTAGTTTTTGAGCCTATTTATAGCACCTAATTTAAAGTCTTTGTCTAGTAAGTCTGTTGTCTATGCTTCCTCAGGGAAAGTTTGTATTTACTGTGTTCCCCTAGTGTGTCCAAGGCATGAACCAGGCATGGGCACAGACAAAAGGCCAAGCTGAAATAAACAAGGGGTTGCTTTGTCCCTGGCTGATATGAGATGAATGTCACAGCCAGATGCCACTCTACCCAGGTCAGAGGCATTGACTGCTTTTCTACCTGTGTATGAGTCATACATTCCAATTTTTGTCTGTTTCATTTTGTTGTTGTTGAAAACTGGGCATTTAAAATAATAGAATGTGGCAACTATGGATATCAGATTACCCACCCTTCCCCAGGTTTTCTTGTTGCAGGTATTGTTGTTTGTTTGCCTAGTTACTTTCCTTTTTCATTTTTCTTAGATGGAGTCTCACTCTGTTTGTCCAGGCTGGAGTGCAGTGATGCAATCTTGGCTCACTGCAACCTCCCCCTCCTGGATTGAAGCGATTCTCCTGCCTCAGCTTCCTGAGTAGCTGGGATTACAGGCATGCACTATGCACTACCATGCCCAGCTAACTTTTGTTTTTGTTTTTTCTTTTCTTTTCTTTTTTTTTGAGACAGAGTCTCGCTCTGTCGCCCAGGCTGGAGTGCAGTGGCACGATCTTGGCTCACTGCAAGCTCCGCCTCCCAGGTTCACGCCATTCTCCTGCCTCAGCCTCCTGAGTAGCTGGGACTACAGGTGCCTGCCACCATGTCCGGCTAATTTTTTGTATTTTTAGTGGAGACAGGGTTTCACCGTGTTAGCCAGGATGGTCTCCATTTCCTGACCTTGTGATCCACCTGCCTTGGCCTCCCAAAGTGCTGGGATTTACCGGCATGAGCCACCGTGCCCGGCCAAGCTTTTTATTTTTTGTATCTCTAAAAATGTGGCTGGGTGTGGTGGCTCATGCCTGTAATCCCAGCACTTTGGGGGGCCGAGGTGGGCAGATCATGAGGTCAGGAGATTGAGACCATCCTGGCTGACATGGCGAAACCCCATCTCCACTAAAAATACAAAAAAATTAGCTGGGCTTGGTGGAGGGCGCCTGTAGTCCCAGCTACTCGGGAGGCTGAGGCAGGAGAATGGTGTGAACCCGGGAGGCAGAGCTTGCAGTGAGCCTAGATGGCACCACTGCACTCTAGCCTGGGCAACAGAAGGAGACTCCATCTCAAAAATAAATAAATAAATAAAAAATTGTGGGCTTAGATGTATTTTTTAATTAAGTTTTATTATTTTTTATTTATTATTATTATTTTTTGAGACAGAGTCTCACTCTGTCGCCCAGGCTGGAGTGCAGTGGCGCAATCTCAGCTCACTGCAAGCTCTGCCTCTCGGGTTCACGCCATTCACCTGCCTCAGATTCCCGAGTAGCTGGGACAACAGGCACCCGCCACCACACCCAGCTAATTTTTTTTTTAAATTTTTATTTTTAGTAGAGATGGGGTTTCACTGTGTTTGCCAGATGGTCTTGATCTCCTGACCTCATGATCTGCCTGCCTCGGCCTCCCAAAGTGTGGGGATTACAGGCATGAGCCACCACTCCTAGCCTAAATTTTATTTTTTTAATAGAAAAATAATTATACATATTCATGGGGGTACATAGTGATGTTTTCATATGTATATAACGTGATAACGTGTAGTAATCAGATCAGGATAATTATCCTTTTAAGCTTTTTTGTCAGCATCTTGTTAGTCCTAACTGCTAACATTGCCACAGGAATCTCCAATATTAAACAATTGTTGCTGATTGTTTTCTGCAAATTACCTAGAGGTAGAACTGTTCACAGAGATGGAACTCGGAGTCAGGTGAAATAAAGGCAAGTCTTGAAAAACTGAGTTTTTCAGTGACTTTCTAGACAGGTCAAATAGTGACAGTTCTCTAGGGATGGGGCTTTAGGGGAACTCCAGCCCTGATCTGTCTCCTCTAGTGGCTGCTGGTTTTCAAGAGGGGCATGGGATTAGGGCAAGTAAAGATGCCACAAACCTGTTCTGACGAGATTCTGCTGTTTTTCTTGAATAAACCCTCCTCAGATTGTTGCAAGCCTTTAGTTAATTTCCAGAATTCCAACAAAATTGATTTTGGCAATTCTTGGTAGTGTTTTTATTTCTTTTATAGGAGAGTAGATATACAAAAGGCTTTGCTGTTCTGGAAAACTGAATCTTGCAATGCAAGTAAAAGTCAAGCATGCAGAGAAGGCAATAAAGAGCATCCCAGGAAGTGGGGCTAGCAGAGGAGAGGTAGAAGCCTCAGAGAGGGTGGCTCATGAAGTGTGGCTCAGTGTGGCTGAGACGGAGGGTTCCCTTGGGAATGCACACAGAAGATAAAGATGGGGATTTAAGCAGTGACAAAACCCAAGGGGCCTTTATTCCAGGTTATTTTTCTCTGGCTTTTAACATTTAAGATTTTAGATTATAATAGGGAAAATCTGTGGTTCCAGGATAGTTCTTTCATTTGTCACCTATTTGCCTCCAGTTGCATCACACCACCTAGCTCCTGGGCTCTGTAGATCACAATCTGCCACCCATCCTCTCTTCTCCTCCCCAGGAATGAGAAAACACCAGCAGAACTGGGCCCACTGCCTCATGCTGACTGCTGGGAAGAATCTGGCACTTAGCCCTTGCCTCAGAATGTCCTTTCCTCCCTAAAGCCCATAGAATCAGAATGCACTTTCTCGGGGTGAATGTACAGATGATTTGTTAGGTAAATTGGCAGAAACCTTAAGATTACAAGCAGAAAGATAGAGGGTCATCAGACTGTGCTTGCAGAGCTGGAAGAAGCTGTCTTCCACATTACAGGTTTTCCCCTCCTATTTTCCCTTACGCTAACCCTGAAAACCTTCTTAATTTGGTAGCATGCCCAACCCACAATCTGCCTTTCACCCTTACAGATTTATGGCAAGCTGTATTTCACCTAAGAAATGTAAGCTGTGAAGAGATTATTGTGTGGGGATCCGATCTGGTCCAAATCCTTCTGATCCACCACTATGGACAAGTTGCTCCTAACCTTCCTCTCTGTTATCTCGTCTCCTCTTCTGTCAGATGACAATGATAATCCCCACCCCTTGCTGACCTAATACAGTCTAATACAGACTTTAGGAAAGTGACTTGAAATCAGAAAACTGTAAGCTCCTTGACAAAAAGTTCCCACTTAAAGACAGGCTTTCTCCTTATCCTTACAAGCATGATTTCCGGCTTAACACGGATTTACAAATACCATGAGTTCCAGTTCTGAACTGTGTAGCTCTGCCCTTGAACATCCACAGGGGAAGAAATGCTTATTATTGTCGGGATTTCAGTCCAGATGAGAGAGTGCTAACTGCAGCAAGTGAGAAGGGCGGCGAGTGGGGAGGAGACCACGGGCCTGCTCCCAGCTGCACCCCTCACTCATCCCAAACATACCAGGCATTGTGTTCCAAACCAGATTCTGCCCATTAGATCCATGTGGGAGAAGGGAGCTCTGCTTTTTTTTTTTTTTCGTTTAAACATAAGTAGTTTCACAAATAAAGTTCTTGCTTAAACTTTATTTAGCTATCATCCAAGTAAGCTTTCTGGGAAAAACACCCATGAGCCCTGCTGCTGCAAGCCCCTCATGCCTCTGTGTGGGGTGAGTGAGCAGGTCTGAATTTTTTTGTTTGCTTGTTTGTTTTTGAGACAGAGTCTCACTCTGTCACCCAGGCTGAAGTGCAGTGGCATGATCTCGGCTCACTGCAACCTCTGCATCCCAGGTTCAAGCGATTCTCCTGCCTCAGCCTCCTAAGTAGCTGGGATTACAGGCACCCACCACCATATCCAGCTAATTTGTTTATTTTTAATAGAGACAGGGTTTCACCATGTTAGCCAGGATGGTCTCGATCTCCTGACCTCATGATCCACCCACCTCGGCCTCCCAAAGTGCTGGGATTACAGGCGTGAGCCACCACGCCCAGCCAGGTCTGAGTTTTACATTGTGCCCAGGTAGTGATGTGGAGGAGATTTGAGGGGAGCAGGCCCCACACCAGGGAGTTCACACGGGATGCTGTTAGATCCACCTGGCTGGGAGTATAGGAACAGAGGGAAGGGACAAACTCCAAAATCTTTAGGAGATTCAGTCAACCAATTTCATGACTTCTGGGTTGGGACAGAGTGGGAGAGGAAAGAGCTGGGATAGGCCTCGGGTTCTGGTTTGAGTCCCATCCACCAAAACAATGAATGAGCCGGAGAAGGAAGAGGACCTTGGTTTAGAACGTGTCAAAGCTGGGTGTTTCTGGGATGGTCAAGCGACTGGATTCCATAGGCAGATGGACATAGAAAGGGTTAAAGGCTGTTTTTGTTGTTTTGCTTTATTTTTTAGAATAATCATCATTGTAACACCAATCCTTATTAATTCAGGTCATCTTCACAACAAGATACAGATTCTATTATCCTGCTGATAGGCTGTGGGAAAACTGCTGGTAGAGAGGAAGAAGCTGGCAATGGGCGTGCCAGCTGATGATGAGTGGAACAAAGTCCACGAGGAGTGGGAGGTGGAAGCTCGGACGGAGCAGGTGGCAAAGGGGAACTCATCCACTGAGACATTAGGAAAGAAGACGTCAGTGTGTTCACATGCGGGGCCTAACCTGGTGGTTGGATGTTCTTGTCAAAAGAGGAATAATGAAGTGGATGGGCTTGGGCAGGGGCCTTGAGGGCAACAGTGAGGTGTGGGCAGCCTCTGAAGGCAGTGATTGAGGGGCCAGGCAGGAGCCCGTGCATTTGCTGTGGCTGTTTTATGCTGCAGACTGGGAGGGAGGAGAGCAGAGATGGCTGGCCGCCTAGCCCAGCTCCACCCACCCTCTTTCTTTCCTTCTGTTTGGAGAGGCGATGTGACCAGCCCAAACTTCTACGTGTCTCAGCCTCTCTTGCATCCAGGGAAGGCCTGTGTCAGAGTTCTGGCCAATGGGGTGGACACAGAAGTCCTTAGCTTGTCTTTCCAGAAAAGATTTTCTTTTAAATTGGTTTGTGTTTTGTTTGTGGGAATGCTCAGCTGGCACATGCCCTTTGCCCTTTACCCTTCCTTCCCCTTTCCTGCCTGGAATGCAGATGCAGTGCTGGAGGTGAAGCAGCCACATGGTGACCAGGAGGCAACAAGCATGAAGACAAAAGCCACATGCTAACAAAGACTGAATGAAGAGAAAGAGCCTGTTGGGAGCATTCTATGTATACTTGTTAGCCCTGTAGATTTCTTTTATGGGGGAATAAAATAAAACCTCCATTTAATGAAGCCACTGATGTCAGCTTTTATTACACACAGCCAATTGTAGGGTCAACTGATATGGAAGGGAAAACAGATTGTGGTGATGCTCTAGGACTAGGGGTCTGCAAGACAGGGCAAAAGGGGGTGGAGTGTCTTGGTGAAATAGAGGATTTATAATCAACTGTGGGGCCTAGACAGATTAGGGAAGAACAAGAGGCCTACAGAAAGCTAGGAAGCTGGAGGCATGGGGGTAAACTGCACATAGGAGTCTGTAAGCTTATTGTGGGAAGATCTGGGTGCTACGAGAGGGCAGGAACTTGGAACTTGGAACTTGGAACTGGCTGTTGATTCTGGTGTGGCCTATGACAGGTGTGACAAGACCTAGGATGGATGCAAGAGACATGCAGGTCACTGTGAAGCCATGGAAGCCAGAACTTACTCCAAGCAGGGCTCACAATGGGCAACCTTCTTGCGGATGCCTGAGACAGCTCAGTCAAGGTCAAAGCCAATTGCCCCTCCTTTCAAACCATGGCGGGCTTGTCGTAACTTCCTCAGTCCCACTGGGTGTCCTTTGGCTCTGTTCTTAGCCTGGCTTACCCTTCTCTTCTCTCCCCATCAAAGATAATTCCCACGGCAAGAGCATTAGTGGATATTTTTCAGAAACTGGCAAGGCTCTGTCAGTAATGTTTCCCTAGGACTGCAAATTTAAGCCAGTCTCCAAAACTCAGTAACCTGGTAGTAAATCATTATACTCTATTTTCCAAAGAAAATGTCACTTCTAGGATGGATATCCACTTTTGGCTCTTCATAAAATGACCAATGACCCCATAATAAGACAGCCACTATAGAAACCAAGCCAAATCTGGATGAGTAACAGAGGGAGATATTAGTGGAGTGTGTACATTAAGGGCCTGGCTGTGCCCACTCTTGCCCACAGCCCCTAATCAGCCAGTTGGCCCCTGAGAGCACCTAGGCCCTGCGCTGGTTTGATGGAAGCACTCCTACTCTCTCGTCCTCTGTGCCATTAGTCCTCTCCTTGTTTCTAACTTGTAACCAAAACAGTAACGTCCTCACAGCAGCTCCCTGTGTTCCTGCCAGCAAGGGCTCTACGGCAGTCTCGAGAATCTTCTGAAATCTCTCTTCAGACCCATTAGCTGGAGAGTGATAAAGCTCCAAGCTGTAAGACTGGGTGATTTGTTACCCGAGAAACATTTCATTTTAATTCTTTAAGAAATTGCTCAGAGTGATTCTTGGGGAAAAAGAAAAAAACAAAAAAATCCCATAGTTGAATCTTTTCATAGTCAAAACCACTTGCTGTTAAAATCATTGACTACATTTTTTCTGGAATGCTTGACTGATTACACTTGCCCTTCTCCAGAAATATTGACGGTTTCTCAGGCTATGTTGGTTCCCCAAGCACACATAACACAATCCTTGGCAAAATCACTAAAGGAATCATTTATATGGGCTAGAAGACTGCAGCTCTGCCTGGAGAATTGCATTATTTCTTATCTCAACTATAGTGCTGTCACCCTCCAAGGGGGCCTGCTGCACGTCTCCCTGGAGACCCCCACCGCAGGGCCAGAAGCTGCTGGCTGCAGCTGCCTCCTGCCAAGGGCTGTGTATTAGGCATGAGACAGGGGAGTAGAGGTCCTGGTCACTCCTTTCGCTCCAGAGGGTGGTTCCACGCTGTCCCAGGGACACTGGAGGCCGCATGGGCTTCGATAGGATACTGAGCGACAAAGAAATGGTTCAGAGTGCCGGTTCAGGACCGGGACATGCCTGGCCTTGCCTAGTTAGCCAGCATCTGCCTAACCCTCACTTCCTCATCTAGAATATTGTTCCCCACCTCATTTGATTCTTTTTTTTTTTTAATTATACTTTAAGTTTTAGGGTACATGTGCACATTGTGCAGGTTAGTTACACATGTATACATGTGCCATGCTGGTGCGCTGCACCCACTAACTCGTCATCTGGCATTAGGTATATCTCCCGATGCTATCCCTCCCCGCTCCCCCCACCCCACCACAGTCCCCAGAGTGTGATATTCCCCTTCCTGTGTCCATGTGATCTCATTGTTCAATTCCCACCTATGAGTGAGAATATGCGGTGTTTGGTTTTTTGTTCTTGCGATAGTTTACTGAGAATGATGATTTCCAATTTCATCCATGTCCCTACAAAGGACATGAACTCATCATTTTTTATGGCTGCATAGTATTCCATGGTGTATATGTGTCACATTTTCTTAATCCAGTCTATCATTGTTGGACATTTGGGTTGGTTCCAAGTCTTTGCTATTGTGAATAATGCCGCAATAAACATACGTGTGCATGTGTCTTTATAGCAGCATGATTTATAGTCATTTGGGTATATACCCAGTAATGGGATGGCTGGGTCAAATGGTATTTCTAGTTCTAGATCCTTTGATTCTTTAGGGGACTGCTATGGACTGAATGTTGGTGTCTCTCCCAGACTCACATGTGGAAATCCTAATCCCTCATGTGATAGTATTAGCAAGTGCAGCCTGCAGAAAGTAATAAGGGCACGAGGCTGGAGCCCTCATGAATGGGATTAGTGCCTTTGTCAAAGGGGTCCCAGAGAGCTCTCTGGCACTCTTTCCACCAGGTGAGGACACAATGAAAAGACAGCAGTCTGCAGCCCGAAAGAAAAAACCTGACCATGGGGGCACCTGATCTTGGACTTCCAGGCTCCAGAACTGTGGGAAATAGATTTCCGTTCTAAGCCACCCTGTCCATGGCACTTTGTTACAGCAGCCCGAACTGACTAAGGATGAAATCAGATTAGGGCCTGGCACAGTGGCTCACGCCTATAGTCCCAGCACTTTGGGAAGCCAAGGCAGGCGGATCACAAGGCCAGGAGTTCAAGACCAGCCTGACCAACATGGTGAAACCGCATCTCTACTAAAAATACAAAAATTAGCTGGGCGTGGTGGCACACACCTGTAATCCCAGCTACTCAGGAGGCTGAGGCAGGAGAATCATTTGAACCCGGGAGGCAGAGTTTGCAGTGAGCCGAGATCGCGCCACTGCACTGCAGGCTGGGTGACAGAGCCGGACTCCACCTCAAAAAAAAAAAAAAAAAGAAATCAGATAAAACAGTTAAAGAGCTACACACAGTGCCACTGCCTGGCGTTCTGTAAGCTGTCCATAAAGGGTCACTGACATTCTTGCACTCGATGGCAACGTTCTCTGGGAGGCTAAGGCAATTTTGATCCTGAACCAAACTGGAAAATAACATTACTCCTAAAATGCACGCAAACATATGCTTGCTTGAAAATTAGTGGTTCTTAACCCAATTATGTATCTGAAGCATGGAAGGGAAAGAGAGTGCTGGGGACGTCTATTAGATTTATAATGCAAACAACCCAAAGTAAACATCGAAGAAAACTTCTTGGCTCCTGGTTGAATGTGCAGGAGACACAGTGGTTCCTAGGAAGGGCCCAAACCCGTGGGGGATGCCAGACATTTCCTAAAGATGGGCTGTGCTGGCAGATTTCTATAGTAATTAAAGGAAGCCTGGGTTTGAAGTTTGAGAAACACTAACTAATACATATGTTGAAATATTTTATAGCGCATTGCTCTGTATTTTTATTGTTTTCAGTAAATATTCATGAAACATCCAATTAGCCTCTGAATGCCCTTCAGAATAGGGAAGAAATACCCCAAGCTTCCTGTATTCTCTCATGCCCTGGTCCACAGGAAGCACCAGGCAGAATCCTCTATCCACCAAGGAATGTTTATTTAGAAAAAAACCCAACAAATATTTATTGAGCACCTACTACATGCTAGCCACTGTTTCAGTGTGGGGGATAGAGTGTCGCCTGTTCAGTGGTGAACAGGAGAAAGTGTCTACCCTTATGGAGTTTACATCTAGTCAGGGAGATAAACACTGAATAAACAACAAATAATATAATTTAACATGATGATAGGCGCTGTGCTAGTCGGGGTTCTCCAGAGAGACAGAAACAGTAGTGTGGATGGATAGGTAGGTAGGTAGATAGAGAGATAGATTTATAGGTAGATGAGAGGGAATTTATTAGGGGAATTGGTTCACACAACTATGGAGGCTGGGAAATCTTATGACAGGTTATCTTCTGCAAGTTGGAGACCCTAGGATGCCAGTAGTGTGGCTCAGTCTAACTCCAAAGCCTCAGAATCAGGGATGCTGATTCTGCAATCACAGAGTTACAAGGACATAACTCTCAGTGAGAGGCTGAAGGCCTATGAACCTGGGGGCCACTGATATAAATGCTGGAATCCCAAAGCCAGAGAGCCTGGAGTTCTGATGTCCAAGGGTAGGAGGTGGGGCATGTTTCAGCTTCAGGAGAGAGAAGGAGAACATCCTTTTCTCTCCGTTTTTTGTTTTATCTGGGTCCCCAGCTGGTTGGATGGTGCTGTTCATGCTGAGGCAGATCTTCCCCACTCAGTTCACTGACCAGTCTCCTCTGGAAACACCCTCATGGACGCACCCAAGGTAATGCTTTAGCAGTTCTCTAGGTATTCCTTAATCCAGTCCAGTTGACACCTAAAATTAACCATCACAGGCACTAAGAAAGACATAAAAAGAAGTCCCAGGGCAATTTGTATCAGGGGCAGGGGCTGCTGTTTTAAATAAGACAGAGATAGCCTAACTGAAAAGGGGAATTCTGAATCATGATAATAAGTGGATCATGGGAAGGCAGAGAGAAAAGCAGCAAACACTTTAGATGCTTTTGGTTATAAGCAAAAATCTCTACTGAAGAAAAATAATGCCTTTAATAATAAGGACATTTATCATCTCACATAACAGGAAGTTCAGAAATATGACCACCATCAGGGTTGGTTGATTTAGCAGCTTAGCAATATGATGTGGTCTGTCTTTCTACTTGGCCATTTTCATCACTGATACCCACTCTTGGTATCCAGCAGGATAGGGCACCTCTATGAGACCCTCTCCCCACCCCTTAGCAGTGAGGAAGCTCTTCCTAGATGCTCCCCTGCTGAATTCCCCTTCCTTCTCGCCAGCCCAGCTTGGTTTAGGCTTGTCCACTTCTGAGCCAATGACTGACCAGGGAAATGGAATTATACTTGACCGTTGAACAACTTGGGGGCTAGGGGCACCGATACCCTGCACAGCCAAAAATTCAATAAATTTTTACTCCTCCCAAACTTCACTACTAATAGTCTATTCTTGACAGGAAGCCTAGATAGTCAATTGACACGTTTTGTATTTTATGTGTATTATATACTGTATTCTTACAATAAAGTTAGCTAGAGAAAGAGTGTTATTAAGAAAATCATAAGGAAGAGAAAATATATTTATTATTCATCAAATGGAAATGGACCATTATAAAGGTCTTCATCCTCAACATCTTCATGTTAAGTAGGCTGAGGAGGAGGAAGAGGAGAGGTTGGTCTTGCTATCTCAGGGATGGCAGAGTTGGAGCACGTAGACGAGATGGAAGGGGAGGCAGGAGAGGCAGGCACACTCGGCATAACTTTATGGAAATAACGTTGTCATTTCTATCTTTTTTGCTTTTTTATTTATCTAAAAATGTTTCAGTATGATACCAATCCTTATTCCATTGTTTGCTTTAGTTTCAGTGCCCATATCATGGAAGGGTCTGTGTTGTAAGATAAGTCAAAAGGAGTCTTGAATAATCAAAACCCTTCTGCCAGATTGTCTCATATCAATTTTTTTCTGGCACCGTTTCTCCTAAACCTTCTTCCTCATAGCTTAGCGCTGGTTTGGAAGCACTCATCTCCGTTAAGTTGCCTTGTGTTCATTCCTCTGGTGTTTTATCTATTAGCACTTGAATTTCTCCAAGATCCACATGGGGAAACACTTTCTCTGCTACTTTTTTAAGCCATACCCGCAATGTCTTTCATGATTTCCTTGATTGACTTTGTCAAAAATCCTATGAAACCATGCACAACATCTGGAAACAGTTTTCTCCAACAGGAATTAATTGTTTTGGGCTTGATGGCGTTCATGCTTTTTCTACAACAACGACACCTTCAGTGGTGTAATCCTTCCAGACTCGCAAGATGTTCTTTCTGTTGGGGTTTTCCTCCATAGTGTTGACATCCTTTCCATAAAGTGCCATGTGTAATAAGTTTTAAAGGTCTTCATGGCTCCCTGATTTAGAGTCTGACATGAGATGTTGCATTTGGGGGCAAGTAGACCACTTCAATATCTTCAGGGTTGAACTCATGGGGTTCTGGGTGGCCAGGGGCATTGTCCAATATCAAAAAAAACTTTAAAAGGCAATCTCTTACTAGCAAAATACTTTCTGACTTCAGAGACAAAGTATTCATGAAACCAATCCAGATTCCTTTTGTCCAGGTCTTCTTTTTGTACAGCCAAAGACTAGCAGGTAGTGTTTATCTTTTCCCTTCAAGGCTCTGGGGTTAGCTACTTTATAGATAAGGACAGTCCTGATCATAAAACCAACTGCATTTGCAAAGAACAGTAGAGTTAGCCTATCCCTTCCTGCCTGAATCCTGGTGCCGGATTATCTTCCTTACTAATAAATGTGCTTTGTGGCATTTTTGTCCCCAGAATAGGGCACTTTTGTCTGCATTAAAAACCTGTTCAAGCAGGTATCTTTTCTCCTCAATGATAATTGCATCCGGGAACTCATCTGCTGCCTCTTGGTCAGCAAAAACTGCTTCTCCTGTTATCTTGACATTTTTAAAAAGCCAAATCTCTTTCTAAAATTATCAAACCATCCTTTGCTGGCATTCAATCCTCCAGCTTTAGATCCTTCACCTTCCTTTTTCTTTAAGTTATCATATAATGACTTCTCTTTTTCTCAAATCATATTAGAATCTATGGGAATGCCTTTCTTACAGCAATCCTGTACCCATATAAAAGCTGCATTTTCAATACAAGATAAAAAGGTATTTCACCAAAAGTGCAAAGTTTTCATGCCTGCTGGCAGAGCTGCAACAGTAGCTTCAGGAATTTCCTTTTCTTTTTTTTACAGCGTTCCTTATTCTGGATTCATTTATCTTGAAATGGCGGGCAACTGCAGCTGCAGACCTCAATCTACAGTGCATATCAAGCAATTCAATTTTTTCTACAATGTTTTGACTTTTCTCTGCTTCATGGGGCACTTCCAGCATCACTACTGGCACTTTATTTGGGTCCCATGGTGTTACACAAGGTTTTTGGTATTGCACCATGATGAAAAATACACAAGAGCTGCAAGAGGTCTTTTTACTACAATAAGCAATTTACTGGATGGATGAACTGCTCACATGGAGATGGTTACTGTCACACAGCATTTTAAGCGGGTACCCACAGCACTTGAGCTCACCGGAACAGCAACAAGACATGACTACTGATTTATCACAGCCATACAGTGTGTACTACATTGAGTTTTATGCAATTATGATTGAATACTGCATCTTTATATTTGTGTACATTTCTCTTGACTGTGAATTGTTCCACGTACAGTTTGTGTTTGTGTGTGTAAGTTTTGATAAATTTTAACTTTTTATAATAGATGTACATTTTATGATAGTAAATGATAAACTAGTATCTACATATATTATATGAACTCATGACATACCCAGTTTTTCCTTTTTTTTTTTGTTATTTCTAGGCCATGCAGTTTATCTACCTGTGAGTTTTTTTCAAATTGTCACAAATCTCCAAAATTTTTTCAATATATTTATTGAAAAAAATCCGAGTATAAGTAAGTAGACCCATGTAATTCCAACCCATGTTGTTGAAGGGTCAACTTTACTTGGAATGGCCTGGAATAATCACCTGCACTATGTATGTAAGACAATCCACACGATCTCTGCTCTAGGCAAGTGCAGGCTTGGCAAGTTCAAGTTCAAGAAAGCCTCCTGTGGCCAGAATAAAATGAGCACAGGGCAAGAGAGGTGAATTTAGCATAGCAGCTTGTGTGTCTTGATAAGGAATAGGGGATGCCATGCCAGGGAATGATTCAATCTGATTTGCATTTTTAAAAGAGGACATTTAACACTCCCCAGATTGGGATAGAACCGGAGCAGCCTGGGGGTGGGAATGGGGGACAGGATCAGAGGTCACATGGTATTTCTCTATTAGGTGTTGTAAAAGATGGGGCTAACATTCACGTCAGCCAGCCCGGTGGCTCACACCTGTAATCCCAGCATTTTGGGAGGCCGAGGCAGGAAGATCCCTTAAGCTCAGGAGTTCAAAACCAGCCAGGGCAACATAGTGAGACCTCATTGCTACAAAAATAAAATAAAAAATGAGCCAGGCATGGGCCAGGCACGGTGGCTCACCCCTGTAATCCCAGCACTTTGGGAGGCCGAGGTGGGCGGATCACCTGAGGTCTGGAATTCGAGACCAGCCTGACCAATATGGAGAAACCCCATCTCTACTAAAAATACAAAAAAAAAAAAAATAGCTAGGAGTGGTGGTGCATGCCTGTAATCCCAGCTACTCGGGAGGCTGAGGCAGGAGAATTGCTTGAACCTGGGAGGCGGAGGTTGCAGGGAGCTGAGATCACGCCATTGCACTCCAGCCTGCACAAGAGCAAAAATCCATCTCAAAAAAAAAAAAATTAGCCAGGCATGATAGTCCACAGCTGTAGTTTCAGCTACTTGAGAGGCTGTGCAGGAGGAAGGCTTGAGCCAAATAAGTTGAGGCTGAAGTGACCTGTGATCACGCCACTGCATTCCAGCCTGGGTGAAAAAGCAAGACCCTGTCTTCAGAAAGAAACACATACCTTAAATATGAGAGAACCTCCCAGCTTCTCCAAGGAGAGTGGAACTATTGAGGTAAAGGATGACAACATAATTCCTAAATTATGCAACCTTTAGCCATAAGCCATAATGCAGAGTAACTCAACCTCTAGTTTATGCCAAAGTAGTGTGGCTACAATTATTCTTGGTGGACAACTAGCCCATGATATTGTTCTAGAAAAAGACAACAGTTAAATCAAAGAATGGGCCAGGCACGTTGGCTCAAGCCTGTAATCCCAGCACTTTGGGAGGCCGAGATGGGTAGATCACGAGGTCAGGAGATCGAGACCATCCTGGCTAACACGGTGAAACCCCATCTCTACTAAAAATACAAAAAATTAGCTGGGCGTGGTGGCGGGCACCTGTATTCCCAGCTACTGGGGAGGCTGAAGCAGGAGAATGGCCTGAACCCAGGAGGCAGAGCTTGCAGAGAGCTGAGATGGCGCCACTGCACTCCAGCCTGGGTGACTGAGCGAGACTCCGTCTCAAAAAAAGAAACAAACAAACACACAAACAAAAAAAACCCCAAAGAATGTTGGGGTGTGATGTGAAGTTGATGAGAGCCTGTACCAAAACGCCCTGAGTTTAGACTGGAAAAAGCCATAAAATCCATCTGAAAGGACAACCAGTTGCCCTCCTCCAAGCCAGTGAGAACTTGGGTGCTCTTTCCATTATTCCATGTCTACATAGTCCTTCTATGTCCTACGTGGGCTTCATTATGTTGGTTCACACACCTGACTGAGCATCAGAAACTCCTGGGGCAATTGATCAAAATCCAGCTTCCTAGGCTGGACCCAGACCTGGAAAATCCAGATCTTCACAGGTAGGCTCATGAATCTTTAATAAGATCCCGAAGTGCCTCTGCTGGTCAGTCAGGGGTGGGAGCCCCTGCACCATAAGGGAATATTCCAGACCAAGAAGAGGTCTGGACGGGAAGATCATCAAGGCTGGAAAGAGCTGAGTGCTGCCCTGTGCTATCCTTCAACTCCTCTGGGCCTGTTTCTCACTGTGAATAGGAGACTGATGAAATAATCTCCAATATTCTTTCCAGCTTGAAGTCCTATGACTGTATAATTCATCTTTACATTACTATATCCATGATGGACGACCAGTAAGTGCTTCATGTTAGAATAAAAAAGTGGTCGGGCACGGTGGCTCACGCCTGTAATCCCAGCACTTTGGGAGGCTGAGGCGGGCAGACTACTTGAGGTCAGGAGTTCAAGACCAGCCTGGCTAACACAGTGAAACCCTGTCTGTATGAAAAATACAAAAATTAGCCGGCTGTAGTGGCACATGCCTGCAATCCCAGCTACCTGGGAGGCTGAGGCAGGAGAATGGCTTGAACGCAGGAGGTGGAGGTTGCAGTGAGCTGAGATTGCGCCACTGCACTCCAGCCTGGGTAATAGCACAAGACTCCATCAAAAATAAAGAAAGAAAGAACAAGAAAGCACCAAGGAGTTTTGTGCCTGTGGTCAAAAAAGGAGAGAAGAAAGTTAGAGAGGCTGGTTTCAGGCACTATATCCATGGTCAAAATGTTACATGAAAGCTCTTGTGTATTGAGCCCACAGAGGAAGGTTTCCCTTGCATTTTTGAAGCCATACAAATGTTCAACATGGATTTACTTGCCAAGTCACTTCCCTTTAAACCTAATAGTAATAGCTAGAGTATAGGGAACATCTACCAGCACTGTCCTGGGAGCTTTGCGTGTGTTATCTAAATCCTTATCATAATCCTATGAGGTAGGATTATCCCCATTTCACAGAGAAGAAAGCTGAGGCCCCTAAAGGTTAGCTTTGGCCCAAAGTCACACAGCAGAGGGGGATTCAAGCAGTTGGCTCTATCCTTTAACCCCTGACCCCACAGGGCCCAGGGCTACGGGGTGAAGGGAGAGCAGTCTACTGAACTAGCTGCATATCTAGGGATTCGATTCTGGTGGCATTGGGACATCCCTCTGACCCTGGGGACTGTCGGGAGAGACTCCCATTCATTCCCTGGAGTACTCCCCCTGCATGTGGTGTCAGCTATTTTCCCTTTGCTCTTAGGATGCCCTTTCCACCTTCCCCATCCTGCTCTGAGCTCTGGGAGCCACCAGCATGGGCCATCTCAACCTCCCACTGGGGCCAGCTGGGTTGGACCAATGGATGGCAGCGGCAAGAGCTCAGAGGGTGGGAGAGTGAGGTCAGGGGGATTTCTTCCTTGCTTCTGCCAAAGCCCCAGCTCCTGTGGGACAGCCCTCTCCCACAGCCAGCAGTCCCTCCCACGCCCCCACAGGCCTGAGGATGGCATCCTGCTCTGCTGTGACTTAGCCCTGTGTGCTCCAGCTCATCTTCCTGGCTTTCCTACATTGGGCCCCTGCTGTTGTAAGCAGTCCTGTCATAAAAGGCCCCTCAGTCACCCATTAAGGTGTGTCTCTTTCCTAGCAAAATCTCAACAAATACCTATCATCTGGGATGCCCTCAGGGGGATGCTCCCCACTCCCAGAGGACCCCTTCCCTGCCTCAGCAACCCAGTGCAGTCTGGTGTGGAGGGGCTGGGTTTGAGCATGTGTGTGCAAGTGTGTGTGCAAGCAGGTACATGAGTGTGTGCAGGTGTGTGCATGTGTATGAGCATGCACAAGTGTATGTACAAGCACATGTGAGTGTGTAAGGGCCTGTGTCTGTGTGTGAGTGCATGTAACAGTGTTAGTGTGAAAGTGAGTGTATGTGGGTGAGCATGTACAAGTGTCCACAGACTCCCACAGCAGTCCATGGGCCCAGGTGCAGCTTCATCAGCTGCCCGAGACCACATCCAGGTAACACCCTCCAGCTCCTCTCCAGCTACAAACACCGACCCCCAGCTCCCAGGAGATCCCCAGCAGCAGCATCCCTAGGCCGGCCCCTGCCCCTTGAATAAGCTACCAGTCCTGGAGTGACTCCTCTGCACTGGGCAATACGCCTGGGTGCTTTCTGTACACGTGCATTCTACCTGGACCATGATGCGGTGAGGTGACATGGTGACTCAAGTCTTTGCTGACTCACCACACCTCCCCCACATCCTTCCATGGGAGAATTTGGGCCCATTAAATTATGCCACAGCCCTGTCCAGTGCTTGATTCAGGGATGGGATTGGGGCCACAGCAAACCCAATCAGAGCCCCGCTGTGGGCACTTTCTGGCTGGCCCTGGAGGGAACACGCCCCTTCTGTCTCCCAGGCCCACAGTTGCCTGGATGTGAGTTCCCTGTGGCCTTGGCCTTAGTGATGTGCATGACACAGTCAGAGAGAATGAGGTAACATGACAAGGAGGAAGACAGGACAGATTCAAACCCGAGGTGCGTGTGCCCTAAGCTCCACCCCTGCCCTTGTAGTATAGGAGCCAATGCCCCATTTCTGGTTAAGCAATTTTGAGTAGATTCTCTGTCTCTTGTAACAAAAAAAGGCCTGAGTACCAGCAAGATATTATTATTTTCCTCATTTGACACATGAAGACACTTAGGTTCAGAGAGGCTAAATGACATGCCCAGGGTCCTACATGGATACAGATCAGAGCTACGACTGGATCCAGGTCTTTGTTCATAGTCCCTGCTTTCAACACTATAGCCCTATGGTCAGACTCTCTGGGGACAACTTTCAGTGCTTCCTCTGTCCCATCAAATCCCATTTGTTCTGCAGGAAAATGACACCACCCTGGAAAATGGTGAATAAAAGGAACAGAGGTCCACAGGGGATGGGGAGTGGGGATGATTGTAGGAAAAACAACCTGCTAGGACCGAGGATGTCAGATGACATGGATGGCCTGGCTCTTTAAAAGTTCCTGCAAAGCCTTTCTCTAAGCAGGGCTGCACTGGAGCTTCTGTGTCTCTGCAGAAGCAGGCTTGAGAAAGGCAGGCCCAGGTCTTGGCCTTTTAGGAGCACACTAGGCACTGTCACCCACCCAAGATCCAAAGGTAGGGCTCAGCTATCTGCTATGTTCACGTGTGTGTCACACCCAGAAGCACAAAGCGAACCCGTACAACAAAAAGAAGCTGGGTTTCAGACCTATGAGCCCATGAAAAGGAAACAAAAAGATTTAGGTTGTTTTTATTTTCTCAAAAATAAAAAAAAGTCACCCCTGCTGTTTAAACTGCATGCAAAGGTGTTTCCAAATCAATCCCTCAGCAGCTGTAAAAATCCACATTGATCCACTCCAGCAACACTGAAGGAGGATCAAACCTCCTGAGAGAAGGACTGATTGGCTCGCTCTCTAAATAGACTATTTGCTCTGTCATTCAACACCCGCAAATGTTTCTACTGCTGAACATTGCTAAGGTCAAATTGGATAAAACATATTAAGATATGATCAGATTTTGTTTTGTATTCAAAACGCCTTACAGGAGCAACACGGCCCGCTGTCCTGTGGCTGCAGCCTTCTAGGGAAATGCAGTGGGCACAGATTTGCGGCTTTACTTTGCACGCATGCTGCGTAGAGGGGAATTTGCTGCGGGTTTATGTTGTCCTGACTTTCTGGCGATGTGCAGACATCCAGGAGAATCTGCACAAAGACTGCTTAAGCAAACAGTCAGGCAGAAAGACTCTTGCTCTCTCTTGTTTCTAACCACTCGCCTCCCAGCATTGTCTATTTCCCCATCATCACAGTGACCCAGCAGCCTGTAGCTTCTCCATCTCTTTCCTTTGGCTTTTCTTAACAGATGTTGCTTGACTGCATCAATCCCAGATAGGAGCGCTAATGTGATGGGCAGGGTTTGGGAGCTGGGGTAGAAGGGTGCTGTGCTCTCTATTAGTGTCCAACTTACTCATCCTCTTTGTGCCTTGGTTTCTCCATCTATAAAGTAATGAAAATGAAAATGTCCAATTCCCAAGCCTTCTGTGAAGATAATTGAGATTACCGAGACAGAGCAATTGGTATTGTGCTCTGGGTATGGTGAACGCCCAGTGGAGGTAGGTGACAAGATTATTTTCATTATTGCCCACGTTTGCTTCAAAAACTTACCCTGGTCACTTATCTTCGTTTTAGTATTCCAAGCTCCATCGCTGTCTGTAGGTCTCCCCAACCTAATTTTTCACTTCTGCCCTAAAAGCTGACTTACATCCAGAACTACTCATGTCCAGTTGCCTTCATCCAACATTGGTAGAAATCCTATTAGGTCCCAGGCGCTGTGGTGGGTGAGGGCAAATAAAATGGGGGGGGGGCACTCCTCTTATCTCCGTGGGAGGAAACAAAGCTCTCCTGCACTCCCTCACTTTACCATAAGTCTCTGGTGGTCTCCGTTACTCAATTTTTTTTTTGTTTGAGATGGAGTCTCACTCTGTCGCCCAGGCTGGAGTGCAGTGGCACGATCTTGGCTCACTGCAACCTCCGCCTCCTGGGCTCAAGTGATTCTCAGCTTCCCGAGTAGCTGGGATTACAGGCACCGTCTGCCACCACACCCAGCTAATTTTTGTATTTTTAGTAGAGACGGGGTTTTCGGCCATGCTGGCCAGACTTGTCTCAAACTTCTGACCTCAGATGATCTCCCCACCTCGGCCTCCCAAAGTGCTGGGATTACAGGCAAGAGGCACCGCGCCCGGCCCATTCCTCATTTTTTTAATTGATATAATGGTTTAGGGATGCCACTACCCACTGTGGAGAGAGGTGGGCTGTTGATGACAACATTGATAATGGTGGAAAAGTAAGTGAATTGATGGAAGAACTATAGGAACGTAGTTGAATGGCTAGTTTATTCTGTATGTATATGCTTGTTTCTCCTCTCAAAATGGCCAAGGAATGCAACATAGGAGTTCTGGTACGGAAGTCTAATTTGTGATTTAACTGGGGTTTACAAAGAAGCAACAGTTCTTAGAGGCAGCTCGATGGCAAGTCTAGGCGGTGGCCTGAGTCTTACCATCAATCTGCTGAAGGACAGGGATGGACAACCTACAGCGCCTTCGTCTGTGCTCCCAAACAGCCCTCAGCACACTGCCGTAACCATCTGTGTGTTCGTCTCCCTGATAAACCTCCAAGCTCCATGAATGCTGAGGCATTGTCCTATTGCCTATAATGTGTCCAGTTCCTGTTAAACTGAACTTATGAGGACAAAGAGGTTGATCACCCCATACATTTCAAGAAAACACTCTCTGCTCACATGAAAGGACAAGGGAAATATCACTTTCCAACAAAGAGTCCAGGAGAAAATAGAAGTATTTATTTCTTAGAACTCCTCAAGTGTAGAATATGGGATTTGCTACTCATGCAAGCAGGCAGCAAAAAGTAACATCAAACTCAGGGCCTCTAGGGTGAAATGTGTACCTCCAAGATACACAGTATGATCATTAGCGTGAGGGCAGAAAATATTAGGACTTTCCATTTAGTTTAAAGTCATCCTTCAAACATTTGTGATTTATGTATGCTTTATGATTTGTATAACATATTAGCATTTATATACGTATACATCTAAATATGTAGAATTTTTTTTTTTTGATGGAATCCCGCTCTGTCGCCCAGGCTGGAGCACAGTGGTGTGATCTCGGCTCACTGCAAGCTCCGCTTCCCTGGTTCACACCATTCTCCTGCCTCAGCCTCCCGAGTAGCTGGGACTACAGGCACCGGCCACCACGCCTAGCTAATTTTTTTGTATTTGTTTTTAGTAGAGACGGGGTTTCACCATGTTAGTCAGGATGGTCTCAATCTCCTGACCTCGTGATCCCCTCACCTCAGTCTCCCAAAGTGCTGGGATTACAGGCGTGAGCCACCGCTCCTGGCCGAATGTATTTTTATATATTGAGGATGCTTAACATTTTTTATTGATTACGTATACAATACAAATGTTTGGAACATTGATTCCATTGAACATATTGATCTGAATATTTATTATATAACATCTGAAATGTATATAACTCCTTATGAGTTTTAATAAATATTTAAATATGTATGTGATGTCAGTTGTGATTTACCAAATGTCTTCCTTGTCTCAGGGCAATTTCCACTTCCTAAGATGGGTAAAAATGAGTTTCACAGGTGAACAGGTAGATGAATAAATGGGAGAATGGATGGGTGGGTGGATGGATGGATGGATGGGTGGATGGGTAGATGGTTGGGTAGATGGATGGATGGAAGAATTGAGTGGATGGGATAATGGATAGGAGGATGGGTAGATGGATGATGGATGGACAGTTGGATGAATGGATGGGTGGGAGGATGGAGAGATGGATGGATGGATGGATAGTTGGATGAATGGATGGGTGGCAGGATGGATAGGAGGTTGGATGGGGCATGGATGGATGGATGGATGGATGGATAGATGGCTGGATAGATGGTCAGATGAACAGTATTCACTTATACTTATTTTAACCTGGGATTCAGACAAAGGTGTCAGGGACTCTGAGAACTCCCTGAAATTGCACACAACATATCCCAAGGAGGATCATGCCATTGCAGGGCAATTGGAACAGAAAAGTCCCCTGCTGCAGATTTTTATATGGGAAAGAAGGGAAAGGTTGTGACAGTAGAAGCAATATGAACATGATTCTGGAATTGAGTTTTCTCCTTGTCATAGATTCAATTAAATCCTGAAGCAGGGGTTGTAATTTTTAATACCAATGAGCAATACTGATAACCATGCTATTTAGCTTTGAAAACCATATCAGAAGATGAGGGCTTTCAATTTATTTATGTATTTGGTGTAACAAATAAAGTCTAGGTCCTAGCAGAGTTCCTCACTCAAAATAGGTTATTGAAAAATATTTGTCCCATTGAATTCTTTCGCCTTCCCCAAACTTAAGGAGCACTTGAAGATGGAACACTTACAGCACGAGAGTGATTTTCATTCTTTGACACCAGTGTGGGTCGAGGGACCAGGAATCTTCCACTCTGTCCAGAATGTCTTGTCTTCCTCCCTGTTAAAATTTCAGCAGCAAAAAAAACCCAAACCAAAACAAAACACACACCATGATAAAGCCATCATGATGATGAACAGTGGCCTTAATTGGTATTAAAGGATATTTATGTCTGTATGACTAAGTTAAAACCCCTAATTGATTGGAGACACTTGAGTAATAGAATCCATGGAGTCCCATTAGTATTGCATTGACATATTAGCATATCTTCTCCATGATGGCAAACGGATACGGTTGGGAGCTTCACACTGTAGCACATCTGACCTTACATTTATGTTATCTAAAGCAACAAACCCAGCTGCCTACTTCGTGGTCTGAATTACAGATTTTCCATTTAGCCGGACACCATGAATCTGCTGCTACAATTATGTCTACAATTACAACCCCCTTGAGTGCGTAACTAACCTGCACAGAGTGCATATGGCATTCTAATGCAGTTGTTTACTTTATACTCTGGCCTTTCCTTTGAGTAAAAGTGCATCGGCAGCCCCAGCTCCCTCTCCCCTGGAAGGTGCTGCACGTTGTTACTTGGTAGAGCTGTCAACTAGACAGATGCCGGCAGTACTCTCAGGAGCTGACTTCCTCCTGCTGTTCTGTTCATTGCTGCCTTTCTCTCTTCAAAGGAGATCTCCTTTTCATCAGAGCTTTCCAGTCTAGGAAATAATGAACTCAATTCTCCCCTCTGTTCAGGGAATGCACATTCCCAGGGCAGAGTAGTGGGGAGCTTTTTAAATTTAGTTAAGTATCAGCTGAGTCCAGCACTGCACTGGGCACTAAAACCCCCTCCCCAGCTCTGTGTTCTGGGTAAACAGAAATGTGACAGGTCCAAGGTTTTCTCCCAGAATGCCCCCAGCTGATGTGCTCTGGTCCACATCCTATGTCCAGGATCCAACTCCGATGCTCTTCTTTTTCCTTGCTTTTTATAAAAAACAAAAATGTGATGATATTATACATGGCATTTTCTGACCTGCTTTTAGAAAATGTCAAACATTTTAACTGCAATAGTGATTCACTCTTATTTGGAAAATTTACACATTACCTAAGTATATAAAGTTAAGTCTTCGCAGGAAGAGCTACTATTTCCAGATCTCTTTCAATGCATATACAAACACAAGCATATACATAAAAATATGCACCTAAAATCGAAATGAGATTTTGATATAAATCTTTTCCTAAATATTACTATTTATTTGTGGCTAGCACATTTGGATAGTCTCAGCATCAACAAATTACATTTATATTATTACAGCCACCTAAATGCATGGATCAGATGCAGGCTTTTTTATTTAATTTATCCCTTATTGTTAGATATTTTGAATACTTCCTGTATTTCATGATTATAAACAACCAGAGGATTAGCATTTTTTTAGCTGCATCTCCTTTCCCTTTTTCCTTTTATTATGAAAAATTCTGAACATCCACAAAATAAAGAGAATAGTGTAATGAATCCTCACAGCTCCATTATCTAGCTTCAAAGTCATCAACATTTTGTCAATCTTGTTTCATCTAAGTCCCTTCCCCAGCACACACACACACACACACACACACACACACACACACCTTTTTTTTTCCCCTGGAGTATTTGAAAGGAAATCTGACATAAGACACAGGAAGAGAAGTATAAGAAAAGGCCAGCAGATAAGGCCTACTCCCTTCCTCTCCTTGTCTAACATGACTCCCTCCTAGGGATGCTGTGTGGGGGTGAGTTAAGCCCTCTCTTCCTGCTTTTCCTATGAACTTGGAGTGCCAGGCACATTAAATCTACTTTAAGAGGTGCCAGTAGCAGGAAGTTTAGAATCAGAAAGATGTATGTTGTGCCCTTGGTTTTCTCACTAGCTTCCAAATTTTATCAAGTTACTTAGACATTCCAAGCTTGAGTTGGAATCGTCATCACCAGCTCATGGCTGCACTGAGGAGTGCGTGAGTTCTTGCAGTGGTCACAGCTCTAAGCAGCTCGAGCAGAGGCGTTTTGCACCTGAGCTCAGCAGCCAAGGCCTTGACCCTGAGGAAACTGGCTTGGCTCACAGCAGCACTGCACGTGTGTCCTGATTTGTCACCAAACCACAAAATACATGCCCTATTGCATGTCTCTGTAGCCAAACCATACCAGACAGCATGAATTATGGCATCATGAATCCAAGCAAACATGAAGAAATTAACTATGAATGAATCCAAAGGCAGATTGTCTAACCAAGCTACTGTTGGTTAAATTGAGTCACCCATGACCAATATCCTTGCATTTCCTTGGAGCGCTGGATTAGGAAGCCCCACGGGGTTCTCACTCCTGCTGTGGATCCTGTGACTCTAGGCAAGTCAGTTACATCTCTGGGTCACTGTCCTCATCTGTAGAATGAAGACAGTATATTCCACCATCGCCAGGGGCATTCCAAAGAGGGGTGCACCTTTAGACCTTGAAAACACCTGACGTCTGAGTCAGCCTGAACTCAATCATGCAATTGAATGTGCACATGTGCCTGCATTTTTGGCTGTGTGGTTGAAAGAGCCCAGACTTTGCAGCCAGCAGACCCGCCTCCAGGACTCAGCTGTATTATCCACTAGCTCTGTGACTCAGGGAAAGTCGTGCCCTCCCTAAGTTTCTACTTCCTCAGCTAGAATGTAGACATTCATTTGCTCATTCATGCTTCTAATTTTATTCAGCGCCTACTATGTACTGTACCATTCTAGTGCCCACAGTCTAGTGAGGATGTGATTGGAGGTGGAGGAGAAGTAAACAAAAATAAATTGTAAAATGAGCAGTAAGTTAGATGGAGATTGATGCTAAGGCAAAAATAAAGTAGGTGGGGGAGTTGGGGAGCATCAAAGGAGCTGTGGGGGAGGGGCAGTGTTGCAGTACTAGAGAGACATCCAGGTAAACCTCACTGAACAGGTGACGTCTGAGTAAAATCCTGAAATGAGATGAGGGAGCCAGCCAAGAAGATACCAAAGGAAAAGTGTACTAGGCTGAGGGAACAGAAGGTGCAAGGATCCTGAGGCAGGAGCATGCCCAGAATGTCCGAGGACCCACAGGGTGGCCACTGTGCCAGGGACAGAGGAAGGGAGGGCACTGGCCATGCGGGTTCTTGAAGCCCACTGTCAGGACACTGGCTGTTATTCATCCTATGTCTGGAAGCCTTTGCAGGGTTTTGAGCGGAAGTGTGATGTGCTCTACCCCAGCATTTTTCAAAGCATGATCGGGTGACTCCTGGAGCCCCCGACACTTTTTCAGAGATCCCCATGAGGTCAAAATTATTTTCATAGTAATATAAGACATGATTTTCCCTTTTTGTTCTCATTCTCTCTTAATTACACAGTTGAGTTTTCTAGAGGCTACACGACATATATTGCAACAGATTCAAAGTAGAAAATGGAGAATTCATCTATTAATCCAGACATTAAAGAAACTTACAAAATGTGCTCTCCAAAAATATATACTGCTACTTTTCTCAGTTTTTTTTTTTGTTTTGGAAAATAGTGTTTTTTTGTTTTTTTTTGTTTTTTTTTTTCTTTTTGAGACAGAGTCTCGCTCTGTCGCCCAGGCTGGAGTGCAGTGGCACGATCTTGGCTCACTGTAAGCTCCGCCTCCTGGGTTCAAGCGATTCTCCTGCCTCAGCCTCCTGAGAGGCTGGGATTACAGGTGCCTGCCATCATGCCTGGCTAATTTTTTGTATTTGTAGTAGAGACGGGTTTTCACCGTGTTAGCCAGGATGGTCTCGAATTCCTGACCTTGTGATCCACCCGCCTTGGCCTGCCAAAGTGCTGGGATTACAAGCGTGAGCCACCACTCCCAGCTGAGTTATTTTTTATAAATTTGTTTTACTTATGTTAACATGCAATAGGTTTATTATTATTATTTAAAATGAATTATTTTTTAAACTTCAGCTTTAATTTCTTACACTTGATCTTAGCCAAAAGGCCAAGAAGCGATTAGCTTTAATTTCTAATACAGCAATATCAATAAATATAATCCACATAGGCAAGAGCTTTTAGGGGTCTCCAGTCGCTCACTTCTAAGGGAAGAAAGTATTCTGAGACCAAATGTGTGAGGACCACAGGTCTAATGCGAGTTTGAACCTCCATTCAAACCCACCTCTTGCATTGAGATGAGAGGGGGCAATGTCAATGGCGGGATGGTGGGCTCACCAGGATGGTGGCAGTGCAGAAAGTGAGAAGTGTTCAGATTTTGGATAAATTTTGAAGGTAAAACTGATAGAAATTGCCAATGGATCTCATGTATTAATAGATTACGGGAGAGAGTCAAGAATTGCTCATTGGTGTTTGGCTTGATCAATCAGCAGGATAGAATTGCAATTCACTCAGGTGACAAAGTAGAGAGGCGGGTTTGAAGTGGTGGGGTAGGTGGGTGGGGGAGAGCAGGAGCTCTGCTTGAGACATTTTCTTTTCTTTTTTCTCTCTCTCTCTCTTTTTTTTTTTTTTTTTTTTTTTTGGAGACGAGTCTCGCTCAGTCACCCAGGCTGGAGTGCAGTGGCAGGATCTCGGCTCACTGCAAGCCCCGCCTCCTGGGTTCACGCCATTCCCCTGCCTCAGCCTCCCCGAGTAGCTGGGACTACAGGCGCCCGCCGCCACACCTGGCTAATTTTTTTGTATTTTTAGTAGAGACGGGTGTTTCACCGTGTTAGTCAGGATGGTCTCGATCTCCTGACCTTGTGATCCGGCCGTCTCGGCCTCCAGAAGTGTTGGGATTACAGGCGTAAGCCACCGCACCCGGCGAAGCATTTTCATTTCAGATGTCTGTAGGCATCCAGATGGAGATTCCAAGCAGGTAGATGTGTACTGAAGTCTGAAGTCCAGGCTGGAGACATAAATTTGGGGTGTTACCAGTAAGTAGGAGCATTTGAAGTCAAAAAACTAGCTGAGCTCTCCAAGAGACAGCAAGAGCACATCCAAAGACTCTGCCATATGCAGAGGTGGGAGAAAAAGGGAAATGGCCGGGAGACCGAGGCAGAATGGGAGGAAGAGAAGAGACTGTGGGATTCTGGATTCCAAGTGGAGAGAGAGTGTCAGGAAGAAGGGAGTGATGTTTGAGACTGGGCAGTGGGTGCTGACTCTGGGGCTTAGCAACTGCAGATTCCTGGTGCCTTTGCTCACAAAGCTGACCAGGCAAGTTGATGAAAGAACAGAGAAGGCAATACTAAGCAACCCTGCTGAGGGGTTTCTCCCTCCCTGAGGAGGGAGAGAAAGCAAGTGGTAGTGGAGGAAAGACAAAGTCCATAGAGGGTTTTTTCCCCCTTTGATATGGAAGAAAATAAATTTTGTTTACTCTTCTGATGTGGAAAAAACAATAAAAAGACTGACAAGACAGGAAAGAGTGAATTTACTTCCAGGAGAATTAATTGCATGAAAGAATTCTTTTTTTTTTTTTTTTTTTTTTTTTGAGATGGAGTCTCGCTCTGTCACCCAGGTTGGAGTGCAGTGGCACGATCTCGGCTCACTGCAAGCTCCGCCTCCCAGGTTCAAGTGATTCTCCTGCCTCAGTCTCCTAAGTAGCTGGGCACTCACCACCACACCTGGCTAATTTTTGTATTTTTGGTAGAGACGACGTTTCACCATGTTGGCCAGGCTGGTCTTGAACTCCTGATCTCAAGTGATCCACCCGCCTCGGCCTCCCAAAGTGCTGGGATTACAGGCGTTAACCACCACCACGCCCATCCATTTGCATGAAGGAATTCTTAAGGACGAGAAGAGATGGGTCTGATGAGGATGGGTCTAGTCTTGCTGGGAACCTGGGCAGTTCCTCCAGATACCAGGAGAGAGACAAGGAACACAGGCACAGGCAGATGGAGCTTGTGTGAGCTCTGTTCTCACCGCTTCTATTTTCCCAGTGAAATTGGAAGCAAGCTCATCACTGTGAGGAAGGATAGGGTAGGAGGTGTGGAGGGTTAAAGAAAGATAGTTATCTTGGTAATTATAAGACCATATGAGGTAGGCTCTTCAGTGCTGGATAAATGCTCGATGCTGTTTATTCTTAAATATAGGTGTGGGAAGGCAGTGCTATTTTTCACTGTCTTACTGTGTCCCCAGTATAAAGGGAATGATTGTTCTCTATAGGTCAAATACATACATTTAGTAACATTCGGCTTCATATTGACACACCTTCCCAGATTTCTCATTGTAATCCACAGGTCTGTAGAGATGTGGAAGAGATGCTGCTTTATAATATGTATTTCAATGTAGTTTTGATGACTGATGATGAGAAATGGATTTTTTAAGTTCCATACCTATGACCTGTATTTATCCATCCAAAAGCCCGGTGGAATGAGATCCATGAAGGGCCCCTGTGCAGTATCATATGGCTTATGGAGCCCTGCCTGGAAACTGCTGCTTTGTATGTATCCCCAGAGCAGTGGTACCTGCAGACAGAGGAGTGCCAAGAGAGGAGGGCAGGAGGATATTAAGCCATGTGTTCTCTTTCCAGGCAATTTCTCCACTGGGCCCCAGGGCCTTCCTCCACCCAGGCAGCTAGCAATGATTCATCACTGTCTTAGGGGGAAGTTATCCTCGCAGAACCAGAGAACAAAGACAGTAGATTCTTGGCTTTTAAGCTCAAGATCCTTTCCTTTCCCCCTCCCTCCTCCAAGCTTGCAAAGAGGGAAGGTAAGGAGGCGAAGATGAAACAAGAGAAGTAGACACTGGCTGCCTCCCCTCTAGCTATATGGGAGGTGGTGACAAGAAGCCCAGCTCCCTCCTGACTGATGTCACAACACTGTGCAAATGGCCCAGGACTCAAGGAGAAACCCTGAAATGAATTGGTCAAATCCAATCCTGAAGATGACCAAGTCTATCCATTATATGGATTGTATTTCTGCCATCAGGAAGCTTAAAGTAGAGATTCATTGGGCTGCAGAAAAATCAAGAAATTGATATTTCTGCGGGCCTGCGTGGCTTCTTAGTTCCACTTGCAAAAGGGAAAGATTCATTGAAGAAATAACATATTAAGTCGCTACACCTTCGTATTAATGAGCTTATCACAGTGGTTCTCAAATGGGAGATTTTGCTCCCAGGGACAACGGGCAATGTCCGGAGACATTTTTTATTGTCGCAGCTGTGGAAGGAGGGTTGCTACTGGCACCTGGTGGGTGGAGGCCAGGGAGGTTGCTGAACATCTTATGATGTTCAAATAAAAGAAAAAGAATGTTTCAGCCCCAAGTGTCCATAGTTCCTAAGTTGAGAAATCCTCGATTTCTGTCCCGAATCAAAAGATAGGTTCAGCATAAAAGGATCAAGTTCCTCAAGGAGCAAGGAGGAAGAATATAAAATGAACTGAAAGAGAAAATCATTTCTAACCTATTCTACATTTTGGAATACCAGTAGTTCCAGCAGAGTAACTTATTACTTCTAACAAGAGAAAAAAGGAACTTCACAGCTATTGCATTTCCTAGAGTCTGCAAAACAAGTACTCAAAACAGTAGCAGTCACACAGTGTAATAAAAACACTCAGGTTTTAACTCATCACCACCTGGAAGGCACAACAAACACCTCCTACGCAGGTTTGGTGAGAGTCTTAGCTTTTCTCCTGCCGGGTTCTCATGACACTGTTACTTTGTTTTCTCCACCTCCAGCTGAACCTTCCCTCTGGGTCTCCTGACCTCCTCTTCTTCTGCTGTTTCCATGTTTGTTTCCGTTCCTATCATTTGCTTCACTCTCCAGCCTGCCATGACAACTCAGAACTGAGCCCCTTGGCCTTGGCCACCTCTTTTTGGCCGGTAGGCCCCCAGTCCTTGTCTCTGAATCCTTGCCCCAGGGCAAGGCCGGAATTTTCAGCTGTTTCCTGACCACATGACACTCTCTGCACAGTCTCATCACCTATCCAAGGAGGATAGCAGTACCATTTCATAAGGTGACAGCGAAGAGTGAAGGAGTCAGTACTGTGCTTGGCACAGAGTAAGCACTCACATGATGGCCATTTGTATTATTGTCACCTTTTTCCATCAGAAGCCCAAACAGGACCTCAAAATTAATATAGCCACAACCAGACTGTTTTTCCTCCAAAATCTGTTTCTTTTTCACTGCTGCTCCCTTGCGCTTAGCCAACTCAGTGTCACCTTTAACTAGAGTTAAAGAGAGCATTATTAATCATAAGACCAGAGCAACAGGCACAAGCCGGGGCAACTCCTGGCAACCTGGAGAGACGTGTGGTCCTGCTGCTTTAACCCTTTTCTCTCTCATCGCTAATGGAACCATAGTCCAACCACCATCCTGTCTCATTTGGATGAGTGCAGTATTCTCTCCACAGAGCCCCTTCTCTCTGCCTTCCCCCCTCTTCTATTCCTACATGTCTTTTCCTGCTGCAAAACACCCTGTCTCCTAATGACTTAGGAATAGGGCATGCATTATTTGTTCTAGAGTTCAAAGCTTTCTTTTTTTTTTTTTTTTTTTTTGAGACGGAGTCTCGCTCTGTCACCCAGGCTAGAGTGCAGTGGCACAATCTCGGCTCACTGCAAGCTCCGCCTCCCGGGTTCACGACATTCTCCTGCCTCAGCCTCCCAAGTAGCTGGGACTACAGGCGCCCACCACCACGACCGGCTAATTTTTATATTTTTAGTAGAGACGGGGTTTCACTGTGTTAGCCAGGATGGTCTCCATCTCCTGACCTCTTGATCTGCCCACCTCGGCCTCCCAAAGTGCTGGGATTACAGGCGTGAGCCACCATGTCCGGCCGAGTTCAAGGCTTTCTAAGATCTCAGCCAGCATTTTTAACCTCGTTGCTCAGGACCAGGCCCTTCTTTTTTGTTTGTTTGTTTGTTTTTGAGATGGAGTTTCCCTCTTGTCACCCAGGCTGGAGTGCAATGGTGTAATCTCGGCTCACTGCAACCTCTGCCTCCCGGGTTCAAGTGATTCTCCTGCCTCAGCCTCCTGAGTAGCTGGGATTACAGGTACCCACCACCATGCCTGGCTAATTTTTGTATTTTTTAGTAGAGACGGGGTTTCACCATGTTCGTCAGGCTGGTCTCGAACTCCTGACCTCAGGTGATCCACTCACCTCAGCCTCCCAAAGTGCTGGGATTACAGGCATGAGCCACCGTGCCCGGCCAGGACCAGGCCCTTCTAATGGCACCATCCACTGCCATGGGTATCCCCTGGACTTCCTTTTCTCCCACCACGCCTCTCCTCTGGAATGACCCCCTCCCCTTCCTCCACACCCCACCCTTACCTTCATAGATCCACATCCTACCTTCCCTCAGAGCTCATCCCTCACGCCCCCTTCTCCACAAAGCCATCCCTACCACGAGGATTTAGGGTGTCAGGGTGGCCTGATCCCTGGCTACAAGTAACTTCCTCTCCTTTGAGCTCTTATGGTTTTTTTTTGTTTGTTTGTTTGTTTGTTTGTTTGTTTGTTTTTGAGACAGAATCTTGCTCTGTCACCCAGCCTGGAGTGCAGTGGTGCGATCTCGGCTCACTGCAAGCTCCACCTCCTGGGTTCATGCCATTCTCCCACCTCAGCCTCCCGAGTAGCTGGGACTACAGTTGCCCGCCACCATGCCCGGCTAATTTTGTTTCTGTATTTTTAGTAGAGACGGGTTTCACCATGTTAGCCAGGATGGTCTCGATCTCCTGACCTCGTGATCCACCCATTTCGGCCTCCCAAAGTGCTGGGATTACAGGCGTGAGCCACCGCGCCTGGCCACTCTTATGGTATTTAATTTGTATCTCTTTTGTGGCACTTACCCCCTCTAACCTTGAATGAGAGTGACTTGGATTGGTGCTTTTATCTCCACATAATACACTGTACATTCCTCCAGAAGGAACCTATTAATTCAATTTATCCAAGGGACCTTAGCACATGGTAGAGGCCCAGCAGACATTTGTTGACTCTATGATGCTTCCACAGGCTTTTCTGAATATTTTTTATTGGCTGAATTTAAATGTATATTGACTGAGTCATCCTATCCTGGTTTTGTCATCAGATAGTCTCAGCCTACACACAGCACCAGAGACTAGTTAAAACTCTCATTTTTCCCTTTTTTTCTTGGGGGAGATGGGGACATGGTGTGAGGGATACTTAGCGAGAGCTGGAAAGAGAGTGTCAAGCTCACTAATATTCATACTAGGTAAATTGTCACAAGGCGGTGACATCTCAGTGTCCAGATGCGCAAACTGAGGCCTGGGAAATAGAATTTCATTTGACACCACTGTCCTGACCAATGCCAGGGAGAATTAGAGTGGGGGCTGTCCTGAAAGATCGTGTCCTGCACCCCTCTCATTTTACCTCCAGAGAAAATCATGAATCAGAGCAGAGAGAGGTGACTCCCCCAGGTCACAGAGAGGGTGTGGCAGGGGGAACCCCTTCCTTCTGGCCTGCAAGGTTGGTGTCTTAAAAGACTTGTATTCATGTCAAAGAAATACATCTCTGATTTGAATCTGCATGAAGCAGAAAGCAAACATTTAGAAACTGTGTAATCTCAGTAAATGCATAACCACTTCCCATGTGGGTAAAATGTGTGTCGTGGAGAATGCTACAGTCCCTACCAGAAGCCAGGGACAGCCTGGGACTGGAAGGGCCGGAGGGCAGAGCAGGGCTGCCTGGGCTCCTGTGAAGGTGGATAAAGCTCAGGATGGTGACCTGACTATGCTGGCCATTTCCTGTGTGGTCACAGGCCTGGTGACACACTGCAATCCCCCACCGTAATCCCCCGCATGGCCCTTGAGTCTGAGGGAGTCCAGGCTGGAGAGGAGCTGGAGAAGCGGGGGGAGTGGCATTCTGGGTTTTCATGTGGTGCCACTGCAGGGTTGATGGCAGGGGCTCCCTGGTGCTTTTTCCTGATTCTCTCTCAGTCTCGCCAGGTCCCCTCCATGTCTCAAGTGCCTAGCTTCGTCCTGGGCAGGGGAGCAAGCGGGGGAGACCCCACTTGGTGAGAAGAGGGGAGAAAGGGTGATTTTGGTTCCTATGTTTATTTTTTCTCATATCAAACCCCAAACACTTTCTTTCTGATTTGCCCAACAGCCTCCTGGGAGGGCTTTAAGGGAAGACTGTCTGGGAACTGCTTACCACATGCCAGGTGCAGAGCGGGGCGTGAGGCCGGGATCCTCTCATCCTCACACACCTTCCAAACTCAGGCAGCTGCAGGGCAGGGAGCTGGGATTAGAACCCAGGGAGGTACCTGTGATAACCATTATGCCACATGTGGTACAAAGGTAGAGGAGAGGGCGGAGGGGCAGGGACCACACATACACCCAGGCCCCCACAGGAGCAGAGCGTAGCTGGGTAACGTGGCCGCATAGTTCCCGCTGAGGTGCACTGAGGCACGGCACGCTTCTTCCGGAAGCCTCTTCCCTTTCCTCACAATATGTCACCTGTCTGCACACAGATGAAGACAAGAGATGCCAGCAAGATGTAAAACTGTAACACCCCCGACATCATTTCTCTCCCCTCTCTTCTTTCAATAACATCTCGTTCTGACCCATGCCAGGTGACCATTGTTCTCCTGCGTTGTAAAGTCTCTGGTGTCACACAATTTGCAATTGGAAAAATGTGGAATCAACCCAAATGCCCATCAATTAACAAGTGGATAAAGAAACTGTGATATATATATGTATATATATACACACACACACATACACATGTATAAACACACATAATATATACACACACATACACATATATACACACACATACACACACACACACACGGAATACTACTCAGCCATCAAAAGGAGTGAATTAATGGCATTTACAGCAACCTGGATGGGACTGGAGACCACTGTTCCAAGTGAAGTAACTCAGGAATGGAAAACCAAACACTGCATGTTCTCACTCATAATTGGGAGCTAAGCTATGAGGATGCAAAGGCATAAGAATGACACAGTGGACTTTGGGGACTTAGGGGGAAAGGGTGGGGGGGCGAGGGATAAAAGAAGACAAATTGGGTTCAGTGTTTACTGCTCGAGTGATGGGCGCACCACAGTCTCACAAATCACCACTAAAGAACCTACTCATGTAACCAAACACCACAAACACCACCTGTTCCCCAAAAACCTATGGAAATAAAAAAATTTTAAAAAAGAGAAAAGTCTCTAGTGTCACAGCTCTTAAGATCTCATATCATTTTATGCTGTTTGCCTGAACTATACTCACATTTTGTGTACCCTTTCCTGGGTATTGGCGTATTTGAGCTTTCTTACTGTCCTAGCAGGATGAGTGGTGTGGCTACCCTGAAATGAGTTTTAGGCAGCATCCAGGCCTTAGGAGAGATATTTGAGAGACCACGGAGCCTTCTAGTTGTCCCTAAAATTATTCTTTTCCCAAGGATTGCCCTGAAGGTAAACCTGCTTTCCTTGTTGCCTCATGCCTGAGGCCAGGGCTGGGGCCTGAGGAATGTGGCCACCTCCCTGCACCCTTAAAGCTGAGCAGCCACAGATTCCTCAGCAGAGGGGAAACCCCAGGGCAAAGGCCAGGCGTCTGCACTTTCACCTCTACGTTGCTTTTGTCTATTATTATTGCACATTAGTAGCAATAATAGTAATAGACCAATGACTTCATTTATTAAGAAACTGCTATATGTCAGGCACTATGCTAAGTCCTTTATATACTTTATCTTTAAAGCTGTCATGGTTGAGTGTTTGAATCTGGGTTCCAGGTCACCACACTATTTAACTTTGAAGGTTTGCTATGAGGGGAAGTGAAAAAAAAACTATGTAAATATTTGGCACAGGGACTAGTATATTAGAAGTATTCTAGAAATGTTAGCCATTAATTAACCTTTAAGGATAGGTATCATTATATCCACTTTACAGATTTGGAAAACAAGGCTCAGAGAAGTCAAATAAAGTATTCAAGATTCTATTGTTAGAAAGTGGTGACGTTAGGAGCTGAACCCAGATCTTTCTGATTTTCTCCACTACTGATCTTCTGCATTGCTATTTGAGTGATTTCAAAAGCACCAGGGACATTAAATTGAGTGGCTTACTTGGTTTTTGGAAATATAACACTCCTGATTCAGTATGTTAGGTTTGCCTCCATTCATTTAACTAAACAGATCCGTGTACAATCTCAAGTGAGTGATTTCTATTCTGTTATGACAAGGCAATATGGTAGCTGTTTTGCAATAAGCAACTTTTATTTTTGGAATACAAGTTTTACTTTTTAAAATCATGAGATCATATTTCAAAGACCACTTACACACAAAAGTGGAGTCATGGACCTTTTCACTCCCAAATCAAGGCTCCTGCATATGGTAGGAGTTCAAGGAATGAGAGGTGATGGATGGATTTGTGGGTAGTTGTCCCATATGGTTTTCAATGTCCCATGTGATGTCCAGTCTTTTGGCTTCATTAGGCCACACTGGGAGAGGAATTGTCCCGGGCCACATATAAAATACATAAACACTAACAATAGCTGATGAACTAAAAAAAAAAAAATCTCATAATGTTTTAAAATTTACAAATTTGTGTTGGGCCGCGTTCAAAGTCGTCCTGGGCTCCATGTGGCCTGCAGGCTGTGGGTTAGACAAGCTTGGTCTATATGTTTATGCACAATAATCTATAAATTGTTGAGGCCGGGCACGGTGGCTCATGCCTGTAATCCCAGCGCTTTGGGAGGCTGCGACGGGTGGATCACAAGGTCAGGAGATGGAGACCATCCTGGCTAACATGGTGAAACCCCGTCTCTACCAAAAATACAAAAAAGAAATTAGCTGGGCATGGTGGCGGGCGCCTGTAGTCCCAGATACTCGGGAGGCTGAGGCAGGAGAATGGTGTGAACCTGGGAGGTGGAGCTTGCAGTGAGCCAAGATTGTGCCACTGCACTCCAGCCTGGGCGACAGAGCGAGACTCAAACAAACAAACAAATCTATAAATTGTCAAGACAAGCCTACCTTAAATCCCATCCAAGGGGCTATAAAAGTGATTACAGCTCCTACATCCTGAAATGTCTTGTGCAAACTTGCTGGAAGGCATTCTCATTACCCCAAACCAAGGACAAAGTAAAGTCAGCCCCCAGCAAGTGTCTATTCCACTTCAGGTGAAAGCAACAGCTGTACTCTCTCCATTTTTATTAGTAAAGTGCTGGAAATGGCTAACTACTTCTGTTCTAACTCGTTTATCAACATCCCACAATCCCAAATAATGACTCTTAGGTTTCTTTTCTGTTGTTTTCTCACCAAAAAGCCCAAAGTGAAGGTCCTAGGTCTGGGGCACTCTTGTTATCTGAGCCAGGAAATTAATTCACTGTGATTTACTCTAATGCACCCAAATGTGCAACTGTGGCTGGTGATTGTAGAATAATGTGACTTTTCACAGTTAACTCGTGACCCTCTCAGTAGGCACATGTTCAAAATGAGTATAAGTGCAGCTATGTTATTTACAGCTTACATGGCTTTGATAACACTTTGTTCATCTTATTCTGTAGATCGCATTTAACTCTGCAACGCGTAGTAGCACCTCCAGAGGAAAATGCGAGGGATCTTAAATCTCCTTTTCTAACACAGTTGCAAAGGCATATTAGAGCTCATGTTATCTCCCCTAGAACATATTCAGCTCAAGATAGTATTTTGCAAGGTTTGAGCTGAAAGATTTCTGGAATGATCCAAAGCAGTGCTTTGAGAAATATCTGTGGGAAAGACGAATTGTTTTTGTTTTGCTTTGCTTTTTTACAATCTATAATCCATTGCCCATTGAAACTTAAACATGATAAAAATGAGTTATGAGAGAAATTTAATGAAAAAGGGCATAAAAATATAAGCCCCAAATTTTAAATATTAGATACAGCAGACATCATAAAATTACTCTGTCAAGTTGCCATCAGAGTTTCTAAATGCTTACTGTCAATTTCTGGACTCATTCCCTCAAAGACCAGAAATAAATTACAGATAGACACCTTCCTCAGATCACAGTTTAAGTATACTGTTATAGGTTGAGCTTCCCTAATCTGAAAATCCAAAATTCAAAATGCTCCAAAATCTGGAACTTTCTGAATGCCCACACCTCACCTCATGTACACAAACTTTGCTTCATGCACAAAATTATTGAAAATATTCTACACAGGGCCGGGCGCGTTGGCTCACGCCTGTAATCCCAGCGCTTTGGGAGGCTGAGGCAGGAGGATCACGAGGTCAGCAGATGGAGACCATCCTGGCTAACACGGTGAAACCCCTCTCTACTAAAAATACAAAAAAAAATTAGCCAGGCGTGGTGTCGGGCACCTGTAGTTCCAGCTACTTGGGAGGCTGAAGCAGGAGAATGGCATGAACCCGGGAGGCGGAGCTTGCAGTGAGCCAAGATTGCGCCCCTGCACTCCTGCCTGGGCGACAGAGCGAGACTGTGTCTCAAAAAAAAAAAAAAAAGGTAATATTGTACACAATGGAAATGCAAAACTTTTTTTTAATATTCTGTATAATTATCTTCAGGCTATGTGTATAAGGTGTAGATGAACAATAAGTGAATTTCATGTTTAGGGTTGGATCTCTTCCCCAAGATATCTCATTATGTATATGCAAAGATTCCAAAATCCCCCAAAAAATCAAAAATCCAAAATTACTCTAGTCCCAAGCATTTTGAGTAAGAGATATTCAACCTGTATGTGTTGAGAACAGACAAGGACAGACTATAAGGATCACCCAGCTCTGATATGCAATAGTTCTGTGTCTATCTTAAGACCTGGTCAGGGCCAGGCACAGTGGCTCATGCCTGTAATCCCAGCACTTTGGGAGGCTGAGGCGGGTGGATCACCTGAGGTTGGGAGTTCGAGACCAGCCTGACCAACATGGAGAAACCCCGTCTCTACTAAATATACAAAAATTAGCCGGGTGTGGTGGTGCATGCCTGTAATCCCAGCTACTTGGGAGGCTGAGGCAAGAGAATTGCTTGAACCTGGGAGGCGGAGGTTGTGGTGAGCTGAGATCTGGCCATTGCACTCCAGTCTGGGCGACAAGAGCGAAACTCCATCTCAAAAAAAAAGAAAAAAAAAACCTGGTCAGAGCATGATTTTTATGAATTGAATGTTTGTGTCCCCACAAAATGTATATGTTGAAGCCTTAACCCCTAGTGTGATAATATTTGGAGATGGGGTCTTTGGGAGATGTACAGGCTTAGATGAGGTCATAGGTGGGTGGGAAATGATAGGACTATTGACCTTATAATAAGAGAAAGAGAGACCAGAGCTCTCTCTCTCTCTCTCTGCCTTGTGAGGATATAGCAAGAAGGAGACCATCTGTAATCCAGGAAGAGAGCCCTCACTAGGAACCAAATCTGCTGACACCTTGATACTGAACTTTCCAGCCTTCAGAACTATGAGCAATAAATGTCTGTCATGTAAGCCAGGCATTTTGTTGTTATGGCAGCCCAAGCTGACTAATACAATGGTGTAACACTGCCTCATGTTGAACAGAGCTGCCAAGGCCGAGAGTTCCTTTTGTGGGCTGAACATCCTTCGACCCTTAAATTATGACCCCAATTGTATCAGTATCTGGTTCAAGAGCACAGCTGACTGTATCTACTCTGTTGATGAGCACACAAATCACAGCTTTCCTATCTGGTCCCTGAAGAATGGATGCCTTGCTGCTCTGATTAATTATGCATCAGTTAATTAATTTGTTGGCTTTAGTGAATTGAATCAATTACTTTAAATGGCTTTTAATTGTTAATATATGCATTATAACAGAAGACAAAAGCTGTTAATAGAATTCAACATGAAAACCTCCCAGGACAGAGGATGGCCTTGTAAAATAAATTATTTAAAGTTTCCCAAAGAGTCCTTGTGACTTCCAAAAAGCCAATAGTATTTAAGGCAATATGGAATTCTGTTTGAGAGTTCTTTTTGGAGTAATTCTAAACAAATACAGATGGATAAGGTGTGAGGATTTATTGAGAGGCGATTGTCACCCACATAATCAGTCTCTAAGCTCCTGCATGTAGATGTCCTGGGAAAGCTAGAAGGCCCCATGAGAGCAGGATTACTGCTGATGGAAGTGTAAACCTCATCTAGAACCCTGATTTATAGGTGAGGAAGCACTAAATGATTGTCAACAACTCTGATGAGTGGCGTAGAGGGTTCTCTGTGTGTTGCTGCTAGATTCTCTTTCATTTCAGGGAGGAAGCCAACTAAGCAGTGGGGTCTGGGAAACAGTGGGCTGGGGCGGGGGCAGGGGGACCCTCCAAGTCTTACTATCTCTTCTCACCCAGTCTGGAAACCCAGAACCCAGAACCCAGTGGCAGAAAATGACATCCACACAGCTCTGCATCTGCATGGGCAGCTCTGGTTGGGGTGGGGGTGACACACATTCCCTCCCACTTCTGCTCTGGGATTTACTCCATGCGCTGTGAGAGGAAGAGGGCAGAGGGCAAATTAGACGCTGGTGTCAGAACAGTGAGCAAATTCCTCCCCTAGGTACCTTAATCAGCAGTCACAGAGAAGATCTTCAATCATGAGCCAAAGTAGCTCCTTGGCTAAACTTGGTAGACGGTAATATTTTTACGCGAAGATCAGACCTAGTCTGTAAGCAAACCTCAGTTTCAAGACTGATTCCTGTGGTGGTTAATTGGTGCAAAAAATAGAAAGAATGAATAAGACCCACTATTTGATAGCACACTTGGATGATGGTAGTCAATAATAATTCAAATGAATATTTTAAAATAACTTAAAGAATGTAATTGAATTGTGTGTAACTCAAAGGATAAATGCTTGAGGGGATCAATACCCTGTTCTTCATGATGTGATTATTTTACATTGCATGCCTGTATCAAAACATCTCATGTACCCCATAAATATATACAACTACTATTTACCCACAAAATTTCTTATAAATAATGAAAAACATTTAAAAAAAAGACTGATTTCTGCTTCTAAAAACCCTGTTGCTGATGTCCAAAAGAGGGTTGTTGGTAATCCAGAGAATAAAATTGGGAGAATATCATTTTTTTTTTTTGAGACAGAGTCTCTCTCTGTTGCCTGGGCTGGAGTGCAGTGGCATGATCTAAGCTCACTGCAACCTCCGCCTCTCAGGTTCAAGTGATTCTCCTGCCTCAGCCTCCAGAGTAGCTTGGACTACAGGTGCCCACCACTATACCCGGCTAATTTTTATATTTTTAATTGAGACGGGGTTTCACCATATTGGCCAGGCTGGTCTCAAACTCCTGACTTTGTGAACCGCCTGCCTTGGCCTTCCAAAGAGCTGGGATTACAGGCGTGAGCCACCGATGGGAGAATATATTTTTAAGCAATTGTTTGACTAACTCATTTACTGTCCAAACATTTGAGAGCCCCCTACACACCAGGCCATGTGTTAGGTGCTGTGTCTGCAACTCTCAACAAGATGAATCTCTGGAAATAGACATTTGGAGCATCATGTAATAAATGCTACAAAAAGACATATACCGGGGGCTATAATAACACATTGGGATGCCACTTAACCTAGGGTAGCAGAATCATGGAGGTTTCATAAAGGAGATGAGTCTGGAAAGACAGGGTAAGAGGAGTTAGCTAAGCAAAAAGTCAGGTCCAAGGGGGAAGGTATCTGACGGATAAATAAACAGATGGCATGTGAAAGCCTAGCACCAACTCCACATAGTTCTTCAGGGCCAGAGTACAGCTAGGATGGAGGTCCAGATTGTGAATCCCACAAGTGATGAGATGCTCTTGAATGGTTTTGAGGAGAAGAATGGCATGATTATATCTAGATTTAGAAAGATTATCACAACAGTAGTGTGGAAAATGGATTAAAGAATGCTGAAGACAGTAAGCAGAGAGACAAGCTAGGACCCTGTTGCAGCAATTCAGGAAAGAAGTAAGGGGAACTGCAAATAACTGGTGAGGCTGGGATGGAGACTTGAGGATGGTCATGATGTGCACACCACAACATGCCATTCAGACACCCATCAGTGAACGACTTGTTGCCCCAGTTACTGAGAATGCCATGAGCAGGCAGTCTTCAGCTGCCAGTCCCATCAGGGATTGCTTGAGTTGCACACAGCTTCTTGCCTGAGGTCACTTCCCATCCCAAAGCCCAATGACAGTGATGTGAGGGCATGAAGGCTTGGTCAACTTGGTCCAATTCAGGGCCACTCTGAAGGACCATCTAACTCCAGTCCTCCCTGTGAAACCCCACAAGGCTGCCATTGTGTCCACATGAGCCCCACTTTTCCCTCTGTCTAATCCTGCCTCAATTCCGTCCCTTACACAGGGTTGATCCTAGAAGCACATCCTAATAAGCCTGCCGCACACTAACTCCATCTGCGTCAGCTTCTTGGGAATTCCAAGCTGCAAGAGTAACCAACTTGATTCATAGGTAAGAAGGAGAAAAATAATCAAGAATAATTCCAAGATTTCTAGCTTAGTTTATTAAGATAGGAAATAAAGGAAGAACAACTTTGGGAGGGGAGTGATGTATCCAGGTCCGAGCACTGTTACTTTTTTGATGACACCACAACTTTTAGGTCTCCTTAGCTGGAAACCCTACAATCATCTTGACCCTTCCTTCCCTTCAAGCCCAACTCGCAATAAGTCCTATCAATTATTTTCTTCATATGGTTGTGGGATTCATCTTTCATTTTATTCCCACTTCTTACTTCTATGTATTCCAAACCTTACCATTTTATGCCTGAATTGCCACAATAGTCTCAGCTTTGGATTGGACCTTCTTGGCCTCTGTCCCTAACTTGTGGTTCTGGTCAGTGTTTTAAAATCATCATTACCTTTATTGTGCCACTACCACCTTAGCATATCTCAACATTTAGTGCTACGTGATAGATATTAGTCAATTTACTGTTCTACACTATTTAATTCGATTCCACTCAAGAAACCACATTTAAGCTACTACTGTCATTTGGGCATGATATGAGAAGCTTGGAGAACCCAATATGAATGAGATATTTTCTGCTTTCCAGAAATTCTCAATTTATAGAGGAGACTAGCACTTAAATAATAGTGAAACAATGTGAAGAGAGCTCAACTGGGACACAGGTGTTTATAGAAAACAGAGAGTAGAATGGAATTATTTCTGTCCCAACTCTTTCTGAGGGCTCTCAACTCTTTCTTGTGCACTGTTTCCTGGCTTCGTGCTGTCTGCCCAATCTAATTCTCACTCTCTGAGTTGGTGTATTTACTATGTGTGTGTGGTGACCAGCCTCCAGTGATTCTTGTTTTCAGATATTTATTTATTTGGGTAATATCTCCTCAGTAATATCTCCTCTCCAATCAGTAGAATATGGTAGAAATAACAAAATGTGGCTGGGCACAGTGGCTCAAGCCTGTCATTCCAGCACTTTGGGAGCCCGAGGCGGGTAGATCACGAGGTCAGGAGATCAAGACCATCCTGGCTAACATGGTGAAACCCCGTCTCTACTAAAAATACAAAAAAATTAGCTGGGAGTGGTGGTTAGCGCCTGTAGTCCCAGCTACTTGGGAGGTTGAGGTGGGAGAATGGCATGAACCCGGGAAGCAGAGCTTGCAGTGAGCAGAGATTGCACCACTGCACTCCAGCCTGGGCGACAGAGCGAGATTCCATCTCAACAAAAAAAAAAAGAAAAGAAAAAGAAAGAAAGATATAACAAAGGTGACATCTGAGGCTAGGTCATAAAAGACATACTTTCTGTGAATAAAGTATATAACATACTGTTTTTCAAGACACCGGACATCAGTCATGAAGGACAGTGTTTGCTTGGAGATAGGAAGCAAATGATGTGAGCCCTTTAACTACTTGAGTTTACTGCCCGATCACAGCTCCCAGGCCATAGCACAGGAAGAGGGATACCAGCAGGAGCAGACTCTGGATTGAGAAGACAGGGTTGAAAGTCCAGGGAGAAGAAGGTGGCTGGACTTTGCAGGCCAGAATATTAGAGGGGAAAGAGAGATACTATGAGAGAGATCCCAGTGATCTGCAGAAAGTTCTTCAGTGTTCAGCTGGGTACCTACCGATCAGTGCATGTCTGTGCAGCATAAAACAAAAGATGGGGAAACATCCTTACTTATCTTAAAGGATAAGAAGGAATAATACCCAATGCTCACAGGGCCAAGAATAGTACCTGTTCCCACGAGCCAGGCACCGATCACTGGGTAAAGCATTCATAACGGTCTTGTCTCAGTAATGGATGAAAATTAGCCCTTCTCTTGTCCTACCTAACAAATCTTAAGTGAAAGATTCAATGGATCAAACTATTTACAAGTAACTTAATTATGTCCCAGAACAAAGTTCAAGAATACTTGTAGCAATTCAAAACCATCCAGTAGCCGAAAAGGCAATATCTCGCATCCAGTAAAAAATTAGCAGAAGAGGCAGGAATGTGACTCATAATAAAGAGAAAAATCATTCAGTTGAAACTGACCCAGAACTAACACAGATGTTAGAATTAACAAACAATGGCATTAAAACATTATTATTATAAATTTATTCCATGTGTTCAAAAAGTTAAGTGAGACCTAGAAGTACAAAATGACCAAATGCAACTTCTGGAGATAAAAACTAAAATGTCCGCAATGAAAATTGAATGGGATTAATGAGAGGTTGGACATTGCAGAAGAAAAGATCAGTGACCCTGAAGACATAGCAATAGAAACTATCCACACTAAAACATAAATAAGGATTTTTAAAACTAAAAATATGGGCAGTGAGCTATGAGACAATTTTGAGCACCTTAACGTGACACTGAAGTCTCCAAAAGAGAGCAGGGAAGAAAAAAATATTGAAAGAAATAATGGCCAACAATTTTCCAAAATTGATGAAGACAATAAACTCAGTGTCACAAGTAGTTCAATGAGCTCCAAGGCATAAAACTACACAAAGGCAAACCAAACTGAAGTTGCTCAAACTAGTGATAAAGAAAATTTAAAAATCAGCCAGAGAAAAAAGACATACATAAGAGGCACATAGTTAAGAATGACAGCTGGTTTCTTGACAAAGGCAATATAAATAAAAAGACAAGAGAAATAGTTTTAAAAGAAAAAAGTCATTCAGAATTCTATACCCAATAAAAATATCTTTCAAAAGTGAAGGCAAAATGTAGATATTTTTAGACACACAAAAGCTATAAGAATTCATTATTCCAGCATAACCATACTATTAAAACATCTTAAAGGAAGTCCTTCAGACAGAAGGAAAATGATGCCAGATGGAAATTTGGATCTATACAAAGAAATCGGCCAGGAGGGGTGGCTCAGGCCTGTAATCCCAGCACTTAGGGACGCCGAGACGGGCGGATCACGAGGTCACAAGATCAAGACCATCCTGGCTAACACAGTGAAACCCCGTCTCTACTAAAAATACAAATAATTAGCCAATTGTGGTGGTGGGCACCTGTGGTCCCAGCTACTCGGGAGGCTGAGGTGGGAGAATGATGTGAACCCGGGAGGCGGAGCTTGCAGTGAGCCAAGATCAGGCCACCGCACTCCAGCCTGGGTGACAGAGCAAGACTCCATCTAAAAAAATAAAAAATAAAAATAAAAATAAGTGGCCGGGCGTGGTGGCTCACACCTGTAATCCCAGCACTTTGGGAGGCCGAGGCGGGCGGATCATGAGGTCAGGAGATCGAGACCATCCTGGCTAACACGGTGAAACCCCGTCTCTACTAACAATACAAAAAAATTAGCTGGGCGCGCTGGCAGGTGCCTGTAGTCCCAGCTACTCTGGAGGCTGAGGCAGGAGAATGGCCTGAACCTGGGAGGCGGAGCTTGCAGTGAGCCGAGATGGCACCACTGCACTCCAGCCTGGGTGACAGAGGGAGACTCCGTCTCAAAAAAGTAAATAAATAAATAAATAATAATAAAAATAAATAAAAAAAAGAAATCAGGAGCGCCAGAAATAATAACTAATGATTACATAGATGATTGCTTTTCCTTATTAAATAAGTTTAAAAGATAATTGACTATTTAAACAAACATAACAATTATGTATTGTGGAATCTCTAACATGTGGAAAGGTAAAATATATGACAGCAGTAGCACAAAGGCTGGCAGAGGGAAATGGGATATACTATTTTATATTCTTTTGTTATATATATGAAGTGGTGTCATATCACCTGAAAGTTAACCAGAATAAGTTAGTGATGCATAGTAAAAATCCTAAGAGAATCACCCAAGTACAAAACAAGGAGTTAAAGCTCATAATTCAACTAAGGCAATAAAATGAAATAGTAAAATGTATTTAGTTAATCCAAGAGAAAGCAGAATAAGAAGAAAAAGAAAACAAAGAGACAAATAGAAAATAAATAGGAAGAGAGTACATTTAAACCTAAGCATATCCATGCTCACAGTAAATGTTAATAGACTAAAAATTCCAACCAGAAGTTTGAAATTGTCATATTGGACCAAAAGGCAAGACTACGCTGCCTATAAAAATACAATTTTTTAAAAATTTTTCCATAGGTTATTGGGGTACAGGTAGTGTTTGGTTACATGAGTAAGGTCTTTAGTGGTGCTTTGTCAGATTTTGGTTCACACATCACCCAAACGGTATACACTGCACCCTATTTGTAGTCTTTTATCCCTCGCCCCCTCCCATTCTTCCCCCCAAATCCCCAGAGTCCACTGTATCATTCTTATGCCTTTGTGTCCTCATAGCTTAGCTCCCACATATCAGTGAGAACATACGATGTTTGGTTTTCCATTCCTGAGTTACTTCACTTAGAATCATAGTCTCCAATCTCATCCTGGTCACTACAAGTGCCGTTAATTTATTCTTTTTTATGGCTGAGTAGTATTCCATCATATATATATATATATGTATATACACACACACACACACCAAGTTTCTTTATCCACTCATTGATGGGCATTTGGGTTGGTTCCATGATTTTGCAATTGTGAACAGTGCTGCTATAAACATGCGAAAAACACAGTTTAAATATAAAGACACAGATTAAAAATATATTCCACACTAACATGAATCAAAGAAAGTTGTAGTGGGTAGGCCGGGCGCAGTGGCTCACGTCTGTAATCCCAACACTTTGGGAGGCTGAGGCGGGCAGATCACTTGGTCAGGAAATCAAGACCATCCTGGCTAACACGGTGAAACCCCGTCTCTACTAAAAATACGGAAACAAAATTAGCTGGGCGTGGTGGCGGGCTCCTGTAGTCCTAGCTCCTCGGGAGGCTGAGGTGGGAGAATGGCGTGAACCCATGAGGCCGAGCTTGCAGTGAGCCGAGATCGCGCCACTGCACTCCAGCCTGGGCTACAGAGCGAGACTCCGTCTCAAAAAAAGAGAAAGTTGCAGTGGTTATATCAATCTCAAGCAAGGTAGATTTCAGAGCAAAGAATATTACCAAGAATAAAGAAGGTCAGTTCTTAATGATAAAGAGGTAAATTCATCAGCAAGATATAACAATCCTCAATATGGATCTAATAATAGAGCTTCAAAAGTACATGAAGCAACAACTGATAGAAGCACAGGGGAAGATAAACAAATCCATAAATATAGTCCAAGATTTCAGGACCCCGCCCTCAATAATTGACAGCACAATTAGACAGAAAATCAGTAGGGTATAAAAGACCTGAATACAACTATGAACCAAATTGGCCCAATTGATATTAATTCAAAAGAGACCATATGTCTAAATGTAAAACCTAAAGCTATACAACTTCTCAAAGAAAAGATAGGAGAAAAACTGTAAACTTAGGTTAGGCAAAGATTTCTTAAATATGACACCAAAAGCATGCGCCATAACAGAACAAATTGGCTAATTAGACTTCATTAAACTTTGAAATCTGCTCTTTACACTGTTTAGAGAATAAAAAGTCAAGCCATAGACTGAGAGAAAATGTTTGCAAAGCATATGTCTGATAAAGTATTTGCATCCAGAAAAAAACCCAAACATAATAATAAGAAAACCAGCAACCCATAAAAAGTCAGCTAAAGATTTGAACAAACATTTCATCAATAGCCATTAGACAAATGCAAATTAAAACCACAATGATATACCACTACACACCTATTAAAATGACTAAAATTAGAAAAGACTGAACATATGGATGAGGATGTGAAAGAACTAGAAATCTCTTGCACTTGTGGTAGGAATACAAAATGATATAGCTGCTTCAGAAAACAGTTTGCAGTTTCTTAAAAAGGTGTACATACGGCCAGGTGCAGTGGCTCACGCCTGTAATCCCAGCACTTTGGGAGGCCGAGGCGGACGGATCACGAGGTCAGGAGATCGAGACTATCCTGGCTAACATGGTGAAACCCTGTCTCTACTAAAAAATACAAAAAATTAGCTGGGCGTGGTGGTGGGCGCCTGTAGTCCCAGCTACTCGGGAGGCTGAGGCAGGAGAATGGTGTGAATCCAGGAGGCGGAGCTTGCAGTGAGCTGCAATAGCTCCACTGCACTCCAGCCTGGGCAACAGAGCAAGACTCTTTCTCAAAAAAAAAAAAAAAAAGAGATGTACGTATACCTACCATTCGATCCAATCATTCCATTCCTAGGTGTTCACCCAAGAGAAAAGAAAGCAGAGATCCATGCAAAGACCTGTACACAAATGTTCATAACCACTTTATTTGCAAAAGCCCAAAAAGGACACAACCCACGTGTCTATCAACAGGTGACTGCATAAGAAAACTGCAGCATATTTATATAGTGGAATACCACTTAGCAACAAAAAGAGAGGAAGCATGAATACACAGCAGCAACCTGGGTGAATCTCAAAATAATGTAAAAAGCCAGCTAACTGATAGTGACAGAAAGCAGACTGGTGGTTGCCTGCAGGTGCGGAGGAAGGACAGGAAAAAGGGATCACTAAGGGACAAGAGGAGAATTTGGGGGATGATGGCTATGTTTACTGCCTTGTGGTGTAACACATCAAATTTTACCACTGAAATATGTCTATTTTACTGTATATCAATTATACCTGAAGAAGTGGTTTTACAAAAGAGAGAAACTATGAAGCTCATTACTGACATTGTAATTGCAAAGAAATCTGGCCTAGCTATGAAAGCAGCTTTCCTGCAGAGCATAAGTGACGATTCCAGTTCTCTGCTAGAGAGCGTGGCCAGGTAGATGGGTCGGCATCAGCACTTTTCCCGTTAGACTACACAACACGCCCCGGCCGTAATTTCACCAGCAGAGCTGGACTTTGCTTGCAACCTGTTAAGCTCAAGCCCAGCGTGAATGTTTTGCTAGACAGAGCCATCTTTCTCTGGATGTTGCAGGTCAGTGCTGGGTGACCGCAGAGCTTCTCTAGTAAACCCACATCATCCCAAGAGTGGCCTCCTGTCCAGAGAGGCGCTCATCTGCCTGCTCTGCAGACGGACAATCGCTCTGTTTTGTTTCAATGCTCAACCTGACCAGCCTCCAGCTACCACTCTATCTATCTTTCTAATGATGCCAAGCGCCATGTTGGACCATTTCCAGATACTCTAAGCTCCTCAAGGAAGCATTACAATCTGTGTGCCATCCATCTTGTGCTCCCAGCACCAAACGCAGTTCCTGACTGGGAGTTGCCAGTGAATACATGTTTATTTTATGAACGAATGAATGAACAGATGAATGTTTAATGTAAAGAAGAGAAGGTTCAAGTTAATCCTGATACCTAAAAGTGCCCACATTATGACCAGATAGTGATCTAAATCTTAATTCACAAGGAAGTTATTTAGAAATAGCAGCTTATTGTGTTATATAATACGGGTCGCTAAAATTACTTGAGCGCTTACTATGCTAGGCACTATTCCAAGCATGTAACATGCATTGTCTCATGGAATCTTCAAAGGTACCAGCAGTAGTCTGCTAGGAACGCCATAGCAAAGCACCACAACAGTGCATTTTCTCACAATTTTAAAGGCTGGAAGTCTCTGATCAAGGAGTTGGTTTCTCCTGAAGCCTTTCTCCTTGTGGGTGGCCTCTTCTCCTTGTGTCCTCACATGGTCTTCCTTCTGTATGTGTCTGAGTCCTAATCTCCTCTTCTTATAAGGACACTAAGCATATTGAATGAGGGCGCACCCTAATGGCCAGAGGTAATTTTAACTCAATTGCCTCCGTCATTAAAGGCCCTATTTCCAAATATAGACACAGTCTGAGGCAGTGGGGATGAAGACTTCAACATATGAATTTTGAGGGGACACATTCAGCCCATAATAGTACCAATAAAGTTGGTTGTAACTATTGTTCTCATTTTACAGGGGAGGAAACTGAGGCAAAGAGCAGCCACATTGTCCAAGGTCATGCCCTTAATACATGTCAGAACCTGGACACCAAGAATGGTAGTCTGCCTGTTCCAGAACCCCATTCTTAATTATCATTCTATACTGACTTGCAATTGATCCACATATTCTCAGTGGAGGTCAGATTCTCAGGCTAGCCCCAAAAGCCTAATTCATCATAACACAGTTGGGATGCTACTAAGGGTATTCCAAAACCTGGGTTCTTGAAGACTTAGGGATAAAGAGAAGAAGTTGAACTTAAAAACTAGCAGTGGGGGCTCCATGAGCAATAGCTCTGGGGCGCTGGCGGAGTGAGAGGCAGCCAGGACCCTTGGTACTGGTCACTCCTGTAGCGTGATAAGGGGACAGGGGTCAGTGGCCATTTCTACACAAGGGCCACCTATTAGTCAAGTGGCATAATTCTGAGACTGTTTCTATTTACAAAAACAAAAAGATGATAAATAGAGTAGAAGGCATGATTAATACGCCACAGGGATCTTTAAAAATTATGTAAATTATTTTAAGGCTTTTAATTTACTTTACCTTTTTAACGTGCTGTAATATACTACATAGACACATGCAATATAATTTTAAATCCCCGGAGGCCTTCTTTTTGGATAGTAAGTAATTTCATAGCACAGCAATATTTCTTAGACTGAATATCTCAGGCAGAAGACAGTACTGATTCCTTTCTTCTTCCACTTCAAAAGCACACAGGAACCCATCTATTTCTCTAAATATTTTTTTTTCTGGCCCATCTGTATCTTAAGCAATGTCCAGGTTTGTCAACCCCATCATTTTTGTCTGTGTTATGAAGGAATGCATGTTTAAAAATGCATTTCGAAAAGAAATAAAAGCGGTCATGTCAATGGATACCTCCCTGTCCATGGGATTTCATTCTAATATTTAGGCACTATTCTAGGTGTTGGAAATGTAGCTGCATAAAAAAGCCCTTCCTGTGGTGGAGATCAAATTTTCGTCCTTTTTGGCAGGTGAAGGCTCAGGCGCTTGTGAGGACAGGCCTCTGACCTAATTCATCTGCATGCTGTACTCTTGCCCACTCGGGCAATGTTGTCCCAGTTGAGGAAATGCCTGTACACAAAGAAGCCTGAGGGAAGAGTCTAGAATGTGTGAAATCGTGGGGTGCTGCAGAGCTCTCTGGTTATAGTTGTCTCAGCACCTGGCCCTCTAAGCCCAATGGTCCTGGGATGGCAGCTTTCAGCCTTTGTGGATGTGCAGCCCAAAACCCGGAAGCAGAAAGAATGCAGGCTTATTTCTCCTCCACCAAAGAGAGAGGAATAACATTTCATATGTGTCACCCAAATGAAGCTGAACTTTCAAGTTCTCCGAACAGCATCACATTCAAAAGAAACACCATTAAGATATCAAATGAAGCGATTAAAAGCAATTTTAAAATATTAATGAAATTGCAAAAAGGACCAAGAAGGAATTTCATTCATAAAACTGAGCTAAGTTGTTAAAATTCTTCTTACCATGTTTCTTCTCAAAGCTCCACTCATTATAGCTCAGCAGCTGCCCCAGTTGGTTCTCAGGTTCTAACAGAGATGGGGACAGAGAGTTGCACTTGAATGTCTTTTTTTTTTTTTTGAGACGGAGTCTCGCTCTGTCTCCCAGGCTCGAGTGCAGTGTCTCGATCTCGGCTCACTGTAAGCTCCGCCTCCCGGGTTCACGCCATTCTCCTGCCTCAGCCTCCCGCGTACCTGGGACTACAGGCGCCCGCCACCACGCCCGGCTAATTTTTTTGTATTGTTAGTAGAGACGGGGTTTCACCGCGTTAGCCAGGACGGTCTCGATCTCCTGACCTCGTGATCTGCCCACCTCGGCCTCCCAAAGTGCTGGGATTTCAGGCGTGAGCCACCGCGCCCGGCCAGAGTTGCACTTTAACCTCTTACGAGTGCTGAGGTTTGAACGGACATGTTCTTCCAACATTCTTAGGTTGGAACTTAAACCCGAAGGTGATGGTGTTAAGAGGTGGGACCTTCAGGAGGTGATGAGGTGGTGAGGGCTCTGCCCTCATGAAGGGATTAGTGCCCTTATGAAATGGCTCCAGGGAACTAGCTAGTCCCTTTCTGCCCTTCTAATATGTGAGGACACAGCAACAAGGGACCATCCTGGTAACAGACAGAACCCTCACCAGAGACTGAATCCGCTGGTACCTTGATCTTGGATTTCCCGGCCTCCAGGATGGTAAGAAATAAATTTCCATTCTTTATAAATAAGCCAGTCTCAGGTTATTTTGTTATAGCAGCACAAATGGACAAAGACACCAAATTTAGGGGGTGCCCTCTGATGCAGGCTGGCTTGATACAAAACAAGAGCCTTATGACTTCTATGCCCTCTTCCTGCTCTGGAGAATCTCTGTCTGGTGTCCAACCTGAGCCCTGCAGAGGTGCTGGCCCTGCCCTGTGCTCCAGGCCATCCTTGCCATGGACCTGTAATGCACTGCTGTTCTCTCCCAGCAGAGTTCTTGTCAAGGGGATGATCGCCTGGTACATGGCCAGAAATGCTTTGGTTCATATTTCCCATGTGTCCCCTGCCCCCATCCCATACACACCCCCAGGAGGTACACTCAATAGGTAAACCCAAAGGTGAGCCTCAACTCCCTTTGGCTCACATATCCATCTTTTCAGGGGGCTCTCACTTCTCCACTTTGGGAAATATAGGGGCAGGCAGGTGAACCTCCCACTCCCTTCTTTCCTTCCTCTATTCCTCCTTCTTCCATTAGGTCCATCTCTTCCTTCCTCCCTTCATTCCTTAGAGAATAATAAGTTTTGCTTAATTGGAAGTTGACTTTTCCTTTCAATTGCCTGTTTCTAATGTCTAATATAATCCCAGTAGGCCATGATGCATGCTGAGTTTTTCCCTGGGATATTGGCATTCCAATGTTAGAGTTGGGCTTCTGTTGCACTATTTATAATGACGTCCGAGTGCATCTCATGGCTTCCTCGTGGATTTATTTGTCTTTTTGGTGCTCAACATCCTTTGTCTCTGTAGTTTTGAAGTTATTTTGCTCTCACTCTTGGATGACAATTTAGCTGTATTTGGAATTCAGGGTTGACAGTGTTTTCCATCAGCATATGGATGATGACACTCCATTCTCCTCTGGTCCCTGTTGTTCCAGATGAAAGTTGTGCTCTCAATCTAACTGTTATCCCTTTGTGGATAATCTGGGTTTTTTTCGAGCACCTTTTTCTTTTTTCTTGGTGACCTACAGTTACTTTGAACATGTGTTACCTTGTGTAGAACTTGATGTACGCTTTCAGTCTCAGGACTTGCATCCTTTATTCTGAAAATTCTCAGCCATTCTGTCTTTAAATGCCTGACCACCATTTCTTCTCCCCTCTACTGCTGAAAATACTCACAGATGGATGTATGATAGAATCTGTCTGTCTTCCATGTCTCTCAATATTTTCCATTTTTGTTTCTTCTCTTGACCTCTGAGTGTTATATTCTGGATGAATTCTTCACTATTTCATTCACTTTACTACATCTTCTATTTGATTGTGTCTTGTATAGATTTGACAGCATTGGTGGAGTTACTCTTTTTTATTCCAATAACTATATTTGTTACTTCCAGGCTCTTAACTGGTGCTTTTTCATAGCTACACATTACTAATTAATGTCTGCCAATTTTGTAATTTTTTAAAAAAAGTTTTTCCTTTATTTACCCTGTTGAAAAATATTACCATACTTATTGTAAATCCTTTCAGATTATTCCATTATTTTCATTTCTTCAGGAATGAATTCTCACTTGTTGAATTTTTTTGGCTATCTTTTACGACACAAACCTTTCTATGTGTTTTGAAATTTTGAATGTGAGTTGTCTCCCACCCCCTCTTCTTATGTACAACTTTTCTGTCTGATCTTTTGAGGTTGTCACCTCCCAGCACTGCAGAGTCCCTAGTTATAATCAAGCTTTATGCTGACAGCTTAAACCCTTACATGCAAACCCAGTCCCTGTGCCAGTACATAGTTAGGCCTGGTTTCAGGCTACCAAGAAATCTCTGTTCTTTTCTTCCACCCAAGCAAGAAGCTGACTTTCTACCCCAGCTTTGGTTAGTAGTTGTAGCTAATTTTAGTCTATGTTCTTTTGCAGGGAGCCCAGAGCATCCCCATCTGGATGTATATGGGGAACTTTCCATCCCCTTTCTCTCTGAATAGAACTCCTGTCCACCACTCCCTCTCTTTGACCCCAGTTTTCAGCAGGCCTAGTCCCTGCTTCCTGTTTTGTGTTCTCATTTTATCTCTTGTCCATGTGGATGATTCTGTTGAAAACTGAGGATTTTATTGTCTATAAATTTTTGAACAAATGTATATATTAAAAATATTCTTGACTGGGCACAGTGGCTCATTCCTGTAATTCCAACACTTCAGGAGGCTGAGGCAGGAGGATCATTTGAGACCGGGAGTTCGAGACCAGCATGGGTCAAAAAGTGAGACCTCTGTTAACATTAAATTCACTGTGTGTGGTCACGCACAACTGTAGTCCTAGTTATTTGGGAGGTTAAGGCAGGAAAATTGCTTGTGCTCAGAAGTTCAAGGTTACATTGAGCTATAATTGCACCACTGCACTCCAGCCTGGGAAATAAAGCAAGACTCTATATCTAAAAAAGTTTTTAAATTTTTAATTCTCATAGCCTTGTGTTTGAAGTGGGATGTGGGTATTTCTGCAGGACCTTGCCTCACATTGTTGACCACCTTCCCCACCGCTCCACACCCTTCCATCTGTTCTCCAAAAAGACTCTTACAATGCATGGATTATAATTTGACTCAGTGCCATCCTCACAAAGTGTATATCTTTTCATTTACAGTCATGTCTACTCCTCCTAACCTTACTTGTGGAATGGAGGGCTTTGCCCAAAGCTAAGGCAAATCTGGCCCATGGGGATATGACATGGAGCAGCGTGGGTGTCAGGGCTTTGGCTTGCCCTGATGCCACATGACATCTACACCCAGCCTTGGATGCCACTGTCTTGCAGGCTTCCTAGGGTACCCTCCAGTGCTGAGCCAGTGGGAGCAGGAGGATGTTGCTGAAGGTCTATCTGCTCCTCCCATTCTCACCCCATCCCCTGCAGCTTTCCTGCCACAGATTCATTATTTTGGAGGATTCAGACTTTCTTCTCCCTGTGTTCTTTCTCTTCCAAGCCACCAATCCCTATTTAGATCTTCCTAGCACCCCTAAATCTACAATCCATATCTTGGTAAGCAAAGATGGCTTTTGAGTAGAAGGTAATCCTCCCGTCACCCTGCTCTGGACACACAGGGAACTAGCCAGGCTGGGAAGTTTCCTTGAAAACCTTAGTTTCTTAGCAAGAAGAAGTGATATTATGCATATGAAGAACAAATATTCTATGATTCATTGTATTAGGAAAAAAATGTCCACTTGATGCGGATTATAGATATTTGAAATGAACAAGCTAAGAAAAGAAGAAACTACAATTTGGGTTTGTTTTGTTTGGGGCTTCTCAACACTTACGCCCAAGGACTGCATAGCACAGTAATCACCATATATCTCATTGACTATGCCAAATTAACTTTGTTATAAAGTTTCATTTCATTACAAAAGAAAACAAAGCAGTATATAACAGAGAGAGCTCTAAGCCAATACATTTCTACAATATTGAAGTACATGTCTATACTCCATGTACATATATTTGTTGTAATCTGTTCTAAATGCATTTTGGGTCTCTGCTATTGCTTTTGTATCTTCTCAAAACTATTAAAGATGACAAGAACAGGAGTTTTTTAATGGCTACTCAATAGTTAATCTGATAAACTAATTAAGCAATGGCTGTGATAGTTAATAATGTCTCAGAGCTTACCACACCCAGAGAATATGCTGCATTTTAACAAATTCCTTGAACATTTTATCCAAAGATAGAGAAGAGGAAGAAATTTAATTACTTATATAGTATTAGGTTAATTTGGAGATATTTTGAATAGATTTTTTGGTACTTTATAATAAATCATACATTTAGAAGGTAGATGTATTTCCCTCTCTAGATGAAACTGGTTCTTGTCCTAAGGAAAACAATTTATTATATAATAGCACCCACAGAAACTTGTGATAGACAGGTGTGCTCTTAATTTTTTTAAATCTTTTGCGATTTGATGGATGAAAAATGAAAATAGGACCTTAATCCTTTTGTCTTGCATATCTTTGAGCATTAATAGAATTGAATTTAAGATATCTTTGGTTATCTACTTTGTTTTGTAAATTGTCCTCTTTCCTTTTAGTGTTTTTACCTTCTCTTGGATTTATATAAGCTCTCTTTATGGTAAAAGCTATTATAATATTATAATCAATAAAATGTCCAAAGAAATAAATGAAAGGGGCTTATTTTTCTTACTTTATAATAACTCAAGTTTCTAATTTTGTAAATTTGCAAGAATAGGGACTAGCTACAGTGGAATGCAATACCTCTCTCTGTTCATCCAGCATTCTGGCCTCTGTTGTTGAATTAGCTGTCTCCCCTAAAGGACTGCACATGGCATTTTTCTTTCTCTTTTTTGACATTTAAAATATTTCTAATTTGGCCAAGTTAAAAAGGCTAGAAAAGAAAACATATCAGTTTCCTATAATGAATCACAAGAGATTTTTCTACTGTGTGACTGGCATTATATTTGCCAAAAGTGAGAGGTTAAGACATATGAAGGTTTGATTCATCAGCAGAAACAGTTGCTAAATGTCACATTTAAACTGTCATTACTGTTAGTCAAATATGCAAGACAGTGGGACCCCACACTGGACAATCCTTTCTAAGGGAATCTTAGAATCCCTTTACATTCATTTTCCAGACTGTTTCCTCTTTATTGCCTACCTCTCTCTTATTTGTTAGGAAGTATTTCAGACATCAAAACATGTAGAGAATAATCTAGCAAATACCAATTTGCCCCTACCCAGCTTAATCACAAAAGCAGTGGAAACTTCCTGAATTATTCTCCATCCCAAACATCCTGTTCCCCCCCCCCATCTAGAGGTAAACACAATCCTAGATTTAGTTGCATTGATCCCATGCTTGATGTTATCCTTGTGTTGCATGTAAATGTACCTCTTAGCAATATATAGGACTGACTGGTTTGCATGTTTTTTTTTTTTAAGTTTCTGTAAATGATATAGCATGTGACTTTTGCTTGACATTGTATTTTACAGATTTATCCATGTGGCTACTTGAAGCTGTAGTTCACTTATTTTTCATTGCTATATAATATTCCATTGTATGACTTCCCACTTAACTTGTTCTTCTTGAAATTCATCTCCCTTGGCCTGGCTCAGTGGCTCACGCCTGTAATCCCAGCACTTTGGGAGGCCGAGACAGGTGGTTCACGAGGTCAGGAGTTTGAGACCAGCCTGGTCAACATAGTGAAACCCCGTCTCTACTAAAAATACAAAAAATTAGCTGGGTGCGGGGGCGGGCGCCTATAATCCCAGCTACTCGGTAGGCTGAGGCAGGAGAATCGCTTGAAGCCAGGAGGTGCAGGTTGCTGTGAGCCGAGATCGCGCCACTGCACTCCAGCCCCGGCGACAGTGTGAGACTCCATCTCAAAAAAAAAATAAAAAGAAATCTCCCACATTTCTTTTCCTGGATGACGTACTTTCTTAAATGTTAATCTCTCAAAATATTATTCAGTGTGTGTTGCTTTTGTTGCTGTGTGTGTGTGTGTATATATATATATATATATATATATATTTTTTTTTTTTTTTTTTTTTTTTTTTTTTTTTTGAGATGGAGTCGCACCCTGTCGCCCAGGCTGGAGTGCAGTGGCACAATCTCGGCTCACTGCAACCTCCACCTCCTGGGTTCAAGCAATTCTCCTGCCTCAGCCTCCCGAGTAGCTGGGACTACAGGTGCATGCCACCATGCCTGGCTAATTTTTTGTATTTTTAGTAGAGATGGGGTTTCACCATGTTAGCCAGGAAGGTCTCCATCTCCTGTCCTCGTGATCCACCCCCCTCAGCCTCCCAAAGTGCTGGGATTATAGGCGTGAGGCCACCGCGCCCAGCCATATTATCTTTTTTTAATCTGCTATTTCTTCTCATTCTGTGCCACTCTATACATAGATATAGAATGAAATGGAAATGGTTTGCTCTGGAAGGTCTGACTCATTATTGTTTGCTGATTTGCATTCAGTTCAGGGTTTACCTGCTAGCAGGGCTGCTAAGGTCCCAGGCTGGTTAATGCTTTATTCCCACACCATCATAATACCTGCACTGACCTTCTGACTTACTACTACCTGCCACAAACTTATGAAATGAGTGAAGTGTGTCACCAGAAACACAGGCTTTCCTGATTTTTGAACTCTCACACAAAATCTAATGGAGCTTTAGGATGGGCTCAGTGGCTCACATCTGTAATCCCAGCACTTTGGGAGGCTGAGGTGAGAGGATCACTTGAGCCCAGGAGTTCGAGACCAGCCTGGGCAATGCAGTGAGACCCCATCTGTACCAAGAAAAAAAAAAAGCTGAGCATGGTGGCACAGGCCTATAGTCTCAGCTAATTTGGAAGCTGAGGCAGGAGGATTGCTTAAGCTCAGGAGTTTGAAGCTGCAGTGAGCTGTAATCAGGCTACTGCATTCCAGGCTGGGTGACAGAGTGAGACCCCATCTTAGAAATAAAGAAAGAAATTGGGCCGGGCATGGTGGCTCACGCCTGTAATCCCAGCGCTTTGGGAGGCTGAGGTGGGTGGATCACTTAAGGTCAGGAGTTCGAGACCAGCCTGACCAACATGGTGAAATCCCGTCTCTACTAAAAATACAAAAATTAGCCAGGTGAGGTGGCGTGTGCCTGTAATCCCAGCTACTCGGGAGGCTGAGGCAGGAGAATCACTTGAACCCTGGAGGTGGAGGTTGCAGTGAGCTGAGATCGTGCCACTGCACTCCAGTCGGAGCAACACACAGTGGGACTCTGTCTCAAAAAATAAATAAATAAAAAATAAAGAAATAAAAGAGTTTTGCTTTTTAACACGAACAAAAGGCTTTCGTGTTTAAGTTTCTATCATAGAACTTTAGACATCTGCAAATGGGAGTGGGGACCAGAAGGTGTGTCTTTGGCCTGGCAACATTGTACAGTGAAAAGTGCAGGAATGTGGGAATCAGACTAAGCCAGCCCCTGACCCAGCTCTGCTGCATGCTGGTGATAAGACAGTGGCCAGTTACCCCTTCTCCACCTAAATCTCCTCGTTTATGAAGTAAACTGCCTTCCAGGATCTTACAGATCGTGCATATTACATATGCAGAGAGCAGACCCCTAGGACAGAGTAGATACTAAATGCGTGTTAGTTTCCTTGTTTCCTTTCTTCCCCTGATTGCTCTTCGTGGGAGTCTGGTTCCCACACAGATAAGACTGATTGCTTCCCCACCCCAGCATCTGGGAGGGGCTGAGAGGAGTGCTTGATAGCATCCTAACAACTATCTTCAGAAAGGACATCCTGGGTTTTAAACAATTGACTACAAAAATCAGAATAAAAAGTAAATTAAGATTAATGCACTGCATAGATTTAGTTTCATAGGCTAGAAATCTCCCACATTATACCTTCTGCCTGGCAGGACATAGAAAATAATCATTCCAATGCCAAGCTCCTTGAGTCACCTATAACTGCTCAAATTTGAGACTTCTGTGGGCATCCCCTCAGCCACCTCTCCCTAAATGTCTGCAGAGTCCCTAGAGAGCCACAGTGTCCAGTCTTCCAGCTCCTAATCCTACCGTAGCTGCTGGCAAACATCCAGCCCGAGTCTATTTCCAGCCATCTCCCGTGGCTCCAGCTTCTCTCCTGTTCACAGCAGCACACCGGCTTGGTCCTTCTCTAGATGCCAAAGCTGCATTTCTCCAGGAGGATTTTATAGATAGGAGTTCATCAGATTTTTTTTTCATTTGTAAGTGAAGGAAACTTGATTCAAACCAGCTCCGGGATAAACCAGTAGGAGGTTTACTGGGTCTGGTAGCTCTGAGGGCCAAGGCTGGGCTGGATCAGATGTGGTTGGATCCAGACTCCCAACCTCCGCCTCCTCCACTGCCCAGTGTGTGTGCACATGCGTCTGTCTGTCTTAGCTCTGCCTCCCTTTGCCCATTGTCCTTGTCTCCCACCATGTACAGGCTAACTCCATGGAGAGAGAAAGTGACCCTTGTCAGCTCAAACCCCTCTCCTTTCTGTTCATAACTTTTTTTTTTCTTTTTTGATGGAGTCTCACTCTGTCGCCCAGGCTGGAGTGCAGTGGTGTGATCTTGACTCACTGCAACCTCCGCCTTCTGGGTTCAAGCAATTCTCCTGCCTCAGCCTCCCGAGTAGCTGGGATTACAGACGCCCGCCCCCACGCCCATCTAATTTTTGTATTTTTAGTAGAGATGGGGTTTTACCATGTTGGCCAGGCTGGTCTTGAACTCCTGACCTCAGGTGATCCACCCACCTCGACCTCCCAAAGTGCTGGGATTACAGGCGTGAGCCACCGCACCCAGCCCTCCGTTCATAATCTTATAGAAACTGACACCTGCCCTCCCTTAGAAGCCAAAGGGGGTTTGCATTTTACATAAATGCCAATACATAGATAGTTCTATCAGTATTATAGGAAGTGAGAGCAAGTCGGGCAGTCTGGAACAAAAAGAAGAGTTCTGGGTGGATGAAGAATATCAGATATCCTAGTGAGAGGTGACAACGTGCTGGCAGCCCTGGGTCACTCTCAGCACCTCCTCGGCCTGGGCTTCTGCTCTGGCCATGCTTGAGGAGCCCTTCAGGCTGCCGCTGCACTGTGGGAGACCCTCTCTCGGCTGGCAGAGGCTGGAGCTGGCTCCCTTTGCTGGCGGGGAGGTGTGGAGGGAGAATTGGGGGCGGGAACCGGTGCTGAGCATGGAGTTCTGGGTGGGTGCGGACTCAGCAGGCCCCATGCTCGGAGTGGCGCCGGCCCCGGCAGTGAGGGGCTTAGCACCTGGGCCAGCAGCTGCAGAGGGTGCGCCGGGTCCCCCAACACTGCCTGCCTGCCTGTGCAGCGCTCGAATTCTCATCGGGCCTCAGCCTCCTCCCCAAGGGGCAGGGCTTGGGACCTGCAGCCTACCATGCCCGAACCACCCTGCGGTGGGCTCCTGCACGGCTGGAGCCTCCCCAACGGGCACCACCCCCTGCTTCGCAGCACCGGGTCCCATCGACTGCCCAAGGGCTGGGGGATTGCAGGCACGCAGCATGGGACTGGCGGGCAGCACCACCCAAGACCCCAGGGTGGGATCTACTAGCTGAAGCCAGCTGGGCTCCTGAGTTGGGTGGGGACTTAGAGAACTTTTATGTCTAGCTTGAGGATTTTATATACACCAATCAGCACTCTGTGTCTAGCTCGGGGTTTGTGGATGCACCAATCAGCACTTTGTATCTAGTTAATCTGGTGGGGACTTGGAGAACTTTTAAGTCTAGCTGGAGGATTGTGAATGCACCAATCAGCACTCTGTGTGTAGCTCAAGGTTTGTGAATGCACCAATCAGCACTCTGTGTCTAGCTCAAGGTTTGTAAACGCACCAGTCAGTGTTCTGTGTCTAGCTAATCTAGTGGGCGACTTGGAGAACTTTTATGTCCAGCTAAAGGACTGTAAATACACCAATCAACATTCTGTGTCTGGCTCAAAGTTTGTAAATGCACCAATCAGCACTCTGTATCTAGCTAATCTGGTGACGACTTGGAGAACTTTTACATCTAGCTAAAGGTTTGTAAATACACCAATCAGCACTCTGTGTCCAGCTCAAGGTTTGTAAACACACCAATCAGCACCCTATGTTTAGCTCAAGGTTTGTAAATGCACCAATCAGCACCCTGTGTCTAGCTCAAGGTTTGTAAACACACCAATCAGCACCCTGTGTCTAGCTCAAGGTTTGTAAATGCACCAATCAGCACCCTGTGTCTAGCTCAAAGTTTGTAAACACACCAATCAGCACTCTGTATCTAGCTAATCTGGTGAGGACTTGGAGAACTTTTATGTCTAGCTAGAGGATTGTAAATGCACCAATTAGCACTCTGTGTCTAGCTCAGGGATTGTAAATGCACCAATTAGCACCCCGTCAAAACAGACGAATCAGTTCTCTGTAAAACGGACCAATCAGCTCTCTGTAAATTGGACCAATCAGCTCTCTGTAAAATGGACCAATCAGCAGGATGTGGGTGGGGCCAGATAAGGGAATGAAAGCAGGCTGCCCAAGCTGGCAGCAGCAATCCTCCCGGGTCCCGTTTTACACAGTGGAAGCTTTGTTCTTTTGCTGTTTGCAAGAAATCTTGCTGTTGTTCACTCTTTGGGACAGCACTGCCTTTATGAGCTGTAACATTCATCGTGAAGGTCTGCAGTTTCACTCCTGAGGCCAGTGAGACCAGGAACCTACCAGGAGGAATGAACAACTCCGGACAGGAGGAAGGAGCAACTCCAGCGACACCTTAAGAGTTGTAACACTCACCGCGAAGGTCTGCAGCTTAACTTCTGAAACCAGCGAGACCACAAACCCAGCAGAAGGAAGAAACTCCTAACACGTCTGAACATCAGAAGGAACGAACTCAGGACTCACTATCTTTAAGAACTGTAACACTCACTGCAACACTCACCGCGAGGGTCCGCAGCTTCATTCTTGAAATCAGTGAGACCAAGAACCACCAATTCCAGACACACTAGGGCCCAAAGGACTTTCAAGGTCCTGCATTCTGGAAAAAAAAAAAGTAATAGAAATAAAAAAAACACTGTAGGTGACTGGCTGAGATTGAGCCTGACCTGCATTCACAGGCCTCATTTTTCAGTCACTGCAGAGGTAGGAGACCTTGACTCCTATCTACTGAGATGTTAATGCTCACCAAGGTTTCTCCTGCCCTTCCTGGGTGTCTGGAAGATCACGTTTGCTGCCTGTTGAATGAGCTGTGTTCAAGTGGCTTCCTTTGAGCAATAATGTATGAGCAGAAGTGATATGGGTCACCTCAGGGTGGAGGCTTTTGAGGGTCATTGTGCAACTCTGCACACCCTTCTCCCCAAGCCAAGCCACAACCGTGAAGTTTTTTTTGTTTTTTTTTTTATACGAAGTCTCACCCTGTTGCCAGGCTGGAGGGCAATGACGCGATCTCGGCTCACTGCAACCTCCGCCTCCCAGGTTCTAGCAATTCTCCTGCATCCACCTCCTGAGCAGCTGGGATTACAGGTACGCACCACCCTGCCCAGCCAATTTTTGTGTTTTTAGTAGAGACGGGGTTTCACCATGTTGACCCGCATGGTCTTGATTTTTTGACCAAAGAGATTCTTATGATGAGAAATTCTTATGGTGGAGCTAAACAAAGCAGCATGCAATGAGGAGCCAGCTCATGGTAGGATTTGAAATGAGGAATTAACATTTGCATCTTAAGCCACTGTGATTTGGAGGTTGTTGCTGTAGCATTAATTCCCTAGCTGGTCCTGATTGATACAGTTGGGCATTGGAAAAACTATATAGTTCTACTTTGTCAATAAAGTCTGTGAAATTGAACATGTGCTTTAATTTTTCTGAGCATAAATTTGCCTTTGCATGTTGCTTGATATTATTGCAGAGAAGAGCATTAGGTAACCATTAGCAGAAGAGAATTTTTTTTTTTTTTAATGCGAATGGTGTCAGAGACTGGCCAGATGCTCACCAGTACCAGTACTCACTGGTCCTGCACTTAAGAAAACTACATTTCCCAGCCTGCCTTACAGTTGAGTTGGGACCGTGTGACTGACTTCTGGCTGGATGTGGGCAGAATCATATCCTCGCCTTCTGGGCCAGTCGTAAAACATTCCATGTGCGAGCTTTCTTGTTTCCTCTTCTCTTTGTAATTTGTGAAGTTAAAAGCAAAGAACTCAATGATGATGGGCATACAATAACAGGAGCCCAATCCTTGAATTAGCATTGTAGGATAAACCTGGAGGATTCCTGTCCCTGAAAATCATACACAGCATAGCCTCATCTACTCTAAATAGTATTCTATGTAAGAAATGTGTCAAGACAGTGGTCCCAGAGTTCAGAGAAGGTAGGATGGGTGGTTCTGTGATTTAATGAGGAGCATGGAGCCACCACCATAGCCTAAGGGCCTGACGCCTATAACCAATATTCCAAGCTTCTGGCTGTTACTTAAATTGATGATGACTAAACTCAACTGAGTGGGTGCCAACTTTGAGCAAGCCACTCTAAGATGGAGAATCTTCACAAACCACTTCCAAGTTAATTTCTGTGTGCCTGCTGTGCCTTGTGTTTGAGGAGCATCTCTGCTCCTCTGGTCTGCGCCCTGAGGGCTGTGAGACTCTCTGCTCCTGGGGAGGGGTCTTCCCATCATCAACACCAAGCTGAAACAGCAGGGGGTCTGGGGCCCTCCCTCCTGGCCACCCTACAGCCCCCATCCTACATATGCAATCCTCTTTTGCTCCTCCGTGTTGTATGTGGACACAGTGGTTAACAATAATAATGAACGGTATTGAAATAATAGTATTAAAATATAAAATAAAAATAATAGTATTAACATTTTTTTTTTTGAGATGGAATTTTGCTCTTGTCACCCAAGCTGGAGTGCAATGGCATGGTCTCGGCTCACTGCAATCTCTGCCTCCCCGGTTCAAGCGATTCTCCTGCCTCAGCCTCCCTAGTAGATGGGATTACAGGCACCCGCCACCACGGTTATACTTTTAGTTAGAGACGCGGTTTCACCATGTTGGCCAGGTTGGTCTCGCACTCCTGACATTACGTGATCTGCCCACCTTGGCCTCCCAAAGTGCTGGGATTGCAGGTTTGAGCCACTGTGCCAGCCATATTAAACAATATTTTTAAAAGCCATGGTCTTTCATAATGTTCTAGATTTATCCTTAAATATCCTTGGGTTGGGGGTGATGCCTGTTATGAAGTAAAGTTTAAATACTTTAATTTGGGTTTTGAAATTCAAACTCAAGATGTGTCTGGAATTGGTTCCTTCCGGTGGGTTCTTGGTCTTGCTGACTTCAAGAATGAAGCCGTGGACCCTCGCCGTGAGTGTTATAGCTCTTAGTGTGTCTGGAGTTTGTTCCTTCAGATGTTCAAATGTGTCCGGAGTTTATTCCTTCTAGTGGGTTCGTGGTCTTGCTGATTTCAGGAGTGAAGCTGCAGACCTTCTCAGTGAGTGTTACAGCTCTTAAAGGTGGCGTGTCCAGAGTTGTTTGTTCCTCCCAGTGGGTTTGTGATCTCGCTGACTTCAGAAATGAAGCCACAGACACTCCTGGTGAGTGTTACAGCTCATAAAGGTAGTGGGGACCCAAAGAGTGAGCAGCAGCAAGACTTATTGTGAAGAGGGAAAGAACAAAGCTTCCACCCGGCGTGGAAGGGGAACCGAGCGGGTTGCTGCTGCTGGCTTGCATGGCCAGCTTTTATTCCCTTATTTGGCCCCACCCATGTCCTGCTGATGAGTCCATTTTACAGAGCGCTGATTGGTCCGTTTTACAGAGTGCTGATTGCTCTGTTTTACAGAGTGCTGATTGGTGTGTTTACAAACCTTTAGCTAGACACAGAGCACTGATTGGTGCGTTTTTACAGAGTGCTGATTGGTGCGTTTACAATCCTTTAGCTAGACACAGAGCGCTGATTGGTGCATTTACAATCCTCTAGCTAGACAGAAAAGTTCTCCATGTCCCCCCTCAACCCAGGATGTCTAGCTGGCTTCACCTGTCAAAGACATGCTGGATATGTTCTGTCTGAGACTTCAATCACATGTGTCTAAATTCAAAACCTTTTTTAGTTCCAATATTCCATGCTTTAGTTGGAAGAGGACTCTCCTTTTAGCTTAATAGGTGCTGGACATTGTGGTAGGTGCTTTATACAGTGAAATAGATATTGCTAACCCCCAAAAAAACTCCTTCCCAAGAGGCATAGTCAATCTTTGAACGTTAGCCTGAATTCAGAGTTTGATTTTAACTATTTTGTACTACTATCTGCTCTTCTATTGTCCTGATTTTACACCCTTTAGAGGGTTGATGAAAACTACCCAGACTGGGGGGGTTACCTCCTTCTACAAAATGACCCCCGTCTCCACAGGACAGGAGGTGTCAGCATCCAGGATAAAGCAAGATGCTGAGAGGGAGGGAAGGAATGAAAGGATGAATGAAATAGACAAGCAACCCAGAAGTGCTTGAATCCACATTTATTATACTTTTGCTAGAGTAGAACTTAAGAATAATGAAGCATGCCTCTCATCAGGTTTATTGTGGAATAAGTAATTTAGTAAACACAAAATAAAGCTGCTGAAAGATGACTTTAAAGCTGTTTGTTTCATGGAGCATAAAGGGTGATTTCGGTGCAAGCATTAAAACAATTATTCTGAAGCAATTATAGATGTAAGTGACCTCAGAGAGACTCTAAGTTGGCAATGGACCTTGCCCCAGAAGCTTGAGGTGGGGAAGGGGCACAGGCTATTCTTTATTTCAACAATGGCTCTTTTGCCCGTTACATAGTAGAGGAGAAAGAAATGATTCCAGGGCTACTTCTCACAACTGTGGCTGTATTTACATGCTTGCAATTGTGGGTGCTATTAAAGCGGACAATAGAGTGATACTACGCAGTTGCAGTGTGTGGGAAAGAGCTCTATGTTGACTTCCTTTGCAGGAAGGATACTGAGTAAAAGATCTAATGATTCTAACCTCTACCAAGTATTGCCTCCATCTCCCCGCCAGCCCTGGACAAAGTGCTTCCCAGGCTTCATTTCATGCAAGCCTCACAACCACCCTCTACAGTGGTTTCATTTTCCTAAGTGCTTTCATTTTCCCTATCCTACAGGTGAGACACGGTAAGGAGCTCACCTAAAGGCTCCTAGTTAATAAGTGGCAGAGCCAGGATTTGAACCAACACCGTTTGGCTCCTGAGCCTGCACACAGAACCACAGCACTGCCCACCTGGAACTGTGCACCGACAGCCTGAGCTGCACAGACTCTAAGCTGCTGCCCCCTCTGGCTTATCCCAGCAGGCTGTCTGCCGCCAAGCTTAGCCTCCATGTGTCATTTGTATCCCCATGGGAAGATCAGGGTAGCCACCAACAGGGTAGTTCCTGGCAGCAACTCAAGAAAGGTACAGGAGCTAACAGGCTGTGGCGACCAGCAGGCCCCATCCCATGCCCCTCGGCCCCTGTTCCAGCTGCTGCTGTGGATGGCACGACTTGCCATGCTGCCAGTGGTGCCACTCCAAGTGCCCTCTGCATCTTTTACTCCTTTTAGCCCCAGGTCTTTCTTCAACGCCCCCAGAGCTCACTCAGCCAAACAAGACAACCCTGAAGTGGGGAGAGAGAAGGAGAGGGAGCCATCCATCAGAAAGGGTTGGGAGTCAGTGACTAGAAAGAAATAGAAGGAAACCCAGAGGCATATCTATAATTTCCTTAGCGGGACCCCAGTGGAGACTGAGCCCCAGTTAGCCACGGGTCAGGCAGTTCAGCAACACCTGGCCACCATGTGAATTTCGCCATCCCCCCTTTCTCTCCCGACTTCTTTCTCTTGCTTCCTGGAGTTACCTAACAAATAAACTACCCGTGCACAAGCTCTTGTTTCCTGTGGAGGAAACCAAACTCAGGTCTGCAGGCACTCCCAGGCAATAGCAGTACTGGCAGAAATAACCAAGTCACTAGAACGGGCTCCGAGCGGCTCCCTGAGTGCCTGCCTCCACTCAGACACCTCGTTGTCCTTGCTTGCCCCTCTGCTAGATGGCGGTCGGGTTCTCTGAAAGTAGAAGCTACTTTGGAGTTTGGAGGACAGGATGGGCTTTGCAGATGGGCACCTGTTTTCAAAAGGAGAGGACAAAGCAGGATTGGGTAGAAAAAGTCCAAATGCAACTCAGGCCCTACCAAGCCAGCAGGGGGGGTCTGGAGCACAAATCACCCTCAGTGTTATCCTGGGTGGGGCCAAAATGGCCAAATGGCTGGGCCTTTATACCCTCTCCTTGCTGGGTAACTGACTGCAAGTTGCCCAGGAAGGGTGAGACCCTGGTAAGATGGCTCTCTGCAAGCTCTTTCCTGAGGGGACCTGGGAGGTGCAGCTGTGTCTGGTGCACTGTAAGACAATGCTGTTTGCTGGTGGACACGTCTGTGCCCTGCTCTCCCGCTGAGGGCGGAGACCTGATGTTTTGTCTTCAACAACTGGAACATCCCCTAGCATGAGTGGACAGCCAATAGGGGTCAAATGATTTAATAGCTAGTATTAACTATGGAAAAGCCCGGCCAGGCGCGGTGGCTCACGCCTGTAATCCCAGCACTTTGGGAGGCTGAGGCGGGTAGATCATGAGGTCAGGAGTTCAAGATCAGCCTGGCCAAGATAGTGAAACCATGTCTCTAGTAAAAATACAAAAAATTAGCCGGGCATGATGGTGGGCACCTGTAATCCCAGCTACTCGGGAGGCTGAGGCAGAGAATTGCTTGAACCCAGGAGGCGGAGGTTGCAGTGAGCCGGGATTGCGCCACTGCACTCCAGCCTGGGTGACAGTCTCAAAAAAAAAGAATAATAATAATAATGGAAAAGCTCCCAAAACAAGCTTCATTTTACAGGAAGAAAATATTGGAGCCCAGAGGGATTAAGGAACCCGCCTGAGGTCACACAGCTAGGAAGGGCAATGCAGCATCTAAAGCACTTCTTTGACCCCCAAGTCCTTAATCCTTCCTCTGCTCTTAGAAACCTGAACCAACAGTATTAAACATTTTCTCATTTTGATTCTCTGCTGGATACCTGCAGCCTGCCAGATTTCCAGCCATATTAAAAATAATAATGAAAAAAAATATCCAGACCCATTAATCAGCTCTGTTCCCCAGGGCTTGGAAGGACACAGTTTCAATGCTCTGCACCCAGTCAGGAGGGAGGAGGCTGAGCTGTCACCATGCAACTTTCAAGAACTGTGGTGACTGGAGGGAGCCAATCACCATAGTTCTTGAAAGTTGATCCCAAGCTCTGGTTTTAAAAAAGACTGTTTAGACCAAGTTCACATGCTTATGCCTCTGGGTTGATGAAATGATCAGCCCATACCATTTCTAAGCAACTCTCCCAACTCTGGGGAGTCACATTCAAAGGCAGGAAGGTCCTTTGGAACAAAACTATAGTAGAGCTGGGGACACCCAAGGAACAAAAAGGGTTACATATTTATCTACCTGCAGTGCTCCATTGTGGGTTCCAAGAGGTCTGCTCTTTTTCTTGCCAAGACCAGAGGGATGTGCCATGTTACCTTGACCATTTAGAGATGGAAACCACACTGTGATTAGAGACCTGGTCTATCACAGATTCTATCCAGCCCCAACCCCAAACACTGACAGATCAAGCCACCAGCTGCCATTCCAGGGGAATCAGATGACGAGTTCCTAAGTTTGGCCATCTGCAGGATGTAAGAAGAATAGAAGGAAGCTGGGCTTTGGCAGCCTGTGTTTATAATTAGCAGTGTAATGGTTTTCAGGGTGCTCGCTGAACGGAGCGTGCGTATTCCTGCTGCACCGCTGTATTGTGATCAGGGCGCCTGATTATTACAGATGTGTGTATGGAGCCAAGCACCCATTCCTATGAGGAAAGCTAAATAGGTGCCCTATTTAGGTCATGCCCATCAGGCTCAGTGGAGTTACCATGATGGGCAGGCAGAAAAGCCCGTAAGTCCAAGGCATGCAGGGGCCTGGGCGTGTTTACAGCACTCACATCGTAGGTCCCTTATTATTAATGTTTACTCTGTGCCACTGTTTGGACCCCATTTCCCTGAAATATTTCTAAATCAATGAAAAAAAAAAGTTAGAGCACAGCTGGGTTCTTTGACCTCCCTGGAAAGCAACTCCCAGAAAAGACTTCACCCTCTCCCATTCCAGTGTGCAGGAGCCATTCCAGCGGACAGGACCGTACACGCAGGTGCTGAGGAAGATGCGACTATCAACAAGGCCGCTACCCTCAAAGTGAGGAGGGTCCCCCGCTGCAGCAAGCCATGGCTCCTTATCTGCCTGGCTGATCCTGTGCCCCTTCTCACGTGTGTGGTTTCTCAGATGGATTGTGCAGACAGTGGGGGGGTAGGGGTTCCACCGGAGGAGCACAGTGGCTACTGAGAACACCTTTTCAGGAAGCATCCATCTAGGTGTGGGGACAGAGGGCATGAGGGCCGCAGGCAAACACAGGCTTGCACACAAATGCAGGTTGCCTTCTTCTTTTATCTGCAAGACACAAGGAAATGATCAGGAAGGTCAGAGGGCTCTGGGGGCTCAGGATACTGAGGATGGGCAAGAAACAAAAGGACGATGCTGAAAGGAACTCACTATTTAAGACCCATCCACTTTCCCTCCCCGGCCAGGTGTCTGACTCGCTCCAGACTCACAACCTGAGGACCTGGCCCCAGTCCACACTCTGCCCTGAGCTGCTCTCCTCCCTCTCCTCTTCCCCTGTCACAGCTTCCCCCACCATCCCTTCCTCCCTGGCCTTATTAATGACATGTAAATATCACTCTGATGACTTTGCTGGTATAATCGGTTACCAGCATATTCTGCAAAGGATTCAATTAAAATGGAACCAGAGATCAGAGAGGCCTGGGAAGATGGGGGGCTATTGCCAAATTCTTCTGACTGGGGGAAAGCAGCACTCCCCACCTGTGCCACCCAGAAATGGTGGCCGGCCTGGTGACAGCAGCCAGGGCAGCTTAAGCAGGACACAGCAACCACCCTCAGAAACCCCCCGGGGCTGCTGCTGGTGGGAGAGTGTCCTGAGAAGAGCAGGAAAGTCATCTGCTTTCAGGAGAAGACGTCATTTTTTCCCAGCTGCTGATGGGAGGGGGCGGGGTAGGGACTCATAAAGGCAGGCACAGCCAGATATGGCCAGCGTTTTGAACAAACATCTTATGCCTTGTTTAAATCAGAGACAGTGCAGATAAAGATGTATTTCGTCCAACTCTTTGCTCAGGCTTTAGCCCTAATTCTATCGCAAACAATGTTCATTGTTTAATGTCTTTATATTCAGAAGTTGTTCCCATGCATATCTGCAAGGGAAGAAGCAGAATGCTGATAGCATTTGTGAGCCGTGCTGGCCCGGCAGGTTTCGGGAAGAAGAATGAGATCAACGCTGGAGTGGGAGGGCCCCACTCAGGGACCGGATTCTGTGCAGAGGCCAGACCTCAAATGACATGGACAGCTCCACGCTGCCTGCTCCTAGGTCCCACAGAGCAGAGACGGAGCAGCTAGGACCACAGAGGCCTTTTCCGGAGCCAAGTCCTGGCAAGGAGGCCAGGTGGAGGAAGAGGAAGGGGCGCGGCTTCCTGTCTGTGTATGACTCCTCCAAAGTAGGGCCCTGGCCTGGGCAGGAAAAAGATGGCCTTCTCTGATACGAATGCTATTTAATTGTTGGAAACAATAGATCAGGGTCTTGGTAAAGGCATTATTTGAACTCAAATGTTTTGCCGAGTTATGAAAAAGGTGATTATGTGATCTTGATCTGATTAGGGTGGAACGGAGCTAAATGATGGATGAAGCAATTGCTTTTTTGAAATACCAAAATTACAGCAAGGTTGGGCTTAATCTTTGCAGCTATTCACTGAGATTTCTGAAACAGTTCAGGGTAGAGTGCAAATAGTATATTAAGAAGAAAAGAATAAAATATATTTGCAGTGGAACCTTATTGCTACCTATCCCAGATGGGGTGCACTTAGGAGGCCCTTGGGCAGCTGGCCCGGGTGTGAGAGAGAGAAGCATGGCCCGTGGGTGAAGCGCAGAGTAGAGCAATGGAGGCGAATGTGGAAGACAGAATGTGACGCTGGATGTGGCCCAGGAATCAGGCCTCTCCTTAAGTCTCCAGACGAGGAAACAGAGCTAAAGCATCTTGCTGCAAGGCCGTCGATATATTGATGGCACCACCAGTCGCAGGCCCAGTTCTTCTAACTCCTAGTACAGGGATCACAGAGAATTGGGCCGAGCACCGGGGGCTCCTGGAGGGGGCTCCATTCCCAGGGTGGTGCCAGGTGGGTGAGGCCTAGCTTGGAGAGAGAGAGAGAAAGACAGAAACTGAATTGGTGATGAAATTCAAAAGGTTAGATTGGTGATAAAAGAAGATCAAATGCAAGAATGCAGGGAGGAAGGAAGGAAGGAAGATAGGTGAGGTCAGAGAGAGTGCAGGGCTAGAAGACATGTGCTGGCAGCATGAGGGTTCAGGATGGGTCCCTAGGGTGACAGTCACAGGTCCTAGATGCTCTCCCACCAGGGTATGGCCACAGTGATGCCACTGTACCCCTTAGAAATTTGAAAGTAAGGCTGGGTGTGGTGGCTCATGCCTGTAATCCCAGCACTTTGGGAGGCTGAGGTGGGTAGATCACCTGAGGTCAGGAGTTTGAGACCAGCCTGGACAACATGGTGAAACCCCATCTCTACTAAGAATACAAAAATTAGCCAGGCGAGGTGGTGCACTCCTATATTCCCAGCTACTAGGGAGGCTGAGGCAGGAGAATTGCTTGAACCTGGGAGGTGGAGGTTGCAGTGAGCCAAGATCGTGCCCCTGCACTCCAGCCTGGGTGACAGAATGTGAGACTCTGTATCAAAAAAAAAAAAAAGAAAGAAATTCTAAAGTGGAACACCCTCACTTAACTTCCTTTAAAAGTCTTTTAGGAATATGAAGGAAATCCAGTTATTAAAGTAGAAAAAACTGAATTAACATGCCTTAGTATACATGGCACACCTCTTTGCAGGGCACCTGCAGGCCTCAGGAACTCATCTGCATATCTCTGAGGTGGATAAAGGTTAGGAAGGGCTGGAGAGGGCCCCTCTTTCCCCAGGAAAAAAGGTTTGGCCAACAGAAACCAGCTGAATATGTGTGTGTGCACTACGAACACTCCTGATGGGTAAGTGCTGGTTGAGATAGGTGTGTGACATCAATCTCTAGCAATTACAGAACTCTAAGGTGGGAGTTCCCAGGCTCACAACCTACGGGTCCAGGCCAGAAAGTAATAAGTACAATAAAGGACTATTGCATAATGGAGTCTGTTTGGATTATCAATTGCTGCATGACAAACTATGCCCATTCTTAAAGACTGCAAACAGCAGTTTATTATGATGGCTCATGTTTCGTGGGTTGACTGGACTCAAATGGGACCTCACCCTAGAAGTTCCAGAGTGTTACTTTCACAACTCATTGATCAAGCAAGTCACTAATGTCAGCACAGATTCAAGTGTCTTTGTTTTCTACTCTACATTCTTGTACCTGGTCTTCTTACTTTTATCTGCCCTATTGAATTCAAACACCAATTCAGTTTCTCTCTCTTTCTTTCTCTCTCTCTCTCTTTCCTCCTCCACAAACTTGCCCTTACCCACCAGGCACCACCCTAGGAATGGCATCAGCTTCCAGGACCCCCTATTGCTCAGCCTACTGTCTTGTGAGCACTGTGCTGGGAATAAGAGGACTTGGGCCTGTACCTGTTGGCCTCTGAGCAAGACACCTTGCCTCTGTTTCCTACCTGTGAGCCCACTTTGCCTCTGTTTCCTGCCTGTCACTGAGGGGCAGTTGGTCACATCACCGCAGAGCATGTGGAGTGAGAGGCATCTTTGGAAAGACAGTCTACCATGGTGCCTTAAATTGTATTCTTTCCAAATGAATCTACTTTGCTTTGCATATTAATTGCATAGATACAGCCTTTAAAAATCATAACTATACTGTCTCCATTTTATTTCAAAATATGCAACTTTTCCAGGTCTATTTTTTATTTTCCTGTTTTTGATAGAGACATAGTACAATAAATATTCCACTTCCCTTTTTACACATCTATGAGAAAAGTGACAAAGCAAACGTGATGACAAATGGCAGCTGATGTACAGGGAGGTTCCAGGACACGCAAGGGACTGCGGTGCAATGGAGTGTGTGCACCCGTCTAACAGAGGCGGCTGCCTCTCACTGCAACTGATTATTGTCACGTGAGAAAGACTGTTGATTATATGGCCTACAATTTACTTTAAAACACTTCAGCATATTCAGTGTGATACATATGTGGATATAATTTAATTTTAATCTACTCCCTAGATGCAGTTAACATTTGAAGTACTCTTCAAATTAGAAATCCATACTCCAGGGATGGTTAGTCATCATTTGAAAGACCCTAATCAGAAGTCTGCATTCCAGATGCAAACACTTCAAACATTGCTATCTGAATCTGCTATAAATGGTTCATCAATAATCCTAAGAAGGGAGGCTATACTCCTGGTGCCTCTGGTTAACACCTGCCATGCACAGTAGGTGTACCCACCTTGTCTTCAGGTGAGTGCTACCGCTTAATCACTGCAACTACAGCTTCCCATCAGCCCCATTGTAATCAGGAGACCATTGCGATAGCCAAATCTTCTACAGTCATACCTGGCCTACCACAGAGAGAAACCACAGAGTTTCTACGAATTCAGGTTGTATTAGTCCATTTTCACACTGCTGATAAAGACATACCCAAGACTGGGTAATTTACAAAGAAAAAGAGGTTAAATGAACTCATAGTTCCACGTGGCTGGGGAGGCTTCGCAATCATGGTGGAAGGTGAAAGGCACGTCTTACATGGCAGCAGACAAGAGAGAAATGAGAACCAAGCAAAAGGGGTTTCCCCTATAAAACTATCAGACCTCGTGAGACTTAGTCACTACCACAAGAACAGTATGGGGGAAACCGCCCCCATGATTCAATTAACTCCCACTGGGTCCCTCCCACAACACATGGGAATTATGGAAGCTACAATTCTAGATGAGATTTGGGTGGAGACACAGCCAAACCATAGTACAGGTGCTCCCCTCATTAATGTATTTCTCAATGCCTTAGTAAAGAAAGGGTCTACAGGGCTCGGCATAGTGGCTCACACCTGTAATTCCAGCACTTTGGGAGGCTGAGGTGGGTGGATCACCTGAAGTCAGGAGTTCAAGACCAGCCTGGCAAACATGGTGAAACCCCATTTCTACTAAAAATACAAAAATTAGCCAGGTGTGGTGGTATACCTAGAATCACAGCTACTTGGGAGGCCGAGGCAGGAGAATTGCTTGAACCCTGGAGGCGGAGATTGCAGTGAGCCACGATTGCATCCCTGCACTCCTGCACTCCAGCCTGGGTGACAGAGTGAGACTCTGTCTCAAAACAACAACAACAACAGAAAGGGTCTACAGGACCTTCTCGTGGTAGTTGTGGGGTGAGGGGTGTGCAGGTCACACACTAAAAATCCAGTTCCAAATTCCTGTCTCCTTAAATCCTTGGATTCTCTTCTCTACATTGTGCCAGGGAAACTCAGGCATCTCAGCATCATTAAATGTAGGCCACTGTGGAGTCCCAGTTTTAGTCAAGCAAACAAGTAAACGGTTAGAGCCACCTCCAATGGCACGAGCTCACATACAAAATCCAGAATCTTTGGTAAACGCTGATCCATTAATTTGGCCCATCTACTGCTTTCTCCCTCCATCCCCAGGTTGGCATCCCTAGAAACTGCTCCCACAAATGCTTCTCAGGTTTCTAAGTATATACATTAGCAAAGGCTTGTAATCCTTTTAGTGTGCAACTTATTTCTTTCTGGGCCGTAAGGTATACCTGTACCCCTGAGATTGAGCCTAGTTATGAGGCTAGGAGGAGCACGGGGTGGTTATGGAGGGTCGTGAAGATAATAGTCACCTGCTTTCAAAGTATCTGCCCCAGGTGAGGTTATCAGAGAGTTTTCAAGCAAACAAGCCTAGGTTCCTGAGACACTGGAGGGCAAGCCAATTCTACTAGTAATTGAGACTCGGATGTTAGTTTCATCTGACAATCCATCCAACCAGATGTTCCCATTCTGTTTCAGGAGCCTATTTCCCCCCAGTCCATGCCCTGGCTTCTACATAAGAAACTTGGAAAGATTGTGAGTTCAACTGTTGTAATTGAGCAACCAACACAAATTAAATTTTGTGTTTAATTTTCAGCAATGTGAGCACTATGGCAAAAAGAAATATAAGATTCTTCTAGGGCTGGCAGGGAGGCTTTCCAGTTTTTCGCCCACGGCTTGGGCTAAAGGTTAAATGACCTGGGCTTGTCATTTTCTTTCTGTACGTGCTAAAATGCATTCAAAAGAATCCATCCCACACCATAGGTCTTATAGTAATTATTATTACCAGAATGGACAAGTGCAGCAGACCCTTGGGCTCCCAAAGTACATGCCTAAATTGATGCTTCATCTAAATTTCCCACAGGTAATGGCTAGATTAATTGTGATACACACCATGGCTTACTAGTGTCCTATTTTCTGTTCTTGGCATTGGGCTCAAACCAAAGCGCACCACCAAACCAATTCCCAGGTCCCATCTTTGCAAGTCTATGTCCTGGGGCCGCTCTAGGTACCAACTGTGTATCAGTCAGGGTCCAATCAGACCACAGAGAATACACAGTAAATTGTATAGGCAAAGTTTAATGTAAAGAATTAGTCATAGGAGGCTGCGCGTGGTGGCTCACACCTGTAATCCTAGCACGTTGGGAGGCCGAGGCGGGCGGATCACAAGTTCAGGAGATTGAGACCATCATGGCTAACATGGTGAAACCCCATCTCTACTAAAAATATAAAAAATTAGCCGGGCATGGTGGTGGGCGCCTGTAGTCCCAGCTACTCGAGAGGCTGAGGCAGGAGAATCACTTGAACCCGGGAGGCAGAGCTTGCAGTGAGCCGAGATCGCACCATTGCACTCCAGCCTGGGCAGCAGAGCAAGACTCCATCCCCCACCCGTCAAAAAAAAAAGGCCAGGCACAGTGGCTCACGCCAGTAATCCCAGCACTTTGGGAGGCCAAGGAAGGCAGATCACAAGGTCAGGCTATTGAGTCCATCCTGGCTAACATGGTGAAACTCCGTCTCTACTGACAATACAAAAAATTAGCCTGGCGTGGTTGCAGGCACCTGTAGTCCCAGCTACTCAGGAGGCTGAGGCAGGAGAATGGCGTGAACATGGGAGGCAGAGCTTGCAGTGAACTGAGATTGTGCCATTGCACACCAGCCTGGGTGAAAGAGAAAGACTCTGTCTCAAAAAAACAAAAGAGAATTAGTCATAGGAGATGAAAATAATGGGGAAATTGGTGAGCGTTAAAGAGAATTCTAAAGAATTACAGAATTGCAGATATAAGGAGCAGCCCTGGTCCCTAAGGCTGAAATAGCCCAGGGACAAGACTGAGTCAGGCTTAAATTCTAGGCCTTTTGGAGAGGGCTCAGCTGTGGCTCACCAGATGGCACAGAAATCCTTTGTTGTAGTGCTGTGCAGGTGGAGGAAGCTGTCCACAAGGAGGTACTGAGCCTCAGAACTTTGCTGTAAAGCCACAAGTGGGCATCCAGGAAAAGCCATTCACAGAAAGGTGTCTCCTTGGTGCTCTCAGTGGCAAAGCTGCTCAAGGGGGTCCTGGGAGAAGCTGCTGGCTTCTGGGCATTGCCAGCCCTCATGTACGTTCAGAAGCAAGTGCCAGAGAAACCACACGCTGACAAAGCCTGGAGAGGAGCACAGAATTAGGAAGAGAAACTCCTTCCTCCTCCCATGTCCCTCCAACATCCTCTCCTGAAAAAGCATCACCACATTCCAGCTGGCAAAGGAGGAATACTCACAGGGCTCATCTGTATTGTAGCAGAGCAGGCAATGAAGGGTGCATTTGAAGATGAGATGCAATAAACTGGGAAGTTGAACACCTACTTTTACACTTACAAGTGTCCTAGTTTAGACAGTGAACTATATAGTTTCCCTGATCATAAGAGTTCTTAAAAATAATTTATTAGTATAATGAGTAAGTGTTACTCATGTACTTTCACTCTTGCATGAATGGCATTTGGGAATCTTGCAAGCCCAGTAGGCCAACATCTTGGGAGTAGCACCTTTGGTCTGAAGCCCTGTTTGCTTTTTTTGTCTCACCATTTATTGGATTATAATATTGCCTAATTCCACCAAAAGAGGAGTTGACTCTGCTATTAAAACACTGCCTCATTTTCATCTCAGAGTGAATCTCTCATATACATTGTTTTTCAGAGTGCCTGTAGAGACAAGAGTGAGGACCTCACAGGTTGTATGACTTTTTATGCATGCTTGTCAATAAATGTTTATATTTTACAGCTTAGTTCTGCTTGGCACAGAGCCCACTGTCAGACCTTCCAGTTTTTAAAGCAACAACACAAATGTGGATTTTCATACACAGTCTTACAATTTGTAAATGTTGGCAAATAAATTTGGCCGATGTTGAAGGCGAAATACAAACCACATCTCTGTAACCCTGGGCAGGTTCCTGAACCTCTCTGTGCTTCCACTTCCTTATCCATCAAAGAGAAACCATGATAATAATAGTACTTCATAGGGTTGTTATGGGCTAGACTGAATATATAGAGACTGGACACAGAAGTACTGTGTGTACTGATCATTTAAAAATAAATAAGTAAATTTCTGCCAGCCATCTGCCCATGGGCTGCCTACTTTTGACACCTGCTTGCCAGGATTCATGTTGCCCATTTGCATGTGCTATTAGCCTCCCTGGCTCATCTATGGAGGGGAAGAAGTAATACTTACAATAAAAGTACACCAAAGGAAGCAGCTTCACCTATAAGCTGTAAAAGTGGCCATACTGGAAGAAATCTTCCAGACACATGTCTCAACAAGAGTGCCTTCTCTTCCCTTCTGTTGTGCTGCTGTCACTAGGCTAGAGGCAAACATATGTATCCCTGCTGCCAAACACTCACAATTGATTCAGTCGAGTTCTGGGCACAGGGTAGGTGCTCAGTAAAGTTGTTGACTTATCTGGACACAGTAAACACGTATGCTTGTGTGTGCTTAGATGCCAGATGCCTCATTTGGAAGCCATCTTTCCCTGGTAGAAATATTGGCCCCACACTTTGGCATTTAAAGCTCCGGAAATCAGTCCAGTGGTTTCTGTTTAAGTCGGGCCCACCGATTAAAATTTTGAAATTCCAATCAAGACTTTTATTCTTTCCTCCAGAGCAGTCAGAGTTGTTACCTTGGGAGTTGGGAGGTCTGAACCTTGAGCACAGACAGAATGTTGTATGTTGTGGCTTTGTGGCTTCTTTTTTATTTTTTTTTTGGAGACAGATTCTTACTCTGTTGCCTTGCCCAGGCTGGAGTGCAATGGCACCATCTTAGCTCACTGCAACCTCCGTCTCTCAGGTTCAAGTGATTCTTGTGCCTCAGCCTCCTGAGTAGCTGGGATTACAGGTGTGCACCACCACACCCAGCTAATTTTTGAATTTTTAGTAGAGACACATTTTTGCCATATTGGCCAGGCTGGTCTCGAACTCCTGACCTCAGGTGATCCTCCTGCCTCAGCCTCCCAAAATGCTGGGATTGGATTGCAGGTGTGAGCCACCACACTCAGCCTGGTTGTGGCTTCTTTAGGAAGCCTGCTTGCTTTCCTCACACCTCATGTCTCTGAGCACCAAAGAAATGAAGAGGGAGGAAGAGAGAAAAGTAGCTTGGTATCGGCGAAGGAAGGGATTGTTAGAGAAGGCAGGATATCTCCACACCAGGCTTTCAGCTCACAGGCAGATGGCCAGGCAGCAGGACTCCCCAGCAATCCCCAGGTGGAAGCCACGTGGGGAGTGCTCCCACTTGGGAGTGACCTGCTCAGCTCCTCTGTACCCTCACACGAGTGTGGCTGTGATGTGGGCTGTGGTAGCCAGAGGACTGGACTCACTGTGACGCCTTCTCCATCCTCCCATGCAGTCACCCACCCCTGGTACCCCTGGTCTCTGAGTGTTTCAGGCAGTTTTTCTTGCGGTACTGTCTCACACCGCAACTTGTGCTTAACATGTTGAGCTAATGCCTTTCTCTCCCACGTTTGGTGGTAAGCAGATAAATTCTCACTTCTATCTTCATACCCAATGAACTATACTTAGAATACTTACACAGTACTCCTGGGCTAGGGATAAAGCCCATTGGAAGGGTTGCGGCTAGAAAGAGTGAGAGCCCTGTACAAATGAAGACTTTCCACTCTGGCGGACACCCACCCTGGATGCGCCTGAGAAGTCTTTGTTTATGGGAGGCACCTGGCTCTCCAGTTCTTGAGTCCTTGGAGGAAAGTGAAAATTTCCCCAAGAGGGAGAAATCCCTGAAACCCAGTGCATCCTCTACGTTGTTAATAACACAGGTCCAGTGGGACTATTTGATTGTCACTAGAAAAATTTCCCAGGAGGAAACATTCACAACATCATATTTCAGCTCAATTTCAACTCAGCAAAACAGAGCTTATTGATTAAAAGTCTGATTCTAAAGTCAGTCTGCCTGGGCTTGCATCCTAACTCTACCACTTCCTAATTATTGAATAAACTTCACTCAACTATACCTTGGTTAACCTTATCTTTGAAATCAGGGCGTTAATAGAACCTCCTCCATAGGATTCTGGTGATAATTAAGTGAACCAACACATGTAAGCTTAGGACACTGGACGGCATACAGCAAGTGCTCAACAAATATTGACTATCACTGTTGTTAATACTACTGTGCCAACTGCATTAGCAACTTATTTTCTTGTTGAGTAAGGTGAATCACAGTTTTGTGCAGGGTACAAAACTGTGGGTCTATGCAGATGCATTGACTTGAACAGCAAAATACTGTGTTTAGAATAACACAGGAGAAATAGAGGAAGGGAAACAATACTGTTGAAAACCATTGAACTGGGTGTAAAAAGACTCATGTATGTTTTTATAAAACAAGCAAGGGAATACTGACTAGTTGGTTGAAATTTTATGTTGAGAATAAAATAACAGTGTCTACTACTCTCAAGAAGGTCATCATCCTGGCTGGGAGACCCACAAGTCAATAGGCAGTCCCAGCACAGCACAGCACAGCACAGCACAACACAACACAGCACAGCTGTGTGGGATAAAGCATGAGGTGTCCTGGGAGTGTAATGGAGGGGCATTTTGCTCGATCTTTGGGAAAAATTAACTTCCTGAAGGAGGTAGCACCTAAGCCAAGAAGTGAATGCTGAATTAGAATTAAGGATAGAGAGGGGGAAGTTATTCTGAATAGAAAGAGAAACATACACAATGACTCATAAGAGAGAGTGGTCTGGGAACTGCAAGTAATTCAAAATGGCACATGGCTGGTGCACTGGTGCTTACAGGAGAAAGCAGCAGGAAACAGACCACAAAGTTCCTTCTAGATCATGCAATCCAGTCTGACCCTTGTTTGAAGATGATGGGGAGCTAATGAAGGCGGTATTATGCCTAAGTGCCATTATTTATTGCACAAGGTAAATGGATAGGGGGTCCAGGTTAGAGAGAAGCATACCCTCTAGGGGGCTTTTGTAGTAATCCAGGTTAGGAGAAAATCATAGCCTGAGATGGGGTGATGGCAACTGGAACAGAGAACAGCAGAAGGATTTGAGAGGAGATTTGTAAGTCAGAATCCAAATGCCTTGGTGATTTAATGGATGTGAGCTGAGGAAAAGGGGAGAAGAGGATGTAAGACAAACATCAATGTTTCTGGTTTGGACAAGTGAGCATATCATTTTCTGAAAAAAGGGAAAGGAAGAACAGATTTGAAGGAAAACAACATGGAATGGGTTTTGAGGTTGTCGTGCTGCTGGTGCCTATGGACGCTCCAGTAGGGAGGAGGTGTAGGCCGTTGGATACATGGCAGAAAAGAACTCTGGCTGAGAAATCTCACACACAGGCAAACACACGTGCACACATATGCACTCACACGTGCACACATATGCATGTGCGCACACCTACACATGTGCACACATGCACAGGCAGGTGCACACACCCATACACACATGCATGCATGCACACAAGTTCATATACATATGCGGACACCGGCGCACACACATGCACAGGCACACATGTCTTGGCCCTATCTCTGTGAGTCTATGAAATATCATTATTAAGAATACTGGGAGTAATCAGTCAGTATTTTGATTACTAGGTGAGTACCTCATCCTTCCAAAACTGCCTCTTCAAATGACTGACATAGTCCTAAGGATCAAATCAACTTCACTCAGGAATCCAGTCTTTGATCCCCACACCTTGCCTGACACTACTCTGACCAAGAACCCAATGAAGCCCTCGCACCGCAGCTGGTCACCACTCTACACAGAGACCTGCCTCCCTGGGACAGGAAGAGGATGTGTCTATCGCTCAGCAGGTGATGGGCACTGACAGTGGCTTTGTGGGGTGTTGGTGTGTGCACCCCCCCGCCCATGCACTGGGCCCCTGTTGGCTTTGGGGTTTGTCTTTGCAGCCCCGTCATTGTTCTTGGAGAATAGATGCGCAGAAACAGCCTGCAGAAAACAGCACAGAAACCCCGCTGCAGCAGGGCTCCCCTTCCGCCCCCCATAAGGCACAGGCAGGGATGATTACCTTCCTCAGCCAACATCAAAGAATGTTAAATGTTGGAGAGAATGCTCTCTTTGGTGCTTAAAAGTCACTCCCCCCAAACACTCACCAGGGCATCCAGGGGAAAAATAAGCCCCTTGCCATCTACCAGATGTGTTTATTGTGGGGAAAAAAAGCCTAAGCAAATCTCCCCAATAGGTCAGAATCTTAACAAGGATAGTAACTCCCTTAACATTCAGATGCAGCATTAACCACATCCATAAACTAAATCTACAAACAGCAGAAATAATAATAAAAAAGATATTTATGGAGGCAATGTATGAGAGGTAATAGTAAAGAGAATCCCTTCCCGTTGTTGTCAGCCCCTGAGCTCTATGATTCTGAATAGCTGACAGCCTTCCAACCTCATAAATTCCAAGAACTGCAGCCACTGGGAGCAGCACAGCCTCCGGCCCCTCTGTCCCTTGGGTTTCTTACAGAAAGGTAAAATGACCAGCATGCATACATTGTAATGGGACATAAGGTGAAGGAGGTCTTTTGCTTTCATTCTAAAGCAGAAAGTGTCCCAGTATTTATGGGAAATCACTATTTCTGTGTGTGTTTTCAAGTTTTCATGTATTAATGAGCGAAATTATCAGTGCGGCTAACTGGGCTGTCTCCATGCTATATGGACAGTCTCCTTCTCAGACACTGGAAGCCAGAGGCTGAGCCATGTGGGTGTTGTCAGACAGCAGCAACAGTTTCCGAAGGAAAACCTGGAGAAGACTCTATAGCAGAGAACAATAGAGTACTGGCAGAAGTAGATGCAAAATACTAACAATGCTTTATGTTCAAATTATCCCTTTTGTTCTTGATTTCAAAGCCCTGAACACAGAAATTCAATCTCAAATATTTATCTGCGGTCAGCATCCTTGCCCCATTTCACAGAATGGGAGACAGGTGCAGAGAGTGAAAAGAGCAGCCCATACCAGCAGCAGGGCTATGAAGAGAACCTTTTTGCTCCCACCCAGGCTGTGGCCCATCCTTCTGAGTTGGAGTCACAGCAAAGCCTCCGACTGGAACAGAAACAAAATCAACTCAGCCTTTCCTCTTTCAGAGGGAGTCAGGGCTAATATCCAGCTGCTGGAAGTGAGAGGCCTTTGGAGGAAGAACTCTGAGAAGCAAGGCTCCCATCTGCTCTTTGTGGACATTTAATATCTCAGGGCGATTTCTGCAGAGCAAAGTTTATCCCAGGCTCTGGGCTGGATGTTTCCTGCCTCACAGGCATGCAGGGGCTGTGAGCTATTGGTGTCCCTGGCCATTACGCTTCCACCCCTGAAGAGACTCGAATCAGAAGCAGATCAAGTGGTTTCTGTATGATTATGGCTTAGAAATGATGAGCGGCGGTAGAAACATGAGATAGGATCATCATCTTTAATCCTGCACCAGCGCCAGCACATTGGTCATTTGCTTGTATGGAACGTCAGTTTCAGAGGGGGCGATTCCATTTAAGAAGGATGTGGTGCTTTCCCATCAGGCAGGTGAAATTGACTTCCGTTGATGATAGGATGCCTGCATATTTGAAAACAGGAAAGCATTTGCTTTGCCCCAGTTCACTTTTTGGTTAAATAATATTCAAAGAGGTAGGGTGATAAAACTCCTTTGTCACTTGTCAGCCCTGAGGGAAAAAGCGGGGGGGCGGGGGCGGTAGAAAAATATAGAAAAGAAAGCAATTATAAAATAGAACTCAAATAAATGCTAATCTTGACTACCTCTCTTTTTTTTTTTTTTTTTTTTGAGATGGAGTCTTACTCCGTTGCTTAGGCTGGAGTGCAGTGGTGCAATCTCGGCTTACTGCAACCTCCACCTCCCGGGTTCAAGTGATTCTCCTGCCTCAGCCTCCCGAGAAGCTGGAATTACAGGCGCCCACGAACAAGCCCGGGTATTTTTTTGTGTTTTTAGTAGAGACAGGGTTTCACCATTTTGGCCAGGCTGGTCTCGAACTCCTGACCTCAGGTGATTCACCCACCTTGGCATCCCAAAGTGCTGGGATTACAGGCATGAGCTACTGCGCCCGGCCAGCTACCTCTCATTTTCTAAGGAAACTTCAAGCAGCCACTTAATAAACCCAGAGTTGAAACAGTCTCTAACTTTGACATTATCAACGTGTGTGAAATAAACAAAAGCCATCGTGCAACTATGAGGGCAGTAATTATTGTAACACTTGAAATGCCCTGGGGATGAAGCATGAGACTCCACACAGAGTCTTGGACTGCCATCCATTCTGCTTTGGGGAAATTTGAATGTCTATGCTTTTTCCTCTTTCCCTTTTGTTTTCCAAACACAGAGGCCAAATACAGAAGAGCAAAGCAGACAGAAAACTAGTTTGGTTGTGGTTTGTTTTGGGTTTTTTGGTCCTATCTCCTGCTCGTCTCTCTCCTCCTCCTTCGTCGACTTTCCTCCAACCCTCTGCAAACTTTGCCTTCCGCTAACCCTTCAATCATTTCTGTCTTCAGGTGCCTGCTTTCTTCCTTTATTTAACTGATGTTAACACAGTACATCTCAGTTTTTCTCTAGACTGACACCATTCTCGTTAAAAAATATATCAATGTGTCCTGGAATATTTCAATGTCGCTCCTTAAACCCAGCAGAATTTTTCCCCATCACAGAAGATGTGTAGACATGTAGGGAGAGATGTGTCCTCAGACCACTGGCATCTCCGGGAAGGTAACCTCAAGACTGATCTCATCTGTGGGCAAATCACAAAACAATGACACTCTTAATGATTTTGCCTCCCAAGCTATTATAACCTGAAGACCAAGGGCATTAAAAACAAACCCACTGAAAACCTTCATAATCAGACCACCCTGGACTCTAAAAACAGTTTATCAAGAATCAAATTCAGAATCTCAGCACCTTGGGGGTCCGAAGCAGGCAGATCACTTGAGGTCACGAGTTTGAGACCAGCCTGGCCAACATGGTGAAACCCCGTCTCTACTAAAAATCCAAAAATTAGCTGGGCACGGTGGCAGGTGCCTGTAATCCCAGCTACTTGGGAGGCTAAGGCAGGAGAATCGCTTGAACCTGGGAAGGAGAGGTTGCAGTGAGCCGAGATTGTGCCACTGCACTTAAAGGATGAAATGAGTTAATAAAGACACAGGAAAGCCAAGTTTTGGTGGGAGTCACTGAGAATGAAAGCTTCTAAAAGGCAAATCTACATCTGCTTAGGGTTCTTGGTCTTTGTTTAAAGTAAGACACGACGCTTTCTGCAAGAATGACAAGGTCTTTCATGGAACAGAACTGCCTGTGATGCCCACGTGCATGAATAGGGCTGATACAAACAGCACAAAACCCCATCAAGCTGCTAGAATATGAATAGTCAGACTGTGCCCCAAGTCTTAGTTTGGGTGCTCCAGAAATAATCCCCAGGACTAGGATTTAAGTGCAATTAGTTTATTTGATATGAGATCCAGAGAGCACTTGTAGCACAGTAAGCAAGACAGAAACAGAATGACAGACAAGAAAGGGTTCCTTGTCAAGTGAGTTACAACTATGGGTACCCGCAGCTCTAACCTGCTGTGGAAATCCAGGAGCCAGCGTAGCAGATGCACTTCCGAGGGTCCCGCCATCTGTAATTGGCTGAGTCGTCCCAGGAGTCATGGATCCCATGGCAGCCAGAGAGCACTTATGGGAGAAGAAATGTACATGCTGGCAGCTGGAAATCCAGCGCTCCAAAGTGGGGAGGGGAGAAAGATATGGATGGGGCACTGACAGCCCCGACACAGGCTCCCAGGATCCCTCACGGCCTCTTATTTCCATATTACAACAGCATATTAAACAACACTCAGAAGCATGTGGCTCTTTGGTTAGTGATGATTGTAAAGGGTGGCCCTGAGTTGTGTCAATTGGGAGTACTAATGGTTTAGATAAATTAGTAGCTGAGTGCCCCATGGAGGTGTGAGCCCTGCCTGAGAGGAGTTTGGAGCAAAAGTATTTCTAGGCAGTATTCCTATAAATCCTACAGCAAAAAAATTGCATATACCCATTGCACATTTATTCCTCCACAGGCAGAGAAGCAGGAGATGGCAGCTCCTTAACCCACCAGCTGGAGAATCGTCTACAGCAGTGGTCTCTGCAGCAGTGTTCTTGGGCATCCCTGTACCCTCAACATACCTTGACCCAGCATTTGACACATAGTAAATGTGCCCAATAAATGTTTGAACAATGAATCAGTGGATGGATGAATGGATGATGAGTGCTATGGTTTGGATACAGTTTGGCCCTAGCAAGTCTCATGTTGAAATGCAATCCCCTGTGGTGGAGATGGGGCCTGGTGGAGGGGTTCTGATCATGGGGCAAATCCCACATGAACATCTTGGTGCTGTCCTCCCAGTAGTGAGTGAGTTCTCACTCTAATAGTTCCTACGAAAATTGATTGTTTTAAAAAAGCCTGGTACCTCCTCCCTTTTGTCTCTTGCTTCTTCTCTTGCCTTGTGATGCCTGATCTGCTTCCCCTTCTGTTCATGGAAGCTTCTGAAGCCCTCACCAGAAGTAGATGCTGGCGCCATGCTTCTTGTATAGTCTGTAAAACTGTGTATCAAATAAACCTCTTTTCCTTACAAATTGTCCAGCTGCAGGTAATCCCTTATAGCAACACAAAAACGGACTAAGACAATGAGTCACATTTGTAATGAAAAGTGTAGTCTTTGAAAATTTGGCGTGACTTACCTGGAGGTTTGTAATAATTTGATCTACACAGGGTGACACAGGACAGCAACCATCTGTATAGCATTGGGCTATTATATCCATCAGACTTGAGGATAATCTTCTGAGGGCAGGGACAGTGTCCATTTCTTGCCATTGAGTTTCCAGTGCTCACAACAAAGATGCGTCGATGGGTCGGGCGTGGTGGCTCACGTCTGTGATCCCAGCACTTTGGGAGGCTGAGGTGGGCGGATCACAAGGTCAGCAGTTTGAGACCAGCCTGGCCAACATGGTGAAACCCCATCTCTTCTAAAAATACAAAAAAAAAAAAAAATTAGGCTTGGTGGCACATGACTGTAGTCCCAGCTACTTGGGAGGCTGAGGCAGAAGAATCTCTTGAACCCGGGAAGCAGAAGTTGCAGTGAGCTGAGATCACGCCATTGCACTACAGCCTGGGTGACAGAGCAAGACTCGGTCTCCAAAAAAAAAAAAAAAAAAAAAAAAAAAATTCGTTGGATGAATGAATGAATGAACAACCAATGTAAAAGCAGAGGATGGTATAGTTGTTAAGAGCATCACTTGGGAGCTATGTTTCTTAGGTTCAGATGCAAGCTCCACAACCTTGAGCAAGTTATTTAAACCCTCTGTGCCTCAGTTTCCTCATCTATAAAATGAGGATCATGATAGTGTCTATCTCATAGCTCTGTTGTGAGGATTAAATGAGAACTCATTTAAAAAACTTAGAACAGTCCCTACAGAATAGTAAGCCATATAGAAACGTTTGCTCTTATTATGGAATCTCAGAGTATCCTCAATATAACAGAAATTATTTTTCCAAAAAAACGGAAATACAGCCACTGTGAGAGGTGAGGCCAGCTGGACTTCTTGGGTCCAGTGGGAACTTGGGCAAGTTTTCTGTCTTACAAGAGGATTGTAAAACGCACCAGTCAGCGCTCTGTAAAATGCACTAATCAGTGCTCTGTAAAACGCACCAATCAGCAGGATTCTAAAAGTAGCCAATCATGGGGAGGACTGAAAAAAGGCTCTCTGATAGGACAGAAATAGAACATGGGAGGGGACAACAAGGGAATAAAAGCTGGCCACTCCAGCCAGCAGAGGCAACCCTCTCAGGTCCCCATCCGCAGTGGAAACTTTGTCCTTTAGCTCTTCACAACAAACCTTGCTACTGCTCAGTCTCTGGGTCCGTGCCATCTTTAAGAGCTGTAGTAATCACCACGAAGGTCCGTGGCTTCTTTCTTGAAGACAGTGAGACCATGACCCACCGGCAGGAACAAACTCTGGACACAATTGGACCAAAATGGCCTTTTAAGTAAGTTCTGAGTCCCACGTTCATTATCTGCAGAACTTTGGGATTTCAGGACACAATTCCAGGCAAATGAGTTTCTACAGCCTCAGTATATTTGGGGAAAAAAAAAGTTCAATCAATGAAAATCTAGACCAGGGATCAAGAAATTTGGGTTCCTGTCCTGATTCTGGCTAATGCATGTCTTAGCTTGACTTACTTAAAAGGTAAAGAGAAGTAACATTAGAGAAGCATTTAGAGCATTTTTAAAAGGGAGGTATTGTTAATAAAGAAAGACCATTGGCATAATTGCATTGTTGAAATACTGTACTATGGAAACACACCTTTTTCTCTGAAAAATCTTACGCAAAAACAGATGACAGAAAAGCAATCCAGTCAGCTCAGATTAACACTCTAATAGAAGAAAGAGGGCAAATATGAAAAAATGCAGTCATTTACTTAAAAGCAATTTCTAAAGCAAAAAAAAATTAATAATAACTAAATCTGTGATACAGACTTCATTTGCTATTAGGAATGAATTTGGCTGGGTCTTGGAGCCTTACACCATGCATCAAAACTAATTTGAGCTTGGATGATTTTCTTTTTCATATGGTATATTTAACTCTTATCAGATGGATATACGGACAAATAAGTAATGACATGTGCACAGTAAATTAAGCTAAAGCCATTTTTCTCCTTTAGGGACTTAACATGGGGAAAGCATTATTCAGGGATGATTTCTTCAGACACCCGCCCCTGTAAGAGCCTGTCATGGACCTGAGTTATTAACGTAGTATAAAAGAAGAAATTTGGTGCTGTTGCCCACGTGTTCTTCCTGAGCCCTGCTAAACTGGACTCCACTGTGCCCTGCACGATAGGCTTGTTGCTAGGTAACAGTCACAGGAACCCCGGAAAGCCTTTCTTCAGGGCTGCAGATATTTTCTAGTAAAGCCCTGGCTTCTGCAGTCTGGAAACTATGTTTCCATTGCTCATTGTCTCTGTTGCTCTTCCTCCCATTTGTTTTTGTTTACAGATCCCAATTTAACAAATGAGTTCATCCATCTCATGCGGTTAAACAGCTGTGTAAAATAGAGACCCCACTTTAATGGTATTGATTTACTGCAACAGGTAATTTAATAGAGAGCATTCGACCACTGGTGTTTGTCTCTACTTTGTACAAAGAGAAGCGTTAGGAAAAGCATGCAACCATATTAAGATGCTTCACAACAGGATGCTCTTTAAAATATAGGTTTAACTGAGACGAAATCTGTTTCAAACCACAACTGTTTTAGAGACAAGTGGAGGTATTTGAAAATGAACTAGATACTAAATGACATTAAGAAATATATTAAAATGTCAGATGTGGAAATCGCCTGGTGGTTATGGAAGAGAATGTACTCATTCTTTGAAATAATGCTAAGAGTACAGTGTCATAATATCTGAAATTACTTTAAAAGGTTTCAGCTAAAAATACGACAAAATATTAATATTACTAGATCTGGATGGTGTGCTCTGTGAGTATTCATTGTTCTATTCATATTTTTATATGTTGAAATTTTTCATAATAAAAAGTAATTCATAATTTAAAATCACTAAAAAACCAACTACCATCTTCAGAGGAAGATCTTGTAACATGGAAGGCCCATTTATTCTGCTCCTAAAAAGAATGAGAATTTTAAAGGGGGGTGGAGTAGCAATCGAGAAAGGAGATTGGGGAGGCAGAGAGAGAAAAAGTGTGTAGGGTTGAGGACCCTGTAGAGGGAAGTGGCCATTTAGAAACCCCCAGTGGTAAGTGGATGCAGAATAATGACTTGTAGTGCTCAATTTGAAATCATTGCGTCTCTGCAGTCTAAAGTCCTTCTCTATGAAACAAAATTATTCAGTAAGTTGTGCTATATTTAAAAGGGTTCGTGAGAGTGAAAAATGAATCAGGTGTCAACTTCAATGTTGTAGAAAGAGTCAAAAGGCACACGATGGTAAAACCATCCATAGACTTAGCCATTTCCATGGAAGCTGCAGTTGATGGTGACCATGAGACTCAGGTCCTTGGGAATTCATGGAAAGCTTTGGAACGGGGTTGAACGTCTAACCACGAATGAAATTAGACTTGAAACAATCTCATCTTGATCTCAAGGGCTCAGGTTACATCGGGATAATAAATTTTAGTCTTTCTTCAAGTCTAATAAGGTTGAAATAAAGTATATATCTTATTTGTAACAAAGTAGGGCATGCATTTATCAATTAATCAGATCACAAAATAGATACATTTACTATGAAAGTCATCCGATAAATGTTTATTCAGCATATACAGTGTTCCAGGTACATTTTTATGAGCTGAAGACTGACATAGCAACAGTGGGTTATATTTTGGCATGGCATTGTAAAAGAAGGATGGGTCCTAGACATCACTTGAAAGCAGAGCAAAAAAAAAAAAAAAAAAAAAAAATTGCCGATGGCTTCGAGGTACAGGAGAACGAGAGTAGTAAATGAGGACATCCTTGTTTTCTACTGAGCAACAGGAAAAATTGAGTTTTCATTAAGCGACATGGGAAAGACTGCAGGAAGAGCAGGTTTGGCGGGAACAGTGGAAGATCAGAGACTGGATATGTTAAGTTTGAGATACTACTTGACATCTAGTGGAGATGTTCTGCAGGCAGATGGATATATGCATCAGGAGTGTACTGAAGTCTGGGACAGAAACATAAGTTTAAAGTGTGTATTGTGTGTTTATTGTTTTAAGGTTACCTGGGATTTGTTTCAATCAGTCATGGTAAGACACACAGACGTGCATAGGACTGCCATGAAGGAAGAAGTGTATTATATTCACAGATCCCTAGAAACAGGTGGCATGGCAGGCCAAGCAGGGCCACACGGGGAAGCACCAAAGTGAAATGGGAGGGCAGAGCAGAGAGAGAGGGAAATTGTAGGCAAGAGCCTTCACTGTGGTTTCCCTGAGAAAGAATGGGTGAGGCAGTGTGGGCATTTCAGATTGGCTAGTTAGTATAATTTCAGTGGGCTCTGGGTGTGGGTGCTGTCCCTCGTTGTCTGGTATCTGGTCCTGGGGTGGTTAAAGCAGATGGACGGTGGCCCAGGGTGTGAAAGTTCAGATGAGGAAATGGTGGAGAATAAGGGCTCTGGCTTGGTTTGGTTTGCATTTGAGAGAGTTGTTTACTACTTCTAGGAATTGGCTAACCCTGGGAGAAGCAGTCCCTCCAGGGTCAGCCAGGCCCCAGATGTCAAAGCATCAGCATTTAGAAAATAAAAAACACCACAGTTAATACAATAATATTCAAAATTATGACCATGGATGAGATCATCAGGGGTTGGAGCTATGGGCACGCCAAGCAAGAGGTCAGCAAGATGAGATGGATACAGCAAATAAAACAGATTAAAGGGGGGAAAGCAGCAGAGAAAACCAGGAGAATGTGGTACCCCCAAAGTCAAGCGAATAGTTTCCCAGAGGCAGCGGTGAGAAACTGTGCCAAATGCTACCCATAGGTCAAGTAAACAACATGGGGGTCATTGGTGACATTTGCAAGAGTAATTCCAGTGAAGTTTTGGGATCAAAAGCTCACATGAATCATATTTAACAGAACAGAAGGCAGGATTTGGGAAGACTACTAACTCCTCTTTTGAGATGTTTTGCAATAAAGGGAGCACAGAAATGAAGTAAAACCCAGAGTGGGGTCAATCTAATTTTTTTTTTAAGATGGAAGGAAAAACTGAGCAAAGGAATGGCACAAGGAAGAGCCTGGAGAGGTGCCCGTGAGTAGCCAAGCAGGAACCAAGAGGAGGGTCCAGCCTTGTATAGGGGTATGGACACTTCAGCCATAGCGTCATGGTCTGAATGTTGGTTCAAATTCAAATGTTGAAATCTAATCCCCAGGATGATACTATCAGAAAGTGGGGGCTGGTCAGGTGCAGTGGCTCATGCCTATAATCCCAGCACTTCGGGAGGCCGAGGTGGGAAGATCACGAGGTCAGCAGTTGAAGACCAGCCTGGCCAACATGGTGAAACCCCGTCTCTACTAACAATACAAAAAAATATTAGCCGGGCATGGTGGCGGGCACCTGTAATCCCAGCTACTCCAGAGGCTGAGGCAGGAGAATTGCTTGAACCCGGGAGCCGGAGCTTGCAGTGAGCCGAGACTGTGCCATTGCACTCCAGCCTGGGCGCAGAGCGAGATTCCATCTCAAAAATAAATAAATAAAGAAAAGAAAGTGGAGCTTTGGGAGGTGATTAGGCCATAAATGGGATTCAGGCCCTTATAAAAGAGATGCCAGAGAGCTAGGTAGTCCCTTCCACCACGTGAAGACACAGCAAAAAAGTACCATCAATGAACCAGAAAGCAAACCCTCACTAGACATGGAATCTGCTGGTGCCTTGATATTGGACTTCCCAGCCTGTAAAACTGTAAGAAATAAGTAGCTGTTGTTTGTAAGCTACCCTGTTTTTTTTTGTTACAGCAGCCCAAACAGGCTAAGACGTAGTGATGGGTGGGGAACAGGCACAGGTGCTGGTCTTCGTGAGGATAGGGTGGTGAGTGTAGTGGAAGTGCGTTCATGGCTTTGGTTTTCTCAGTGCAGTGCTGTTTTTAGCTTGAAGCCTGTTCTTTTATCTGATGCTGACTTTGATGGTATTGACTGGATAGGATACAACAATCTGATTCATGTGAAGTGAAAGAGACTCCCCCATCTCCTTTTTTATTTTGGCATGGCATTGTAAAAGAAGGAAATTGAAAGAAAGAAATGCTCATCTAAAAATACAGTCACATAAACAGGAGGTGTATGATCCTGATTAAACTGCTCACACCATCTTGGGAACAAGTGGATGTGGGAAGAGAAAGAACTGAATGTGATAACAGTAAATATTTTGATGCCACTTCCAAGAAGCAAAAAGTTAATTCCTTCCCAGAGTATCCCAAAGGTAAGAGAAGAAGAAAAATAAAACCTCACCTACACAAAATGTGGATTCAGCATTTGACTGCATCAGGAAAGGCTTGATAGCCTCCGAGGGAGTCCCTAAGAAAATGGTTTAGGAGAGAGATGCGCAGGCACACACACCCCCCTATACACTTAACACTCTTAACCTCTCAAATCCCTGACAGATCGCAGTCCCGGGAGTTATGCTCCTGGGACTGGGACGCCTGCATTCAAGCAGCTTATTCTTTTGACCTTGTGGTTGTTATGTGCCAGTTGCAATGACATGTCCCCTGCTCTCCTCTTATAAATAAAGGCAATTTACTCATCACCGTCAAACAGTGCCCTAAAGACACATTTTTTTTTCATGTTCGTAACAATCCTCTAGGTGGGTGGGGTAGCCTTCGTGGAAGTGATGGGGCTCTGAGCCTGATGAGAAATCGTAAAGTGCTCCCACTGCACAGAAAAAGTCATCTCTGACATTCAGTCGGGCTGGACTTTGAGCTGCCAGTCCAGTCCTAAGACAGGCTTGTCCTCTCCACAGAGCTGGCCCTGCCTCCCCTGTAGGTGTGGCCGGCAGTGTGTCCTGGGCAGCAGGGTCCACAGCATTGCCAGCTGAGTCTCCCAGACACCTTCCCAGGGGCTGGGCCACCTCTGTGTAGCACTGCAACTCACCCAACCGAGGGCGTAAAGGCACAGCCAGGAGCAATGGGTTTCCGGCCTCCCTGAATGAGATCCTCCTACCCCGTCCAAGGAGCTGTATGCTTTCTCGGATGCCCTGCGAGCCTTTATTCACTTCCCTTGGGTGTGCATTTGGTGTGTTTAGATTCTAGCTGACTCACTCTGGGCCTTAAAAACCATTTTACCTTTAATTCACCCATCTGCTGTCCAGGAGGGAATCATTTTCAAGCCAAAGTTTCTCACCTGGGTCATGCCTATCTCTTGCAGAGATAAATCACAGTTCGCCCTCTCACTAGAAAAGATCCAGCAGACAGAAGGTTTTCATTTGTACCAAGGCCCCCGTGTTATCTTTTATGCTAGTCACAATTCCTTTCCCAGCCTTTCTTCTCCATCATGAAAATGTATCACAGTTAAGGAAAAGAAAGCTCCCGCATCTAGGGTCCTCTGAGGTCCTAACTGATTTAAACCACAGGCTGATTTTCTGTTTGCCCTTTCTTCCCATGGAAACAGAATTCACACTGCACGGCCTGTGTTCAGGGAAGGGAATGACTGGCATTTGCCGTAGGGATAGCCAGTGCTGCTTCCCAATTCTCATTTTCCTGGGTATGGGTTACAAAGTCATCTTTATTCAGGCTCAGAAACTCTTGATTTATGTCACTAATAAGTATGTGCTTTGTGTTCCAGCCAGTGTGAACTGCTCAGAATACGTGACGTGCTGGTTATAAATTGATAACCATCTATTGTAGATCACAGGGAGCTCAGAAGGAGACAGTCATGTGCATCAATTCACAGTATATGGGCCTGGCCCCAGTGTGCACATCCCAGCCTGCGTGACCAGAGCATCTTAGCCTAACCCAAACTACCCTGCACGGTATCTACAGCCATTTCTCAATTTCACTAAGAACACGGAGATCCTCTTTCAACTCGGTCATGTGTCTGGGTTATGAATCTAACTCTCCACTAAGAAGCCTGATCTCCCAAGTGAATATCTGCTCTGTTAACTGTCTGCCTTATGAGGAAATGAAGGTCCCACAGCAGTGAGAGGTAAATTTCAAACACAACAGGAATAAACTTGGACTCTGTGCAGAAGGGTGCAACTCCCAGGATTTTCACAGAAAAGCAAATCATTTCCACCTAAGAAGCAACAAGGATAACAGAAGTTTAGTAAAACCCAGCCACGCAGACACTGTCCTTCTCACCCAGTGTCCTCTCCTACCTCCCTTGCTTTCACGAATAAAGACTTAAAAGAAATATGTAAAGTTCAAGCTTCAGTTTTGTTAATTGCTTAACCGAATTGCTTTTCGGAAAGCATCTGTAATAGTCCTTGAAACTGATCCCAATGAATAGGAATTCACAAAAAACATTAGTAAGGTTGAGATGCTTTTGTATTCATTTTGGGATGCTCAGGCCCCCTGGAACTGCATTTAGTCCAGGCGGGAAGGTAACTGAACTTTGCACAAGCAATGGTATGAGATGGGCACTTCTGGGCTCTGACAAGGGATGCTGTAAAAAGGAAAATCCTTGGATTGGCTATACCCTAAAAAATATGTAAGATTGGGCCGGACGTGGTGGCTCACGCCTGTAATCCCAGCACTTTAGGAGGCCAAGGCGGGTGGATCACCTGAGGTCAGGAATTAGAGACCAGCCTGGCCAACATGGTGAAACACCATCTCTACTAAAAATAAGAAAATTAGCTGGGTGTGGTGGCCTGCACCTGTAGTCTCAGCTACTCAGGAGGCTGAGGCAGGAGAATCACTTGAACCCGGGAGGCGGAGGTTGAAGTGAGCCAAGTCGCATCACTGCACTCCAGCCTGTGCAACAGAGTGACACTCCGTCTCAAAAAAAAAAATGTGCATGATTGTTAGAGTCCTCTGGGAGCAATTTTTAAAGTTCGTATCCATAATTGTTTTCTCTAGAAAAATTAGGACATTGAAAACCTGGTTATCTTTTTACCTTGCACACCATGTAGAGATGATGATATTTTCTCTAAGTTCTGAATCATGACATTAAATAGGACAAGAAAATAAAAGCATGGCACTCCACCAGGACTGTCAGCTGAGATAGAAAACCTGATTAACAGCAAATTTGGCACCTGAGACTTCTGCAAATGGAATGAATTGCCAAAGGCGTGTCTCACTGAGAGAACATTGCCTTTCCTTTCAGTTTTAGTGGAAAGTGTGTGTTATTCAATATGGTGCATTAATTGTTTTCTTAGGAAGCTGCGATCTAAATACAATTTTTAATACGTGCATTTGTAAGAAGTGTTTTATGTAGCTGGATCTATATATCATAGTTGACTATTTTATTAAGTGCTTTAACTTTTTAAAAAATTGTGCCATATTTACAAATTATCTATACTAGCAAAAAACCTTAAAGGGCAAGCTTAGGTTAATTACAGCCAGAATGCTTTTGGAGGTCTTGACACGTTTTCAATTTTGGTAAGAAAAACTCAGCATTGCTAAGAGTGTTATGCCAATAACTAATTCCTATAGATGAAAATATATCGCTGTATAAAACTCAGCTGTCAAGATAGAAGCTATAATGACACAGCTTAGGAAAGTGGGAATTTTAAATGAAAAGTTCCAGAAGAAACAGAAAAGGTCAGCTAATTCATTCTCTTGCCTCTGTTAATCACCACAGCAACTGCGTTTCAAACATTTATGTTTCTCATTTCCAATTAAGCCAAGGAGATTACCACATCTGGTGAAGGGTAAGGATGGAGTTTAGGACAATTAAACGTTTAGCACTGAATATATTTGATAGAGCATTTTTGTTACGGTTTTTTCAAATAGATATGATTTTCAAACCGCATGCCCAGAGCCTCGGTCTGCTAGAGATGCGACAAGGACCATTATAGGGAAACACTGGGGCAAACAGATCATCACCCGCTTTCTGCTCTCCACTCTATAAGCAGCTCCTCCTTTCTCTCTCTCATAATACCAGGGCTTAAGAAAGAGGTGTTCTGTTACTTAAAGAAGTTGAAATAGCATTGTTTTAATCTATCTAATACCAAGAAGACATGAAAGCTTATTGTAGAATATTTAAACAGGGAAACCTGCTCATGACCTGTTACTAAATTTTAAATGTGGTAACAAAGAAGTATGAACATTATAAGCCCTTTTTGTAAATATACTCAGACACAAAAAGAAAAAGATGAATGAATGTTTAACAAATAATATTGAGAGCTGAATACTAGGGGGTACAGATAATTTTTATTTTATTATTTTTGCTTCTCAGCATATTTTGGTTTTGTTTTAAAATGATTCTAGATTAACAGAAAATTGTAAAAATAGTGTGAAGAGGTCCTACTTTCCTTTCACCCAATTCCTCCAATGGTAACATCAATAGTAACACAATCATAGCACAATATCCAAAGCAAAAAATTAGCATTCATACAAATCACAGATTTTATTCAGTCCTCCCATTTCACATGCACTTATGTGTGTGTGTTTATGTGTGTGTGCATGCATGTGCACATAGTTCTATGCAATGTTATCTTATGTTGATTGTGCAACCACCACCACAATTCCATCACCACAAAGATCCCCTACGCTAGTATCTTTTTTTTTTGTTGGGGGGGGACGGAGCCTCGCTCTATCGCCAGATTGGAGTGCAGTGGCGCGATCTGGGCTCACTGCATCCTCCACCTCCCAGGTTCAAGCGATTTTCCTGCCTCAGCCTCCTGAGTAGCTGGGACTACAGGCGTGCACCACCATGCCCAGCTAATTTTTGTATTTTTTTTAGTAGAGACAGAGTTTCACCATGTTGGCCAGGATGGTCTCAATTCTTGACCTCTAGATCCACCTGCCTCGGTCTCCCAATGTGCTGGGATTACAGGCATGAGCTACCGCGCCCAGCCTACGTTGGTATCTTTATGAATTGCTCCCTTTTATTGCTGGTGGGTGTTCCATGGTGTGGCCATAGCACAGTTCGTTTGGCCATTTACTCAATGTAGAACATTTGGATTATTTCCAAATTTTGACTATTACAAATAAAGCTGCTATGAACTTTCATGCACACATTTTTGTGTGGATGTAAGTTTTCATTTCTCTGGGATAAATGCTCAGGAGTGTGACTGCTGGTGCATATGGTAAGTGTGGTTTCTTTTTTTAAAAAGTTTGCCAAACTGTTTTCTAGAGTGGCTGTGCCATTTCACATTCCTGCCAGCAATGAGTGAGAGATCCAGTTTCTCTGCACCCTCCTCAGCATTTGGGATTGTTGCTATTTTCATTTTAGCTGTTCTAGTAGGTACTGTATATAGTGATGTCTCATCATGGTTTTAATTTGCATTTCCCTAGTGGTTAATGATGTTGAACATAACTCCACGTGCTTATTTGCCATATGGATATTCTCTACGGTGAAGTCTCTGATCATATATATTGCCCATTTTCTAACTGGACTGTGATTTTTTTTTACTGTTAAGTTTTGGGGTCAGGGACCCACTTGACCCCGAGCAGTCTAACTGGGAGGCACCCCCCAGCAGGAGCACACTGACACCTCACACGGCAGGGTACTCCAACAGACCTGCAGCTGAGGGTCCTGTCTGTTAGAAGGAAAACTAACAAACAGAAAGGACATCCACACCAAAACCCCATCTCTACATCACCATCATCAAAGACCAAAAGTAGATAAAACCACGAAGATGGGGAAAAAACAGAACAGAAAAACTGGAAACTCTAAAAAGCAGAGTGCCTCTCCTCCTCCAAAGGAACGCAGTTCCTCACCAACAACGGAACAAAGCTGGACGGAGAAGAACTTTGACGAGCTGAGAGAAGAAGGCTTCAGACAATCAAATTACTCTGAGCTGCGGGAGGACATTCAAACCAAAGGCAAAGAAGTTGAAAACTTTGAAAAAAATTTAGAAGAATGTATAACTAGAATAACCAATACAGAGAAGTCCTTAAAGGAGCTGATGGAGCTGAAAACCAAGGCTCGAGAACTACGTAAAGAATGCAGAAGCCTCAGGAGCCGATGCGATCAACTGGAAGAAAGGGTATCAGCAATGGAAGATGAAATGAATGAAATGAAGCGAGAAGGGAAGTTTAGAGAAAAAAGAATAAAAAGAAATGAGCAAAGCCTCCAAGAAATATGGGACTATGTGAAAAGACCAAATCTACGTCTGATTGGTGTACCTGAAAGTGACGGGGAGAATGGAACCAAGTTGGAAAACACTCTGCAGGATATTATCCATGAGAACTTCCCCAATCTAACAAGGCAGGCCAACGTTCAGATTCAGGAAATACAGAGAATGCCACAAAGATACTGCTCGAGAAGAGTAACTCCAACACACATAATTGTCAGATTCACCAAAGTTGAAATGAAGGAAAAAATGTTAAGGGCAGCCAGAGAGAAAGGTCGGGTTACCCTCAAAGGGAAGCCCATCAGACTAACAGCGGATCTTTCGGCAGAAACCCTACAAGCCAGAAGAGAGTGGGGGCCAATATTCAACATTCTTAAAGAAAAGAATTTTCAACCCAGAATTTCATATCCAGCCAAACTAAGCTTCATAAGTGAAGAAGAAATAAAATACTTTACAGACAAGCAAATGCTGAGAGATTTTGTCACCACCAGGCCTGCCCTAAAAGAGCTCCTGAAGGAAGCGCTAAACATGGAAAGGAACAACCAGTACCAGCCGCTGCAAAATCATGCCAAAATGTAAAGACCATCGAGACTAGGAAGAAACTGCATCAACTAACGAGCAAAATAACCAGCTAACATCATAATGACAGGACCAAATTCACACATAACAATATTAACTTTAAATGTAAATGGACTAAATGCTCCAATTAAAAGACACAGACTGGCAAATTGGATAAAGAGTCAAGACCCATCAGTGTGCTGTATTCAGGAAACCCATCTCACGTGCAGAGACACACATAGGCTCAAAATAAAAGGATGGAGGAAGATCTACCAAGCAAATGGAAAACAAAAAAAGGCAGGGGTTGCCATCCTAGTCTCTGATAAAACAGACTTTAAACCAGCAAAGATCAAAAGAGACAAAGAAGGCCATTACATAATGGTAAAGGGATCAATTCAACAAGAAGAGCTAACTATCCTAAATATATATGCACCCAATACAGGAGCACCCAGATTCATAAAGCAAGTCCTGAGTGACCTACAAAGAGACTTAGACTCCCAACATTAATAATGGGAGACTTTAACACCCCACTGTCAACATTAGACAGATCAACGAGACAGAAAGTCAACAAGGATACCCAGGAATTGAACTCAGCTCTGCACCAAGCGGACCTAATAGACATCTACAGAACTCTCCACCCCAAATCAACAAAATATACATTTTTTTCAGCACCACACCACACCTATTCCAAAATTGACCACATACTTGGAAGTAAAGCTCTCCTCAGCAAATGTAAAAGAACACAAATTATAACAAACTATCTCTCAGACCACAGTGCAATCAAACTAGAACTCAGGATTAAGAATCTCACTCAAAACCGCTCAACTACATGGAAACTGAACAACCTGCTCCTGAATGACTACTGGGTACATAAAGAAATGAAGGCAGAAATAAAGATGTTCTTTGAAACCAACGAGAACAAAGACACCACATACCAGAATCTCTGGGAAGCATTCAAAGCAGTGTGTAGAGGGAAATTTATAGCACTAAATGCCCACAAGAGAAAGCAGGAAAGATCCAAAATTGACACCCTAACATCACAATTAAAAGAACTAGAAAAGCAAGAGCAAACACATTCAAAAGCTAGCAGAAGGCAAGAAATAACTAAAATCAGAGCAGAACTGAAGGAAATAGAGGCACAAAAAACCCTTCAAAAAATTAATGAATCCAGGAGCTGGTTTTTTGAAAGGATCAACAAAATTGATAGACCACTAGCAAGACTAATAAAGAAAAAAAGAGAGAAGAATCAAATAGACGCAATAAAAAATGATAAAGGGGATATCACCACTGATCCCACAGAAATACAAACTACCATCAGAGAATACTACAAACACCTCTACGCAAATAAACTAGAAAATCTAGAAGAAATGGATAAATTCCTCGACACATACACTCTCCCAAGACTAAACCAGGAAGAAGTTGAATCTCTGAATAGAACAATAACAGGATCTGAAATTGTGGCAATAATCAATAGCTTACCAACCAAAAAGAGTCCAGGACCAGATGGATTCACAGCCGAATTCTACCAGAGGTACAAGGAGGAACTGGTACCATTCCTTCTGAAACTATTCCAATCAATAGAAAAAGAGGGAATCCTCCCTAACTCATTTTATGAGGCCAGCATCATTCTGATACCAAAGCCAGGCAGAGACACAACCAAAAAAGAGAATTTTAGACCAATATCCTTGATGAGCATTGATGCAAAAATCCTCAAAAAATACTGGCAAAACGAATCCAGCAGCACATCAAAAAGCTTATCCACCATGATCAAGTGGGCTTCATCCCTGGGATGCAAGGCTGGTTCAATATACGCAAATCAATAAATGTAATCCAGCATATAAACAGAGCCAAAGACAAAAACCACATGATTATCTCAATAGATGCAGAAAAGGCCTTTGACAAAATTCAACAACCCTTCATGCTAAAAACTCTCAATAAATTATGTATTGATGGGACGTATTTCAAAATAATAAGAGCTATCTATGACAAACCCACAGCCAATATCATACTGAATGGGCAAAAACTGGAAGCATTCCCTTTGAAAACTGGCACAAGACAGGGATGCCCTCTCTCACCACTCCTATTCAACATAGTGTTGGAAGTTCTGGCCAGGGCAATTAGGCAGGAGAAAGAAATAAAGGGTATTCAATTAGGAAAAGAGGAAGTCAAATTGTCCCTCTTTGCAGACGACATGATTGTATATCTAGAAAACCCCATTGTCTCAGCCCAAAATCTCCTCAAGCTGATAAGCAACTTCAGCAAAGTCTCAGGATATAAAATCAATGTGCAAAAATCACAAGCACTCTTATACACCAACAACAGACAGAGAGCCAAATCATGAGTGAACTCCCATTCACAATTGCTTCAAAGAGAATAAAATACCTAGGAATCCAACTTACAAGGGATGTGAAGGACCTCTTCAAGGAGAACTGCAAACCGCTGCTCAAGGAAATAAAAGAGGATACAAACAAATGGAAGAACATTCCATGCTCATGGGTAGGAAGAATCAATATCGTGAAAATGGCCATACTGCCCAAGGTAATTTACAGATTCAATGCCATCCCCATCAGGCTACCAATGCCTTTCTTCACAGAATTGGAAAAAACTACTTCAAAGTTCATACGGAACCAAAAAAGAGCCCGCATCGCCAAGTCAATCCTAAGCCAAAAGAACAAAGCTGGAGGCATCACACTACCTGACTTCAAACTATACTACAAGGCTACAGTAACCAAAACAGCATGGTACTGGTACCAAAACAGAGATATAGATCAATGGAACAGAACAGAGCCCTCAGAAATAATGCCGCATATCTACAACTATCTGATCTTTGACAAACCTGAGAAAAACAAGCAATGGGGAAAGGATTCCCTATTTAATAAATGGTGCTGTGAAAACTGGCTAGCCATATGTAGAAAGCTGAAACTGGATCCCTTCCTTACACCATATACAAAAATCAATTCAAGATGGATTAAAGACTTAAACGTTAGACCTAAAACCATAAAAACCCTAGAAGAAGACCTAGGCAATACCATTCAGGACATAGGCATGGGCAAGGACTTCATGTCTAAAACACCAAAAGCAATGGCAACAAAAGACAAAATTGACAAATGGGATCTAATTAAACTAAAGAGCTTCTGTACAGCAAAAGAAACTACCATCAGAGTGAACAGGCAACCTACAAAATGGGAGAAAATTTTCACAACCTACTCATCTGACAAAGGGCTAATATCAAGAATCTACAATGAACTCAAACAAATTTACAAGAAAAAAACAAACAACCCCATCAAAAAGTGGGCAAAGGACATGAACAGACACTTCTCAAAAGAAGACATTTATGCAGCCAAAAAACACATGAAAAAATGCTCATCATCACTGGCCATCAGAGAAATGCAAATCAAAACCACAATGAGATACCATCTCACACCAGTTAGAATGGCAATCATTAAAAAGTCAGGAAACAACAGGTGCTGGAGAGGATGTGGAGAAATAGGAACACTTTTACACTGTTGGTGGGACTGTAAACTAGTTCAACCATTGTGGAAGTCAGTGTGGCGATTCCTCAGGGATCTAGAACTAGAAATGCCATTTGACCCAGCCATCCCATTACTGGGTATATACCCAAAGGACTATAAATCATGCTGCTATAAAGACACATGCACACGTATGTTTATTGTGGCATTATTCACAATAGCAAAGACTTGGAACCAACCCAAATGTCCAACAATGATAGACTGGATTAAGAAAATGTGGCACATATACACCATGGAATACTATGCAGCCATAAAAAATGATGAGTTCATGTCCTTTGTAGGGATGTGGATGAAGCTGGAAACCATCATTCTCAGTAAACTATCGCAAGAACAAAAAACCAAACACCACATATTCTCACTCATAGGTGGGAATTGAACAATGAGATCACATGGACACAGGAAGGGGAACATCACACTCTGGGGACTGTGGTGGGGTGGGGTGAGGGGGGAGGGATAGCATTGGGAGATATATGTAATGCTAGATGACGATTTAGTGGGTGCAGCGCACCAGCATGGCACATGTATACATATGTAACTAACCTGCACAATGTGCACATGTACCCTAAAACTTAAAAGTATAATAATAAAAGAAAAAAAGGAAAAAATAAAATAAAATAAAATTAAATTAAATTAAATTTAATTTAAAAAAAGTTTTGAGCGTTCTGTATATATTCTATGTACATGTTCTTTGTCAGATTATGGTTTCCAAATGTTTTCTCCAGGTCTGTAGCTTATTCTTTTATCCACTTAGCAAAGTTTTTCACTGAGCAAGTTTTTATTTTGGTGAAATCCGATTGATCATTTCTTAAAAACAGATCATGCTTGGCCAGGCGCGGTGGCTCACGCCTGTAATCCCAGCACTTTGGGACGCCGAGGCGGGTAGATCACAAGGTCAGGAGTTCAAGACCAGCCTGGCCCAAATGGTGAAACCCTGTCTCTACTAAATATACAAAAATTAGCCGGGTGTGTTGGCAGGCGCCTGTAGTCCCAGCTACTCGGGAGGCTGAGGCAGGAGAATCGCTTGAACCCGGGAGGTGGAGGTTGTGGTGAGCTGATATCATGCCACTGCACTCCTGCCTGGGTGACAGAATAAGACTCCATTTCAAAAAAAAAAAAATCAGATCATGGTTTTGGCGTCATGTCTAAGAAGTCTACCAAACCTTAAGCCCCAGAGATTTTCTATGTTATCTTCTAAAAGTGCTCTGGTTTTACATTTTATACTTACATCTATGATCCATGTTGAGTTAAATTTTGTGTAAGGCCTAGGTCAAGGTGATGATGATGATAATGATGATGATGATGATGATGACTGCCTTTGGGTGTCCAACTGCTCCAGCACCATTTGTTGAAAAAACAGTCCTTCCTCCATTGAATTGCTCTTGTGCCTTTGCCAAAATCAGCTGGCAGTACTTGTGAGTCTATTTCTGGGTTCTCTATTCTACTCCAGTGACTTACATATATCTGTCCCTTCACCAATACCACACGGTATTGATTACTGTGACTATATATTAATGGTAAGTTATATAATCAAATAGAGTGATTCCTACCACTTCATTCTTCTTTTTCAAAATTGTTTTTGGTATTTTAATTCCATTGATTTTCTATATATACTTTAGAATAAGTTGAACTATACTGCAAAAAACATTGCTGTGATTTTGATATGAATTGCATTAAACCTATAGATTAATTAGAGAGAAATGTTAACTCCATTTTACTGAATATTCCAACCCTTTATAAACATGGTACATGTCTTTATTTATGTAGATCTTTGGTTTCTTTTATCAGTATTTTGTAGGTTTTTGTTGTTGTTGTTGTTGATGTGGAGTCCCACTCTGTCGCCCAGGCTAGAGTGCAGTGGCACTATCTCGGCTCACTGCAACCTTCGCCTCCGGGGTTCAAGCAATTCTCCTGCCTCAACTTCCTAAGTAGCTGGGACTACAGGTGCCCACCACCGAGCCAAGCTAATTTTTGCATTATTTAGTAGAGATGGGGTTTCACCGTATTGGCCAGGCTGGTCTCAAACTCCTGACCTCGTGATCTGCCCGCCTCGGCCTCCCAAAATGCTGGGATTACAGGTGTAAGCCACCACACACGGCCTATTTTGTAGTTTTCTACATAAAATTTCTGTACATGTTTTCTTAGATTCATACCTGCTGCTTTCTTCTCTTTTTCTTTCTCCTTTATTTTTATTATTTATTTAATTATTTCTTTATTTATGAGGTGGAATCTCACTCTGTCGCACAGGCTGGAGTGCAGTGGTACAATCTCGGCTCACCACAACCTTTGCCTCTCATGTTCTAGCAATTCTATTGCATCAGCCTCCCAAGTAGCTGGGATTATAGGTGCCTACCATCATGCCTGGCTAATTTTTTTTTATTATTTTTTTATTTTTAGTAGAAATGGGGTTTCGCCATTTTGTCCAGGTTGGTCTCGAACTCCTAACCTTAGGTGATCTGCCTGCATCGGCCTCCCAAAGTGCTGAGATTACAGGTGTGAGTCACCATGCCCAGTCTCTTTTTTCTTTTAGCTACTGTAAATGGTATTGCTTTGTATTGTTTTCCATGTGTTCACTGCTTGTATATGGAAATGCACTTGATTTTTGTATATTGATCCTGTCTCCTGTGACCTTACTAAACTCGTTCATTACTTCCAGATTTTTGTTTTGTTTGTATTTTTAATTCTTTGGGATTTTCTATGTAGATTATCCTGTCATCTGCAAATAGGAAAAGTTTTCTCTTTTCTGTTTTAATCTGTATGTCTTTTATTTCATTTTCTTACCATATTGTGCTGGCTTGGGCTTCTAGTATTACATTGAATGAGAGAGGTGAGAGCAGCCATTGTTACCTTGTTCCCAATTTTAGGAAGAAAGCATTTGGTCTTTTACCATTAGGTACTGTGCTAGTGGTACGTTTTTTGTTGATGATCTTTATCGTGTTGAGGAAATTCTCATCTACTCTTAGTTTGCTGAGAGCCTTTATCGTAAACAGGTGTTGAATTTTGTCAAATTTTTATTGTCTCAACTGATATTTTCTTTTTCCTTTTTTCTTTTTTTTTTTTGAGATGGAGTTTCACTCTTGTTGCCCAGGCTGGAGTGCAGTGGTGCGATCTCAGCTCACTGCAACCTCTGCCTCCCGAGTTCAAGTGATTCTCCTGCCTCAGCCTCCCAAGTAGCTGGGATTACAGGCATGCACCACCACACCCGGCTAATTTTTGTATTTTTAGTAGAGATGGGGTTCTACCATGTTGGTCAGGCTGGTCTTGAACTCCTGACCTCAGTTGATCTACCTGCCTCAGCCTCCCGAAGTGCTGGGATTACAGGGGTGAACCACCGCGCCCGGCCTTCAATTGATATTTTCATGTGATCTTTTCTCTTTGGCCTGTTAATATGGTGGATTACACTCATTAATTTTCAAATATTGCAATAGACTTGCAGCCCTGAAATAAATCCCACTCGGTCATGGTGTATGATTCTTCCTATGTACTGTTAAATTCTACTTGCTAATATATTGCTGGGGATTTTTTTACCTATATTGATGTAAGGTACTGATTTGTAGTTTTCCTTTTTTATACTGTTTATGTCAGGTTTGGGTATAAGAATGACACCTCCTTCATAAGATGAGTGGAAATGTGTTCTCTTTTCTGAAAGAGATTGTGTAGAATTGGTGACATTTCTTCCGTTTTTGTTTTCGTTTTTGTTTTTGAGACAGAGTCTCGCTCTGTCACCCAGGCTGGAGTGCAGTGGCACTATCTCAGCTCACTGCAACTGCCATCTCCCAGGTTCATGTGATTCTCCTGCCTCAGCCTCCTGAGTAGCTGGGATTACAGGCGCACACCACCACGCCCAGCTAATTTTTGTATTTTTAGTAAAGATGGGTTTTCGCCGTGTTGGTCAGGCTGGTCTCGAACTCCTGACCTCATTATCTGCCCGCCTCGGCCTCCCAAAGTGCTGGAATTACAGGCATGAGCCACTGCACCCGGCCGGTGACATTTCTTCTTAATCATTGGTAAAATTCTCCAGTGAAGCCATCTTTTCTTGAGTTTTTCAAGAAAATTGAACTTTTTAAATAGTTAAAAGGATATGTAAAGTATCTATTTCATATTGTATGAATTTTGGTAGCTTGTGCTTTGAAGGAATGGTCCACTTTATCTCAGTTGTTCAATGTATTTGTGTAGAATGTTTTTAGCTTTCCCTTACCATTCTTCTGTTCGTGGAGACTATAATAATATTACCCATTTTTATTCGTGATATTATTAGTAGTTTGTGTCTTTTCTCTTATTTATTTTTAATTGACAAAAATTGTGTATATTTATCATGTACAACATGATGTTTTGAAATATGTATACATTGCAGAACAGATAAATCAAGCTAATTAACGTATGAATTCCCTCACATACTTATTTTTTGTGGGGACAACACTTAAAATCTATTCTTGGTGATTTTTTTTTTATTATACTTTAAGTTTTAGGGTACATATGCACAATGTGCGGGTTTGTTACATATATATACATGTGCCATGTTGGTGTGCTGCACCCATTAACTCGTCATTTAACATTAGGTATATCTCTTAATGCTATCCCTCCCCCCTCCCCCCACCCCACAACAGGCCCCAGTGTGTGATGTTCCCCTTCCTGTGTCCATGTGTTCTCATTGTTCAATTCCTACCTATGAGTAAGAACATGCAGTGTTTGGTTTCTTGTCCTTGCGATAGTTTGCTGAGAATGATGGTTTCCAGCTTCATCCATGTCCCTACAAAGGACATGAACTCATCATTTTTATGGCTGCATAGTATTCCATGGTGTATATGTGCCACATTTTCTTAATCCAGTCTATCATTGTTGGACATTTGGGTTGGTTCCAAGTCTTTGCTATCGTGAATAATGCCACAATAAACATATGTGTGCATGTGTCTTTATAGCAGCATGATTTATAGTCCTTTGGGTATATACCCAGTAATGGGATGGCTGGCTCAAATGGTATTTCTAGTTCTAGATCCCTGAGGAATCGCCACACTGACTTCCACAATGGTTGAACTAGTTTACAGTCCCACCAACAGTGTAAAAGTGTTCCTATTTCTCCACATCCTCTCCAGCACCTGTTGTTTCCTGACTTTTTAATGATTGCCATTCTAACTGGTGTGAGATGGTTTTGAGACGGAGTCTCGCTCTGTCTACCAGGCTGGAGTGCAGTGGCGTGATCTCGGCTCACTGCAAGCTCTGCCTCCCAGGTTCACGCCATTCTCCTGCCTCAGCCTCCCCAGTAGCTGGGATTACAGGCACCCGCCACCGCGCCCAGCTAATTTTTTGTATTTTTAGTAGAGATGGGGTTTCACCGTGGTCTCGATCTCCTGACCTCGTGATCCGCCTGCCTCGGCCTCCCAAAGTGCTGGGATTACAGGCATGAGCCACCACGCCTGGCTATTCTTGGTGATTTTCAAGAATACAATACATTTTAATTAACTATTCAGTCACCATGTTGTATAATGGATTTCTTGAACTTATTCCTCCTGTTTAACTGAAATTTTGTATCCTTTGATCAACATGTCCAATTCCTGCAGCCCGCCTCCAACCCCTACATCCAGCCTCTGGTAACCACCGTTCTACTCTGTTTCTATGAGTTCAGCTTTTTCAGATTCCACATATAAGTGAGAAGTTACATTATTTGTCTTTCTGTGCCCAGTTTATTTCACTTAGTATAGTGTCCTCTGGGTTCATCCATATTATCGCAAGTGACAGATTTTCTTCTTTTTAAAAGCTGAATACTACTCCATTGTGGATCATACTACATTTTTAAAGACCCATTCATTCCCTGGTGGACACGTAAGTTGATTCCATATCTTGGCTTTTGTGAATGATGCGGCTGTGAACATGGGAGTGCAGATATCTCTTTGACATGCTGATTGGAACTGCTGGATCATACGGAAGTTCTATTTTTAATATTTTGAGGGACATCCCTACTATGTTCCATAATAGCTGTACTAATTTACAGTCCCACTAACAGTATATAAGGGTTCCATTTTCTCCACATCCTGGCCAACACTTGCTATCCTTTGTCTTTTTGATAACAGCAATGCTAACAGGTGTGAGGTGATAGCTCATTAGTTTTTTTTGTTTTTTTTTTTTTGAGACAGAGTCTCGCTTTGTCGCCCAGGCTGGAGTGCAGTGGCGCAATCTTGGCTCACTGCAAGCTCCGCCTCCTGGGTTCACACCATTCTCCTGCCTCAGCTTCCCAAGTAGCTGGGACTACAGGCACCTGCCACCATGCCCAGCTATTTTTTTTGTGTATTTAGTAGAGAAGGGTTTTCACCATGTTGGTCAGGCTGGTCTCGAACTCCTGACCTCAGGTAATCTGCCCACTTCGGCCTCCCAAAGTGCTGCGATTACAGGCCTGAGCCACTGTGCCCAGCCAGCTCATTAGTTTTGATTTGCATTTCCCTGATCATTAGTGACATTGAGCATTTTTTCATTTTCCTGTTGGCCATTTGTATGCCTTATTCTGAAAAATGTCTGTTCAGGTCCTTTGCCTATTTTTAAAATTGGGTTATTTGTTTTCCTGCAATTGCATTTGTTTGAATTCCTTATATATTTTGGACATTAATGATTTATCAGATATCAATTTTGCGAGTATTTTCTCCTATTGTGTAAATTGTCTCTTTATTCTATTGGTTGTTTCCTTTGCTGGGCAGAAGTTTTTTAAGTGTGATGTAATCCCATTTGTCTATTTTGGGTTTTATGGTCATCTTTTTTTCTTTGTCAATATAACTACAGAATTTTCCATTTTATTAATCTTTTCAAATAAATAGCTTTTGTTTCATTGATTTTCTCTATTGCTTTTCTGTTTTCAATTTCATTGATTTCCGTTCTTACCTTTATAATTTCCTTCCTCCTGCTTGGTTTGGGTTTACGTTCCTCTACTTTTTTCTAGTTTCTTTAGGTAGAAACGAAATGATTGATTTAGAATCTTTCCTCTTTTCTAATGTAAACAATTAGTGCTATAAATGTCCCTCTTGGCAGCATTTTAGCTGCATCCCACAAATTTCAGTAAGTTGTTTTTTAAATTTTCATTTGGTTCAAATTTTTTTTTTTTTTTTAAGAGACGGAGTTGGCCGGGTGTGGTGGCTCACGCCTGTAATCCCAGCACTTTGGGAGGCCAAAGCGGGCAGATTACCTGAGGTCAGAAGTTCGAGACCAGCCTGGCCAACATGGTGAAACCTTGTCTCTATTAAAAATACAAAAATTAGCCAGGCGTGGTGACACACGCCTGTAATCCGAGCTACTCAGGAGGCTGAGGCAGGAGAATTGCTTGAGCCTGGGAGGCGGAGGTTGCAGTGAGCTGAGATCATGCCACTGCACTCCAGCCTGGCTGACAGAGCGAGACTCTGTCTCAAAAAAAAAAAAAAAAAAAAAAGACAGAGTCTCACTCTGTCACTCATGCTGGAGTGCAGCAGCACGATTATAGCTCACTGCAGCCTCGAACTCTTAGACTTAAGGGGTCCTCCCACATCAGTGTCCCCAGTAACTGGGACTGTAGGCGGCACCACCACACCTGGCTAATTTTTTGTAGAGATAAGGTCTCCCTTTGTTGCCCAGGCTAGTCTCTAACTCCTGGGGTCAAGTGATCCTCCTCCCTTGACCTCCCAAAACAGTGGGAGCTTAAGCTACTGTGTATAGCCTCAATCAGCTCAATGTATTTTTTTTTTTTTTTTTTTGAGATGGAGTCTTGCTCTGTCCCCCAGGCTGGAGTGCAGTGGCGCAATCTTGGCTCACTGCAAGCTCCGCCTCCCGGGTTCACGCCATTCTCCTGCCTCAACCTCCGGAGTAGCTGGGACTACAGGCACCCGCCACCACACCCGGCTAATTTTTTGTATTTTTAGTAGAGACGGGGTTTCACCGTGTTAGCCAGGATGGTCTCGATCTCCTGACCTCGTGATCCGCCCACCTCAGCCTCCCGAAGTGCTGGGATTACAGGCATGAGCCACCGTGCCTGGTCAGCTCAGTGTATTTTTTAAAATTTGCCTTAAGGCATCTTCTTTGATACACGGATTATTGAGAATTATGCTAATTTCCAAGTGTTTAGAGATTTTCCTGTTGTCTGTTTTTGATTTCTAGTTTGATTCATTTGTACTCAGAGAACAGATTTTTGTTTAATTTCAATTATTTATAATTTGTTGGAGTTTACTTTATGACCCAGGATATGGTCTATCTAAATGAATATTCCTTGACTGAAAATAATATATATGCTGTTGTCGATGCGGTGTTCTATAAAGGCCAATTAGACCCTGTTGGGTGTGGTTAAATTCCTCTATATCCTTGCTGTGCATCTGTCTAGTAGTTCTATCAATTGTTGATAAAAGGGTGTTTAAGTCTCCAACTATAATTGCGGATTTGTCTCTTTCTGTCACTTCTTGTTTTTTTTTTGTTTGTTTGTTTTTTTGAGACAGAGTTGCGCTCTGTCACCCAGGCTGAAGTGCAGTGGCACGATCTCGGCTCACTGCAACCTCTGCCTCCTGGGTTCAAGCGATTCTCCTGCCTCAGCCTCCTGAGTAGCTGAGATTATAGCCACTCGCCACCACACCTGGCTAATTTTTGTATTTTTAGTAGAGACAGGGTTTCACCATGTGGTCAGGCTGGTCTCGAACACCTGACGTCGTGATCCACCCGCTTCAGCCTCCCAGAGTGCTGGAATTGCAGGCGTGAGCCACTGTACCTGGCCTCTTTCTGTCACTTCTAACAATTTTTTTTTTTTTTAAGACGGAGTCTCGCTCTGTTGCCCAGGCTGGGCTGCAGTGGCACGATCTTGGCTCACTGCAAGCTCGCCTCCCGAGTTCATGCCATTCTCCTGCCTCAGCCTCCCCAGTAGCTGGGACTACAGGCGCCCGCCACCACATCCGGCTAATTTTTTGTATTTTTAGTAGAGATGGGGTTTCACCATGTTAGCCAGGATGGTCTCAATCTCTTGACCTCGTGATCCGCCTGCCTCGGCCTCCCAAAGTGCTGGGATTACAGGAGTAAGCCACTACGCCCAGCCCTTTTTTTTTTTTTTGAGACGGAGTTTCGCTCTTGTTGCCCAGACTGGAGTGCAATGGCACAATCTCGGCTCACTGCAACCTCCTCCTCCTGGGGTTCAAGCGATTCTCCTGCCTCAGCCTCCTGAGTAGCTGGGATTACAGGCATCCACCACCACACCCAGCTAATTTTGTATTTTCAGTAGAGACGGGTTTCTCCATGTTGTTCAGGCTGGTCTCAAACTCCTGACCTCAGGTGATCTGCCTGCATCGGCCTCCTAAAGTGCTGGAATTACAGGCGTGAGCCACCACGCCTGGCCTTTTCTAACAATTTTTGCTCTTCGTGTTTTGAAGACCTGTTGTTGGATGCACAGACATTTCAGATTACCATGGTTTCTTGGTTTGTTATTTCATTATTATGTAATGTCCTTCTTAGTCCCATGTAATTTTCTTTGCTCTATAGTCTGTTTTATTTTATGATGTTAATATAGTGGTTTCTAATTTCTTTTGATTAATGTTACATGATATGTAATTTTTCATATCTTTAATTTCAACCTACCTATACTTGAATATATCAGATATGTTATAATGAATATATTATATTCGGTGAGTTTATTTTAGTCAATGTGTAGTTGGACCAATTTTTTTTTTTTTTTTTTTTTGAGATGGAGTTTCGCTCTTTTTGACCAGGCTGGAGTGCAGTGGCACGATCTTGGCTCACTGCAACCCCCGCCTCCCAGGTTCAAGTGATTCTCCTGCCTCAGCCTCCCGAGTAGCTGGGATTAGAAGCGCCCACCACCACGCCCAGCTAATTTTTTTTTTTTTTGTATTTTTAGTAGAGACAGTGTTTCACCATGTTGGCCAGGCTGGTCTCAAACTCCAGACCTCATGATCCGCCTGCCTCAGCCTCCCAAAGTGCTGGGATTACAGGTGTGAGCCACCGCACCTGGCCATATCTGTTTTTTAATTGGTGTATTTAGAGCAATTAAATTTACATTTAATTTAACTATTAATATGTTAAGGCTTAATTCTGCCATTTTACTATCTTTCATTTGTCCTCATTTTCTGTTCCTTTGTTTCACTTTTCCTGCCTTTCTGAGGTTACCTGAACATTTTTTAGAATTTCATTCTGATGTATGTAAATTTCTGAGGATATATTTTTGGGTAGATATTTCTGTGGTTGCTCTAGGTCTTACACTTTACGTATATAAATTTTCACTGCCCATTAGTGTCAACATTTTATGTCTGAGTAAAGTGTAGAATCCTTTCCTCCATTTAAGTTACATTTTCCCTCCCCTACTTTATAGTATAATTAGCTTAAATATTTTCTGTACATATACTGAGAACCAGATCAGACAATGTTATACTTTTTGTTTCAATCATCTAACATAATTTAGAGCATTCAAGAGGATAGTCTATTATATTTATCTTTTTTTTTTTTTTGAGACAGAGTCTCACTCTGTCTCCCAGGCTGAGCGCAGTGGTGTGATCTCGGCTCACTGCAAGCTCTGCCTCCTGGGTTCACGCCATTCTCCTGCCTCAGCCTCCTGAGTAGCTGGGACTACAGGCACCCGTCATCATGCCCTGCTAATTTTTTTTTTGTATTTTTAGTACAGACTGGGTTTCACTGTGTTAGCCAGGATGGTCTCGATCTCCTGACCTCGTGATCCGCCTGCCTCGGCCTCCCAAAGTGCTGGGATTACAGGCGTCAGCCCCCGTGCCTGGCCTATTTATCCTTATTTTTTTATTGTTCTTTCTTCATTTCTAATACTCCATATTTCCTTCTTTTATTATTTCCTTTGTGTTTGTTTGTCTCCAATAGGCATTCAGTACATTTCTGGACGTACAACAGGGCTACGCCTGGATAAACCCATTGAAGGTTGAAAATACTGGAAGTTGAAAATGCACTTTTTGACTTACAATATTTTCAACTGACTATATACAATATATAGTCATACTGTATACACTATATGTATAGTTTTATAGATACATAGTTTTATAGACATGCATATAATCTACATTGAATTGCAAATTATAATGATTTTTATTTTGTGGATTTTATTTTTTAAGAATTTTATTCATTATCCAAATGTATTATTATTTTTTTACTTGACAAGTAAAAATTGTATATACTTATGGTGTATGACACACTGTCTTGGTATATGTATACACTGTGGAATCGCTAAATCTGGCTATTTAACATATGCATTACCTCACATACCATTTTTGTGGTGAGAACACTTCAAATCTGCTGTCCTAACAGTAGTCAAGTGTACAATATGTTGTTATTCGCTGTAGTCATCCTGATGTACGTTGAATGTCTTGAACTTACTCCTCCTGTCTAACTGAAATTGTGTGTCCTTTGACCAACATCTCCCCAGTCCACTCCCTGCCCCAGCCATTCTACTCTCCTCCTGTGAGTCCAATTTTTTTTTGGTTCCACATATAGTGAGATCATGCAGTGTTTGTCTGGCTGTGCCTGTCTTATTTCTCTCAGCATAATATCCCAAAACACTCTTGATGCCTATTTTGTACCCAGCACTGGGATGAATGCTAGAGCTACTGCCATACTTGCTAGTCAGAGGAGGTCCTGGAGCTGCATTCAGGTTCATCCTTGGCAGTAAGAAGACAGCATAACAGGGCACAGTGATCTGAGCAAAATAAACTGGTGACCTGGCAGAGCACAGGGAGGAGGGGGCTGCTCTAGACTGAGGGATCCAGGAAGGCCTCACTGAACTCTAAGGAGGTGACTGTTAGCCAGGACCTAGCAGATGACAGGAAGTTGGTCTTATGATGAGAATTCCAAGCAAAGGGAACAGCATGTGCCAAGGTTCTGAATTGCAAAAGAACAGAGAGAAGCCAGAGAAGCGGGTGGGACAAGCAGGCACAAGCCAGAGTCTCACAGCCTTCCAGGCCACCGGCAGACAATCCAGATTCACAGCAACACTCTCAACAAATGAACTCCAGGGGCAGAATAAAACTGTACATTACTGCAAAATTGGCAGTGTATGAATTTAAAATGGCCCTGCTTTTTGCTGCCACTGGTAAGGTGCTTCAACCTAGAGAATGTGCAGAGAAAGACAAGAAGGAAAGAAAAGAGAATGACAAAGACAAGAAGGAATGGAAAGAGAATAACAAAGAAAAGGAGGAGGACAGAAGATGGCCAGAGAAGTGGGAAGTGATAAAGAAATGGAAGCCCCCACATGCTGGAGCCTGCTCTCTTGAGCCACAACTTCAGGACCCCAGACAATTGTCTGCTTTCCGTGGGGAAGTACCTGCTGGCATCCTGGAGCTGCTACTTAAGCTAGGGTTACCCAAGGGCCCCCAGGGGGATGGGGGGAAACCTCAAAAGTATTCTAGTGTTTCCTGGCCTAAACCAGATCAAGACCAAACAAAGGACTTTCTCTTCAGGGGCGGTGTCAGTATTAAAGCCAAAGATAACCCTCTCTGCAAAAAGGACAGCTCAGAAACAGGCCAGATGCTTCACCCAGGAGGCAGCCAAGTGGTGGGAGGGGGATGGAACTTTATCAGGATAAGAAGATCCAAGTTCAGCTCCCTTTCTGAAGCAATGAGTGATCTTGTGTAAGTTACTTTATCTCTTTGAGTCTGAGTCTGCATCTTTCCTTTTTTTTTTTTTTTTAAGAAACTGGATCTCACTTTATTGTCCAGGCTGGAGGGCAGTGGTGTGATCTCAGCTCACTGTACCCTCGAACTCCAGGGCTCAATCGAACCTCTCACCTGAGCTTTGCAAGTAGCTGGGACTATAGGCATGCACCATCATGCCCGGCTAATTTTTGTATTCTTTGTAGAGATGGGATTTCAGCCTTGTTGCCCAGGCTGGCCCCAAATTCCTGGGCTCAAGCGATCTACCTGCCTCCCACAGTGCTGGAATTACAGGCGTGAGCCACTATGCCTGGCCTGCATCTTCCCATCATTAAAATGGAAACAATAGTACCTGTTTACAGGCTTGCTGTGAGCTCAGCCTGGTCAATACTTCCGGGGCCTAATTTCTGTATCTGTAAAATTGAGTTAATAATGCCCACCTTTCCTAACTCACAGGCCTATTGTGAGCCCGAAACACTTTGGACTTTAGAACAAACGCTTGACAAAGGAGGAATGGCATTATGATCTTCACTTTCCATGCTAACTTAAAGGTCAAGGGAGTCAGAGTCCTGAAATTATCATTGTCCAGAGCAGGTTCAGCAGACTATTCCTGTAAGGGACCAGAGGATAAATATTTCAGCCTTTGAGAGCCATACAAACTCTGTCACAATTATGCAGCTCTGCCGTGGCATGAAAGCAGCCACAGACAATGAATAAATAAATGAACGTGGCTGAATTCCAGTAGAACTTTATATGCTCACTGAAATTTGAATTTCATACAATTTTCACATCAAAAATGTTATTTTTTCCTGGCTAACACGGTGAAACCCCATCTCTACTAAAAATAAAAAAAATTAGCCGGGTGTGGTGGTGGGCGCCTGTAGTCCCAGCTACTTGGGAGGCTGAGGCAGGAGAATGGCATGAACCCGGGAGGCAGAGTTTGCAGTGAGCCGAGATTGTGCCACTGCCCTCCAGCCTGGGCGACAGAGCAAGACTCTGTCTCAAAACAAAACAAAAAAACAACAAAAAAAGTTATTTTTTTTCCGAACATTTGAAACTGCAAAAAGAAAAACATTTCAACTGGTGGACCGTAGAAAAACAAGCAGCAAAGTAGAGTAACCCATGGGCCATAATTTGCCAAATACCTGTTGTAGAATTCCACCATTACTGGCCATTACTGGCCACATCTCTAGTACAGCAAAAACTCCCTGGAGATTCATTTAGTGATACAGATGTGAAAATTGAGAATTCAATCATTTCATGGGAAGAACAGTTTTAGAATTTGTCCAATAGGGTCACCTTCAGTGAGAGGGTATGCAGGCTACCATTAATTCAACATTTGAAGATATCGACCTATCAGCACACCTAGATCCAAGCTAATGATGAGGGAAGAATGTTCACTGAAAATCCCATCTGTCTGAAAATAGAGACTTGAGACCTCATCAGTTGCTTTAAGGGAAAAAGTATCTGTGGGCAGGAACCTCAAGTAAGTCACTAGGAGCATGCTTGTATGCATTGTTAAGACACACTGCTATCGAATTGGTTCATAGCCACCTTGATCATTTTGGTTAAGAACACTAACCACCGGCCAGAATCTCTTCTATGCCTGCACCTTTGATAAGTGTTTTCTTGGTTTACAGCCACTGCTGAACTTACTCTGCTACAGTTCTCAACAAGACCCTTGGACTTGGGGGCTCCTATTAAAGAGACTTTGTTAAGAAAAAAACAACGGGAGGCTAAAGCGGGCAGATCATGAGGTCAAGAGATTGAGACCATCCTGGCCAACGTGGTGAAACCGTGTCTCTACTAAAAATACAAAACTTAGCTGGGCGTGGTGGCTCATGCTTGTAGTCCCAGCTACTCAGGAGGCTGAGGCAGGAGAATCGCTTAAACCTGGGAGGCAGAGGTTGCAGTGAGCTGAGATCGTTCCACTGCACTCCAGCCTGGCGACAGAGTGAGACTCCATCTTAAAAATAAAAAAAAAAAAGCATCTTATACAAAAAAATCTGTAGTTGTATCTCCCCAGATTTTAATCATTAATTTATTTTTTATTTATTTTTGTCAAAAGGTAGTCGCAATATAGACCATATCTGTTAGTAAATTACCTGAAGACTCTCTGTCTCTGCTCTGGACTTTTTTTTGTCAGTGGTCCATCTTTTTGATATACATCTTTGTGAGGTGACATTTACAAAGCTTGCCAAGGTCCCCAGTGACCTCCACACTAATAAATCCAGGGATGTTTAGAGTCCTCAGTTCACTTGGCCTGTCACCTGCATTTTCCAATCTGGACCATTCCATCTCCCCTTTGGCCCTCATGATACCACACTTTTTTCTGGGTCTCCTTGCACGCTTGCCTTCCTCCACCCAACTGTTCATGCAGGAGTTTCTCGGGCTAAGCTCCTCCTCGTGTCACTTTATCTCCTGAACAATCTCTCCCATACTTTGGGCTCCAGTCTAGGGCAAGAGGACTGGTCTGGCCTGGGGATACACGACTGTGACTCACTTCAGCAACTATGCACCAGTGACTCACAATTGTGTATCCCCAGGCCAGACCACTCCTCTTGCCCTAGACATAGGTATCTCATCTTCTAGTCTGTGTCTCTTTTTGGAGGCCTCAAAAGCATCTGAAATTCAATGTGTCCAAAACTGCTATCCCCAAGTTTATCTTCTTGCAATTGCCTCTGCCAGTAAATAACATGACCCCCCCATCCACTTATGAGGAGACCAGAAACTTAGGAGTCATCTTTGACATCTCCTTTTCTCCTGTTTCCCCATAGCTAGTCTAATGTGGACTAATACTAACTTTGCATTTGAAATATCACTCAAACCCTTCATCTCCTCTCCATTTCCACTATGATCAACCCAGACCAAACCATCGGGACCCTTACCACGGACCTCAGACTGGCCTCTCACCCCCACACTTGCTCTTCCCTAATTCCTTCCCCTATGCAGCAGTAAGAGTGATCTTTAAAAATACAAACCTGATCCAATCAACCCCCCGTCCCCAAATAAAACCCTTTGGTACTTTCTTGTCACTCTTAGCATTGCACCAAAATCCTTAATGTGGCCTCAGAATCCTGCATGACTTGCCTGCTGCCTACCTTCCCAGGTTCTTTTCAGCAGCCATGGCCCTCACCTCCTCTCACCTCCTCTTGCCTGAGTCCTTCTCACTTGCTGGGGTCTCGGCCTACGGGGCTCTTCCCCACTGCTTTTTTTTGTTTTTTCTTTTTCTTTTTGTTTTTGTTTTTGAGACGGAGACTTGCTCTGTTGCCCAGGCTAGAGTGCAGTGGTACAATCTCAGCTCACTGCAGCCTCCGCCTCCTGGGTTCAAGCAGTTCTCCTGCCTCAGCCTCCCGAGTAGCTGGGATTACAGGCACCCACCACCATGCCCAGCTAATTTTTGTATTTTTAGTAAAGAAGGGATTTCACCATCTTGACCAGGGTGGTCTTGAACTTCTGACCTCGTGATCCACCTGCCTCGGCCTCCCAAAGTGCTGGGATTACAGGCGTGAGCCACTGCACCCAGCCCCCTACTGCTTTCTTTACCTACATGATTCCTCCCCACTCTTTTTTTTTTTTTTGAGATGGAGTCTCACTCTGTTGCCCAGGCTGGAGTGCAGTGACGTGATCTCAGCTCACTGCAAGCTCCGCCTCCTGGGTTCACGCCATTCTCCTGCCTCAGCCTCCCGAGTAGCTGGGACTACAGGCGCCTGCCACCATGCCCAGCTAATTTCTTTTGGTATTTTTAGTAGAGACGGGGTTTCACCACGTTAGCCAGGATTGTCTCGATCTCCTGACCTCGTGATCTGCCCGCCTCGGCCTCCCAAAGTGCTGGGATTACAGGCGTGCACCACCACACCCAGCCGATTCCTCCCCATTTTTATGGTCTTACTTCAAACAGCAGCATCGCAGGAAAACCTCCGCAGATTCCCCAGTTTGGGCCTTGTACAGCTCTCTGTATCTCTTCCTTCAGCAGTTGTCATGTTTGTGGTTACATTTTAATTTGTGTGATCATTTGGTTAATTTATGTTCCTTTGTTAGACTGGAAGCTCCATTACACCCTAGCACAGGGCAGGGCCAGCAGGAGGCACTTGGTAAATACCTGATGAAGAGAAGGAGGGACAAAAGGAGAAAGGGAGAGTGGTGGCAGGGCATAGGTGGGGGCAAAGGAACTGAGGGAAAAAAGGAGAAAAAGATAGAACAGAGCGGAATAAAGAGGGAAGAAGCATCTATCCCTAGAAATGGTACCTGGGAAATTACAAAATCACCCACACCCCACAGGAAGTATCTTCTTTATATTACAAAAAGGAGTTTCAACACATGCCCACATGCCCACTGTGAAAACACTCCCCATCTGAAGCCAAGGGCCTGGAGAGGTTTGTCTCTTTCATCGTGTAATGCCCTCAGAGATCCAACTACTAGAATCGTGCTCATGGCATTTCTGAGCCCTTTTCATTGTGTCACTTTTGGTTGAGACAGAAAGTGCAAGCTACACACCCCTTTACAGAAAACCTGGTGTTCCTGAGACTCTGGAAACACGGAAGATGAATAGACATGTCATGGCGTCCCACCACGAGAGTCATCCGGGGGCCTAAGGGAAGTTCTCATTAGAAAATGTCAGACAGCAGAGAGAAGGAGTGATTTACAGTACAGGAAAAATGCTGAGGAAATCCTCAGACAAGAGGCTTCACAAAGATTACTTAGAATTGGAAGATAGAAAATACAGATTTTCTGGTGGGGAGGAGATCATTTTATCGTGCCCGGTAAACAAAGTTTGCTGTTGTGCTTGGATAGTATGATAGGTAGCCCACTTTCCTTGAAGGTTTGCTGTAAACTGTAGGCCCGCATATATGCATGAAGCCAGGGACCTTGCGGGGCTGAGCACAGCCTTCCCTTTTTGTCTTGATCAGTTTTTCGGATTCGGAGTTGAAAAATTGAATTCATTTTCTGCCCTCATGCATATTGCGATGCTGTTTTTAAATAGAACCTGAGACCTCCTTCATCCTCACCCTTCCATTGGTTTATGCATTTTCTACATTCAGCTACTGCCCCTATTTTCTTCCATAAAGACTAGGAAGGACATCCAAATAGGGGTACAAAAGTTTACCAATGAAGAGCTTCTAGGAAAAAAAGAAATGAGCTTAAAGATTAGATTATCTCCGGCTGAGCATGGTGGCTCACACCTGTAATCCCACCACTTTGGGAGGCCAAGGCGGGCAGATCACCTGGGTCAGGAGTTTGAGACCAGCCTGGCCAACATGTTGAAACCCTGTCTCTACTAAAAAAAAAAAAAGACAAAAATTACAGGCATGGTGGTGCATCCCTGTAATCCCAGCTACTCGAGAGGCTGAGGCTGAGGCAGGAGAATCACTTGTACTTGAGAGGCGGAGGTTGCAGTGAGCTGAGATCGTGCCACTGCACTCCAGCCTAGGCAACAGAGCGAGACTGTCTCAAAAACAAAACAAAACCAAAACAAAACCAAAAGGTTAGATGATCTCACAAGAGTAGTATAAAAACCTGAGTGTGCAGCTTTGAGACACTTAGGGAGAAACAGGGGGCAAAAGAAGCTGAGAGGGAGGCTGAAATTGCCAGAATGAAGGGATAGCTGAAATAGCCGCCGCTTAGGAGACCACCAAGCCAGACAGGACAGGCATGGCAGGGGAGGCAGCTGGAGAGGGACTCTTCACCAGCCTTGCTTAGGTTTGTTACCTTTTCAGATCAAAACTGGAGCCTCATAATAGATATCACAGAATAATTGGTCCACTAATTAATTAATAATGAATTTAACTTAGTTTTCCTTCTACAGAAATATGTCTCCAAGATAATTTTTTCTTTTTGTGATGGTGAAACATAAAGCAATATGACCCTAAACAACTCACTATTTTGCTACCTGAATTTTCCAATAAAACATCTGTATTTGGAAAAGCGAGGCATACCAAGTGGCCTTTTTCATTTAGGATGAACATGTCTTTGCTCTCATCGTCTTACTCGAAACTCTATAATTGCCAACAACTGCATCTAAATCCCCAAGTGGATTTCATCTCATTTCTTAATCTATGTTGTAAAGCTGCAATATTCAGCTTTTGCTGCCAACCATGTTTTATGTCTTCAGAATTGCCTGAAATGTAAAATTAAACTTAGTCCATGCTATTCTGAACCTCCTTCCATGGCATTTGATCTGTGGTTAGTTTGCTTTAATAGTTAATTTAATAGGCCGGGCACGGTGGCTCACACCTGTAATCCCAGCACTTTAGGAGGCCGAGGCGGGCGGATCACGAGGTCAGGAGATCAAGACCATCTTGGCTGACACGGTGAAACCCCGTCTCTACTAAAAATACAAAAAAAATTAGCCAGGCGAAGTGGCGGGTGCCTGTAGTCCCAGCTACTCGGGAGACTGAGGCAGAAGAATGGCGTGAACCCAGGAGGTGGAGCTTGCAGTGAGCTGAGATTGCGCCACTGCACTCCAGACTGGGCAACAGAGTGAGACTCCGTCTTAATAATAATAATAATAATAATAATAAATTTAATAAACCAGAGCCACTGGAAGCAAGACTGAATTGCACCTGTTGTGCTGATTTGGTGACTGTTATTCATAGGATTAAACAAAGATATTAATTTCCTTTTAAAACTCATAATTAGTCAAATGAACTTCATTCCTGAAGTCCTGAAATGCAAACATGTTCAATATAATAAAACTATTAATACAATTTCCCATGTTATTTAGTAAAAAATGAATAACGATTATTTTAATACATGACAAAAAACCATCTTCTAAATTCTTTATCATTTGTGAAAAATTATTGTTTTGTTTTGTTTTTTTAGAGACAGGGTCTTGCTCTGTTGCCCAGACTGGAGTGCAGTGGCACCAACACAGCTCACTGCAGCCTTGAACTCCTGGGCTCAAGCAGTCCTCCCACCTGAGCCTCCCAAGTAGTTGGGACCACAGGCACATACCACCACACTTGGTTACATTTTTATATTTTTGTAGACACAGGGTCTCACTATGTTGCCCAAGCTAGTCTTGAACTCCTGGCCTCAAGCGATCTTCCTGCCTCAGCCTCTAAAGCACTGGGACTACAGGTGTGAGCCACTGCACCCAGCCTCTTTTCTGAAAAACTATTGTTATATAATATAATTTAGAAACAGCAAGTGAAACGGTAAAAACAAGACAAAACCAAAAGGCTTTGAATTAATGTTACAGTCAGTTTAAGTTTCATTTAGCATGACTTCTTTTAACATTAATGTGGACATGCTGACATAGAATTAACAAAAAAAAATGAAATAAGAGGTTTCAATACTGAAACGAATGAAACAAAGTTATTATTATTTTCTGATGGCATGATTTTACTTATTGAAAACCCAGGAATAACAAATAAATGAACAAAAATCAGGAACAATAAGAAAGCTTATAAGGTGGCCAATTATAAAATAAATATTGAAAAAGAAGATATTGAGAGAAAAAATATCATTTTTCCCTAAATTAACTTGTAAATTCAATGATTTCTGTATAATTCCCAACCAAATGACCTTACTGAACAAAATGATTCCATATTTTATCTGAAAGAACAGACATTAGAATAACCATAAAATTTCTGAAAATAAAAGACAATGTTAGGGACACACTATTTGGTATTAAAATATATTATAAAACTATAATAATTAAAACAATGTGGTGATGAATTGGGAATAAATAGAATGAAAGGCTTAAATGTAAACCCAGGATATAACAAATGTATATACAAATGTCAAGTTGATATTTCTACCAGCTGAAGAAAACTTGATTATACAATAGAGAACAATGAATATCCAATAAATATGTTTTAAAAGTTCAAACTCAATACTAATTGAAGAAATACAAATAAAAACAGTTGGTGAGAGTGTAAATTGATAATATTTCTTTTTTTCTTTTTTTTTTTTTGAGATGGAGTCTCCCTCTGTCACCCATGCTGGGAGTACAGTGGCATGATCTCAGCTCACCACAACCTCCGCCTCCTGGGTTCAAGGGATTCTCCTGCCTCAGCCTCCTGAGTAGCTGGGATTACAGGCATGCACTACCACTCCCGGCTAATTTTGTATTTTTAGTAGAGATGGGGTTTCTCCATGTTGGTCAAACTGGTCTCAAACTCCTGACCTCAGGTGATCCACCCGCCTTGGCCTCCCAAAGTGCTGGGATTACAGGCATAAGCCACCACGCCTGGCCAATTGATATTTCTAAAGGACACTTCAACAACATAACCTAAATTATTTTTTGTTATCTCAATAGCTTTTGGGGTACAAGTGGTTTTTGGTGACATGGAAGAATTACATCGTAGTGAATTCTGAGATTTTTAGTGCACCCATCACCTGCACATTGCAACTAATATATAGTTTTTTATCCCCATAAGTAACCTGAAGATTTTAAGGGAACATACTTTAACTGGACCATACTTTTTAGAAGCTACATCCATGAGAAGTACACTGTCACATCAGCTTGGCATAGTCCCTGACTCCTCACTGTCTCTCTTGCCACATATTATTTCATCACCCAGGTATTAAGCCCAGTACCCAGTAGCTATCTTTTCTTTTATTCTCCCTTCTCCCACCCTCTCCCGTCAAGTAGACCCAGTGTCTGTTGCTTCCTTCTTTGTGTTCATAAGTTCTTATCATTTAGCTCCCACTTATAAGGGAGAACATGTGGTATTTGGTCTTCTGCTCCTGCATTAGTCTGCTAAGGATAATATCCTCCCGCTTCATCCATGTTCCCGGACAAGACGTGATCTCATTCTTTTTTATGGCTGCATAGTATTCCATGGTGTATATGTATCACATTTTCTTTATCCAATCTGTCATTGATGGACATTTAGGTTGATTCCATGGCTTTTCTATTGTGAATACTGTTGCAATGAACATTTGTGTGCATGTGTCTTTATGGTAGAACGATTTACATTTCTCTGGGTATATACCCATTAATGGGGGTGCTGGGTGGAATGGTAGTTCTGCTTTTAGCTCCTTGAGGAATCACCATACTATTTTCCACAACGGTTGAACTAATTTACAGTCCCACCAACAGTGTATAAGCATTCCCTTTCTTCTGCAACCTTGACAGCAGCTGTTATTTTTTGACTTTTTAATAATACCCATTTTGACTAGTGTGAGATGGTATCTCGTTGTGATGTTGATTTGCATTTCTCTAGTTATCAGTGATACTGAGCTTTTCTTGATATGCTTGTTCACTGCATCTATGTCTTCTTTTGAGAAGTGTCTGTTCATGTCCTTTGCCCACTTTAAAAAAAAAAATTGTTTGTTTTTTTCTTGTAAATTTGTTTAAGTTCCTTATAGATGCTGGGTATTAGACCTTTGTCAGATGCATAGTTTGCAAATATTTTCTCCCATTCTGTTTACCCTGTTGATAGTTTATTTTTCTGTGCAGCTCTTAAGTTTAATTAAATCCCACTTGCCAATGTTTGCTTTTGTTGTGATTACTTTTGGTGTCTTTGTTGTGAAATCTTTGCCCATTTTTATGTCTGGGATGGTATTGCCTAGGTTGTCTTCCTGAGTTTTTATGGTTTTGGGTTTTACATTTAAGTCTTTAATCCATCTTGAGTTGGTTTTTGTGTATGGTGTAAGGAAGGGGTCCAGCTTCAGTCTTCTGCATATGGCCAGCCAATTATCCCAGCACCATTTATTGAATAGGGAATCTTTTCCCCCTTGGTTGTTTTTGCCAGCTTTGTTGAAGATCAGATAGTTGTAGATGTGTGGCCTTATTCCCGGACTCTCTATTCTGTTCCATTGGTCTATGTGCCTGTTTTTGTACCAGTACCATGTTGTTTTGGTTACTGTAGCCTTGTAGTATAGTTAGAATTCAGGTAACATGATGCCTCCAGCTTAGTTATTTTTGCTTAGGATTGCCTTAGCTATTTGGGCTCTTTTTTGGTTCCATATGAATTTTAAAATAGCTTTTTTTTCTGGTTCTGTGAAGAATGTCATTGGTAGTTTGACAGGAATAGCATTGAATCTGTAAATTGCTTTGGGCAGTATAGCCACTTTAATGATATTGATTCTTCCTATCCATAAGCATGGGATGTTTTTCCATTTGTTTGTGTCATCTCTGATTTCTCTGAGAAGTATTTTGCAATCTCCTTATAGAGATCTTTCACCTCTCTGGTTAGCCATATCCCTAGCTATTTTATCTTTATGTGGCTACTGTGAATGGGATTGCCTTTCTGATCTGGCTCTCGGCTTGGCTATTGCTGGTGTATAGGACTCAGGAGGCTGAAGCAGGAGAACCGCTTGAATCCAGGAGGCCGGGGTTGCAGTGAGCTGAGATCATGCCACAGCACTCCAGCCTGGGCGACAGAGCGAGATTCTGTCAAAAAATAAATAAATAAAAGGAATACTGGTGATTTTTATACATTGATTTTGTATCCTGCAACTTTGTTGAAGTTGTTTATCAACTGGAGGAGCTTTTTGGCTGAGACTATGGGGTTTTCTAGATATAGAATCATGTTGTCTGCAAACAGAGATAGCTGACTTCCTCTCTTCCTATTTGGATGCTCTTATTTCTCCTGCCTGATTGCTGTGGCTAGGACATGGCAGAGATTTTTGTCTGTTTCATCCATATATGGCTGGGGCCTAGCATGCAGGCAGCCACCAGTAATGTATATTGAATGAATTTCTGAACAATATTTGCCAAGCACTTTCCTGCCTGATAATATTTAAGTAAAGCATCAGAATGATAAAATGGAACTCAAAGAGGCATGGTGCTACCTGCCATGAGACTCTTTGAAAAGCTAGGAAAGGCACTAAGAAAATTATTGGTGTTTTTATATTCAGTCCTAATGGTGGTCTGCTACTTCTTCCAGAAAAGTCACTAGCTGATAATAGACTTACACCAAACTCCTAAGCACAATAATAATAATTGAGGCAATAATAACTGTAATAATGAAAGTAGTCCCTTACATTTGTATACAATTTCACAATACATAAGTACTTACCTATTAATTATCTTATTGAATCCTCGTGAAGATCCCATAAGTTTGGGAGACAGGTAGCTATCACCTATTTGATGGATTTAAAACACTACTTTTTGCTGCGGGAGGCTACTTCTTAAAAAAGGATTTTCGTTTAGATTTTCTGAACTTCCCTCAGCATGGAAAGTTAAAGTTAAAAGATCAATTTAGTTATTTTTCTTTCTGAGTCTAATGTGTTAGTAAAATAATCTCAAGAGCTGTTAGTTTATGATTACGGCCATGGGATAGCAAAAACAGGTGTCTCAAAATGGATCATGTTCTGTGTGCTCACAACTTTTAAACTTATTTTCACAACCTTCGTAAGATTACTTCCATAAGTAATCATTATCACCATGATAAACAACTTCTACATTTTATTTTAGTCCTTTCATTTTAGCCATCTAAACATTGGAGCCTAATTGGTGCATTGGTTTTTCCGGGTCACCACATAGCCTGCTTTCACCCTAGACAGGAACAGTGTGCGCCATGGCTGCACATCATCTGTACGTTGCGATCTAACATATTTTGATGGCAATGGGCAAGTGGTAAGTAGAAGCGACTTTGTTTGTTTGTTTGTTTGTTTGAGACGGAGTCTCGCTCTGTCGCCCAGGCTAGAGTGCAGTGGCGCGATCTGGGCTCACTGCAAGCTCCGCCTCCCGGGTTCACGCCATTCTCCTGCCTCAGCCTCCCAGTAGCTGGGACTACAGGCGCCCGCCACCACGCCCGGCTAAATTTTTTTTGTATTTTTAGTACAGACGGGGTTTCACCATGTTAGCCAGGATGGTCCCGATCTCCTGACCTCGTGATGCGCCCGCCTCGGCTTCCCAAAGTGCTGGGATTACAGGCGTCAGCTGACGCACCGGAAATGAGCTATGATTTTAAGAAACATTTGAAGTGACAAACTTGGGAGGAAATTATCCTCTTTAGGGTCTAATATGTAAAATGCCAATGTTGCACGTGTATGTGTGTGTGTGTACATGTCTGTGTATGTGTGTGTGTCTCTGTGATTGTGAGTTTGAGGGTCTTATCTAGGCAAATGTGGCTACTAAGTCTTTTACTTGACTAACTTTCAGAATCAGCTGATCAATCACAAATGATCTGTTGGGAACCTCTGAGCAAAATATTTGCTATTAATTATACATACTTAACATTTACTAAAACTCTCAAGCTAACTGCATTTAATTTTAGAGAAACAAATGTAGCTAAATTCCTACCAATGAATTGAATAATGGTTGAGTGTGTGTCTCTGTGGCCCACCCCAACGTGGAGCCGGCTGGGGACATGGCCACACCATGCCCTGACCATTTTCAGCTTAGAATGCAGTTCACTCACAGAGTATTCACAGGTTCACAAAACACAGTGCCAGAGGCCCTCCAAGCATCCAGAATGTTGACCTAGCAGAAAAATGAGACTTTGCATAAAACAAGAACATAGACGGTCCCTGCTGGAGAGGGACAGGCAGCGTTGGAGGACACAGATGAGGGTAGTAAGGAAAGCAAGGAATCAACATTTTGCAGTGCATACTCAAGAAGCCAGATCTTCAGGAAGCCAGACACGGAGCCGAGGGAGATTGGGAAACGTATAAGCTTACACAAAGCATGAGGGCACTAAGACAAGGAAGGGGCCACTTCCAAGGTAGAGTTTCGTGGAGCCGAGGTGCCTTGGGCACACAGAAGCATGGGGGAACTTAGGTGGGACCACAGAAGTGACCCCGAAGTCCCAGAAACCTTACAACCCCTCCCTGAGATGTCTCCACAGAAGCAGGACTCCAAGGAACTCAGTTTGAAATCCTCTCTGAAAGTTCCTTCTGGCTGTCTGCACACCGGTGAAAATTTAAATATTACTCTCTAACTGTTCGATATAGTTCTTAAGTATCTTAAAAGGAACAACATCTAAATGAATGAATAGTATGGCCCTTTCTATCTCTCATGCCTTTCCATAAAATATAAAAACCTAGGCTTGATTGACTCACCTGGTTGTCTGCCTAATGGCTATCAAAACACAAGCCAGATGATAAAAACCAAATACTGTTTAGACTTTGCATCTTGGAGGCAGTAAAATAAAAATATTTTGTGTGCTCACAGATTTTAAACTTATTTTCATAGCCTTCGTAGTATTACTTCCATACGTAATCGTTATCACCATGGTAAACAACTCCTACATTTGGCGTCTCCCTTAATCCTCCAGTGGCTGTCTGAGGAAGGTCACGGCACGTTTCCCATGTCACAGATGCTGAGTGTGAGGCACTGGAGAGTGGAGTCACTTGCTCCAGGGCTGCAGCTGGAAGGGGCTGGAGTTGAACACTGAGGTCCTCTGACCCTGCTGCCTGGGACCATCTTGCTGCCCCATCCCACTCCTTGGGTCACAGTCTTATTTCTCAAGTTCAAAAGTGTTTCCTGAGTTCAGAAATCTTTAACCTAGACAAGCAAACATTGTTTACAACAAATCTCTTGTTGAGCTGACTTCCGCCCAAAATCATGAGAGCTTTAAGATAAGAAGAGGCCATTTCCAAGATAGTTTGTTATGGGGCCTGAGGTGTTTGGGGCACACAGAAGGATGGGGAAACAGATGGAAACACAGCAGTGACACTGAAGTCCCAGAGACCCAACAGCCCTCCCTGAGACGTCTCCACATGACCAGGACTCAAAGGAACCCAGTTTGAAATGCCCCCGCTTAGATTCTCTCTGACAGTTGTTTCTGGCTGTTACTGTATTTTATAAGTAGTATTATCTGATTATTAAATATAGTTCTTAAATACGTTAAAATGTAAAAAGAAACAGCATCTAAGTGAATGACATGGCCCTTTCCACCTCTCATGTTTTCCTGTAAAGCGTGTAGATTAAGCTTGACTGACTCACTTGGTTATTTGCCTAATGGTGATCAAAATTCAAGCCAGAAGATTAAAAACCAACTATTCATTAGTGTTTTGCATCTTGGAAGCAGTAAAACCAAAAGATTCTATGGAGTCACGGATTTCTCCTAGAGTCGTATTTTTCAACAAATGAGAACCATAACCTTCCGATGTTTGGGGCCCACTGGATAAATAAATGATGGATCTTCAAGAACATTTACACGATGCCTACCACGTACCACATGCTGTTTTAGAGTCTGGGTCTACAAGGATGATTTACTTCCGCCCTTGAAGAATTTAGCTGAGGAGACCGTGGCTGAACAGGCCAGGTGATGTCAGCACGACATAGCAGGTGCTATGGTAAGGTGCTCTGGGCTCATAAAAGGAAATGCCAAGCCCACATGATGAGAGGACGAGAGGGGGAAACTAGTGGAAGGTTTTCTGAGGAGGTGACACTTGTCTGGAGTATAGGCAGGAATAGGTCAGATACAGAAGGAAACACTAGAATGCGGCAGTGTGGGTGAGTCGAGGAGGTTCTAGACCAAGGGAACGCAGTGAACAAAAGGACCCAGGCAGGAAACACCGTGCCCTTTTCCAGGAATTATGAATACATGGATGTTGCTGGAGGTTAAAGGTTTTTCAAATGTCATCTCAAATGTTACTTTTTCAGAGGAGACTTTCCAGACCACCAGGCAGGCTAAATTAAGTTCTCCTCCTATTTGATCTCAGCACTCTGGTGCTTGGCTTCATAGCAGTTACCACTGTTGATGATGATGTGCATATTGCTGTGTGCTGTGTGTTGGTGTAGCTCCCTCCCACTGGACTGAAAAACCTCTGATGGCAGAGACAAGGTCCTTTTTGTGTGCCACTGGAGGCCCGTGCCTGCCTGCCCTGACACCTGCAAACAGCAGGCATTTGCTAAGGACTGAGCAGTACCATGGCTGGAAATGCATTTGAAGAGGTTGGCAGGCAGAAAATGCTTTCAGGCTGTGGGGTTAGCATGAACAAAGGCACAGAGACTGATGCAATGGGAGTTTGAGGGAGAAAAGCAACCTAATCAGGGTGACTTGAATGTGGGGTATGACCCAGTGGGGATAGACTGGCAGCTCTATTGCTGTCTGATTATAGAGTCCTCAAACACTGAGCTGGGGAGGTTGGTCTTCCCTGAGATGATGGAACGTCTTTGTCTGCTCAGCCATTTTTAAAGTAGCACTAGGTGAGGTCAAAGTAAGGTGCAGTCTTGAGTTTGGCAGAGTGCCCCTGCAACCACTGCCCTTGAAGAGCTTATGACCCCCAAGAACAAATCAAAATAATGTGCCAACATAGCACCAACGCATTGAATGTCAAAGTCCCAAACTCAAGAATCTCTCCATCTTGAGCTGAATGTTAGCAAAATGAGTATCTTTGTGGAAAGCAAATCTGGAACACATGTAACTGTTCAAAAATGAATTCAAACATTTAATTTGGGCCAGGCATGGTGGCTTACACCTGTAATCCCAGCACTTTGGGAGTTCCAGGTGAGAGGATCATGTGAGCCCAAGAGTTCAAGACCAGCCTGGGCAACGTAGTGAGACCTTGTCTCTACAAAAAATAATTAGTCAGACATAGGGGTGCACGCCTGTAGTCCCAGCCACTCGGGATGCTGAGGTGGGAGGATGGCTGGAGCACAGAGGTTCAAGGCTGCAGTGAGCTATGATTGCACCACTGCATTACAGCCTGGGCAACAAAGTGAGACTGTGTCTCAAAAAAACTTAATTTGAAGGAAGAACTTATAAAATCTGCCAAGTGAGTGGTGGAGCACGTAGAGGAATCCTCTTATCTGGAGTGAGAAACTCTGAAGTCCTGGTTCCTCATACCCTCTGTGTGACACTGGGCAAATTCTGTCACCTGCTAGCCTCATTTTCTCATCTGTGAATCAAGAAATAGGTTCACCTGAACTTTCAGGCCCTTCCTAGGTGTAATAAAGACCGTGCACTGACGCCAGATTTTCTAGCATTGTGCTTTTGAGCTTACAGTCTTTTCATTAAACATCATAATCTGAGATCACATCATTTGGTAATATTATGTGAAATTTATGGTTGCAATTCTGCTGAAATACAGCATGTGCACAGAAGCAACACTCTTGTGTTAGAGCTAGTTTGCCTTTTATTAAACACTAAATTCTACATCTTTACACTCTTAGCCATCTCATAGAATCATTGGTAAAATGCAGTTAAAACTCAGAAATACAAGTCTGAGCTTATAAAATAACCCATAAAATATGGTCCTGAAATAATTCCAAAAGGAAATACAAAATTGCCTCCTAATGACTCAGAAAAGTAAGGCCCCCAACCCTAACCTATTGAAATATCTCATTTTTCAATTACATATTTCTCTCCATCCACATCTGTAAGGCCTACCATACACGACAGGAAGATGGAAACTTTCCTCTATGACCTTGAACCGGTTCCTTCCTGATTCTGTTGGAAGCATCCCACCCTCTCTCCCTGATGTATCTTCTTCTCTGTCTGCCTAACCATTTCTTTAACTCAATCTGTAAGCATCTCCAACACTCATTTTCTGAATGTGCTGTATTTCATCAATTCTAAGACATATATTTTTCATATTTAGCATCTCTGAGACGAGCATGTTTTTTTTTTACAGCGAAGGCCCCTTACCATTCTATTGCAAGGGTTTTTTCTCTAGGTACATAACAGTAGTGTGCCTTACAGCTCATGGAATATTAGTTTTGGCACAATGCAATGCAAAGTCCTCTTTGTCCCCTCATACCATCTGCCTTGAGTTAAGCTCTTTGAGAGGGTTGGAAAAGGAGGATACCTTTTATATATTTAGTTAATAATCTAATACATAATATGAGACTTCACAGACAGACAGGAAATGCTCTCAGCAGCTCTCAGGCAGGCCAAGGAGAACTGGAAGGTGGCAGCTCCTTGGTGACTAGCTGGAGCTCTGATGATCCAACCCAGCTCTGATGACCCGAGAGCAAGTCTGGTGCCAGCTCAGGCTCAGCTGCCCATCTCTCCTTCTGCAAAGTCAGCCTCACACTCAAGATCCCCCAAAGGAAAGATCAAGTTTGTTTGGCTGGTCACCCCCGTGCCATCAGCAAGACCCTCCTGCCAGGCTTAGGGCTCTGTAGACTAGACTCCAGCCCATTCAAGATCAAATTAGCTGTGGCCAGAGCTGGGATAAACATGGCCACGTGCTGGTAAAGGCCCACTAGGAAGAGGCTGTGGTGTAGCAGGTCTTCATAACAGAATAGATTTTTCTTTACATGTCCCTCTAGCAGACACCTTATTTTTTTAGCTTCCCCTTTCCATCCAAGTTTGCTGGAAGAGTGGTCTAAACTTGCTGTCTGCACCTGTATTATTCAACCTAACTCCATGAGCCTTCCATCCTTCCACCTTGGCAGACACTTCTCTGACGGTACTCGCCTCGGCATGACTGCAGATGTGATGGCTCCATTGACCACTTTCCAGTCCCTATCTTAGCAGTCTTAGCAGCAAATGTCATTATCACACTGTGATGCCACAGGAAACCCCTTCATCAGTTGGTACTCCATCCTCCAGGTGTTTCCCGAATGGGCTGCCGAGGACCCTTCTCCAGAGAATTGCCTCAGCTGATGGGAACTCTCTCAGTGGAGCACTGGAGGGTGGATCTGCTCACCCTGGAGCCGCTGCAGGCAACGCTTAGATGGTGAGGGTGCCATCAGACCTGACACCCCTTCTTGTGTGTGTGGAGACTCAATAAATGTTCACTGCATGTGTTTATTATTAGTCTCTCAGAACCACTTGTATTTCTTTTATAACTTTAATTTTGAATCATTTTAGATTTGAAGAAAAATTGCAAAAACAGTACAAAGAATTCCCTTATATTCTTCATACCATTTTTCCTAATGTTAGCATATTTCATAATCTCAGTATAATTATCAAGGTTAGCAAATTTATAGTGGTACAATATTATTAACTCAACTATAGACTTTCTTCAATTGTTACACCAGTTTTTCTCCCAGTATGTTCTCTGTCCCAGAACCTCACACTGCTTTCAGAAGTTATTTCTCCTTAGTCTCCACTAACCTGAAACATTTCAGTCTTGCCTTATCTTTCATGACAGCAAGTATTTCATAATGCTCCCTTTACTACACTGAAGTGAAATCCATAGATAATATTAGTGCCTTCCATGAGGCTCATTTGCTGAAACTGTAGATATACACGTACGCATATATAAATGTGAAATAAAATTTGAACGTAAACTATAATTTCATCAGTTTGTTATTATGGTTCAGAAAATACTTTTAAATTTGAAAAATGGAAAAGCGAATTAGGAAGAAAGAATAATATAGTAGTGAAGAAGGTAAGCTCTGGAATCATACTGCTAGGGTTACAATAGCTGTGTGACCTTGTGTAGGTTACCTAAGCTCTCTGTGCTTCAATTTCCTTGTTGGCCAACTTGATAATGCTGTCATAAGGATTAAATTTTTTAAAGAATTCATGTATGAGCTCAGTGTCTGGCATGTAGTGAGTTTTAACTTATGTTTTTAAGACAATACATCATATTTTCTTTTGTTCTGACATGGGCTGACAAACTTTTCCTTCAGAGGGGCCAGATAGTAAATATTTTAGGCTTTTCAGCCATATACAGTCTCTGTCATATATTCTTCTTCTTTCTATTTATTTATTTATTTATTTATTTATTTAATCCTTTAAAAACATAAAAACTGTTTTTGGCTTGTGAGCCTTAGTTTGCCAGCCCAGTTTTAGCTTGAGACCATAGGCAGGTTAATATGTAGCGTTAAGAAAAGGTTCACATTTCCCCCTTTTTGGTCTTTTTAAAAACTAAAACATTTAAACACCCAAAAAAAGTACAGAGTGTGCCATAATATCCATGTACCATTCATCCAGCTTCAAAAAATTTTACATTTTGCGTATTTCCTTTAGCTTTCCATTTTTCCCCCAGACTACACATGGCAACTATCCAGAAGTTCATATGCATCCTCTTTGTGCATCCCCTCAAAACCCTGTGAGTTCACCAAAATCAGTGACCTTTCTTCTTGAGCGGGAGGTTAAAAAACAGTTCCCAGTCTTCCATGCAGTCAGGTGGGGCTGCGTCACTGCATGCTGGCCACGGGAACCTGGATGGGGGTGATAACGTCCTTCTCTGGACAAGTAGTGACGAAGAAGACATGCTTGTCCCTTGTCCTTCTCCCCAGTTGCCCCTGGGGAGCAAAAGACCCCACGATGGAATTAGCCAGAGTTCATGGGTTTCCGCGTGGAGCCAGAAACATCCATTAGGCTGTGATACAAATGAGAATAAATAAGCATTTTTGTGTTAAAGCTATTAAAATTTCAGGGCTTATCTGGTAGAGCAGCTGGTGTTATATAAATTTCAACATGCTCCATGGTTTTATAATTTTACTAAATGTGTATTTATCCATATATAATATATAGTACCACTTTATATTTCAGACACTTGAACAAATGGCAAAAAAATGGTACATGGCATCCCACGACTTGCTTTTTTTTTTTTTTTCTCAACAGTATGTTTTTGCGATCCAGCTACATTGGTAAATGTTCACACTTTTTTTTGTTTTTGTTTTTTGAGACGGAGTCTCGTTCTGTCGCCCAGGCTGGAGTGCAGTGGCTCGATCTCGGCTCACTGCAAGCTCCGCCTCCCGGGTTCACGCCATTCTCCTGCCTCAGCCTCCCGAGTAGCTGGGACTACAGGCACCCACCACCATGCCCGGCTTATTTTTGTATTTTTAGTAGAGACGGGGTTTCACCGTGGTCTCGATCTCCTGACCTCGTGATCTGCCTGCCTCGGCCTCCCAAAGTGCTGGGATTACAGGCGTGAGCCACCATGCCCAGCCAACTGTCACACTTTAGCAATGTTAGTTACTTGTTTGATTAGGCCCATAAAATATACTAAATATGTATATATACTTAATATATACACATATTTTTTGAGAGGGAGTCTTGCTCTGTTGTCCAGGCTGGAGTGCAGTGGCACGATCTTGGCTCACTGCAACCTCTGCCTTCCAGGATCAAGCAATTCTCCTGCCTCAGCCTCCTGAGTAGCTGGGATTACAGGCGCCCATCACCACGCCCAACTAATTTTTGTATTTTCAGTAGAGATGGAGTTTCACCATGTTGGCCAGGCTAGTCTTGAACTCCTGACCTCAGGTGATCCGCTCGCCTCAGCCTCCCAAAGTGCTGGGATTACAGGCATGAGCCACCGCACCCAGCAACTATTTTAATTAATATTTAAATATGATAATATTGTCCAATCTCCAAAAGGTTTAAAATTGTTTTTGGTTGGCTGGGCGCGGTGGCTCACGCCTGTAATCCCAGCACTTTGGGAGGCCGAAGCGGGTGGATCACGAGGTCAGGAGATCATGACCATCCTGGCTAACAGGGTGAAACCCCATCTCTACTGAAAATACAAAAAATTAGCTGGGCATGGTGGCGGGTGCCTGTAGTCCCAGCTACTTGGAGACTGAGGTAGGAGAATGGTGTGAACCCAGGAGGCAGAGCTTGCAGTGAGCCGAGATCGCGCCACTGCACTCCAGCCTTGGCGACAGAGCGAGACTCCGTCTCAAAAAAAAAAAAATTGTTTTCTGTTAGCACATAATTAGCATTTAGTCAGCTCAATGATACATATTGGTAAGGTAGCTTATGTTTTCCATTACATTTTCACTTATCTCCTTCTATTTGACCCTCACCGAAAACCCTGTGAGTTAGAAAGGACTGGCATTATCATCTCTGGTTTGGCAATGAACTCAAATCCCAAACACTTTCTAGTTGTGTGATTTCGGGGGAATTATTGGCCACTCTGTCACTCGAACATATTCCCTTCTAAAATGGGAATAAAACTTGAACTCATATCTTGAGTTCTCATGAGGATTAAATGGGCTTTTGCTTTGTCCAGTGCAGATCACACAGTAAGCAATCAATAACTGTTAACTAACAGCAGAAAGACATGACTGTATGATATGTGGTTAATCTAAAACTGCAGCCCTTAGTGCCACAGGCTCCTGGAAGGAAACCATGCTCCTTCTCCTGCGTGGCTGTTTCCTGAGTCCACCACATGTGTCTCTCCCTTGTTCATTGTTCTGTGATCACTGGGACTGTTCGCAACCACAAAGTGTTGTTGGGTTTAGTTTTTCTATTGTGAAGCAAAATTTTAAACTTCCAAACTTTCAGCCAATTTGCTAATTTTTTTTCTAGTGAATAAGGAAAAAGTCTCTCATTAGTCAATTTCACCAGTTGTGCCACTGGGCCCAGCTCCACAGGCCTCCCCCTTGTCCTGCTCAACCACACACCTTTCTGCCCTCTGACGAATCCTTGTCAACTTACCCCAATTTTTTATTACAAATGCCTCACACACCGTCACTTTTCTTTATCAATGATGAGCATTTTTCTACTTCTTTTTTCTCCTCTCCTTAAATCTCTGATGTTCTCCCATGACATTTTCGTCCCTCTTTACACTTTCAGATGGGAGCTTCTGATTCTAATTTGTTGTCGGGTGGGATGTCAAAGAATAATAAACAGCTGTGCTTGTTTGGTTCAGTATTAGTGGTTCCTTAAAACCTGTACATCAAAATTCTGGCTTTTTACCTAGAGGGTTTGGAACACTTTTTTTTTTTTTTTTTTTTTTTTTTTTTGAGACAGAGTCTGGTTCTATCGCCCAGGCTGGAATGCAGTGGCATGATCTCTGCTCATTGTAACCTGTGCCTCCTGGGTTCAAATGATTCTTATGCCTCAGCCTCCAAAGTAGCTGGGATTACAGGCGCCCACCCCCACAATTGGCTAATTTTTGTATTTTTTTAGTAGAGATGGGGTTTGGCCATGTTGCCCAGGCTGGTCTTGAACTTCTGGCCTCAAGTGATCTGCCCACCGCAGCCTCCTAAAGTGCTGGGATTACAGGTGTGAGCCACTGCACCCAGGCAGGAACACATAATGTTATTCATTTTAATTTTATTCATTTAGTTTTCTTGAGAGTAAAGTGTCACTCTGTCACTCAGGCTGGAGTAGAGTTGTGCAATCACAGCTCACTGCAACCTCTAACTCCTGGGTTCAAGTGATCCTCCCACCTCAGCCTCCAAGTAGCTGGGACTTTAGGCATGTGCCGCCCCACACACAGCTAATTTTCTTATTTTTTTGTAAAGATGGGGCCTTGAACTGGATTTAAGTGATCTTCCTGCCTTAGCAATTTTATTATTAAAATCAAAGCAAAACAAAGCTAAGCCTTTTCTTTTCTAGGTCACATTGCTAATATGGTGAGGTGTTTGTTTTGTTTTGTTTTGTTTGCCATAACCAGGTCTTTTGACTCCAAATCTGTGCTGTTTCCTCCAGGTTGCAATGCCTCCCTTAAATAATAATTTGCATGTCCCACAAGGGGCATTCGCTCCTGTCCACAGAATGATATAGTGATTCCCTCAATAAAAGGAGAAACTCTTTTTCAAACTAGCATATTCATAGAATTTGAAAGTGGAAAGTGACTGCAGAAGTTGTGTTCTGAAATGTCAACCCAGTTAGTTTCCTGTTAATTATATTTTTACTTCATTGTGTATTGACTATGAGCTTTACATGCCTTATATTTTGCAAGGGAGGTATCATTCCTCCGTACAGATGAGGAGAAAGTTTTAGTAAAGTCACCGCGTATGCCCAAGGTCACTCAGTTCAATTCACATCCCTGCAAGTCTGACTTCAGTGTCCACATGCTTCTCTCAGCATAATTCTGCCTCTCTTAAACACTAGCATCAAAAAAGAAAGCTGGGTGGTGACGTTTGCCATGATTTGTATGTTTGCCCAGTTTCTGATCTCCATTCCACCCTCAGGCACATCCCTACTTACTTTCGTTCTTTACGCACGGAGATGAAATATGTATCTTTAGGGAAAAAAACTGCAGAAAACATTGCCTTATTTTATAGAAATATACCAGATCAAAGAGAGAAAATTACACAAAGAATCAATGATAACCCTAGAAGAAGGGCTTCAGAGAGAGAGAAATCTAGCTTGTTTTCCTAATTTCTGGTCATTAAATTACTGACCGTCCTGAATTCTCCTGAGTTATACTGGTAAACAGCAGAGCTTCTAACGGAGAAGAAAAGAGGCCAGCAAGGAGAGGAGGAAAGAAGGCTCAGACCAGCAGATAAGCTGAGGAAGCCAGGGCCCAGGGGACCGGAACTCAGGTGGCAGTGCCAGGGAGCGAGGCCGTCTTCCCTGCTCTTCTGGAGATGTGACTTCGCACAGACAGTATCTTCTGCAGAGGGCATCCTGCTCCGTTATTTAAAGACCCAACAGCACTGGCAAAGCACGTAATAGATTTTACTTACTATTTGCTATGCAATATTCTCCCCATTTAACGTATTAAGCCTGTAATGCTTTCATTTTCTATCACAGGAGCAGAGAAACACCATACACCAAGAGAGAGGCCCTCTTTCCATTGGATTACATGAGAAGTATTTAGGCCTTTTCCACTGCCTTCCACATTAAGCCTAACCCCAAGGTCCAAGAGATAGTATCAGGTTTAAGAGCATTAGGTTGCATGAAAATAGGCCACTGCATTTAGACATCCTCCCTAGAGACTCAGGGAGAGGCCGTTTGAAATGGTATGCTTAAAGATAGAAGCTAATTGGTGGACTTAAGATAGTTGACCAGAGCTGTAGATTAATGATCTGCTGTCCTGGAGATAGGGAGGCTACTGCATGGCTCTATATTTTTAGATATCAAGTCAAATGGAAAATAAGTAGAGGAAAGTAGTAAACTTTTACAAAAGCATTTCTTTGTCGCCTGTGGACTGAGGTAGGCACTCCGGTCAGCAAAGAGTTAAAAAGATAGGGCTTCTTGCCTCTCACATCCAGGAAGATCAGTTTCCAGTCCTTTCCTGAGTAGGAGAGGGAAGTCTTGAGTTAAATTCACCTTTTTCTTACACAGTCTTATATTTAAAAATGTACCTGATGGCCAGGCATGGTGGCTCACGCCTGAAATCCCAGCGCTTTGGGAGGCCGAGGCAGGCAGATCACGAGGTTAGGAGATCGAGACCCTCCTGGCTAACACGGTGAAACCCCGTCTCTACTAAAAATACAAAAAATTAGCCGGGCGTGGTGGCCGGCACCTGTAGTCCCAGCTACTCGGGAGGCTGAGACAGGAGAATGGCATGAACCCAGGAGGGGGAGCTTGCAGTGAGCCGAGATCGCGCCACTGCACTCCAGCCTGGGGGACAGAGCGAGACTCCGTCTCAAAAAAAAAAAAAAAAAAAACTACCTGACACTCAGAAACTTTTCACTACCAATATCACATAGGTAGGTGATTTTGCTTTCTTAAAAGTACCATAGGATATTATTATTAAAACCATAAAATATTAATAATGCAGTCTATTTTATTCATAACAAGAGAAATAATAATTGAGAAGCTTTTATCATTAGATTCCCATTGTGTCAATTCCCGATAGTTTTCTTTTTGATCTCCCAGGCTCAATTGATCCTCCCACCTCAGCCTCCTGAGTAGCTGGGACCACAGGTGCCCACCACCATGCCTGGCTTATTTATTTATTTATTTTGTAGAGATGGGGGTCTCACCGTGTTGCCCAGACTGGTCTTGAACTCCCGGACTCAAGCAATCCTCCCGCCTCGGCCTCCCAAAGTGTTAAGATTACAGGCGTGAGCCACCACTCCCAGTTGAGTTTTCTTAAAACTCAATTTTACTGGGAAATTACTTACGTTCAAAAACTGAATCCATTTAAAGTGTGCAATTCCATGAGTTCTGACGATTATAGCTGCCCGAGAAAGCACCACCACCCGAAGATGCAGCACATTCCTGTCACCCCAGAAAGACCCCTGCCCTCTGCAGTTCAGCCCACCTTCCACCGCTGCCAGAGGCAGCTCCTCGCCTGTTGCCCCTTGAGGTTTGTTTTGTTGTTGTTGTCGTCTTTTTGTTTTTTGGTTTGGGTTTTTTTTTGTTTTGTTTTGTTTTGTTTTGTTTTGCCAGAAATGTGTTTGTTTCCACTTCTGGCAAGTAGTAAAAGATGGCTGCCAGAGTGTAAAGAACTCTTAGGGTTACATTGAAAGACCCTCCAGTCCCTATGTCATTCACGATTTTATAGTAATTTACCAAAGCTTCGGGGAGAGCTCCAGGTGCTTTGCCTCTTTCATACTCCCACCGCCAGGTAGGGTCAGGGAGGGCTGAAGGCCGGTGGGTAGCTCTGAGCATTTGAGAAAAAGCATGTGTAGGGGAGGCGAGGCACACACTCCCTCTTCTCTGACACATTGGACAAAACTCATTGCCCATGTTCAAGTTAATGCAAATGTGATACCTAAACATGTATGTGGTGGCATGTACAGCAGGGTGTGTGTCGGGGGCGGGGAGAACACTGGGCTAAGTCAGGAGGCTTCTACTTGTACAATTTCAAGTAAAGATTCCGCTTCCCCAGGCTCTCTCTCTTCACTGTAAAGGGAGATAGAGATAGGACCGAATCTTCTCTAAAGCCCTTTGCAGTCTATAAATCCATGTTCAACTGTCAAGATCTTTAAAACACCAGTGACTATGGTTATTATAAGTCAGAAAGCAAATTGGAATGAAAACAGAGAACTGAATTTTTTTCAGAGAAATACTTCATGACTCTCAATCTCTCGCAGAAATGACCCATTCACCTGGGTTGACTGGTTCAAGCATCAGTTCAATTGTTTTTCTTGGCTCTTCCTAACCTTTATGTTAATGGCTCTGTCACTGTGATCTTACTTTGAAAATTAAGACAAATACGTAAAAAGTAAACAACATTAATGTCTCCATTTCTTGCTGAAAAATACTGTTTTCCTTGAGGACATATTGTGTTTACTTTAAAAAAAAAAGACTGCAATATTTTAACTTAGCTGCTGAGTCACTTTTACTTAAAGAGGCTTTTGAAACCAACTAATGCAAAAAAAATAAAATTTTATCAGACTTATTTCAGCAACTAGAAAAAAAACAAAATGATTTGAGCCCTTTCAGGATATCCTATTCCAAACAGATTACCCACACAGGCAATTGTAACACCGTCTCAAGTTGGGTTATAACTAAGGTATGCCTGAGGTTATAACACGTTCTTTCTTTCAATTAAAAAAATATTCAGGGGAGGGGAAAGTCAAACCTCAGAAGCACTTTTCTGCCTTTTCAGAGCTAGTTCTATGTGTTCTAATTTTCACACAGCTTCTAACTTAGGAGACATGGATCTTGCAAACAGCCAACTCTCAGCTATTTGGGGGCTTCTAATCTGGTCTGTGGATTATATCACTTTTTTTCTCTGTCTTTATGATTACCTTCAGGTACCTCGAGTAAAAACTCAAATGAGTCTACTTTATTACTTATTATTAGCCTGGTAAAATATCTGATGGGAGAAAACCTAAATGCATTAATTATAATGAAATGTGTGTATTTTGGAAACAACTTTAATGGAAACAAAGTAAGTCACATTAGTTTTTCAGAGCCCCAGTCTAACCTAAATGATGTAATTTTAAACCTTAATCCATTCAATAGTCCAAGGACTTTTTGAATATACACACTTGTTAAGAGAATATATTTTAGCTGCAAACAAATGGAAATATTTTCTAACACCAATTTGGAAGATAAAAATAATTTCTGAACCTGTACCAAACTGATAAATTATTGGATTTACATTTCAACTCTATCAATCTATAGATTTTATATATTCATTATCTCATTTAAAAGTCATCACAATACATCATCCTCAAAAGCTAACCATATACCTTTTCTTTTTTTAAGATAGAGATGAGGTCGCTATGTTGCCCAAGCTGGTCTTGAACTTGTAGCTTCAAGTGATCCTCCCACCTCAGCTTTCCAAAGTGCTAGGATTACAGGTGTGAGCCACCACACCCAGCCTAGATTTTTATTTTTAAAGGTGGTTCATGTTAATATAGATTGTGCTTATGGAGCAAAACTGTATATCATTTCAGTAACTCACACAGCTATGTATATATATTTATATGTATATATGGATATTACATATTATACTATATATAATACCCATATATAATATATTATACCATGTATAATATCCATATATAACATATATGTATTTTATAATTATGTAATGTTGCCACCTTAAAGGTAGCTTAGAAACTGTCTCCCATACAAAGGTATTTTAACCAGAACACAATTTTTTTTGCCAGTTCTTTTGGGTAGGCACAACTATTCCTCCAAAGGCTGTGGAATGTATTCTACATTTTTAGTTAAGTTCTTACTTGTCCTTTCATTCATTTTATCATTTCAGATCAGTTCAATTGCCTTCAAATCCTGAGCTTATAAGCCTCTGCTAATTGGCACGGATGGGCATGCAACATTAAGTGTGGAAAAGATTAAAAGGAGTGAATTGAAACATACCGGAAGAGGGATCAGCCACTTAGGTTGGTCCATTACCCATGGGACAAGGGAGGGCACTATCTCAGGTGTCAGATCCCTTTAACTAACACCCCTAACCTCTGCGATTGTTGGAGACAGACACTGGGGTGAGCCAGCATCAGCCAGGCTGCAGCGAATCAGACAAGCACAAGCACCAACAAAGCCTTCATTTGCTGCTTCCGGACCTAAGTAGGGGCGAGGGCACACGAAAGGGCAAAAGGGACTGTGGCTATCAAGACAGCCGGGCTCCAGTGTCACACTGAAGCCAAAAAACTTGTACCTGGCACAACTGTAAGGACCAGGGAGGATTACCCACTGGGCAGATGCTGGCTGGGCATCTGTCCCCCACAGAGAGGCCACTGTGCTGAGAGGCACCCCTGAAGAGCCTTGGGGCTATTAGGTTCCATGCATGATCTCTACTTACTATGGCTGGTCAATTCGGGTCTCCAGTTCCTTGGCCACTGGTGATGCCATATTTTAAGAAATATTTTAAATGTCAAGGAGGAAGAAAAGAGGCTCATTAGAAAGTCAGGGAAGTTGTCCTGAGGTGGTCACATTCTCTGAGCAACGTGCCGGGGTAGACAGGATCTAGTCTTCCTGAAATGCATGCTCCCTTCATGATGAAAAAATCCATCAGATTTTTCTCAGCACTAATAATCGCTCACATTTCTCCATTAGTGTTTGTGACTTTTTTGTATATGACTTTTGACTCTTTAAGGGTCCATCACTGTACCCTAAATACCACAAGCAGCACCTGGCCCATAGTTTGCACTCAATCAATACTTGTTGGTGAATGATTGTTTCAAGCGTTGCCATAGGCTCTAATACTTTACAGATGTTACTTCACTCAAATCTCAACAACTCGAATAACACAAATACTGTGCACACCCTAGTTTACAGATGAGAAAACTAACCAGAGAGAAGTTAAATAATACGCCCTGGATCACACATCCAGAGATGGAAGACTCAGAATTCCAACCTGAGTCATCTGTTTACACCGTATGGATTCTTGATCAATTGTACATTGACTCTCATTATCTTAGAGAGTCAATAGTTTACATTTACCGTACACCAAAACATAACCAACCTTATTTTGTTCCAAATATTTTGTGACCAGACTGATTTCCCTGCTTCTAGACTGTTCACTGTAAATGTCCTGAAACATTGAAGAGATTACCTTTAAGATTTGCAGTTCTCTGGCCACCCTTTCAGCCGTCTGTGTCTAAGTCCACCAGCAAAGTTTGAGTTGACCCATCTGAAAAAGTTAGCCAGCAAAATGCAGCTAGTGACACATCTCAGGATATGGCTATGTTTTCCGTGCTGTGGGGAGTCCTTAGTTTCATCTGGATGACCAGCTTGCACTCAGAGAGGATGTGTTGTTTCTCTTTCAGTGTCTTTGAATGAGTTTGGCTCTGAAGACAGATGTTCTATCACTACCTCCAGAGAAATAAGTCTCTTCTGTTTGTGCTTACAAGTGGGCCGTGTAGCTAGGGCCTCATGGCTTACCTTCTACACTATGTTACAGCTAATAAGCCAAAACCTGATCCTGAAGTACTCACTCAAAGAAAGGGAGAATAGGCCGGCTGCTGTGAGTGCTCCCTCCTGAGCCGATGATGGCTGACAATAGCTCTTGTAACACAGGCACTTGAATTAGGGGCTGGACTGAGACGGTACACGCAGCGGAGTGGCTGTAAAACAATGTGATTACTTTCGGTGATGATAGAATTGGACCACATGAGCTGTAGGTTATAAACTCTGTAACCCATTAGTGCTTCTCGGCTTTATCCATTTTGCTTATGAGGGTTGAGTTAGCTTGTTCATTTTTTTCCTAACGGATTACCTTCACCTTAAGGTTGTCTGTTTTAAGGTTTTATAACTATCTCATTTGCAGTAAACTTCATTTATGTTCCAGGAAGGAGGCTTGGACTTCGAGCAAAATAATCCAGAATAATATTAAAAATAAGGATTATAATCTACCTCCAGGTCTTTCTTGAGTAATTGTCAGATACAGACAAAGAGGAACAGGTTATTTTCACCCACAGAATTCATGCACCTCTGAAAACAATATGAACTGAGTATTAACACCAGCAATAACTATTTGTATTTTGGACATGTTCAATGCATAGAAATTAGAGAAGAGAAACGTATTACAATGAAACAGTCTATAGCCATTAAAATAAAGCATTCTGTCTAAAAGTTGGCCCGAACTATTCTCCTCTAGCCTTTTTGCAGCAACTGCCAAAACATCTAGGAGGATAATTTAGAAAGTGAAGCCAGAGATGGGCTAGAGTTGATTCAAGACCTTATGAAATAAACTTCACAGAATAGAGAGAAAGAAACACTTGCACGCTCTAATCAAGTTGTAGTTATTTGTATATTACAGAGAATGTGAACTCTCGCCATCTTAAAAAGAAAAATATATGATAGACTGGATTAAGAAAATGTGGCACATATACACCATGGAATACTATGCAACCATAAAAAATGATGAGTTCATGTCCTTTGTAGGGACATGGATGAAATTGGAAAACATCATTCTCAGTAAACTATCGCAAGAACAAAAAACCAAACACCGCATATTCTCACTCATAGGTGGGAATTGAACAATGAGATCACATGGACACAGGAAGGGGAATATCACACTCTGGGGACTGTTGTGGGGTTGGGGGAGCGGGGAGGGATAGCACTGGGAGATATACCTAATGCTAGATGACGAGTTAGTGGGTGCAGTGCACCAGCATGGCACATGTATACATATGTAACTAACCAGCACAATGTGCACATGTACCCTAAAACTTAAAGTATAATAAAAAAAAAAAAAGAAAGAAAAATATTAGGTGTGTTTGGGGCACAGGAACAGTTCTCTGAGGAGGGGTTTATAACTTCATCAGATTTACGTAGATGGTTATAATGTGAAGAGTTTATGTATAAATAATTGCTGTAGCAGAGGATTGAATCTTTCGCACATTGACATCTGCCTGCTATTCCTTTAGCCAGGATGCCTGAATGGAATGTTTAGATTCCAGCAGGGCTTCTGACTTCTGGTGAACCAGGAAGACCTGGATCTGAGGTGAATAAGCTACATACCCTGTAGGAGAAACATAACCTCAAATGAGACAACATAAATAAACTTCTCAGGGTATTGTCAAGTACACAGAAGAAATATATTTAATCGTAGCCTACTGTTGCCCTAAAAAATTTATTTCCCTCACCTGGCAAGTAGGTCACTGTCAGCGATACTCCCAAGCCTCATTCTGAATTATAATTTTTTTTTTTTTTTTTTGAGATGGAGTCTCGCTCTGTCACCCGGGCTGGAGTGCAGTGGCACGATCTCAGCTCACTGCAACCTCCGCCTTCCAGGTTCAAGTGATTCTCCTGCCTCAGCCTCCCGAGTAGCTGGTACTACAGGCGCACACCACTATGCCCGGCTAATTTTTTTTTTTTTTTTTTTTTTTGAGACAGAGTTTTGCTCTGTTGCCCAGGCTGGAGTGCAGTGGCGTGATCTCGGCTCACTGCAACCTCTGCCTCCCAGGTTCAAGCAATTCTCTGCCTCAGCCTCCCGAGTAGCTGGGATTACAGTTGCCCACCACCACGCCCAGCTAATTTTTTGTATTTTTAGTAGAGATGGGGTTTCACCATCTTGACCAGGCTTGTCTTGAACTTCTGACCTTGTGATCCACCCGCCTCGGCCTCCCAAAGTGCGGGGATTACAGGTGTGAGCCACCACACCTGGCCAATTCTGAATTATTCTGACTCTCTCTGGACAAGGTACACCAGAATTGGGAGTGGAAATCATTTTTCTGTCCCAGTGCTACCTTGGCTCTGCCTGGTGACCCATCATCTGCTAGATTCTTCCAGTGCATCTTCCTTTATTATGCTCATTACTTAGTGAAGGGCAATACATCATATTTTATTTATATGATATGTCATTCCTCCTCCTCCAAAGGATTTGAAGATGCAAACCTTTGTGTAAGCAGTGGTTTCACTGGGCTTAAAGACAGAGCTAGAGCAAGGATCATAGCTATTTTGAAACTACAAATATCTATGAGAATCAATTGATGGTCATGAACCCTTGCTGCAGAACAATGCACACTTGCCTCAAGTAGACTGTGTAATTACTGAAGGTGGGTTTCTAGATTTTCATGGCCCATCGATGTGTTCATTGACCTCATGTTCAGAATCCCTGCTCTAGACGAGAGATTCTCAACCTTGGTACTATGGGCATTTGGGGTTGGAAAACTTTGTTATGGGGCTATCCTATCCATTCTAGTACATTGAGCTGCATCCCTGGCCTCTACCTAGCAGATGCCTGTTGCAACCTCCTACCTCATTTGTGATAACCCAAAGCCTCCTCAGACATTGAGACATTTCCTTTCCCCAGTTGAGAACCATTGAGCTTCAGACACCACAGTGGAACTTTATGAAATCACTTCCGAAGTAGAAGGAGGTTCTCATATGCCCCCAATGTGACCAGGCTGTCTAGATTGGAAAGCAGGACAGAAGTCCATATTTGGGTGACATTTTCATATTCATGTCCTCACTGTAGCTTCACAACAACCCAGTAAAATAAGTGACCACAAATGCAGTGAGTAGTGTCTTAGTCTGTTTGTGCTGCTATAATAAAATACCTGAGACTAGGTGGCTTACAAAGATCAGAAACTTATTGCTCACAGTTCTGGAGTCTGGGAAGTCCAAGATCAAGGGGCCAGCAGGCTCTGTATCTGGCTGAGGTCCTTCTTGCTACATTCTCACACATTAGAGGGACGAATGCTGTGCCCTCACATGGTAGAAGGCAGAAGGGCAGAAAGGGCTTAAGCTAGCTCCCTCCAGCCCTTTTAACAGGCACTAATCCATTCATGAAGGCAGAGCCTTCATGACTTAATCTCTTCTCCCAAAAGGGCCCCACCTCTTAATACCACTGCAATGGGGTTTAAGTTTCAACATGAATTTTGGAGGGGACACACATTCAAGACATAACAAGTAGCAAATCCAGGTTTACAGGCAAATATGATTCCAAATCCAATGTGCTTTCTAGGAAGTATGATAAGGTGATTGGACTATAACTGGAAGAGCTGAAGTTTTAGTTAGGGTTCTGGCCCTTAAGCAGTCACATAAGCACTTAAACTGTCTGTGACTCAGCTCTGTGTTGCTCAGCAGGAGCAATGTCTCTGTATGGCAGGAAAAATGCCTCTGCCCGTTTCACAGGAACCTTACAGGAACAGATGAGAGACTGATGAGTGACAGCACTTTAAAGACTACCAAAGCCATTTCAAATGTAAGGTGTTACTACATTGAAAAGTATCCATTAGCCTATAAAAATTACATGGACATCAGCACTCTAAAATTGTCTTTATGAATAGAATCTTGAGAAAGTATGACACTTGTGGAATATTAAAAACTGAAATGGCTCAGGGATTAGCTGTCACACTTAACATTAATTTCCTCTGAATAGTCCGGTAGAGCAAGCCTATCCAAGATCAGTGATAAGTGTTCCAAAAAGAAGTCGCTCTAAGAAGAAATAAAGTAAGTTAACAATAGCTGACTCTTCCTTTTTAGTAAGCCCCAAGCCCTTCGTTGGATTTTGAGTACAACAATCATGCTGTTCAAATAGAATAAAAATACCCTGACATGGATCTGTAAAGAAATATGGATGAGTTACATCTTGCTTGTGCTTAAAAACGAAAAGCCCACATGACTGTGTCAAATGGGTTTACACCCAGGTGAACCAGTAGTAGTAGTGAGTTTTGCCTCCTAAGATGGCTGGTTACTGAGCATGCCAATGACAGTCACATCACTGTAAAGGTAATTGGTTATTTCTACAAAACCTTTGGGTGGGAGTCAGATGCTATCACATCTATTGTGAGCTTCCAGGGGTGAAGTGGCATGAAGGCCATCATCAGCCATCCAGGCATCAGATGTCATCTTCTGCTCCCTCTTCCTAAGGCTGTGGTCTCTCCAGAACGATAATTGGTATCATTCTTCTTCAATTGCTATTTGGAGCCCACGAGGACAGGAAAATTATGCTGTGCCCCAGAGGTCACTTGCTTGGCTAATTTTTCGCTAATTATGTCTTAATTGTATTGTGGTAGGATAGAGGAAAAAAACATTCTCTTCCAGAGTTTTATGAAGAAGGTCATGGGACTTGACAAAAGTGCAGGGTTGCCAGGACTGAGGCTCTTGACAGTGGTCAGCATGGGTGCGTCCTACTGGAATCAGTCAAGTAGCAGCACAACTCAAATCTAATTTTGCAAAAGATGAAACCTTTTAGTGAGGAGGAAGAACAGCAGATAAGGAGATGCTAAATGAATGAGAATAGGTGTGTCACAGCGTGATGGACGTGCATCACGTTTTCTGACATGTATAGAAGACAGTACTATGGCACCAGCTTTGGGGAAAAGAAAAAGCTTTATTGCAAGTCAACTGGCAAGCATGCAAAAGTGTAACTGTGAGGGAGACAGGAAGATGCAAGGAGGCATGATTTGATGAGATCATGCAAAGAGGCGGTGACGGGTGCTTGGCTAAGTCCGCACTGCAACAGAAACAGGGCTTCTCTGCTTCGTAATTCCGTCCCTGCTCCTTGATCCAAGTTCTTAGGCTTCAAATGTGGTTGACCTTTTGTTTCCAGCCAGCACTGAGGTCACAAATTGGGCATACTTGGTTCATCTGGGCAGGCGCAGGTTATCTGACTTGCAACCTGGGATCCCTTACACAGAAAAACAACTCATTATTTTATTACATTTTGTTACTGACAAAGTCGAACCAGATTGAACTGGTTCTACAGTAACAGGTGGACTTGACCCACAGATGGCTACAAAAGTTACAGAAATAATAACAAAACAACCCTGGGTGAGACAAGATTATGAGGCTTATTGAAATGCCACTGGATAGAGACTAAAAAGGAACCAGTCTGAGCATTGTACAGCCAAGGTTGGCTGGGCTGTTACTTAAGACTTAATGACCCCGACTTTGACGCCTGTCCTTCTATCAGAGTAGTTTGAATGTATTGTCAGAGCCATGGAGTCAGAACAAAGGCTGGGGGAGTGAGGTAGCACAGGAGGGTGTAGAGTTTCCACTGAAAGGAACCGATGGTCTCACCATCATTCGTCCTGAAAAAGGGCTCTGTACTGGGGCAGAAAATGAGGATTGGGAAAGGACACATTAGGAGGGGAAATGGAGCCTGGAGTTAGTTTGATTTTCTGGTGAGGCATGAGGATGCTGGGGTGGTGGTACGGTACTAGAGTCAATGGCTCAGGATAACTTGGGGTTGGATGGAAGTTATTCTCTCCATTGTTATTCTTCACTGCTATTTTTGAAGCTTCAGTAAAATCTGATCAAATATGTGGCAAGTTAAAATTCTGAGAAAATAAGAACTTTCCCCCCGCCACATTATCTTTTGTTGTATTTACCCTCTACCCATTAAAGCAATGATCCCCACTGCTTCAGGGAAGGGCAGACACGCCAAGAATAAAGATGTCAATTGAATGTGTGAGTGTCATTTTTTAAACTGATAACTGAGATGCCGAAAGCTGAAGATGTGTCTTCTGAGACAGAGGTTTTTTGAGGCATAGGATGGTTTGTGAGCACCAAAGACTGGGACAACTCATGGCCTAGGTAGACCATTAGGTGTGAGGAATGCAGGATGACATCTCAGCTATGTTCCTGCCCAGAAGAAGAAAAAGTTCAAGCAGCCGATGCAAAGAAAAATTCTAGGGGGCAGGCGCGGTGGCTCACGCTTCTAATCCTAGCACTTTGGGAGGCCGAGGAGGGCAGATCACCTGAGGTCAGGAGTTCGAGATCAGTCTGGCCAACATGGTGAAAACCCATCTCTACTAAAATACAAAAAGTAGCTGGGTGTGGTGGCGGGCGCCCGTAATCCCAGCTGCTCAGGAGGCTGAGGCAGGAGAATCACTTGAACCCAGGAGGCGGAGGTTGCAGTAAGCCGAGATATGCCACTGCATTCCAGACAGAGCAAGACTCCATCTCAAAACAAAAAAAAAAAGAAAAGAAAAGAAAAGAAAAATTCTAGGGGGAACATGAGCAGGGCACATGCACTAGTGAGTGTCTAAGAAAGGACCCTGCCTTCTGACACCCCTGGATGATGGGCCAGGGAAGAGAGAATAGCTAACGCCCAGAACTGGGGGGGATCACGGAGGTAAAACCTGAGAAGGCAGCTCATCTTGAAATAAAGGGCATCCCCCAGCCAACCTGCTAACCAAGTGTGGCCTGTAGAAACAACAGCATGGTGTTTTTAGAAGAAAGGAACTGAACGTCTACCTCCTCTGTGCTCTGAGTCGCTCCCAACTCCTGAATGGTAAGAGTATGGCCAAGTGTATTATTTGCTCAAAATGTTTCCTTCCTATGGAAGCTGTTCCTTTTCCCTAGATCCCAGTGATAAGAGCTTCGAGCACACCCACAGCTGATGTGCGGCTGAAGGATAAACCTTTATTATTGTAAGCCATTGAGGTTTTAGCAGGGAGGTTTACGTTGCCTTAAAATAACCTAGAAAAAAAAAGGTAATATGCTAAGCCCTCCAAAAGCTTGCCAAGCCCCCATGAAGGACAGCAAGGGACGGAGGGCTTGAGGACACATTCTGGTTATCGACAGAGAGGGCTAAGTGGAAACAGAGTGACCTGGGTAGACCTGAAAACCAAAATGCAGCAGGAACACAGAACTTTCACTAGGTGAAGCACCGTGGCATTCAGTGAAAAAAACTCACAAGTGGATGTTACGTCAGCAAAGGCTGCAATTCCTAACTGAGCTACATAATGGATAAATAGATGCTCCTTCCGCCGAATGCCTAGTTGATTCTTAGATTACCCATGGGGAGAGGTCATGAGCAGGGAAAGGAAAACATCCTGAACTTTTTACCCAGAGTAGAGTGAGAAATACTTAGTAACATCGTTTATACTCAATTGGCAGTAACAAGTTTTCTGCCATCAGCAGAAATGGGGGCTCAAGAACTAAGTGCAGTTATAAAGTTTCATTTTTACACACTTGATTTTGTGACTATAAAATTCACATCCTCTGGCAGGTGCTGTGCTGTGGGGGATGAAAAGGCGGGGCCTGCCCATGGCTAACAGATAGAAACTGAGAGGAGGGGGCCTCCCTCCCTCCTTCCCCCCTCCCCTTAGGCCAGCCAGGGGTTGAAGCAGGGATTCTGTGGGAGAAGGGATGCTCGGCTCACCGCAACATGGGGACCACGAGTTGCGGAAGCAACAGCACCAGGTGGAGCCTACGGCAAGTCCCCAGGGATCCCTCATCCCTGCAGAACACTTTGAGAGACCAATTCCTAGCAATCAAGCTGATAGAGCTGGGGCCACAGTCATTCGGTTTACATGGTAATGCTCGCAGTAATTCATCCAGGGTCTAGGAAGTACTGCGCACTTTGAATATGTAGAAGGTTTGACTTTTCTTGCCATTTACTCGAGTCTTTTAAGACATTATAGCACATTTTATTTTTCTAGAACTCAACGTGCATTTCAAGCCCCATACTACTTGATGGCAGAAAATGTAGTCTTAGGCAATTATGGTTTTCTCCATCATTTCAGGCCTGAAATAACATTTCCTCTGGGCCCACTTTCCCTTTGGGCTGTCACATGGCCACAGACATCCCTCCAGGTTGAACCCTCTCTGATAATCCCACCAGGCCCTCCACCACAGGATTTCAGCAAGCCCAATGCCCTCTCTTGGCCTATCCCTCTCTGGGGCAGGAGAAGTGTTCCAGTGATCTACCTTTCTTAAGGCACAGAAGACTCAGGGCTGTCCCTGTTCCCTGCAACCAGAGCTGCCCTGCCACAATCTGAACTCTACAGCTCCCCCGGTGGCCCCCATGCAGAAGTGCAGAGAGAGCTAGAGCCGGGACCACTTCCTCCAGCCTCCTCCACACAGGGTGCCCAAGGATTCCCAAATAGTACATTCTATTATTGCCACCCCCATCCGCGTTGGCTCAGTGGGCCACCAGCACATCACCAAGTCCCTTGTTTCTTTCCCGATGCTTCCCCCACCGCTTCAGAGGAGTTTTATTTGGTGGTGAGAGGATGCACAGTAATGTTCTTCTAGAAACTTTCTGTCTTCATCCCACAATACTTGTTTTTAACTTAAAGGCCAAGAATTGGATGTTGTTGTTCTCTAGTTCCACTCCTTCCAGCAAATGGCACTAGAGGCTTTATATCAGGAGCCCGAATGAATGAAATGGGTGAGGGTTATTGTTTAATAGGGACTATATGTTTTGGGCAAAACATCAATGAATACTTCAAACCATCACAAATGTTCTTCCTAGTGAATATTCCTCACCCTAAAGAGGAAAAAAGGATCGCGTTTCTCTCTTTCACTCCCCCAGCCCTGCAGGAGATCTGGATACTGGGTGATGCTTCTCTTCCCTGCACTGGGAGTGGATACCATGCTGGCTCTCGTCTCCTTTCCCCACCCCAGGTGGTTAAACGGCACAGGGGCAGGCAGTCTCCACCAGCGAACTCTAATAGGCCTGGCAAAGTCTCCATCAGAGGCTCTCAACCCTGACTGCACAGCAGGATCAACCAGAGAGCTTTAAAAACGTATGCGTCCCACCTTAGAAGAATTCATCAGAATTGCAGAGGACAGAGCCCGTACATTTTAGTAAAGCTCCTCCACATACATGATTCTGACATGCAACTAAGGTTGAGAATCACTGACCAGGAGCAGGGTTCTTTATGTTGGCACTATTACAATTTTGAATCTGGTGATTCCTTGTTGGAGGGGAGGGGCCTGTCCTGTGCATGGCAGGATCTTGGGCAGAGTCCCTGGCCTCTACCCAGCTGATGCCATAACAGCCCCCTAGTCATGACAATCAAAAATGTCTCCCGATATTGCCAAATGCTCCCTTGAGCGTTTCCTGCCCTCCAACTAGGCAGGAAGCCCTAGTTGAGAAAGCGAAAAGCTGGCATTGGCTAAAGAAGTAAATGATACTCTCTCAGTAGTCATTTGGCCTGTGGGCTTCAAGAGGAGAGATATTTGTTCCCTGAGCCTAAGTTCCTACTGGACAAATGCACCCTCTTGGTTCCTATGTGCCCCTAAGCCTGCCCTACTTCTGTAGTGCAGTGTACAGGGCAGGTTCAGGCCAGAGCTGGGAGGTATACCATATTCTAGCTCTGATCTCTCCATTCAAAGCAGTCTTTTTACAAATCCTTGATAGTTCTGAAATCCACCCTGACTTCTGGCCAAATCCACTTTCTCTTTGCACACACAGTTTCTCTCAGAGGGTCTAGACCTTACCCCTCGATCACCAGACTCTAATTCCAATTCTAGGACTTTGAACTGGTCTACAGGGCAGACATGCACTGCAGAATGATTCTTTAAAACCCCAATAGAGCTCCCGCATGTTCTCAACCTCGGCACTATTGATGTTTTGGACCAGATAATTCCTTCATGTGCAGTTTGCATAAAGAGTTGTGGGCTGTTTAGCAGTTTCCCTGGCCTCTATCCACAAGAAGCCAGGAGCAATTCATACTCTTCTCCCTACAGGTCGTGAAAACCAAAACTATCTCCGGACATTGCCAAATGTCCCTTGGAGGGCAAAAGTCCCTCCTGACAGAGGACAACTGATGTAGTGTATACACGTGTTCAAGGCATAGGCTCAGGTATTCAGAAAAATGTCATTTTTCCTTCTCTATATTTCAACCTAAGCTTCCTTTGAAGCCACCATTCTATGTGATAGCTGAAAACAGTCATTTTTAGGCCTTTTCAGTTATGTCAGGTAAAGTCAGGAAATTCAGTGCTTCCCCCTTCCCAGTTCACATCTTAATAGTTTCTTCTAGGGCCTGGGGTCTGGAGGGAGGGGCGAGGCTGAGGGGCAGCCTTCCCTCTGTGATGGCAAACCCTGGGCCGCATCTCTCCTGTTCACACCTCATCACAGGGCCCATGGGCTCTGCAGCACCTCCTCAATGTGGCCACAGCATGTCCCCATCCCGTCCCCAAGCTCTCTGTTGGTCCTCCTCCGAAAGTTTCCCAGCAGAGCCTGGGAACTTTGGGCTGTCCTTGCTGCCCAAGGCCACAGACACTCAGCTGACTGTAACTGGCCTTTCCAACCTGGATTCTCCCTGACGCCATCTGCTCACTGCTACCTCCACCTCGGCTGGTGCAGGTAAAGATGTCTGGGACCCTGGTTGCCTTCCCAGAAGCAAACACAGAGCCCCTCTGTCCTGAAATCATGGGGCCTCTCTGGCTATTCTTTCAGGGCTCTCCCTTCAAGACACCCCACGGGCTAATCTCAGGAGGGAGGGCAAGACACCATGGGGCTGCAGTGGACGCGTCAGGGGGCTTTTTGCTTTTGTGTGTCACCCAGAGTCCAAGCCTCCTTCCTATGTGACAACGCTGGCCATTTGGGGAGCTGGTGGAAAGCAGGCCCCCCACCTACCTTGGAATCCTGAGAGATTAGACGCCTGGGAGTCGCCAGCTGGTGGGCCATGACCCTCAGGACCTTCCATCTGCAGCCAGAGTCACAAAATGTCAGTTCCTCCTGCAGCACCTTTCAGTGACATCCCCCGTCCGCCTCCGGTAGCGGGGATACCAGGGGCAAGTTCCTGCAGCCTTGGCGGCCTCGTTCTAACCAGGTGACTCTGGGAGGGGACCTTGGCGGGGCTCTCACTACCAGAGTCTCTTGACTGCTCTCCATCTTCCAAATCTGTGTTTCCAGCCTTCCTAATATCCCTCTAATACATGCATTTTCTCTTTAGGTTAGCCAGACTTCGTGTTTGTTATTTGTGGTCGGGCCCTGATCATGGCAAGCCCCTGTGTCCCACCTTCTCCCTTCCTCTCAGGCGGGGGGCTCTTCAGCAACTCGTGCCGGGGGGTCTCTGCAGCCATCTGGGAGGGGCTGTGGGAGAGCCACGCAGCTCTGACAAAACAGATGTGCTTCCCAAGTGTTCCCGTCTTACCCCTCCGTGAGGGTTATTTGTTTTGCTTTTCATTTAAAGCCGAGAATTTTATGTATTTCTTTTTGTCTGATTCAACTTTCATTTACTAAGATGGACCTGCTAAAAGACCTAAATATTAGTAAATCATATAAAGCATGGATGAGATAACAGGGTGTGGGTGTGTGTATGGGGGTGTGCAAGTGTGTGCGTGAGTGTGTGTGTGAATTTAGGAGTACATCAATTAATACTTTTCAAAATAAGCTTTCCATATATCATTTAATCCTCACCAAAAGCCCCAAAAGAAAACATTATTACCCTAATAATACAGAAGGTAAACTGAGGCTCCAAGATACTAAATAACATGCCACAGATCACAAAGGTGGTAGACACTGTATCCAGGGCCCAGGCTCTGACAGTCAGATTCCAGAGCCTGTGGATTTTCTGCCACAGCACATTCCACTGGCTCGCCAGACGCGGACCTTTTCCCTCCAGAAACACCGTCCAGGGAGTGTGTTGGCATCTCTACTGTCTCTTCCCGTCACCATCTGCATCACCAGCCTATAGATCTCACATTCATCCAAGCACTCACTACTGACACCACAGGAATGGCCAATCCTTGACATCCAGGGAGCAGCTTGGACCACACGGGTGAAGCAGTGGGGTCGGGCTCCACAGGGATCCGATGGTCTTCTGTGCTTAGTACCTACAGCCAATTCTATAGACGTAGCTTGCAAGGCCCATGCATCAGTTTCCAGGATCACGCGCCCATTTTGTAGCTGGAATAATGTCCTAGCTCCCGTCAGCAATTGACGGCTCACACAGAGAGGTATGACTAAACCCGGCAGCCATTCATTGTTTAGTCTACCCATTTGGCAACATTTTCTCCTGCAAGAGCAAAAAGACCATCTTAGGTGTGTGTTCAAGTCACTGACACTGAGAAAAATCGTCCCTGTGAAAGCTCTGGGGCGCCCTGAGATTCCATCCATCTGGAGCAAAAGCACCACATTTGCAGATGCCTGTGGTTTGCCTAATTACATTTTCACAAACCCTTGGAAAGCAATGAGTGCTTCAGCTGCACCACGCGTGTGGCTTAATGAGGTTTCGGAACCCTATATTATGAAATTGTCACAGGTTATTTGTCAGAAGGCAGCTGCCTTGGAATATAGCAGACTTAAAATTTGGGGTCCCCCACATTTTCATAACAATTCTTTGTTAATTACAAAAATACTACATAATTCCAATTACATGCAACAAGTATTTTCAGAGCATTCATTTCAAACACACCTGAGTTTTCAGATTTTTTGTGGAAATCCGAGCATTTGTTGTTCCTCTGAGCATCCTTGAGGGATTGAAAAGTGACAAAAAGAAATAACGGTTTCCTAATAAACGAGAGACCTTGAAATGAATTAATCTATATTGATTTCTTTTCCTTGTAGCTGTATTAACTGCTCTATACTCTAATGCTTACCCTTCTCACAAATTGTTTTTATCCTACTCTTTGCATTGATTATTTTTGAAGTGTATTTAATGTAGGCACTATCATCACTTGGTTATTATGGGATTGATAATGTCATGAGTGGATTATTCTTGCCCTTTCCTGGTAGGTTATTTCCCCTCCCTTATTTCTCTTTCTGGCTCCTTGCTTTATAATCCTGCTGTTGCTAATTATGAATTCTCTACACCAACTGGAGCATAACCACAGCCCCTGCAGTCCCCACTTAGGCCTAATAACACCCCTCTTGCCGAGTGGGCCTCCAGTCACCTGGAGCCACCAGGTCTCATTTAGAGCCTGGGCTCAGCCTCTCCAGGTGTCAGGAACTCTCACCCGTAGCAAGTGAGGCCCAGAAAGCAACTTCTATCATGCTGTGTCCAAAGGCCAAATGGCCCGGGGGTTAGCGAATGCTCATTATTTAGAGAGCTTCTCGGTCTTTGGGGGAGAGGTATGTGATTTTCCAAATTCCTTCTTTGTCCTGCCCTAGGGAGAACACAGCCTGCACGCTAGAAAACAATGAAATTAATTTATTATTCATGTGCACTGTACAGAATTTGGAAAATGCAGAAAAATAAACACATACACAAAATATTTGTAACGACATGAACCAGAGATAACCCCAGGCTTTAACCTCTGTATATATGTCTATGTATATTTAATGAAAAAGGATTATATCATTATACTGTTTTGTTGGCTGATTTTTAAAGTTAACAACATATTATTAATATTTTCATATGCCATGGAACATTATGCCAGATGACTGCTAAATAGTACACTGTATAACTATATATCATTATATGTAATACTTAACCAATCTAACGTGGCCTCTTTAGTATGATTTTTTTTTACTGCAAATTATGTGTAATATAAAAAGGTTTCCAAGGATACTTGTGCATATTTAGTTATTTCCTTATTTATCATATAAATATTTTATAGATCATATTTATACGATAATTTTCTAGAATTGGAATTGCTGCATCAGAAAGTAAGTTTTAAAGTGAGGGCTCTCTTCTTGACCTGGTTCTACCAGTTCTGCTCCTGGTGGCTAGGTTCTCCTAGTGCTATTTTCTGCTACTCACACCACGTTGAGCAGAGTTGTATGGAGGTGCCTTTAGAAACGCAGGTTCTGGGCCGCTCACCCCCATTTCTGGAGCTGCAGCCAAAAGGTCTGCATAGCTGATCTCCACGGCAATGCTTAGGAGCAGGGAAGTTCATGAACCACCCAAGCTTTCATGGTCCATAACCCTGTTGAGTTAAATATGTACCTGGGGTTTGTTTTAGTGTCAGGTATGGTAAGACGGCAGACGCAGAAATGACGGCTGTGAGGAAGTTTGCACTCACAGATCCCCACAGGCACGGGGCATTTTAAGCCCCACCATGCCAGAAAGACCAGGGATGGTCAGGAAACAAGGATGTGGGCACCGTGTGGCTGGGACCTTTACTGGGATTTACGAGGGAAGGAATAAGCCAGGCAGGGTAAGTAAGCTGAGTAGACTTAGTATTGGATACTTTAAATTATTCGAGCGGCCCAGTGCTATAAAGGTGGTCTCTAGTTGGCAGGTCCCTGGCCCTGGGGTGACATAGGGCAGGGGGTGTATTGGTTTGGTGAGTGAGAGTTTGATGAAAGGGTTGGTTGAGGGTGTGAGCTCTAGACTGGTTGGTTTATCAAAAGCATGCTCACAGGGGAATTGTTTGCTATTTCTAGGAATTAGGTAGCCCTGGAAGGGACAGTCTCTCCAGCATCAAAGCCCCAAATGCCAGAGTATCAAGAATACAGAAAATAAGAAAATAGAGTTTAACCCTCTATCTACACTGAGCCTCTGCTCAGAACTCCCAAGGCCACTGCACCATTTCCTCTTTTGATGACAGCTTCCTTTGGAAATAGGTATTCCCTAGAATTGAATTAGAATTTTGCCAGCCTCTCCTGCCTGATTACAGCTCCTCACTCCCAGAACTCCTAGCAGCTGGCACTAGACTCAGCTGCCTGTAACTCGCCCCTGAAGCCTCCTGACACCCAGAATGAGTTCCTATCAGAGTCAGCCTACAGCTTACAGAAGAATAGCTATGACTGCTGAATTTGCTTCTGTGTTGGTTCACCTAACACTAGGCACAAAAAAGCTAAAACACCCAAGATCAAAACAGGTTTCCTTACTTGCAGCACCCTCTATGTACAGGTCACCTGGGGGAGAGGCTGAAATTCTTGGCAAGATCCTATTTATGAATTAGCTGTGGATCTCAAATGCCCCTGCATCCATATAACTTCATTAGTATGGAATCAAAAATTGCTTCTAATTATGGAATGAATGTTTTTTAAACGAGAGAAGAAAATGAGTTTTTATCACAATCCTTGTTTTTTCTCTTTTGTAGGGAAAATCTAAAATTGGATCAAAAAGAAACAGAACTGTGAGCTTCCGACAGTTCTTCTTGTGATTGGATTACTAAATATTATTATTTCTATTCATAGTTTACATTGCTGCTGATAGAGCTGTTATTACCGGAAAACAAAAACACAACAAAAACCCTTTGAAATCTTCTTCGGCAAATTCTCTCAATAGGTAGGCGTCTTCCTATCTACTCTCAATTCTTTTCTGAGAGGTCGGCTAATTTTACCTTTTAAAATCATTGATATTTAAATTCACTGTTTTTTTTTTTTTAATGTTTATCTACTTGCCAAGAATTGTCCCATCTTTTCTTGAGCACATCAGTAAAAATGTTCTTCTCTATTGTTGAGGCAGCAACTGTTCTCTGTAGTTGGAAATTACCCCACTGGGGAGATAGGGGCACCCTCCCCTTCATGGGCAGCCCCTGCGTTTTATCTTTCTGTTTGTGAGCTGTGTTTGTTCCCGCATCACCCGACTCCCCTCCCATCTGTGTGCTGGAGCTCAAAGTTCCCTGTGTAATCAGCCTTCCCAAGTGACCCCGTGCCCTTCCCAAGCACGGCAGCCCCCGACCTGGGGGAGACGTCAGTACCATGGCTCCAGGGAGCGTGCGTGCTGCTCATCAACCCTCTCGGAGCTGGCAACTCAACCACTTGCCCCTTTGTGAACAGGCAACAGGTGACCAGGCCCCAGCAGCCCGTGGGGCCTTGATAGAGCTCTTCTCACTGTTCACTGATGTCTCACTGCGTGCCAGGCTGTCCTGGAGTTTCGTTGATGTATACCACATAGGCACCGTTTGTCTTTCCAAGGCCCTAGAAATCTGCTTGTTCTGTTCCAGCCCTGCGGGCCAGGCGCTGGGCTGGAGCCATCTCTGTGGCTCCCTTCCCACCACTGCATGTAAATCAGGGCATCCAAGGAGCAACAGAGACCGTTTTAAGCAGTCTCTGGAAGCTGGGTTTTGATGTAGTAATGTCCTCGTCAGAGATCAGCTTCTCTTGTCCTTTTGTACACAGGTGAAAAATTCTAAGAACAGTAGCCCCAAGAAAGCTTTTCTTTCTCCCTGCCCCTGCCAATATTCTCCCTGGATCGCTGGTGTTTCTTCTGAGCCCGACGCCGCACACTGGGGCCGCCCCTGCCGGCTTGCTCTGTTCCTTTGATGGCCACATGAATGTAGATTCCTGTCTATTTCAGCTGAGCTCTCTCTACAGACTTTTCTAAAATGTTAAATGCTGAACTCTAGCCAGCATGATGCCGTTTCATTTTGCTTCAGCCCAGACCCAAAATACTAAAGCTCCTACAAAGACATTCAGACTGTGTTTCAGAAAGGAGAAAAATAAATACAAGTTTTAGAACACTTTGCAGAAGTGAAAGTTAGATCTTTGCAAAGTCAGTATTGACCTGTGTTTAGAATGGGTTGAAAGATAATACAAACTGGATTCAACTACTGAAAATGTTACAAAAAGTCTCAGACATGCCATTATTCAGAGTTTCTAAAACGGCACGGATAGGGCTTTTATTAGGATTTCTCCCCACTTACAAAACGTGTATGGTCATGCCAGAAGGAAAAACGTGAGAGCAGGATCACATCTTCTATCCGATGCGACCGTCTCTTTCTTTACAATTATCTTCATATTTGGCTCTGTGAACACCGACAGCAATCATGTCAGCTGCTTGTTCTGCAGTGAAAAATGTTCTGCATGGGTTTCAGTTGTAAACAGGTCATCCATCTCCCACGTGGTCAGAAGGGGGTGTTCTCCCAAATTTGTACAAGGCTTGTTTCTCTGTTTCCTCTGAAAGAATTTACATGCTCAGAGAAATCTCTCTGGCTCATCTGCTGCATGTATGGAAATGCGTGCGCATGGAAACAGAACATATATTATCCAAGCAGATTGTGCTAAAACTAAGTGATATTCGGGGACCTGTGCTCAGGCAGGAAGGGAGTAGAACGCCCTTCATGGGGTTGAGGGTTTGTTGTAACATTTTGTTTCCTATTCTATGGTTTGGGAAAAAGAATGGGCAAAAACGGATTACAGGAGGAAGCCTGCTTTTCTGGAGCTCACTTGTTTGTTGCCTTGCAATGCAGAATAACTTTCGTTTGTTTGGGGAAGTGGGAACCAAAGGCTGGAAACCTGGCTTTTGCAGGCCCCTTTTGAAACGTGGAAGGGCTCTTCAACTTCTGAAGGTTTAGGAGGGGGCATTCTTGTCTTTACCACCCAACCAGGCTGGGCTGTAGGTGTTTTTTGATCTGACATCCTTATTTCTTTATATTTTGTTTGGACTCTGGGCTCAGTAGTGCTCTGCTGAGGACATTCGTATCCATGTATCCAGGAAGTAGAGCAGTTGCATTTTGAACAAAGGGCTTGAATACAAAACAAAACACCTATTTTTGGACAGGTCAGGTGGCTCACACCTGTAATCTCAGCACTTTGAGAGACAGAGGCAGGAGGATCCCCTCACCCCAAGAGTTTGAGACTAGCCTGGGCAAAAAATTTTAAAACATTAGCCAGTTGTGATGGCGCATGCCTTGTAGTACCAGCTACTTGGGAGGCTGAGGTGGGAGGATTGGTTTAGGAGGATTGGGAGGTTGAGGCTGCAGTCCCAGCGACTTGGGAGGCTGAGGTGGGAGGATTGGTTTAGGAGGATTGGGAGGTTGAGGCTGCAGTGAGCTGCGATTGCACCACTGCACTCCAGCCAGGGTGACAGAACGAGACTCTGTTTCAAACACCCCAAAACCACGTATTTTCTAAAACTATGGCTGTGATAACCTATCTTATTATAGCATATTCCATTTTTTCTTTTTTCTATATATTATACCAATAAGAAATGTGTTGAATAATGATGTTCTTTTTTATGATTTGTTTAAAAATTTTCAAATTCAACAAATCATTAATATTTAAATAATACACTAAAATTGATGAGATATACTTCATCAGATGCTTCACATGTGACTACATAAATTTTGTTTTCTCTAGGCATTGAGTGAAGTGCATCATTGCTACTTGGGGAATCACAGTGATTAGTGATTCACATTCTGTGGGAATACCCTTGAGTAGAGGTCCCTCTCTGGCCAGGACATATACAGTGTGCCCCGTTAGGGCCATGGCTCACACGCTGAGCTTGGAAATGACCACTCGCTGGGGAGAATGGCAGCTTTGCCTGGCTGAGTACTGAGACCCCGTCAGGAAGCCGAAGGCAGCCGAAGGAAGGCAGGGGCTCACGTGTGACTGATGCACAATTTTTAAAGAAGGGTTAAAGAGTTTCAAAATGTTCAGTAACAGATAGGATAGACTATTTCTTTTACAAACTTCCTCATATCCCCCCATCTCCTTTTCATGTTTCCTGATTCGGTCTAAATTTGGAATGGTATAAAGACAAAAGAGGGAAAGCAAGTATGTCTAATACTTGGATTGTATTTTGACAGATACCTGGGCTGTCTGTCTGGCTGCTACTTGGCTTCACTTCACAATATCCTCTGAAGAGTGACTCACCAAGACCATCATTTTAAAAGATAAAATAGAATGTCTTCTTACATTGGAAGAAGGAAATGTTTGTCTCTCAAAGTTGCTTTCTATACGGGCAAAGTAGCTACATCTAGTGTTTGAAGTATCAGACAGGATTAGGAAATGAATAACTTTTTATCCATACAAGAGAGAATGTGATTGTGAACAGCTTCACAATGCTTGATTTTCAGCAGTTTAAATGGAATCTAAATTGCATGCAATAAATCAGTGACATCTTTGATTCATTATAGATAATCAAGAGGAACCTCTTCTGTTTATTGGTGCCAACAGATTCAGATCAAACACCATAATCTATCAAAAGAAGGGAATGGCTGCTAGTTGAGGAGGAGACAGCTTTAGGTAATGGGTCATTGCCACCATATGCCGGGTGCTACTGGGTGCCAGGAACTTCATTACTTGTTTCACAAGACCCTCATGTGATGGATAATACAGTCCTCCAAAACGCAGACACGAAGCAGAACAACTAGGTTTGAGGCATGTGACATGGGAAGTAATTTACCTTCTCTGTGCTTCGGTTCCCCATCTATAAAACGAAGATGATAGTAATACATCCATGCTAGGCTTTAATAGGACCTATCTCATTTAGAATAGGACCTGGCACATAGCTCTCACAATAAGTTACCTGTCGCCACTGCAGAAAAACAAACTGAGGTTCAGAGAGATTAAGTAACTTGCCAAGAACTACTGAGGCAGCAGGTAGCAGAGTTCAGATCCGAAGCCCAGCGTCATGAACTGTGTGACCCATGCTTGCTCCCTAAGGGCTCTGGTGCCTTTCCCATTCTCCCTTGTGAAAGCATGCAATGGGAACCCATGGACACAGAGTCCAGGGATTTTACTTTGGGGGTTTGGGGGAGTTTATTGGTTGGGGGTTGCCTTTTTTTTTTCCAAAAGATGTTCTAAATTATTATGAGTGGCATTGGACTGTCTTTTCTGCATAGAAATCTTGGTTTGGTTTGGTTTGGTTTGTTTTGACCAACGCCGGGCATTGACTAAAGAGTGAGCCATCACCTTGTCCAGGTCTTGGTGTTTGATGAGAGCAGATGGTGCCCTGTATTGGAAAGGCTGTGGAGAAAGTCATTCAGGTTGGCATTCTCTGGGGGTGGGACTGGAACCTGGGAACAGCCCCACCTTTTCCACTAGTCTACCAAAACCTGCCCTTTACTCTTCCTGCCCTTGACTGTAAGCACCACTGGTTCTGACCATAGAGAAGCAAGGTCTCCAAGGCAACCATTACAATGCCCATGACATTAACAGAGGTGTTTCCATTCCTTCCCTTTGCAGGTCAGTCCCATTGATTTATTTATTCATCAAATATTTACTGGGCACTTCAGTGGCCAGCCAGATGCTACATTCTGTGAAGAAAGATACAAGAAAGGTGCAAAGAAAATATCAATTCAGTTCAACACACTCATACTGAACACCTGCTCTGCTCAGAGCAATAAGCAGAAGACAGGGGCATCAGAGTGAGTGAGCTCTGGAGGAACTCACATTAATGTGCCAGAGGAGCTATATCTGGAAGCAGGGCTAAGTCCTGTAAGAAATATTTTTCCAAAATGTTGCATGACTTTATAAGAGGGAGAGATCATTTCTTATTGGAGAGATAATAGGGAGCAGGAACTGGAAATATAGTAGGTTCCTGGAGGAAGTAAAATGTGAGCTGGACCCCATGGACCCAACCAGCTAACTGTGACATTGTGGGTATTTGAGAGCCAACATAGGCCCCAGGCAACAGTGCAGGACAAACACTGGCCAAAAACCAGCAGTGCATGTATCTGTCCTGCACTTCATCAGTCAACCAATTTGTTGGCCACCTGCAATGTGCCAACATTCTTAGTTACTCAGGAGACAGCACTAAACAATATGCATTCCTTGACCTCATAAAGTTTCTTGAAACATAATCAGAGTTAACATTGCCTGAGTGCTTAAGAGTCAAGCACTGCCTAACCATTGCTGTCCAACAGAAATACCGTGTAAGCCACATATATAATTTTCAGTTTTCTTTCTTTCTTTTTTTTTTTTTTTGTGACAGAGTCTTGCTCTGTCACCCAGGCTGGAGGGCAATGGCACGATCTCGGCTCACTGCAAGCTCTGCCTCCTGGGTTCACACCATTCTCCTGCCTCAGCCTCCCGAGTAGCTGGGACTGCAGGCGCCTGCCACCATGCCCGGCTAATTTTTTGTATTTTTAGTAGAGACGGGGTTTCACCGTGTTAGCCAGGTTGGTCTCGATCTCCTGACCTCGTGATCTGCCCGCCTCAGCCTCCCAAAGTGCTGGGATTACAGGCGTGAGCCAACATGCCCGGCCATATAATTTTCAGTTTTCTAATAGGCGCATTAAGTAACAGGTGAAATTAATTTTAATCATATTTTTATTTAACTCTATCTAAAATATTATCACTTCAGCATAAATCTTTGCAATCTGGTCCAAGCAACTGTGCACCCAAGTTCCACAGACACACATGGAGTGCTCTAGAGCAGTGATCCCAGCCTTTCTGGGACCAGGGATTGGTTTGGTGGAATATATTTTCTCCACAGATGGGGGGAGGGTTGTGGGAGGGGATGGTTTTGGGGATGATACTGTTCATCAGGCATTAGTTAGATTCTCATAAGGAGCACGCAACCTAGATCCCTTGCATGTGCAGTTCACAATAGTGTTCAAGCTGCTATGAGAATCTGATGCCACGGCTGATCTGACAGGAGGTGGAGCCCAGGGGGTAACGCTCATTGGCTCACTGTTCACCTCCTGCTGTGCAGCCTGGTTCTTAACAGGGCCCAGACTGGTACCGGTCTACTTACTCTTCAGAGCCCTTCTCAGGTGTTATTTCTTCCATAAACCTTCTTTGACCCCCATGGAGTCAGGGATGCCCGTGACCTTTCTACTGTTAAAATAGACAGATGATCCTGGAATCATGTGTTTACTTGTTTGCCTCATCCATTAGAGACTAGAGTGTCTGATTTACTCTGAATTATTGGCATCCAACATGGGATTTTGTACAGAGTAGATTCTTAACCAAAATGTATTGAATTGTTGTTTCCTATTTGGGGAAATGTCTCCTTAAGAAACTTACAATGTGTTTGGAGTTTATTCCCTTTAGCAGTTACCACCTCGCCCCTTGAGTGAGAGAAGACCAGGTAAGTAAGTTTCAGATGAAAGCTTGGGCAACAGCTGCAGGAGGAACCACGAGAGCTGAGCATCTGGGACCAGACAGGCAGGCAGACAGACTTGAGCAGAGAAGACCACCAAGATACGAGTGGGTGAAGGAGCACTTGAGGGTGCCCTCCTGGGAAGAAAGTTCAAAGGAAGCATGTGTTCTAACCATTTACCTGTAACTCCACTCACAACCTTGGAAAGAGTGACAAATCCTTCCTTCTCCCTTTGGCAGCAGGATGCTTGCTTGCACAAGTCCTTAGCGGGGGTAGAAATCACGGGACAGGCGCAGTCCTATCTAGAAATCAGGAAACTGAGCTCTCATCCTGCTCTGCTACTGTTTTAAGTTAATGTTTAAAATTAGCGCAGGGCTACAGTAAAAAAACTAGGGCATCTAGAAATTCAAGGCCATGGTCTAGGATAAAAAAGAGCTTTTTGGGAAACATAATTCCAGTATAACCAGGTCTGTTCAATACAAACAGCACTCCTAATGCAGCCTTTGACCACCCTGGGCCATATCCTTTTCTGAAGCCTTGTCTTCTAGATTTGGATTTATAAACAACATGTAACTTGTTTTTTTCTTCTTTTTGTCTAGCGGAAATTGAATACATTCACATTGATTATGACTATATATTTAGAGGCGTTGCTACCATTTTATTTTGTGCATTCTGTTTGTCTCGATTTTCTAATTGCTAATTCAAAAAAATGCCTTTTTTTTTCTTTCTGGCCTTTTGCATTGTTTGAGAGTATTCTCCCTCCCCCACATTTTATTTTTGTCTCTCTATTACTTTGGTAATTATACATCCTAATTTCTATTCAGCTTTATCAGTCCTGAGAAAGCCTCAGTCATTAATTTTTCATGTATTGCCTCTCCCCCATTTCTCCCTTATCTGCCTCTGGAACTCCATTGAGACAGTAGTTAGACTTGGTACTCACCCCTCGTGTCTCTTAACTGGGACCTAGAGCCCCCACGTGCTAAATACTAGTCATTACTCTCCCCGGGTAACGGCTTTCTCTCCATGTCTTTAGACTCCTGCTCTCCCCATACAAGCATGAGTGCAAACGAATTTAACTTTACAGAAGGAAGCTCATCAGGATTCTAGATGCCGTGGCAAGCCACTGAGGGAAGACAGGCCACCCCTGAGTTAGTGATACTGCTGCCATATGAGATGACTTCCCCTCACCTGTAGCGCTCTGCCTGTAGGTAGGGGACAGAAGCTGAGGGGTCTTTCCCACTGCTCCCTGCTACACTTTGAATGTGTCTCTCAAAGCTCATGTGTTGGAAACTTAATCCCCAATGCAGCAGCATAGGCAGCTGGGACCTTTAAGAGGTGGTTAGGTCATGAGGGTTCTGTCCTCGTGAATAGATTAATGCCATTTTGGGAGTGGGCTCCTGACAAAAGGTTGAGTTTGGATGTTCCCTCCTTCTCCCTCCTCTGCTCCTCCCTCTGCATCCCCATTCTCTCTCCCGCTTCTGCCATTAGATGATGCAGGTCTCACCAAATGTGGGCCTTGAACTTTTGGGACTCCCCTCCAGAACTGGGAGAAATAAATCTCTGTTCTTTATAAATTACCCAGTCTCAGGTATTCTGTTAGAGCAGCACAACACGAACTAAGACACTCCCCCTCAGTAACGCTGAGTCCTGGGAAGCCAGTGCTCCTGGCCTGACTCCGTTACTATCATCATCCACTCACTCAGGTTTATTCAAACACTGGAAAGTTCATCTCTACGGCTCCTCCTTTATCAGAGCGGGGCCAGTTTGTGGTCATCCTCCTGTCACGTGGGCATCAGTGAGTCACGTGGGCATCAGTGAGGTTGGTTGTACATGGAGGCTCAAATTACAAAGTCTGCATCTGCCTTCCAGCAAGGATCCCAGTCTCTCCTGGGGTAGGGAGTCACTTCACCTACACATTTCCAAGGTTCTCAAAGGTGCGGCCTCATACCTCTGTCCAGGAGGCACCGCTCTAAGCTTAACATGAAGATTCCACCCCTCCTCTTCCTACTCCCAACACCAGAGACCCTGACACGCCTCTTGCCATCTCACTGACAGCAGCAGAGCTGGGAGCAGCAGCTGCAAAATGCCCACCTGCCTGGGCATGTGGCGATCTCCTGCCCTGCCAGCCCTCACGCAGGATGGTGGAGAGAAACCCATGGCACTGCCATGCGCTCCTTCAGACCAATGTGTCCCCAGCCCGGCGTTATAGCCCTTTGTTTCCACACACGCTTATCAGGTACCCCAGACCCTGTGCCAACCCTCCGGCCTTCTTGGGGTGTGTCCTGAGACTCTTGCATCCCCCTCTGGGTTCTTTCCCAGGGCGCCTGTGAGCTTTTCCTGAAATATGACTTTTCCTGAAATGTGGCTTTTCCTGAAATGTGACTTTTCCTGCGATTTTTATTTTATCTTTAAAAGTTCAGTGCTGTGCTAAAGTTCCAGTCCATTTTTTCCCAGGAGGTTTCACAGAATAGTACAATTTTTCATCAATTCCAAAATATATTTTCATTTCCTATTTTCACTTGCTCGTGTCTCTGAAACCAGCATGCCTTAGTGTTGACAGTTTTTTACAATTGGAGTTGACAGGAACTTTTAAAATTACCAGTACATACAATAATGGCACCTTCTAGAATTGGTGGCATCTTGGAGTTAATAAAATACAGCAACTTTGTAGATGGACAGAAGTGCCTGGGCTAACCGCAGCACCCGGTGTCACCAGTTCACAGAATCCGGACCCCAAAGGCACCCCAGCAAACATCCCCCTGCTCTGTCTGCCAGCGCCTGCCCCACTCACCGAGGACACTTGGGACTCCTAACCACCACCAGTGTTTCCTCTTATTGCCGGAGGAAATGTGAGTACACGAGAGAAAGGACGACCACAGTCATCATCACATCTAGGGGAAGGCTGCTCTCTAGACGATTACTATAGACTGTATTACTGGTTTTTGGTTTTTTTGTTTTTGAGACAGTCTGCTCTGTCTCCCAGGCTGGAGTGCACTGGTGCGATCTCAGCTGACTGCAACCTCCGCCTCCCAGATTCAAGCGATTCTCCTGTCTCAGCCTCCCGAATAGCTGGGATTATAGGCGCCCACCACCACGCTCGGCTAATTTTTGTATTTTTAGTAGAGACAGGATTTCACCATGTTGGCCAGGCTGGTCTCAAACTCCTGACCTCAGGTTTACTATAGACTGTGTTACTGTTATTATTAAAGGCACTGAAGTGCCTGGATTATAGAAAGGAGCAAAGGGACTCATATATGCCCAAAGCCCTGTCCCCATAAAGTCCCCAGCCAATGCCTCCCTGCTCTGTATGGCATCTCTTCCAGCCTTTGAGGAGTGCTGGTAAAAGAAGCTGTTCATCTAACCTATAGACAGTATTTCTGTAGTTAGTCCAATCCACAGACAGTATTTCTTTAGTAAGCCCTTTTTAGTAGGCTCTCAGTTTATTTTTCTCTAAGGTCAATTAAGATCTTGAACTACCGGCAGGATGTGGTGGCTCAGGCCTGTAATTCCAGCACTTTGGAAGATTGAGGTGAGAAGATTGCTTGAGGCCAGGGGTTCCAGGCCAGCCTGGGCAACATGGTGAGATGCTGTCTATACAATAAAAATTTTAAAACTAGCCAGGTGTGGCGGCGAATGCCTGTAGCCCCTGCTACTCAGTAGGTGTAGGCGGGAGGATTGCTTAAGCCAAGAGGTCGAGCTGGGATCATGCCACTGCACTCCAGCCTAGACAACAGAATGAGACCCTGTAAAAAACAAAAACAAAAACAAAAAACCCTTCAACTGTCTATGCAAGCCAGCATGGCAGGCTGACACCCACAAAGAACTTGCCAAGGTTCTAGTACATTTGTGCAATGGTCAACGAATCTTACATAGTTTCTCCTTTTATATTTTAACAAGCATAACATATGGTTCACACTCAGATCTGCACTGAACAAAGAACAATAATTGAAAAACAACCATAAGATTGTGGCAGTGCATATAAACACTGCACACTGTTTTAAAAATAATTTGGCCTCTAAAATGTTCTATTTAGTCACCTTTAATCATACTTACCAACAGATTTGCTCTTCTTACTCACATCCATTTCCTTTTACTGCTTCCCTGAACTTGAAAAAAGACCTCCCTTCACGGGCAGGATTGAGGATTGGATTTGGTCTGGGAGACCTCAGAACGGAGTTGTTCTCCATATAGCACTTGACTCATTCCAGCCATGATATCCCTATCCCAGCGGCAGCTGCAACCTGCTGTGTCCCACGTGCAGCTAAAGCCATCCTCATCTTCCCTGGACCACAGCCAATCTAAAAAGCTATGTAAGTCCATCTTAGGGGGCTGCACACTAATAATACTCCTGCCACGGTGCTCTGGTTCTAATAGTTGGTGCTCCATTTTACTCTCCTACCCCTATTTCCAGGGCTTGAGGTTCTGTTTCCTGAGCCCCAGCTCAGTGGCTGGGACTGCCCCGTCACCACAGACCTGCCTAGTGCCACTGGCTTTCCTGTTTTGCCTTCTTGAGTATTCCTCACTGTGTATTACGCTGCTGCTATTCTTCTCCTGGCTCATGGGACTCCTTTCCTGGGTCACTTACATCATCTAAATCCGCACTGCCCACACCTGGACACCATGTGCTTTGATTGCCACTGAATGTGCAGCTCCTTCTTGGATGCATGCTAGCCTGCTACACCAGTGCTTTTTTTGGTAGCAGCTGGAACTGGGTTTGTCCCTATGGTACCTGTTCCTGGCCTTCTCATTTGGCTTTACAAGTAACTTACCATGCCCTGTTCATTCCAGAGGAAAGTCCCTGTTCCTAATGGTATTTCTTTGGCCTGGAATGCCCTCTCATCGCTCCTACACTCCTCCCTCCCTCAAGCTCAGCTCAAAATTTATTTCTTCTGTGAGTATTTCTTGCTCATTTCAGACTTCACAACTTTCAGTAGGAATTAAACAAATATTTGTTGAACAGATGGAGGTACAGTATGGGATAGACAAAGGGCAGCCAGGATACACTGAAGGCAAAAGGAGGGGCCAGGTGCTATGGCTCATGCCTGTTATCCCAGCACCTTGGGAGGCCGAGGTGGGCAGATCACCTGAAGTCAGGAGTTCAACACCAGCCTGGCTAACACGGTGAAACCCTGTCTCTACTAAAAATACAAAAACTCAGCCGGGTGTGGTGGTGGGCGCCTGTAATTCCAGCTACTCGGGAGGCTGAGGCAGGAGAATCACTTGAACCTGGGAGGCGGAAGTTGCAGTGAGCTGAGATTGTGCCACTGCACTCCAGTCTAGGCAACAGAGCGAGACTCCATCTCAAAAAAAAAAAAAAGAGGAAGCCAAGCAGGTGGGTAAGTGCTATCTGGAGTAGGTGACAGGAGGTCTGGGTGGATGGTCAGGCAAAGTAGGACTGGAGTACTGAGGGCACCCAGTATCTCAAGTAGAGGGTTGGAGTGACCATAAAATCAGGAGAACTAATTACTGGAAAGAAGGGCACAGGGTTCTGACCATTTACTCAGAATCTTAGCAAGAAATCAGGCATACAAACCAAGATATCAGGTCAAAAAGGGACCAACAGCTCAACTAAGTTAACTCTCAACCTCATGAGTTCTTGGGCAAGGCCTTCTTACACTATGTTATCAGAATGAGGCAGTATTTGTCCTAAGAACTTAGAAAGTGTATGTTTGAAATATTGTGCATGGTTTTGCTCCTATAGTGCTATAAACTAGCGTTCTCACATTTTACTCTAAAGAATAGTAGCTTCCTAAGATGACCCATATCATCTTAGGAAGCTACTGTTTAATGATTAATTAATCAATTAATTTATCCTAAATTAATTGAGTTCCATGATTGAAAGATGTTTGAGAAATCTCACATGCTTAACAAATCGTTGGTGTTTGGGTGGACAGCCTGACTGATTCTGATATTATCTGGTGGTTAAACAAAATGGCATTTAAGGTGCCTCTCAAAGATGAGGGTTCTTAGAGTCTGTAATTTAATGGTTTCTAGAATCTGGAATTTGGTTCCCATTCATGTCTTATGAGTTTTCAATGTCAGATATCAATTTGTGATCCAAAATGTTAGAAAAACTTAAACGTTTTATTACTTTGCTTGATTTTCAACTTCACGTGGTTCTTACTCTGTTTTTGAGAGTGCAAATTGATACAACCTCTCAGGAAAGCAATTTGGCAGTATCCAATAAAGCTGAAAATTCCCATAGCATGTTGCTACGGACTGAATTGTGCCCCCGCCACACACTCTCACACACTCTCTCACACACACACACTCTCTCACACACACACACTCTCTCTCTCTCTCTCTCTCACACACACACACACACACACACACACACACACAGTCATATGTTGAAGCCCTAAGCCCCTATGTGACTATATTTGGAGATAGGAACTTTAGGAGGTAATTAAGGTTAAATGAACTCATAAGGGTGGGACTCTAATCTGATAGACTGTGACCTTATAAGAAAAAAAGAAGACCAAGTGCTGGGCTCACAACTGTGATTCTAGCACTTTAGGAGGCCAAGGCAGGAGGATTTCTTGAGCCCAGGAGTTCCAGACGACCCTGGGCAACACATCTCTCCACCCCATCTCTACAGAAAATTTAAAAATTAGCTGGGTGTGGTGGCGCATGCCTATGGTCCTAGCTACTCAGGAGGCTGAGGTGGGAGGGTCACTTGAGCTCAGGAGGTGAAGGCTGCAGTGAGTAATGATCGCACCACCACACTCCAGCCTGCGTGACAGAGTGAGACCCTATCTCAAAATAAATAAATAAATGGGAAAGAGATCTCTCTCTCTGTCTCTCTCTGTATTTCCCTCTTTCCCCCTACTATGTCAGGACGCAGCCAGAAGGCATCATTCTGCAAGCCAGGCGTAGGACCTCCATCAGCCATGCTGACACTCTTACCTCAGAATTCCAGCCTCTAGAATTGTGAGAAAATAAATTTCTGTTGTTTAAGCTATTATAGCTGTCTATGGTATTTTTAAATGGCAGCTCCAGAGGTTTAAGACACCTATAATCTAAGATATCGGAAGATCAACTTTGGCCGGGTGCGGTGGCTCACGCCTGTAATCCCAAGACTTTGGGAAGCAGAGGAGGACGGATCACAAGGTCAGGAGTTCAAGACCAGCCTGGCCAACATGGTGAAACCCTTTCTCTACTAAAAATACAAAAATTAGCTGGGCATGGTGGCGCGTGTCTGTCATCTCAGCTACTTGGGAGGCTGAGGCAGGAGAATCGCTTGAACCAGGGAGTCGGAGGTTGTGGTGAGCCAAGATCGCGTCGCTGCACTCCAGCCTGGAGACAGAACGAGTCTCCATGTCAAAAAAAAAAAAAAAACACCCTTCAACTTTTAGATATTCGAACAAAAGAAACTCTGAACATAAGTCTAAGGAGCTATGTACAACAAAAGTTGAAACTCACCTAAATATTCATAAATAGGAGAATAAAGAAATAAATTGTCCTACACTGATACAGTGAATACTATAAAACAGTTAAAAACAAATGACTCATCTACTAATCTGCAGTTGCCAATATCTCAAAATTTTAATATGGGGTGGAAAAGGCCAAGTTGCATGTTGATGTGTCAAATATGACAGCATTTGTATAAACTTTCAAACACAAAGCATTTTAATTTCTGTAAATATGCATGTGAAGCAGAAGTATTAAAATGTGTTGGAAAGAATATTCACCACCTCCAAAATAGTGGTTGACTCTGGATGGGAGGGAAAAAAAGAAGAGTGGGGGTATAAAAAGGACCCTCAATTGTATTTTGTTTGCTACCTGTAGGTGGGTTAGTCCATCTCCATTTTTCCTGTCATTCACTCTGAGCTCAGTGCAGTCTGTATTTTGCCCCAACCACAACACCAAAGCATATCTTGCCAAGACACCAACAACTTCCACAGTGACACTACACTGTCCATATTTTACTTGACTTCAGCAGGATTAGCCCTTCCTTTCTTCTCGATATTATCCCCTTACTTGGCTTCTGAAGACACCTGGCTCCTTTTCAGGTTTCTGTGTTACCTCCTTCTAGGTCAATAACAGAATGAATGCCCAGTGATTATTCCTGGGCATCTTACATTCTGGCATCTCTCTCCTGGTATTATCATCCCATCTAGATATTAATAACTCCCAAATTCAAATCTCTAGCACCGATTCCTTTCCTTGAGCTCTTGGCTCATATCTAAATGTCAACTTGACATTCGGACTTGGATGTCTACTAATTATCGCAGACATAATATGTTCCAGACTGAACTTCATGATCTCTTCCCATCCCCAAACATTCTTATGTGCCAGTCTTCATTATAAGTGGCTCTACATTCATTCAATTTCCCAAGTCCACATTCTAGGAGTCATACCTAATTCCTCTCTTTAGCTCCCTCTGCATCAATTATCACCAAGTCCTGTTGGCGCTACCCTGAACTTACCCCATCTCCACAATTTCTTGCCTGGATTGATGTATTTGCCAATCCTCCATTTGCTATCTCTGCTTTCACTCTCTCTTGCCATTTTCCACAAGTAGCTTAAGGGATCTTTTTTCTTTGTATCTGTTTTTTGTATCTAAAGGTTTCATAATAATATGTTGTATGTAAAAATAACAACCAAAAAAATCCCAGTCTATACCCATATACCCACTATATGCAACTTAATTAAAACAACATTGCAAACATTGGTGAAAGCTCTCAATATGTCTCCCTAATTAGGTCCCCTTTCTTCCCCATGAAAGGTAAGCATTAATCTGTATTTTGGTTTGTCATTTTCATGCATTTTTATACATTTTTATCCTTGTTCTTGATTTCTAAGCAATACATACAATGCTTGGGAGTTTTAAATTATATTTATGGGTATCATACTAGGTGTTTTTTCTACAACTTTCTTTCATTCCACAGTATGCTTGTGAAATTGATCTACTTTGATACCTCTGACTCTTATTCATCAATTTCTCACTGCTGTATAGTATCCTAAATATAGAAAATAATTTATTTTCCCATTGATACTTTCTTTTTTGTTATTACAAACAATGCTATTATGAACATATTTGAGGTGTTTCCTTGCATACATATACAGTACTTTATTTAAGATATGTATTCAGTGGTAGGATTTCTGGGTTGAAAAGAATAAGCGTCTTCAACTTTTCTTGGTATTTTATACCACTCTCCACGATATCGTTTACCACTCTAACCCCCACCAGCAGTGTGTAAGTACCGATTTCTCTACATCTTTTCCAGCATGTTATACGGTAGGTCTATTGACTTTTACCAATCTGATGGGAATGAAAGAGTATCTTTTGGCTTTTAAAATCTGCATGTCCCTGAACACCGGTCCCCTTGAGCATCTTTTTCATGTGAATTGACTTCCATTTTCCTATTGATATATTTAACCCACTTTTCTATTGAATTTTTTCCTTCTTCTTGATTTGTAGGAATTTTTATATTTATTCTAGATACTAACCATTGGTTGGTTTTATGATTGCTTGTCTCTTCCCTTTTTAAATCTTATTTTTTGGTAGAAGTTTTTATTTTAACAATAAAAAGTATGATTTATGAATCTTCTCCTTTGCAGTTTGCTTTCTATGTCTTGTTTAAGAAATCTTGCCCTACTCTGACCTTCCAGCAATGTAAATCAGACAACATCTGTGTTCTGCTTAAAATCCTCCAATGACTACCTTTGCCTGAAAATAAAATCCAATTTCCTTCCTTGCCTGCGTCTCTGACCTCACGGTGACACTGCCTCCCTCGCTTGCTATGTGCCCACCTTCTCTTCATTCCTCAAACACACCAAGCTCATTCCCAGTGCTCAGGGTCTCCCTGTTTCCTGCTGCCTTGATTGATCTTTGCTGATTAGGCGCATGGCTGGTGTCGTCTTGTCACTTTGGTCTCAGCTCGAAGATCACCTCAGAGCGACCTCCTTTGACCTAAGTATCCCAAGCTCCTCCCTCCATCATTTTCTAGAACGTCACCCCCACTTTCTATTCTCTGCAACCCCATGGCTGTATGGGATCCTCGTGTGTGTTCATCTGCTCTCACTCTATCATCGCTACTGATGTGCAAGCATCTTCGAAGCAAGGGCCCTCACCTTCCTGCTCCCTCTGTACCTTCAGCTGTGGAGCAGTCATTAATGCACAAAAATGCACACAATCGCTATCTGTTGAATGAATAAATAGAGAGCACGTATGGGGACCTCGTCCCAAGATGATGAGAAGGCAGCTGTCTGCAAAAGTCTGTAAAGATCACAGAGGTGAGATACTGAGCAAGAGACCCAAGACATGTGTCCTTCTTGTTTCTAAAGAGAATACCAGAGTAAAATGGAACCAAAACAATCAAAAATATAATAGATTTTTAAAGAAAAAGTGTTTCTGAAGGAAAGCTGAGTCTTCCCTCAACCTAATCTATTCTTAACACAGCTGTCAGAATGTTCCTTTCACAGCACAAGTCAGATCAGGTTTCTTGTCTGCTCAAAACGTTGCAGTGGCTCCCAGGTCACTCAGAAAGAAAGCTGAAGCCTCCGTCATGGTCACAGGGCTCTACTGGACCCAGCACCCTGCACTCCCTGACCTCCCCCTGCTCTCCCCTCCCGTCTCCTCTGCAGTTCGCTTCTCGCTGCTTCCCTCAGCTGTGGCTCCCTCTACATGAACCTCCTGTCCTTCAGGATGTGCACTTGGCTTCGACCCTCACCTCCTTCATCTTGGGCTCAAATGTCACCTTCCAAGAGAGAGCTACCCAAAACCACCCTACTGAAAATTGCATCCCACCTCTATCCAGCAGGTCCCTATCCCTTCCCAAACACTATGTAATTTACTCTGTTTTTTTTCTTTTTTAGACAGAGCCTGGCTCTGTTGCCCAGCCTGCAGTGCAGTGGCACAATCTCAGCTCACTGCAGCCTCCACCTCCCAGGTTCCAGCGATTCTCCTGCCCTGCCCTCCCGAGTAGCTAGGACTACAGGCGCATGCTACCACGCCAGACTAAATTTTTGTATTTTTAGTAGAGACAGGGTTTCACCATGTTGACCAGGCTGGTCTCGAACTCCTAACCTCCAGTGATCCACCTGCCTCAGCTTCCCAAAGTGCTGGGATTACAGGCATGAGCCAGCGCACCTGGCCTGTAATTTACTCTTTATGTTGTGTTTCCTAACCATCTCTCTCCATGAAAATAAAATCTGTGTGCTGGGAAAAAGTGATACAGAATCAACACCAAGTCACATTTGGGTAAATTTACAGAATCTCCATTTCAAAGGAATCCAGGCAGAGGAAGAGAATACCTCATGGGGGCAGGGAGGAGGGTGGAACCAGGCTAGCAATGATTTTTCCTTGACTGTTTGTGCCAGAACACAGTAGGGCAATGCCCGCGGCATTCTGAAGGAGAAAGCACATTAACACAGAACTGCAAAAGAGGCCAAGTTGTCCTCCATGTGTACATGTCTTTCATGTATAAAGGCAATAGATATTCTCAGCCATGCAAGAACCCAAGGAAATTAGAACTGCCCAACTACCACTTTCTGAACTAGTTCGCTGGGAATTGCATGGAGTAAGGTGAGGCCACGGTGTTTGCTGTGTGCTGTTTCTGTTCCCCGGGAGTGTTCATGACATAATTTCAGCTGTGGACCACAGGGCTGTCATTTGTTGAGTGACTAAGTACCACTGACCAGGGCTTTTCACCTCTCATGTATGAAAACCACACAACTTCATTTATGAGACAAATACTTTTAGCCCATTTTACAGGAGATGCAAAGCAGAGCAAAGGTAAACAACTTCCTAGAGTATTCAGTGGCAGAACCAGGGTTCAAATCCAGGTTTGCCTAGCAACAAGGCTTGTACTACATCGATTATAAAGATTAACCTGGCACCTGCCAAACAATTATGTGAACAGTCCCTACAGGCCATGTCACAAAGTTGAGATCTTCATTGTATAAAAATATTTTCCAAATCTGGATTTCTATGTTCCAATTGTTCAAGAATATGTCAGGGAGCAAAATCCCCACCCAGAAATGATACAGAAAGGACTGAGACTTTCCATCTAGAAAAGGAAATAGGAATAAAGAACTTCATGAATATAGTCTTTAATACCGTGAGTTTCATGGATACAGTTGATGCACTTTGAAGCTTGAGAACAAATAAAAAATAAGAGGAAGGCCCTTAACAGTCTGTAAGCAACCTGTGTAACCTACCCCAAAATGTGAGAGTGGCAGGAAATGTAACTAGATTCAAACCGCTTGGACACTTGGAAATCTGGTACCCTAAGAATCTATTTCCCATGTGAGAGTGTGGCCATCAGAAGGGAGACATGGTATCAGGAAGATCTGAGCCTGAATCTTATTCCTCCACTTATTAAACAAGCTATTTCAACACTGTGCAGCTCAGCTTCTTTAGCTATAAAAAGTGTCTAACTCACTGAATTGGTTTAAACAATTAGTGATAGAACATAAGTAAAATATTTAGCGTATCATCTGGTTCATTATAAGGTCTCAGTATGTGTTTACGATTATCAACGATAATGACAGTAGTTATAATACCCTCATGAAGCCTTTGGGAGCTTGATGCTAGCATGTTAGCAACAGGACTCCATGCAATATTGCAAGTTTTTTGTTGTTTTGTTTTGTTTTGTGGATGGAATCTCACTCTGTTACCCAGATTGGAGTGCGGTGGCATGATCTCAGCTCACTACAACCTCTGCCTCCCCGGTTCAAGCGATTCTCCTGCCTCAGCCTCCTGAGTAGCTGGGACTACAGGCATGTGCCTTCATGCCTGGCTAATTTTTGTATTTTTAGTAGAGATGGGGTTTTGCCATGTTGGCCAGGCTGGTCTCGAACTCCTGACCTCAGGTGATCCACCGACTTCAGCCTCCCAAAGTGCTGGGATTACTATTGCAGTTTCTTTACATTTGCTCCTATTGACTCTCCTCTGTCATCTATTTTGACCTTTCCTTTTTGACCTTGGCTTCTATTTGTCAGAGGGGAGGTAAAAATTGTCCTATCAACATCCACATTAGCTTCCACCAGGGCCTAAGGAATCATCATGTAACTTTCCCTTACCTATCCTTTTCCTCATTCTCATGGGCTAAAATATGAGCCTTTTGCTTCTGACCTTTGAAGGCTGAATACGCCACATTAATGTGGTGTGCAAATGTGTGCCAAGCATCCACGAGTAAAGTACACTTAATATTCAAGGGATATTTAATATATCTTTTTACTTATCCCATAGACTTGCTGTTAGAAGAAAGCAATAACTTGTTTCACCCAACTCTTATGACTGGCTTCATTTAATTTTTAAGGAATTATTTATTTACGTCATTTCTGTTGCTACTTGATAAAGAAATATTGCATTTTTAGAGATAATGGCTGGAAGCTCAGAAAACAAAACAATAAAGTGAGGAGAAAAATAGCAGAAGTGAAATAGGAGTAATTAGACTTGAATCTGACATCACTTTCTATAGCTAATGCAATATATTAGTGCAAGAAAGAGTAACTGTTTTCCATTTACCCTAGTATTTATGATCATTATAAAAAATCACAATCATATTTAGGGAAGTTCTTGGTGTAAGCCAGTGTATAGAAGCTTTTTACTTGAACTGCATTACGCTGACCCATTTCCGAGCAAGTGATTTTTTCTGCACACACACAAAAAATTTTTCAAAAAAAATGAAATGTTGCCAACATCATTCTTTTTATATCAAATTTACATACGTTCAAATAACGAATGCAATATCTGCTACTGTTCCAAAACATTCCCTTATTATTTCTGTATCACCAAAGTGTATCCTTTTGGGGGTTAAAATTTCAGCAATTACTGGAACATGCTGGAACATCTCGTCTTATTACCCTTTAAAAACATTTTGCTGTTGAGTAAGACACCGTGGAATCTGGTTTATATTTACTTTCCTTAACTGGACCTGTGTTGTGAAATGAGGTTTGCTTCTTATTATTGTATTCTTTTTTAAAAACTTTTTTCTACTTTAAACTTATGAATTGCAATCTAAGCAATGTGACAAAAATGAGTTCATGACATTGTTGCTCATCGGCAATGTGGGTCCCCGGCTGGGGGCCCTCTACACCCTGGGGTTCTCATGCCTGAGAACAGCGAAAGGAGATAAACACACTACTGAGCCTGAACTTGTCACCAGAGCCACCACTGTAAACCCCGGCCTGAGCTGCACATCACCTGTCCCCAGATGTGGCCATCAAGATGAGTACAGAGACTTCTGACTGCTGTCAATGACCCTGTGACTGCTGTAGGCTTTGGGCCCAGTTTGGGCATCTCACTCATGTGCCCAGCCTTTGTCCTGCTCCATCACCCCTGACTGAGGCCATTACCAATTCATGCTCTCAGAACTACCATCCAGACAGATGCAATGTCTAGCTCTTCCCCTCTACACCAGGCCTGGCCAAGAGAAGCCCCCAGCAGCACAGGAGGCCCAGAGTGAGAGCAGGGGTACATTGAATTGCCTACTTCATGGTGCTCAGGAGCCTCCTGTTTGATAAGGTAGCCACTAGCCACATGTGGATTTTCAAATTTCTTTTTTTGTTTGTTTTCGTTTTTGTTTTTTGAGACGGAGTCTTGCTCTGTTGCCTAGGCTGGAGTGCAGTGGCATGACCTCGGCTAACTGCAAGCTCCGCCTCCTGGGATCAAGCGATTATCCTGCCTCAGCCGCCTGAGTAGCTGGGATTACAGGTGCCCGTAACTGCACCCGGCTAATTTTTGTGTTTTTAGTAGAGATGGGGTTTCGCCATGTTGGCCAGGCTGGTCTCAAACTCCTGACCTTAGGTGATCCACCCTCCTCTGCCTCCCAAAGTGCTAGGATTACCGGCATGAGCCATCGTGCCTGGCCTCAAATTTCAGTTCATTAAGTGCAAAGAAAACTTGAGCTCAGTTTCTCAGCCTCAATATTTCACATGCTGAACAGTCACAAGTGTCTAGTAGCTATGGAAGTGGACAGCAAAGAGTATGGAAGGTTCCCGTCACTGCAGAACATTCCCATGGACAACACTGCCCTGGAAGGTATCACACGTCCTGCAGCTGACGATTGTTAGCCCAGGAGTTCTGCTAGCTCAGTCTGAATGGAAAGGAGCCCTGTCTTTTTCTGACTCTGTCACCTGTTGCGGATTGGGGTAAGTCAGCTCTTCTCTTTAGGGTTTTATGTCTCTTCCTGAGAGGGCTCCCCGGAATTAGATTTCAGTCCATGGTGGAAGGAGGGCGGGACTCACATGGTCATGGGTCCTAGGTTACTTGCCTGTGCTTTGACCTTTCGTAGAATGGCTTTTATTGAATTGAGGTTTTGCACTGTCTTCTACTTATGGGAGGACAGTCATAGAAAATTCAGTATTACAAATTTAGTGTAGGGATCTTTTGAACTTTAGAAAAATTATATTACATAGTTTTCTTTTTATAAGACCCAAGGGGAGAAATTTTTCTCAGATCCTGGGGCCAGGACAAAATGTCCTCCTCATAAGCAATTCATGGGTATTTAGGTTTTAAAACAAGGTCAATATTGTAACTAATTTCATTTTCCTCTTTGTTTGCACTATGAGGAGGCTCAGAGCAACAACATGCGAAGCAATTGGGCTGAATCTTGTGGTTGTCATTTTTCTTTCTTGGTTGTATCTCTAATAAAAGCTTTTTGAAAGCCACCAAAATATTTTTGAGAGAAAACTGGAATTGGAATAAATTACTTTATCAATAGAAGGAAATATATTTGCAGAACCTCCAAATGCATATATCATGAAAATACATAATCTAAAATCCAGGCTAAGAAAATCCATCTGTTGAGACGATATTCTTACAAAGGTGCGTTCTCAAGAGACTTGACCCTCCGTTGAGAAATCTGGTAAACAGGTATTTGTGGAGTACAACAAAAGACTAAAAGAACTTAATGTGCCTGAAGTTATAAACACAAATGCAAATGTTCTAAGGACTAAAAAATTTTTTTAAATTTATCACTTTGTTTTTAAGCAAAGGGTTTTTGTTGCTGTTGTTAAAAAAAAAGTTGAAAGTTTCTAAAACTGTCACATTGACAGAGTTCTCACCATTCCCACACTAAGCATGATCTCTATCATTGAAAACTATCTCTTGACTGAGGAATAAATTAGTAAAAGTAAAAGCATCTCACTCCTCAAAACACTTACTTTAGCATTGTCAAAATGTAGTTTGTTTTGTTAAAGGGTACTTTAAATTTTAAAAAACTTTCCTAGAAAGCTACAAATAAGGCAACTTCCCACTCAGAATTATATTGTCATGGTATCATACTTAACAAAGAAAGAAAAATAATTGTTTTGGAATTAAAATTTGAAGATTCTGACTAGAGTAGACCCAGATATAGTACATGAGAGCTGTCTGGAAAGTACTGAATTGTTGCTTAGTTGAAGTAACAGAACCCAAAAAAATCTCCTACACAAAGGCAGCCATAGAGTTTCAGCCCAAACATGTGCTCTATAGTGATCATCTGACATGCTGCTTTCAGGAAGAAGATACTACTCATCCCTGTGTTGAGTCATATAAAACAGTGCAGAGCATTCTTTTTGTTAAATATCTTAGTCTCTTTCATATTTGTAACACAAACACATGATCATCAATATAATTATGTCTTCTCAATCATTTGGTCAAATAAAGGGCAAGAAAAGAGAAAATTATTTAAATAATAATAAATTATGGTGTTTGAGAATTTATTGAGTGCTTTGCACGCTGGCCAGTGTTCTAGATGGATTCTCTTATTAATGATTTAACAAACTATGGGGTAGGTACTGCTCCTAATTTCATTATATAAAAGAGGGAACTTGGGGACTAATTTTTCCAAGGTCCACAGCCCCTCCTCAGTGATAGATGGGACTGTAATCCAAGACTGAGTGCTTGACCACAGCTCTGTAAACCCTGTAAAGAGGATAAAAGTCCTGACTGCAAGTCAGTGGTACAGCTGAGAAAAAAAAAGGAAGAGGGACCCAGATCTCACCAACCCCACACTGCAAGAGCCCTCCTAAGCTCCGTCTCCACTGCTTAGAATGAATGGGAGCAAGCCATGCCATTAGAACGAATAGGCACACACAAAGACTGGATGGATGGCTCTCCAAATAACTGGGAGAAAACAATTCTGCCTTGGCTCTTATTATCTGATGTCAAACTGTTTCATTCTGCATCTCTGTGAAGAGAGAATAAATGTGTTTTCACTTTTACAAAATTAATTTGCCTATAGTGTATTTAAAGTAATAATCATTCTAATTATCCATCTATTCTGACACCAGATAGTTGTGACCCTGAGTAAGCTTGGCTCTCCTATCTCCCTGCTCCCAATTCCATTAAACAAGGATGGATAAAGGGCTTTCTTATCAAAATACCTTAGTATTTGATGATGAGTGCAACAAACAAATGCTGAGCTGCCTTTGTATCTAGCCTGAAAGACCAGGCATTTTCCAGTGCAGCTTCTATCCACATTTAAAGGCCTAATCCAAATACAGTTTCTATTTGAAATAATAAAGAAATCATTTGGGCCAACATTTTAACATGCAAAAATAATTTAATACTAACAGCTGGCTGGACATCTGTCTACACATTGTGGCCCACTTCATCTTCCAAATACCTAGGCTATCCCTAGAATGAACCTGCATTGACCCTATGCCCCTTTCCAGATTGAGTAGAAGTGTTCAGGGAAGCGGGAGAGAGGGTCAACCCTTCCCGTTACTTCAGTCTTTGGGAACTGGTATGTCTCAGCTTGAAGGCTTGTGGCTGGTGGCCCTGCATATCCACCTCAAGGGTGTGGCTGAGAGGGCCTTGTGGCCTCCTTGAGAAGGGGATGGCATCTGAGCTCTCCCAGCCCCTGGGTGCTGCCAGCTGCCTCCTAAAGTAGGAAGCCTCTTACCAGCCCGCAGGACGGCTGGGTAAGCAGCCCTGAAGGAGCAATAATTCAAGCATTTTTATGATATATTTCAGCTGTCTTGGGATTCTCCCCCACTGCATCTAAACTTTGGCATTTATAACTCATTCCATGTGAAAGTAAGGGACTTCCTGGATTTGGGTCTAAGATTGCAGTTGCTGTTTATAAGTTTGATTAATCCAGCATTGTCTGTTTTTGTAAAATAGCTTATTTAGATATATTTGATTAGCATTTGTTGGGCTCCTTTGTACCTGCTTGTTCTCTCCTGAAGGTGAAGGAAAATACCATTCCTTACCAATCTTTCTTCTTTCCCTTGCTCTGGTCCAAAGGGGAAATTAACTTGGCTCTAGCTGACCAGCTACTGGCCACCTCCCATCTTCACCCTTACGTGAGGCCTGGGAACTTGGCAGGGGGTGCAGGGATGTAAGTCCTGATGTCCATATGCGGGAGAAGACAGATGCCCCAGCTCAAACAGAGAGGATAAATTCACCTTTCCTCTACCTTTTTTGTTCTATTCGGGCCCTCAAGGGATTGGATAGTGCCTATTTGCAATGGTGAGGGCAATCTTCTTTATCCAGCCCCCAGCTCAAATGCTAATCTCTTCTGGAAACACTCTCACAGACACACCCAGAAGTAATGTTTACCACTATCTGGGCATCCTTTAGCCCAGTCAAGTTGACACATAAAATTAACATCACAGCTGATGTGGGTCCTGAGTGGGCCTCCTCGGAGGGTTTGCTGTAGAAGGGCCCTCTGCAGATTTGAATAGCTCTTTCCAAGCAAACAGGCAGATCAAAAGTGAAATGATCAAAGAGAGTCTAACAAAGACATCGCGCCTGAGTGAGGTGAAGTGTGAATTGTGGAAGCTCTGTTTATGTTCCGATTCCTTGGGGAGTTGGGTACAAAGGCAAATTTTATTGCAGTAATGAAAAAAATCCATTGATTTACATGGTTCTGAAAATGCATCTAGCCAGATGAAAGAACACAAACAAAACAAGAATTAACATGATTCTCCTCCTGTCTCCTCCCTCCTCTTCCCTTCATGAATGTGGGTTTTGGGAGGAAATATGACTTGTGGATGAGGCAGAAAGCAGGGGCAAACTTCAGATGCTGCCTGGTTCCACCACGTGGACTTGTCTCGCCAGCCATCCAGATGGGCAGAGTGACAGGAGGAAGGCTTCCTGCCAGCTCCTAGCTGTCCCCATCCTGAGTTCCTATTTGACATGTTAAACAATTACTCAGATAAAGACATAAAAGGCATGGAGAGTATCAATTCTCCCCCCGACCTCTCTCATCTGAACCTTCTTCTTGTGTTTGGAGAATTGCTTACATAATAAGCCCTGATGGGAAGCAGAGCTTACCTCCAAAAATAGATTCTGAAAGTGTCAGACACTGGTTGGGCGCGGTGGCTCACGCCTGTAATCCCAACACTTTGGGAGGCCAAGGGGGGCAGATCACAACGTGAGGAGATTGTGACGTTGATGAAACCCCGTCTCTACTAAAAATACAAAAATTAGCTGGGCATGGTGGTGCGTGCCTGTAATCCCAGATGCTCGGGAGGCTGAGGCAGGAGAATCGCTTGAACCAGGGAGTCGGAGGTTGCAGTGAGCTGAGATCGTGCCACTGCACTCCAGCCTGGCAACAGAGTGACATTCCATCTCAAAAAAAAAAAGTGCCAGATATTTGGGTCCCAGGCCTCCGTGCAGCTGGAGTGTGGATAGGTGACACAACCACTCAGGCTCACCGCCCTCCACCCACTTTGAACAGAGGATAGGAACTCAGAATAGTGACTGAGACAAATTCCTTCTGGTGGCAGAAGCTCTGGGTTTCCAGGTCACCACTGGCACCACTGTAGCATCTATGTCCATGGTCCAGGGCCAGACACTGAGCAGGCAATGCCATCCAGGCGCCAGGAGCAGCAACATCCTCTGCAGCTGGGCTCTGTCGAGTGGTTTGTGATGCCATCCCTTCTGCTGCTCAGGCTACCTTCTCCCTGTTCCACCCAAAGTTCTGTGACCTTTCCAGTGCACCAATGAACCACTCAAAATATTTGCAATCAATTTCTTCTCTGCTTATAGCAGCCAGAGTTGGCTTTGTTGCTTCCGACTAAGAACCGTTGACTGGCAGCATGCTTTTCAAACTTTACCAAAGCCATGAGGCTGGAAGGAAAGCAATCTACTGGATGGCGTAACAGGATACAAAAGACTATCAGGAGTTGGAAACTAAGAAGAGGATATCAAACAGATAAATGGGTGTGCCCAAATTGAGCCCAAAATCCAGCACCATGAGACCAGGCTTGAGCAATACTTCTCCAACCTGAGTTGGAAAATTCAGACACTTTCACAAAACAAAGGGACACTCTCAGCATTGATTTTAAATATATTTTTTATCACATTGCTACTCAAATAAAAGAAATGTAAAATTAAGTATAAGCACCTTATGATCATGGCTCATTTACAGTTATAAAACCAAAACAAATTTACAAATTAATTACCAGCAGAACTACAAAAGCAATAACATCCAAATTAACGTCATTAATTTAATGTGAGAGATGATAATGTTTTGCTGAAACGGGATCATTGCTCGCCACATGACTCTGGCAGCGACTGCTAAGGCACGTGGGGTTTCTGAGAGGGGCTGGCCTGTCTACACTCCCCAAGCTAGGAATCCACTGAGCCCTGTAAACCCTCCCATCCGTCACATTTCAGCTTCCCCCCAATTTTTTTTTGTTGCTGCTGTTGTTGCTGTTCCTTTCACCCTTTCCTCCCTGCTCCTCTTAATTTTTATCAGAGTCTTGTCTCCAGCTAGCTGGGCTTTTGTCTTGGTGCCCTGACTTGCATCAGATTTTCTTCTTTCTGTGAATCAGTCCTTCCTAACTGAGTCCTAACACCCTGGGATTGAAGGCATTGGCCCAGTTGAAGCCCGGGGTGACCTCTGGTCAAACTAACTGAGGCCAGAAGGCAAGATCAAGTGGTGCTCATATGATGGCTCCCACAGCACCTTGGCATTAATGAAGATGCGGAGGGACAGTTCACAGCACAGTGATGTGGGACAGCCACCTCAGAGTAGTACAACATGGCTAAGTCATGTGTGACGCAGCTCCTCCACCCTGGTGCAAATGTCATGAAAGGTCTTAGGCATGTCCATCAGGGGACATATGTGAAGATGTTCATGGAAGCATTGTTTGTGGTGGCAAGGGGTGACCTGGTTTCCATCACTGGGAAAGTAATCCATGGCAGATAGATGCTGTGGCATACCATGCAGCAATGCAGCAATTAGAACCCATGGCAGTTCACATACCAACACGTGGTAGGAACTAGAATGAGACTTAAAATCCTATTTCAAAAGTAAAGATACCTACAAAAAAACTACGCATTTTGCAAAAAGCCATGCAAATATAAAGTGCATATCAAATTTAAATGTTTGCATGTAATAGTGAGCAGGAAGGGTAATGAAATGTGTTGATAAAAGACTAATATAAAAACAAACTCACTAACAAACAAGAGAAGAGCTTTATGTGAATGAATGAAAATAGTTTCTATGAATGTTAATGTTTAATGAATGCTTAAGTCGACCCTCTACGCCCAAAGCAAAAGAAAGAGAAGAGGAGAAAGAAGGGGAGGGAGAGAGGAAGAAATGAAGTGTTGAATACTACAGGTATCTGTCACACATGCAAATTACAAAGTTTTTTTTAAATCTTACATGATAAGAAAAAGTATTTTGAAAGTTGCAATTAGAAAATCACACTTCAAAAGGCAATAGGAAAATTAGCCGGGCCTGGGGGCATGCGCCTGTAGTGCCAGCTACTCAGGAGGCTGAGGTGGGAGAATTGCTTGAACCCAGAAAGTGGAGGTTACGGTGAGCCGAGATTGTGCCACTGCACTCCAGCCTGGGCAACAGAGCCATTACCCTGACTTTGACTTATCCAAATGCAAGTCTACCAAGCATGGTTGGAACATAATGAACATGAAGCTATTCTCTATTGCATAATAAGTTTGCACACAGCTTTATCTTTACAAGCCAGAATAATCTGTGCTATTTCAGTTACATTTGAGTGAAATACCCTAGTCAGGATTCACGAAAACATTTTATTAACTGATTATAGATCTTGTCGCTTTGGCAGGGAGACTAAGAAGTGCACTTCTGACCTAAAAATCCTTCGGCAGAGATTGAATGACATACCAAGTGTTACAATTCCCCATCCAATTGCCAGTAAGAGATGCTAGGAAAATGACATTTCTTTCTAACAGGCATCAGCCATATATTAAATAAGATGATGATTTTCATAGTTATCTTGGAATATGTGAAAATCTTTTAAGACTTTGCAGATAAGTTTTAAAAATAGTTGCTTTGTGTACACAAGAATCAACACCAGTTGATTCTTAACTCCAAGGCATAAAATGAAGCTTGTTATGGTTTGGCATTGAATTGAACTTTCACCTTAAATTAAATCACAGTAAGAAGACATACAAACAAATTATATGACATCTCTCAGCTGCAGGAAACATCATACAGCTTAAAATGTATTTACTTTCCAGTCCATTCTAGGTAACTATCAGTTTGTGTAAATATCTGAGTTATTCATGATGTAAATATTTTGCTTGATAGCCATGCGCCCTCCCATTCCTCAGCTCCATTACAGATAGGTGGAACCATGTGAATGGGGATGGGAATCATGAGTGTCACATGATGGGAATCATGAGTGTCATATCTGATTTGAGGTTTTAAAACCCGAAGTCAGCGCTCCACCCTCCCACCTTCCCACCTGCCGTGACCACAGAGTGCCCATATGAGGTGCTATAGCACCTCTCAGCATGGGTCTTTGAGAGACTATGAGATACAAGCTCCCTGCCTATTTGCACTGGGTAAGTGGCACAAATGAGAAAGAAACCTTTGTTCTATTTAAGCCACTGAGATCTGGGGGTTGTTTGGTTACTACAGCATAAACTAGTCTATTCTGACTAATATTCATATTGAATGACTTGGTTAACAAATAACCCAGTTGATTACCACAGGGAAGGAACAAAACCAGATTAAAAGATAATTGGCACCGGAAATAAAGGGCATCGAAATTGGAAAGGAGGAAGTCAGATTTTCCCTGTTTGCTAATGACATGATCGTATATATAGAAAACCCTATACAGATTCCACCAGAAAACAGTTAGTATTAATAAACAAATCCAGTAAAGTGGCAGGATACAAAATCAACGCTGAAAAAAATCAGTAGTGCTGCTACATGCCAACAGTCTGCCAAAAAAAGTGATCTATAGATTCAATGCAATTCCTATTAGAAATACCAATTACATTTTTTCACAGAAATAGAAAAAGCAGTCCCAAAATTTGTGAAGAATCCCAAAAGATCAAGATTTTTTTGGCTACATGTGATCTTTTGTGACCTCAAATAGCCAAAGCAATCTTGAGCAAAAAGAATAAAGCTGGAGGCATCACACTACCTGACTTCAAAATATACTAGAAAGGAATAGTAACCAAAACATCCTGGTATAGACATACAGACCAAAGGAACAAAATAGAGAATCCAGAAATAAATTCATGTACTTACAGCCAACTGATTTTCAACAAAGGCACCAAGAACACACATTAAGAAAAAGACATAATTAGCTGGGTGTGGTGGTGGGTGCCTGTAATCCCAGCTACTTGGGAGGCTGAGGCAAGAGGATCACCTGAGCCTGGAGGTCAAGGGTGCGGTGAGCTGTGATCATACCACTGCATTCCAGCCTGGGCCACAGAATGAGACCCTGTCTAAAAAAAAAAAAAAAAAAGAGTCAATAGGGAGTAACTGGGCTTTTCAAATATTAGATTTCACTATAGAGAGTGCAATCAGCTTTAGGTGAAAGTGGTTTTAGGACTATTAACAATATCAGTGTTCAGGGTCCTTTTGAGAGGTAGACTGAGTAGAAACCAAAGACTGGAGATCCCTCTCCAGGTGGGAGGTTCACTACTCCAGGTGGGAGGTCCACTAAGGTTGTGGTCATGAAAATGAAAGGAAGAGAGAGATATGAATGGCCTTTTGAAGAATCTACAGATACTTGTCACTGAATAGATGCACAAAGCAAAGGGGGATAACTACCAAGTCCCTCACTCATTCCTTCATTCTTTCATTCAGCAAATACATCTTAAGCACCCAGCACCTAGCAGACACTATTCTACACTCCTGGAATACAGCTGTCCCTGCATTACTGGAACTTAAATGCTAGTGGAGGGGAGACAAACAATAAGCAAATACGACACCATAAATCACATCAGGTGAAGAAAAGAGAACTAGATAAGGGGATAAAGAGGAACAGAGACTGGGGGAATAGTCATTACTATTTCAGTTACAGTGAGCAGAAGGCCACATTGGTAAGGTAACAGTCAAGCAAAATCTGAATAAAATGAAGAAGCAAACCATGTGAACATCTAAGGAAGAGCATTTAGGAAGCAGAACAGTAACTGCAAACACAAGAGGTAGGAGTGTGCCAGAAGTGTCCTTTCCAGCAAGGGATTCATTGGGGCTGGAGTTGAATGAGCAAGGGTCGGCATACAGAGGATGAAGTGGTAGAGGTACCAAGGGGACAAGCCATATTGGTCCTCCTGTACCATGTAAATATGGGAACTTAATTCTGGGTGAGGTGAGGAAGTTGTGGGTGCATTCTATGTCTAGAAGTGTCATTTAAAAGTATTTATTCTAGCTCTTATGTGAGGCATAGACTAGGGAAGGAAGAATGAAAGCTGAGAGACCAGAGAAGTTTGTTTCAGGAAGCCAAGAAAGAATGACGTGGTTTGGACTAGAATGATAGTAGCAGAGATACGGCCATATTTGAAGTGTGTTTTGGAGGTCAAGTTGGCAAAATTTACTAATAAATTTTATTTTAGCTGTGAGGGGGAAGATGGGTATCCAAAAATGATCACAAGTTTTCTGAGCAACTTGAAAAAATGAGTTGTGGATTACTCTGGAAGAAGCAGGTTTTGGGGGAAGTACACTAAGGATTCTTTCTGGGACATGTAAAGTTGAAGATGCCTGTTAAACATCCAAGTGGAGATGTCAGGTAGGAAGTTGGATATAGCATCTAGAGTTCAGGGAGATGGTATAGGTTGAAGATATAAATGGGGGAGTTGTCAGTTGCTATGATCTCCCCAAAATTTATATGTTGGAACTTACTCTCCAATATGATAGTATTGACAGGTGGGGCCTTTAGGAGGCGATTAAGTCATGAGGGCTCCACCTTCATGAATGGGATTAGTGCCCTTATAAAAGGGCCCAAGGGGGCTTGTTTGCCTTTTCCACTATATGAGGATTCAGTGAGAGGACACCATCTATGAGCCAGAATGAACCTTCACCAGGAGCAGCATCTGCTGGTGGTATGATCTTGGACTTCCCAGTCTCCAGAACAGTGAGTAATAAATTTCTATTATTTATAAGTTACTCAGCCTAACGTATTTTGTTATAGCAACCTGGATGTATTCTGACACCCACCTATAGTATTTAAAGCCACGGAAGTGAACAAGACCATTCAGGGAATGAATCTATGAAGAAAGGGGTCTGGCTTCAAATGGAGCCCCAGGGCAGTCTACCACTTAGAGGTCAAGAAGATGAGGAGGAATGCCAAGGAAAGAAACTTGAGAAGAAGTGGTGGGAGAAGACCCAAGAATGTGGTTTCCTGGAGGCCAAGTGAAGAATATGATTCAAGCAGGATGGAGTGGTCACTGTGTCATGTTTCCAAAAGGTCAAATGAGGACTGAGAACAGATCATTGGGCTTGGCACTGGGAGGACAGTGGTGACCCTCATCAGAACGGTCCCCAAGGAGCAGGGAGACCTGTTGGGACCAGGTTGAAGAGAGAACTCTATCAAGGTGTTTTACTGTAAAGGAAAGAAGAGAAAAGGGTCATTTCCCAGAAAAGAAGGGGGCAGGGTTCAAGGTGCTTTTTGTAGTGGGAGAAATTGTAGCATTCTTTTATGCTGATGAGAATGATCTAAAACAGAAGGAAAACCAACAATGGAAGAGAGAGAATAATTACCATTACAGGAAAAGACTCCCTGAATTGGCAGGAGGAAGTAGAATCCAGAGAATCACGGGAGGGTGTGTTAAGTAAATCAATTATGTCTTATAATTTGACAGATTACTTAGGTTTTGCTTCTTTTCATGTTTCAAGTTAACAGTGGAGTCTCTGGATGTTATCTATACCTTATCCCTATTTTTAACTAAATCGGATTTGTATCTAATGCTTCTTGTTGCAAATTATGGTGAAAAAAATTCATACTTTACGTACTTTAAAATGCCTGTTTGAGGGTAAGGGGTAGGGGGTTATGTGGGAGAGTGGAGAAGACTAATACATTGCAGGGGTGTAAATGTGGTTTAATTGGTTTTATAAGGGAATTGGATGGCTTATCTAGAGGTCTAATGGGATGGTTTTGAGGGCCCTAAATCATTGCTTTACACATACCACACCACCTTCAAAAGCCTTCCATAACTCTTACTGTGTAGTGAGGTTGTTTTAATCATGGACTGGATATTGTAGTCCTCAGTCTATCTCTGGAATCCTCCTGTACAACCTTGGACATATTCCAATTTCCTCATTTGTAAAATGGGGATGGTAATGCCTACTTGTCATGTTTGTTGTCATGATTAAATAATACAATGTGTGTAAACTGTTAAGCTAACATTGGGCCAACAGGATGTGCTCAGTAAACTTTAGCGAATACTATAACAGCTATTACTGACTTAGAGGACATTGTGGCAGCCTCTCCAGCGTTTACCAAAACCCCCGTGGTTTTGGTGGTACTGATTCTACTTCTAATTCCTGGGATAAACCCTGAAAGAATATCTTCACTATTTGGTTCAAGTAAGAAAAGTCTCTTTTTTCGTGACTAATAGAAAGGCCCCCTACTCCTTGGGGAGATATATTATATTAATATAATTAATAGAAAGGCCCCCCACTCCAGCAGAGATATATATTGTCCTGCAAGCATCTGGAAGCTATATTGCAACATGATTGGTGTCCACTCTAAGATGAAGTTGACATTTTGAAAGGCAGAGAAGAAATGGAAAGAAGCCAGCTCCATGATGAGTTTGAGTTACTAGTTTAAGCCAACATTTAAGTCAGTTATATGAGTTAACTAATGGTCCTAATATTTAAGCCAGCGTGTGTTGAGTTTTCTATCACCTATTGTTGTAGTCCATTTTGTGCTGCTATACCACAATACCTGAGGCTGGGTAATTTATAATCAACATACATTTATTGGCTCATAGTTCTGGAGGCTGGGAAGTACAACATCAAGGTGCTGGCATCTTGTGTGGGGCAATTTGCTGTTGGAAGGTTGAAAGGGCAAGAGCACAAGAGAGCAAACCCACTCTGGCCATCCTTTTTAATAATGCCATTAATCTATTCATAAGGGCTGAGCCCTCAAAACCAAAACACCTTCCATTACGCCTCACCTCCCAACATTGTCACAATGGGGATTAAGTTTCCAACACATGAACTCCAGGAAGCACATTTAAAGCATAACACCTATGTGTTGGAAAAAAAAAAAAAAGAACACAGACTTAAAGTTTAAGGTAAGATCCAGCTATTTACTAACAGCTAAATACTGGAGGGAAGGGGGAGCATTCACCATTCAGAAGCAAGGAGACTATTTAACTCCATTTCTTTGACTGGCTGCTAGGTTCAAAGTTTAGATCCACAAAATGGGAACGTGGGGAAGGGAAGGGAGTAGTGATAAAGACAATGGATTTTAAAAAAATATTTTTAACTTTTATTTTAGATTCAGGGGGTACATATGTAGGTTTGCTACATGGATGTATTGCAGGATACTGAGGTTTGGGGTTCAACTGATCCCGTCACTCTAGTGTTAAACATAGTACCCAACAGTTAGTTTTTCAACACTTGCCTCCCTTCTTCCCTCCCCCTACTAGTAGTTCCCAGTGTCTATTGTTGCCATCTTTACATCCATGAGTAACCAATGTTTAGCTCCCACTTAACAGTAAGAACATGAGGTATTTGGTTTTCCGTTCCCGCATTAATTCACTTAGAATAGTGGCCTCCAGCTACATTCATGTTGCGCAAAGGGCATGATTTTGTTATTTTCTATGGCTGCATAGTGTTCCATGGAGCATATGTACCACATTTTCTTTATCCAATCCACTGTTGATGGGCACCTAGGTTGATTCCATATCTTGCTATTGTGCCTAGTGCTGCAATAAGCATACAAGTGCATGTGTCTTTTTTGTAGAATGATTTATTTTCTTTTGAATATATACCCAGTAATAGGATTGCTGGGTCAAATGGTGGTTCTGTTTTAAGTTCTTCAAGAAATCTCCAAATGGCTTTCCACAGTGGCTGAACTAACTTACATTCCCACCAATGGTATATAAGTGTTTGCTTTTCAATGCAGCCTTGCCCGCATCAGTTGTTTTCCTGATGATGATGATTATTATTATTTTTGAGATGCAGTCTCACTCTGCTGCCCAGGCTGGAGTGCAGTGGCATGATCTCCACTCACTACAGCCTCTACCTCCTGAGTTCAAGCGATTCTCCTGCCTCAGCCTCCCTAGTAGTGGGGACTACAGGCGTGCACCACTATGCCTGGCTAATTTTTGTACTTTTAGTAGAGATGGGGTCTCACCATGTTGGTCAGGCTGGTCTCGAACTCCTGACCTCAAATGATCCTCCCACCTCGGCCTCCCAGCGTGCTGGGATTACAGACATGAGCCACTATGCCCGGCCTGTTTTTCTGATTTTTAAGTAGTAGCCATTCTGACTGATGTGAGACAGTTTCTTACTGTGGTTCTGATTTGCATTTCTGTGATGATTAGTGATGTGGAAAGTTTTATTTGTGTTTGTCATCCACTTGTATGTCTTCTTTTGAGAGATGTCTATTCATGTTCCTTGCCCACTTTTTAATGGGGTTAGTTGTTTTCTGCTAGTTGAATTAAGTTCCTTATAGATTCTATCCAGAATCTATAAGAATCTATAAGCATATTAGACCTTTGTCAGATGCATAGTTTGCACATATTTTCTTCCATTCTGCAGGTTGTCTGTTTACTCTGTTTATAGTTGCTTTTGCTGTGCAGAAGCGCTTTAGTTTAATTAGGTCTCGCTTGCCAATTTTTGATTTTGTTGCAATTGCTTTTGGGGACTTAGTCATAAATTATTTGCCAAGGCTGATGTCCAAAATGGTGGCCTCCAGGTTTTCTTCTAGGATTCTTATAGCATGAAGACTTATATTAAAATTTTTAATTCATCTTGAGTTGACTTTTGTACATTGTGAAAGGTAGGGGTCCAATTCCAATCTTCTGCATATGGCTATCCAGTTATCCCTGCACCATTTATTGAATAGGGAGTTCTTTCCCCATTGCTTATTTTTGTTAACTTTGTTGAAGACTAGGTGTGCACTGGTGTAGGTGTGCAGCTTTATTTCTGGGTTCTCTATTCTGTTGGCAATGGATTTTTTTTTTTTTTTTTTTTGAGACAGGGTTTCACCCTGTCACCCAGGCTGGAGTTCAGGGTGTGTTCATGGCTCACTACAGCCTTGACTCCCCTGGTTAAGGTGACCCTACCACCTCAGCCTCCTGAGTAGCTGGGACCACAGGCACATGCCACCACACCCGGCTAATTTTTTTTTTTTAATAAACGATATTTCACCATATTGTTCAGGCTGGTCTTGAACTCCTGGGCTCAAGTAATCCATTGGCCTCAGCCTCCCAAAGTGCTGTGATTACAGGTGTGAGCCACTGCACCCAGCCTGCAATGGATTTTTTAATCATAGTAACTCCTAAGAATATCTCGTCATAGAAAGGGGTTACAATACTGCAAAGTATTCTGTGGTGTTGAATATAGTTGTCAACTTAGAAAGCTAGTTTCAAGAGTGCTGAGAAACCCACTTGTCAACAAAGCCATAGTATTTGTCCAAGGAGAGTCAAACTCAAGGGTTCTAATGGGCTCACACTCTAGCCTTTTCTCAAACTATGTGACATGTAACTGTCTATTATGGGGATGACTTCTTCTGCACCTGCAACCAAAAGAGCCTTCATGGATACACAGGATAAAGTTGAAACTCTCATCCATCTGTCTAGACCTGTCGTAGCCCCTGGGACAGGTGCAGGAATAAGATGACCAACAAAATCTCAATGCTCTGCCCTCATGGAGCTCATGATCTACTGGAAAAGATGGATATTTCAATTCTAGGTCTCACAAATCAAGGGATCATACACACAAGTGAAAATGTTAAACCAGTGATAAGTGCCATGGGAGAAAGTCATGTGTTGCAATAGGAGCACATAAAGGAGTCCTGGTCTCTTGTGTTAGTGGAGTGTCACCAACCTTTTGTCCCTCATCCTTCTCCATCTAGCTGGGTAACTTGCTACTGAAGATTTCATTAGCTATTAATATCATTACTGAGTTGTCAGTAGAAACCTTGAGGTAAATCATTAGTAAGTCAATTTCACTACTTGTGAGCAGCTCTGTTGGTTTGTTTGTTTAAATCTAGTTGGGAAGGCTAATGTCTAATAGAACTTGATGTATATTGGTTTATTCAGTGGTTAAAATATAAAAGTATTGCCAAAAGTATGGGGAAACTGGCATACTTATGCAAATTTGGGGAAGAGAGAATCTTACACAATTAATTTGGAAGATTATTTGGCAATAACAAAACCGTGTGTGTGTCTGTGTGTGTGTATATAGTCAGGTACTTAGTTTCTCCCATTTTCTATTTGTAAAGTGGAGGTGCTGCTCACAGTGCCCACCTGGTAGGGGTAAATAAATCTACATGTGTAAAGGAAGCGCTCACAACAGTCCTCTTATAACTTTATCTTAGCTGGTTTTCTTACATCATTATTCTGAAAAAAATTTTTGTCTCATGTTGTAATTTTCCTTAGGAAATTATTTTTTTGAATAGGTATTACATGAACATGGCAGAAAAGTCAAAAGTTACAATAGAGTATACAGTGGAAAGTAAATTTTCCTCCCTCCCCAGCAACCACCCAGTTCCCCCTCCTCGAGGCAACCAATATACATGGATAAATGGACAAACGGATAGATGAACAGATGGATGGAAGGATAAATGCACACATATATAATTTTTTGCTTATGTTATTTTTCCAATAGAATTAAAAAAATATTCTCATCTCATGAAGAACAAGAAGGGAGGAAGAGGAGGAGGAGAATAGGAGGAGGAAGAAGAGGAGAAAGGAGGAGGAGAAGGAAGAGGAGGAGGAAGAGGAGAAAGGAGGAAGAGGAGGAGGAGGAGAAAGAAGAGGAGGAAGAGGAAGAGGAGAAGGAGGAAGAGGAGGAGGAGGAGAAAGAAGAGGAGGAAGAGGAGAAGAAGGAAGAGAGGGAGGAGGAAGAGGAAGAAGAACAGGAGGAAGAGGAAGAGGAGAAGAAGGAAGAGGAGAAGGAGGAAGGGGGAGGAGGAAGAGGAGGAGAGGGAGGAAGAGGAGGAAGAGGGGGAGGAAGAGGAGGAGAAGGGGATGATGGTGGTAATACCTGGCCAGATCTTTCCTTTTCCTGGCTCATGGAGTCTCTGAGAAATGGAGGAGTGATCTCTGGCTTTCCAAGGCATACCCTATAAAGGTTGGGGGCTCACTCTTGTGTAGAGCCTTCCCATCCTGTCTAGTTACCTCATGACTTGGGGAAGATGGTTATACAGAATCCTCAAAATCTCTCTCAAGACAGGATTTCAGTGTGGCACATCTAGTGAGTTCCCCTGTCCTGGAAAGGTTCAAGGTTCTGAATCAATATTTTTAAATCCATAACATGGAGTTTCTTTCTTATTACAAAAATAATAGGTGCACATTACCTTTTTTAAAAGTCAGAAAACATATAAAAGGATAAAAGAAAAAATTTATTCATAATCCTATGATTTATATAGTTTAATCCTTAAATATTACTATGGCTACTGAACTAATAATTTAAAATAAACTAAAGCAAATTAAACAGGAAAGTTAATATCATATCTAAAAATCACAATACAAAAAAAGGATTGGAAAATGTCTCAAATGAATACAGGCATTATTCTAAATAGTTTCTAGGCCAGGCGCGGTGGCTCACACCTGTAATCCCAGCACTTTGGGATGCCAAGGCAGGAAGGTCACGAGGTCAGGAGATCAAGACCATCCTGGCTAACATGGTGAAACCCTGTCTCTACTAAAAATACAAAAAAATTAACTGGGCATGGTGGCGGGTGCCTGTAGTCCCAGCTACTCGGGAGGCTGAGGGAGGAGAATGGTGTGAACCCAAGAGGTGGAGCTTGCAGTGAGCCAAGATCGCGCCACTGCACTCCAGCCTGGGCGACAGAGCGAGACTCCATCTCAAAAAAAAAAAAAAATAATAAATAAATAAATAAATAAATAAATAAATAAATGAAATAATAATTTCTAACATTTTTAAAGGTGGGATTTCAATATGATATTTGGATTAACTTAAGTTTCCTTTATCCTGTAGCTTTTCTTGACCTGGACATAAACATTTGGAAAGTGATAAATATATTCCTTGAGGGATGAATTTTAAAGCAAATCACCTATGCCAAATAATTTATCGTGTGTGAAAACTAGTCTCAGTATTTAATTGCTGGCATTTTGGTTTGTTGCTCTCGTTGCATAAGTTACGCACAGTGTTTGCTCCGGTTCCTTTGTCTCTGCCTCTTTTAATTCCACAGTCAGAAACTAAGATTGTCACTTCACAGGGAAAAAGAAGACAAGGAAGTAAAACCACAGTAGTACAGAGTCCATTATTTGAAAAATGTGATTAAGTGTAGACAGGGGTTGATTTTCTTCAACAAGTCAGTTTTCTTTTACTGTTAGTATGAATTAAAAGCTTAATCAACATAAAATGCTTAAAATATTTATAAAAGCAAGCTTGCCTTACATATTTTTGGAGTCATATAACTTGTTTGTTCATTAAAAAACAACCATTTTTTAATCCTAGTTGTGCTATGCGTAATATTTACCTTCAGATATTAAAATCATTTAAAATAAAATCCTTTGTTTTTTTCTCTGAACTAGTCCAAAATAGTAAGATGTTACTGTATTAAGCTTTCCAGGATATTATTGACTGGAAATACTTCTTTTTTTTCTTTATAGCTTTCGTATCTACCTTTTTCTTTTAATCACACAAAAATATGTGTCTTTGGGTGTGGTGGCACAGATGTGTAGTCCCAACTACTCAGGAGGCTGAGGCAGGAGGATCACTTGAGCCCAGGAGTTCAAGTCCAGCCTGAGCAACATAGTGAGACCCCACCATCTCAAAAAAAAGTGTCCATTATTTTTAAAGTTAAAATTATAACTAAGTTTTAAAACATTTAAAAGATGTGAAGATCTGAACTTGAACCATAGGTGTGTGACAAAGTAGAGATATTTATAAGGAATATCCCTTTTAAATTTCAATTTATTTTCCAGGATTTAGGCAGTTAAAACACACAGATTTATCTCCAAATTTATTTTATTTTAAAATGATTGCACGTTGACTGTGACTACCAAAGTCGCTATTAGTTTTCCTCTCTGTAACCAAATAGAAATAACTAATTCAACCCGCAAGCTGAACTATTCCTAATTAGTCAGAAACAAGTGCTTTTTAATTCCATTTGTAAAATGTCCAAGGGAAAAGAGTCCCAGTTTGCCTGAATAATCTGTTACTAAATTTCCTCCCTGCTCTTAATAGCTCTACCATAAAGAAGCCCTTCATTACAGTTCATTCAAATCTCTTAAGCCATAACTTTTAACCCCGTTTCTTCTCCCGGGATTGGTTGTGTTGAATTTATTGCCTTTGATTTTCACTTCTATCAAGACATGTGGATTGATTTATAGGTTGCTTTAGCTTCTTCCTGTATGATAGCAGTCATCAACCCGTGCTTATTTGTTCGGTAGGGACAATTATTTCAGCTCCATATGTGCCATACACATTCACAAATTCCACTTTTAAACTCAGTTTCTAAAATGGTTACGACCAGTAGGCCTACTTTTCTGGTAAAAATTCGTAAACCCTTGTAAAAATTATACAAGAAATACTCAAATACATTCTTACTGTAAAAGATTCAAAAATATAAAGTGTGTAGAATAAAACACTAGAGCATCCTTTCCTCTCCCCCACCCCATTTCATTTCCAATCCTTTCACTATGTACATTTTCTGTCCAATTCCTAGACATTCTGTCAGCGTGTTTTGAATTTTTTCCTCCCCAGACTTGATTAGGCCTTATTTTCTCTGTGTAGCACTGGAAGAAATGCAGATTCATAGACTCAAACAGACAGTTAAGCATCCGTCAGAAAAGACTCTTACATCTTCCTATGGAGGCTGGGCACTCGGGTCTAGCAGCTGCTTTTTTTTTTTTTTTTTTTTTTGGATGCAGAGTCTCGCTCTGTAACCCAGGCTGTAGTGCAGTGGCGCGATCTCAGCTCACAGCAGTCTCTGCCTCCCTGGTTCAAGCGATCCTCCTGCCTCAGCCTCCCCAGTAGGTGGGATTACAGAGGCCTGCCACCACGGCCGGCTGATTTCTGTATTTTTAGTAGAGAAGGAGTTTTGCCATGTTGGCCAGGCTGGTCTCGAACTCCTGACCTCAGGTGATCCACCCGCCTCGGCCTCCCAAATTACTGGGATTACAGGCGTGAGCTACTGTGCCCAGCCAAGTAGCTGCTATTTGATCCAGACTTTGTGTCATACCTAAAAGTAACATAAAAACATAAGAAACAGCATCTCGAGTCATATCGCTGCTTCATTGCATTCGGTGTCCAGCCTGTGGTAACTGGACTAGGACTCACTCATACAGAAAGGCATGATAGCCGTCCTCAGGGAAGCCCCACCCACCTCCCCAAAAGATCCTTTCTCAGCTTCCATTATCCTTGACATACTTGTTCCACTGAAATGCTCTTTCGTAGCGCTGAGTGACCTTGGGAACTTCACATAACCTCAGGGGCCTCATTTTTATCAGGTATAAGTCAGATTTCCTAAATCTCCTCCATGCTTCTACATGTTCTTATAATCCTTATGTTCCTCAAGTGAAAGGTTAAAATATGACAATGATATTATTAATAGTAAGAATATTCAAAAACACACATTCAAAAACGCAGTATTTTCCCCTGGGAAATTTTTTGCCTTGTTTTCGTATTTAAAATATTAATCAAGAGACGTCGACACCAATGGCTATCTGACATTTGAAATCCACAGCCTAGAACTGAATTCCTATTCTGGGGCTGGAGAGAACCGAGGAGTCTGCGCTAGGCTGTAAAGCCTCAGTCAGGGACTGCAACAACCAAGGGGAGAGGCTGGATCCTAGCGGAGGAGAAAAGCAAAAGGTCAAAGTTAAGAAAAAATAATCAACCGGCCAGGCGCAGTGGCTCACGCCTGTAATCCCAGCACTTTGGAAGGCCGAGGTGGGCGGATTGCCTGAGCTCAGGAGTTCGCGACCAGCCTGAGCAACACGGTGAACCCCCATCTCTACTAAAATACAAAAAATTAGCCGGGCGTGGCAGCGTGGGCCTGTAGTCCCAGCTACTCGGGAGGCCGAGGCAGGATAATTGCTTGAACCTGGGAGGTGGAGGGTGCAGTGAGAGGAGATCACGCCACTGCACTCCAGCTTAGGCGACAGAGCCAAACTCCGTCTCAAAAAAAAAAAAAAAAGAAAAAAAGAAAATCAGCCAGGTCCCACAGGTGAGGCAGGGTCTTAAAAGAGAAAGAAAATCACACCTCAAAAAAGACCAGAAACAAACTGGGCATGGTGGCTTGTGCCTGTAATCCCAGAGCTTTGGGAGGCCAAGGCAGGAGGATGGCTTCAGACCAGCAGTTTGAGACCAGCCTGGTCAAGATGTTGAGACCCCCATCTCAATAGCAAAATTCTTAAAATTTGCCAGCTATTGTGGCATGCATCTGTCGTTCAAGCTGTGTGGGAGGCTAAGGCAGGAGGATTGCTTGAGTCCGCCCAGGAGTTCAAGGCTGCAGTGAGCCTCAAAAAACCAAAAAAAAAAAAAAAACCAAAAAAATTAGAAACAGACTAGGGATATCAGACCAAGGAAGAAAGATAGTGCCCCAGTAGACAATACTAGACTGGCTGAGGTCTGTGTTGGTTATCTATTGCTGTATAACAAATTACTGCAAAATTAGCTGCTTAAAGGAGCAAATATTTATTTTCTTATATGCTGTCTGAGGGTTGGGAATCTGCGATGACCCGGCTGGATGGTCTGGGCCAGGGTTTCTCAGGCTGTTGGCTGAGGCCATACTCTCTGAATTCTTGACATCGGGCTGGAGGATCCACTTGCAAGCTCACTTGCAAGGCGTTGGCAGGAGGCTTCCTCTCCACACGGCCCCCACTGTTGGTTTGCTCACAACATGGTTTCCCCAAGCAGAGACATCTGAGCATGAGACTGCTAGACAGAGACCAAAATGAAAGCAACAGTGTCTTTATAATGGAATCTCAGGAATGACAATCACTTTCTCTAAATTCTTCTGGTCACCAACACCAACCTTAGCACACTGGGGCCATCTTAAGGGCTGGCTACCACGAGTCCCGGGTTGCAGCCTATCTGTTTGGGAACAGCTTTATTGACATTAAGAAAAGGAAAACTCAGTGTGGACTTACAATATGAACAAAAGCTCCACAGAGTGTGAGCAGCTGAGCTCAGGCTTAAAGGTAACTAGTGCTGGGGGCGGCAAACAAGGGGAGGCAGATGGGATTATCTGCCTGAAAAAAATCAACAGAACAGAGCAGGAGTTGTCAAACTTCTTCTGTAAAGGACTAGATCATATACTTAAGGCTTTTTGAGCCGTATGGTCCCTGTTGCAATTACCCAACTCGGCATTGCAGTATGTAAGCAGCCATAGACAAAATATAAATGGATACGCTGGCTGTGTTTCATTACAACTTTCATTTGGCTGGGTGCGGTGGCTCATGCCTGTCATCCCAGCACTTTGGGAGGCCGAGGTGGGTGGATCACAAAGTCAGGAGTTCGAGACCAGCCTGGCCAATATGGTGAAACCCCGTCTCTACTAAAAATACAAAAATTAGCTGGGCATGGTGGCAGGCGCCTGTAGTCCCAGCTGTTCGGGAGGCTGAGGCAGAAGAATCACTTGAACCCGGGAGGCGGAGGCTGCAGTGAGTCGAGATTGTGCCACTGCACTCCAGCCTGGGCAACAGAGCGAGATTCCATCTCAAAAAAAAAAAAAAAAACAACTTTGATTTATGGACAGCGAAATTTGAATTTTATATAATTGCCATATATCACAAAATAGTATTTACTGGATTCTTTTGTACCATTTAAAAATGTGAAAGTTATTCTTAGCTTACATGCCATACAAAAATAGACTGTAGCCAGATATGGCCTGTGGGCTGTAGTCTATGGATTCTGGAAGCAGAATGAATGTGGATGGCCAAAGCTAAAAAAGACCTGATTGAAACAGGAGCCATATAGCGAAGTGCTGTTTTTCAAGATAAGTTTTAACCATAATAATGTGGTGAATATTTGATGCTCTTCATCAAGTAATCAATCAAAATATGTAAAGTCCCCTAAAATCGTTTATAAGCAACTTTAGGGGTGTTTCAGGAAATGGAACCAGACCGGATATGAGGTTTAATCAAAAATTGTATCATCTTCTAAAAACAAAATTCCAGATTTTTTAAAATAAAAATGCTATTGAATATTTCATTTGATAATATTTGCTTGTTGAAGAGTTTTTCATTTTTTAAAAAAATAATTAAAAACTAAATTGACATATAGAGTAGTGCCCTCTTATCTGTGATTTTGCTTTCTGTACCTTCAGTTACCTGAGGTCAACCACGGTTGGAAAATCTTAAGATACTTTGAGAGAGAGAAAGAGAGAAAAACCACACTCACATAACTTTTATTACAGTATAATGTTATAATTGTTATATTTTATTATTATCGTTGTCAATCTCTCATTATGCCTAATTTATAAGTTAAATTTTATCATAGGTATGCATGTATAGGAAAAAAACAGTATATGTAGGGTACCATACTATCCAAGGTTTCAGGCATCCATGGGGAAGGGTCTTGGAACATATGTATCCCTGAGGATAAGGGGGAATGGGATTACTGTCATTAGGAGAATGTATGTAATTTGGCTAAAACAAAGAAAGCCACAGGATTTGAGATTAAGAATAAATATTTAAAAGGCTGAAGTTTTGAGACCAGTGTGATTCCCCAACAATAAAGACTTTTTGAATTCCTGCATCAACCTTAGTAGAATTCTAAGTAACAAAATGGCGAAAGGATTCACTGATACAAGTTGTTGTGATGGCTTGGGCAGAAAGTTAGTGATATCTGAACTCCTGCTCTTTTGAATTTTGTTTTATCCGTTAAAAAGATGAGAAATACAATAGAGAAAACATTATGCATGTTATTTGTATTTCCCAAATTGGAAAAAAAGTAAATCAGTTTCTTTTAATGACGTCCTATAATTCATTTCCAGAGCATATTGAATGTAAGTCTTTTCAATATCATCTCAGGGCAGTAACCAAACTCCTGTGTAGTATTGAAATGGGAGAGTTCCCTGACCTCCCTCACAGGACATGCGGTGGGTGTGGCTTTGTTTGGCCGCTGTGCACTCAACCCCTTATGGGAGGGGGAGCACGCAGACGGGCAGGTGCAAGAGCCAAGGGGAGCACTTTTGGGCTCTGGCCCCACTGTAGCATCTAGGGGTGGATGCCTGCAACTCCCAAAGCCCCAGTGGATGTATTACAGTGCTCTTTTAGCTCTGCCATCCACAGACGGCTTAAGTATTAACCAACTCAGTGCCCTCTTGGTATCCAGGTCCTTGTCTGGCATCCAAGAAGAATTGGGTCACACAGACAAATTGAAGGAGGGCAAATGTGGGGGATTTTAATGCCAGATGGAGGTGGCTCTAAGCAGGATGGATGGGGAGCTGGAAAGGGGATGGAGTGGGAAGATGATCTGCCCCTGGAGTTTGGTTGCCCCATGGACAATCTCCTCTCCAACCGTCCCCAGCCAAATTACTCTCAGCTTTCAGATGCTCCTTCTCTTCTCTCCTTCTCTGCTGTGCTGCTCTTCTGCTCCTCTGCTCTTCTGCTCATGGAGCCTGGGGTTTGGGGTTTATATGGGTGCAGGATAGGGCAGGTCAAAAGGCAACATATGGATGCACAAACAGGAATGGCTGCTCCCATTTAGGGCTGAGGGTTTCCAGTGTTGGGGGTGGGGCCTTTCCCAGGGAACCACCCTCTTCTACCCAGTATTTCCTTGCCTCCTGTCCATAGCAGTATCTTCCTTAACTGCTGATGGTCTCAAAGTACAAAGTTCTCCAAGTCATTCTCAGAGTAGACTGAGAAGTATTCCTAACTGGCGAAGTCACCACACACTGATGCCACCCCATTTCTCAGTCTGGATCCATCCTGATTCATCTATCCATTCAAACATCTACTATTGAGTTTTTGTTATTTTCCCAGCCCTGGGCTCAGTAGATATGATTTTGTAAGAGCTTAGACATTTGAACAAGGAAAAAAAAGAAAATTTGAACAAGGAAATGAGACATAAATGCATAAACTGTTAAATAATACAAAATAGCAAATGATTAAGTGCTAGAACAGATACTAGGGACAATAATTGTTTAAATGTTCAGAGAAAGAGAATACTGAATGAATTATCTGAATATGGTTTAGGGGAAGATGAGACTTGCAGCGGGCTCTAAAATATGAGCAAGGCAAATTCTGTGATTTAATTTGCTGTGACAGAGAGGTGAGAGCCTTCTATGCTGGAGGAAGATGCTTCTCTCATCTTCCTCTCTCTTCTTCCAGGGTGAGAGCATCTATCCAGGGCAAATAGGATCTCATCTCAGCAAGGCTAATCTCAGCAAGAGCCCCTCATCCCACATAAGGTTTTCCTCAGTTGTACAGCCTGAGAAACTCAATTCATCAGTGTGCTTTGACATTAACACAAATAAAATACAGTGTATTTTTTCATTGCCTTAATCTTTGTGGTTTTTAAATGTAACTAACAGCCAAAGCCCAATAGCACATCCTTCTACTGATTAATAAATGAACCCCATGTTTGTTTTATAGATATGTCTGCTAAGTAATAAATCTGTGTCATTAAATTAGGGGGAAAACAGAATTTGGAAAAGTACTTTTAATGGTTGTTGTTTAATTACCCCAATCAGGGTGTTGCATTATAAGGAAAATACATTTCTCATAGCTGTGCACCATTCTTAATTCAGATAATCTGTGCTCACAGGTGGACAAAAGGACCGTTTAGATGTGAAGCCTGGTGTTGTTCTCCCTTTTGACATCCAGCAACCTGGCATGATATCTCAAAGACGTGAGATGAAGAGCTGAGCCAGGGCAGAGGACTCTGATCATAAAACTGCATGATCCTTGTCAGTTATCAGAAGCTGTTTTAGTTGGAGAGGCTATTGGAATACCCTGGGGAAAATCCTCTGATTCTTTATTAATTTCATTTTGATCAGAGGACACCCTGCTCTATAAACCAGTTTCCTTCTTATGATGGAGCACAATTAGGAAGAAAATAAATGTACTCTTTGAAAGGAAGATCATGAGAAGGGACACTCCCTTGCGTGAACTGCTAACAAATCCATTAGAGAGCTGATAAAAGCTGGCACTTTTTTATGATATCTGAGCTGGGATGAAGTATGGCAAGATGGGCACTTCTATGTCATCATGGTATATGACGCTCTCAATTTTCCCACTCCAGCCTGTGAAGCCATTAGCCAAATATCCTCCATCTCATTCCTCTTTCTGCCATGTTTTGACCTCTGGGAAATTAGGTCTGTTAAAACTTTCAGACATTTGTCAAAATGATAGTTCTGAACTGATTTAGATCAGGAAAGATGCATATAATTTTAAAGGATTTCTTTTTCATGTGTGATGAATTTATCCATAATCTAACTCAATGGACAGAAGGAGCACTCATCCTCAAATAAAGAAAGAAACAATTTCACCTGTGGCATAAAATTTCTCTCTCTCTCTCTCTCTCTCTATATATATATATAATGCATCTAACTGCATAGCAAAGAAGCTTATACAAACTTAGTTCCTCTTTTAGGAGATGCCCATTCTGAGTGGAAACCATATAAATGAAACAGGAACTTTAGCATGAAAGTAATAAAACAATACATGAATATGCGCTGCCTTATTTGCATCAAATTCAAGTTAAAAATGATTTAAAGATAGCGATATCTTTATCTTTAAATCACTTTTGACTTGACCATATGGGGTAGGACTAGGAAAGTTGGGGGGTGCAATTTCAATTCTAGTCGGGAAGAAGTCTTAAACTTTTTCTAATCGATGCAGATTTTCACTGAACTGCATACCTAAAACAACAAGTTATCATTTGAAATGACCCTTTGTGGATAGGGCATTTCTTAGAAATAAAGAAGACATTGGGATTTAGAAGGAGTCAGAGCCCTGGGCTCTGTTGTCCATGGAAGCCCTAGGCTTGCCCCAGGGACTCCTGGGAGCTGTGCTGCAGACTCGGTAGACTTTAGGACTTCCTCTGTCAGTGAAGGTCCACACAGCACAGGCCAGGGGAGACTAGCGCCTAAGCTGGATTTGGGTGGTGATCCCGAGAGGCAGAAGTTAAGGAGGGAAAGTTTGAGGAACGGAAGGAATAAAAGCCAAAGCCAATGCAATGTATGTTATTGAGTTGTTTGCTGCTCTGGGCACCTGAGGCTCATGTCCCACTAGAAAACCCTTGAGGACCCATGCAGAAAAGTATCCCACCAAAACATAGAAGCCTGGACATTCTCTATCATTCCCATCACCTCTTGCTCTGGGGTTGCTTCTGAAGACATTAAATCCCTTTACTTTCCCAACCACATGTCCTCAGCTGAGTGAGCTAGTGCAACCTCAGAGAAAGTTCTGAAGCAGAAGGCACTGGAGGTCACATACTGCCACATACACAAGAACTGTCTGCCATACCTGCTGCTGAAATCAGGGTGGGTGGCAGGGCATGATGTGGGGCACCGCCCATGTCTGCTGGCCAATCTCTTGCAGATCTCAGCTCTACTTATGTCCACATTGGGTCGACTTTTTCACAGATTCACCCATCCTGGAGCACTTATGAGATGCCCCCATGAATTCCCTGGGTTCCAGATATGGTCCTCCAGGTTGCATAGTAGCAGGAACAATAAGTAGCTGTTCATGATAATAGAATTGATTTCCCATGTTCATATAGAAACTTCTTTTGCCTGCTGTTATCTCCTCTTGAAGAGACCAAATTGTCCAGGCTTCAGACTTGCTTTAGTTTCCATGGACATCTTACTGTGCCCAGGTTGAAGCAATGTTCTGCTGAGAACAAGAATTTTCTATCCATTGGAGCTTAGACTTGCAAGATTGGTGAGTCACTGTGAGTGATGTTGAAAGGGCCAATCCTTCTTTTACCCCTTAATTCTTGGACCCATGAAGTCTGACTGTCAGAGACACAACACTCTATATCAGCCAGTAGCTCAGTGCATAGACTCCATCCTGAAAGACAGCATCCCCAAGCTCACACCCTTTTGGAACCTTTACTATGTCATTCCAACATTCTTACTGCTTCCAGGTAATGGGAAGTATAAGGAGAACCACTGTATCTCATACTTCCTTTGCCATAAATGGGTCCTCTGAGGCAATACCGTGGAATCTGGAATCTGATGCCTATAAATGAAGCACTCAGCGCTCAAGCAGTAATGCTTGCAGATGTGCTGCAGGTGTGGAATGCAAACCCAAATCTGGTATAGATGGCAGTTCCATTAAAGATGAATCACTCCTCCTTCCAGGGTTGAGTGTACGTAGCATAACTTATCTGCCATCAAATGGCTGGCAGCTCAAATGTATCCAAAACAGGGCCCCTGATATTCTCCCTCAATCTTCCCCACCTCAGATAACGGCAACTCCATCCTTCCAGTTGTTCAGCACAAAAATCTGAGATAAACCTTGACTCCTCATTTTTCCTCATGTTCTACATCCAACCTGTAACAAATCACGTTGGCCCGGCTTTCAAAATATATTCAGAACATGGCTTCTCCTTCTCCATGGCCACCATCCCAAACTTACCCTCATCCACTTTCACCTGGATAGCATCTTAGTTGATCCTGTGCTTTTGTCCTCAGCCTGTGGGAGTCTATTTCCATTTGTTTCCTGTTAAAACAAATCACAGCATGTAATTCCTTGGTTCAAAGTCTTCCAATGGCTCCCAGTCTCAGAGAAAAAGCCAAAGTCCTTACAAGGGCATATATCCCTAGGTGATGAGTCCTTGTGGAAGACAGACTGTAAGGTGGCCTCATGATCCTCTCTCCTGGTGTTCATGCTGCTGTGTGATCCCCTTCCTTGAGTGTGGGTGGAATCCATGGCTGCCTTCTAACCAATAGAATACAGCAAAATGATGGTGGTTACTCTTTTGATTACATTATCTACCATTACCTCTTGCTAGCAGACTCTCTCCCTCTCTTGCTGGCCTTAAGAAAGCAAGCTGCCATGTTTTTATCTGCCTATGGAGCGGGCCATGTGGCAGGAAATTCTGTGCAGCCTCTAGAAGCTGAAGGTGGCCTCTGGCTGACACCCAGTAAAACAATCTTAAAGCTCTCAATTCTATAGCTGCAAGCAAGTGAATTCTGCCAACAACATGAATGAACTTAGAAGACAACCTTCCCTGGTTGAATCTCCAGTGAGACTGCAGCCCACTCTACATCTTGATTGCAGCCTTGTGAGACCTGAGCCAAGGGCCCTGTGATGAATCCCTGACCCATGGAAACTAAGACCATAATCAATGGGTATTGTTTTGAGCCTCCCAGTTTGTGGTAACTGATTATGCAGTGATAAATAACTACTGCAGTCCTACTACTTCTCTGATCACATCTCCTTCCACTCTACCCTTTCATCCACTCTGCTTGAGCCCACAGGTCTCTTTGCTGTGTCTCAAAAGAGCCAGGCACATGCCCATCACAAGGCCTTTACATTCTTGTGTTCTCTCAGCTTGGAATGCTCTTCCCTCCGATGTACACATGGTTTTGTACTCACTGATTTCTTGTTTTCGCCCAAAAGCTATCTTATCAGCAAGCCTTCCCTGGCCACCTTATCTAAAAT